>NC_000003.12:16260000-17510000 GCF_000001405.40 Homo sapiens
TCACCAATTTCACTTCTTTTGGATGTTTTTCTTTTCATCTTGTCCTGACTTCCAAGGAATATGCAGAATATAAGAAAAGTCCTCATTCTTTCATCACTTCATTTTGGACTTTCTTTCTTGTTCACTAACTTTTAGCTCTGGAGACATTGTGACCTCACTGTATTTTCTCTTTAATACTATGACCAAACTCTCTGCATGAAGCATTACAGAAATGACACGCTGAACAGAACATGTCCATTCTAATGGGAAAACTGAGGAGACTGGCTTGGTATAGAAACTGGAAGTGTGGTACTGATGAAGCAACTAATTTTAAATTTAGAACAGCAAAGCTGATGTCATATTTCAAAGGAAGGGCTAATTTTAATAATCTTAATAACCAAGTCAAAAATACAATCTCTTTTTTATTAAGAAATCCTAATGACTGAGGTAGATGATGCTGTTGTCAGATACCGAAGTAATTTGGTTTAAGATATGAAAATGATGAAACCAAGGGAAAGAAAGCACTGTTTTGAAATTATCTTCTTTTAAATTTAGATGCATAATTAAGAATGCTTCCAATTTAAGGTTCTAAGCACAAAATCCAGATATGTCATGTTATGGACTTGCTTCCTGAAGATGATATCAGCAGTTGATAGAAAGAATCCACACTCTTACAGAACAGCAAATCATAAATGGTTGTCTCTGTGAAGCCAGTAGCTTTGCATTCGATATTTCTATCTGGGCTCATTCCAAATGTTCAGGATTTGGATTCCTGAAGGCTTCTTCAGCATTTAACTAATTCTTTGTTGGCTGAAGGGGCTGGGACTGTTTCTCCACACACAAACTGATCCTAAGACAGAGTGAGAAATGACATTAACCAATGAATTTCCGGTCACAAATACATTAATATTAAACCTTCATTTTGTTACAGCATCAATCCAGCGCTGTTAATTGTTTTTCATTTGCTATTATCATTTCATCCTTGTTCAAAGAGCCAATGACAGCACCAGAAGTAGAATCTTAAACATGTATCAGTTTTTTGATCTGAATTCATTATTTAATACAAAGCACCTTATAAACAAACATCCCTATCTTCAGTTCAGAGCAACCACTTCTCAGAAATCACATAAAGACATGCCACATATTTTAAATTTCTGTATTAATTACTACTTACACTAAAACTTCTCCACTTTAATATTTGGTCATTCAAATACCAGTCCTCTTCAAAGTAATTACTTCTTCTAACTAAAAGGGACAGGTCTTTATGTGGTTCCCAACATGGATAATCTGCTATGTTAGCTACTTTGTAAATGAAGTTCAATCTCTGGTCTTTTATCCTGGCTTATGTCAGCTACCACCAAAAATCTCTGCTTCCAAGGTTATCCCTCACCTCCAGCAATCTGATTCCCGAAGGATCAGCCCCTACTCTGTCCCTGCTACTCTGTTGCCCAATATGTGGAACCCTTTCACTGTGCCCTTTGGAATTCATGGTCCATTGTTAGCACAATGCTTCATATTCTCAACCTCTTTCTCAAAATGTCCTTTTATCCCCAAGAGCACTGGTAATATCTGGAAACAGTTTGAATTGAAACAACTGAGGATTGCTATTGGCATCTAGTAGGTAGAGGCCAGGGATCCTGCTAGACATCCTATAATGCACGGGGTATCTCTGAACAACAAAGAATTATCAGGCCTAAAATGTCAACAGGGCTGAGGTTGAGATGAAGTCATATTCTTAAGGACAGTTTCCCCTACAAGCCCATCTAGTGGAGGCTCTGTGTTCTCAGAGTCCTAGTACCAGAGGGATTGGAAGTGGGGCTAGTTCCTCCTTTTTGCCTCCATTCTCCTTTCCTGTCTAAAACCCATCAGTTTAGAATCTTATGTCTTGAGACTACCGCCTTGCTATTCTTCTCTGTTGCTGTCATTTATCCACCCTGGATGCCATATTCCAACCCCTCTGGACCTCCACCATATTCATCCTACCACCCTTTCACTGCCCCTCACTCCCTTCATGTTCTCTTTACCTAGTTCAAACTCCATGGTCAGTTATAACCACTCTTCTCTCACTCCTTACTATTCACTTGGGAAAACCTTAAACCTGGTTAAATCTAACTTTCCATGTCTATATTCACTAATGAAGGCTGAATTTCTACCACCTTAAACCCTCTCTTGATCCTCTATCACCACTGGTTACTGTCCCATGTCTGTGCTCTCCTTTGCAGCAAACTCCTTAAAAGAAATGCCTATACTCACTGCCTTCTGTTCTCTCATTCTCTCCAACCAGTATTCTGCCCATTGGTTTCTTCACTCATGCGCTGTTCCTGTTACTCCATGGAAACTGCTCTCATCTCCGTCACAGATGAACTCAGTGTTGCTAAAGCTAATGGTTAATTCTTGATTGCTTCCTATCAGTGTCACGTGACAAGGATCACCACTTCCTCAATCCTTTCTCATCTGGTTTCCAGGATTTGACACTGCTGATTTTCCTCCTTTCTCAGTGGTTTCTCCTTTACCATCAGCTTTGGTGATTCCTCGCTTCCCTCCCTGACTTTTTAATACTGTAGTGCCTTAAGGCTCAGTCCTGTATTTTATCCATCTCTACATTCACAGACCTGGTGGTCTCATCCAATCTCATGGCTCTAAATGCTATCTGTTACTGATAACTCCCAAATTGACATTGCTAGCCAATCTCTCTCATGAACGCCAGACATGCATATCCAATTGCCTTCTCAACAGCTCAACTTGGATGACAGACCTCTCACTTAGTATGTACAATTTCAACCCCTATACCTATAGTTACATTCCCTCAATTGACAGTAACTCCATCCTCCCAGTTATTAAGGTCACAAATATTGAAATCATCCTTGTCTCACTCCTTCACACCCTATATCCAATCAGTTATTCAAAGCGTATCCAGAATCTAAGTACTTCTCATTATTTCCATTGCTGTAACCAGGTCCAAGCCACCCATCTCCTTCTTTAATTAGTGTAATAGCCTCCTATTACACTGGTTTTCCTGTTTCTATGCTTGCTCTCTATAGGCTACTCTGAACACAGCAGCCAGAATCATTTTTTAAAAAACTTAAGTTGGATCATAGCACTCCTATGTTCAAAAATCCCCCAATGGTTCCCTATATCACTCACAACAAGAGCCTAAGTCCTTAAAGTGATCCACAACTTCTTACGCTACTCTCATCCTGCTCTGCTCTGGTCACACTGGCCTCCTTTTTGTTCCTTGATAAAATCAGGCATGTTCCTGTCTTAGGTCCCCTTCACTGAACGATCCTTTGCTCGACTCTCTTACCTCATACCCTCATATGTACATGGCTCACTCCCTCACCTCCTTCAAATCTTTACCTATTAAGGCCTTTCTCAGTAAGGCCTGCCATGATCACCCTATGGAAAACTGCAACTTCCTCCCAGACCAGCACTCCTGATCTTCCTTACCGTTTGCTTTCTGTTGCAGAGCACATTTTAATACAAGAATGAATCATTATATTTCTAAATTATAGTCTAAATTATAGCCCGCTTCTCTCATGAGGCTCTGTGCCTCATCCCCACTTTCCCTATATTCATTTTGGACTTCATCCTTGAGAGTGTTAAGGTCCTTACCTAAGATTCCATTCCAAGTACTGAACAAAACTTTGGGTAGGAGTGGGCAGTAATAACATTTTTTTTTTCTATTGTCAACATCCTTGGGTGAAAGATAATAGGGCAACTAAAGACTAAAATGAAATTGTAAAGCTGCACCTAGGAATTATATCTCAAACAAGATAATGCAGAATTCTGTGTATAAGCCAGCACGAAATACCATACAATTGTTCCCTTCAAAGTAAGTCTAGCAGCTCTAAACAATTTTAATTACATATTAAATAGAAGAGAAATATAAAAAATTGTCCACTAAAATAATCTATATACTTTCTATTTAATAAATAATAATTTTCACTAAAGCTAGATTTATCTCTAAAGCTAAAATAAATTACGTAATCTGAACTTTAAACGTTTTAATTTACTATTCGGCTGTTTATCAATGGTGTTTAAAACCTGCCTAAAAAAATACCGCACTTTACCTAGCACAATGAAACATTCTCCTGCACTCATCACTGACAAGCTGATCTAAGTCCTTGCCACTGACTTACAATACCCTTCCCCCGTTTTAAAATTATATCCCTTACTTTGTCATAAATCACTTTTATAATGAGAGAGCAGCTAGGACACGTTGCCACGTCTTCCCCATTCTCCAAATCTTCCTACAACGAAATCAAATACCATGTGGTCAGGATAGCTTCTCTTCGCCATCTCCTCCCCCAAACCTATCCCACCCCTAGATGCAAGTCTCTTGGTGGCTTGCCTTCCCCCCAAGGTGGGTGAGAACCCCAGGGCCTTCAGCGAGAAATGCCGACATCATTTTCCCCTAGAAGCGTCACTTAGGGGAAACACCTAGGAAGGTCAGGCGAGCTTCGGTCGCCCCAAAAGCCCTGGGAAACAAAAAACGAGTCCCCTCCTCGACAGAAATATCCCAGGTTGGGACCCTAAGGCAGGGATCGGGCAGAGAGACAGAGGCTCTCCGCCACCCTCTCCCTGACCTAATCTAAGGCCAGAACTGCGTGCCTACCGAGAGAGCTCAGGGCATTAGTTGGGGTGGGGGGACGCGGGAGGAGGAAGATTCAGCAACGGGAAAGAGGGCGTGGGTGACACAGCGCAGCAAAGGCTACCCAATGATGGAAGGAACGGGCGGAACCAAACTGCGCTTGCTTGGGTGAACCGCCGGGCGGGACCCTGAAGTTACCTTGGTGATGGAGAAGTTATCTCCACATGGGCAGGGATAGAAATACGTCTCCGAGTCCTCGTCATATTGGAAGTCCTCGATTTCCACCTCGTCATGAAACACTGCCATGGTCAGCGGGGGTGGCCGAAGGGGTAACGCCCCAGCAGTCCGAGGCCAGCTCCGAGGGTTTAACTTCGCCGGAACCGGCCTGGGCTCGGCATCATCAGGTCGCGCCGGGCAAGGACTAGCCCTTCCGGCGCATAGGCAATGACGCAACTCCGCCCTGCGCGGCCAAATGGATAACCGGTAGCGGTCACCATGGAGATGGCTGAACTAGGGGCGGAGACACTGGGAAGACTGAAAGCTTGCTCAGCGGGGTCGCGCACCGCTCCTCCTATTGGGCGGCAGCGACCAATAGAATGTGGGGCTCGCCCGCGCTGCTACGTCACGTCTGGGACCGCGGAGTATTCCAGGCGCCTGCAACTAAACGTGGCCGGGTCTGCAAGCTAGGTGCCAGCGGGGAAAGTTTCCCTGCTTCTTATCGTCTGCTTTAACGCCTTAAATAGCCCGCTGAAGGCTGCAGCAGGTGCTAGGTAGCAGCCTCCCGGCCCTCGGGAAAGGCGGGGTGGGGAGGCGAGAGCAGCTTAGCCTCCTCGACCTCCCTTCCTGGTGACGGACGAACAGTTCCCGTAGAATTTCGCTTCACCGAGTGACCTTGAGCCCAGGGCGACGGTCAGCTTGTTAATTCCTGGCTGCAGGTACATTCCGCTTCTTCCTCACCCCAGACGCCTTAAAATACCCTAAATTGTGTTGCTGAAAGGACCAAGCCCTGGAAGGCAGGGATTGAGTTCTAGTCTTCTGTTTGCCAGGCTTATAACATTATTAACGACGATGATTTTTAGTAATAGTAATAACATCACCTTTTATTATTGGGAAGTTATGTGCCAGCTATTGCACTAAGTGGAATTGTCAACTCTAGGAGTTTACATGTTATTCCATTTTATTAATCTTTAAACTGAGGTACAGAGAGTTGGGCATCTTGACTAAAATCATACACCTGGGAAATAATGAAGAGCTTGTCTGTCTCCAAAGCCCAGGAACAAATTACTTATGTGAGTACCAGTTTTTTCGTTGTGAAAGAAATGGTGTCAGTAGGCAGGTTTATCAGTGTGAGGCCTATGTATGCCTTGAAGCGAAATGCAGATAAAAGGCATTTTTGTCTTGAAAGCAGTGCTAGTGCCTGTTTTGGTAAAACCGATTACATTGGGTCTTACTTAATTACTAGGCATTTTAATATCTTAGTAGAGAAGAAATGCATTGTAGTGAAAAAGCACTTTCGAGAGAAGATCTGGGATCGGAATCTTGAGTTGTTGATTACCTCTGGCAACTGGATATTTACATTCTTTGGGCCTTATTTCCTCTTCTAAGAAAGGATTGGAGTAGAGATGATATAAGATCCTTTTTAGATGTAATGTTCCACTTTTGCACGGAAATTATGAGCTTTACTTGGTTCAGCAATGATATATAACATTTAGTTTACATTTACGTAACACATATACATAATATATCCCTGTGCACTTTTGAAGAAAACATTACAATGACTACTAAACTTTACATTTATTCCTAAAAGGGCGGATCACGAGGTCAGGAATACGAGACCAGCCTGACCAACATGATGAAGCCCCGTCTTTACTAAAAAATACACAAATTAGCCAGGTGTGGTGGTGTGCCTGTAATCCCAGCCACTCAGGAGGCTGAGGCAGGAGAATCTCTTGAACCTGGAAGGCAGAGATTGCAGTGAGCTGAGATCACGCCACTGCACTCCAGCCTGGGCGACAGAGCTAGACGCTGTCTCAAAAAAAAAAAAAAAAAAAAAAAAGAAGTAGGTCATAATTGTATAATGCAAACTATATTTGATGAGTGCTGTTGTATATCAGGCCAGAAGGAGTTGTTTATTGGCAATACCAAACCTCCACCTCTCTAGGTTGTTTGACAAGGAAGAGAAGGGGTCAATGTATTAGGATTGATTTTAGTAACACTGTTGCTTGCCAGGTACTTTGGTAGACATTTTATTTATTCCTCTCAGTAATCCAGTGAGGTGGCGTGGGTAATGTTAAAATGGCAAGAGGAGACTTGCTGAAGATTAGAAAGCAGGAAGGAGTCACACCTGAGCCCAGTTCCGCTGATTTCCGGTCAAATACTCTGTGTATACTACTTGTTTACCACTAAGGTGTCTTTGCCTGTTGGAGCAAGAGGAGCCCTTTTTCTTCCTCAGTGACACCTAAGATTCTAAATTGACAGATGTCATGATTGTTCTTTGAACTTACTTAATTTCAGTGCATTTATGCTTATTGAGGCATTCTTGGCTTTTCTCTGTCAGTGTCCTCTCACACCCTGCCTAATGTATCAGCAAGTTTTGGGGCTCTAATTCCAAAATATATGTCATGTTCATCTACTTCTGCCATCTCTGTAGCTGTTACCTTATTATAATCTTAGACCAGAGTCTTTTAACTGGGTTTCCTGCTTCCACTCCTGCCCCTCTCCCTCTGTTATCCTTCCCACAGCAACTTGAGCAGTCCTTTAAAAATATAAATTAGGTCTTGTCCTTCTCCTGATTGATTCAGACTTTTCAGTTGCTTCCCATTACCCTTAGGATAAAATTCTTACCCTTACTATAGACTGCTGGACTTCATCTCATTTCACTCTTACCAGCTTACTGCTCTCCAGTCACACTGGCCTTGGTTCCTTTAACATGCCGGGCTTATTTCTGTGTTGGACCTTTGCTCTTGCTAGTCCTTCTGCCAGAGTTGTCTGCCTTTAACATTTGCTTGGCCGCCTTTTCCTCATCATTCAGATCTCAGCCAAGGTGTCATCACTGGAGAGATGTCTTTCTTGATATTTCCCCCACCTACCCCATCACTCTTACTCCCTTTATCATACTCATCATAATCTATAATTATCTTGTTATTTGTTTACTACTATCTGTCTCTGGAACTGTAATAAAAGCTTCATGATGGCAAGGGCCTTGCGTCTGGTTCTTTATTATATCTCCAAGGCCTAAAATAGTGCCTGGCACCCCTGTAGTTGTTGAATGAACTGAGTATACCTGTTGAACTGAAACCATATAATTAATCTTAAATGTTAAATTTAATCTGTTGCTTTCAGAAGTTTGTTTTACTACATATTTAATGGGTGTCAGTTTTATTTAGCACTTATTATACTTTTCTGCATTTCAGAAATAAAGTTAATTAAGATTTTTTGGTAAGGGAAGGCCTGTGAGGATACAGACATTGATGGGATGGTCTACTTTATATGGTTTTAGAAATAACTTGATATATATTGATCTGCTGTGGTTGATTAAATGCTTACAGTATGGAACCGCCGGACATATTTCAAAAAATTAGTAGGTTTTAAATTTTTTATATTTTATTTAAAGGACTGGCATAAAGCTTTGGAAAGCACTTTAAACAGAATTTTATAAAAATGTCCTTTATTTACCAGTAGGTGGCACTCTTGGTCATGGTTACTTTCACAAAATAAAATCTTAGGATTTTAAAGAGAACTCCTTTTTTTTTTTTTTTTTTTTTTTTTTTTTTTTTGAGACTGAGTTTCGCTCTTGTTGCCCAGGCTGGAGTGTAATGGCATGATCTTGGCCCACTGCAACCTCCGCCTCCCAGGTTCAAGCGATTCTCTTGCCTCAGCCTCCTTAGTAACTGGGATTATAGGCGCCCGACACCACACCTAGCTAATTTTTTGTATTTTTAGTAGAGATGGGGTTTCACCATGTTGACCAGGCTGGTCTCAAACTCCTGACCTCAGGCGATCTACCCACCTCATCCTCCCAAAGTGCTGGGATTACAGATATGAGCCACTGTGCCCGGGAAGAACTACTTTTAAAATTAACATTTGTTTTCCAGTTCAGTTGAGAAGGGGACCATTCAAACAGCATAATCATTAAATGATGTATCCTATTGTGAGGACAACTTATTTTAGCAATAGTTGTCTAAAACATTGAACAGAACAGTATTTCCATATTTAACAATATAGTGGTTAAATTTTATCAGGGAACTTGGCCTTAAATGACATGTAACTGTGTCATTCTAGCCTTTGGTCTGCTGTTTCCTGGGGTGGATATCCTAAGTAGCAGGTGTTAAAGACAGGCAAGGAAGATGAACAAAATAAGCTGTAAGATAAATAATCAAAAAAGAAAAATGGAAGCATGGAGGAAAGAATGGATGGAGAGGGGGTAATTGAGAGTGGGCTTGTTGTGAGGTGATGCCTACTGATTTTAATGAGCCTTTCCTTTGGCAGCTAAGAGGTAATAGTGCTTTTGATCAGTTCCCCAAAACATTGTTATATGTTGTTTGTGCCATTGCAGGAACTTTGTGAGAATTTTAATGCATGGAAAAGCTGTCCATGTTCCAACTGCTGTACATCCAAAAGTCTCAGTGTAATAGCAGGACCAAAATATTCTGTCAATCAGCTGACCATATACTTAATGACTCCTAAAATCTCGTGGACTTCTAAGGTAAGTTTCAACTTCTTTCTTTCAGGGATTAAGGTAACATTATTGACTTAGAACATTTAATGGAGAAAAACTACGTTTAGTGGTCTTGAATGAGGTTGAAGAGGCCTTCTGCTTTTTTCATTTAGTAAAGAGAAAAATAGCAAGTAGCATGCTTATCCGCAATGATGCTGCAACATACTATGACAAGAAGAAATATATCGTTTATCTAAAGACTAGTTATGAAGCAGTGAGCTTTTTAATATGATTTGGGTATAACCAAATAAACTGCATATGACTTATATCACCATCAGATTTATTTATTTTTATTTATTTTCTGTCTTCATCTATTGGAATGCAAGCTCTCTAAGAGAGTTTTTGTTTTCTTCATGCCTAAAGCACCATTGCTTAGGCCAGTGCCTGCCACATAGTGGACTCTTGATAGATACTCGTTGAATGAAGGACCAAATTAATGAATATGGAGTAGGAATGTAAACACTTAGCTTGAATATTTTGCTAACAGCAATTTATCACAATTAATTTATATACTGCCTCCCAAAAAGCTCAGAAAAAAAAGTATTCACATGCATTTTCATTTATTCTCAAGGTAACTAAGATGGACAAATAGAGCAATGTAACATGTTAAATGTGGCCATTTTAGACAAAGAAATGTTTAAAAATTGACATAGGAAAATGATGGAAAAGGAACCAAAAAGAAATATCATCTGACTCCTAATCAGTGCTTTTCTTGACAGGCTGGTAGTTTTTAGAATTTGAAATGTTGAAGAATCTGTGTGTGTGTTTAACTTTTTGTTGAAGTTCAAGTACAAACAGAAAACTACACAGATCCTAAGAGGACAGCTTAATCAGTTTTTACAAAAAGTGAAAATACCCATGCAATCCGCACCCAGATTAAGAAGCAACATTGTCACTACCACCTCCCAAGGGAAATTGCTAACTTGATTTCTGACATCATGGATTCATTTTCTCTGTTTTTATACTTTATATGATTAGAATAAAAGAATATCTGTTCTTTGGGGTCTGGCTTCTTTCATTCAGTATGTTATTTGTGGTAATTCATCTGTGTTACTGCATGTAGTTGCAGTTTGTTTTCATTGCTGTGTAGTATATCTTACTGTGTGAATGTATCACAGTTACCTTATCTCCTGTAGTAATGGCATTTGGATAGTTTCCAGTTTGGGCTATTAGGAATAGTGTTATTATTTTCTGTTTTGGTTTTTTAATATCTGGAAACCTTAAGCTTCTTGTTTGGGAACCGTTGTAAATTTATCTTCCTCTTACACTTAACAAGAAATATAAAAGACTTATGCAGTACTCTTCAGGTAGAATACAATTATCAGGAAGTTATAAAATCTCCCCTCTTCTATAATAGCATAAGATTAGTCATGTGAACTTGGCCAGAGATTTTAGAAAGTGATAGAGAACATGAATATTTGATAATACCAAAAATTACATACTTATATACATAATTGTGGAGATACCTTGAGTCAACTCTAAATAGTGGCAGAAATTTTGTCAAGGTGAAGTTAGGCTCTTGGCTGCTTTGGTGGTAACTTGACTCATAATAGCACCAACAGAAATCCACACTCTTCCTCACTGACCCTCTAAAATAGTCTGATATTTCCCCACTTTTAAAAAAACAATTTGAAATTTCAGTTTTCTGTTTGCCCAGAAAGCGCCATGGCCTGTGCTGCTGTTATGATTCCTGGGTTGTTGCGGTGCTCTGTTGGAGCCATCCGTATTGAGGCTGCGTCACTGAGATTGACACTCAGCACTTTGCGCCACCTTACTCTAACCAGGTGAGTCATTAAGACTTCTGTGTCATTTGAAGTTAATTTTCAAAGAGACCCGACCTGCTGATGGTTGTGGGAGGCATATCAAACTCCCGGAAAGGTAACACCTTAGCTTCAATGTGCATGCTGTCAGGTTGTTAACCGTTTTTTTTGTCTGAGATGGAGTCTTGCTCCGTCGCCTGGGCTGGAGTGCAGTGGCACGATCTTAGCTCACTGCAACCTCCACCTCCTGGATTCAAGTGATTCTCCTGTCTTAGCCTCCCGAGTAGCTGGGATTACAGGCGTGCACCACCACACCTAGCTAATTTTTGTATTTTTGGTAGAGAAAGGCTTTCTCCATGTTGGCCAGGCTGGTCTCGTACTCCTGACGTCAGATGATCTGCCTGCCTCGGCCTCCCAAAGTGCTGAGATTACAGGCATGAGCCACCATGCCCGGCCAAAACTTTAGTTAGACGGGCAGATACTCACTGGCCATTTTATAGGATCTGTAATGTTACACTGTATTTAGGATAACCATGATATTTCAGGAAAAACTAATTTTATTATTTTTATGAGGATAATATGTAATAACCTAATTTTACTTTCTATTAAAGCATAATGAAATCCAAAAGGAAAACTGATCACATGGAGAGAACTGCAAGTGTCCTTCGACGGGAGGTTTGTATCTTTGGGGTATGACAGGTTTTTCCAGCTAGACCGTTTACATGTGGTTATGACTGGCTTATGGGTAAAGCATTAGATGAGTCTGGTCCTTTTGAAGGAGAGTTGGGAAGTTTGTTATTTTTCTATTTAGAAATTTTCTGAGCAGGACATTTGATATCTGATTTGAAAAGATGACAGATACTCAAATTTTTCCCTTTAAACTTGGAATGAATGGATTACCTTTTGATGAAGCAAGTAGAGCAGCAACTGAGGGAGCCATCCTCACAGGTATGATGTTTAGGGTTATGTTTTAGCACTAGAACTTCCTTTAAAGCCTACATTTTATGAATAGCTTACCTTTCTCTGTTTTTTTGTGTGGGGTCTTTTTTTTTTTTTTGCGTCACATCTCAAAGTTCTTGTTCTCATTCCTGCTTTAGAGCAACTTATTTCATCAAGGGAGAAAGCACTAACATCTGAGAAAGGAAAGTGGACGAGCTCTTGTTACCCTTCTAATGTACAGATTTTTTCCACCATATTCAGACTATAGAAAGCTAATCTACCACCTGAAGGGGTGTCAAGGGCTGAGAAATAAAGGATCCTCACCCTTTACCTCAGTGAGTAACCCCATTTTTGTTTAAAAACATAAATCGGATATTTGATTTTGCTTTTTTGAATGTTTATCACTTACTCAGATATATTTAGCTTAGTGTTATAAGTATATGTAAGCTAACAATAAAAAAACTATTTCATGTAAAGAAGGATTATATACTTCTACAAACATGGGCAGAAATTATATTGTCTCATTTAAATTTATCTATTAATAGAAGGATACACTTTAATGTAAAGGCATATTGTTTAGGCCCTACTTTTAAGGCTAACTTCTTTCAGAAAGTTACTTTGGGACTAAGGGTAATGTGTTTGTTGATTCAGCTTAAAGTTCTTTTTTTTTTTTTTTTTTTTGAGAAGTCTGTAAAATTAGTTTAGCATAGTAGATTTAGGAGCTTGTGGGGAAGTACACTTTTTCCAATAATAAATCTGAAAATACTTTTTTTTTGGTTTGTTCAAGTGACCAAAAATGCTGATTCTGTAAATGTGAGACTTGTTAGGATTTCTTTTTATAAAATGAAGGCCTTGCAAATTATGAAAAAAAAAAGTGATTTATCTTACAGGCTCTTTCCTGTTGTATTTTGAGGCTGGTAGAATTAGAGCAGAGGTTGAAAATCTTTCCCTAGAAGGCCAGATAGTAAATACTTTAGATTTTTTGGGCCGTGCTGTCTTAATTACAACTTCTAATCTTTGATTTTATAATGTGAAAAGAGCCATAGACAGTATGTATACAAATTTCATTTACCAAACACCCAGATTTGGCCTGCAGGTAATAATTTGCTAGTCCCTGAATTAGAGTATTCATTTCAGAATTTTATTTTACAAGACCAATTAATTTTAATAGCCTGCAGAAACTAAGTGAAATATAAGCAAAAAAGAATCATCAAGCATTTACAAACAATTAGTATATTATTTACTGTTTAGCGTCAACTGATATTTACTGAGCACCTCCTGTTTTCCAGGACCAAAAACTTGTTTCTTACCTTACAGAATTCTCAAAACTATGCCGTAAGATACATAATAATATTTTAAGACAGGTAAGATAGATAGATAGTTAATAGTATTTTCTTGTTTTTTTTTTTTTTTTTTGAGACAGAGTCTTGCTCTGTCACCCAGGCTGGAGTGCAGTGGGTACAGGGGTACAGTCATGGCTCACAGCAGCTTCTGTCTCCCAAGCTCGACTGATCCTCCTGCCTAAGCCTCCTGATTAGCGAGGACTACAGGCACACTATTGTGCTCAGCTAATTTTTAATTTTTTGTAAAGATGGTCTTGCTGTGTTGCCCAGGCTGGTCTTGAACTCCTGGCCTCAAGTGATCCCTTCTCTTTGGCCTCCCAAAGTGCTGGGATTACAGGCATGAGCCACCACACCTGGCCAGTATTTTCTTTTTAACAGATGAAAAGACTAAGAATCGGACTAATAGGAACTTGCACAGCATCCATCATAGGCATTAACATACTTAATTATGTTGACTGCCAATTCTAAGGAAACATATCTATTTCTCACATTTTTATTGTTACCACAAAGTCTTTTACATTTTTCAAATTTGTGTGGATATAAACAGTATTTTTATTTATATCACCATCATTTCTGTTTCCTAATAAAAGACCTTTATCTCCCTAAGGTTATCACCACTTATCTATAATTTCTTGCTTATTAATTTTAATAAAATATACATAAGTGGGAATGTACAGTATTCAGTATTCTGTGGTTTACAAATGAGGCAGGCACATACTTTAAAGGTTACACCTATTAAGAAATAGATGCTAATGGCACGTCTCTCTCTGAGTACGCTCACACTCCCTTTTGTTGGGTGTGTGCTTTCCCCCTTCCAATAAATCACTGTACTATCACTAAAAAAAAAAAAAAAAACAAAAGATATCAACTATGATTTCTAAAATATACTTAAATATATTTAAAATTAACCTCATTAAAATTTTTGGTTTATAAATATAACTATAACTACAGTATGTTAAGCTTAAATGACTATGTATTATGATGGTTAGTGACATATAAAGTACTGATATACATATTCTTTCAAGTTTGAAGTACCTCACCTGAGAACTCGGCTAAGGGGCAGTTCCTTAGTTTGGTTCCACTGGAATAAAATTATAAAAGGTGTATTTTCCTTTATGTAACAGATACATAACTATAGCCAAAAGGTCAGGCAACACAGAATTCAGTAAATACTGAGGATAATGCAATAGTTAATGTCAAATTCTAGCCAACTTCTAGTATTATGAAAGTATGTCTAATCTTAGGGAAAACCTGTTCTAACAAAATTATCTTAAGAAAAAGGGAAAGAACTATAAAGAAACAGACTATTAGAGATCTAGTAAATATTTTATAGATTAGGGACTGAGCTTCAGTCTTGATAAGTAACTTGCCCAAGCCATATATGCCAGTGGTGAAACCAGGACTGATTGCTGAACCTGACGTCTGTTTCAGGTTCTTTTGAACATGCCCTTGTTCTTTCATGTTATGACCGAATCGTACCATTTATTCACCGAATTTTAACTTTAATTTGGAAAATTATCAACTAATAAAACTTTTTCTCTTCAGCACAACTCTCTAGTTTTTCTAAAAATGAGCATTTTAAGAACAGGATACAGTTGATAACATTAGAGCACTCTCATAGTTCCTTAAGATCAGAACTTTATACAGGAAAAAGTTCCCTTTACATAAAGTTTGATTTGGCTGGAGAAAGCTTATAAAACAGTCATAGCTTTAAAGCCTTTTTACTCTGTATCATAGTGACATCCCCTGTTGTAAAACAGTTTTTTATCATCTGACATTTTCTTCAGATAGCCAGTTTTCCTGCTTTGGCTGTCTTATAAGAACTTCCAAAGACTTCAGTCTACCTATAGTTTGTTGTTTGTAGGTCAGGAAGAGTTATCTTAGAATGTAGCTTACAGACTTTCTGCCAAAAATGTTCTTTAGTTGTGTCTTGTCTGCAGTAAGAATGTTCAATTTGTGGTCAAGCGCAGTGGCTCGTGTCTGTAATCCCAGCACTTTGGGAGGCTGAAACAGGAGGATCACTTGAGACCAGGAGTTTAAGACCAGCTTGGGCAACATAGCAAGACCCAGTCTCTGCAAAAAGTTAAAATTAGCTGGACATGGCGGTGTGCTTGTAGTCCTGGCTACTCAGGAGGCTGAGGCAGGAGGATCACTTGAACCCAGGAGTTCAAGGTTACTAACGTAAGCTATTATGGTGCCACTGCACTCCAGCCTGTGTGGCAGAGCAAGACCCTGTCTCTTTAAAAAAGAAAAGAAAAGAAAAGAATCTTCCATAGTTTACATCCTTATGTAAGGAGTCTTCAATGTCTATGTCTTCCATTTCCCTGGTTTCTTTTTGGGCAGATATAAAAGAATTAACTACGGGTTTAGAAAAATGGCAATAATAGATTATTTATTTGTGTTTAATTCTTCAACTGTTTGATTAATTGTGCTAAATAAGAATGAATTATCCTGTGCTGACCTGATTTTCATGGAATATTTGTAAAATTTGGATTAGCAAGATGATTGGTAGTTATTTCAAGCACTTCTTGGGTTTCCAAAGACTGTTGAATACCTTCTGAATTTGAAATTATCAAAGTAATAGTTGTAAAATTTAGATACTCAAAAGATGTGTGAAAAGCACCTATATCCATATTTTAGTTAACTGATGTTTCCAACGTAGATTCTGGTTTCCTAGTTAATCTTGTTTAACTAGTTTAAGAGTTAACATGTATTTTGACTTGAACCTGGGAGGCAGAGGTTGCAGTGAGCCAAGATTGCGCTACTGCACTCTAGCCTGGGCAACAGAGTAAGACTCTGTCTCAAAAAGAAAAGAGTTAACAAGTATTTTGTATACTTCTTGGTTTTAGAAGCCAGTGGCTTCACCAAGGCAGATGAATCAAGTAATTGCGTGTTCAGGGAGCACATCTGTGTTAACTATATTTTTCTTTGCCTCATTTAATACAAGTGATTTTTCTGATTTGGCTTTTAGGCATACTTTTTTCTCATCTTCCAATTGTTTCTTCTGTGAATTTTTTTTTTTTTTAAGAAGGATCTTTTACTTGATTGTCTTCAGGCAGAGGAAAAAGTTGTTGGAACTGTACTTTGTTTTAAATATCAAATCCCCCGTCTGATGTCAAGAGAGTCAGGAGTGAAATGGTCACTACATAGTAACTGGTATTTACTAGAAACCCATCAATCTTGCTATTTTTTTTTTTTTTTTTTACCACTTTTCAAGTGTTTCTTTGTCATTTAGAGGAAATGGGTAAAAACTCAGCTTCTGGTCTTTGTTTTTTTTGTTCCTGGCGATTTGTAGAGTAAATCGCTGTCCTGTATAGCTGAGTTTCACTTGTATGAGGTCCTGGGAGACCCGGGGCCAGCAAAAGGTGCAAGGCGGCCCTTCTTCCATTTCAGAATTTTATAGGACAAAATTATTGGGACTTTTGGGGGTTATTTTGAGCCAAATTTAGGTAAACTACAAAGAAAGTTAATGCAAACTCTTGAGAATTTTAGTGCCCACAAGTCAGAAAATTACAGGAAAATCCAATCATGGTACTACCTTTCAGGAAATTTTTAGTTGCATCTCTTCTCCTCTTCTGTTTCTTTTTCTTTCTTTCTTTTTTTTTTTTTTTGAGACAGAGTCTCTTTCTTGTTGCACAGGCTAAAAGCGCAATGGTGCGATCTTGGCTCACTGCAACCTCTGCCTCCCGGGTTCAAGTGACTCTCCTGCCTCAGCCTCCCCAGTAGCTGGGATTACAGGCGCCTGCCACCATGCCCGGCTAACTTTTTTTTGTATTTTTAGTAGAGACGGGGTTTCACTGTGTTGGCCAGGCTTGTCTTGAACTCCTGACCTCATGATCTGCCCTCCTCGGCCTCCCAAAGTGCTGGGATTACAGGCATGAGCCACAGCTCCTGGCCCTCCTCTTCTGTTTCTAATTTCCCCTCTTCTCCCATACAGAATGAGAACTGCGAAGAGTTGGGAGGAACTGGAGAAAGCTAGATGGTATCTGGCTTTCTCAGCAGTATATGGTCATTAGGAACTTGCCCCAATCTCCAGAGGGTGCTCCTAGCCATAGAGTAGGGGCTGGACCCTGGACTCGTTGAAATGAATGGCACCTCAGGTTTGGCCATAACAGAACTGGATCAGCTTCTTATAGTCTCGTCTTCCATTCTTGCCTTTAATTTGTATAGTGAGTATACTTTACACATGTTATTTGCTCTTCAGTTCAAGTCCATGAGGTAGCCTAAGGATACGATGCCATCTGGATTTTACAAAGAGGAAGCAGGGCCTAGGACATGTCTCTCAGTGACGAAAGGAAGCTCCAGCTCAGAATTCCTAGCTAAAGGACTGTGTTGCTACTCTTGGAGTCGACAGGAAATGGAATACTCACCCAGAAATGTTCTTTTGGTTTTGGGCATGTATTTCCTCTGGAAAGTTTACTGAATGACCATTTATGATGTTTATGCTTCTTACTTGGGACTGTAACTGTAAGTAGTCTGAGATTGTGCTGATGGAGGAAACTGAACTCTGAATTGAATTACATTGGAATGTTTGTGTTCAAGTTTTATTCATTTTATTCTTAAGAATCAAAAGAATAAGCAGTCTGAGTAACCCTAGAAATGTCAAGGAGATAAAGATAGAAATACTGTAATGCAGTAAAGATTGTTCAGGCAAGACAAATTTTACTGGAGGGGGTCATTCCGTGCTTGGCCTCTACAGACTGTTGGCCTACTGAGCAATATATGCTCTGTTCATCAGTTTGTTGGGAGAGTTTGGCAGTGAAAGAATTTCTTAAATTACTAATTCATATGCATTCATTTGTTCATTTGGAAATGTGCCAGACCCTGGGCCAGATCCTGGGGTTACAGCATTGAAAATGATAGATAAGCTCCTATCCTCAGATTTTAATGGGACTCTGATCAGAAGACTTTATGCACCTAATTGATTTTGGAAATCTTTCTAATTCTTTTTCTATTGTACTAGTTTGCTTTTAGAAGCCTGTGTCTTTTCCTACAGTATCTTATGTGTATGTTGCCTTTTTGTTTACAAAGCACCAGATTATACAACAGATTGGTACTTGATTCTCACAACCATTCTGGGAGGGACATGTAGGGATTTTAATTTCTATTTCACAGATGAGGGGATTAAGAATCAAAGATTTAGGTAGGATGACCCTGCTTCCTCATTTGCCTGAAATAGTCCTGGTTTATGCCTCTCGTTCCTGGTGTAATAGCACTCACTTTCACTCTCAAAATTATTCTGTCTTGAATGATAAATTATATTGTTGTCCTAAGTTTAAAGGACTTGTTCAAGGGACAAGGACTCAGTCCTTGAACTCAGATCTTTGATAATAAAATCAGCTTTCCTTTATGTTACAGCAGAATATGACACTCTGTTTAGACGGACAAGGCTTAATTGAGCAATGTGTTACTAGGCATGAGAAACGGGGGAGATACTGATGGCAGAGTGGTTAGTTAATAAATGGCTGGGCCCCTGGGGCAGATGCCTTTGGGGATCCTACAGTTCCAGGTGCTGATTTTCCAATGCTTATAATCCGCTTGTGATCTTGATGAGGCTTGGGTTTGAATGGGATGGTCTGCTTAGCTGCAGAGTGGACTATGTCCCAAGGCTAACTTTTACAATTCTCTACTGGTCATCACCTATGCATGTCAAGGAGATTGTGGTAGAGTGGTCACTTCAATTTGAGGTAGGGGGCATCTTTTCAACATGCACTGTTTCTCAACAGTTATTCCTGTAACTTGCTTTGGTTATTAGAGCTTGATGGTCAAAGAACCTTTTAGAGATGATCCAGCCTGGGATGAGCAGTGCTTGACGCTCCTGGCTTCACACTGTCAGCAGTGACAAAGCAGAGCAGGTGGAGAGAAACCTCAGGCACTCACTGCCTGGAGGTAGTTGTAGGGGATCTGGGGGGCTGGACTGCAGCTCTTAGAAAAACTCCCAAGGAAGTATAGTCTGATGGCCCTGGCAGCTGGCCTCTGGCCCCTAGGGGTGTGTAACTAACTCTTCTGTGAGTTGAAGGCTACAAAGAAAGGGAGGCTCCTTGGGGAAAGGCCCAGTTTAGCAGCTCTGTAATCATAGTATCTAGCACAGTGCCGGAGAAAAAAAGAGTTCCCTGTTGGCTGTGTTAAATTTGAAATGGAAATTAAACAGGCTGTTGGACATGTGAGATGAGAGTTTAACTGCTAGAGATGAAAAGTTGAGGCCACGTAGAGAGTAAGGGAAGAGGACTCAGGACTCAGCCCAGGAATGTGTCAACAGTTAGAGGCCAAGCAGAAGAGCAAGAGCCAGCAAAGGAGATGGAGAAGGAGTGGCCAGCCAGATAGGAAGGAGATCAGCAGAGTGTTCTTGGAGCCAGGGGGAAAAGTATTTCAAGAAAGAGAGAGGAGCCAACTGTGCTGAATTCTGCTGAGAGGTCATCACTGGATTTACCAAAGTGGATAGTGGGTGACCAGAATGACTGGCTTTAGTACATTACTGAGGGTGAAAGCCTGATCAGATTGTGTTGAGGAGAGAATGGGAGATGAGAAAGTGGAGACAGGACCATATGTAACTCTTGAAATGTTGTAATATGAATGGGAGCAGAGAAATGGGGTGAAAGCTGGATTAAAGGAGAAGCTTGTTTTGTTTGTTGTATTTTGAAAAGCAGCAAAGACCACAAGTGCCTGGTTTTAAATCTGCTTTGCCCCTTACTGGCTCTGGGACCTCAGTTTTCTCATATGTAAAATGGGGATATAATAATATTGGCTTTCTAGAGTTGTGAAGACTGAGTGAATCAATGTATGTAAAGTGCCTGACATATGGTAAGGATGTCTATAAGTGTTTGCTGCTGTTGTTGTTGTTACATGTTACATGAGGTGGGAGATCCTAGAGCTCGTGTGTTCTGATGGGGAGGGTAGAGAGGGTGTGATGCAGGAGAGAGGATAGTTGCTGGAGGGAAGGCTTGAGAAGACGGAGAGGAGACCAGCCCAGGTGGACAGGTTAGCCTTTGGTAGGAGTAAAGTGAGTTTACTTGTCATTCTAGGGCATAGTGTTAACCAGCATAAGCCATTTAAGAAGTTAAATTGTGTGGTTGACGGAGAATTTTGTGTCTACCTTTGTTAGTAAATCACTTGAGTAAAATCTGCTTCTAGTCAGATTCCTACACATCAGATTGATACTCTGCTACCATTTAAATAATGTCTCTGGGTCTCGGTGTCTTTGTGTGTAAAATGGCATATGATTCTTGATAATGACTAAAGTTTCCTTCAATTCTGAAATTCTCTGAACCATACCTACATTTTTGTTTTAGGTCATCTCTAGTCATGGCTTTGCCTAAATTTTTAAGCCAGAAAATGAATGAACAGGAGTGAACAGGGAAAGCTAGCCAGGTTTCCAAAGAAATACCTATTTCCTGTACAGAGACTTTTGCACCAGCGGTAACATCAAAATATCCTACATAAAACCAGCTTTTTAAACAAGTGTGATGGAATTTCCTTTTAGATGCTGACTCTGCCTCAGCATTAAACATGTGTACTGGTAAAGTTGGCAAATGTGTTGTTATTTTACTGAACACTGGAAAAGCATAAATGTTGTTTTATGGAAAACTTCATTTCCTGCCATGTGTTTTAACTTAGGACATGGATAGTTGAGGTTTCAGTTGTGAATCTTTCGATCCATTAAGTATAAGAGCCAATACAAATGATAAAATAAATAGTTTCTCCACTATGTTTTGCCTATCCAACAAAAGAATAGCATATAACAGGGGCCACAATTACAGGTCCTAATTATATGAACTAGCTTTTGGAGTAAAATAAATATGTGGTCTTCAAAAAGATTTCGTTGATGTTTTTAATCCACATTGCTAGAAATCTATATAGTATACAGCATTTGTGTTAAGCAAAATAAAATAGTAACAGGGAAGCATGTCTTTAAAAATAATGAATTGTGCAGGGTATTTTATGTTCCAGATATAGATAAAACAATTTTGTCCAGTTTGTTAGGATAAATAGCAGTAGGTACATTACTGTTTGTATTTCAGGTTGAGTATCTCTAATGCAAAAATCTGAAATCTGAAATGCTCCAAAATCCAAAACGTTTTGAGTACTGACGTGACACTCAAAGGAAATGCTCATTGGAGCCTTTTGGATTTCAGATTTTCACATGAGAGATGTTCAACCTATAAGTATAATGCAAATATTCCAAAATTGAAAAAAAATTGAAATCCTAAACACTTCCGGTCCAAGCATTTCAGGTAAGGGATACTCAGCCTGTCATACCAATAATTGGTCATAGACAGCATCCAAATGAAAATATGGCTTAATAGAAAGTATAGCTTGTTTCCTTCCTCATTGAATTTTACATTTGGACATTGGAAAATGACTAATGCTTCCATTTCACATAGCCTAGCACTTGATCGTGACGCATTCTCAGGTGTCTCAGCTGAAATTCTTTTCCCTATCTAGTTTTGTTAAGGAATTCAACACATGCCAGTTAAGCTGTCAGAAATGAAATAATCTACCTCGAGGCTGTATTTTAACAGATTATTATATCGAAAGAAAAAAATGAATGTTTATAAAATAACATTTCTTTTTTTTTTTTTTTTTTTTTGAGACAGGGTCTCACTTGGCTCACTGCAGTCTTGACCTCCAGGCTCAAGTGATCCTCCCACCTCAGCCTTCCGAGTAGCTGGGACTACAAGTGTGCCACCATGCCTAGCTAATGTTTGTAATTTTTTTTTTTTTTTTTTTTTTTTGTAGAGATGTGGGGTTTTGCCACGTTGCCCAGGCTGGTCTCAAACTCCTGGGCTCAAGCTATCTGCCTGCCTTGGTCTCCCAAAATACTTCTGTAAATGTAAGAAAAGGGGAATAATGAAGTAATAGAGACCTCTGATGATTCTCATTACTTGTCTTTGTAATAAGATACTTAAAAAAGAATGTGTGGCAAACAAAGGAAAATACCAGTTCTACTAAATAAATGTCTGCTCTCCCTGAACTCTCCCATACTTTTAAACATGAATCTGGATTTTCTGTAGTGTTCTCTTCCCCTATCCACCCAGCTTAAAAAAAAAAAAAAAGTGCTCCTGCATTTCTACCAATCTTTGTTCTGAAAAACCATTTTAAGTGACTTAAAGTTCAAGTTTTTATTCATTCTGCAAATACTTACTGAGCCTTACTGTGTGTTGGGCCCTGTGCTTCATCTAGGGAGTTGACTTATACATGCTGAATATGGTCAGAAAGGCAAAAACATTATATTGGTAGAGTTGAGAGTATGAAGAGAAGAGGGAGGACCTCAGGCAGGGGGTGTTACTTGAGCAGGGCCTAGAAGGGTGAGCAGAAGGTTGGTAGAACTGAGAGAGCTTGGCACATGCTGAATGACCTAGGTAGGGTTTTGGGGAAGGGCAGGTGTTAGGTACCTTTGAGGACCAGCAGGTTGTCCAGTTTGGCCAAAAAACCACAAGCACAGTGATCCAGGAGGAGTCCCAAGTTCGTATGAGTTAAACGGGACTTTCAGCTTTTTTTTTTTTTTTTTTTTTTTCGGTGATTGAGTAGTAGAGAGCCGTTTAAGGTTTTTAAGCTGGAGAGTAACTCAGTGAGGTTGGAACATTAGGAATATTTGCCTGTTGGCTGCTTTGAGAGACACAAGAAGGAGACCAAGGTAGTAGTTCAAGTGAGAAGAAAGAAATTCTCAGCTTAGGGTGATGGCAAGTAGGCAAGGGAAAGAAAAAACATGAGCCAAATTTATGGAATTTGGCTGTGTTAGGGACAGTATACCAGAAAGAGTCAAAGTTTATGTGTGTTTGAATATCAACTGAAAATGTAATTGACTGTGTTGAGTCCAAGATGCATCCATAATTGAATATCTGGTAATGGAAATAAGCTGATTTTGCAAGGCTCTGTGAGGGCAGGTGCAGTCTTCTCTATCTCTGCATACCCTGTTCCCCAGTTTCAGGCACCATGCTCAATAAGTGTTCGTGGAAGGAATGACTTTGGTGGATTTCGTTGTATGGCATAAGTGCGTTTACCACTGGAGCAGAACCATCAGATGATTTAGGGAGGGTCAAGCTAACCTGGATTTGAATCCGCAATTCCTAGCTAGGTGATCTTGAGCAAGTTACTGAATCTTTCAGTTTCCTCATCTGCAAGATGTAGGATAACAACACTGTCTCTTGGGATATAATATGATTATTCATATCAACTGAATGAATGAATGCACATAAAATATTTAACCTAGCATCTGGTATATACCTGGGATAAATGCTCCTCAGGCATTGGCTGCTGTTACTTATGGGGAGTGTTGATGTCAGTTTGTGATTGGCAGAAAAGTAATGATGAGTTGTCAGCAGAAGGTGGGAGGAGAGTAGTAGTCTGTGAGTCCTTGAGGGCCTCAACCTGGAGTGGTAGAGGCAGTAGGAGCAAGGCAGTTTAGGGAAAGCTCCTACAGAAGAAGTGAGAGAAGGAATGGTAAAGGAGAAAGACTAGGTCAGTGATAACAGGAGGGGACCTGAGAAGTTCAATATGGCTGTTCCAGACAAGGAGAATGCATCAGTGTGGAAAATACCAAATTCAGAGAGGTCAGGGAGGGTGAGAACTGAGACTGGACATTGAGTTTGGTTGTTCAGAAAGACCCCAACCGTCAAAGGAGAAGTTGCAAGAACACCGAAGCTAGGTTACCTGTGGTTAAGGTGAGCATCAAGGAAAAAGGGAAGATTCTGTGGGCTATAGAAGAGCTGATTGTCTCAGTAGAGGAAGAGACGAAAGGCAAGATTTCTAAAATATATTCAAGACAGTATGGCTTTTACGTTTGCACTGGTAAAAACATGTACAAGCCCACCACACTGCAGTTTCTTGTTGTCCATGTGAGCAGTCTCTGAGATGTTCAGTGCTCAGTCTTTAAGGCCCTGGTGCAAAAGCATTGGTATGGTGGCATATATAGTTATAAATGAATAAAATGTAATATATAATGTAAACAAATGCTAATTAATTTTAATTAAGACAATGAAATACAGTCATGTGTTGCCTGCTGACGGGGATGTTTTGATAAATGTGTCATTAGCTGATTGTCATTGTGCAGACATAGAGTGTACTTAAACAAACCTGGAGGGGATAGCCTACTACACACTTAGGCTAAATGGTATAGCCTATTGTTCCTAGAGGACAAACCTATATGCATGTTACTGTACTGAATATTTCAGGCGTTTGTAACACAATATTTGTGTGTCTAAACATAGAAAAATAGTAAAAATCTGGTATTATGGGATCACCTTGTATATGTGCTTTGTCGTTGACCAAAATGTCGTTGCACAGCACATGACTGTACATTATAACCAACATTAATGAGTTCTGTGGGCCAGCAGCATTGTAAGTACTTTTGTCAGTATTATCTCATTTAATCCTCCCAGCAACCCTATGAGGTATAGGTGGTATTATTCTCATTTTATAGCTGAGGAGGGCTAGGTAACTTGCCCAGAGTCACACAGCTGGTAAGCGGTAGAGCCAGGACTAAATACCAGGCAGTCCAGCTGCAGAGCCCATGCTGTTAACAGCCATATTCTGCTGCTTACTTTATTTTGTTGCTGAATTGCTTTGAATTGCAAATGGCATTAGATGTAATCTTTGATGAAACAGGAATGTACTAAAGGGAGGAAAATTGAACATGAAGGAAAGGGCTGGTGGTTGCTGATGGAGCAGTGTTTCTGAGAGAGTAGGCAGGACTAGGACCAAGAGTGCAGGTAGAGGGTCAGTAATGGAAAATTACCCCAGTTGATTTTTAGGAGAGGAGCAAGAGAGGGTTGACAAAAATATGGAGAAAGAAAGGTTAGGTATTTTGCAGGAGGGAGAGAAAGGTAGATAATACTAGAAGATACTTTGAGGTGGTGAGAGAGACCACCATCCATCATGAGAATTATCCAGTGGATTTTTGAAAATGGTCTCCACTAATAGTTTGATGAGATTTAGTAGTCCTATTGGAGTAGAGGGCCTGCATGAGCTAGCATTAGGATGGGACGTTCATTGACCTTGACAGATTTCCAAAGCACCCTTTGGTGGAGCTGTGAAGGTCACACTTTCCAAGGAGAGGGCTATATTTTGGTTAGTTGCTGATTTGCTGCCACAAGTAAAGATGAACAGACATAGAAGGTTGAGGAAGGAAAGAGTCATGTTGTCTTTTTTCTTTGCTTGTGAAGATGTCCCAGGCTTACAGGACAAAGAAACACAAAGCAGATGAAAGAATAAAGGAAATAGATACCTTTTGAATTTGAGGGGTGTTGAGCCATGAATGGCACATACCTGCATAGCTCCCGAGTCAAACCTATTCAAGGCTTTCCAGAAATCAGATACATCATGTAAAAATAGTGCTTCTCAAATTATCTGTAGGGAAGGGCTCTTTTTATTGTTAAGATTGTGATCTGTTTCCATTTTATAAAATATCGTGTGATAAAAAATGAATTTGAAAATTAATTAAAAACAAAGACATGAAGAATGCAAACCCATTTTGTTTTCTGTTACTAGACTCAATAGGCACAAGATTGTTCTGTGAAATTGTTAAAAGTTTCTAAGTGCCTGCTTTTGATTTCTGAAATTAGCTCTTTGTGGGCTCCTTACACCCCCAGAAGCAAGAGTGGGCCTCACTTTGCCCAGTGCTGATGGAGAATTTAACGGCAGCTCCTTGATAAGACCCTGGCTTGTTTACAGAGTTCCAATTCCCTGAGCTCTTCCCAGAGTGCCTAGCCCAGTGCACAGCACATTGTGGATACTCATCAGATAAATGCCGGTTAAAAGATCCCTTGAATAGATGATTTTTGAATGTAGGATAAAATTAAATTAGTATGATAGCAAGTCTCTCAAAAAAAAGTTAATTAAAATGTATTCACATGGTGGTAGGCTGAACTAAAGCAAAGTGTGTTTTACCTTGTTTGGCAATTTTCAAAAACCACATCTTTGTAGGTTTCAAAAACCTTAGTTCTCAGGATGCCACCATTTGTCCCTTGTGCTGTGTACGCACTAACCTCAGCCACAGTTCATCTTTTGGTTTTAGATTGTGTCAGCAGCTAAGGTGTGTGGAGCTGCCAGTGAGTCACCGTCAGTGAAGAGCCTCCGCTTGCTTGTTGCTGATCAAGACTTTTCCTTTAAAGCTGGCCAGTGGTAAGTGACTTTTCTGTGTTCCATGTATGTATGTTCAAGAAGGTGCCATCAGATAGAAGGTATTATTTTTTCTCCTGGAAAAGGCTAGCCATTCCCTTGAGGAAGAGGAATTCTAAATCATATCTGCTCAGGGTGAGCCTTTGTTGGCACAGAGGATCTGATTCCTTTTCTGGCCTCAGAGCCCACTTGGGTTTTGAGCCCGTGGCTCCCTCAGTCGTATATGAAAATTGCTGTCTTGTGTTTTCCACATTCAAACAAAGCTAGTTCTGGCCCATGGAACTGACAGCTCTGATAATTAGACTCTTCAGGAATGGTTGCTAACAGAATGCACTTCAGTAATCTAATCTCCTTGAGTTACGTGTTGCAGGAGATTCATAGGTTTTTTAAAAGTAGTCTTCTTCGTGTCCAATGCAGAGTAAACAAAGTATCCTGAAGAGAAGAGGAACTAGTGATGTCATCACAGGGCTCACTACCCTCTTGACTGAATTTGTCTATCATATGTACCTTATTTGGGTTGAATTTAAATACTTTGCCTAATTTGTTATCAGGATTCCCCAGTCAGGCCCAGCTCCCCAGAACCCCCACACAAATCATAAGTCTGTCCCATTTGACTCGGGACTGATCAGCATGCTGACTGGGTAACATTTCCTCCGAATGGGGCCTCCCTGAGCTTCAATTCAAGTTCAATTGTAAGGAAAGCAACTTGAATTTCCCTAGGAAAGGTGTGTTTGGGTGTGTGTGTCCTTTATTTTAATAAAGCATTCATTTCTAAATGGATTTCTGGCATGTCAGTCTTGATAGTGTTTCTTAGGAGTCACTTGACTAATTTTGGCAGTCCATCTGGAAATGTGGTTTTGTTAGAAGGAGGATGTGTGATAATAGCAAGTGTGATAATAGCAAGAGTTAGCAGTCTTGTGTGTTAATAGTTTGCCTTTGAATTTAGAACTAGAAAACAAGATGCTGATTGCAATAATTTGGGTTTGTGAAGCAATTTACTGCAATCTTTGCACATGTTCGATGATACACATTAAATGCATTTTGCCTGTTTTAGGGGGCGGGCAACATATTTACCCTTCAAAAATGGTTTAGCAGTCATTATATTGAAAAGTGGAAACTTTAATTGTAATGATCTGTTTTCCATATTTCCTTTCTGTGGAAATGTTTGTGTCCTGTGCAAAGCACTGTCTCCGTGCCTTCAACTCTGAATCCTGCCAAGACTCAGACCCAGCCTCCTGGTTAGGAAAAGCCTGTGCATTGGTTATTGTGCTGCCACCGTGGTGTGCCTGCAAGTGTAATGCACTTGCTAACCTCAGTTACCTGATAAGAAAATGTCCTCATTCCCTAGTGATATTTGTAGAAATAGAGTCCTACTGTGATTCTCAAGATGAAATGATTTGGGATTGGTGTCATGTATACCATCCCAATGAATGGATTTGGCCATTTCACTGAATTTAGGCCTGGTTTTCGTATGTGCCTGTCAGACTTCTTCGGAGGTCGGACTTGGCGGGTAAGGATCACTGGCTGGTAGTGTGTGACGCTTTCCCTCCCAGGTGTTGATCAGCATTCATTCCAGGCCCCTGGGCCCTCCTCTTTCAACAAATTTTACCCTTACCATTGATTTATGGTTCTAGGGGTTGTGAGTTCCTTTTGATATTTGACCTTATGGTCACAGAATGGCCATTTTGCTGAGGTTGGCGGTGTCTGTCCCTTCCATGCTGTTGCTTGAATGGCTTTGTGCTCTAGGCTGTCTCAGACCATCAGCTTGGTAGTAACAGCCATGTGGTACTTTGGAGAAGAGGGCAAGGATTAGGGATAGGAAGTGAGGATGTGGCTGCCATGCAGTTTGTGTAGGTAGGATTATCAGACTGGAGAGCTGCTAGAAATCAAGGAGAGGGTTGCTGTTGGGCTTATCTTTGGGGTAAGAGATTGGGCCGTGATTCCACATCTCTGAATTTTTGACCAGTGGCTTCCTCTGACACCTACCAAACTCTGAGAATGAGGTTCCAGGCACAACTCTAACTAAATAAATGAATGTTGTCTGTGACTAGCTGGAGCTTTGGCCACAGATCCCCATGTAGACACCTTCAGCATAGATCAGATATAGGCCTCAAGGGGCTCTTTTTGCACTACACTGTATTCTTACTGGGCCTTGCAGAGAGGGCTGGTTCCTGTAGCAATAAACCAGTTCCAAGAACTGTAGCAATCCAATCCCGAGAGAAAGGCCAAAGGCAGAACCACCTCAAAACATCTCTCACATGAGCAGGGTTGAACTTCTTGGTTCATCTTACTAGTAGGCCTACCACTTGCTAGCTCCTTGGTGAGGCCTGCCCTTGACCAGAATTCCTCCTCCCTTGGGGTGGAAAGCTTGGCACTCACTCTTGGGTCTGGAGCATGCCACCACTGGTCCTCACACAGTGTGCAGCTGCCCTGAGTTTCTAGATTCACATTTGGCTGTGGTGCTCACTGCCTGCCTCTGGCATTGGTTATGCTACTGTGGGTAGCAGTGTATTGTCGCCTAGTGCCCTGGAGACTGCTCAGCTCACATGCTTGCTTTCTACCAGCCAGCTCTGTGATGTGGTCAGTTTCCTTATTTGTCTGGGCTTCAGTTCTCATATCTTCAAAGAGGGAGCAGTAGTATTCCTACGTTTTGGGATATTTAAAGTGTTTAGCATAATGCCTACTGTTAACTTCATTTGTTTGATTTTAGCTTTTGTTATTGCTAATAAGTATTTCATTCAGTTAGATCATATGTGCTGATAAGGCCCAGGGGACAGATTCCAATTCTTATCTCCTTGGTCAGTTTCCCTGCACTGAAGCTGTTGATTGGAAGAGTGGCAGGCCAGGCAGGAGTGGGGGCTTATCACCACCATGTCACCACTGATGCCCCAGTCAGTACTCAATCCACACTTGGCTGGGTATAGCTTGCCTCCTGAGGGGAAGTAAGGCCAAAGCATTTTCACAGAGTGGAGGGAATTCCTGGTCCTAGTGTGTCTGACTTTCTACAAGATAACATAAGTTTAGATGCTAGAAAGCAACTTTGAGCCCTGCTGAGAGAAAGAGGACACCAAGAAGAAACACTGGAGGAGCAAGATTAGAGAAATAAGACTTTATACCTACCCTTGAGCAGGGCTGCCACACTGTAGATAGATAATATCCTTGCAACCTACACAAGCATGTGTGGCAGCCCTGATTCTCACAGGACTGCACATAACATAGCACTGTATTCCTTGGCATCTTTTTCAAACTGTGTCCTCCCCCATTACTCATCTGGTAAGCATTGTGTGTCTTTTAAGACTGTTTAAAGGGCATCTCTTCTGTGAAGTCTTTCTTAATTCCTGTACTCCTGGTAGAATTGACTCCTCCTTCCTCTGCCTTGCCTCGCTACGCTAAGCAGATTTTATCATTGCCCATTTAATTGTATGTATTTGTTAATTTTCCTCCTCTTAGAGTGGGTTCATTGAGGGCAGCAACTAAGACATATGTGCATCTTTGTACCTCCAGCAAGTACCACAGTGCCTGTATATGGTAGGCAGGTGCTCTCTTAGATGTTTGCATTAAGTGAATGAGTGAGGGGCTCTGAGAACTGTAGGCAAGGACTAAAGAGTTCTGGGATCTCATAGTATAGCTGCTGTGTGCTTGGCACTGGGGCTCCCTTTGTGGACAGGACCTGGCTGCCTGGTGTGTCATGGTTGGATGTGGACATCCACTGCTTCACCGCGCACCTAGGCTCCTTCTGCATACACTCACTCATTGGGTATATAGTAAGGGCTTTAACTCATGGCTCCAAGAGTGCTCATCCTGCAAAGGACATTTTTAAAGGTGTGTGTTTAAGGTATAATTCTTTCTTGGACAGATGTTTTATGAAATATGTATTGTGCATATTTTCTTAAATCCATTCAGATGAAGTTTTTATGTAACTTAAATTCTTCTGTATTTTTTAATGAAGGAGTCCTTTTTTTCCAAAGGTAGCTTTCCAGAGTTACTAGAGAAGAGGGTTGGTTCCCTTTCATTCAACTGAGAGAATGGCCTTCATCAGCATTGAGCAGCAGAGGGCACTGTAGTTCAGGAGATGAAGCAGCAAAAGTAGCTTATTAATGTATTTATTTTTTAAACATGGAAATAATGGAGATTTTTGTATACCTCCTCTGTGATAGCATATAGCAACTGTGTTAACAAATGCTAACGATAGTCTTTTAAATTTTTATCTTGTCAGAAATGAAAAGAAAGTTAAAGTACTCATGGAAAAGAGTCAAGTGAAAATAGGTTAAAGTTGGCCAAAGACCTTTTCTGGAGCACTTCCAATCCAGAACTGGTTTTTAAACACTTATAATAAATGACTGGAAATGTAAGGCCATAGACTGCAGGAGAATATTTTTTTAAGGTCATAGATCAGATTAGAGAACATCTTTTGCTTTTCTTTTAGGCCTGTATGTAGGTAAGCAACTGGGGAAGGATGATACTTTTTGCTCTTGTGATGGCTGTGAAACACCTAGATTGGATGTTTATGTTTCCCAGATATGGGGATGAGAATTTTTTGTGGTTCTGTGTTCCAATACATTTTTCTTGGTATGTGACTAGGTTTATTGCATTTCCTAGAATCCTCACCAAAAAAGGGTTTCTGTGGCATAGAATTATTGAAAGCTTGAAACCCAGGAGTTCTAGACTACAGGATGTGGTTAGAAGAAAAGAAGGAAACGTTAAGACTTGTGTAACTCAGAGGCCATATCGGCCTATTAAGTCTGTCAAATACTAGTGGGAGAGTTTTTGTTGCTTTTCTTGACCCTTTTTTCATACTTTTTAAAACTTAAAAAGACTGTTATGTTGAGATATATTCATATAAAATTCAAACATTTAAAGTGTACAATTCAGAGGTTTTAGTATATTAACAGAGTTGTGCAGCTATCAGCACAATCACATTTAGAACATTTTTATCCCAGAAAGAAACTCTGTAATGATTCTTATTCATTCCCTATCCTCCTGCCCGGCTTAGATGACCACTAATCTATTTTGTCTCTATGGATTTGTCTCTTATAGACATTTTATACCAGCAGAATCATACAATACAGTGTGTGGTCTTTTTGTGATTGGCTTCTTTCACTTAACATGATTTCAGGGTTCATCTATGTTGTAGCCTGTATCAGTACTTCATTCCATTGTATGGATATGCCACATTTTGTTTATATCTTCATTAGCTGATGGACATTTACATTGTTTCCACTTTGGGGCTATTGTGAATAATGCTGCCATGAACATTCATGTACAAGTTTTTGAGTGAACATACAGTTTCACCTGTCTTAGGTCTAAACCTAGGCATGGAATTGTTGGGTCATATGCTAACTAACTAACATTTTCAGGCACTATTAAATTGTTTTCTAGAGTGGCTGTGCCATTTTACATTCCCACCAGCAATGTATAAATGTTCCAATTTCTCCAGACCCTAACACTATTGTTTGTCTCTTTGATTATAGCCATCCACGTGGGTGTGAACTGCCAGCTCATTATGATTTTGACTTACATTGCCCTAATGACTATTGATGTTGAACATCTCTTCATGTGCTTATTAGCCATTTATATGTCTTCTTTGAAGAAATATTAATTTAAAGTATTTTGTCAGTTTTTTATTTGGTTGTCTCTTTATTACTGAGTTGTAAGAGTTCTTTATATAATCTGAATACAAGAACCTTAATATTAATAGATATATTATTTAAAAATATTTTTCCCATTATGTAGATTGTCTTCTTAACTTTTTTTTTTTTTTTTTGAAATGGAGTCTCACTCTGTCGCCCAGGCTGGAGCGCAGTGGCACGATCTCGATTCAGTGCTACCTCTGCTCCTGGGTTCGAGTGATTCTCCTACCTCAGCCTCCCAAGTAGCTGGGACTACAGGTGCATCTGCCACCATGCCCAGCTAATTTTTTTATTTTTAGTAGATACGGGGTTTTACCATGTTGGCCAAGCTGGTCTCGAACTCCTGACCTCAGGTGATCCACCCACCTCGGCCTCCCAAAGTGCTGGGATTTGTATAGGCATGAGCCACTGTGCCTGGCCCTGACTTTCTTGATGATAACATTTGTAGCACAGAGTTTTAAATTTTGATGAAATCTGTTTCTCTATTTTTTTTCCAACCCTTTTGGTTTGGGGTCATATCTAAGAAGCCATTGCCATGAAGTCTTACTCCTGTGTTTTATTCTAAGAGTTTATAATTTTAGCTCTTACATTTAAGTTTCTGCTCTGTTTTGACTTAATTTTTGTATATGTTGTGAAATAGGGGTCCAAATTCATTCTTTGTATGTGGTTATTCAGTTCTCCCAGTGCCACTGTTGAGTAGACTGTTCTTTTGCCATTAAATTGCTTTGGCAGCCTTGTCTAAAATCAATTCACCATGAATTTAAGGCTTTATTTCTGGACATTCCGTTCTTTTCCATTGATCTACATGTCTGTCCTTATGTCAGTACAACAGCATTTTCATTACTGTAGCTTTGTAGTAACTTTTGAAATCAGGACCTGTGAGTCCTACAAATGTAAACTTCTTTTTCAAGATTGTTTTGATGATTATGGGTTCCTCAAATTTCCATATGAATTTTATGATCAACTTGTCAATTTCTACAATGAAAACACCTGGGGTTTTAGTAAGTATTGCATTGAATCTGTGGATCAATTTGAGGAGTATTGCCATCTTAGCAATATTTAAGTCTGCCATGCCATGAACATGGAATATGCTTCCATTTACTTAGATCTTTAATTTTTTTCCAATGGTGTTTTGTAGTTTTTACTGTGTAAGTCTTACACTTATTTTGTTAAATTTATTCCCAATTATTTTATTCTTTTTTATGCTATTATAAGTGTAATTGGTTTTCTAAATTTCACATTTGGATTGTTCGTTGCTAGTGTATAGAGATACAGTTGATTTTTGTCTGTTGATCTTGTATCCTGCAAACTTATTTGAATTTATTAGTTCTAATATCTTTTTAGTGAATACATTAGTATTTTCTATATATGACAGCATACCATCTGCAGCTTCCACCTCTGCAATCTGAATGCCTTTTATTTCATTTTCTTGTTTACTTACTTTGGCTAGAACCTCTAGGACAGTGTTGAGTTGGAGTGGTAAAAGTAGACATCCTTATCTTGTTTCTCTTAGGGGGGAAACTTTCAGCCTTTCACCATTAAGTAGGATGTTAGTTGTTCTGATCACGTTTTATTTCATTTTCTTGTTTACTCACTTTGGCTAGAACCTCTAGTACAATGTTGAGTTGGAGTGGTGAAAGTAGACATCCTAATCTTGTTTCTCTTAGGGGGGAAACTTTCAGCATTTCACCATTAAGTAGGATGTTAGCTATGGGTCTTTTGTAGGTGCCCTTTATCAGGTTGAGAAAGTTCCCAATTATTCCTAATTTGTTGAGTATTTTTGTTATGAAAAAGTGTTGGATTTTGTCAAATGTCTTTTCTTGACTATTGAGATGATCATGTGGGTTTTGTCATTTATTCTACTGAGTGGTGTATTACATTTATTTATTTTCAGATGTTAAACCAACCTTGTATTCCTGGAATTTTTGTACCTAAATTCAGAAGGGATACTGGTCTATAGTTTTCTTTCAATGTCTTTGTCTGGCTTTGGTATGAGGGTAATACTGGCCTCATAAAATGAGTCGAGAAGTGTTCTCTTCTGTTTTTGGAATAGATTTTGAAGGATTTGTATTAATTTTTAAATGTCTGATAGAACTTAACAGGATGCCATCTGGACCTGAGCCTTTCTTTTTTTTTTTTTTCTTGACATGAAGTTTCGCTCTTGTTGCCCAGGCTGGAGTGCAGTGGCGCAATCTTGGCTCACTGCAACATCCACCTCCCAGGTTCAGGTGATTCTTCTGCCTCAGCTTCCCAAGTAGCTGGGATTACAGGCATGCGTCCCTACGCCTGGCTAATATTTTGTATTTTTTTTTTAGTAGAGACGGGGTTTCACCCTGTTGGTCAGGTTGGTCTCAAACTCCTGACCTCAGGGGATCCACCTGCTTTGGCCTCCCAAAGTGCTGGGATTACAGGCGTGAGCCACTGCGACTGGCCTGGGCCTGAGCTTTTCTTTGTGGGAAGTTTTAAAATTATTAACTCAATCCTTTAACTTGTTATGGGTCTGCTCAGATTTTCTTTCTTCTTGAGTCAGATTTGGTAGTTTATGTCATTTTAGGAATGTGTGCATTTCATGTAAGTTAGCTAATTTTTTGGCATATAGTTGTTCATGGAATTCCTTTATAATTCTTTTTATTTCTATAAGCTTTGTGATGATATCTCCTCTTTTATTCTTGATTTTAGTAATTTTTTTTCATAGTCTTGCAAAGGTTTGTCAATTCTGTTTAATTTACCAATTTTTAAAATTGCTTCAACAATAATCATTTATTTGGCTTTCTTTTTAGGGTTGATTTCTTTATTCCAGGAGTCTCTGTGGTTGGTGGGTTTTCAATATGCTCCAGTCCCAGACTGCTAGAACAAGAGAGAGTGATAGAATTGGCAGTGAAATATACGAACCACCCTCCTGCCCTCTGGGTTCACAATACGGTAAGCACACTGCCTGTTTAAACGCGATGATCTGGGTATCTCTGCCACCCACAAAATTTGTGTTAAGCTCATTTGATTCACCTAAGAAACCTGGGCTTGAGTAAAAGGGTACATGCCCAGAAAGAGCTTCTAAGAAAGGTCAAAGAAACTTTGATGCATTAAGTATGAGTCAGAGACTTTGGGATCTGGAAGTATTTTCTGGGTCACCAAACGGTATTCAGTTGAATACTGCTTTAGAATTAAAATATTTTATATTTTAGACAAGTTCTAAAAAGTTGGCTCTCTGTGTCATGTAAATGGTAAATCTATAAATCAGATTATTTTGTCCTAACCATCCTAAATAAAGGGAATTAAATTATTATTCTGTCATTTTTGGAGGGGAAACTATCTGATTACATAGTACTGCTTCTTCCCAGAGGTGAGCACAGCTAAATCCACGGTGCCATTGCCTCTCTATTTCAGTGTCTGGAAAGCTCTTCACTCGGGATTCTGAGAGAGAATCCAATTTGATTGCTGTTAATAACTCTTATTTCACCACAGGGCTCAACACAATCCTACAGAAGCTGCCTGTCATTACCTACTAGAACTCTGATAACAAAGAATGAGCTCAGAACAGATCAGTTACTCGTTGTCTTAGTTTTTGACCCTTCTATCCTTTTCACTTATTGCTTTTTCTATTCTTTTCCTTTTCCTTTCACTTCCTCTTCATTGCAAGAGTGTCTTCTATATTTACCAACAACCTCCATCCCAACCAGGCATTTTCTTACCTTCTTTACCAAAAACACATACCAGTATAAATATGGCTTCAAAAACAGCATTTTCCTGTTTCCTGGAAATCATTGAAAATCAATGAAGGAAAAAGAAAACAAAACCTCTATTTTCAGCAAAACTTGGAAACACACTGTAGTATATTTTTAAAGGTTGCAGAGAATTTTTGGGTTTCTGTAGGAGCCACATGGAAATAAGTAGAGGAGAGAGGCCGAGTAGCAAATTTCATAGAGCACCAACAAAAATACATGAGGGAGTGGGGTGGGACTTACAGCTCTTGCCTGCAAAGAGGGTATGGAAACACAGTTGCGTTTTGTGGCTGTAGAAGGCCCACCTGAACGCAGCAAGGTTCAGTTAGGAGAGAAGGCACGCAAAGAATCACACAGGCAAATCATGTTTGTAGGAACTAATATGTCCTGTAGTAGCTGAAGAGAGCTTTTATGTTGTGAAAACCAGCTAGCTTAGGATACTCTCTGGCCCATCCCCCAATGTAGGACCCTCTTGCAAATAGTCCAAAAAAAAGCACAGTTCATTTCAATCCCATGAAAGAAATCAAAGAAGACATGAGTAAATAGAGAGATGTACTGTGTTCATAGATTGGAAAACTCAACATAGTAAAGAAGTCAGTTCTCCTTAAATTGATTTACAGATTTAACATAACAATAATCAAAATCTCAACAGGATTTTTTATAGATATGGACAAAGTGATTTTAAAATTTATATGGAACAAAAAAGGACCTAGGATAGCTAAAACAATTTTGAAAAAGAAGAATAAAGTGAGAAGAATCACCTTAATCAAATTTAAGATAAAGCTACAGCATTCAAAACAGTATGGTATTGGTGAAAGGAGAGAAACACATCAAATAATGTTACAGAATGAAGAGTTCAGAAATAGACTGACATATATGGTCACTTTATTTTTGACAAAGGTGGTAGATTCAATGGAAAAATTGAAAGGCAAAAGGATAAACTTTTCAACAAAAGTTCTGGAACAATTTTGCATCTAGATGCAAAAAACAAAAAAACGAAAAACCAAAAACCTTCAACCTAAACCTAAACCTCATACTTTATATTCAGAATTAACTCAAAACGGATTGTAGATCTAAATGTAAAACATGGTACTATAAAAGTTCTAGAAGAAAATGGGATATTTGGAACTTGAGGGTAGGTAAAATTCTTAAACACAATACCAAAAGCAAGATCCATCAAAAAAAAGGTTGATGATAGGACATGGTCAAAAGTAAAACTTTTTCTACAAAAGGCATTTAACACAATTTAAAAACAAGCTACAGACTAGGAGAAAATATTTACAAATCAGATATCTAACAAAGGGCTTGAATCTAGAATATATAAAGAAATCTCAAAAGTCAACAAAAAGAAACAAGCAACATGATTTTTTTAAATGGACAAAGGATTGAACAGACACTTCAGTAAAAAAGGATATGATGATGGCAAATAAGCAATGAAAGGTATTGAAACATCGTTAACCCTGAGGGAAATGTAAATTAAAACCATATGTGGTGGGATGCCACTACGATCTAGTCTAATGTCTAAAATTAAAAATATTGACAATACCAAGCGTTGGCAAGGATGTGGAGCAACTGGAACTCTCATATATTGCTTATATTGCTAGTGGGAATGCAAAATAGTACAGCCGATCTGGAAAGCATTTTAGCAGTTTTCTATAAAGTTAAACATACACCTAACATATGACCCAGCAATACCACTTCTGAGTGTCTTAGAGAAATGAAGGCTATGTTTATATAAAAGCATAACATGAATATTTATAGCAGTTCTATTCATAATTATTAAAAACTTCTAGAAACAACCCAAATGTCCCTCAGCAGGTGAATGGATAACTTGTGATATAGTCATACAAGGGACTATTAAAGAGATGAATTATTGATGCATGCAGCAATGTGGGTGAATCTCAGAGGCATTCTGTTGAGTGCAAGGAGGCAGTCCCAAAAGGTTACATACTGTAAAATCCCATTTTTGTCACATTCTGGAAGACAAAGATATAATGATGGGAAACCAGTGGTTGACTGGGGTTGAGATTACTGTAAAGGTAGGATCGATAGCACAGGGGAATATTTTCAGGGGGTGATGGAACTAATATATGTTTTGATTTTGATGATTGTTACCCAGATCTATATGTGTGTTAAAATTCATAGAACCGTATACCAAAAGAAAAAGATTTCTATTAAGGAAATTTTTAAAATAAGTTTTTAAAAATGTGCAGGAGCAACATAATATATTCTTGTGGTTTACACGTCAAGTTGTGTCTGTCCAGGATAACCCCCAGATGCCTGTGTAGGCATTTCCATTGTAAATGTATCCTGTCACATTTTTACCCTGCAACCTTCTGAGTCTCTCCGTCAGTGTGGCCTCAGCTGCCTCATTGCTTTTTGGAGTCTCTGGATTTTCCCCTCATTACTGGCTCTAGGTTGCTCCTAGAGGTGCTAAAATATGCTGCTGGGGTGAGAGCAACGAGGTATCTGCATGCCCCTTGCTCAGAGTTGAAATAAGCATAGCCATCCCAGTTCCTAGTGCCATGAACATCTCCCCATCCTCCCTGTTATCCTTAGCTTCTCACGCGACCTGGCCTGGTCCTGGTCCACAGCTTCCTGCTTGGTTTCATGCCTCATTGGCATTTCAGTGAAGAAACTTATTCTTACAGGCTGTAGAAAATCTCAAAGTGTTATTGCCTGAATGCACATCCTAATTGTAGTGCCTGCTCTACTCTGCCCAGTGGGAGTTGCAAACAGCCTTTATGAAGTCAGATTTTTCTTGGAATCATTTTCAGGTGGCTATTTTCCTCCTGAGGATTTGTCTTATTAAGCCATTCGAGTGGACAATGGAGGCACGTGAGTGTCTGGGTGGCAGCAGGCTGCACCGTTGAGACATGGAATAAAGTGCCATAAACGTCTTCCTTTATTTTATCTGCTTTGGCTCAAGCTCTTGGCAGGGTAAAGGGTTCTAGACAGCTATTGTGTGCTCAGCTCCAGTTGCTGTGGAAAGGTTGTTTATTTCACAAGTAGAAAATCTATACCAAAATTAGATACATTGCTGTGTAATTGAAGGTAATGTCCTTTTATTCACTTACATATTACAGTGTACAGTACTTTGAGTCTTGTGTTCGTGTTACCCTCGCAGTTTTTATTGATCAACAAAAAGACAAAGATGGCTTTTAATTCTTCCCGGATGCTACCAAATCAGAATACAGACCTACCGAAGATTATTTTGTCGTCAAGGATAAGACAGGCTTCTTGAATATTATCTTTCCCTGGGGCACATTTTCTTGCCAACTTTAGAGTTGAAAATACTCTGGTTTCTAAAAACAATAACCTAGAGGCTTTCTTTGTTGTCATTACTAAGCATGCCAAAGATGGCCACTGGAGAAAATTATTTCAGTCTCTTTCACTCTGATTCTTATAGATAAAGAGAGAACTGCACAGGCAAGCAAGAGAGGGAGGGAAGGAGGATATAGGAGATGAAATTCATTGTCATCGTTAGGCAGAGCCTCTTGTATCTTAAATTCTATTTTTGAGACTTGAAAGGAAAGAATATTTTAAAGCACTTTGGTAGCCACTGTAGCAGTTCCTAGATTTTAGTTATTCCTAACTGAATGCTCCCTTGCTGCTAATTTCTTTTGTCAAAAATGAAAACCCACTTATCACCATTCATGTAAAAATCTCCCACATATTTAAAATAGTGAGGTTCAGACATTTTTTCCCCTGAAAGAGTATCCATTCATTTAACAGTTCTTTACCAAAAAAGACATGTTTTTGTGAATTCAAATAATTTTCATTTTTCTTAGATCTTCTCTAAATTTAACTCAACTTTAACTTGCAGAGACCAAATTAAATTCATGTCCAGAAGTACCTACTGCTCACCTGACATGCAAGGTGCCAAGGTGTGAATGCTAAGGGTTTGGTTCTCAAAAAGCACGCGATGTGTTATTACTTCTTAGGAGGGCATTCATTTAGTTGATTTATGCCAGGAACGTGTAATGGGAGAAACCTATGCTCTTAATACAAGTTTCTTTATTCCTAGAATCTGTTTTTTAGTGACAGGGAAGAAGGAAGCTGGTATTGCCAGCACTTTTTCTTTTGTGACAGCTGCAATGACCAAAATTCCTTCTTATGTAGAGCCAGATACTCGGGAGTTCCACCCACTGTGAGTCAGTTCATGTTCACACCAACCCTGTGAGGTGGGCAGTGCAGGTGCTGGTACCCATTTTCCAGGGGTGGCAGATGAGGCTCAGAATTTAAGGGACTTGCTGGATTTCATAGGGGCTATGATTAAAATTCAGTCTTTTGACTCCTAGATCAGTGGTTTTTTTCCAAACAAGGGATTACCAACTCGGTCAGATCCAATGCTCCTTTCTAGAACTGTCCTGAAATGAAAGTCATAGTTAATGTAATGTACCCATAGGTTTTTTTTTAAATAACATAATTCTCTAACTAATACAAAGGAGAAATAAAAGAAAGTGATCCATAATCAAAGAGTATGTATTTTAAAATATAAATGGTTAGGCAGATCTAACTGGAAGATAGAATGAAGTAATCAGATGGCTATTCCTAAACATAGAATCACCGTGAATACACTGTCTACAAATGCAGATGATAAAGATGTGTTGTGTGGGTGACACATGTCACTAAGTGGAATGTGGTTTTCCAGAACAGTGAACATGCTTGGTTAAGTTCTGAACACAACAAAGTGTAATCTACACTGTGGCTACTGAGTTTATTTGTAAAATGAGCTAGAGTCTAGTCTCAGATCATTATAAACCAGTTTTCACCTACAAGAACGTCTTTTGGGCCATTCACAAGTCATTGTGCAGGACAGTCTTGTGCATTGTAGATAATGGTGTGCTGGCAAACCAGCTGTCTGAATTTATCTGAGTTGTATCATTTGCTGATTTCTGTGCTGTAAGTACTCCTACAATGGCTGATTTCAAACTACCAGTAGGAACTTTCTCACAAAATTCCTGTAGATTTGACCACCAGCTTAGTAGGAGCCAGCTCTGGGAAACCACGAATTTTGTAGGATCTCTAGCATCTCTGGCCCTGCCCTTTAAATGCCAGTTGGATTCCCCAAATCATTGTGACAATAAAAAATGTCATCACAAGTTTCCCAAACACCTTCATCAGAAGCAGTAGCACCCCCACTGAGAAAAACAGTACATTCAACTCTGATGGTATTACGGGCATAAGTGACCTCACCAAATAGGTGCTTTATCTAGATAGGTCTATGTGATACTCCCTAGTATGAAGCCTCTGGCTGCCTGTTCTTGTTTCTCTAGGGAGACAGGAACAGCACTGAACAGTACTACAGGGCTGGTCTAAGCCTGTAGAGCTGGTCTGGCTGTGCCTTACTGAGGATCAAGAAGGAGCACCAGTACTTACACTTTTCAGCCTTGATGAACCCAGGGCAGGCAGTCTAGTGACATTTGCCACATCCTGTTTCTCTCAGCTTTGGTTAGAACACAGGAACACAACTCAGATAAAGGAGACCCATACTTCAGAGCTGTACCCTGCCTTTGAGTCCATTGCCTCTTTCCTCAATCCAGTTCATCGCCTAAGAAGTTAACAAATGGTGAAATCACTGAAGCACATCTCCTTTTCTCAGTATTGGAATGGCTGTTCATTATGGATTACGAAGGTGGATTAGCCTGTGGCCTATAAAATGAGCAAGTGGAATCAATTCACAGGGCATCGGGAAAATTGGGAGCAAGCTATAAAAATAGTCTTAAATACTGATAATACAGGAGATAGACCCAGTTTTATTAAAGTAGAACATTTGGTTTAAGACCTTTGCTACAAAAGACTAAAAGGTCTTTTCTTTCCTGCCTTAGTGTACACTTGACTGTGAAGTGGCTGTGAGAGTGGGTGGAGAGTTCTTCTTTGACCCTCAGCCTGCGGATGCCTCTAGAAACCTCGTGTTGATTGCAGGAGGAGTCGGAATTAACCCTCTGCTTTCCATCCTGCGGCACGCAGCAGATCTCCTCAGAGAGCAGGCAAACAAAAGAAATGGATATGAGATAGGAACAATAAAACTATTCTACAGTGCAAAAAATACCAGCGAACTCCTGTTTAAGGTAAGGGAGGTATAGCTTGCTGTAAGCAAACTTGTGTAGTGGTATTAATTGTTCATGAAAGTTTTTTCTCTAGGTTTTGTTTTCTCTGCAAAGGTTCAAACAAAAGGCTTGGCAAGATTTAATCATGCTTAAATGAGAACTAACCAACACACCTTACCCAAGACAAGTAAAACTGCTAGTGTTGAAGAGGCTAGCAGTTAGGTGACAGGAAAGGGTAGGTTTTGGTGGGATGGAATCTGGAGGTTAAATGAACAGAAAAGTCACAAGGGTCCCGAGATTCCAGTCAAGAGACCTACAGTGGACTAGTGTATCACAGGAGTAGGTAAGACTTAGACAGTTTGGACCCAGCTGGGTAAATGAAACCCCTGTCAGTTGCATCTGTTTAAACTAAGTGCATTTGATGAAGAAAGCTTTCACTGGGGATTGCTTTGCAGCTGCAGGAATGAACAAAAGAACAGAAACAGTTAAAAGACACAACTGTGGTCAGTGAAACTGCTGCTTAATTGCCAATGCTTGAGAAAAAGGAAAAAGAAAAAACTCCCGGAGAGTTGGTAATATGCTTGTTAGCATATTCAGATTTCAATTAAAGCCAAATAGCCCTCTGTAGTCTGAATGCTCTGGCCTGCTAGGCTGCAAACAATATCTCTCTAAGTAGAGAGCGAGAGCGGCAGACGTGTGCAGAATGGGAGTTGAGGTTCAGCGTCAATGGTTGTGCACATCTGTTTTGATTTTTTAAAATTGTAGTGTGACCAAATATGTTTGACATTCCAGAAAAATATCCTTGATTTAGTAAATGAATTTCCTGAGAAGATTGCATGCAGTTTGCATGTTACAAAACAGACTACACAAATCAATGCGGAACTCAAGCCATACATCACGGGTGAGTCCCCTAAAGATATTTTGACTATCTCCATGCAGTTATTTGATGGACACACCAGTTGGTTGAGCGTAGATGCTTTATTGTTGGAAGCTGCTGGCTGGGAATGTCACTATCTGGGGAATTGGGATGATTCCTCATGGAAAAATGGATATTTAGTTGGGTTTACTCATTATATACAGGTTTCCTATTGCCTGTGTTAAAAGTGTACTTTTCACACTTTTTAAGAGGCCTTTGCATCATCACTGTAGTGTCCATACAAATAATTTATATTCCAGATTTGGCTGAATTGATTCCATTTGCCATTAATGGTCATTTAAACAACTCATAATTTCCTCTGAAAGGATTTTTATAAAACAGTTACTTCCTTTGCTGAAGGCAATTTGTATCTCCATCAAAGACCAGTAAGCTAGCTGGCCCTTTCTGCAGAGTGCATTACGATGAGCTTCCCACTTTGCTTGCTTAGGTTTAGGAAGCCTGGAGATGCACTCTGCTTGGGTCTGGGCCCAGATGCCAATAGGAGCCATACTGTGAATGGCTTAAGAAGACTAGACTCACTGAACTTGGAAATAAACACTGTATCTGAATTGTGGTTAGTCCTTCCTCATTTGCTGATACAACCATGTCTGGCTTAATTTGGTGTTTATTCTGGTTTTTGGTAGAAGGAAGAATAACGGAGAAGGAGATAAGAGATCATATTTCAAAAGAGACTTTGTTCTATATTTGTGGCCCACCTCCAATGACAGACTTTTTCTCCAAGCAACTGGAAAACAACCATGTACCCAAAGAACACATTTGCTTTGAGAAGTGGTGGTAGGAGGCAGACAAAGGCAGAAAAAATAAAGAGGTGAGATCTACTCAGGAGAGCTCCTGTCCTTTGTGGCATGATTAATTTTTTTTATCTCTACTTGAGTTGTCTTATTTTTTAAGGCTATAAACTTAGTGACCAGCTGGATAATAAAAGCCAGCTGGCAGACTTAAATGATAAACTTTTTGCAAAGACCTCAGTGATCAAACTATTTTTTACTATACTGATTTTCTGTTATTAACAACGATTTAATTGTCTCATGATGTACCATGATTGGTCAGTATAGATTTTTCTTTTGTCTTTAGGCAAAAAAAAGATATATACTTATGTCTAATCATAGGAAAATGTGATTTTTGAGTATAAAATGTGGGCTAGCTTTAAATTATTTGACAGCCATCTATATATCTTATGTTTAATGAAAGTATAATTTAAATACAATCTTAATAATTTTACTTTGAAAATTCTTTTTATTTAATGCCTTTGTTTACTGTACCATGGCCTACAGTCTTATTTGGTCCATCAAAGTTAAGTTTGGACATGGAAAATTGTTAGGAAAACTGCTTTAGGGAGTTAAATATCCAGCATATTTGCTTTCTTGTTAATGAATATCCTAAGTGTGTATCCTGACTAATTGTTAGTTTCTTCTCAAATGAAACCCTTTCTGTGTCTTGGCTGTCTGCCTTAACGCTGTAGGAGGCAGCTTCTTGCTTGGGACAAAGGCATTGGTGATGTGTTCCATGTTGAATCTGCCTTCAGTGCCTGGGCTGGCTTGCTATGGAAATGTGCTTAGCATTGATTAGGGGGTAGAGAGCTGTTTCTAAATCCTGCTTTTCTACTTTTTATTTCACTCATTTGCCAGAATTGTTCTTGGCACCAGCAGCTCCTTAACATATAGTTGTTGAATGACTGAAAGAAAGCAACTAATGTTTTAACTCCTTGCTAAGTCTGAGATTGGGAGGCAGTCCCCTAGAGTGGATAGAAAGAATGGTGGAGCCTCATCCCAAAGCTGCTCTGATGAAACTGCTAGAAAGCAGATTGTAGTTCTTTGTTTAGATTTTTAAAAATCCAAAAGAAGTCCTGACTGAGGCCAGGCCATTCCTTTTATGACAAGTAGTCCTGGGCCCAAGGTTGCCTGCATAGAGATCACAGGAGGGTGAAGGGAGCCTGGGAAGAAGGACAGATAAGTGCTGGAGACCTAGGAGCTCCAGTTGAGATTCTGTTCTGGAGCGGATGAGAGAAGACAGGTTACCCTTTCTTATCTTTGTTGTTGCAGGCCTCCCAGGGACTTGTGGGCTTGAACAGATATGATTCATGGGACCTGAAGGTGACTCTAGCTTCTGCCCAGTTTTGAGTTTTGTCAAGTTTTAAGCAGAGATCATTTGTCAACTATTTTGATCCCAGATTTGAATTTGGGGAGGAAGGGAGGAGCTACTGACCTGATGGGAATATCATAATCCATTCAAGGAAATGGTCATTAGTACCTCAGAGGTGAAGGGAATATGTGAAGCTCTGGATCACTACAAGGAGCCCTGACTTACCAGTTGGCCCCAAAGTGCCCAGGCTGAGGGCATAGGAGCATGATGAGATGCAAGGATGTGGGATTATCAAGGGGCACGTCTACTAACTGGTGAAGGCAGTCTGCGGGGGAGGACACCTAAAGGTATGCGGAAAGTACCTAACCCAGACCTCTCTGCATTAGGAGTGGAGGTGCAAAGTGAGCATCTCCAGTGCAGCATGGGATGGGAAGATAGGGAGGTGTCGCCCACTGTCTCGGTTTAGCCAGCACCACGGCTGGCTGTGTGCCTGCTACTGTCAGAGAGCAAGGGTCATCTGTCCTGCCCAGCTATGCCTGCCACCCTGTTGCTGACTCAGTATTGGCAGAATTGCTGAGATGGGCCAGGTCATCACCTTTGCCTGGAGTGTTCATCCTTTCAGTGCCATTATTCTGGTGCTAAGTGCTGAAGAACATTTTCAGGTCTAGCCGAGAATGTCCTCTTGCTCTTGCCTGCCAGGCCTGTCCAGATCTTTTTGGTACTTAAATTGAGCTAACTCCAGCCAGAGTGGCTTGGAATTCATAGTGCGGTGGCTCAGAGTATAGGCTCGAAAGCCCTTGAGCCAGATTGCCTGGGTTCAGATCTCACCTATACTACTTACTAGGTAGATGACCTTGAGCAAGTCACTTAACTGCTCTATGCCTCATTTAAAATTACATACAACTACATGTAAAAGGGAGATGATACTGCTGCCTACCTACCTACATGATAGGGCTGTTACGGGGATTGAAGGTGATCATACATGTAAAGTGCTTGGCAGAGCACTGCATGAGTGTGTTGTCGTTATTAATTTGCTATTCCTTGTCCTATTCAGAAAGGATTTCAAGAGGCTGGATGCCTTAGATGTGGTCTAACTTGAAACCTTCATGTGGGTGTGCGTCTGTCTTGTTTATTGCTGTGCCAGGCACAAAATAGGTATTTCATAAATATTTGTTAATATGCTCAGAGTTGATAAGCTGGATTAAAGTGACTTCTTAAGGATCCTCTGGCTCTATGAGTTTGAAAAAATGTTTCTTCTTTTGACATAAGACCCTTTCCCAGCCTACTCAAGGGACTAGGTTAGTCTGATATTTGTATCTTTCTCAGATTTTATTTATATTTTTTCAAACATATGACAAAGTAGAGATAGTAAAATGACTTCTCGTGCATCCATCACCCGGCTTCCATGACTAGCAGCATTCTGTTTTTGTCAGCCCTCAGCTTCTTTGTGGGGGTGTTCTTCTTGCTGGTGTGTTTTCAAGCAAAGCCTAGCAATTGTATCGTGTCACTTCTAAATTCTTCAGTATATATTTCTAACAGATACATCACCTCAGCACAACCACAATGTCATCATCATACCTAACACAAGTGACAATGATTCCTTAATATCCTCTAAGACCCTTCTGTGTTGTTTCCTCATGGCCTCAAAAGTCCGAATATTGCATTAGGTTAATGTCTTTTATTTTAATTAATTAATGGCACACTCCTTACACCCCCTACACATATACATGGACACTTTTTTTCCCCCATGATTCATTTGTTAAAGAAACTGACTTATTTGTTCTGTAGGCTTTCCCACATTTTGAACCTGGCCTATTGTATCCTCAGGGTGTTGCTTGATCCTCTCTCCTCTGTATTTCATGTAAACTGGTAATTAGATTTAGAACTTGTTTATATTCGGATTCAAGATTTTTTTTTTGCAAGCCTGTATTATAAAGTGGTGTGCTTCCTGTGGCATCACATGAGGCATATAATGTCTGTCCCACTTTTAATGCTGTTAAGATGGATCAGTGGTTTCAGCATTTGTCAGCCTGATTCATCCAATATAATGGTCTTCATCAAACTTTCACCTAATTGTTTTAGCAGCCATTGATCATTGCTGATAGCTATTTTTTCATTAAGGATTAATTATCCATTTCTGTTATTCTTCCTGTATATATTGTCTGTGATTGTTCCATATAGAACTTTCCCTCATCAGCTTTGATTCCCCTGAAATGAGTCTGTAAAGAAATGGCAGTATTGATGCTTGATTTCTTTCATTTATCAGTTAGCATACTATGAGTTGGTGCCTTAGCAACCTTTAGACGACCAGTGAGATTATTTAAAGTATCATTATGAACTCATGGCTTTTTATACATTTGATTGTTTTCATCCATTACAGTCAATTTTTTGATGTTCAGCTTGTTTTAGGTCGCCCCTGCTGTGTCAGTGGTTCACACTCAATCATGATGGTTGATGAGGTTCGGGGCTCTTAACGTGCAAAAAGTTCTCTAATAAACAGGTAGGAGGAAAAGGAGATGAGTGTGGTGTTAAGAAGCCTCATGAAGAAAGTGTTTCATAGAGGATGGATTGGCTAGCTGTGTCATGCTGCTAATAGGACAGGAAAGATGAGGTCTGATGAGTGATCATTGAGTGGCTATTGATTTGGCAACTGGTCCAGTCATTGGTGATCTTGATAAGACGGATGGTGGGAGTGAAAACAGTGAAATAGGTTTAGGAGTAATTGAGAGGAAATCAATTATAATGAATATAGATAATAGTTTTAAAGAAATTTACTATAAAGAGAAGAAAAAAGATGGAATGGTAGCTGGAAAGGGAAGTGGGGTCAAGAGAACATTTATTGTTCTCATTGGGTTGTTTTATTTTTTAAACTTTTTGTTTTGAAGTAATTTTAGATTTACAGAAGAGTTGCAAAGACAAGACAGGGTTCCTCTATATCCTTCATCCAGCTTTCCCAAATGTTTAACGTAGTTGTGGTATATTTATCAAAACTAGGGAATGAACAGTACAGCTAAATTGGTACAGTACTATTAAAGCACAGTTTGTTCTGTTTTTTTAAGAGGAGTGAAATAACAGCCTGATTGTATGAAAAACCATGGAAGAGTAATTCAGTGGGACTCAGTTAGGGAAGTGACACCTTCTTCTAGAGGATGATGTCATTTATTGAGCATCTGCTATGTGCGGTCACTGAGCTAGACATTGAAGATAGGAACGTATAAGACAAAGGTTATCTTAGGAGCAAGTTAAATACTTTGGGAAACTATTTTTTTGTAAGTCTAAGTGATAAAGGTATCTTCTGGAAATAACTGAGTAACACATTGAGAACATTTCGACAAAATTGAAAGTGGAAATGCTCTGGGGCAACATATTTTTTTGCACCTATCACTGTTTGAAAGAGAAGCTATAGCAAATGGATGACTGGGTGAGTCACTGGAATGATGGATCTTAGGGGCCCAGGGGTAGCAGAGTGGGAAAGGCTGCACCCATGCTCTGGAGGGTAGGAGGATTGTTATATGGGACTCACAGCACAAACACGTGTGGATGCAGTGATTGTCAAATGATCCAAGGGCATGTCTTGTTGCTCCTATTTTTTTTTTCCTGTCTGAATGGAAAACAGCAATTTCCTCCATTCCTGGTTATTGCAGATGATCTGATAATTTAACCTGAGAGCCGTTATTTCATCTTATTTTATTTTAAAACTCAAAAGAAGTATACTGTTCTCATCTTAAACAGTGAGATGTCTGGTCTTTAATATTACTCTTTCTTAACATACAATAAGCTAGCAGTGTGGTGATGACATGTAGATACCTCCTAATGTGCCATAAAATCAAGGCATGCATTTTAAAATGTTTCGTGCCCAGAAATCCAAACTTTTATAGTTGTTGAGCAGCCATCTTCATATGGTCTGTTCTGAATTCTTAAAACCTGCAGGAGCTCATCAGCCTAACCTGGCCCCTTCCAGCTCATCCCCATGTCCTATTTTGCTATATTTGAGCATAACAAGATTTTATCTCTTCCTTTTTAAAAATTAATTACCTAATAAATATGACCAAAAATTGTTAAATAATTTTTTAATTACCTAATAAATGTGACCACAAATATTAAATAAAATTATATAGATTAAAATGCTGACGTTCTCTTCTCCCCCATCCTATTCCCTTGCCTAGAAGGAACTTCTGTATAAAAAACTTGCTGGGTATCCTTTTAGAAATTTTATGGTATATTAATCTTGTATACATATACAACTGTGGGTACCTATACAACTATGTCTCTCTTTCTTTTAATACACTTCAAATTCTTGCTATATACCATAATATACTTAACCATATCTCCATGATGGACATTTAAATTGTTTGGAGTTTTTGGCTATTACAAGCAATATTGCAGTAAACCTGTTTGTATAATTTTTCTGCACATACTCCTGTAGAATTACTAGAAGTGCCATTTCTGAATAAAAAATTGACTAGTATTACCAAGTTACCCTATAAAATGCCTAATCAGTTTATATTCTAACAGGGTATGAAAGTGCCCATTTCTAGCCAACATTAGATACCCTCAGTCTCATACTTAAGTATTTTTTTTCCCCTAATCAGTTAGATGAAAGGTGATTTTTTTAACTAACAATTTTCTGATTGAATTTTCTGATTGTTCCGTAGGCCTGTCTGTCTTTTCCCCTAATCAGTTAGATGAAAGGTGATTTTTTTAACTAACAATTTTCTGATTGAATTTTCTGATTGTTCCGTAGGCCTGTCTGTCTTAGAGACTATAGAAGCCCAGAGAGAAGAAACAAAAAATGAGGCAGATTGGTTGGCTGTGTGGGATGGTGGGAGGAACATGACACCAGGCTTCAAGAGACCTAAATCATGCCCATTCTACAACTTGTTTCCTGTGTGACTCATTCCACCTCTCTCTGAAACCTGCTTTCCTTATCTGTCGCTGTGGGTAGGACTATGCAATTTAAAATTGCTTTCAGCTTTACCTTTCTATAATTTCATGATAGAAAAATGGGCCTTAGAGATCAAGGTTGACTGTACTGAGAGATGTCTAAGGAGTATCTTAACTCTCTTCAAATATTTGATTGATTCTTGGGATGACTATTGTTTGTATCTCTGGGGTTGACAGAATAAGAAGACATTGTCTTGGACTGAAGCAAGGGAAAAGTTTGGTTTGATACAGGGGACTTTTGGACTATACTGCTGATTAAATTCTGGAGTCAGGGCTCAAGAGAAATAGTGGAATTACCGTTAGTAAGAAATAAAACTGACATTTGCCCATTGGGGCTTAAGGTGTACTTGACTGAGACAGGGACTGGATTGATAGTTCCCCAGGTTCATAAAAAGGAAGTGTTTTAGACAGTTATTAACTTACGCATTTTGTGGACCTAGAAACTGGTAAGTTTGCTAGTTGTTCTTTCTTCTAAGTTGATTCTCTTGTTTTTTTTTCATTGAACAATCAACAAGATAGGAGGTACCCAGGACTGAAGGTTCATGAAATCAGAGGTCCATTATAGGAAGCATTTTAATGCTCACCCTAATAAGTGAAATATATTTCTTACTATCTTTAAGCCTTTATATTATTTAGAGGCCACAGAAAAATCCAAATCCAAACTGAACTTAATGACTAGTGAGCAACACATTTAAATACACAAGTTTTACCACATTAAAGGATGAAAAGCCAGTCAGCAACATGGGATCATGTTTTAAAACTGTCTCTGGATGAATGAATATCTCTACTCTTTCTTCAAGACCCAGTCCCTACAGTTGACAACCAGGGTGGTTCTCCACCAATTCCTGGCTCAGGGCTTTGCTGGAATTGCCAACATTACCATTAGAAATCATTTGGGGCTGGGCGCGGTGACTCACGCCTGTAATCTCAGCACTTTGGGAGGCCAAGGTGGGCAAATCACCTGAGGTCGGGAGTTCAAGACCAGCCTGACCAACATGGAGAAACACTGTCTTTACTAATAATGTAAAAATTAGCCGGGCGTGGTGGTGCATGCCTGTAATCCCAGCTACTCGGCAGGCTGAGGCAAGAGAATTGCTTGAACCTGGGAGGTGGAGGTTGTGGTGAGCCGAAATTGTGCCATTGCACTCCAGCCTGGGCAACAAGAGCGAAACTCAGTCTCCAAAAAAAAAAAAAAAAAAAAAAATCATCTGGGAGAATTCCCACTCTGCCCGTCAGAACCAAGACAGTTGGTTCCCTTTGTACTCCCACATGCATACCATGGCACCTCCCCAAGAGCTGCTGCTTTCTGTTGCCACACAACTCCCTCCCTCCCTCCCAAAAAGAAAGATGTAGTTCTTTGGGTCTTTTTTTAAAAATATTATATATTTTATATATTTTTTTCAAACGGAGTCTTGCTCTGTCACCTAGGCTGGAGTGCAGTGGCATGATCTCAGCTCACTGCAACTATCTGCCTCCCGGGTTCAAGTGATTGTCCTGCCTCAGCTTCCCGAGTAGCTGGGGATTACAGGCACATGCCACCACGCCTAATTTTTGTATTTTTAATAGAGACAGGGTTTCACCATGTTGGCCAGGCTGGTCTTGAACTCTTGACCTGGCCTCTTTGGGTGTTAAGAAAGGTATAAAGACTTCACTTTTAGTGACTTTGTCTAATGTTGAATGTGTCAAACTCTGAAAACTAATCCATGCAAGAGGTTCTGGAAAAGTTCCAGGCAATATCACTGGAGTATTTATTACTCTGAGGAAATGCCTTTGATAAGGACAGGGTTGGTAGCTTCAATACCTCCCTCATTCCCCAATCATTTGCAAAATCCAGTCACTTTTGCTTCTGAATAACTCTCAAATCTATCCCCTTCTTTGCTAAGATTCAAGCCAGCAGCCCCCACCTAGACTAAAGCACTAGCCTCTGCAGCATCTCTGGGATCCCTGCATTTTCCTCATTCAGCAGCCAGAAAGACGTTTTAAAAAAATGCAAATCTGATGTCATCAGTGGCCTCCTATTAAGCCTTACAACAAGGACCAGAATCCTTACCATGGTTCACGAGGCCCTTCTGCATTGCTGTCTTCTCAGCACCTAGCACAGTTGTGTAGGAATTTTAAAATGTGTATCTGTTTAACAAATCATTTGATCCCCTCATCCCCACATAAATGCACAGGTCTCTCCCGTAGCCTGGCTTCCTCTGCTGGAGGGACATGCCGCTGTTGTGCAAGGGCTGGGGAAGCAAGCACCAGCCAGGTTCAGAGAGCCATTCATCTGCAGCCAGGGTTCATTTTCTTAGTCTAGCCACTGAAACGATTGTTATCAACAGGAACCTGTGGTGAACATCACTTTGCTTCCTTCTCTGGCAACAGCTGCCTCAGAAACCTAGCCAAAGGCTCATTGGGTCTTGTCCTTAGATCTCATGTCCACACACTTCCCTGTTCAAAACTCTAGGAGCCAGGTACAGGAAACCCAGCCTCTCCTGGGAAGCTGCATCAGTGGTTTTGGCGGGTCATAGTGCAGGCAGAGCACTAATCACCAGGGGCCCACCCTGCACTACTCACGCAGTTGGCCTCCAGCACTTCCAGCAGGGCTCTTGGAAACAAGATCTGTGGCAACAACTGGGAGTCAGTGCCGAGCTTCTCCTGGCCACACACACCAGTCATCCTCACCCTTCCCGTCTTGCCAGTCCTTTCAGGACTTGATCTTCAATCTTAGGCTGCTGTGAGCCCTAGCAGGACAGAGCCCAGACTGTGTGCTCCCTGCAGCACAGTGCCCCTATGCCAGCTAGGAGCTCAGCTAGAGTGGGTTGCACGAGTCGTGAGTTTGGGGTCAACCTATTCCTACTAATAAGCACTGTCTACACCTGAGAGCTATTCCTGAACGATTTTGTGGTTTAGAGAGGGCCATGATGAATATGTTTAGAGTACTGATAAAATGTGCTTCATAAGAAATAAATTAGAATACCTCCTGCTAATGTTTTTGGAAGCTGCTCCCATCAAGCATCAGCAACTCTAGTGAAGCATGGTCAACCTGGAGATCTGAAAAAATCTGACAGGCATTTGACTAATGTTTACCTTTTTGTTACTTATAAACCATTGATAAATAATTTAAGACTTTATAAATATTATTACAGTATTTCTGTTAAGATGGGATATACTACGCTTCAGTAGCCAATAAATCTCAAAATCTCAGTGGCTCACCTTAGCAAAGGTTTATTTAACGCCCATGTCAAGATCCATCTTTTTTTTTTTTTTGACAGGGTCTTGTTCTATTGTCCAGGCTGGAGTGCAGTGGTGTGCCCACAGCTCACTGCACCCTCGACCTCCTGGGCTCAAGCAATTCTCTCACTTTAGCCTCCCAAGTAGCTGGTACATGTACCACCACACCCAGCGGATTTTTTTTTTTTTTTTTTGCAGAGGCAAGTTCTTGCTATGTTGCCCAGGCTGGTCTCGAACTCCTGAGCTCAAGCGATCCTTCTGTCTCAGCCTCCCAAAGTGCTGGGACTATAGGCGTGAGCCACCACACCCAGCCTCATGGTCCATCTTGAACTGTGCTGAGGGTGTTGGAGATGATGGGCTGGGAGTCCCTGAAGCTTTTATCAGACCTGCTCCTGTCTCATTGCCAGAACCAGTCTCATGGCCCCAAACTGCAAGAGAAGCTGGGGAGTAGAGGATATACTTCCATGGATATTGGGTGGGCACTAACAGTATCTGCCACATTGATTACCTATCAGCATGTGATTAACTGCTACCCACAGAGTACTTACCATGGACCAAGCACTTTATTCACATCTTATTAATCCTCACAAAAATCCAAAGAGGTGGGTGCCATTTCACCCCATTTCACACTTGAGGCGATTGATGCTCAGAGCTGTGAAGAAACTGAGGAGGTTACACATGTAGACTGGGTCTAGTTAGCATCCTCACCAGCTCTGTCTGATTCCAAAGCCCAGCTGGGCTTTTCCACTACACCAAGCCCAAAACAGTGTTACTACTTCATTAACATAGATTTCCTCAGGCTTTCCATGTGTCAGTATTTTGACCTTGTGGCTATATGCACTTCAGAGCAATGCACCTGCCTTTCTTTAAGCAGATTAGATAAGAATTCTTCTTCCTCCCATCATTGCCCTGCCAGTGGTGCTAAACTTCACCCACTACCCTCTCCTGAGCCTCTGCAGGTGAAGTAGTTGAAAACAGCTTCCCAGTGAAAGAATCTGGATTCAGCCACAACATCGTAGGAATGCCACATTTCAATCACCTGATAACCACCTGATCACAGTGGGTTTGCAGGACTCCCCTGCAAACCCACTGTGACAGCTGCAGCCTCACAGACTTAACTGCCAAGTGCACAAGCTTCCTCATGCCAAACCCTGTATGTCTTTGTGGCTTTTACTGTCCGTGGGACCTGGTCAGTGCAAATGATGGCTTTTTACCCTATTGGCAATCACAGGGAACTTAACATTTCCTTCAGAAATGCCTCCACTTGAAATGTACATGCAGGATGTTGAGAATGGATTTTAGGGCCTTTATTATTTACCACTTGTAGAAAGCATTTTATTTCACAAGCTGTGTTTCAACTGACAGAGACCCTGTGGCCAGTGGTATTCAACTTTGGCTGCACCTAGAGTCCTCTGGGAGCTTTTAAAAATCCTGATGCCCACGCCACTCCCCAGATCATTCATTCACAAGCTCTGCAGGCGAGCCCCGGCATCAGGATTTTGTATAGCTTCCTCAGTGATTTCAAGCTGCTGCTAACTTAACACCCTCCACTGTAGACTGATTTTTGCCAGAATCAGCAGGGTGTAGAGAAGCAAGGGAGAAAAAACAAGACCTTTAGGAACTGTTAGCCTGACACTAGGGCCAAACTCTCTTGAGGAATTCAAATTATTGTCACCTTTTTTTCCCCATAGCAAATACAGCCAACATAAATGTCAATTAATTAATTGAAAAATGTACCCAAAGCTGAGCAATGTAAGGCCCTCTAGCCTGGAACCGTTTGCTTTTCAAAGTTGAGTGTGGTGTTTTTGTCCTGGCCTGTTGCTGACTAGCATATATTTTTAAAATCATGATCCTTTAAGATATGTGCCAAGAGATAATGTTTTTATTAAATCAAAATGCTGTATAGACATTGACTTAGTTGTGGAAAATGTCATTAAAAAATAGTTGTCTTCTCTTTGAACAGGGCCTTCAACCTCTTTAAGCTCTGAGGGTTGGGTGGGGAGTTTGTCAAGAAGAAAAAGCTATGTGATGTGGCTGTACAAAGGTTTTACATTTTGCTCTATAAAAATATATTACAAATGTTTGTGGTTTTGTTTTGTTTTTCTGAGATGGAGTCTTGCTCTGTGCCCAGACTGGAGTGCAGTGGTGCAGTCTCGGCTCACTGCAATCTCTGCCTCCCAGGTTCAAGCAATTCTCCTGCCTCAGCCTCCCGAGTAGCTGAGATTACAAGCACCCGCCACCACGCCCAGCTAATTTTTGTATTTTTAGTAGAGACGGGGTTTCACCACGTTGGCCAGGCTGGTCTCGAACTCCTGACCTCAGGTGATCAGCCTGCCTCAGCCTCCCAAAGTGCTGGGATTACAGGCATGAGCCACCATGCCTGGCCTACAAATGTTTTATTTTAATAAACTTGCAAAGGGAAAAGACTTGCCTCACTAATTTAAAAAGTTATTCAGAAATAACTTGCCTCACTAATTTACTTAAAAGCTTGGAAACAATGTTTGTTAGACACTGATGTAAGGTTTTTTGCTTATTTTAAAAAGGTATTTGTCTCCACCATCCCAGAAATGGGAGGTGGCTGTACCCCTTACTTACCTGGTGGCATCTGAGTTCCACTTGCCATCTCTTTCTACAAATGACGAGAAAGCACAGCAAGCCTAGCTGGCTCTGCAGCTTTCCATGGGAACTTTGTCTTCCTCCACCACGTCATCATGCTGCCAGGAGTTAGAAACTTATAGTGAATGGGGGGTGTGGGCTGGAATCCTTTGGACATGAGGCCAGGACTGTTCCTAGTGACACGATAAACACTCAATCCTCACGGTGCACTAACTCATAGATGATTTATTGCCGTAAGTAACTAAACAAGAGAAGAGACAGGCTGTGGGTTTGGTCAAGACAATCAGCATTCCCTCTCCAAGGTTCGCCAGTTGCATCTACCTAAAGCCTTAATACTTTCTGGACGATATACACATGATAAACACAGCATACATGGGTAACAACTTGACCAATGTTACACTGATTAAAATAGCACATAACAAGGGCGCCAGCCAGTCCCGATGCCCTGAAGTGACAGAAGTAATGTGGTTTGTATGATGTGCTGAGTACAAAACCTTTAAAAACAACTTTTTGGCATTAATACTAACACAGAATACTTCCTTGAACATTCTGCAAAAGTAGGTGCAGAGACAGAATTACTTCTTCATTTCCAGATTACCAGTATCTATAGGACTATTTTGAGAAAAGCTGGGAGGCGGAGCACCTCCCCTCCCCAATGTCATTTTCTTTGTCAAAGCAGAAGAGTCGAAGGGGTTTAGGTGGAGGAGGGCAGCTGACAGGGCTCCTGGAGTTGTTAAGTCACCAAGTAGCTGCAGGGGATGGACACTGCCCCACACGATGTGGGATGAACAGCAGCCTTGGTTTGTAGCCCAGGGTGTCCATGGATTTGACCCGAATGCTCCCTGGAGGCCCTGTGGCGAGGACAGGCACTGGATGGTCCAGACCCTCTGGCTGGAGGAGTGGTGGAGCCAGGACTGGGCCTTCAGCCATGAGGGCTAGAATAACCTGACCTCTTGCATTCTAACACTGGGTCATTAATGACACCTTTCCAGTGGATGTGCAAAAACCAACACTGTCAGGAACCTGGCCCTGGGAGGGCTCAGGTGAGCTCACAAGGAGAGGTCAAGCCAAGCCAAAGGGTAGGTAACACACAACACCAGGGAAACCAGCCCCCAAACCAGCTGTTGGTAAGATGCCTTGGGTTTGGCAACTCACCTAGTTTTAGCACAAATTGCCCAAGACTCAGTTTTCTTCAACCGTACCAAGCTCTCTGACTTCCTCAGCATCCCCGTCCCTGGCATCCTCTCCAGGATTGGAGTGCCCAGTGCAAATCCCCACCAGGGCCCTGCTGTGGCTGGCAGGACCATTCTGCACAGCCTCACCCTCCACACCCACCCCACACAGCAGGCCACCAGGGGACAGCTGTTCTCCCTTGTCCTCTTGGACAGGGCCCTTCATCTCCTCGGAGACTCCACCCTCCTGCTGCTGTCCTGAAACACAGTTTCCCATGTCTCCAGCTTTGGAAGACTGGTCTTCTAAGTTCTTCTCATTTTCTTCTGCTTGTTGTTTGTCTCTGGCACTGAGTTTACCTTTTGATTTCCTCATCTGCCTGTTGTGCATTTCTTCTCTGGAGAATCGCCACTGAAACTAGAAATCAGAAAGGATGGGGATAAATAACAAGCCTCCGGGAACCCAGAGCTTCACCCAAAGCCTTGTTTGCATTCATACCCACACCATGTCTGAGTGAGACATACAATTCCCAGCATCCCCCAGCCAGGCAGTACAGGCACCAAACTTGAATCGCACACTATCACATCACACCCACCCCAAGAGCCTGCACCACACCTTCCAGGATGTGTATTTTAGATGTAGATTTCAGGTTCTGTTGGGGCAGAGCAGTATTTCTTTTGACTGGCTCTATACCAAAGGCCCACATAGGAAAGGGCTCCTAAAGTCCTATCATTTGGAGGGCCAGGATGGAGAGGAGATGTGAGGCCTGCCCCCAGTAAGAGCCAGAGCTGCAGCTACTCATTTCCATTCTGAGCAGGCTGAGGATTACCAGGCACGGGGCTGGCATTCTCTCACTAGGTCACCTGAGTAAGGCAGGGCCCAGAACATGGGGCAGACACTGTGCTGTACCGCTCAGATCCCCCCACAGGACTGGCGGGCCCGCTCCCCAGCTAGGCCGATAGCCCTTTGCTGACCACCACCTCACAGAAGGGTCACACCAGGGCAACCTACAACCAATGACTGCCCCAGGTGGGATACAACAACCCATTTCCTGATCCCAATTTGGGATAACGCAAATGCCATCCCAGCTCCAAGCCAACCTGGGGGATTGTGACTGCATCACAGCCCAAATTCTCCCTCTGCCCGCTACTGTACCGACAAGTGTTCTAAGGTAACTCCCTCTAAAAACTTCCAATCTCAGAGGCCGCTTCCCGGGGGCCCAACCTGCAACCAAGCATTTCCTGGTGTGACAGGGAAGTCAGGGGCTCAGAGTCCCAAGGTCACGCGGCCAGTAATAGAGTTGGGCAACAACCAGGGTCTCATCAAATCTCTGGAGCAAGACCACCCGAGAGCGAGCCCCAGCTCCGTCACTGACCGGCCAAGTTTCTCAATCTGAATTTCTCATCTCGGTGGCCCAGAGTGCACGTGGGGTTTTAGTTTTCAGTTCCCACCATGGCCACTTCCTTGTGCTTCAGCTGTTATCTCATTGGTTTCACCAAATACGCACTTAAATCTTAGACATTATATAATTGAGAGAAAAAGGGAGCTCTCAGTTCCTATGATTTCTTGCTGGGCTAGAGAGAGGAGCCCAGGAATGCAGTTGCACCATCAGTGGGAAATGATTTCTTAAGGCTTTAGTATGTTGTAAATCATTCTGAGCGCTTTGCTAGGAAAAACCAAAAATGTGCTATGTAAATGTTTAAAAATCTGCCATTTTTGTAGTTTTCCACGGTAGAGATCTGTTTCCTCAGATAAAACATTTGCCCAAACACAGAATTCTGAGATTTAATACATTATAGGATTCTTGGATTTAGCACCTTTTAGATAAGAATGGTAATGGAATGTTCCATTAAAGTAGAGAAACATGAGTGAAATACATGTTGAGGTTAGGATTTAACATTTATCTGGTCCTTTCCCACCCTGTATCCCCCAAAAAACCCAAATGAGTTCACTTACAATGTTGGATGGGTTTCTCCTTTGACTTCTTTTGAAATGTCTCGTACTGTAGCTGACAGACTTCCCTTAGGAGATGGGTGGAGCTTCTTCCACCCAAACTGTGAGGATCCCAATAATGGAATCACTCTGTAGGCTAAGTGGTGTCTCAGACCCACCTCCTACTTAAGCCGAGCCTGCCAGGCAGGCATCTCGAGGCTCCAAACCCACCAGAGGAGGCCCCTGATTTTAGCCCTCAGCATGACCGTGGCTGCCTCCACCAAGCCTCCATAGTTTCCAGGCACCGTGTTATGGTTCGTAACTGCTGCCCTGTGTTAGGCAGCTGCCGTTGCATTTTAATTCCAGCCCAAATGTAAGAGTCTCTCCTTTTTTTTAATGGATGTTCCAAAACAGTCAGAGCCTCTTCACATTTTATATCATTTTACGTGTTTTTAGAAAAGGACCAGTGAAGCCTACCTGTGTAGTATAGTACTCCGAGAGGCAGTTGGCTCTCAGGGAAGTCAGAGGAAGTTTTACTGTTGCCAAAAAAGTGGTGATTGTTTTGGCTAAGAGGCCTTAAGTGCTAAAATGTCAAAGCATTATAGTATGGGTTCAAATCCTAGTGCTGGCACTCATTAGCTGTCAGTCTTTAGGCAGGTTATGAATCTGAGTTTCAAGTTACTCATCTCTAAAATGGTTGTCTCTACCTCCAGGGCTGCGGTGCACACCTCCAGGGCCCCATTCATATTGTATTTGATGTGAATAGCGCCCTCTGCTGTTGTGCAGTGTACAACTGAGGACAATTCCACCACGTGCTAGACCTTCCATCTAATATGAGCCCAGATACTCTCTCCGGGGCTGCTCTTGCTAAATAACAGAGCTTCCATAGTTTCCCCTGGATGCCTGGCCACATCCAGTTTCCTGTAGAAGATCACATCTTGTTGATCTGCTGATATAATACAAAACGAGAACACAAATGGTAGAAAACAAACAACAAAAACTGTTTCAGATCCCAACAATTCAAAAAGGAGACGTCTCAGAAAGCAAGAGGAGGCCTGGACTGTGCCAGATTTCAGTTGAGCCTCTGAGGTGAGCTCTGACATCCACACCACTTAAAGGCAGGCAAGTCCAGCCTGGGGAATGGACTCCAGGTTTTGAGTAGGACCGGGGGAGTCTCTGAGCTTAACCAGCAAGCCGCAGATAAAACAGGTTGCACTGAGTTGGGGGCCTTCCCAAGCCAGAGCATCTGTGGCAGTTGGGTGTGTCACCAAATCCAATTAGCCGCCCAATTCAGAAATAACTGTCTAAAAGAAAAAAAGAAATCCTTCACTTTACAGCAGTGTGTGTCCAGAGTTCCATGTCAGCAGGAGCCAATGGATTTAATTTGCACATTTTAAAAACTGCCCATGATGTGTCCACTTCAAGTAGTTTAGCTGGAAGGAAGTCTTCCCGAGTTGTAGAAATCACCTACTCCCTTTGAAGAAGTTTAATATTTGCCTTGAAAATCACACGCACGTACACAGAGGTTTCTTTCCAATGCTGAAAAGTCCTGATTAGAAAAATCTATCCATGTTGCTGATTAAAAGAAGACTAAATATGCCACATCCTCGGTGTGCCAATCTTGCAGTTTCTTTTCTTAAGTTTTAATGCTAGACATACTATGTGTGTCCTCGCTAAGAAGCTGATTACTCATTCATTGATTCGACAAGTATCTGTTGAGCACCAACTAAAATCTGGGTACACAACACAGGAAAAAGGTCTTTGCTCTTGTGGAGACTATGTCTGACTCTGCCTGGGAAGGATAAAATAATGATCACAAATAACTAAAAGCCCAAAGGAGAGCTCTGAAGGAGAAGAACGTGGTTCTTTTCCAGGGTAGTACAAAGGAGTCTGGTTTGGTATAAAAGGAGACAGCACTGTTCTGAGAAAAGGATGCTCGAGTAGAGCTAGAAAGGAGGAGAATGTCCTTGGCAGAGGGGACACGGAAGAACTGGAGGCCACAGAGGAGCTGGAGGCCACAGAGAATGGGAGGCTGGCAGAGGAGGTAAGAGGGACCAGATCCCTTGGGGCCTTGAGGGCCACAGTACTGATTTCCATCTTTGTCTTCAGAGTCATACAAAACTAGAACTCCTTTGAGCAGTGGGATGACAGGATTCAAGTTCCCTTTTTAACAGATCACTTGGGCTCTGAATAGGGAACCTATTTGAAGGGGATATCTATTATTAGGAGATTAGAATAGCTGAGGCGAGTGATGGTAGAGAGAAGTGGAGGGATTCCAGAGCCTCCGGGACCTAACACAGATGGGTCTTAAGGATAGATTGAATATAGGGGAAGGAGAGGGGAGGGTCAGCAGGGATAGCCCCTAAGGTGCAATGCCATTCCTCTAGATAGGGTGGCGGTTGGCCAGGTGGGCGAGGTATGGGGAGGGGGACAGTCATAGGTTTCCTCGAGCCACAGGATGGATGGAGCTGGAGTCTTGGGGTGCAGTGAGGGCTGAAAATGCAGGCGGAATGGTCATTGGCACAGAGGTGGTGAAGGAGATTTTCTAAGGAAGAGGCAAGAGTGAAGGGAGAAATGGGGCTGGGTCTGAACCCTGAGGAACTTAGTGGGAAACCAGGAGAATGAGGTGGGAAAGAACCAAGAGAAAAGCTGCTTCAGGGAGTGGGGGTGGTCCCAACATCCGGGCTGCAAGAGCTCAGGCATGATGAGGACTAGATGGAGTGACTCTCGGTCACCAGGGGACACAGGCCTGTGGGAGTAGGACGCTGACCCTTGTCAGCTGAGGAGTGAGGAGGGGACACCCAGTGCAGAAGATTCTTCCAAGGAGTCTGGCTGTGAAGCCCCCCTCTCTGGAGGACTCCCATCTGTGAGGTGACCCAGAGGGTCTTGTGTAGAACAAGTGCTCCACACCAGTCACCTACAGTCTTGGAATGAGGCAGGAAATAATTAGGTACATGGAAAGAGAAAGCAGTCCACCCAGATGAGTACAGCTGCTTGGGATTAGAAGTTTTTACTGACTGAAAAAACAGTGGGTCCCATCCTCTCTGAATTTTCCCTGAGGAGAGTCAGTTCAACCTTATTACAGCAGCTTTTACAAATCTATCTCTAAAGTCTCCCTGCCGACTCAAGTTTCCACTGACTTGTCCCCCTGCATGCGATGCCATGACCTTCACACCAACATCCAACCACATGTCTCTCCTTTGGAATCTGTGTGCCCCACCACCAGGAACCTGTTAGGCAAAGGTGGCACCATCTCCCTCTGTAAGGCTGCAGCGGGTGTCTGTCAGCATCTGACAGGGGCCCTTTGCGTGCTGTGTGTTGAATGTTGCACTTGCTGAATGCATGCAGTTCCCGTGAGCCTGTGGCTGAGCTGAAACTGACAGCGCTCTGCAGCCGATCCATCTTCCAGCTGGTGGCTGCCTGCTCCTGGTGGTTGATGGTGGGCTGGCAGTTCCCTTCTGGTCCATTGTGCCGTCACCTGTCACATTACACCTTCAGAGCCTGGAGAAAGACCTTCCTCCACACTCCAGCCCATCTGGCTTCAAGTCACCATTGCTTTGGCACTCCTTCCACAAGTGGGCTCCCCCTGGAGTTGTTGGCTGGTGAGGGGCTGCTCCAATCTGTTCATTTACTTGATGCTCCTTCCCAGGGCTCTGTGTCCAAAGAACATGAGGAACCAAGCGTGAGGAATGCAGGAGTGATGCCAGGAGTGAGGAGCCGAGCAGGTCAGGCAGGCCCTGCCGAGAATGTGGCCTCAGCCATCAAAGGTGCAGTGAGCTGAATCCAGGTGATGCCTGACTCAGGCTTTGGTGTGTCCACTCGACTCACTGGCCTCTTCCCCAGCAACTGGTGAAAATGTCCTCAGGAAAAGCACCACAGGCTGCTCAGGGTGGGGTGGGAAGCATCAGAATCATCTGGCACAAGGGTTGCCGACACTTGCACCTCGTACAGCCCTTGTGCTCAACCTTCAGGAATCACAGAGAAGACTCTCTGAGAAGGCCAGTCTCTGTGCGACTGTTTCTAGGGTAGTTCAGAGTCCGGAGAGGGGGAAAAGGGCCCTGGGGATCTCTTGAGGACAGCCTGGCCTGAGGACTTGCTGCCACAGGCTACAGCTAGCATCACCAGCTGTCACACAGAGGCCTTTGGGTCTAGGCCTGTCATGAAGAAATTTTGGCAGGGTCTCTGCTTAGATCCCCACACTTTTAATGTCCTAAGGAATCTTAACAGGGCAGGCCAGAGCTCCAACTAGCTGATAATGAGATTAAGACACAAAGAAACTGGCCATGAGCTCGAGCCATCCCCACCCCATGGTCAGGCTGCAGCTGACTTCGTGCCCTTCTTTTCATCCTAGTGGGAATATCTAGCAGGCTGAAGCCTCCAGAAGAGCCTCTCTCCTCCATCCTTCTGGCCGGCCCAGCAGGACGATGGCAGACAAGGCCCTCCAGTCCCCTCAGCTGTCCCGTTTTAGCAGCCTGAGATGTGATTCGGGTTGCCAGGGGCTCAGGTGTTCCTTGGGCTCTGCGAGCCCTTGGAAGCTGGAGCAGGCTGCCCCCTCAAATGCTGCAGAAAATCCACTGAAGATGAAGCCCTGCTGAGGAAAACCTAGGAAGGCCATCAAAGTCTCTTACCTTCGATTCCTTCTTCTTGATTTTCTGAGGTAGACAAGGTCTCTGAAGAAAGACAATCTGCTTGGTGGATACACTCCCCTCGCTGTAACACACGGAGCTGAGAATGAGCCACTTTATGCCTTAGAGGAACCCAAAACCTGACACAGATGTTGCCATCCCTAATTTCATCAAAGCAGACCACCCACAGGATTATGACAGGTTAGAAGAGACGCCTGCTCTACTCTTCCGCTCCCAGGCCATCCAACCTTGCTTCCGAGGGGCTATCTCAGATGCCCAACAAAAGCTTTTTGGGTATCCCTACAAAGTCAGCTTCCTAGCTGGACACGCCCATTCCCTTAATGGGAAGTAACAGCATCTTGGCCAAATGTGGACACACTGGCTGCTTCAGTGGATCTCAAAGGGGCAGGGGCCTTTTCCAAATCTGTCTCTGGTAATGATGGGCAGGTAGATAAGGACCTGGGTGATGAGCTCAGCCCTCCAGCTGCTACAGGACAGTGGACAGAGGTCATGGCTGCATCCAGGGTCTCAGCCATGCATGGCTCCTGCAGGCACACCAAAGACTGCACAGCACCAGGCGGGCCCTGCAAGGCAGTGCCTGTTAACCAGCTCTGGCTCACATGCGAGGGAGGGGCGACTCGTATCTTACAATACAGTGAATTCTCTCTTCCCAGGAAGGCAGGACCTGGAGCTGCCTCTAAAGATGATAGAAGTATTGTAAAGAAGATCACTGTTTTTTTTTTCCCCTGCTTCCACCCTTCTGATGATTTTGTATTTTATTTTTAATTTACAAATAATAATTGTATATTTATGGGGTAGAGTGTGATGTTTTGATATATGTTTACAATGTGGACTGATTAAATCAGGCTACTTAACAAATCCATCACCTCACATACTTAGCACTTTTTGTGGTGAAAACATTTAAAAGCTACTCTTTTAGGAACTGTAAACTATACAAGGCATTATTGTTTATAATAGTCACCATTCTGTGCAATAGATGACCAAGGCTTATTCCTCCTAACTGAAACTTTGTACCCTTTGATCAACATCTCTCGTTTGCCCATCCGCCCCACTCCCCAGCCTCTGGTAAACACCATTCTACTCTCTGCTTCTATGACTCAACTTTTTTAGATTCCACGTATGAGAGAGATTATAAGGTATGTCATTCTGTGCCTGGTTTATTTCACTTAGCATAGTGTCTTCCAGGCTCATCCTTGTAATAAATAACAGAATGTCCCTGACCCCCCCCCTTTTAAGGTTGCATAGTATTCCATTGTGTGTGTGTGTGTGTGTGTGTGTGTGTGTGTGTGTGTATTTTATATATATATATCACATTTTCTTCATCCATCTGATGAGGGACACCTAAGTTGTTTCCATTTCTTAGCTGTTGTGAATAATGCTGCAAGGATCATGGAAATGCAGATCCCTCTTCTGCATACTGATTTCAGTTCCTTTGGATATATACCTAGAAGTGGGTTTGCTGGATCATGTGCTAAGTCTATCTTTAGTTTTCTGAGAAACCTCTGTACTATTTTCCATAATGGCTATATTAATTTACAATCCCACCAAGAGTGTACAAGGGTTCTCTTTTCTCTATACCCTTGTCTTTTTTATAATAGCCATCCCAATCAGTGTGAGGCTATATCTCACTGTGGTTTTAATTTGCATTTCTTAAATCTGTTTTGTAAATTTCTTTACATGTTACTGCATTCAGCTACAAAGTCTGTAAGAAAAAGGAGGGAGAGAACTAATATTTACTCTGCACCTATTTTGTGTAGCGGCTAGGCTGGGTGAATTCACACATAATGGCTCATTTAAGCTTCACCTCAATGCTCCACGGAATCCAACTACCACTTTTATAGAAGGAAACAAAAGCTCAGCTCAAGAGCAGGCTGGAGATCACACAGTGAGGATTCAAACACAGATCTACCCAGTTCCACACAGTCTCCATTCCACCGTAAGTGGTCATTTAAGGAACAGGGAGGTGGAGGATTAGGAAGGATTATTTAGCAGGTGTGAAGGTCTGAGACAGAGAGACCTGTCTGTAGCCCCTGGGCTTAGGTGGCTCAGAACCAGCTGGGCCTTCACATTCAAATACATTCTGAGTCTTGTCTTCTGGAAATTGACCAGGAAACTGACTCAGAGAAGCTATGTCACTTGACCAACATGACACAGTGGGTAAGTGGCAGACTGAAGACTTGGGTTCAAGTCTTCAGGCCCCAAATCCAGGGTTCTTTCTACACCACTGCATTGCCCTATGCCTGTCGAAGTCTTGGCTGAGAAAGAACATGGTGGTTTCCAGTGGCCAAGGGGCTCAAAAGTGGCCGCAGACTGGCTCCCCCTGGTGCACTGACCCACTGTGACCTAATGTGGAATCTGAGGATCCTGGTGAGCCAGAGGAGGGACTAGGAAAGACATCAGTTGTCACCATGATTCTGCACTCTCAATCACCCTGGTTTGCCAGCCTTGCCCCATGCTGTCCATCACTCTGCAGTGGTGAATATGCAGTAGGGCTTGGGGAAGGTGGAGCTCTGGGGGCCACAGCGGGGGCATCCTTGCTGGTCAGCAGAGAGACGGCCTGCTCCAGGAAAAGTGCCTGATTCTGCAGACTGAGGTTCTAGGCCCAGTTTCTGCCACTTACTGGCTGGGTAGCCTTAAGTATGTGACCAAGCCTCCCCTAGCCTCAGTTTCCTCATCTGCAAAATGGGAATCATATCCATGCTTACAACCCCACAGGGCAAGACTAATTTGGATAGTAAGCCCAACATATAGATGGAGGGCCTTTTATGGTTGGTGTGACTGGGCTCAAGGGAGCGTAAGCAGAGCTGAGAGTGGACAAATGAGCATGAACCTGAAATTATAAGGAATGCCGCACCAAGGCCTGAAAGGCAGGCCTTTACAGCCCCTTTGTGGAGCTGGTGACCAGTGCTTGATCTTGGCCAAGTCCCTCAACCTCCCTGGCTACACTTTCCTCAGCTGCAAAATGGGTTTAATAATAATACAATTCTACCTCATAGTATTTTTCTTTTCTTTTTGAGGACTGAGATTTTTATATATAAAGTGCCTACCTAGCCTAGCACAAGGCACATAGTAGGTGCTGAATTTCTTTTGCATTGGAGGCTCTGAGCCCTCTCAGTCTGAGCGGCTCATCTTTGACATTCTGGGCAGTAATGACTCACAGGGCCCCCCATGTGGGAAGAGGGGTGCAGGGGAGTTCTCTGGGTGACGGTGGTTAAGAATGTGAAATTCTGGCTCTGCTGCTTCCCAGTGGGAGAGTTTACATAACTACCAGCCTCTTGCACAGGATTAAATAATTTATAGACGTGAGGTGCTCATTAGGAACAGTGACTAGCACAGAGTAAGTGTTCAATAGAATCCTAATGATTACTGTTATTGTTACCTGGTAGTCTTGACGACGGGAGTTGGTAGCACACAGGTGAGCTGCCAGCCATAGGCCGCCAGCGAGTTCAGCAGGGGCACGTAGTCTGTCTGCACTTCGACACCCTGGGGGAACAAGGCCAGCATTAGGGCTGCTGCTGCCACAAGCCAACTCCCAGGCAATGAGAGGGGACTATTCAGTCTGCCAATCCGCAAAACAGAAAAGAAGTGGCGGTGCCCGGCCACTCAGAGGCTCCTGCTCCGATGCTTGCTGAAGACTTTAAAAGTTTGGAGTCAAACTGCCAACATGGGATTTCCTTCTGGGCCCCATTTCAGTCTGTGATGTCAGCAAGGAATTACAGCCAAAAGATTAATCCATTAATTTTGTTTGATTCTTGTCTGGACAAATAGCCTCCTGTGAGTTTCACTGACGAAGCATAACTGTCTCACCTCTGAGCGGTATCCAGGGCATATAACTACACGTGCTGCTCTGAATGAGTTCAGAGCGTGTTGTGGGGAGTTAACTTACATTTGACAAATGATCAAGTCGTTTATGTCCAGCCACAGCAACACACACATGCACATCCACATGTGTGTGTACACGCAGAAGCTGCTTTGCCTGTGTTATGTGCCCTGCCTTGCAGGGATAAATGAATGCTGCCATGTTTTATTTCAAATTAGGATTTGGGGAACTAACATTTGTCTTTCAGTTAAAAAACTCAGCCCCGGCCGGGTGCTGTGGCTCACGTCTGTAATCCCAGCACTTTGGGAGGCTGAGGCAGGTGGATCACATGGTCAGGAGATCAAGACCATCCTGGCTAACACAGTGAAACCCCGTCTCTACTAAAAATACAAAAAAAATTAGCCAGGCCTGGTGGCGGGCGCCTGTAGTCCCAGCTACTCGGGAGGCTGAGGCAGGAGAATGGCGTGAACCCGGGAGGTGGAGCTTGCAGTGAGCTGAGATGGCACCACTGCACTCCAGCCTGGGTGACAGAGCGGGATTCCCATCTCAAAAAAAAAAACAAAACGAAAAAAACTTCAGCCCCCTGCTAGCACAGGGAGAGAGCCCTGATGTGAGGCCCCTGCACTGGCTTCCACCTCTGCAGGCGTTCTCACTGCAACAGGCCTCATTTCTTACTACGGGTTCCTCACTAACACTCAAAGTGTAGCCCCCACCCCTGCTCTGTGTGTAACTGGACTCCTCATCCCTCATAGTTTGGCTTCTTGTAGTTGGCTTCCGAAAATCTCAAACATGTATCCAGATTCCTTCCACCCTGTATGCCCACATAGTTCATTTATCAGGTACTCTAGAGCCATGATGGGTGCAAAGGCACAGCCCCGGCCCCTGGAGTTCACAGGCTAGCAGGGGCAACAGCACAAACATGCCAGGAACTGAAAAACCTAAGGGCTCTCTGGCAGGGCCATGGGACTTTGAATGCCAGCAGAGGTGGGAGAGATCCCAGCCACAGTCAAAGCAGGCTTCCTGGGGCAAAAATTAGAAGGCAAAGCTGGGCCTAGAGTGCCAAGGTCTGTGGTCGGCTTAACTCAGAGGCAGCGCGCGTGACCATGGTCTGGAGTGCTCCACTCAGAAGGTGGCCACGTGTGGTGAGTGGCTATCCTGCTGGTGGCCCTTTGGGAACAAAACCAGCTCATCTGGATGCCCTGGGCGAGTGGGATGGAAGGCAGAGGAGGAACAACCTACCTGCCCTGTCTCTTCAAATGGCTTTTAAAGCTTCTATAACTGGACACCAGTTCCAGAGTGGCTATCAAGTCACCTGAACCCTTGGCGACTAATTTATCCCTTGGCAGCCTCCCTTTCCTCCGCTGTATAAAATGGGTACTGGTCTATGTCGGTTCCCAAAGCATGGCCCGAGCCGGCAGCATCAGCATCACCTGGCAACTTGTTAGAAGCCCAGATTCTCAGGGCCCCATCCCAGACCTGATGAATCAGGAACTCCGGGAGTAGGGCCCCGGAATCTGTGTTTTAAAAAGCCCTTCCCAGTAGTCCTGATGCAGCTAAGTCTGAGAACCATCGCCTAGGTAATCATGTAGGTCCCTCCTGGCAAAAGAAAAGTCTGTAATTCTGTGGCCAGAATCTATCAGCTGTTGCCTCAAATCTAACTTTTTCCCATCATTCTCCATGAGAAAAAAATATATATTTTTAAAGGATCAGCTCTGTTAGAAATTCTGCCACACTGCAAGGGGAGAAAAGAAGGAAAGTGCTAAGGTTTGAATGTATCCCCCAAAAAGTTTCCATGTGTTGAAAACTTAATCCCCAATGCAATGACATTGAATGGTGAGGCCTGGTGGGAGTGTTTAGGTCAGAAGGGCTCCACTCTTGTGAATGGGTTAATGCCAACTCAGGCAAAGGGCTTGAGGCTACAAGTTCAGTCTCCTGCTCTCTCCCCTCTTTTCTGCGCTTCCGCCTCGGGATGACGCAGCAAGAAGGCCCTCACAAGATGCCAGGCCCTCGACCTTGGACTTCCCAGCCTCCAGGACCAGGAGCCAAGAACTGTCTGTCCTTTATAAATTGCCTGATCTCAGGTATCCTGTTACAACAGCACAAGTGGACCGAGACAGGGCGGAAGTGGAGAAAGGGAAAGGGAAAGAGGAAACTTAATAAAGGAAGGCGGAAGGGAGGAGGGAAGGGAGGAAAGGAGAGAGAGGTACAAGAATAATCCGTTTACAGGTGGGGCCAGGAGAGAATGCCATTCTGGTCCCTTCCCTGAAGCCTCTATCAGGCCAGAGATGGCCCAGCAGTTGTGACCATCCTTTCTGCCTGGCCTCTGGGCACACGCACACCTCCCTTCCAGACCAGCACAGCCCGTATTCCTCCTGCTGGGTGCCACGCTCACCACCTGCTGAAGGAGTCCTGAGGCTGCTTTATCCTGAGAATCCCTGCCCCCATCCCCGTATTCCCAGTTTAAAGAGAGGAGGAAAACCAATTTTAAATCCACACTCTCAAGCTTTGCGAGGTTATGATTACTTGGGCCTATCAAGAATAACCTTCCCACTTTATCAAGCACTGTGACAAACCCGCCACAATCAGACAGTAGCCATGGCAACCAGGACAAGCTTTGGCGCCTCACAAAGCCCTGAGTGGCAGAATGGAGTCCTTTTATTGGTGGCTGCATCTCGGGCCAGGTTTTCTCTGCGGGCACCCAGAGCTGCGAGACAATGAACGACCCCTGCTGCAGCCCGACCCGCCTGCTTAGACAGACTGCAAACCGGCTGCTTCTATTTTGCTCCGTTTTATTTCATTTTGTCACTCTCTTAAAGAAAAAATCAGCAGGATTTCTCCCAAACATTTTTTCCCCCTCAGGGTAGGAGATGTCAGCCAGAGGGTACAGAATCATAAAGGCCAAAAGCAAAAGGGAAAACACAACAAAACAACCCTGCTTGAGAGAGCTGAAGGTTCAATCTCACGTGTTAATTTCTGGCCATCACATGGTGAGTTGACAAGTAAAATACAAATGGTAGGGGTGAGATGTTGCACTCTGCCAGACTCTCCCACTCCGACTATTTGGAATGGTCTTGGCTTAATTAATGTTAAATGTGATTTTCCGTAAGCATCTATCACAGCCCGTTTGCATATTTATCAATATAGTAAAGAGATGGCATTTCTAAAATACAAGATGAGCCTGTCAGTGAAAGACACTTTTAAGTCCATTAGCTAAGAAAGGTGGTAGGAAACATATCCGGATGGAAGGCTCTCTTTGATCTGCTTTTTTGTGACACTCCAGTGAGGAGAGAAGAAAGCACCAACAACACTCAAAAGCCAGCCTGCTTATCAAACAAAAAGACATTTCTTTCTCTGAGTAGGAGCAAAAATTTTAATTAACTCTCCACTCTCCTGTGGTGGATACGTAATCTCCGATCACACCTGGAGTGTTAAAAAATGGAGCATGTCCTGTGGTTTTTCAACTCGTATAAAAGGAATTCATTTGTATTTATGGCTCTTTTTTCCTTTGTTCCCTATAATTTCTCCAGTGATTGCAAATCAACTAAAGAAATAGACATCCTACACAACCTTTCTTTACCCTCCAAAAATTAGGACAACAGAATGTAGAGTTTACTAAGAAATATGTTTGTCTTTTGATGATTTAAAAGATCTTCTATGCAGAGAAATAATTAGGAATTCATAAATTGGTCCAGTGAGAAAGTTTGCATTCTGAATGTCAGTTTGCTCTTCTTTTCTCCTGTGTTTCATCCTGTGGAAGCAATCTAGGAGAAAAGGAGTTTGAAAGAAAATATTTTGCTCTTTATACATGATTGTAAATGAAGAAAGGAATTTGATTTCCCTTGTCTGAAAGGTGCTTGAGACCACTTCTGGGGTGTTCTCCATACCTGAGAAAAGTGACTGGGGACAGTTTGCCTCTATTCCTGACATCCACAGGACTGAGACCTTGCCTTTCACCAATTAGGGTATGTAAGGGAGAGTCCTGCAAAAACTACTTCTGTGTCTTTTGTAAAATTGCTACCAAAACACTAGTGCCCACAAATTACTGGCAGGGTGTGCTTATACTACTCTTATTTTACTTATCAGTTTTAGGTATCCTAATTTTCTACCATGGGAAATAAAGGTTTAGTGCTCCCATAAACATTTCTTATTTCCTTTTTCTTTGTGCTCCAAATGGTTATTTTGTAATTTAAAGTAAATCAAAAGTCAATGTTTGTGTTATCACAGTTTTGCAAATATTGCTCAATGCTGGGTCAAATAATGCACTATGACCATGCCTTCTTTTTTATATAACCCTCTGTTTTTCCTGGAGTTAATTATTACCTCCATTTTTTTCATCTTCCTGGTTGTACCTGAACCCATCACTAATTTATCCCACATGTTGCAATACCCCTATTTAATGCTCATCGATAAATATTCCAAGATCCTAAATACATTAGTTCCATTTTTCCCCACTGGAGACATCATTTCTGAAACTTTGCTCTAATCTGGTCTGGCTGCTTTTCATGCCTGGGTTCTTCGTAAATTACTGTCTATGGCTGGTATGTTCTCTTTTTTTGGTTTCCTTCTCATTTTGCAGGAGCACATCCTGTAGTGACTCTCTAGGCAACAATGCCCTAGAAGTCATCTGAATCCGTGCATTTCTAAAAATGCCTTTGTGTTAACTAATAGTTTAGGTACAGACGTCTGGGCTGAAATTGATTTATCCGTCAAAATTTTGAAAGTACCTCTAGTAGTTTCTAGATGTCAGCAATGCTATTGAGATAATCTATTCTGATTACTAATATTTTAACTGTAACCTGTTGTATTGCTTTGAAAGTTTTTAGGATTTTTTTTTTCTCCCCTAGAAGTTCCGGAATTTCATGACAATGTGCTTTGGTGTGGGTCTTTTTTACTCAAAGGATTGTTCACCTGATGGCCTTGCAATCTGAAGATTCTTGTCCTTCAGTTCTGAAAAATGTATTTTTCCCCCCTTTGATAAGTTTTCTCCCCTCCCTTTTCTATCTTCTTTTTTTCTGGACCTGCTATTAATCAAAATGTGTGATAAATGTTTTAATTTTATTACCTTCCCCCACAGTTTTCTTACTCTTTTAATTTTGCTTTCTGAGAGATTTCCTTCATTTTGTCTTCCAACTTTTATGTTTTTTAAATTTTCTGCTGCCCTATTTTTAAGATTCAAAAGCCCTTTCTTATCTTTTGATTGCTTCTTTTTTTTTTTTACAGCATCTTGTTTTTGCTTCATGGATACATTTATTTTATCTCTTTAAATGGTTTCTTCTGATACCTACATTATCTCCACGGTTCCCAGGTTGCATGTGACAGAGATGGGGAACTAGGGATCTTACCACGCCACGTTAGGATTTTAAACCAGTACCCTGGTTTTCTGCTCTGCAGTTCACATCCCCCAACCTCCCATCCCATGGTGATTTATGCTTTGAAAACCAAAGCTTTTCTTGGGTTCTGCAAGAAACAAATGGCACCCTTCTCGTCCAGGTTGTAGCTTCCTTCATTTTGCTAAATTAGTTAGATTCCTCTATCTACTTTCCATCTATCTAAAAATTTGTTGAAATCACTCATCTTCTACTTTATCTTCTTCTAATCTTTTTGTTCTTGTGGGCATCGATTTATCTACCTACCTACCTACCTACAATTGAACCTCATTATTCTTGGTAGCTATGTTCTGTAAAGTCATTGTGAACAGTGCATTAGTGACTATTGAACCATTGCCCATAAGAGAAATATAGGGTTAGGGTCTTGGAAGCATCTGGTCGCAACAGTTTTGCAAACTGATCAATATATAACCTTGTTTAATAGATAGTGTTGATTCATGAACATTGAACTTGCAGCCAACAGCACTATAACTCATGCCTGAACAAAGCTCACTGGTATTTGCTTTGTAAAGCACATCATAGCATTCCTGCACTTAGGAACACTAGGCAACAGTACTTCAGCACTATGCATAGGGGCTATTTTTAACAGCTAAATCACCAACAAAAAGCACAAAAATGTGAAAAATGTGGCACTATGTGTACCACAAAAAGGACACTTGCTTTTAGTATGAACATTGAAACCAGGCACAATATTACCTTGTTTGACCTTAGCTAGAAAAGTGCACATTAGGCAACTCAAAATTTTTGCTGTTCTGCACATGTTTGCAAATGGCCACAAAATGCCATTTGTATTGATTTTGGGATTACAATAAATTTTAGTAAGCAGATGAATTTGCAAATACAGAATCTGAGAATATGAGAATTGCCTGTATCTATCTAATTATGTCATTCCTTTAGTTTCATTTCATGAGGATTTTTCAGAAAAGAAATAGATGCCTGTGTCCAATCCCCCTCATTTAATAAAATGTTATTATTTTAATGTTTAAAGTGAACACTGGAAGGCCTTTCTAAATAACTTAGAATCCAGAAACCAAAAAATAAAAATGACAAATTTGATTACATAAAAACTCATATGATATAAAAGACAAATGACAAAATGGAAAAATGTTTGCAGCTCATATTACAGAAAAAAAAGGGCTTGTAAAAATTGAAAAGAAAAAATCCAATAATCCAAATTTTAAAAGGGCCAAAGATATGAAGAGAGATCACAGAAGATTCAAACACCCACTAAGTGCATGAGAGAAATGCAGAATCTCATAAGAAAAATGCAAATTAAAACTACCAGCCGGGCGTGGTGGCTCACGCCTGTAATCCCAGCACTTTGGGAGGCCGACGCGGGTAGAGCACGAGGTCAGGAGATCGAGACCATCCGGGCTAACACGGTGAAACCCCGTCTCTACTAAAAATTTAAAAAATTAGCCGGGCATGGTGGCGGGTGCCTGTAGTCCCAGCTACTTGGGAGGCTGAGGCAGGAGAATGGCTTGAACCTAGGAGGCAGAAGCTGCAGTGAGCCGAGATCGTGCCACTGCACTCCAGCCTGGGCGACAGAGCAAGACTCTGTCTCAAAACAAAAACAAAAACAAAAAACAACAACAAAAAATACCCTGAGATACTATTTTTTCACCTATTGAACTGGTAAAAACCCAAAAGTTAGGCAGCCCGCTTTGTTGCCAAGGCCGTGGGGAAGCATGCGTTCTTGTACATTGCTAGTGGAAGGGCTCATTGATTCAACCCTCCTGGAGAACAGTTTGACAGTATCTTTCAAAATTACAAACACATTTTCCCTTTGACCCAACAATCTCACTTCTGGGAATTTAACCTACGTATTAAAAAATGAGAAATGCACAGAGTTATTCACTGGAGAGCGGTCTGCAGTAGCAAGACACTGGAAACTACTCAAGTGCCCATCAGTGCTGGATTTGTATTTAACATTATGTTTCACCCAGACAACAGCTCAGAGAACTGGGCAATGGCTGCTCATGTGTTGAGCCGGGGCATACAGGATGAAGAGGGACAATGAGAGGGAATGAATTCTATTCTAGACACCCTGAGTTTGAGGAACCTATGGAAATGTCCAGGAGGCAACTAAATGAAACAGCCTGTGGTAGACAGAATAATGGCCCCAAAGATGTCTACAGCCTAATCCCAGGAGCCTGTGAAAATGTTCCCTTCGCATGGTAAAGGGATGTGGCAGATATGATTAAGCTAAGGATCTTGAGATGGAGAGTTTATCCAGGATTATCCAGGTGTGCCCAGTATAATCACAGGGGTCCTTATAAGGACAGGCAGGAAGGCCAGAGTCAGAGGAAGAGATGTGATGGCAGCAGCAGAGGCTGGAGTGATGCAGGGAAGGGGCCACGAGCCAAGGAACATGGGCAGCTTCCAGAAGCTGGCAATGGTCGGTAACAGATTGTCTCCTAAAAGTCTCCACAAAGAATGTGGTCCTGTCAACACCTTGGTTTTAGCCCCTTAATACTCATTTCAGACTTCTGACTCAACAAATGTAAGACAATAAACTTGCGTTGTTTTAAGTCACTAAATCTGTGATTTGTTGCCGCAGCAACAGGAAATTAATCCACAGCTCAGGGCCAGGAAAAGGCTGGGATGGGGATAAACACTTGGAGGTGCTGACAGATGCAGGGTAGGTGAAAACTCCTGGAGGGATGAGGCTGGCTGAGGGCTGGATTTCCTTGTGAGGGGGTGAGCAGAAGATGAACGAAAATGGGCTGAGTGGGAAGGAATCAGCCCTTGGACAATCCTGCATGGGAAACAGGCTTAAGAAGGGAGTTTGTACCACATTTTCTTTATCCAGTCCATAATGCTATGCAGCCTTAAAAAGGAACGAATCACGTCCTTTGTGGGGACATGGATGGAGCTGGAAGCTGTTATCCTTAGCAAACTAACGCAGGAACAGAAAATCAAACACCACATGTTCTCACTTACAAGTGGGAGAGCTGAACGGTGAAAACACATGTGAAAACACATGGACACATGGTGGGGAGCAACACACACTGGGACCTGTTGGAGGTGTGGGAGGAGGGAGAGCATCAGGAAAAATAGCTAATGGATGCTGGGCTTCATACCTAGGTGATAGCCTGATCTGAGCAGCAACACACATGGCACACGTTTACCTATGTAACAAGCCTGCATATCCTGCACTTGCACCCTGGAACTTTAAAAAAAAAAAAAAAAAAAGGAGTTTGATCACACCATCAAATATCTCAAGAGGGCAAGTCACAAGGAGCCTGGAAACTGGATGGATGGATGGTGAGGTCTCAGGAGGCCACAGGCAGGACTCCGCAGGAGGGAAGTGGCCGACAGCAAGGACTGGTGGCAGCTGCTAGTGCAGAGGAGGCAGAGCATGCTGGCGCCTTCTCAGGGCTGCCTGGGCCCTGCTCAGCACACGCTGGCTATAGCGGCACTCGAGGAGGGTAGAGGTCCTGTTCTCCTACGGCCATGGAAAGTGGAGATCTAGAGGCAGGGTGGACAGGAATGCCAAGACAGAAAGAAGGGCCACTTCACCTCTACCTCTCCCTAGCAAGTGGAAGGCAGATGCTGGAACACGGCGGGCAGTGTTGCAGAAAACTCCACGTGGCCCTCAGGATGCTAAAGGGCAGGGCTATGCCTGGTATCACTGTTCATTCATGAATCTCACATTCAGTCAGCCTGGCTCTGTCTGTGCCACTTGGGAAGCCTCTTCTGCCCCAGGAGATCCCAGTCTAGGGGTGGGGAGAACAAGCACATGGTTCCCATCCAGTGGAGCCCATGGAGGTGAGGTGGAGGGAGGGAGAAGGGAAGGGGCGACCTGCTGCTCTGTGGAGAAACAGCAAAGCCCTCTGCAGCCAGCACAGCTGGCCTTCCTCACCCTCAGCCTCCCAGGCCTCTGCGGGAGGGAGGGACAGGCACGCTGGCCGGCTAGAGATGTTGTTTTCTCCTTTGTTTTATGCACAATGCCCCAGAAAAACATTTTGCTGATATGTAATCAGGACAACATAATAGAGTCTGAGAGAGCAGTCTTCTCATTTTAGACAACTTAGGCTTTCATAATGTTCAAAGAGAATAATTTTTTTTTTTTAAAAAAGCTTAGTTCTTAGATGCAGAAAAGGGTCAGAGGAAAATACATGTAGTGCATAAAAAGCTTCAGTTCTGAGACTCTTTACCCACCCAGTGCTGGTGAATTCACATCTTTGTCTCATTTTCTCTACCAGGTAAGAAAGGCAGCAAACTCAGTAGCCTTTTAGGAGCTCAACGAAATAAAAAATAATAATTGTTATTATTACATGAAACATATTGTTTGGAAGAATGGTGTCTATTATGACTTCCCTGTGTCCAGGCCACTTTCCAACACAGCTCGGCAGCTCCTCCCATAAGAGGGAGAGTCCCTCTGGTCACCCCTTGAATCTTGGCTGGTCTTGGGACTTGCTCTGACAAATAGGATATGGCAGATGTGACATTACGGTCATCCTGAACCTAGGCCTCAAGGAGCCTTGCTGTTTCTGCTCACTCTCCAGGAACCCTGCCTACGCCATGAGGACAGGCCCAGGCTAGCCTTCGGATGATGAGAGACCTGTGGCCCTGCTAAGCAGCAGACGTGAGAGATGCCATCTTGGAGCTGCTAGCTGTGGTCCACCCATCAGCGCCTGCAGGCACATGCTGAGATTAGTCGATTTCCTAAAAGTTGAAGGAAAAATCACCCAGCTGACCTGTTTGGGTTATGATTTTAACTCACTAAGCTTTGGGGAGCTTTATTACACAGCAGAAGCTAACTGGTGTATTACTATTATTACTATTATTCTAAGAACCAAATACCAGGCAAACCTCTAGGAGGAAAATTGTAATGAAAGTCACCTCATTGATTTGTGGCCGGGCTCAGTGGCTCACGCCTGTAATCTCTGCACTTTGGGAGGCAGAGGTGGGTGGATCATGAGGTCAGGAGATCGAGACCACCCTGGCCAACATGGTGAAACCTCGTCTCTACTAAAAATACAAAAATTAGCCAAGCATGGTGGCAGGCGCCTGTAGTCCCAGCTACTCGGGAGGCTGAGGCAGGAGAATCGCTTGAACCCAGGAGGCGGAGGTTGCAGTGAGCCCAGATTGCGCCACTGCACTCCAGCCTGGCGACAGAGCGAGACTCCATCTCAAAAAAAAAAAAAAAAAGAAAAGAAAGTCACCTCATTTGATTTGAGAGAAATACAATGATATAGTTACTGCTGAAGGGGAGTGTTCCTAATTTGTCACCACACTCAAGGCTGGCACACCTAGCCCTTATTTGCTCCAGGCCGGACACTTTGGCCTTGCATTACCTCTGGAGCCCTGAAGTCTAATTTATGATAACCTACTGTGAGGCCCAGCAGTGCCACCAGCTTGCCCTGGAAGAGAGAGATAAAAACCCACACTGGGTAGATCGTCCTAGCTCGAGATGTTGCCCTGGCTTCTCCTAAAGCACCATGCCAAGCTGGCAAGAAAACCAAACCTGCATGTGCAAGATAACATTCTCCTGGATTCTGGGACACGCTGGGTGATCTGGTCCTGGTACATGCGGTTTCTCTAACGTCAGTTACTTGGAAGGCAGAAAGAAGAAAGGGGCTACGGGATGGAAGGGCAGGAGATGGCATGCATCCTTATTATCAGGGGTGTCTGCCCACACACACCTGCATGAGCAGAATGAGAACCAGGCAAGGCATGCAACCACGCAAGGCTCCTGATCACAGGGAAGGTAATGAGGCCGGACATGCGGCGGCTAAGGGGCGATGGCTGGGGCCAACTCTGACCCGTAGCAGGGACAGGCACTGCAGTTCTGACTGTGGTTAAGCAACACAAAGCTGCCACATCCTGTCAGCTGCTCATCGGGACCACGTATGCAATAGCACAGGGCTCCTGTCCTCTAGAAGCTGACATCTTAAACACACATTGAGTGCTTCAGGGTGAGGGGGTCCTCCCAGGCCAACTTAGAAATAGCTTTGTTTGATAACAATTAAAAAAGAAACATTTTCTCCATCCAGAGACTTGCCAGGTCCCTCCTACTGGCTTTGATGAGAGAGAAAACTAGGCTTTCTGGGAGTAAATGGGACTTGCTACTTTATTACTCTCTTTAGACTATCAGAGATGAATGAGGGATCCTATATCATATCTTTAGCCCTTCTTTCTGATTTTTCACCTTATGTATTACCTAGAAAAGAGAAAAGGGATTGAAAAAAGGAGCTTTTCCAAAGTGTATAATTAAAAAGTTGTTTATTTTGGAGTTGGGGACCTGGGGAGAGAGCCAGTCTGTCTGCAGGAATTCTAGAACCCAAAACTGTCAACGTTGTCCCCTCCACCTGTCAGCAGTGGATTCCTAACAGCTTACTGATAATCATAAAATGCAAACCCAGAAGAGGTCTCTGAATAAAGGTTGGTTCAAAACCTTAAGAGACAGGGAAATGGAGATTAAAGATTATTTCACTGTCCTAGCTAACAACGAACAGAGCCACACAACACACCATGTGCTGGGCTGTCACAGTCTTGACTCACTAAGGAAGGGATTGGGTAAGACATGGGATTTCTCTCTCCCTAACTTTCTCTGCCTGGTAACTTCAAAGGTGCCACATTCTCAAGCCATGCTGGAGCAATCACAGTTGGCCAATATTCTCTTTGTGGTGACTCAACTGTCAGTATCATGTTGCTATGGCTACCACAATTCTCACTCAGCCCTCCCTCCTTATGCTCTGCTCTTATTTAAACCAAATTGCATTGCACTAATCCCACAGCATGCTCTTTGAGGACCCAGCTCTGATAGGGCTTCTGAGGTGCCAGAAACCTCCAGCTGGAATATCCTGCCTTCAGGACACATCAGACATCTGGCTGTTCATTAGTCCAATGTTACAAGTCCTGCAGTCCACCTCCCATTCTATCTGGCTCCCTGCTCTACCAGAGACAAATCCACCAGAGCCATAACAGATGCGCTGCCGGGTCCCCATCAGCATCTGCACTGAGACCTACCACGGGACAAACCAATGATGAAAAACCCAAAGTCCAGAAAATGAAAATGGTCTCAGAGAGACTGGCCAATCCTATTTGGGGTCCTCTAGAAAATTCTCCCATCACTCTTCCCTGTCCTACCATTTCCACATATTGATCATGACTTGGTGCTTCGTTTTTCTGCCCCTGCACTAGAACACAAACTCCACAAAGGCAAGGAGTTTATCTTGTTCTTGATGAATCCCAGGCACTTAAGGAAGTATTTGTTCGATAATTAGTTGTTGAGTGAGTGAATAAATGCACCTGTCCTAGCATTTTGTGGGTAGGTTCTGCCACCATTGTCTTGTACTCTCAAAGTCTTATCAAAATTGCTGTAAATCATGCCTAAAATGAGACATGAGTTTGCCACCAAAAATGTGAATTAATTTGCCAGGATGCTGTGTTACCATTTTTATGGGTATTTTGCATGTGGAAGTTGGAAGTATATTCACGTATGAAAATTAGACACAGTCATGTACTGGCCATAAAGCACAAGGCCATTATTTAGCTAGCCACACACAAACTTGTTTCTTCCCTGTTTCTGTTCCATTGCCACGCATTACAGAGGGTCCTATCAGGAGGTAGTGCCTGTTTCTCCATCTCTTGACTCTGAGCTGGTTTTGTGACTTTCTTTGGCCAATAGTACATTAACAAATATGATGCAAACCGCAGCATGAAATAAGCTAGCACATTGGGGCTTGCCCACTTGCTGCTTTTGGGAATCCTGTGGCTGCCATCCTGTGAAGAGGTTCAGGTTAGCTTACTGAATGTTAAGATACACAAGGCTCTGTTCTAGCCAACTGCCAGACATATGAATGAGGCCACTCTAGATCATTCAGCTACCAGCTGACATATGAGAGAGCCCAGCAGAGATCAGCAAGGTTGCCCTATGGCTGAAAAATTGATCAGATGACCTAAAGAATCATGAGCTAATACATGGTTATTTGAAGCCACTAAGTTTGGAATGGTTAGTTACACAGCAGAAGCCAACTGATAGAGACTGAAAAACAAAACATCCAACAAACATTTAATGGAGATGAGTGTTTCTGCTTCTTTCAAAGTTACCTTGTCTTTATACAGGAAGGTAACTCTGCAGTTATAGATTTTAAATAGAATAATGCTTTTGTGCTAATCCCTACCCCTCACCTTCTTGTCCAAACCGTTTCTGAACAACATCAAGAATTTTCAAGGTGAAGTCAAAGGTGAAATTTGTTTCCGTGGGATAAAAATTCCCTAGTTTCAAAAAGTAAGGCCCTCAAGAGAATGAGAAGACAAGTCAAAGACTAGGAGAAATATCTGCAAAAGCCATATCTGATAAAGGACTTTTATCCAAAATATACAAAGAATTCATAAGACTAAACAATAAGACAACAAACAACCCAATTTAAAAATGGGCAAAAGTTCTAAACAAATACCTCACCAAAGAAGATATGCAGGTAGCAAATAATAAGCATATAAAAAGATGCTCAACATCATATGTCATTAGGGAAATGCAAATAAGACAGTCCACCTTAGAATGACCACATTAGAATGGCCAAGATCCAAAACACTGACAATACTTAATGCCGGTGAGGATGTGGAACAACAGCAACTCTCGTTCACTGTGGTGGGGACGCAAAATAGTACAGCCACTACAGAAGACAGTTTGGCAGTTTCTTACAAAACTAGACATACTTTACAATATGATCCAGCAATCATACTCCTTGGTATTTACCCAAATAAGCTGAAAACTTTTGTCCACACAGAAACCTACACATGGCTGTTTATAGCAGCTTTATTCATAATTGCTAAAACTTGGAAGCAACCAAGATGCCCTTCAGTAACTGACAGAGAAACTGCAGTGGAACCATACAATGAAATATTATCCAGCACTAAAAAGCAATGAGCTCTCAAGAGATGGAGGAGCCTTAAATCCATATTACTAAGTGAAAGAAGCCAACTGGAAAAGGCTACATACTGTATGGGAACTCTGTAGATTCAGTTCAGTTTTGCTATGAACCTAAAACTACTCTAAAATATAAAGTTTATTTTTCTAAAAAAAAGTAAGGACCTTGAATCAAAACTGACATGAATTACTATACAAGAGCAAGAAAATTGAAGTCAGCAAAAACCCACCAATGGAAAACTAATTAAATAAATTAAAATTTTTCATAGATTGAAGTACTCTATGGCCATTACAAATAATGAAGTAAAAGCCTAATAACAGAAACATTTTCAGCATACAGTTACATACAAAAATGTATAACAGTTTGAAGAGTATGATACCATTTTTGTAAAAAATATGCAAATATAGATAGAATATACACAGGAAGGATTATCCTAAGATGCTATGCAGCTACCTTCTAGTGATGCTGAAAGTTGGGGTTTACTTTGCTTTCTTTTCTTGACCTGTATTTTCTAAATTATCTTTAATGACCACTTGTCACTTTTTTCAACATCTTTATTGATATATAATTGGATATCTTAAAATTCACCTATTTAAAGCAAACAATTCAGTGGTTTATAATATATTCAGAGTTATACAACCATCACCACAATCTAAGTTTAGACCACTTTCATCACCCCCCACACCAATACCCTGTACCTATTAGCAGTCACTCCCCTTTCCCCCCACCCACCCCGAGGCAACCACGAGTCCACTTTTTGTCTCTATGCACTTGCCTCACCTGGATATTTCATATAAATGGATTCATATAATATGTGGTCTTTTGCAACTGGCTTCTTTCACTTTAGCATATGTTCAAGGTTCATACATGTAGCATATATCAGTAGTTTATTCCTTTTTATTGCAAAATAATATTCCATCATATGGATATACCATAGTTTATTCATCATTTGATGAACATTTAAGTTGTTTCTACTTTTTGGACATTACAAATAAAGCTGCCATCAACATTAATGTACATAGGTCTTTATGTGGACATATGTTTTCATTTCTCTTAAATATAGGGGTGGAATTGCTGGGTCATATGGTAACTATGTTTAACATTTTGGGAAAGTGTCCATGGATCACTTTTATAAAAATAAAAAAAGTTATAAGAATGAAAGCAGAGGCCTCTTGGCCTCACTAGACTAGTTCTCAAGCCTTCTTAAGTCTAATTTGCCAAGCCTAATTTGCCACTTCACCCGAAAAGGATGTTTAAAGAGGCCACTGATTTAAAAGCTCTGTGTCAACATGCATGCCCAGCTTATTCAAGTTGGAAGGGGTCAGGGTGGACCTCTAGTCCAGTGGCTGCTAGGCCTGGCTGAATTTTTTACATGCAGTTCCCTAATCTCCACCCCGAAGACCCACTGACTTTGAGTCTCGATCTCAGCTCACTGCAGCCTCAACCTCCCAGGCTCAAGTGAGCCTCCCACTACAGCCCCTCTGAGTCGCTGGGAATACAGGCACACACCACCATGCCCAGCTAATTTTTATTTTTTTAATGTAGAGAGACAAGGTCTCACTATGTTGCCCAGGCTGGTTTTGAACTCCTGGGCTTAAACAGTCCTCCCACTTCAGCCTCCCAAAGAGCTGGGATTACAGGCATAAGCCAGCCAGCCAGAATGTGAATTTTTAATAAGTCCTCAGGTGATTCTGAGGACTAGCAAGGTTTGGGAACCACTGCGCTAGTCCTTCCTGCCTAAAACATCACTCCTAATTAGTGGTAATGGAACATCCAAGTCACACCAGCATCTGGGAGTTGACAGTCCTAGGCCCCAGCCACTTCCTCTGCTAAAGAGTTCCACATACACTCTCCAATTAGACCTAGTTTTTCCCTTACAATCAACAAAAACAGTCTACTTCCTTCCTCATAAGTCAGCCCTTCAAAGATATGAGGAAGCCAGCTACCTGATTACCCTTGTTTTTTCCTCCTCCAAGATAAACATGTCCAATTGTTTCCCACCATTTCCAGGTGTCTCCCGCATCACTGTCACTTTCACCTGTACCCTAGAGTCTGCTGATGTTTCTCATCAAATATGGTGGTCATGGTGGAACCTAAGACTCTAAGTCAGCCAGCACTGGACTGAAGAAAACAGGGAGAAGTCCTTCATGCATGTGTTTTCATAAATTTGGTCAAAGATATCTGTTCTAAGCAGTGCTAACCTCATATTATCCAATTATTTATTCAATCAATGTTTGTTAAAAACCTGCAACACAAAAGGAACTAATGTGGATCCAGAAACCATGAATATAAGGAATGGCTGGTCCCTGACTCAAGGAGTTTGCATAGCAATTTGATAACTTCAGTAATTCCTAGGTAAGGTGAAATGTGGTTGTTTCAAAAGGAGGGGAGAGCAAAGCCAGCTGATAGTCTTATAGATGGCCCCACAAAGCTGGTGGCATTAGGGTTGGGCTGGAAATGACGAGCAACTGCCTCAAAAGTGAAGATCTGAGGTGGAGCAGGGTCTCAGCAGAGAGTGAGCAACCAGAAAGAAACATGGGCTGTGATCTGGAAATGTTCACTGGGTCACAGCCCAGAGCACTTGGAGGGAAGCAGTAGAGACATTCTTGGCCTGTATTAACTCTTTTTCATTGGAATTGCTGTCAAATCAGGTATGCTTCATTCTATATTATTGACTTTTTGGAGCTTAAATACAATTTGTTGATACTTAAATGTATTCCTATTACATTTTATTGGGCTGGTTTTTGTCCAACATTCATATACTAAGAAGTAACAGATTGGAAGGGGTTTAAGAAGTCAGGGAAACCTACTCAAAAAAGAAAGTGGATTAGATCAGTAATTTTCAAGGTTTTTTTTTTTTAATTAGTAGGATGCTTCCTATAGGCATCAACTATAATCTAATTTAGAAACAACATGTAAAAACAGATACATTCAGAAAAGGCGGCTCTGGTTGACACTGGCATGGGTGGGTGGTCCAGAGTCTTCCCCACTCTCAGACCTGCCCTGGCCTTCTTCCCCCTCGCCCAACTAGAATGCTTTATGTGGAGCCCAAGAGCATCCATGTTCTTATTCTTAGATCCCAAGGGCCACCCAAGGTATTCTGTGGCCTCCCAGAATCAGGTCTCTTCAGGTCCACCACCTTCTAGATCACTGCACAAGCCCCTGAAAAAGATGTGAAACAGGCCAAGGCACAGGATGGCATCAGAAAGCTCATGAAGACAGACCTCCTCCCAATGAAAGCACATCGTTGCCAAGTGCGGCCTCTCAATCAGTTATACACCACCCATAGGCCCTTCCTTTTTATTTAGTTGTATTAAAAGCCTTGGCCAGGTGAATTTCAAAGAACATATTTCAAGGAGTGGTAGTGAGTGAACACATAACTACAAGAACACCCCCCAACCTTTTATGCTCACTGATTTAATATACTTCAGTTCTCTCTGGAGAACCATTTGCCCTCTCTTCATCTGTGGCTCTCAAACTATGCATTTTAAGCTCTTTTAGGGGGCCACATGGAAAGCATAAGAAATGGGGGCAGCCCCCAGGAGCAAGGACCAGCTCCTGGATAACTGCCTGCAAGAAAACAAGGACCTCAGACCTGCAACCACAAGGCCAACAACCTAAGTGAGCTTGGAAGTGGATTCTTCCCCACCAAAACCTCTAATAAGGCACACAGCTCTGCTGACATCCCATTTCAGTGTTTTGAGACCCTAAGCAGCAGACGACCCAGTTCAGCCCACCTGGATTTCTGGCCCACAGAAACTGTAAGATAATAAGTAGGTGGTTGTGTGTGTGTGTGTGTGTGTGTGTGTGTGTGTGTGTTTAAAGCTGTTATAGAATTATCTCCCACTTTTTTATCTCAAACACATTGGGAAAACCTAAAGATATAGCCCCTGTTATCACATTGAGCCCTTAACTTGCCACAGGATGCATAAACATTATTTTTGGGCATGTTGTGAGGGTGTTTCTGGAAAAGATTAGCATTTGAATGGGTCAACTGAGTAGACCAGATGGCCCTCCCCAGTGTGGGTGGACACCATCCAGTCATTGAGGACCTGAACAGAACAAAGGGTGGAGGAAGGCTGAATTAACACCGCCTGACTGCTTGAACAGGAACGTCCATCTTCTGCCCTTGTTGCTCCTGGTTCTCAGGGCTTGGGACCTGGACTGGAGTCCACACCATCAGCTGCTAGCTCTCAGGCCTCTGAACCATACCACTGGCTTTCCTGGGTCTCCAGCTTGCAGATAGCAGACTGTGGGACTCCTCAGCCTCCATAATCACATGAGCCAAAACCTTATAATAAATCTCTGTGTGTGTGTGTGTGTGTGTGTGTGTGTGCGCGCGCGCGTGCGCGCACGCGCACATGTGCATGTGTATGTGTATAATCTCCTACTGGTTCTGTTTTACTGGAGAACCCTAATACACTTCTTTCTTGTTGTTCTGTGGCATACACTGAATATTTTAAACCGCATTTGTCACAGGATTTTGAAAACGTGATCATTTGTTTCATCCTCTCTTCCTCTGCAGCAAGAATCAAAATTCACTTTGCCCCATGATCTTCACCAGAACGGCATACTTGCCTCTCCCCTCGTCAGATTGAAAAGGTTCCTATGATTTAGGGTCTTCCAGCACCCCTCAGGAAGCTTGACAATGAAGAGGAATTATTGATGAATGTGGAAAGGCCAGGGGGTGCACATTCATTTTTAATGACTACACACCTTCCCTTGACTAAATGGAATCAATCCTTCCTGCCTGAATTTCATCCATTCATCATGCTCTCACAGTGGCTGACACACAGTAGGAACTCAATATTTATTTGTTGGATAAATTTTTAAAAAGATATAACTTACTTGTATCACTAAATTTTGTATATGAAGTGAAATATGGCTGTCTGAGAAAATAGGACAATTGAGTTTATGGAAGAAAAAAGTGCAGATAAAGATTAAAGGTCAAATACTTCCTTTTGTCATCTCATTATCCAAACCGTCAACAAGTCCAGTCTTCTTGAAAATACCTCTAGGAGCATCCTGCCTTGCTAGTCCCCCTCAGTGGCACATTCTGTTGGCTGCCAAAGCCAACAGCCCCTCGATGGCCCAGGGCTTCTTCCTCACTGACACCCCCCAGGCCTGGACAACCATGACTCTTGACAAGTGGCATGGGTCTGTGACTCAGTCCTGGCCAATGAGACCTGAGGAAATCTCTGTTGTGGGTTTCTGGGAAAGCTTTTACTTGCTAATAAAAAGGGACGTGTGGCAGGAAAAAACTGCCCCGTTCTTCACGGTTGTCATCACATTTGCATGAGACACCTAGAATTGCCACAGTCACCTTGTGAGGAGGATCATAAGGAGAGCCCTGCAGACAGGCTGAGGATGAGTACAGAAAGATGGCAACATCTGGATCCCTGGTGGCATCTTTAAGCTGTTGACAAAGCTGACTCTGCAACCTCCCCACCTTGCTCTAGACTTCCTGCTCAATGAGATGAGATGAACACCCCTACGGCTTAAGCCACTTTTAGTTGGATTTCCTGCTATGAACGGTGGAAAGCAACCCAACTGATACCCATGACCACCACCCTTATTCTATTTCCCTGGGCTTCTGTTGGCCTTTCCCCCATTCTGGCCCTTTCTCCAGGGCCAATTGTCCCAGTGTACAGCTCTCTGATGAAAATCCCACTATGGCTCCCTTCAACCCATTGCAAAAATCCAGGCCCTTGCCTCACCCACACGGTCTTCCCCAGACTTTTCACATGCAAACATACTGTCAAGGACACCCTACAGGGCAACCCTGGAGAGACGTCCATGCATGTTATATCCATTTTCTAGGGGGGGCTATAACAAATGACCACAAAATTGGTGGATTACAACAATAGAAATTTCTCACAGTTCTGGAAGCCAGAAGTTCAAAATCAGTATCACTGGGTCAAAAGTCAAGGTTATAACAGGCCCATGCTCCTTTTGGAGGCTAGGGGGAGAATCCGCTCATTGTTTTTTTCCAGCACTAGTGGCTGCTGGCATTTCTTGTCTTGTGGCCTCACTACTCCAATCTTCAAAGCATTTTCAACTCTCTACTCTGCCTTCACCTCTATGTGTATAAAATCTCCCTCTGCCTCTCTGTTACACAGATGCATACCCACCTCTGTGTGCACACTCACCTCTGTGTGTACACCACCTCCTCTCTGGAAGGAGCTTTCTCTGTGAAAGGGGAACTAGGGAATTGAGGGTCAGAGGAGAGAGGAGGATTCAGTCTTTACTATATACACATTTGCACTGTAAGCATTTTGTTTAAAATTATTATAAAGCCTCCAATAACTTTTATCTCGATTTGCAATGTAATATTCCTCAATGGGACTTTTTTACACATGCTCTTAGGTCAGGTTCCCTATAAGGAGACCCTAAAACAAGTATTCACGTGCAAGTAACTTATTAAGGATGTGCTGCCAGTGAGGGAGCGGGAGAAGTCGTACAACAGAGTAGAAGCAGCCCAGGAAGGACACAATTTTAAGAACATCCCGTGACCAGCGGCTCAGTCTGATCCTGTGGGGAGCTCTGAGGGGTGAGTTATGCTCAGAGTTGTCCCCATCTGAGGCCAGGGAGCAGGGCTTTCATACACCCACACTCCTCTGTCATCGACGAGGACCACCTCGGAGCACTTGTGGCTCTTGTTGCTTAAAGCAGGGCAGGCTCCTGGAGCTCAGGAGCAGGGCTTTGCTAAGAGGCACAAGTGCTGCCTGTTTGAGGTGAAAGCATGATGGTAAAAAGGAAGCCGAGGCATCTAGATCACTGACATTATCCATAATCAGAGGCGTCTAGGAGATCACCCACATTATCTATTATTGAAGGCATCTAGGAGATCATCCACATTATCCAATATGTGTTCTAATTATAAAAAAAAATTAATAGATGTGCCTTCTCTTCCAGCTGGCCTCTGCTCCTGTCACTTCCCACAGCAGGAAGCCCCCACACTCAATTCCCTTAGCCCATCCAAGTCCTGGCTTGACTTGCCAATACCCAGCTGGAGCCCACTGTGTCCAGGAGGCCTTGTTCAGTCTCTGCTCTCTCCCAGGGCACTTCTGGTCAGCAGGGCACAATTAGCCTTGAATGCCTTCCCATTTCCTTTGTAGGATGTCTTCTTCCCGAGGCTCCTTGATGTGTGGGGCCTCAGCAAATGCCCCTTTGCATCCTTGTTCCTGGGCATCAAAAAGTAGTCACTCTCTTTGAGCCTATGGAGTTTCCCAGTTCCCTGAGGGTTCTGTTATGGAACCCCTAATCACCATCTCAAGTGGTTCTTTCTCATTTTTTATGTACTCTTTCATGGATTAAGTCCAGCCCACCTGCCCCACTGGGAAGCAGGAGGACTGGTTTTGGTCCAATAGCCCATCATCTCTGTGTCCTGCCACTGCCACAATCCACACACATTTCAGAACACCCGAGCAAGTGGCTGCTGCCAAGGAGGAGGCAGAGGGAAAATTCTGGCTAAAAGAGGTAAAAGAGGGACAGACAGCCATCCCAGGCTCCACTATCCAAGGACAGGGTCAAAGTTTCAGATCAGAAGTCAGGACTCAATAATCAGATCATGGCCTTTTGGGGTCACTATTTCTAAATGTAATCTCTTCCCCATCATTATGGGAAGGGAAATGACTTACCTGGGCAACACAAACTGTATAAACTAAGCTTTTCTCTGTGACGTTCCTAACAGCAGAAGAGTACTAGCGGCCATCTCCAGAGACAAGAAGAAAAAGAATTTCAGAGGCTCAGAGGAAAGTTCAATATGGCCCCATGGCAAGAAATACAGGCATGCTGGCTCCAGGTGGACTTGTCACCCTAAGATAAAAGTTGGAGGCAACTAAGGAAAACCACTGTGGCTGTAGAGATGGATGAGTGTGAATTTATAAGGACAGAAGGGGGTACCTGAGCCTCCAGGGATGGTGACAAAAGTAAGGCAAACCCAAAAGAGGAGGAATGTTGAGCCTGGAATGAGCTGAGGTGTGCAGGTGGCGTGAGGTATACACACATGCACCTCAGCCTAGAATGAGATGAGGTATGTGAACTACGTATGTGCATGTGTGCACACGTATACACATACGCCATTTAAAATCATGCTCAAAGCAAGAAGTTGCACAAGAAAAGGGTATGTTCAAGACAATAAAAATGGGATTATTCAACTCCTATTTTACTTGCTTTTCTACAAGGAGACAAATTTGGCTAAAGTCTAAGAGACTGTGAAGTTTTCTCCCCATTAATGGCATCACAGCATTTGTATCTGATTCATCAGGATTCTCCTGAGAAAGAGAATCAGTAGGCTATCTTGTATCTAGAAAGATTCATTTTGAGGAACTGGCTTACATGACTGTGGAGGATGTAAAATCCAAAGTTTGCAGGGTAGCCCAGCAGGCTGGATATTCCAGCAGGAGTCGATGTTGCAGTTTTGAGTCTGCAGGCTGAATTCCTTCCTCTTCCGGGATCTCAATCTTTTTTCTTAAGGCCTTCAACTGATTGAAGTCCACTCACATTAGGAAGGGTAATGTGCTTTACTCTTCTACTGAGTGGAATGTTAATCACATCTAAAAATACTTTCATAGCAACATCTAGATTGGTGTTTGATCAAGTAAGTGAGTACTATAGCCCAACAAAGCTGACATAAAATTAACCATCACAGGACAATTCTGCAACTTAATTTTCTCGTTTAACATTTCCTGTAATTCCTTCCATGTCAGCTTATACAGAATGACCTCATCTATAATAAGAATATATTATCCTTTGTTTAACCATTCCCCTACTGATGGACATGAACATTATTACCTTTTTTGATATTACAAGTAATGCTGAGATAATATCCTTGTCTATGCCTTCTTGTGAACACATGCATTTGTTTCTTTAGAAGAGATGGACATGAAGTATGAAATTGCTGAGTCATGGATGGGCGTGGGCATTTCAAATTGTTAACAGATGTTAGCAGTTTGCCCTCTGAAGCAAACTTGAAAATTTTAAATGAGCTCAAGCTGAGATGAATCACTTTTTTTTTTTTTTTAAAGGAAAAGGCACTCATCCATACATACTATTCTGTAAACAGGTGTGTAACTGTCAAGGTGAGTGGCACACAAGAATTTGATAAAAGTCAAAGTACTGAAGGCGCTGCTAAAGTAGATCTGAGGCTATTCTGACTTCCTCGTTACTCACCTGTGCTATGATTTGCTTTGCAGTGGGAAAGGATGGAGATGCAGCCTGGGAGGGGTTTGGGTGTTGATTCCTGGGCCTTTCATGGGAGTGATTATTCACAGGAAAATCATCCCTATCACAGGAAAAAGGCAGAGAACTGCTGTCTTTGGCACTAAAGACTATGATCTCAGAACCAAAGTAATTATCTTGGAGAAACTGTGGCAATAGAAGAAAAAAGCCAGATGGTTTAAAAAGAACAAATATTGGCTCCCTTGTGAATTCTAGAAACCATAGAAATTGATGTTACTCCCTGGCAAATCCTAGAGTGGATTCTTAAAGAGATGGTTGGGAGCCTTTGAAAGCAAAAGCTTGAGCCCCAGAAACCTGCAGAACTTCATGAAGAACAAGTGAGACCTAATGTGTTATTACACAGGATTCACAGGATTATGAGACAGGGTTACAGGCCAGAGTAGGTTTCAGTTACAGAAAAGTGTGTCATCGAGCCTTTCATGTAAATACAATAGAGGAATGGAAGATGGAACAACAGGGCCACCTGAATCCACTGCAGAATGGTTTGGGTTAGTGTCAGGCACTGGTGGAGAGATTCCTGCAGCGCGCCAAGGACTGTGTCCTTGATCCAGTCTGTTTGCCATTGAGACCAGTCAGGAGCCTCCATACATATGAAGCCTTCAGGGAAGCCAAGGCTGGAAGATCCCCAGAATGAAGGATGATATATCCATGATCAGAAATGTCTTGACAGGCTGGGGAAATGGGCAGAAGCGAATAGTATGAAATAAAATGGGGGTTAACTCAACAAAAGATTGAATACGCAGGCAGAGAGTGGAGAAGAGCTGACTCCAGAGCCTCATGACAAAGTCTGCGGGGTTGCAGAGGCTGTAATGATACCCTAAGCCATTCTACCTGAGGCTGTACTTGCAGAAATACAAGTCCACCCTGACAGAAGTCAAGTCCTCGCAGGTAGCAGCTGCTTTCTAGGATGCTCATGCCCTTCTGACCTCACCAACTGAGCACTTCAGGGGTAAGCTGTATATAAGTTAGACCCATTATCCTAATTACATGTCTTAATTTAAATGATTTAAAAGCATATAAACTATAAGTGCAAAAACAAGTTGTTTCTCAAAAAACTAAGTTGAATTCCTTGAATAGACTCAGCAAAGAACAATCACTAAAAAGTAACAACTGGCTGAATTAGGGGTGTGTTGGGTGAGGGGACTAGAAAGACTAGAAAAAAAAATCATGAAAACATGGATTCTGCAGTCAGATTCCATTGATATTTTAAAGAAACTGACACTGGGCATTGTAGCCAGCACACTTTGGGTGTGGTTTATATGAGAAAGATGAGGCAGAACTCTACTTCAGCAGACACTCAACTCAAAAAGACTGGCAAATGGACATGTATTTACATACTTTACATTCAAATAAAATGTGTAAGATAGGAATCTGATTTGCTTTGGGTCTCTTTAATTGGCTTTTTCAATTAACCCACCAGCCACCATACCAATTGCATCAGCTGTAAGTGCTTTTTCTACTCTCTTATGTTCCATTCTGGCACCAAATTTCACGATAAGCACTGATATGCTAGAACATATTCCAGGGAGAGGGATAAACATGGAAAAGGCTCTATGGCTCAGGTAGCACCTGGTGGTGTCTATAAGCTCTGATGGGCTGTCAGGCTCAAAGATAAACAGATTCAGAGGGAAGAAGAGGGTCTCTGTATCTTGCTCTTTACCTATTCATCTATGTAGTTTTTTCCTTTCCTTTCCAAGAATTACCCTTTCTGCTCACATACTAGACTGTAAACTCAAAGAAAGTAAACAAAATACCTGTTATAAATGCCCTATGGATAGACATTTATCTTACAAATGCCTTTAATTTTAGGCTGTAGGTTTCCAACCGAGCAAAATGCAATTATTTGTATTTGACTCTACAGGTTCCCTAGCCCAACCTCCTCTGTGCTTTTAGCATAAAACGAAGGCAATGGGGGGAGGATCTGTCTCACTGATGATACCAGGTGACTGACACAGAAAGCAGTATGTAGTGAGGGCTTACTATGTGCCCAGTCCTACATTCACAACTTTTTAATATATTTTCTCTTTTAATTCTCATCAATTTTGAGAGGTTGTTACCAGTATCCCCATTTATACAACTGAAAATAGAAAAAGCAGGTGTGGTTTACTTTTCACATAGTCTGTCACTCAGCTTGGAATCAGAGAGGCAGGATGCACACTCAGGCCAGACTCTGGAATCTCCGCTGTCTTGCCAACGTGCTGCACTGTCCGCACACTACATTTTCGTGTGTCCATGCACGTGAAGAGAGAGGGAAGCCAGCGAGACAGGGTGGAATTGGAATGGCACATCTACACAGAGCTGAGGGATCAGCACAGGAGGAGGAAAGAGGCAGGAAAGGGACAGACCAGTCCCCACTGTGAGACATGAGAAAGAGCTGGGCAGGGACGTTTTGTGGTCGGAGAGCTAGAGATTATAGGCCTGCCTGGGAGGACAGTGGTTACCAGAAAAGCAGAGTTAACTAGAAGCCAAAAGGGACCTGCTCAGGCCTTAAAAAGGAAAAATCTTTCCCAGAGGCCAAAAGGGTGGGGAAAAGAAGTAGCTGGGTCTCAAGGGTAGAAGACGTGAGAGCTGGAAAAATGCCCCCAGCCTTAGAGAGGGGCAGGCAGGAGAGGGGCTGTCTGCAGGCCCAAGTCAGGGTCTGACGGAGCCTCTTCAAAGAGCTGAGGTGCGGGGGAACCTGTCCCGGACTGGACATTGCTGGGCTGTGCTGGTTACAGAGCTGTCTACACTTAGTTCCCCTAAGACAGGGATTCTCAAGGTGGGGTTCCCACACCAGCAGCAGCAGCTCACTTGAAAATGTTTTAGAAATGAAAATTCTTGGGCCCCATCTCAGAGCCACCGTTAAAGACTAAATGTTTTCTATCCTCCCACAATGCGTATGTTGAGGCTCCAAGCCCTAGTTTGGCTGTATTTGGAGATGGGGCCTCTACAGAAGTAATTAAGGTTAAATGAAGTCATACGCATGGGACCCTGATTGAACAGGATTAGTGTCCTTATAAGAAGAGACACCAGAGTAGCCCCCTCCCACCTGTGCGTGCTCAGAGGCAAGGGCATATGAGGATACAGTGAGAAGGAAGCCATCTGCAAGCCAGGAAGAGAGCCCTCACCAGAAACCAAACCCTCCCAGAACCTTGATCTTGGACTTTTCAGCCTCCAGAACTGAGAGGAAAGAAATTTCTGTCGTTTAATCCGTCTAGTCTGGTATTTTGTTATGGCAGCCCAAGCAGACTAAGACATCCATTGAATAGGAAATAGGGGTAGAGCCTGGATAGCTGTGTTTTAAAAAGTTCTCCAGGTGATTCTGATACAAGCTCAATTTTGAGAAACACTAGTCTACCTTGGGCTGAACCAAAAAGCCTTCAACCCAATCAGCAAGCATTTACTGGAGTGCCTTGGAGAACAAAGATGAATATTCCCAGACCAAGAAACTCACAACGGAGGGAGGAAAGTGGACAAATAACAAGGATAGAGTACAACAGGAGCTGTGATAGGGTCATGCCCAGAGAGTTATGAGAACACAGAGGAGGGGTCTTTCACCCTGCAGGAGGTGACCTAAGAGCTGACTCCTGAAGGTTGTTTCCACCAGCTGCAAAGAGGAAAAGAAACCCATAAACCAAGGAGTTACAGTCTTCCCACAAGATCTCTCCTCCATCTGCTTTCAGGAGATGTCAATCTCAGAGGCTGCGTTAGCCTGACTGCGTGGAGCAGAAACTTGAGACAGCACTGGGCAGTAAGCCTGAAGGTACTGAGGATGCCCAAGTCACCTCCTTTGACACAGTTCTGTCCCCCAGGCATTGACACTCCAGGCCTCTGATGGGAGCAGCAGCCTTGATGATCTCAGAAATGCCTTCAGGTCTTCCTTTCGTTGTCTTGGTGAATAGCATATGGCATCCTTCCACCAGCACCAATCTCCCTATCAAACAGTAGCCTGGCCAACCTTGGTTTTGTCTTCTGAATACACTTTCTCATTCTTGACAACGAAGCCAGGCTGAGAATTTTCACAATCTTTAAGCTCTGCTTCCCTTTTGATTACAAACTCCATTTTCAGTTTGTTTCTCTCTTCCTGCATTTTACTATCAACAGCCAAGAACAGCTACACTGCACCCTGAACACTTTGCTTAGTGATTTCTTCCACCAAATATCCTAGTTCGTCCCTCTTTGGTTCTGCCTTCCACAAAGCGCTAGGACACGAACACAATTTAGCCAAGTTCTTTGCCACTTTATAATAAGGATGGCCTTTCCTCCAGTTTCCAATACCTTGTTCCTCATTTCCATCTAAGACCTCATCAGAATGGCCTTTACTGTCCATATTTCTATGAACATTCTGATCATGACTACTTAGATAATTTCCGATAAGTCTGAGGCCCTCTCTACAGCTCTCCTCTTCTTCTGAGCCCTCAACAGAATCACCCTAACACTCCATTCACAGAAATCTAGGCTCTTTCTAGCCTGTATGTCCAAACTCTTCCAGCGTCTACCCATTACCCTGTTCCAAAGTCATTTCTACACTTTCAAGTATTTGTTATAGCAACAACCCCACTTCTTGGTACCAATTTCTGTCTCAGTCCATTCCTACTCCTATAACAATGTACCACAGGCTGGGTAATTTATAAATAATAGAAACTTATTCCTCACATTTCTGGAGGCTGGCAAGTCCAAGATCAGGCATCTTGACACTGACCAACAGGTTTAATGTCTGGCAAAGGCCCATTCCTCATAGATGGTGCCATGTAGGTGTCCTTGCATGATGAAAGGTGGAAGGCCAAAAAAGGGGAGGCAGTGGTCTGCAGCCTCTCTTCTAAGGGCATTCATCCTATCCATGAGGGTGGAGCCTTTGCAGCCTCATCACTCCTGGGGTCCCACCTTTCAAATCCATCACCTTGTGGGGTACAGTTCCCACATGGGAGTGGCATCTATACCCGCCCTGGTTCTTAAAATGGAGTGAGCCTCAGAATCTCCTGCAGGGCCTGCTAAAACGCAGACTGCCAGGCCCCACCCCCGGAGGGTTCAGCAGATCTGGAGTGGGGCCCAAGAATCTGCATTTCTAATAACTTCCCACATGATGCTGAGGCTACTGGTCCTGCAGTCACATTAATTTTTAAGAACCATTTTATAGATGATTTTGGATCACTGCCATCAAGTCATCCTTTTTGAGGAACCACAGAGCCCTCCCTTAACAGCCATTTTAATATACAGACAGCAGGAATTTCACACACATCCCCATGGCCTGCCAATCACTCGGCACAGGCACATGTTTTGGGTGCAGCCATGCATCGCTACTGTTACAGCCAAATGTTACGGAGCAAACTGAATGCCGGCTGCTCAGTCCTTCAGATCCTCAACTCTTGGCATTTCATATTTCACCACCACCTGGAGCCTTCACTCCACCACACGTGATGGGCCATGTGACCTGCCCAGCTTACAAGTTGAGGAAGGACAGGGTCCTGAGAGGTGACAGGACCTGCCCACACTCGCTTGGCATCTTGGACTGAGCTTTACTTCCTCTGCATCCCATTTCTAGTTAGGAGCATGGACCCTGGAGAGACCATGGGCAGCAGGGTCACACAGGAGTAACTGGTGGGGCTGATCTCACACCAGGCTGTCACCTGGTTCCTGACTTCCCTCAGGACTTCTGGCCCCTACGCTAACCAGCCCCGGATGCTGTGACTTTCCAACTCCTGCTTCTGACGACTCCAGTTCCTTTGGGTACTCCATTGCTATCACACTTGCAAGCAGTTATTTCTCATCCCTGTTCAGACGCAGGTATGCCCCCCAACAGCCTTGCTCCTCACTTCACGTGTGCTGGGAACTGCTGCAGCTTCAAAGCTGAGTAATAGTGTCCCGGGGGACATCCAACTCACCCCCCACCATCCCATCTCCACTTCAATAACCAGGCAAGGGACTGCCTCAAGGCTGCAGTTCTGGCAGGCACAAGGGTGTGGCAAGCACTGGCTGTCTAGAGGGTCCCAGTGCCCCACACTCCTCACAAAGGGTTGTATCCACCTCTGTCTTCCCTCGGCCTGGAGAGCCCTCTTTGGCAGAGGCCCTCCCAGCAATGCCAATCCTGTGTTCTTCCAAAGCATTCAGAAAGCAGTTCTCTATGTCCATGGCTGGGCACGGTGGCTCACGCTGTAATCCCAGCACTTCAACAGGCCAAGGCAGGCAGATCACTTGAGGTCAGGAGTTTGAGACCAGCCTGGCCAACGTGGTGAAACCCTGTCTTTACTAAAAATACAAAAATTAGCTGGGTGTGGTGGCGGGTGCCTGTAGTCCCAGCTACTCTGGAGGCTGAGGCAGGAGAATCGCTTGAACCCAGGAGGCAGAGGTTGCAGTGAGCCAAGATCGCGCCACTGCACTCCAGCCTGGGCGACAGAGCAAGATGCCATCTCAAAAAAAAAAAAAACAAAAAAACAAACAAACAAACAAACAAAAAAAACCAAGAATTCAGTTCTCTATGTCCAAATAGCTTCTCCCTTTATATCCCAGACACTGTGTGTACAAGAGACTAGGCTAAAAAGTCCATGCTTCCGCAGTTAGAGAAATGCCCTTCAGCTACCCACTAGTGAATCTTGGAAGTAAATTAGCTCCTCCAAAGTCCCAGCAGAACGTGGTTTGAGGAATTCCCCTTCCCACAGCAATTTGGTGGCCTCATGAGTCAACATTTCTCAAAGACATTCTTCAGTATTTAATGTGTAATCTTGGACCAGGGACCTAACCTCTCTGTGCCTCAGTTTCCTCATCTATATAATGGGCAATAACAGTATTTACTTAAAAGGCTTATTGTGCAGATTAAGTGAGCTCATGTGCATAACTCTAAGGATAGCTGCAGAGGGAGCCACAGGGTCTGGCTCCAATATTGATGCTGCTCTGAGTATTAACGGAGGCCACAAACTATGTGGCCTCATTTATATCACTTAGAGTTGTCAGTTATATGCAAATTAATGGAAGACAACTCTCCTTCCACCAAATGGCCAGGCACATGCAATGTGCTTTTCTTGCAGAAAGGGAAGAGCGGGGCCCACCCCTACCTGGGGGTGGGAAAAGAGGGGAATGAAAAGACTAAGGGGATCCTTCTAGGACCTACCAGGTCAACTCCCTCTCAGAAGAAAGCCACAGCTGAGCCACAGCCCCACGGTCAGATCAAGCAGGCGGATAAAACAAGTGCTGTCTAAACAAAAGAAGCGGGGCTGCCAACCCCACACTTACTTCCAGGACTGTCCATTGTTCAACCACAATAGCATCATAGCCCTGTATGGTTTTGCTATCTTCTGTGGAAACAGCTTCAAAGATGAATACTCCATCTGTCAAGCCATGTAAGGAATCTGTGGAAAAAGAAAAAGGCGGGGGTGGGGGGGGTCTGTAAACCGTCTGTGGCAGAAGTCTTCTAAGCAGCAAACATTTCCACTGCATTCATTAATAATCCCAATCAGAACATCTTTTCAGCATGTTAATTAAAGAAGGCACACACAAGCCATAGAGTCTATCTAGCCCTATCAGAATGAATGAGGCTAATTTACCTCACAGTTTTGAATAATATCCTTGATTTTATGAGCCCAAATTTCATTGTTAGCAATCACCATTTGATTTCACACGTTTACCTTCCTTTTCATGCTCCAGCGTCAGGATGCACTGGGGAGAACTTATCCAGGGTAAAACACAGTCATTTAGAGACAGTTTTTAGAAGCAAACTATATTTAGGTGAGGGTTTTTTTTTTCTTTTTTCTTTTTTTTTAAAGGGAAGAGATATAACACACCAGATCTGAGCTTGTCAGATGCGTTGATTTTTGGAAGTTCACATGATGTGGGCTGCAGTCCAGACAACATCTTAGGCAGCTCTTGTCAAGAGGTGGAATGTGGGGGAGAGGGAATTTTCCCAAATAATTTACCACTGGAAATGTTTCCCTGGGTGCTGCTCTAGTCAATGTACCAGGTTCTGAGCTCTGCACAATTCGACAAGTATACATGAAATGTATAGCATGATCAAGAACTATCTTAGGCAATGAGGGTAAAAAGAAATATAGAACAGGCCAGGCGCAGTGGCTCACACCTGTAATCCCAGCACTTTGGGAGCCAAGGCAGGAGGATTCACTGAGCTCAGGAGTTCGAGACCAGCCTGGGCAACACAATGAAACTCTATCTATACTAAAATACAAAAAATTAGCTGGGCGTGGCAGGGTATGGCTGTAATCCCAGCTACTTGGGAGGCTGAGGCAGGAGAATCGCTTGAACCGGGGAGGTGGAGGTTGCAGTGAGCCGAGATAGCACCACTGTACTTCAGCCTGGGTGACAGAGCGAGATTCTGTCTCCAAAAAAAAAAAAAAAAAAAAGAAATACTGAACAGAGTCCTTGACCCTATAGAATACACTAAGGGAAGCACCTTTTGCCCCTTTGTTTGGGGCATGGCTCCTAAATGTCCTAGGTTCATTTTGATAAGGGATTTGGGGGAAGAAGACTGACTTAGAAGCAAGTGGTTTGAAGCTAGGCTCTATCATGAAAGGTGATGTGACTCTTTCAAGGGCTAGGTCTCTCATCTATGGGATTATGGACAATCTCTCTTGGTTCCCAGACTTGATGCTATAAACACTGCTCAATCATAATATTATGGACTGAATTGTTTCCTCCCAAAATTCGTATGTTGAAGCCCTAACCCACAATGTGACTATATTTGGAGACAGAGCCTTTAGGAAGGTAATTAAGGTTAAATGAGGTCCTAGTCCTCCTTTAACTAGGGTAGGATGGGGCCTTAGTCTAATAGGACTGGTGTCCTTATTAGAAGAGGAAGAGAAACCAGAGCCCTCTCTCTCCCTTTCCTGGCGTGTGTAAAGAGGAAAAGCCACGTGAGGACACAGCAGGAAGGTGGCTGTCTGCAAGCCAGGAAGAGAGCCCTAGCCAGAAACTGAAGTTGTGGGAACCTTGACCATGGACTTCTATCCTCCAGAACTGAGAGAAAATAAGTGTCTGTTGTTTAAGCCACGCAGTGTGTGGTATTTTGTTATGACAGTCCTAGTAAACATACAAACAAAGCGCATTTCAATGATACGCTCTTTTAAAAGGACAATTTTTAATAGGGCAAATCCATAATAATGTGACCTTTTTTTTTTCATGGGGAGGGAAGGGAGACAAATTCAGAAAGTCCCCTGAATCATGCTGGAGTTCCTGGAACTGCCAGTATTTTCTAGAAGTCACAAAGAAAAAGACTGACAAATGTGAATATATAACAATCTTTAGCTTTGGCTCCCAAGAGACCCCATAAACAAAAGGTCATCAGCATGAGAAAATTATTTGCAACAACAATAACAAAAATAAAGGCTAAGCTTAATATTTTTATATATAAAAAGCTTTTATAGTTAAAAATACTGAAACACCATTAGAAACAAAGGACATAAAGCAATTAATTAATTCTCTTTATCTTTCCATGGCCAGTAAACATTGAAAAAAATTGCAGTTTCTTTTTTTTTTTGTTTGAGGTAGGGTCTCACTCTGTCTCTTAGACTGGAGTGCCATGGCACAATCACGGCTCACTGCAGCCTCAACCTCCTGGGCTCAAGTGATCCTCCCACCACAGCCTCCCGAGTAGCTGGGACCACAGGCACATGCCACCACCCCAGCTAATTTTTTATTATTTGTAGAGATGCGGTCTCACTATGTTTCTCAGGCTAGTTTCGGACTGCTGGACTCCCAAAGTGCTGGAATTACAGGCAAGAGCCACCGTTCCAGGCCTCAACTTCTTTTTTATTTAGCAAGGTGACAAATTTTGAAAAGAAAATTTTCACTGCTGGTAAAGGTATGGTGATATGCAAAAGTTTACAGTGCTTAAGGGAATTTTAACTGTACAATCTTTATAGAAAGCAATTTAACAATGTTGCAGGAGCTTGCCACAAAAAGTCCACCCTCTTTCACCCAGAAATCTTACCTTTCTTGTCTATCATGAGGTAATAACCTCCAATGCCATCAAATACCCATCTACAAGCATTACTTATAAAATTACTTAAAAACTTAATCTAAATGTTCAACAATCCAAATATTTAACCATAGAAAAATAGTTAAATTTGGAGATTTCTATAAAATACTAGCCTGTCCCTAAAAATATTATGGGAATTTAATGATTTGGAAAAATGCTTTAGATACAATATTATGGAGAAAAAACTAGGATATAAAACTGCCACATGAGCTCAATATGGATTTTTATGTTAAAATGGTTTAGACAAACTTTAAGGAAATACACAAAATGCTAGCAGCAGTTATAAGTGGTAGAATTACATATAATTTGAGTTTTCTTTTATATCCTTTTCTGTGAGGTTATTAACAAGTTAATACAGGTATAACACAAGTAAATGGACAACACAAATGACAAAGAATTTCCTTTTTCTCTCCTCTACAAGGCTCTTGAAGGCCTAACTAGAATCAAAGAGTTTTTTAAAACTATGGGGAGATGATTTTAGTGTAATCTAAATAGAAAAACTTCCCTTAGAGGAGTCTAAAAATGGCATATAGGGCCTCAGAAGGGTGAGTGACATGTTACTGGAGTTCAAGTGCACTGAATAACCTTCCAGCCATTCATTATGACACCTACTGGGAATCTATTATGTGCCAAGTAGTCCTGTAGTCACTAGAGATCTCACAAGCAGCAAGATAAAGTCCCTGCCTACATGAAGCTTACCTTGCAGTGGAGGAGGAAGACAATAACATCATGTCAGAGGTGATACATGCTAGAAAAATACTAAGTGGGCCAAGGGGAGAGTGTGAAGGTGGACACAGTGGTGGTGGCTATTTTTGAAAGAGGCATCAGGGTAGGGCTCCCCACTTCGAGTGAACTAAGCAAGCAAGGAACATGGATCTGCAGGGTTTGAGAGTTCCAGGAGGAAGGGACAGCCAGCCTGACATGCAGAGTGAACGAAGGACAGCCAAGGACCAGGTGAGCAGCAGAATCAGGAGAGAAGGTGGTTAAGACTAAATTGACTGGTGGGGAGGCCAGCCACTTAGGGCTCTGTTCATCTGACTTGCTTGGCCAATGGGATATTAGCAGGTGTAATGCAAGCAGAGACATAAAAAGCACGTGTGTGGTTGAACTTGGCCTCTTGTGTCTTGGCCATTACATTGAGAGGGCATGCCCCAGTTAGCCAGTTGGTTCTAGGGAGATGAAGGACAAATGGAGCAGAGCTGCCGCAGTGGAGCCCAGCTGAGACCAGTTCTGCCTCAACAGAGCTGCTCCAGCCAACCCCAAAATCTGCCAGAGTAAATTGTTACCATTGTAAGCCAATGAGTTCTGAAGTGGTTTGTTACACAGAATTATTGGAGCAATAGCTGACTGACACAATGCACAACCTAGACCTAAAAACAAGACCACTGTACTTTGCTTAGCTTGGGTCCTCATTCCAGAATAATAGGAAGGCCTAACCGGTTCAACAAACCATGGCTGTAAGGTAATAAGCACAGCAGCCTTATCCTGATATTATCCCAACATAAGATAGTTCTCCATTTCAAGTAAGAGCCCTATGGGTAAACCAATAACACACTCCAACTTCTTGTTTCCCATCCTGAGAGTCTGTTATCAAACAGCCTTGGCAGATGCTAAGCTTGCCTCTCTCATCTGCTTTGCTGAAATGTTCCTCCCAAGTGCTTATTCCATGGCCTCCTAAGAGACATGTTTCATAGGTTATCAGGGAAAAACAGCTGCTCTGCAGCTAAATCACATCACAAGTATTTTGGGGTCCAAGGTGAGTATGGACCATAGTCCAGCTTACTTTTTAAGTCCTGGGTAACACTCCAGGAGTCCATCTGGAGCCCCTATCACAATAGGGATGCCCTAAGAGACCCCTTTGAGTAAAGCCCTCCCAAATCCTGACCTGGGCATGCTTGAGACCAGAAGACACTCAATGATTCCATCAGGATTGTATCAACACAGCACACATTTCCTCAAGACTACTACAAAAATAAGTTATATCAAATTTCCAAAGCCTCTACATACAGATCTTCTCAATGGAAAACCTCTAAGCCCTTTAAAAGTGCCTGCCATGTGCTTTCAGTACTTAAGTGCTTAATTCAACATAAATTATATGATGGTGTTTAGCCTGCCCATGGCGAGCATGGCAGAGCCGAGGTCCAGAAGAGGGAAGGGGACACTCACAGCCCATCCAGACTTTTTCTCCATCCCCTGCTGGGCTTCCTCTCCTTCCTCCTGAGTCACAGGCCTGGGAAGGGGGCTGTGTAGTCCGCAGGGAAAGCTACGGCTAGCTTGAGGGCATGAAGGAGGAACACACCCAGATCCTTATTCACCACCCACCTCATCCACTGCCTGCCTCCCAGCCTCCCCACCTCAGCCTAATGCTCCAGTATTCTGAATCCAGAGCACTGATTCACCTACTTAACCATGAGGCTGAAGTTCAGAATGGCTATCAAAATCTGGTTATCTGTAACAGCAAAAAAGTCAATGAACCAGAGAGCAGACAGCTGGGCTTTTAAAGAGTCGCTTGTTTTGACGGCCTTGTCCACTCCTTGTCTCCTCATTACCTTCATGGCTCAGCCTCACTATAATGTGCACTGAATTGGGTATAAATAGGTTTATCTTAGAGTGAAGGCTCCAATGTAAAAAGGTTAAACTGCCCTCCGTCTATGGAAAACATTCCATTATCACTGCATTTTTTATTAAAGCGAAGATGCTTCCCTACTGTGCACAAAAAGCTATTTTCCCTCGTACTGTATAAATATTTGATGCTGGTCTTTTGGCAAAAGGCCACCTTAATATTCCAAGCTTATGATTTACAAGAAGGATGTGGGAAAAGGAGATTTGCCATATTATTTCAAGAGGTAAATTCTGTGAGGCAACCACTCTTCTGCAGCCTCTGAGACATTAAGACTGTCTATATCAAGCTAACCTTCAGGCTCAGCCCCAGGGTGCTGTGCTTCGCCAAAGTCTAGCCTGAATGTGCATGCCATGACAAGCGGTCAATGCATTTGGTCTATTTTTGCAGGGTTAAAGACAAAGTGTTACTGTTCTCCTTTAAACAAGCTAGACTGGACCAGATTGTCCACCCTGGACTAGCTGGCATAACAGATCCTCTTGGCTCTCTGAGGGCGCCTTCTCTCCATCAGAGGTCGCACAGCACCACCTTGATTCCAGGATTCTTGGCACCACCTTGATTCCAGGATTAGCAATCGCCAACTGCGTAAGCCCAACTGCACATGCAATCATATGACATGTGATCCCATGGCAAATGTAATCACCGCTCAACCAATCCCAGGTAACGGTGCCATGTTGCTTCCCAATCACACTGCAGCTAATTTGCTCTATTAACCAAAGAATGAGCAAGGCTGCTGCCTTCTCTTGCTTCTTGAACACTCACTGCTGCTCTGGGCCGGCCTGCCTTCCTACATTCTCAATTTGAGGCAATGAATAATCTAGAAAAGATATTACTCCTCTTCAGGTAGAAAAGGGTTAGCTTGCAAGTTGCAGCGCCATTTAACTGACCAGATAGGGAAGAAACATTCTGATTCAGTGTTAGCTGGACGTGGAAGCACTCTGCCAGATGCAGTTCAAGGCTTTTCATTGAATCCTCCCCAAAATTCTGTAAGAGCTGTCATTCCCTTTTAGTGGGTAGACAACTGAGTTAAATGATTAGTCCATGTTCATGTGGAGTTCAAGGGCCAAGCCAGATCTGAAATGTGATTTGTTTCATCCTAAAACCTACTCGTTTTCCACAGTAGACATTGAGCTACTACTATGGTGAAGCAGATCCTGTTTGAGGCACCGGGGGTAGGTGCTAGACAGGCTAGGTTTCTACCCTTGCAGAGCTGGTGTTTTCTGACCACTGCACCATACTCTCTCTGCCTCGGTGGTTAGGGTGAGATTTCAGTTGGGTCACAATGAGATGGGCTTAGGGCTTCTGTTTGGGGCCACATCTGTGCAGATGCCATGCTGTCCTATATGGGGCAAAATAAATAAATAAATAAAAATATGCTTGTAAATGGCTAAGTTACGTATATAGCTGTGTATTTGACACAATGGAATAGCACACAGCAATGAGAGAAAATGGTCTTCAATTACATGTAAAAATATGAATGAATCCCACAATGACAAGTATATAAAGTCTGTACAGTTCAAAACTCATCAACAGTGTTTCAAGTAGGGACTGTGGTTACTCTGGGGGGATAGAAACAGCGTGGGGCACGCAGGGGCTTCTAGGGGCTTGTTAAGTTCTACGTCTTGATCTCTGTGCTGGTGACATGGGTGTGCTCACCTTGTGAAAAGCCACTGAGCTATATCCTATGATCTGTACAGTTTTTTACGTGTGTGCTAAACTGCAATAAAAGTTTTTTTAAAGGTGTCCTATGGACACATGAGAAAATGCATTTAATGGCATACGTGCAATTTAGCCCCTACATTATTAAGTGGCTTCTTTGAAATAGAAGCCCTGCCTGTAACCACTAGGCCAGACATTCCTGGAGGTGGGTGGTGTCCCAAGGGAGTGGCTATCAGAAACACCTGGTACTACTTCATTCTCCCTCTTTACCAGTCCCACCCTAAAACCTGCAGATTCCTGGGGAAACACTCCAATATCAGTGTTTTCCCTCACCACCACTGGCATTATTGAGCATCATCCAGAACTATCATTAGCCACCTTCTGAATACAGCACTGTGATGTTAAGAAAGTACAAAAAGTAGGACCTGCCTGGGGGGTTGGTTGCGAGTATGTCTGTATAAAATATATACCCCACATATTTAATATATATTTTATTTAAAACATGTACATGTGTTTTACTTATGTATTTTGCAAATATATGATCATGGAGGATATGCTAGGTGTCAAAAAAAGGTGGTATAAATACCCATACAAAGTGATACTTGGATTTAGATGCAGCTGGGGCACCGGAGAAAGTCTCAAGGGAGACCTAATCTTTTAAAAAGGTGGCAGCAGAGAGACATCTGGGTGTCATGTGACCCCTATGTGATGCAGTGTGGAGAACACATTGCCTGGAACGTATTCTTGTCATAATTCTTAACTTATCAAGGCCTTAGAACTAACTTCCAGGTTACAGGAAATAGAGGCTGGAGATATAAGATCAATGACACCATGAGCCCTGACCAGATGAAACCATCATGCAGGCCATTCTGCAGAATAAGAGGCTAGGTTCCTTTCAAGCAGTCAGGGAAAGAAAAAAGGGCTCTTCTAGGCAAAAAGAGAAGTGAGGATACAGTCACCGCAAACACCGACTGTTACTGGAGTAGATTCTGGTTTGGATAATCAGCTGCAAAGGCCATTTCTGAAACAAAGAGGTGGAGGACTGCCAGGGTAGGAAAGGGCAAGCACAGGCCAAGGGTATGAGGAACGAGGACAGGAGTGGGCAGGGGTGTGGAGCAGGGAAGGCAGGGCAAAGAGGGTAGTTGGAGGCGGGGGACAGGACAGAACCAGAGGAATGCTGGGCAAGGCAGGGCAAGAGAGATGGTGGCAGCGGCAGCAGCCTCAGTGGCTGGTGATGGCAGCAGCCATTCTGTAGGCCCAGAGGCCTTCGTGAAAAATCAGCCTCCTCGCTGGGTCTTCAGGGGTGGGCAGCCTTAGTCTTACCCCAAACTCCTGGCTCCCACCCAACTCCTCCACAACAGCTGGCTCAGCTCGGGGTCTCTCCTCCTGGTCTTTCCCATCCTCTAGAAATAGAGAAACTGGCCTTCATCTCACTGGCCGACATGTTCCTGAGTGCCTGGCTGCTCTATATGTGGCCCCTGGACTCATTCTTGCTTCCATCGGGTCCTGCCACCTCCCTAGAGTGACCTTGGAGTCCTCCTCGTCCCACCGGGAGAGCCGCCAAAGTCCCGCTGGGGGCCACAACTCCTGCCAGCATAGCCACGTCTTTCCTTTTCTATCCCGCCCACCTCATGGTCCTTTTGTCTGCCTACCCCCTTCTTTCTTCCTGCCACCTTCTTGCTCTTACTAGCCAGTAACCTTGACAATGACATAATGTCTCTGTGCCTCAGTTTCCACAGCTATAACACAGGCATAACTACCTACTTCACTGAGGTATTGTGAGGATGAAGTCAATGCTAAGTTTGAATTACTGAGACCAGCACCCACACAAAGCAACCGCTAGGTGTCCATGGTCATCACTATGCCCCTCCTCTGTGCCCTAAGCTTGCCAGAGCCCACGGGCAGAGCCTCCCCCAGCCCAAGACACCGGGTCATTCTAAGGTTTAATGAACGACCCAGGGAGAGGAGTCCTGGACACCATGAGCAGGAGCCCAAACTTGAGGACTGTACAAGTCTTTCTATGTCCCAGGGTGGGAGGCATGGGGAGGGGAGTAATGCCTCAAGAACAGAAGCTCTGGAGTCTGCACTGGGTAATTCAGGCTGAAACATCACCTTGTTTATGGGACACAGTTCTCATGAGCTTTATGACCCTGTGGAAAATATTTTGGAGTATAAATCTCTATTCAGGAGTCGTGACTAGTGCCATTCCAGATGGCAAACAGCTTAAAGATGTGCTTCTAGCTCTGCCAGCTTTATTTGTAAGGACACTAATTATCTCACTAGAAATAGGTTCCTCTTATGATTACGATTAGCTTGCCATTTTTTTTCTTAATTCTGGGAAAAGATCACACACGTATTTCATCCCTGGCCAACGGAAACCTTGGACTTTTCCAGAGCAGAAACGCCCTAACCCAGGAAGCATTACTCCCAGTCATACTCTCCCTCCCAAAAGACATATAAAGGGTGAAATGGTGTTTAAAGTCAGAGTGGGTTTCAATTCATTTTGTTCTGAGAATTGTGCAGCCCTCCCTGACATAGAGATGAACAGCTATGGTGGCGCTCTAAGATACGGGCTGCATACAGGAAGATGCCTGGGCCCTGTGGAGGACTTCACGGTTGCGCTTGCCAGGGGAAATTTCATGTTCTGTCTTCAGGGCAGGAAGAATGAATTTAATGTGGTTAAAGCCAAGGGAGGCTATAACAGTATTTCAAACACTCAAGTCAAATCTGAAGAAAAAGCTGCTTAAGTTGTCTGCATTTCTGGACTCCAGGTTGAAGAGTGGGGTGACGGGAAGTAGAGGAGGCTAACTCAGCCTTGATCACCAAACCATAATGGTAGAGGAACAGCAAATGGGTTTGTGAACGTTCCAAGTGTTCTTTCTTGGAGGTCTTAGGGCCCCTGACATGCTCAGGCAGTGGGGTCAAAGAGAAAACCTTCCTTCTGATGCCCTAGTTTTCCTAAGAGGGGAAGAAATTCCAAGTGGCCACCTGTGTATCCACTATCTCCAGCACCTCTCTGCACACCTTCAACAACTAACCATCAGTTTCCTAGGGAGGAATGTAAAACTATGCATGGCCACAGATAGCATCTATGGGCACCGAGAGGGGATGAAAGGAGCCACTGTTGCCACAACCCAAGATGGGCAATGTGGTGTCCCTGCAGGAAACAGGGAGCCAAAGGTTCCTCCCTGGCCTTCTCTGACACTGATATGTCAGGCTGTAAACATCTGTCCCAAGTTGGCCCCAAGCATGTACCGCCACTGGTGTTTTATGATGCATCTGAAACCAGACCGTGACAACCCCTGGCTTTGGGGAACTTTGTAAGTACCCACGGAGGGCTTCCTTGTGTAGAGGGAGGTTACCCACCTTGCCACCAGGGCACAGAAGTAACCCTACATTAGTTGTATTAAAGACACGTATATTCGGCCGGGCACAGTGGCTCACGCCTGTAATCCCAGCACTTTGGGAGGCCAAGGCGGGTGGATCACGAGGTCAGGGAACTGAGACCATCCTGGCTAACACAGCGAAACCCCATCTCTACTAAAAATACAAAAAAATTAGCCTGCGTGGTGGCGGGTGCCTGTAATCCCAGCTACTCGGGAGGCTGAGGCAGGAGAATGGCATGAACCTGGGAGGTGGAGCTTGCAGTGAGCCGAGATCGCGCCACTGCATTCCAGCACTCCAGCCTGGGCGACAGAGCGAGACTCTGTCCAAAAAAAAAAAAGGCATGTATATTCTAGAACTGCACTGACCAAGTACACACTGACCAGTGACACTAGCCACTAGCCACATATAGTTATTTAAACTTAATGAAAGTTAAATGAATTTTAAAATTCAATTATTCAGATGCAGTATCCACATTTCAAGTGCTCAGTAGCCGCAGGCAGCCGGTGGCCGCCATACTGGACAACCCAGGTACAGAACAAACACCTCCATCATCATGGGCACTTCTATTGGACAGCCCTGCTCTGGATGTATTCTTAACAAGCCAATCACCTTTCTTGTGTCATTCATGCATTCAACAAATGGTTATGGACCACTACACTATACAATGCCTGCTGCTACTATGATAACGTGTCAATATTAGTCAATGATACTTAGATAGAGACTCGCATCCAAAATTAAGAGCTGTCTGTGCTGTATCATGTTCTAAGACTTTGGATGATTTAAAGTACATTCATTTAGAATTCAGAATGGTCTCTATTCTCAGGATGCTTGCTGGCATTTCAAGGATTGCAAACAATGTAGAATCCAAACTCTGTTCGTGACTCTGTTAATTCTTGAGAGAAAACAGCTCAACAACAACACACGGCGCTGTTGATGCCCCCTGCCAGGTTTTGCTGGGATTGACAAATTTGGTGTTATGTGTCACTTAGGAATCCTGCTGACTGGCAGTCCTCAGGATACGCACGTGCTGGCACGTTGGTCCCACTCCCCAAGTTGCCTCCCAGACTTGACACACCCTGGTGACTCAACTTGCCTTCTCGTTAACCTAAAGCCTTTTCTTTGTTTGACACATTTTCCCACTGTGGGCAGACTTTCTGCCTTAGGAGAGCTGACATCAATAGTGCTATCCCATGCAGCAAACCACTAGAGACAGCACATTACTGGGGAGGGGGTACTGGGTGCTGGGAGACCTGGGAACAGTGTGTGTCTCAGTGGAGCTTACAGAAACCAGGCTGTTCAATTTATTTCTCTGCTGTTAATTTCAAGGTGCTGCTACTGCTACTTCAAACTGTAATAGTGTCTACAAACAATTTGCACTTTGGAATGCCACAATCCCAGGGGGTAATTAACAAATCCAGGGAACAATCTTTTTAAAAGCCTTTAAAAGCAACAGAGACTGAGGCCACCTTCGATGAAATAGAATCACTCCACTTTCTCTGTCATTTCAGAAGATACCTGGCTGACTCGTAGAGAGGTTTTGAGAGCACAGGCCCTGGGCTTTATGGAAAGTTCCTCAAGATGTGTTAATTAGAAATAAAATGCAGCATGGTTATCGGCTGCAGAGCTTTCTGAATGAAGCAGACTCTGAAGAGGGACTAAGATTTCAAGAGTTAGAAGCAGAGTTCACAAAGGGCCACCCAAGGACTGTGAATTCCAAACATACCATTCACTATTCCAAGGTAGAAGACTGCGTTCACCAGCATGCCTCCTTTCCGGAAGTGGTCGCTCATGTGCTCTAACCAGTTGGCGTCCAAACCGCTCACTGTCTGGCCATTCTTGGAGACATGGAGAGGAATGGTGACAGGGTAGTATTGCCGGCACTTCTGATGGCTCTTCGGTTTGTTGAAAAGGGTGAAGATCTCCATTTCTGTTGGGATTTGTAAAGGGAGTGGAGAGAGAAGAGGTCAACTGATGATAAAAATCTGTTTCATCGGCTTAAGTGGAATCTCTCAGGAGCCTGAATAAATGATATGATGAATGCTGAAATCTCTGTGAGGCTGTATTGTTGCCAGATAATAAAGCCTCATTCCAAGTAATAAGTTGAGGCTGGCTTAAAGTAACATGGACCTGAAGGGTTGGGCTTCTGATGGGGAACTTAGGTTTTTAATCTGGAATATAATGAATAGCTGTTATCTGCGATTAATAGGCACAGCTAGGTGTTTGAGAAAAGAACATAGCAGATGGTTCTAGAAATTCATACAAAGATGTGTTTTAGAAATAAAAGCAGACATACTTGGGTGAGAATGGTCTTTGGAAAACTAAATGTACAGAGACACATAAAAACAAAAATACTGCTCTAATTCCAGGAACCTTGTACACTCCTGAACTCACTATTTATAAACTGCAGTAGTGTTTCCTGGGGCTGAACCCATAATACTTAATCAAGTACATCAAAAATACATCATTGATATGTAAAAATAAATATGTTCCCGTAAATGAGAGTTCCTGCCTGGAGTGGCAGGTCGGTCCAAACAGCCAAGAAGGCACAGGGGATGAGGCGCTGAGCTTTTGGTTCCTTCATTTATAGCTCAGTTCTTCAGCAATCAATAATCACTGCCACCCAGCAGCTGAGCCGCAACTGCCTACGTGCAGCTGGGCGTGGCTTAGCAGTAGCAGCCTCCAGAAGCAAATACCTGGAATTTCAATCTAAGTCTGAGAGTCTATTTTTGTGCTCCTCATTTAGTCAAGCAATCAGTTGACCCAGCTTAAAAAGTCTTGCTTACACAGGCTAGTCAGGAATATGCTTTGGTTTCCAAAAATATCTTCTTAAATCATAAGAAAATCCCCACCCTTCTTTGAAGCAAGAATTTAAAGGTCATAAACAATGGTTGACATTAGCAAGAAGGACAAAGCACATTCATGCTCCCTGCATGAAACACCTGGACCCACACTCTCTGATGCTGTTTCTCAGATTTCAGTATCTCACAATGTTTTGTGGTATCCAAGTACTAGTTGATTTTTTTAATTGACTCACTTTCCTTTATTTAAACAAACACATTTTTTTAGAAAAAGGAAACTTTGTTTCATGACTATGAAGGCAGTCCGCTACCACTTGCCAAAAACAAGGGGTAATGATGAAGCACATTAACACCAAATATGTTCATCCATCTAACATCTAAAATTATCTCACATAGGTCACAAAGTCTTCTCACAGCCCCGCCTGAGCGAACACCAGCAGAGATCTCTAGGGACCAACGCTGGGCCATATTACTTTGTCATCAGCAATACCTGAATGAACAGCAGCCATTTCAGGCTTTCCATCCAATAGAACAATTAGGGAAGGAAGGTGCCCGTCTTTGGAAGTGGCCACCTGTATTTTAAACACCAATTCTAGCCTGTTCATCATCCCCACGCCAAGTTGCTTTTCTCAGCCCTCCTGCTTACTCAGGAAGCCATCTCCAGCCAGGAAGTACTTTCACACCAGAAATTAGGTCTTGGTGTATAGAACTGGCAGTCACTAGACTAGTTTGTGAGTTCACAATACAAACTTTAGAAATGGAGCGACACAGAGGAGGTTCGTAATGGAGGGAATCCGGCCATAAATTGGGGCTGGGGTGGGCAGGAGGTGAACTAGATGATTGGGTGTTTTCCAGTCCTGGGTGTCAGGGGTTCAATTAAAAGCTGCAGCTACCGAGGGCAAGAGGATAAGCAAGGTTTTAGTGAGTTCTTGGGTTTATTTGGATTCCTTCGAAAGCAGACCCTGCAAGCTTTCCTGTGCAAGTAGTTTATTTGGGAAGTGATCCCAGGAAACAGAGGGAAGGAGTAGGAATGGGCAACAGGAAGGAGCTGGAGATGATGCCAGTGAATGAGTGCACTGAAGAGCATGTTACCACTGGGGCAGCTAGGGCTCAATCCCAACAAGGACCCTGAGACACTGTGTAAAACACACTTCAGATTCACCCACCAAGGGCAAGGAAGGTGGGACATTTATCCCCATAAATTGAAGGTCACTCCTGAATCATTAATTCCTCAGGGCCCATTCCCGAGAATGGCTGCAGGTAGAGAGGCTAAGGAAGCGGTGGGCTCGGCCAGAGCTGTCCACAGGTGACCCCAACATGGGCCATAGCACCACTCGCTACAGCCTGCTACAGTCAAGCACAAATGCAAATGAATTAAGAAGAAGAAGAAAAAAATCACAGCCTCTGTGTGGGAGAAGTAGGTGGGGAATTTGGAAGTGGCCAAAGTCCAAAACTACATGGTAACACTTGATCACACAGAAGGAACTCCCACTCAATGGCAAGACAGAAACATAACTTTCCCAAATGCGTAATGAACCAGGAAAAGGGGAAGGCCAAAGGAGAAGTGAGAATGCTGGGGGTGTAGCGGAGGAAGACAGAGACCCTCAGAAAAGGTAGACGGTGCTGACAGCTTTCCCGGCTTGATCCTCCCCAGGGGGCCAGACTGAAGCCAGAGACAGAAATAAATTTCTCAGGAAAAGGAAACAGTGTTGGAACGAAGAGCCTCCAAAGCATCAGCAGCAATGAAATATTGGGAGAAACCTGATTGCACATGCATAACCCTTGTACGCTCCTCTGCCCCATCATCTCCTTGTCTCCAGTCCTTTCTCTACCCACATGGAAACCAGCCAAGAGAACTGTCCAAAAGTGATGTCCTTTGATGTTTTAATATTCTGATTCTCCAACACACATCCTCACGTGAGCAAGCACCAAAGATTCCAAAAAGAAGCCCCACGTTTGTTTAAATTTTCTCAGCTGCTCTGTGACTCTGCCATGACCCCAGCTGGAAGATTTTTCCAGACATGGGATGGTAAGTCCCAAAGGGATAGGGAAGGCATTGTTTTTGAGAATGTTCTGGGAGTGGCTGAAGGACTGTACTGGCAGAGCACCCAAGGAGCATTTGGACTGTCTTCTCATCTCTCCCTTTCCCCCACCTTGCCTCATTTAGATCCCTCCTGTTACACGTGTTCACCGTATTGACCTAAGCCAACCAGAGGAGAAAGTGAGGGCAGGTTAAGGGGGCATGGGGCCCAAGGGTGGGGGTGGCTGAGTCCTGCCAGCCTTGGAGCCTGGTCCATTCAGGCCTTGCCAGGCTACTAGGGAGTGGGGAGGAAAGAGGCAGCTGTCCAGCCCTGAGGTCTGTACCTGGGCGTGGGGACTCTGGCACAGGATGGAAGGCTGCAGTTTGCCTGCAGGTGGGGCCCCAGAGAGCCCAGGTCTTGAGGGTAAGCAGGGGACTGGCTGGGCCCTGCTGTCCCAGGAGACCTCTGGTCTGGAGAGAAGAAAGAGTTTAGAGCCTGGGTGAAAATCTGGGGCTCCAAGGGCTAGATGTGGGAGGAGGAGGCAGCTGGTCATTAGCTGCATTGGAAGGAACAAGTGGGCATCACACTTGGCTGGGCAGTCCAAGCTGGGTGGGGACTGCAGGCTGCTGAGGTCATGGGCAGAAGGAACTAAGCAGAAAGGTTTGCATTGGGAAGGGAGGCAGTGGGCACCATGGTGGCGAGGCAGGGCAGGAGGGTAGAAGGGCCCCAGGCTGCTCCATCCAGATGCCTAAATCTGGGCAAGGCTGCTCAAGCTTCGCTAAGGCTTGGGTACTAATAGCAGGTACTAATAGTGAGGCCCGCTTGCCAGGGCAGCAGGAAAGGCAAAGTGCAGGGACCGCTGCTGCGTGCACAACAATCCACAGGACTCCACCTGCAAGCATGACAGCAGCCACAGGCATGTGTCCCATATTTACAAGGGCCTTTCACCTTCACCATCTCATGTGACTCTCCCAAACTTGATGAGAGGGGGTGGCCCTGGTTCTGTGCCCAGAAGTGCTAAGTGGATCCCCCAGAAATCACAAGCCAGTAAGTGGCACAGCCAAGAGTCTTTCAAACCCCAAACCCTGGGCTCTTTCCCAAATCTAACAAGAGGCTAACTTCATCAGGACACAGAAGGCAGGGGCTGATGACCGTGGGTGGGAGCTCAATAGCTGTTTGTTAATGGACTGAGTAAAAGGCCAGAAAGATGGCGGCAGGTGGCAGATCTGGGAGGGGGCCGCATCATGGGGTCCAACTATCCCAAGGGAGTTGGGAGGGAAGGAGCCCTCACATCAGGAAAGCCCAACCCCCAGGTTTTGGCCATTCACAATGAGCTGGCAGCCAGGGAGGGCTACTGAATAAAATCCTCTCAGCCAGAAACATGATTGGCATCACACGCTTGGGTTTCTGGCTGACATTTCTAAGCATTTTAAGTGAGGAGGTGCAGGGTAGGAAGGGCAGTGCTTGGAAGACTTGTTATTTTGGTGACGGTGAGAATGATTAGAATTTTCGTGAACCTGTCTAGCCTCCTGGTTTCTCTGATGGAAGCTGTGGCAACGGAGACACTGAGGCTGTCCCTGCACAGGCTCAGGTGATCACGGCACAGCACGGACCTCCAACCAAAAGGAAATTCCCCCAGACCAGGAAATAAGTCAGCGAGCAGGAAGAGGAACCCACGGCGGGCCTCCCCAAGAACCTGCAGGGGCAAGGAGGCGTGACGGCTGCACCGAGCCCGCAGAGATGGGGAGGGACGACCTGCCCCTGCTTCCGCATGGAGAATCCACTGGAAAGTCCTGTCTGAGCAGGCATTGCCTAGATTCCTCTCCCCAAGGCCTCCTATAAAGGAAATAAATTAACTGAGGAGAAGGAGGGAAGAGGAGGGAGACTCCCTCTGGATTTTTTTTAATTGTCTTGCTGTGATTGCCTATTTAAGCCCACCTGGCAGAAGAGGAGTAAAAAACACTTCACCCTCCCTTAGGGGGCTCTGAGAGAAGGCAAGCTGGGAGCTGAGCAGGCAGTGGGGAGGGGTGCCTGGGGGGGCCCGTGTGTGCCTGTGGGGGAGTGACAGTGAGTGGGCTTCCTAGGAGAAAGATTAGGAGAGAGGCTGGGGGTCAGGTGAGGGTCACAACCAATAAGGACAGGGTCCCTGGACGTTCAGCCTTCAGGGAGGCCAAATACTCAAGCTGTGATAAAGAAATTTAACTATATGGGGGTATAAAAGGTGACACTCCCTATTTGTAAAATGGATCTAGTAATAGCATCTTCTGCCATAAAGCTGTTGTGAGGAGTTACTGAGATGACACAAGAAGGACACAGAATAGGGCACTTGGAGGGTGACTGCCATCGTGACCACTGAAAGGCTTATATGTGAAATGATCCCTGTATGAAAAACCCAAAAGCTCATCTATTCCATCAAAGGAGGGAAAAGGGATAATAGTGAGCTGCCTAAATTTCAGAGATTCGCAGCCTGAGCAGAGAGATAAAGGGACTGCTTTATGTGTAGAGACAGGCAGTGTTTACCTGCCTAGGGAGACTGGGCTCGAAGGAGGCTTTAATCCCTCCTCCTGGCCTACCCGTGCAGAGCTGAAATTCTCATCCACTGGTGGGCTGACCACCTCCAGAAACACACACATTCACCCATTCCTCCCCAGCAGGGTCTGTTTCTCCAGGAGAGAACAGGGACTTGGGTGATGGGATAGGGGCCAAGATGCTTTGGGTGTCAATTTTTCTGTGTTCAGCCATCAGGGGAGATTCTGGGTGAGGAAGGTGAGTGGCCACGGGGTAGCAAGAAGGTCCTGGGCACCTGCGGAAGTTCCTTGGACAAGTTTCCCCAGTGAATAATCCTCTCACAGGAGGCAGGAAGTCTGGAAGGAGTATCGGAGGAAGGTGGGCTCTGGAACACAGGAAGCATCTGAAAGCTACTGAGGAAACCTCAATAGTAACTGCCTCCTTTCTCAAAGCCAGGATTCCATGAGAGGTGGAGGTCGAGTGTCAGGACTACTGAGCCTGTACCCCAATAATAGCAGCTCATACTCATGAGTCAAACAGTGCCGAGTGCTTTAAATGTACAACTTTAACCTTTCCATGAGAAACTATCGTTCTATCCCCATTTCAAAGGGTGAGAAACTGAGGCACGGAAGGCAGGCCGGAATGTATACTCTAGATTCTTGAGCACCATGCTCCTCACCTCTCCATCACTCCTGCCCTTTCTCCTGGGGGCCTCTGCCTGGCCTGACTCTCGCCCTCCCACAGTCCTGGACCGTACAGAAGGACTCCAGTGAGGTCCATCTTCCTGCCCAGGATTCAGAGCACACACATCCAGCCCAGCCTCCATGAGAAGATGGAGGTTTCTGGACTAAGACCTGGGCGTTCATGAGGACGACACACTGGGCTTAAATGCATGCTCAGCTACTTCATGAGGGCAGCAGGCATGTGCCTCAAACAGCGAAAAATCACACAGATGAAGGGCTCTACTTCAGTGCATACTAAGAAGGCTCAATGCCTTGATTAAACAATAGTCTTACTACATCACAAAACTGACGCAGCTCCAATATCTCCCTCTAAATCAACTTTGCAAATAAGCCCCTGGAATTAACCATCCCATAATTTTCCTCTCAAGAAGTTCTGATGTAACAAAAGAAACTGTTTCTCCTTGTTTTCCCTTCTGGAAGCACCACCTGTTCATTATCACTTGTAAGAGGCTAAATTCAAGAATTCGTAAATAAATGGTAATAACAATATTAACCAGGGAGATCATCCAGAAAGGCCTAAACAGAAAGCCCTCCTAAGCCCTGGGGGTCTTCTGTTAGTTTTCATACTTGTTCTTACTTACATGGCTTATGTAAGTACCTTGCTCTCAGGAAATGACCAGATGCTAGATTTCCTGGAGAAAGGGGGAAATATGGATGGTTGATTTCCTGAAGAAAGTAGAGAAAAAGGAAATACAGAGAAACGGAGGGAAACTTTGCTCCCTGTAAATCTTATTAAGGGCCTCGGCAAATCTTGTTAGTCTATCACACAGGAAAGACCAAGCAGAGAGGCGTGAAGGGATGGTGGGTAAGTCCACCTGGGTTCATATGCCCGAACTGCCTATTTCCAGACTGGGCAACAAATTTCCTCTCTAAACCCCAGTTTGCTCAGCTGTAAAATGTCTTGCTTTAGGCAAGTATTTTAACAGGTGGTGTGTAGGTTTTCATCGGTGCCTGGCAGGCTGACACTTCCTGTGTGAAAACTGGATAATTCAAGGGCAATTTCGAGAGCACAGGAGATAAAAGAGCTCACAGTCTAGAATCCACTTCAAACGTGACATTTTGGAGCAAACTGCAAGTCAATTTCATGTGGTTCTGAACTCCCCAGAAGTCATAACTTCAGTAAGTAAACAGTCAGGTGGCACAGATAACTGCTTGATAAAGTTTCTCCTGTTTGATGGACTGCTGTCTCTACACTCTAAATTCCATTCCTTTTTCTCTGAGATACCATGGGGATTAATGAAAAGCTGTTAGCTGCTCTTTAAGTGGGTCAAAACTCCCATTGCTGACATACTTACTCCCTGAGAGTGGCTCTTCATGCACCTCCAAGGGGTTGCTCTCCGGTCCATCCAGTGTCTTGCTCACCCCCTGTGGTGAAAGTTCTCCACCATCTCCCTCTCCGGAGGGTGAGCTGGGCTGCTTGGCGAGGGGCACCTCCCCTCTGGGGCCTGAGCTGGGCTCTGGGCTTTGGTTTCTCCCAGCCGGAGCACTGCACACATCCCCAGTCCCCGGTTTCTCATTCTCCAGTGACGCGTGATCCCCACGTGCGTTTTTTGCATCTCTGGCATCCTCGGTGCTGTTGGCAGTAGACACCGGAGCACTGCTGCCTGCCGAGTTCACAGAGGAATGGTACTGAGGTATAACACCAACGAATTTCAGGCCCTGGCTTGCAGCCTCCTGGATCTGTGAGGCAAACAAAAGGAAGGGAAACAAGTGAATGAAATGGTCTATCAAAGGGACACGTGCAGCGTGCAAAGCGCCTCCCCGAGGCCTGCGAGGCTGTTTCAGGTGCAGGAGAAGAATTCCAAGCTGACAGGAACTCCATGTCCTCAGGGGCACCTGCCCCCACACCCTAGTCTGAAGAAGACAGTTTTTTTAATTTGTTTTAACTATATTGTCTGATGGAAAGATAAAGCATTTGGCTTTGAAGAGTTGAAATCACTACTTTGAAACACTACACTAGTCCTTATTAACATTTTTTAAAGAGGCTGGAAAAAGTTCTAAACAAAGAGTTTGAAGGAGGAAGTTTGTTTTATTAAGAGTTTAGTTTTTTTTGTCACTTTTTTTCGGACGAATCACTGACTTCCTGCCCATCAGGCTACTGTATAACTACAGCTTGTCTATATAACCATATACAAACAACAGATGGCATTTTATGGCCCAAAGAGCTTCCTTTTTGGACAATAGTTTTGGCAGAGAAGGGCAGAGGTGGGAAAATCACCCCTGTGCCAAGGCTGTGGGCAAATCCTCCCTGAGAGGTATCATCTGATGGACACCTTGCTCCCTGGTGCTCTCAGGCTTAGGGAAGGTCAAAGGAGCCCACAGATCATGCCCAGCCCACAGCCACAGACTGACTCTTGGCTCTCCAAGTCCTGGTCCACACCATCAGCAGCGAGGTGATGGTTCCTTCTCACTCCCTGTACCAACGGGATGGGGGATGAACACCCACCTGCAGTACCGAGGTACTTGAACTTTCCCTCTCCCTAAAAAATAGCCCAAGGCAATTGGGTTGAATGTAAGTCATAAGTTTGAAAGAAAAATTGAAAATAAATAACCTAATAAAATAAAGCAAGAGCCAGCCAAAGCCAGAAGGTAGCCTTTAGGGGACTTTCCAGGCAAGGATGCTTAAGTCATTTTACAAATAAATAAGGCGGTGCAGACCTCAGAGCTGTCTAAGTCTTAGTCACCAAGCTCTAAGCAGATGACCTCAGAAAATCTTGAGGCCTCTGCAATGATAATCTACCCTCATTTGAGAGTCAGTTTTGCCAGCACAGAGGTATTCTCTCTAAAGGAGAAGCTGCCCTGACAGCTCTCCTCGGAAGAACCACCCTGACATTAAATGGAAAGTCATTTTTGTTCCACACTGCGCAACCTGGAAAACTGCAGTTGCAAACATGCAGTCCAGTCTTTAAATCCTAGCCTGTGCTAGACATAAAATAAGAATAGTAGTAATTACTGTCTACTGTAGACCTACTATGTCTAGGCATTGAGCTAGGCATTTTACATAAATTAAAACAACAAAACGTTTCATCCTTCAATGATGCTGCATGGTATCATTGTCTCCATTTCAGATGAGGACACTGGAGCCCAGAGACATTAAAGTCATAAAACAAGCAGTGAGTAGCCAGAGTGCAAAACCAGGTCTGGCCTGGGCCAAAGTTCATTCTTTTAATCACAAGACTCAGTGGACACATGTCAAAGCATCAACTACATACATGTCTATGGGCATGTATGTGTCCACTCATACGCCCCGAGTTGGCTCAATTCACTCTTCAAAAGTTAAAAAAAACAAAAGACAAAAAAATCTTAAAGCCATCTATTCCATTCTGAAAATTTTTTCCCTCATTAATCTATGATATCCACCTATGTTAAAAATTATTCTATAAAGCTCCTAAAAGAAGGCACAGCAACACAAATTTTAAAAGAAAATAGCAGGGAAATAATTATACCAAAGAACTTTGGAGGCTGAGGAAAGCCACTGCATGCAAAGCATACTTCTGAGCTTTCTGGCAACATATGCCAAAAGAGAAAGGCAATGGGTTTTACAGCCCTCAAATGAAATGAGGAGACACCTGCACTAGCTTCTGCTATTACTCTCTTACTGCAGAGGAAACAGCTATGACTTCTGAAGCATTTTAATAACTGCTTCCATGGAGGGCTCAACCATAGGCCAGTCTCAACTAGAGTCACGGAAATAGCATGAAGTTTAAAGGCTTTTGGAAAGGCCTGATGTGGAGCCCCAGATACGTGACTCACCATCTTGAGGAACCAGAGTAGATTATATAAACTTTCTGTGCCTCAGTTTTCTCATGTATAAAATGAGTGAAAACACACTTATTTTGCAGTTGCACTGAAACTTAGTTTAGACATTACATATGGCAAGTGCGCCAAAGGATGGGGCACAAAGACGGTATCTCTAACCTCTCTCCTTATCAGTCCTGGGCTTCTGCGGCCCTGCAGAGACTGCTGTCATCTAGAGTGAAGAGGCGAGGACTCCAGACACAGGGCATTATCCTAGCCCTCCCCTTCCTCACTGGGACTGGAGGAATTGGAGAGGCTTGGACACAGACACCTGCCCTTCTCCCACAACAAACCAGACAACCATATTCCTTTGCCATCTTGTACTGCAAATTTATCCTCTAGGCCAGGGGTTCTCAAAGTGTGGGCCCCAGACCAGAGCATCAGCATCCCCTGGGAACCTGTTAGAAATGCAAATTCTCAGGCCCCACCACAGACCTACTGAGTCAGAAACTCTGAGGGTGAGATCCAGCAATCTGTGTCTTAACAAGTCCTCCGAGTGATTCCAATGCAGCCTGATGTTTGAGAATCACTGCTCTAGAATACACATTTCATGAGGGCTGGGGTAGTTTGCACTGCTGCATCCCCAGTAATAGAATGATGTCTGACATATAGCAGGTCCTCAATAAATATCTGTTGAATGAATGAATATATTAAATAATGGATGAATATGTATGCCTTCTCTCCCGAAATGAGCTCCTTGAAGGTAGGGATGGAGACATTAATTTTTCAGCTGTAGAATCCAACAAATAGTTAATAAGCCCCTACACTGGTCCAGGCCAACACGGTGCTTAGGTACCAGGAATGTAAAATAGGATCCCCAACCCTCAAGAAGATTTGACCAATTATTACGAACAGAGTTTAAAAATAATTACACTATCATGGAACAATTAATGCTTGAAATGACATATAAAAAGTCAAGATTCTAAACTTCATACACTTTATTATGACAACTATGTAATACACATACATAAACTATGCATAAAAACAGTCACCAAAATGAAAACAGCACTGTATTTGGGGAGTGGGGCTATAAGTGATTTTTTTCTATTACTGTGTAATTTTCAAAATTTACTTAAGGGGCATGGATGTTACTTTTAGAATTGAAAAAGTAAATATTGTAAAAATTCCTCATAGAGGATAATATAGTAATGGATGTGAAGGCATAGACATGACAGTGACAATGGTGATTATTTCTGCCTGAAGGGGAGGTTGAGAAAAGTTTCTCCGAGTAGATCAGGGATGTAACAAATGACGTGGTGTAACACAAAAGGAAGAATAAGAAATGTGGCAGAACTGGAGCATGCATGCCTCACCTTAAAGCATTCAAATCCAATTTTTTTTTTCCAAAATGCCATGCTAGACAAAACCTATTTGGGACCTACTCTGCAGAAGGCTTTGAAGGATGAATAAGAGTTCAGCACATATGTAAAGGAAAAGGAGAGGGCAATCCATGTAAAGGCAAGGAAGGATCATGATGGGCAAAAGCGTGACAGTATGCAACAGCCTGGTGTGTTGAGGAAATTTCTAGAAATATTTCTGGAACATGACATGAGAAACCAAGAGGAGCCCAGAAATGAAGCTTGACTAGACATGACAAGGACCGGATCACATATGGCCTTGGATCCATGCCCGCAAAGGCTCTCAGTTCACCCTGCAGGCCAGCATATCCGACTCTCCCACCACAGTCATAACCTCAAGAGCAGAGGAGAGTGGGAGTCTGAGGGAAAACTGCAAGATTTCTTCGAATGCTCATCTTTTACCTTCAACTTCAGCACAAATTTTGTATCTTATACCATAGTGCTACCTAGGATCCAAACTTTAAAAAGATGTCAAAGTTAAATGCTGCCCTTATCCTATGCATTCCAGGGAAATTCACACCCCCAAGAAGAGGAAGCATATTTGTAGCTCTGCTTATTTCCTTCAAATAGATTCCTGGAAGTAGAATTAATGAATGAAGGGATATTAACTTTTCAAAGGCTTGGCAGAGGCTGCCAAGTTGTTTACCAAAAAGGGTGCGTAGTCCTTTTTAACTAGACGACCACATTTAGATTTTATGAAGATCAATATTTGGCTAGATCTAGGGGCCACGACTCTTACAGTTCTGTCTTACCCTAGTATAGACACTTTCCTCTTTTTCAGAAAGTCATTTGACCGTGTACTTATGGCTAAAGTAAATCCTGCTTCTCATTCTTGCATTTATAACCTTTACTGAGCCAGTCTCACATTCATCATGGTGGTGGGCATGCGATGTATTCATCAGGGTTCATCCCCGGCTGCCAGCTCTCCTCCACTCTACACTCCCCTTGGTGACTTCCTCTACTCACATGGGTTTAGCTACAAATCAGATGTTCATTATTCCTAAGTGTGAACCCCTAGCCCTGGCTTTCCTTGCAAGTTCAGACCTACACAGAAGACGATCACAGCTGACGGGTCCACTGTTGATCTGGTCTCACCAGCTGGAATCACAGTATCTTCTTCCCTGTTTCTAATCCTGTGTGTCTGTTCACCACACCCTACCACATTTATCCCCCAGTGTTTCTGGAATTACTTCCTCCTTCTCCATAAAGTGACCATCCAAGCTCACTTTATTTCAAGCCCTCATCATCTGTTGCTGGACATCACCATGACCTCAGGCGATGCCAGGGTCTTCATGAGCATGGAACCAAATCAACATGGAAGAACAGGTCATGAGGAGCCAGGTCACCTCAGCCATGGAGCTCCCCACAGACTCCCACGCATGCCCACAACATCTCTAACAACAGCGATTACAGGAAACAGCAACTATTAACATTGCACAGCTCTTCTACAAAGAACTTTCACATGCATTCCCTTAGGCCTCAAAATCATACCTTACAGAAGAGAAAACTGCTTAAGACATTCTGTGACTGGTCAAACCTCACAGAACTACCCAAAGCCATGCCTGGCTTTCGCTCTGAGTATCCTAAGCCCAACCTGATGCCTCTTCAACGATACCACTCTTTCCACTTCAGATAATCTGACCTGTGCCAAGATGCCCAGGTGGATGCCTGTTTAAACTGATATACACCCTCACCCACCTTATTCTCATTTCTGCTGCCTGTAAGAACCCACCTGCCCCAAATACTTAAAGAGTAACAATTTCTGGTTGAGGCACTGAAAATTAAACATGGCTGTTTTGACTAATCCACAACTTCACTCAGTTGCTCTATAATAAGTAAGGACATGCTCCACTGTAACTATAATCAGGAATCATGATGTGAAAAATATTTCTTTTTAAAAAAATGTAGTTATATAAAAAGTCACAAGTCATTGTAAAAAAAATCTTTGGTTATATATTTGAGGAATTATTTTTATTAAAAATAATATGACATTAGATTTCTAGGATGGATTGTCTGTTTCTATGTCCAAAATGAATACCATGTTGCTAATGATAAGTGCGATATATACTCTATGTGCATGCGAATATACGTATTTGTGATTTAGAGTATGTGTATCAATCGGGGTGAGAAATCAGAAAGAAGTGAGACACAGGTTGGATTTCATAAAAATGAAGGCTATATGGAACATAGGAAAAGGAAGAGAAAAGCCTCCTGCTCACAGGTCAATAGGGATTGGAGTGTCCACAGCCTGTAGTAGATAGCATGGGTAAAGAGTCAGAGACACTTCCAAGACTGTTTTGTCTGACTCTAAGGAGGATGGTGTCACAGTTAATTTTATGTCCACTTGACTGAACTATGGTGACCAATTGTTTGGTAAAACTCTAGTCTAGATGTTGCTGTAAAGGTATTTTTTAAATGTGTGATTAACATTTACTATCAGTTGACTTTCGGTAAAGTGGATTCCTCCATTATTAGGTGGGTCTCATCTAATCAGGTGAAGGCTTTAAGAGCCAAGACTGAGATTTCCCAAAGGAAAAAGAATTCTGCCTCTGGACTGCAACACAGAAATTCTCCCTGGGTTTTCTCCCCTTCAAACTCAAAGACTGCAACACCAGTCCTTACCTGAATGTCCAGTCTGCTGGACTGCCCTGCAGATGTCAGACTTGTTGGCCCCCACTATCACATGAGCCAGTTCCTTAAAATAATCAATTTTCTCTCTTCCCACCAGGAGGTAGGGGAAAATAAGATAGCACAGGGCAAGTTGATGGAGGTCTCTAAATCTAAACCTGACTAGGCATGAAATAAAAGTTCGGTACAGGCTCCCAAATGACAGTGAGCCCCAAACAGAAACAAGACAACTAGGACTTCATCTGGTATCGATTCCAGGTCCTACGTGAGAGGCTGAAGTGTGGCAGGGAGGCTTTCAGCCATCACTGTTGCCCAGGTAAAGGAAATTTCCCCCATTGTGCTTTGAGGAGAGCTGCTACACACCAGGTAAGGGAGGTTGTATCTATAACTGATGGATTTATTTTCTACAAGTTACATAATAAACTTAATGAAATGCCTGTAACTAATGAGCTAATTAATGCTGGGAATCAGAAACCTACTGCTAAAAAATAGAGAGCTGTGCTGTCCAATAGGTAGCCACTAGCCACATGTGGCTATTTAAATTTAAATTAATTCAAATAAAATAAAATTTAAATATTCCTCTCCTTAGTCACATGAGTCACATTTCAAGCACCCACCAGCCACTTGTGGCTAGTGATGACCCCATGGACAGTGCAGGTGTAGAACATATCCATCATCATAGAACGTTCTATTGGGTAGCTCTGCTATAGAGCATAATAAATCACATAAAATACTGAATAATAGAGTTTTTGACAGTGATTTCTGAGGCATATAATATGGGGTAAATCCAAGACTCACATCCACATACTTATATACCCTAGATCAGACCACTGCCCACTCCGGCCCTCCCTCATAACTCACACGCCCCCGATCCGTGACAACATAGCACAGCACACGCAGGGAGCCCACAGCAGAGGCATGCCCTAGGTGTCAAGAACAGGTACAAAAATGCCATTCTGGGTTGCAGTTACACATGAGTCTTTACAGTGAATATTTTATCAGACACACACAACCCTTCCCATCTTGTCACCTACACTCTTGTACAGCTTTCTGAAAAGGGAGGCTCAAAAATAACACGGGTTTGAGCTCACATCTGAAGCCGCCTTTAGTTTTGACATGTTAACACTTAGCTGCAGAAATTGGAAGCTTTGCCAGGCGCTGCTGGATGTTTAGCTCCGTTTTAGGGCCACAAGGAAAGATCATGTAAACTTTCTGCTGTTGTGGTTTTCTCATTTAGCGACTGAGAGGTCTTAGAATCTGCCCTTGGACAAAGAGTTTGAAGGCTTAAAGCTTTGGACCTGGCTCTGTTACTCAGTAGTTATATTATTGGTCAAATCAGTTGATTTATTTTAGCCTCAGTTTCTTAATCTATAAAATGAAGATACTAATATTCATTTATTCATTCCATAACTACTTACTGAATACCAATTGGAATCACCAAGCAACCCCCAGCCATTCCATTGCACAGAGTAGTTTGTCATAGTAGATGCATGCCCTGACCAGGAGGGCACAGTCAAAGAGTCAACACGCTGGAGTAGTCAGGAGTCACCTCTGGCAGATTTTCCTTGGCCCAGAACATCCCAATCTTCCTCAGTGTATGCCCATCAGCAGAATTCAACATATGTGTGGTTGTCTGCATTCAGAACAGGATTCTGGAGCAAAGACGACCTTGGCCCATGAGAACTGCCATCATCCAAGTAGGACCATTGAGGAAAAGAACTGGCAGGAGAATCTGCTGCCCCCTCCAAGGCTGCAAGACCCCCAGGCTTCCATTAAATGCTGCTGCACACCCACAAGGAAACTGATAAATCAAACTTCAAAATGTTATGTTAGCAAAGCATTTAAAGAGACTTTCGTCATAGTCCTGTGGGAGTCAAAGAATGCATGCCAGCCTTCCCAGTCTGTTAGTTCTGTGGCTGTCAAAATCCATTATTGGTAGCCATGGATTTAACCTTACCCACAGGTAAAATCTGTGCATACAGAAATGATTTGGGAGAAGGATTCCTATGAGAAGCAGGGCTAGCAAAAGTGAAGAGGCAAGAAAGCCTCAGAAGTCATGCAGGGAAGAGCAAATGTTCAGTGTGCTTGAGCTGAAATTCTGTAATCACAATTTACTGAGAGCTTACTGTATGCCCAACACTGTTTTAAAGGCTGTACGTGGATTAACTCATTTAATCCTTATAATAATAACAATAGGTATTATTTTTCATCCCTATCTTACAGATTAGAGAACTGAGGCACAGAGATATTGGGCAACTTCCCCAAGGTCAGACAACTAGTAAAGGGCAAGTAGGATTCAAACCTAGGCAGCTGGCTCCAGAGCCCACGTTGCTACCTGTTACGCTGCTCAGCGCTGTATTTGCAATGTTCCTACACTCTAAGCTGTACTGGGAAATACCAGGGCTAGATTGCAGAGTCTTGCATCTTTAGAGTCTGGACTTTTTATTCTGAAGGCAATGAGATGCCATCATGACTTCTGAGCAAAGTGACATGATCAGGCCTGTCCTAAGGAAAAGAAATCTGCCCACAGGATGTGGTATGGATCGAGGTGGGGGTTGGTAACAGAGCGAGGAGACAGGAGGCAAGGGACATGGCTGGGGCCCGGAAGTAACTGCAGAGCTCATGGGAAAGGTCATAAGAGCCTACACTTGCTATGGGAAAGGATGTGAGAAGTCCACGGGAGACAAAAAGTAGAGGCAGCAGTCTGTGACACACCATGGGATGCTGATTTGTCAAACAACTGAAGCAAAAAGTAAAATAATAATTACGCTTAGATGACAGGCATGAACTGGGATTGTCTGAACAAGCTGGGACATATGGTCACCTGGTTCAGTGTGACCAGCAGTGAAGACCCAGAAAGCTGCTTTAAGAGGCACACAGATGAGTGTTCCTTCTCTTCCTTCCCTGTCCATCACATGACCCACTGCTTCCATCACTCTCCTCCTATTATATCCTTGGCTTTCTCTGTCTGACACATCCCACAAATGTCGCATCCATCCAGTCCACCCAGGGCCACAAGGAGGAGGGCTCAAGGTCTCCCGCCAAGGCTGAGGCCACACGGCCACCCTGCAGTGGCTCCCTTCCTCCCTGATCAGCTGTCTTGTGCTTCCCCAGGGCTTTCTCCCCTCTGCTGGGTCCCACCCTCTCCCCACTTTCCCACCACCTCCAGAGATGACTTAAAGACAAAATCGAGGTCAGAAGCTGAGAAGCCCATCCCCATGTCCTCTTCTGGCCCTCCACTCTTTGTCCCCAGCATCGGTGTGACCCGGTTAAGGCAAAACCCAGGCCATAGAGCTCATGTTTTCTGGCACCCTGGAAGACCCAGCTCTACTTAGGACCACTTCTCTCTTCTATATCCTCAATTTCTCTCTCTCTCTCTCTCTCTCTCTCTCTCTCTCTCTCTCTACTGGCTCCTTCCACTCAGCATACAACTAAATTCAAGTTATCTTTTTTTAAAAGAAGAAAAAGAGGAAAGAATCCAACCAACAATAGAAGTAAGCAAGCCTCGTCCACCCACCCGCCTCACCGACTCCACCTCCACTCACTCTCTAGCTTCTGTACTGCCTCCTCACCGGCAGCTCCCCACAGCCCTCCTGTCACCTCCATGACGCCAAATCCCACAGGCTTTTTAGCCCTCACCACCCCATCCTCTCTGGTAGCTCATGCATTCCCCTCCTCCTGGAGATGCTCTTCCTTGGCCTCACCACCACCTTTCTGCTGGTTTTCTTCCTGCATGCTGGCCTGTATACAGCCCTCACAGCAGCCAGGCTGGTATCTGAAAGATGTGAGCCAGTTAAGGCTGCTCGTTTTAACTCTCCAACGATGTCCCATTTAGAATAAGATTCCCAACCCTTGCCCTGCCCCTGAAATGGGTCTTGCCCACCTCTCAGGCCACATCCCAAACTCCTGACACCTTCACAAGTCTTTGTCATTGTTTCCCCCCTACCCCAAGATTTGTTCCCATCAGGGGGCCTCAGCACTTTGCAGATCCCTCTGTTTGGCATGCTGTTCCCCCCTCCATCTCCCTACAACTGGTTTTCCTAGCTGGATGAGAGCTCTATGAGGACAGGCAGTTTGTCTCTTTTGCCTCCTGCTTTGTCCTCAGCATCTGGAACTGTTCCTGGTACACAGTAAGTATTCCTTGGGCATTTATTAAAGGAATGAATAGGCATGAGATTAAATTTGCAGTATCTGAGGTTACCCCCAAGTGGAAACATCTATGAGTCTACAATTTCAGGAAATATCCATCTGGGACCAATAATGTTTTAAAAATATATTCATTTGAGATTCAGAAAACTTGCACATCATTTGCTACTCCTATCATCTTAACAGTGAAGAAAACTGAGGCCTAGAGACATTAAGGGGGTTGCAGGTCCAGAGACATGTCTCAAGAAAGCATTGCTGTTAAAATGTGCAGTTCGTGGGTTTTCAGTCCATCTCTTAAGAAACCAAGTCAATCTTCCCCTCAGGAAAAAGAAAAGAAGTAGCAATAAGCAATTTGTTAATATCACTACTTCTTATCAAGGTAAAAAATGCCTCATAATCAGGCATACCCATGGGCCTTGTTTCACAAAGGCACTAAGATGAGGCAATGTAGGTCCCAAAAAACAAAAAGACAGTTTTTTGGAGTTGCTGAGGTTGACAACCCTAGTTTTATACTTTGGTAATACCAGTGACCTTGGAATTACAAGCTTGGGGTTAAGAACTCAAGGGTTCATTAAGACTCCCTGGAACATTCTGGAAAACCAGCTTTAGAGTCTTCATTGAACTCAAATCTCAGCACCACAGTTAAATGAGTGAGTCAAAAGAACATAAGTTTAAAGAATTTAACCAGGAGCAGATGTTTCTCTTCACACCACACTGCTTTAACATCCAGTATTCGTGACCTTTTCTTCCCCCCACCATCCTCTGATTTACATAGGCTTCCAAAGCATTAATGAAACACACTTTAACAAAATGTTGAGATGGTGCCATTGGGCATTGCTATCCTAGTTTTAACCCTTGGTTAAAAAATACTTTGTGATTCCCACGACTCCAGACCAACAAAAATATAACAGGGTCCTAATGACATTTGAAACTCCCACGGTAAACAAGGCAGTTAAACTAAGTACTTGGGGATGGTTTTCATTACAGTGTGCTAAAAAAATGAATGTTTTATTGTTCTTTTGTAAATACCCTGGAGAACACTGGGATGGTTTTTCTGGAAGATGGAAATGATTTAAGAGAGTTTCAGAGCACATGAAGATATGTGATCCCTTTGAGTAACAAATAGGAGATGGGTTTTTTTTCGGGGGGGAGGGAAGGAACAGCTTTGCATTAACAACTACTGAGAATTATACATTTAAAGATTATCTTCAATGTCCAATAACCCTTATATTCAATACTGAATTTATTTCCACTTCTCGCCTTCATTTTTATTTGTTACGTATTCTCAAAGTTCTCTCCTAGTAGAAGAATGAACCAGAAATGAACATAAGCATGTTGGAATTCATGTATGTGGCAGACTGTATTTTCCAAAGATGGCCACAACAATATTTCTCATTCCACATGGTCTGCTGGAACCTTGTCACTCCTCCATCAAGAGCTGGAACCCATGTCCCCTGTACTTCAACCACTATGGGTCCTTATGACGGCCTCAACCAATGAGTAGGTGAAAAGGACCCTTATGTGACCTCCAAGGTATAATCATCAGAATTCCATGAACTTCTACCTTCTTCTCTTGGGATGCTTGCTCTTAGAACCTAGCTGCCATGTTTTGAGGAAGCCTTAAGCAGTCTGTCGAGAGGCCTACAGCCAACACCAACTTGCCAGCCATATGAGTGTGCCATCTTGAAAGTAGATCCCCCAGCTACCACCAAACAGCCCAGTTGATACCATGTGAAATGGAGATTAGCTGCCTCTGCCAAGTACTGCCCAAGTTGCAGATTTGTGAGCAAAATAAATGACTGCTATTGTTTAAAGCCAATATGTTTTGGGGTGGTTTGTTACACAGCAATAGACATCTTTTAAAATACAGTGATCGTCACTAATCCATACCCACAGGAAATACCAGACTGCAATGATTTTGTAAAGTGTAAAATCTAAATCCTTTATAAAAGATGCAGTTAGCAGCACACTCAAATATACAGAAATGTAAACGAGGATAACACAAAAGCTCTGAAGGAGTGAGCCTTCAGAGATCTGCTTTAATAAAGAGGTAAGAGCAATTTGTAACTAGCCTCTCAGTTTGTGATGGTGCATCCAAACTGCTGGAAAAAGCAGGTAGCCTTGAGGTAAATAAACACTGCCCCTGCAGCTTAGCTTACATTATTAATTGGTTTAGCAAACCTGTATGCAAACTTAGGCTTAGTTCTTGTTTATCACAAGTTACAAATGTACAGAGCATGAATTAATGATGATGCTTTACTATTCAAAAGCAATAAAGAATGATGCCCACATTCCCAGGCACCATCAGAGTCAGAAAGGGTCACAGAGACTCCTGTGCTTGAAACTTAAAAAATATATCCATCTGTGTTATTCTTAAGGCATCATAACGAGAAGCTGTCATTGCCCTCTGGGGAGTGTCTTAGAAGTTAGTCAGAGTAGACACTGCATCTCATTCAAACTGGGAAGTCATTGGAAACAAAATTTCTACACCAACTGAACGATGAATAGTTCATCAAAAAACTAACTTTATTTCCACCAGGAATATATTTAAACATTTTCTTTTAAAGTTTTTCCATCTCTTCAGGTGTTTTCCATCTGATTTCTACTCCCTGTACCCCCCATGACAACCTTTTTCTCTCTGAAGAATCTTTCTTTCTAACAGCTCCTTTGACTGCTTTTGCTTTTGCCCAATAACATCCCTACCACCCCATCAATACCACCACTATCACCTTTACCAAGACCATCACTAGTACCCCAATGAATAACACCTCCATCACCCTCATCCCTAACATCTACACTACGAATCTCCCCCCAGCTACCTTTTCAAAACTAGGAATGCTGCTATCAGGCTAACAGAATGAAGATGTAGATTGGGAAGTAATTAATTAGATGGGAAACCTCAGTTTAATTCTATTTTCTCATTATTTCATATGCTAAATTTATAATAATGAATTATTAAAATACTTGACTCTTTTGTCCAACTTACATATCCTGGGTTACATGTATAGAATACAGTACCACCCCTATAATGGTAATATGCCCTTTTTCTCATTCTTTTAAACACATAAGAAGTCAAAAGTGATCCCACAAATGAATCATTTAAAGTTTAGATTTTTCTCACAACAGATTTTTTCCACTGGAGTGTCAGAAGGCAATGTTTATTTTTAACCTTAAAAGGAAAACAAACTTTGTAAAAATAATAGCCCTTATATTGAGCTCCAATTACAGTTGTTAGTTAAGTGGGAGGACAAAAATAGTTACCAATCAATCAGCAAACACTGCCATAGTGGATGAAGAGCAGAGGGAATACTAAGACATACCCAGAAAAATTCACAAAATGAGGGTATATGGCACCGAAACGCAGCACACCACTATCATAAACCTGAACTAATCAAATAAGGCTCTTTGATAATGAAGGGGAAGTCATTTAAAAGCTGGATTGACCATAGACTCACAGAATATCAGAGCTATAGGCAATCCTAGAGATTATCATTCTAGTGCAAAGGTTTTTTTTTTGTTTTTTTTTTTTGTTTTTTTTTTTGTTTTTTTTACGGGGAAGAAAGCTAAGAATTTCAGAAAGTGAAACATCCCACCTAAATGGCTGCCTAAGTTATTAGGTAGTAGGTTTCTTTAACTGGAATCAGGAGAGAATTCTGGAACTGGGTTTAAAGTTCCAGATTTCTTGAGGAGGCAAGTCAGTTTCAATAATTGAGTATCTCATCTCCAAGTGCTTTCTCCCTCCCTGCAGTGTCCTCTAGCCATCTTCAGCCCTGCTGACTCCAATCCTAATGGGACCTGGCTCTTTGAGTGGGAATTCTCCCAAAGGCAGAAAAGGGGAAAACCTTATGTGGGTTGTAATTCTGTCACACTGATTCTCAAAACCCTCAGAAAAGATTTTACATAATCACAAGCAATTAAAATGAAACCTTCCAGTGTCAGGGGAAGATACAGCAGGCAGCCTAACTGCCTGCCAGGATACACTCCATTTCTCAGACAAGACACCCCACCCTCACATGCCATGAGGTTAGTTCAAATTCCCACACTCATTATCTGTGCTGGATCCCAGACAGGAGGTGTCACCGAGGTGGGATGTTCAGCACTTCTGAACACACAGATGGGAAAGTTCAACCTGTGCTGTAAACCAGTCAGCTGCCCCATGTGTTCACTGACGGTGCATAATTGACACTCAAAACATGTTCCAGCTCATAAAAAGTTTACATATATAAATATATATTACATCTATATAAAAGTATATATTACATATATAAGTATATATTACTTATACATACATAAAAGTTATATGTGTATATATGTACACACACACACACATATATATATATATCATAAATAAAAGTCTGGAAATTTTCCTGGTGATAACAGCAAATTCCATATTTGTAAATGAGTCTGCTGGGACGTATGAAGCATTAACAGGTGATATCCAACCCTCACAAGTCACTTCCAGGGAGGGTTTTTCAACAAGTCCCAACCATGCCAGATACTGAAAAAAGCTACTTGGAGTTGCAAAAAAAGAAAATGTGTGAGTCTCCTAACCCTCTGTACTTTATCTTCATTGCATCACTGTTCACAGCATCTGTTCCCATACAATTCTGAGGCCCTGCAAGCCTTGGAAACACACAGGCTCTTGCTCTTTCATTCTATAAACATTCACTGAGCACATGCTAAATGACCTATTCTGAGCTCAGCATCAAACAAACAAACAAACAAAAAATGACAAGAAACAATACACACAATAAGTAAAAACAGTAACGTGTCTTAAGAGGTGGCAAGAACTTTAGGTAAAAGGAAAATAGAGGAGACAAAGGGAGTCCAAAATACTAGGGTAGGGAGTGGCAGGAGGCAAGCTGCTCTCTTAAAGATGGGTGGGAAGGTAGGTGCACTGAGGTAACCTGGAACGAAGATTTGAAGGAGGTGAAGGAATCAGCCAAGCAGATATCTAGGGATAGATGCACCATAGACATTATGTTCACTGCCAAGAGTGGGACCAATATTCACTAACTACAGCATAAAACTCCAATGCACATAAGACAGAAAGTGAAATACACCACTTATAAACACTCATACACTATACAGCCTGGATATAACCTAGTGATCTCCTGGATTTTACCCCCTAAAATGTTATTTCTCAAAAATGAGGGAATTGCTCTGACATTTACATACGTTCAAGATCTCTCACAATATAAGGACTCTCTCAGTTACTTTATTTTGAACAGCAAGATGCTTCTTGGGGAAAACATATTCAAAGCTACTTTGGGACATTTATTGAAATAAGCTGATGGACTTTTTTTTTTTAATTTTTTTTTTTTCAGATGGAGTCTTGCTTTCTCACCCAGGCTGTAGTGCAGTGGCACGGTCTTGGCTTACTGCCAGCTCCACCTCCTGGGTTCACTCCATTCTCCTGCCTCAGCCTCCCAAGTAGGTGGGACTACAGGTGCCCGCCACCATACCCGGCTAATTTTTTTGTATTTTTAGTATAGACGGGGTTTCACCGTGTTAGCCAGGATCATCTCGATCTCCTGACCTCATGATCTGCCTGCCTCGGCCTCCCAAAATGCTGGGATTACAGGTGTGAGCCACCGCACCCGGCCAGACTTTTTTTTAAGGAGGAAAATAAATCTAAGAAAAATTTAAAATAATTCCTACAACATGGAAAACAATTTGGGGTGCTATAGTAGGCAATCTTCTTAAAGATGGCTTTTAAAAAAGCAATGCAGGGCTGGGCATCATGGCTTATACCTGTAATCCCAGTACTTTGGGAGGCCAGGATGGGAGGATCACTTGAGGCCAGAAAAGGCATTTGAGACCAGCCTGGGTAACATAGCATGACCCCATCTCTATAAAAAAAATCTTAAAAAAATTAGCTGGGTGTGGTGGTGCACACCCGTAATCCTAGCTGCTTGGGAGGCTGAGCAGGGAGGATGGCTTGAGCTCAGGGTTTGAAGCTGTAGTGAGCTATGACTGCACCACTGCACTCTAGCTTGGGCAACACAGTGAGACCCTGTCCCTTAAAAACAAACAAACAAAAAACAAAGCAATGCAGGAATTCTACACACAAATGAACACCAATGAACCACTGTGACATAAATGAATCTCACAGACACAGTGCTGAGCAAAAGACACCATTTATACAAACAGGCGAAGCCACCCTTTGGTGTTAGAAGTTAGAGAGGCTTCCCTTGGAAGGGGAGTGGGGAATTGTGGGCGTGGCTACAGGAAGGGTTCAGGCTGTTGCTCCTGCTCTATTAATATTTCTTGAGTGTTGGTTACTCAGGTGTGTTCATTTTGTGCTAACTCATTGAGCTGTACACTTATGATTTATGCACTCGCCTGTATTGATGTTATTTTCAATAAAAAGAGGTGTTTTCTATTTTTTTTTAAGAGCAATGTGAAGTGTTTCCATTATGGAGATTTCTTATTGACATATGAGCTGGACAAGAAAAATCAACTCTCCTAATGTTATGTGACTGAGCACTTATGACTCAGGACAGAATTTCCAGAGATAGCATCATTTATGAATTTTAAAAGTGCTGAATCCCAAACAATTTGGAAGAAAGTAAATAGGATGAGCTTGAAACTGTGTTAGATAGCCCTGAAAATCATGCTGGTGATGATAAAGGCAACCAAGTGCAATAATACATGAAAAAAAAGTACAGAAATAAAATTGTTCCATGAGATTTAAACACAGGGGAAAAGCACCATTTCCAAGTTTATACAATTTATATAATTTAAAATATGCATGTGCAATTAAATTATTATAAGCAGAAATTATTTCAAATATATTCCTCAAATGTTATATGCCAAAGTTGGCCCCAAACTTTTTAAATGTTTTTCATGGGAAAAATAGGAGCTTGTCTTTTAGATCTTGGCATATATGCCTTATATTGCTCTGTGCTCTGCCTCCCCTTATGACTGAGAAGACTCAATCACAAATGCTTTGTATCAACTTAGAAATTATGAAAAACTGAAAATTGTTTAAATAAATGAATTCTACTAAAATATGCTGTCCAAGATAGTAGCCATATGCCACATGTGGTTATCAAGCACTTAAAATACGACTCATGAGACCAAGGAGCTGAATTTTTTTTTTTTTAAAGAGACAGGGTATCACTCTGTTGCCCAGGCTGGAGTGCAGTGGTGTGATCATAGCTCACTGTAACTTCGAACTCCTGGAATCAAGAGATCCACCCCCCTCGGCCTCCTGAGTGGCTGGGATTACAGACATGCACCACCATGCTCAGCTAATTTTATTTTTTATTTTTGTAGAGACAGGGTCTTGCTATGTTGCCCAGAATGGTCTCAAACTCCTGGCCTTAAGCAATCCTCCTGCCTCTAATTTTAATTTTAAAATGAAAGCAATATGAAATATTTTTCTGTTAAGTACAACTTTACTTTGTAGAATATTTCGCTTCAATTATTGAAAAGTTAGCATCCAAATTGAGATGTGATTTAAGTGACACCAGATTTTCAAGACTTTGGCCTCCCAAAATGCTGGGATTATAAGTGTGAAAACCTGATGTCACTTGAAGCCTTGAAAGAAACCTGTAAAAACTTGTAAAAAATTTTTTAAAAAGTAAAATATCTCATTATATGTTGAAAAGATACTATTTTGGATATATTGGGTTAAATAAGACTTATTACTAAAGTTAATTTCACTCTTGTTTTTACTTAACATGACTATTAGATTTAAAATATACATAGATGGTTCACTTTATAAGACAGAGTTGCTAAGGAATAAAATGCCATTTTTGATCAGAGACCTCAGGGGAGAGATAAAAGAAAGAAAAATCAAACCTGGAAAGACTGATATTTGAAGATCTGATTAACAGCTATGGCAGAAAAAGTCCAGGAGTCAGGAGAAATATGAGAAAGCAGAAAGGAAAGGGAGAAACCAGTGCATCTTTTTTTAAATTTTTAGAATTAAAAAAAATTTTTTTTAGAAACAGGATTTTTCTCTGTCACCCAGGCTGGAGTGCAGCAGCGTGATCCTAGCTCAGCTAGTGCACCTCTTGAGAGAAAGTGGTCAGATTACCCGGGGCTGATCCAGACAGCACAGCAAATTCTATCTACAATTCCACACTGTCAACAAATCCAATTGACCTAGTTTTTGCTAGGTGTTAGAAGATTGCTATATCTGTTATTAAAGACACTAGAAGAATGGCAGAAGTGCCGAGCACGTCTTTCTAGAGTGAAAAAAGAGAGGAGGGAGTTTTTAATTGCTCTGCTCCAAATCTTTCCCTCCATTAGAGGTTTCATTGAGGATTAGAAAACACACAGTTACACCAAATGTTTGGGACAGGAAGATTTGTTTTAATGGAACCAAGAAAATGCAATAAAGTACTAGATTCATTTGAATCTATGGCAATTTTGTACTTTTGTAAACAGCCAGGATTAGTACTCATTTTAAAAAGAGGACTGAGCGCAGTGGCTCACACCTGTAATCCCAGCACTTCGGGAAGCTGAGGTGGGCGGATCACCTGAGGTCAGGAGTTTGAGACCAGCCTGGCCAACATGGCGAAATCCCGTTTCCACTAAAAATACAAAAATTAGCTGGGCGTGGTGGCAGGTACCTGTAATCCCAGCTACTCGGGAGGCTGAGGCAGGAGAATCGCTTGAACCTGGGAGGCAGAGGTTGCAGTGAACTGAGATTTCACCATTGCACTCCAGCCTGGGCAACAAGAGTGAAATTCTGTCTCAAAATGAAAAAAAAAAAAAAAAAGAGAGAGAGAAGAAAACCTGTCAACAGATGAATGGATGAAAAATTGTAAGAGGTATATGTGTGTGTGTCTAATGGAATATTATTCAGCCTTAAAAAATATCTTGCCATTTACAACATGGATAAACCTAGAGGACATTATGCTAAGTGAAATAAGGCAGACACGAAATGAAAAATAGTGCATGATCTCACTTATATGTGGAATCAAAAAAAAGAAAATATCAAATACATAGAAACAATAAAACACTGGTTACTATGGCAGAAAGGAAATGGGGAGATGTAGGTCAAAGGGTACGAAATTGAAGATATGCAGGATGAATAAGTCTGGAGATCTAATGCACAGCATGAGGACTACAGTTAATAATATTTTATTGTATACTGGAAATTTGCTGAGAGATTTTAGGCGCTCTTACCGCAAAAATGGTAACTATGCAAGATATATTAATTTGCTTAACTACAGTAACCATTTCACTATGTGTATCAAACAGCATGCTGTAAACCTTAAATATGTACAATAAAAATAAAACTTAAAAATAAATAGAAAAGAGAGAAGAAACTGACCACACCCCCGCCCACCCCACTGACTACCTGTGATTTTTCCATGGTTGGTAGGTGGTCAATAGATTCATCATTGATTTGGTACATTTTCCGAAGTATGTGCTATGGTATAGATAGGTATTTGGTCTCGGTCTCTCTCCCTCTCTCTCTCTCTTTCTTTTTTCTTTCTTTCTCTCACCTTGAAAAATAGAGCGGTATTTGGAGAGGAGGAAAAGCCAGGAGAAAGTTCTCAGGTCATTTTGAAGAATGCCAAGTTAAACCAAGCAAGCAAGTTTTGCACCCGGGACCTCTTCAGAGCCTTGACTCTTTTAAGAAGCATCATGGGCCGGGCGCGGTGGCTCACGCCTATAATCCCAGCACTTTGGGAGGCTGAGGCAGGTGGATCTCGAGGTCAGGAGTTCGAGACCAGCCTGCCCAAAATGGTGAAACCCCGTCTCTACTAAAAATACGAAAAAATCAGCTGGGCGTGGTGGCGGGCGCCTGTAATCCCAGCTACTCGGGAGGCTGAGGCAGGAGAATGGCTTGAACCCGGGAGGTGGAGGTTGCAGTAAGCCGAGATCGCACCACTGCACTCCAGCCTGGGTGACAGAGAAAGACTGTCTCAAAAAAAAAAAAAAAAAAAAAAAAAAAAAGAAGCATCATGACTCTCCAAGAGGGCTTACTTACAACGTGTGTGCCTCTGAAACATACTGGAGAAGGAAAACTCTTACCCAGCAGCATTCCAGGGAGGGTGCAATCAAGAGCCATTGGCTTGGATGGAAAACAGAAACTCCAAATCTTCAGCCCTTTAGGCTTCACTCTTGGCCAAAAACAAACATGAGTGTCTGCTGTGAGCAAGAATGGTTCAGAGACAACAGGGGCCAGAAGCTGTGGGCTGCCCCAGCTCATCCACTGCCAGTCTACCTTGGGACCCATCTCAATAGGGTAGGGACAAAGTAACATCCAGGTGCCCCATGGCCACAGCCAGGTCCGGGAGAAGCAGCTGCTCACCCCTCACCTTCAGGAGCTCCCAGGTTGGCCTACAATCAACCCAAAACACCAGGCCTCAGGCAAAGTCATGTCAGCCTTGATACCATCAACCTCCTAGCAACAAGCGGAATGGAGACATCCCCTGGGTGGCTGGAAAGTCACCTTGAGATGACAGAGTGTTATGCCCAGGCCCAGTCTCTCCCTGGAACAAAGCATTCCTGGTCACACAGCTGCCACCTCCCCTTGGTTACCTTCTGCTTCTCCTCTGGTCATCTGCCTCCTGCACTAGCTCTAGAATAGTTTTACTTCCTTGGATGTGGGGTAATTTCTCTGCAGTGACGACAAAGGAGTACAGGCCTCACAGCAGCCACAGGCTGTCCACAGAGCTAACAATAGGCCACTTGTCTATTCTGTGCACATTTTTTAGGGATCCCAAGTTGTTATTTCTTTCTGATTTAACTATAAGTCATTTTATTATTATTTCATATGATATGTGCTCCAAATGCTAAAAATTACATAAAATTTTAATGCTTTACATGGGCAAGATCTAATTCCCTGGTCAGATATTAAAACCAATTGCTCAATAAAAAATTATATTAAGGAGAACAATGAAGATAATTCAGCAAACCCATGAGAAAAAAAAGAACATCTTAAAATTTTAAATTTTAAAAAAACAACCTCAGAACTATCCTAGGACTAAGGCAAAAACACACAAGACCTCTATAGGATAAATGGCAGCGGTTTTTAATTGTACCCCAAAAACATTTTGGATCATGCCTCACAAAAATATGCTTCTGTGGAGGTTGCCAGTGACTTCATGGCCACTCCAGCAATAGCTGTTTCTGACATTAGTCTTAGGGGTTAGTGGAAAGGGCTGATAACTCCTCCATCGCTGAAATGCCCTCTTCCCCTGGCCTCCATCCCCCACACTCAGCAAGTTTCACACTGACCTCTCTGGCTACTTACTTTTTCTTTTCTCTGAATGCTGGAATTCCCCTGGGCTCAGCCCTAAGGCCTTTTTCCTTCACACCCTCCCCTCCTTCCTGGGCGATTTCATCCATGACCGTGGTTTCAGTTACCATCTGCCAGCAGGCGTCTCCAGCCCAGATCTCTGCACAGAGCTCCTGAAGCACAGATGCCACAGCTCATTCTGCAGTCATCCTTATCTCAGCAAAGGGCCCATTAATCCAACTGCAGGAGCCAAACCAGCCTTGTCCTCTCCCTCTCCACGGTGCCTCGTTACCCCATCCAGAAGCAACCCTGGTGGTCTGCCTGGCTCAATATTTCTTAGATCTACCTCTCTACATCTCTGTCAAGACGCTCCACCTAAACTAAGTGACGATCTCTTGTCTATGAAGAGTTACTCCAACAGGGTCCTAACCACACCCACTCTTGACCCAGAAGCCAGTCACTAACCTGCAGCCATTCTGATCTTTCCAAAGTATACATTTAGGAATCATTCTCCAGCTGCTCCTGAAAGCCCTCCAGCAGCTTTGCACTACACTTAGGATAAAGGGCCCCATCCTCAGCCTGGCCTGCAGGGCTGTATGGGGACCCGACTCACTCTCCAGCCTCACTCCACCTCACTCACCCCTCTGTCATTTGCAGGCAAGACAGTGAACTCCCTTCTGCTCCTCAAACCAAACTTACTCCCTCCCACCTTGGCTTTGTCTGAGCTGCTCCAGGAGTCCCCACCACCTCCACCCTCCCTCCCCTGTTGACCCTCAGGTCTTGGTATGTACACTTCATGGAGCACTCCCCCAACACTGCCAGCCTGGGGCAGGCCCCTTGCCATGTTCTACTCGACAGCGCTCACCCATCTGTGATCCTACAACCCTCATGTGCCCATCTGCTCTGTGTCTGTGCCCTCAGCTAGACTCTAAGTTTCACGTGTCCAGGGCATTACCTAGACCGGCTTACTAAAGTATTCCCAAACACTACCAGCAAAGATCTGTTCAAAGAAATGTGAACGAAACCTGACCCACTGATGCTGGACAGTAGATTCCCGCAGAGGGAGAAAATGAAGCACAAGAAAGTATCTCCTTTTTTGGGGAGTGATTGAGACAAGCGTATGACCCCTTCCCTCCCTCCGGCTTAAATTAACTTCAGCGAACCTCTCTGGACAGAACAGGAAGATCACAGGCTAATAAAAATAGCAAGAGGACAGAGGATCAAGAGAGGCCAGGGTGGGAGAGGAACTTCATAAGAAAACAGCGGCCTCCAGGCAGTAGCTCCTGCATTTTTTCCTCCATTAGGAACATCTAAGCCTGTAACCTTCCTCCTCCCTCCCCTGCCAGCATCAAAGGAGGGGATGCCCATTACCTTGTGCCCCTCCCACCTCGCCCTGCCTGGAACCTGCCTCCATCTTTTATCACCTCTTCTCTCCCAATACCTTTCAGCTGAAAAAAATGTTCAAATCTTCCAGGCATGGTGGCTCATGCCTGGAATCCCAGCACTTTGAAAAGCCAATGGGGGCCGATCGCTTGAGCCCAGGAATTCAAGACCAACCTGGTAAAACCTTGTTGGTTTGACACCACATGGTGAAGCCCTGTCTGTAACAAAATTAGCTGGCCATGGTGGCTCGCGCCTGTAATCCCAGCTACTTGGGAGGCTGAGGCAGGAGGACCATCTGAGCCTGGGTAGGTCGAGGCTTCAGTGAGCTGTTATTGTGCCACTGTACTCCAGCCTGGGCAACGGAATGAAGCCGTGTTAAAAAAAAAAAAAAAAAAGACGGGGTGGGGATCTCAAATCTCCTAAAGTAAACTGCTCTTCTGTCCTTCTAGACACATTTACTTAAGCCCATGGCAGGAAGGCCTCTGCCTGTTTTATACTATGACAACTGCTCTTGCAAAACTTACCCGTGGCATCCAGTGGCCAAACCCGGTGGGCCCCTCCCACTTGACCTCCTCCCAGCTTTTGATACTATTCTCCATCTCTTCTCAAAGCATGCTCTTCCCCTGGATTCTGTAACATCACACTCTTCTGTTCCTCCCTCTACCTTGGAAAAGTGCTATTTTTCTTTCTCTGGATTTTACCAAAGTATATCTCTGTTATGAATTGGCAAAAAACTGGTCCTTCACCACAGATAGCGTGAGACAAACTGGTCTAGATCTTGCAGTCTTTTTAATAGATCTGTCTGCTTACGCTGAAAAACCAAGAAACCTCACAAGAAAATATAAACTTAACTTCTCTAAAACAAAGCCAGCCAGGTGCCCAACCAAACAACAGATCTTGCAATTTTGGGTCCATATTTCCACCAGGCATCAGAGAGCGGAGGCTCAGTGGAAACTGCCCCTTGAGATGGGCATGTGCCACTGGATGACCATCCTTACCACCATTCTTGCCTGCTCTCAGGGTTGACACCTCAGACACCCACATCTCTGTTCCTGGCTTTCTTGCAAGTCCCAGCCCAACAACCACAGCTGCCTTCTGGAATGTTCCCTGAGTGTCCCCCTGACCCCTCAAGTCTTCATACAACCATCCCCATTCTCATCACCTCTCTGCCCCCAGGGCTCCTCATGCTGTGTTCTTGGTCCTTACAGATGACCCCATCTCACACCTGAGTCACCCAGGTGTCATCCTTGGCACCTCTCTCTCCTTCAATGACACGAAGGTTTAGTGAGTATTCCTCTTTCTCTTTCAATGTATCCATTAACTCGACGCTTATGTATTAAGTCCTGAAGACACAACAGTAAGCAGGGTACCCCATTGCCCCCTGCAAGGCCTGCGCCAGCCGCCAGCTCACTGTCTTCCACTCTGAAGACACACTCATTGCTGGGATGACACTCCATTTTCTGCCTTTACTTCCCCTCAACAACCCCCCTCCCCAGGTTCATCTTTTTTAAATGTCACTATTCTCTTGGTTTGTGGGTGGGTTCTGGTGCAGCAAGCACAGGAGAGCCTTTTTAACATAATTTTCATTTCACTCTGAATTGGCATCTTACCCTAATTAAAATTAGACTCTCTGCACCGCACTTGTAGAAATGAAACTCTGAATACTCAACAATCAGCCAGAAAGTAAATGATGAGTCATTTACATAACAGGCAAAATTTCATCATCCCGGAGATTTGGGATATTCTGTTTCATTAAAAGAAGCCATTGAGATTTTTCCATCTGTCAAGGTGCTTTCTTTAGGTTGAGGCATAAGTAGCATCATTCGGTTTTCTGAAGGACAATGTACTCGGTTTAATCCAGGACAGTACACTCATTGAGTGGGACCAGCCGCCCCTCAACGGTCTTCATTGCAAAGGCTCAGTGGGCCAGTGCAAGATGAACCTAGTTCTTAAGGAGATCAGGGAGGTCAGGAGCTCCATCACAAAAGGGAGTCAACTTGGGGAACAGAGCCCAGAGCTGAGGGCCTGAAGGCAAAGGCCACCATGTCTTATCTGGACAAGGGCAGGGAGCGTGGCTTTCTCCCGCAGGCAGGACGAGGCAATTTCCATCAGCAGAACCTGGGCGGCAAGGGCCTGGAGCCCATCCTTCACTGAGGGGACACCTTCAAGGCACTCCAACATCTGACCCCATGTACCCAACACGCGTTATGGCCATTTGCCTCCTATGCTCAACCTCACATTCTGGCTCTGACAGCCTCCACCTCTGTCCAGAAAGGGACAAGCTATACAGGAGAGGTAGCATGGCCAAGTGCTCTAGAACACAGTCCCTGGGTCCAACAGGCTGGGTTCATATCTCAGTCCTGCCATGCACAGTTATAACATTGGCAAACTGCATAGCTTCTCTGTGTCTCAGTTTCTTCATCTGTCAAATGAGGATAAGTCTTCACAGGCATGAGATGAGGGTTAAGGGTAGAGTAGACATGAGCACTTCAGCATAAGGTTTGCCTAACGCATGAGGAGGATTCCCTCTGCAGAGTAAAATCTTATTTTAAATTTAAATAAACCATAGATACACAAACATGGGCCAGCAGCATATGAGAGACAGAGACAGAGACACACACACACACACATATATTATATTTTATATATATAATATATAATATATATATAATATATATTTTATGTATATAATATATAATATATATATAATATATATTTTATGTATATAATATATAATATATATATAATATATATTTTATGTATATAATATATAATATATATATTATATATATTATATTATATATTATATATAAAATATATAATATATAATATATATTATATATTTTATATATAATATATATTATATATTTTATATTATATTTATATATAAATATAATATAATATATATTTTATATATATTATATTATATTTATATATATATATAATATATATTTTATATATATTATATTTTATATATAATATATTATATTTATATATAATATATAATATATATTTTATATATATATTATATTTTATATATAATATATAATATATATTTTATATATATATTATATTTTATATATAATATATAATATATATTTTATATATATATTATATTTTATATATATTATATATATATTTTATATATTATATATTATATATAATATATAATATACATTTTATATATAATATATAATATACATTTTATATATATTATATATAATATACATTTTATATATAATATATAATATACATTTTATATATATTATATAATATATATTTTATATATAATATATATTTTATATATAATATATAATATATAATATATATAATATGTAATATATAATATATATAATATGTAATATATATTATATATAATATATAATATATAATATATATAATATATAATATATATACACAATATATAATATATATAATATATAATATATATACAATATATAATATATATACACAATATACATATATTTTGTTTTTCTCCTGGTTTCCTGTATTTCTTCCTTGGGACTCCATGCCATGCCCTACATCTTTACAGTAAACCCGCCTGACTCACTAGAGCTCGCCAGACTAAGGCTCTGCTCCACATAATCAAAGGAAGCCCACCCAGAACAGCCTTCCTTCTCTTTTGTCCAAGCTACACTCAAGTCAAACAGGACTTGGCTCTTCCTCAGCCTTATGCCTTCAACCCATGCTCCTGTGCATGCCAGCAACGGCACAGAGCTGCCCACCTTGCCTCTCAGCCTCCTCCAGTCTCAGTTCCTCACTTTGCAGAGCCCTCGTTCCACACCTCTCCGAAGCTCTCTCCAGTCCACCTAGCCAAAGAACCTTCTGGCCACTCTGAAGCCCCTTGGCTGCCCACTCGTGCCTCTCCTATGGAGGGTCTAATCCAGGCTCCATCATTTAGCAGTTCCAGCCCCTGGACAAAGCCCTCTGCCCCTTGAGCTTAGTTTCCTGGTGTCTAGAAGGGAGACTCCACTGCCATTCTGGTCTCTCAAATGGAACTTTTGAGAGACCAGAAGTACATGCCAGAAAACGTGCACAATGACTGAAAACTTCAAAGTGCTCTCCAAACTGTAGACCTTTCCCATAGACGCTCTCATGAATGAACAGCAATTTGAAGATGAACACATAGGCTGTTCATTCTGTGTCACTCTGCCTGCTTTACAATCCTCTGGGAGCCCTGAGGAGTGGGAAATTCCAGAGGCCCCCACGGACCTGCCAGCCACACAGTCTCCAGGTGCACCTGATGGGCTGGTTGAGCCCTCGTCCCAAAGGAATTCTGGCAGCACCATCACTCTCTCACAGCTTCTCAATTTTTCATCCCTCGAGCATTCGGCTCTAGGACTTAGAAAACAAGTCTCTCCAAGTCTGCCCATAGCTCTGCATTTTAAATGTTCTGTGGTCCATAATAACTTACATAAAGGGCCAATAGGATGGAACACAGCAGGACACAACAGGAGAAAACAAAATGCAGTAAGGTAGATTTCATTTGACCAGCTAGAGCACTCAGAGAAACTGGCCACACCAAAAGGAATGGAGTCATCATCATCTTTACACAACTCCCTTCACACTCTGAAAAGTCATGATGGAGAGAGGCATAAATTACGGCGTCTTCAGCTAATTTTACATGACACAGACACAAATGACTTTACTTTTCCTAATTGTGAGAAATAATGAAATCTTCTCTCCCTCCTTCTATCCGTGTCCTCTATCCAAAGGTTCTGCTAATTTAAAACATTTGGTGGAAAAATAATACTGGGGCATTGTTCTTATGAAAAAATCTAATCCTTTTGAGTTTAATTCTAATATGCAGAGAAGAATATGAACCTGTCCTGCATGATGGTACTATGACAAAACGAGTTAATTACCATCTCATCCTAAGATCAATCTACTTGTCATAGGAACGGGAGCCATTATTTCACACAAAATAATGACCCAGATAAAAATGACTGCAAGTTGAGGCGGCCAATGACACAGCTTCATCTTGACCTAACTGAGCTGCAATTAACAAGTGTCACCACTACATATATATAAATAGGGCCAAAGCTATTCATTAAATATTTGCAGTGAAAAAAACCACAAATGGTTTTTAGCATACTTCTTCCTGGGAAGCACCTGTGGTCTTCTACCTGGTGTGATGACAGAAAAATTTACACATGTAAAATTCAGCCATCAGTTGGAATAGCCACGGGTGTTGGAGAGGTACGTGGAATTGTCCTCTGCTCTTTGCACACAGAGGTGGTATTTTCTTTAGAAATTATGGCCAGCAACAGAAAAGAGGAGCAGGGAGAAGGGGGCCCAGTCCCATTATTTTGTCCCACTTCTTGTTGTCATGGCAACTGGACTAGAAACTAAAGCCACAGCCAGCAATGACAGCGAGAAATGCTAGGTCTTTCCAAGTCCAGCCCTGTCCACTAACAGACAATGCGGGGGCAAACGGTGGGGCAACCTCAACACACCTGGCTCCTCCAAGGCAGGAATGACCGTAAGCCACATTTCTGTTTAGAGGAACAGAGATGGAACTCTGGGATAGACATCTGGAGACACTGCGGGTCAGAAATCTCACTGCTGCCCTGGTTTACAAGCTGTCCAGTCTGTCTTCTTATTTAAAAACCAAGTGTATGACAGGAACAGGATGATACGATGGGCTTTAAAGCCTATTATTTTCAAAACGTTAAGAACAGAATTCTTACTATAAGTCTTCACTTAATGTTGTCAATAGGTTCTTGGAAACTGAGACTTTGAGCAAAATGACAAATGAAACCAATTTTCTTCTCAAGGTTAAAACTAAATGACACTGAATGAAATTGAGGACCTGCTGTATGCTGTTTCACTAAAAGTCAGTTTCTAAGAACCTACACAGTGTTAAGGACTTATACAAACACAGAATGAGCAGGTGTCATTTACTTCATAAATTATCTAATGAATCATCAGACACACATGTGCATACACACATCTATAATCAGTGGGAAAAAAAGAATGCTGGCATAAAAGTTAAGATAAAAACTGGCTAATGTCCTTCAGGGCATAAAAACCCTAACTTTGAGGGCCTTTCCCACTGGACAGATGGACATCTCCACTTGGGTACTACAGAAACAACACCCCAGTAGCTCGCAAATCGGGCTGTTTCCTGAAGAACTGAGACAGGACCACTGCAATGGGTCAGCCATGCAATAACCTAATTTGGTTAAGACAAAGTCACCAACTCATATCAACTCATATGTTTTCTTTCTTTTAAGAGACTGGGTCTCACTCTGTCAGCCAGGCTGGAGTGCAGTGGTGCAATCATAGCTCACTGTGGTCTCAAACTCCTGGGCTCAAGCAATTCTCTCGCCTCAGCCTCTAGAGTAGCTAGGACTATAGTCAAGCACCACCATGCTCGGCTTTTTAAAGAGACTTTTTTTTTTTTGGCAGAGATGGAGGTCTCACTATGTTGCCCAGTCTAATCTCAAACTCCTGAGCTCAAGCAATCCTTTTGCCTCAGCCTCCCAAAGTGTTGGGATTACCAGCTGAGCCACTGTGCCCAGCCTCAAATCACATGTTTTTAAAAAGCATATTTGAGAGTGGGCAGAGCCTTATGCCTTTCTTTTACTCACTTACCCCTCAAATATTCCAAGCATCTGAGTCTTAATTACAAAACCATTTCTAAAATGATTTTTTCCTGGTATTCGGATCATAGGGTAAATTCCACTTCTAGGATGTCCCTATACAAGTTGATTATTTGCAGCAATCCAAACAAAGATAGCTCTATTTCTATAGAAAGCTACATGCGTTATTAAAACACTTGTGTTCTCAGGCTTATGCGTATGTGAACAAAAGCTACTTCCCCCCTCCCCCATTTCTTAAATAATAATCTGAATTCTACCAGAGTAGAAAGAGCCTCCCTCATCCTAGTAAAATTACCAGAAATTCTGACCTCAGAGATCATCTGGCTCCTGGTCTATGGGCCATAGACCCATACATGAGCGGCTACTCCCAGAGTCCCTGGAGCCTGAACACTCAATACATGTTGAAGGGAGGGTGGCAGCAAGGAAACAAATCTCCTTTAAAGGGACAGCCTAATCATTTTACTGTTATACAAAATTCCTCTCAACGGCTTCCCGCTGCCTTTACAGCCCTGTCCCAGCTGTCTCTGGCCCCTTCTCCCGACCCTCACTCTCCCTCTGACGTTCTTTTGATTCCCCTCACTCCCTCCTGCCTCAGGCCCTCATGTACACTGTTCCCTGTTTGGAGGGCTTCCCGACCTGTCCGAGCACAGCCGCATCCCCAAAGACACCCCGTCATCCTTCCCATCTCAGCTCCAAGTACCTTCCGGATCCCCTTGCTCCTCAGCCCCGGCCACTTCTGCTGGTAACACTCACTAGTTCGGCTGTTTTATTCTCTGTATCCCAGCATCTAGTACATTCCTGGCTCAAAGCTGACAGCTGACAATATTTATTAACAAATTCCCTAATTGGCTGATTGGACCTCAAATCACAATCACCTGTATGGGGTGGGGAATTGTCGATTACTAGGGAACACTGGGTAAGAGAGAACAAGATAAGCATCAAGCAGTGAACTCAGCCCCAGTTTGGGGCTAGGACATTCCTTCTGTAGTAAATATCATATTAAAACTCAAGTAGACCCTACAGTTAGGCACAAAACCTCATATGGTTCACTAGTTCGGCTGTTTTATTCTCTGTATCCCAACATCTAGTACTATTCCTGGCCCAAAGCTGACAGCTGACAATAATTATTAACAAATTCCCTAATTGGCTGATTGGACCTCAAATCACAATCACCTGTATGGGGTGGGGGAATTGTCGATTACTAGGGAACACTGGGTAAGAGAGAACAAGATAAGCATCAAGCAGTGAACTCAGCCCCAATTTGGGGCTAGGACATTCCTTCTGTAGTAAATGTCATATTAAAACTCAAGTAGACCCTACAGTTAGGCACAAAACCTCATATGGCATGAAGAAATATGAATTCCCTGCAACTACGCAGTTTTCCCTGGTATGTTCGAATGTGGGTGGCCCAGGACTCTGGCATGCTTCCACACTAGGAAGGGAAGGGGGCTTGCGGCAATGAAGACCCATAGATAAAAGGAAGGTGGGATCTGGGAAGTCACATTACCATGAGGGTTTGAAAGGAGTCCCGGCGCAGGCCTGCAGGTCTGTCAGCTGTTAACCCCACTCCAGCTGGAAAAGACAGGACCCGGGCTCCTGCATGCCTGGGGAGGAGGGGTTAGCCATCTTGTTCCAGAGTCAGCTCTGGAGGGGGCTGCTTCCCTGTGGGGCTGCCAAAGGTTTAGGTCACAGCTCTTGCATGGCCTCTTGAGTGTGGCTGATCTGTCCTAAGGCAGCTACCTGCCTGTTCACTCAGGGGAACACTCGCAAACCTCTTCAATGGTACCCTGACTGTAGCGCTCACCTTCTTAATGAACTCTGGGATGAGTTTCTGGTCTGTCGGGTGGTCTAAGGAGGAACAGCAATCTAATTCCAAGATGTAGCCTTCATTGTGAAGATCAGTTTTCTGAGATCTGAAGAGAAAGAAAAGCACACACAGAAACAGATTAATATCTTGCATAATTTGGAGACAGTCTCACTCTTGTCACCCAGGCTGGAGTGCAATGACGCGATCTCGGCTCACTGCAACCCCCACCTCCCGGGTTCAAGCAATTGTCCTGCCTCAGCCTCCCGAATAGCTGGGATTACAGGCACCCACTACCACACCCGGCTAATTTTTTTTTTTTTTTTTTGAGACGGAGTCTTGCTCTGTCGCCCAGGCTGGAGTGCAGTGGCGTGATCTCGGCTCACTGCAAGCTCCACCTTCCAGGTTCACGCCATTCTCCTGCCTCAGCCTCCCCAGTAGCTGGGACTACAGGCGCCCGCCACTGCGCCCAGCTAATTTTTTTGTATTTTTAGTAGAGATGGGGTTTCACCATGTTGGACAGGCTGGTCTGGAACTCCTGATCTCAGGTGATCCGCCCGCCTTGGCCTCCCAAAGTGCTGGGATTACAGACATGAGCCACTGTGCCCAGACGCAGAATATTTTTTTTTTTTTTTAAAAAGAATCATTGGGTCTTTAATGAAGCCCCAGATTCTTTCCCGAAAGTAACGTCAAAAAGGCACTGATGAAAAATGGTTTATGGAAACTACTCAAGTAATATATACATATCCACATCATAGTAAGACCTCTAAGATGTAGCATCATGTAAAACACATCATTATAGAATGATGGGTTTGGTACAATACAGCTTACATGTTATACACACACACACACACACACACACACACACACACACACACACACACAAACTCTCACTCCAGTAATGTCTATGTCCCATTGGTTTATATCCGCCAGGGCACAGAAAAAGAACAAGCAAGACATACACCAAACCAATAATAGCAGGTACCCCTGGGGAATGGGGAAGGCTTATGTGGATGGGGATGGGGATGGGTGGTGATGGTATGGGTGTGGGGGTGGTGATCAAAAGTGAATTTAGCCATAATCCCTAATTGTTTTCATTTTTAAATGAAAAGAATATATTCCTATATCACTTAGAAAATTAAAAATTAATTTTTAAAAGACTTTAAAAGGGTTCAACCCCTTTAGAGGGCAATCTGGCAAAATCTATGGAAATTAAAGATGCATTAAAGAAAGACTACTGAGCAACTAAAAGAAATTCTGGGAAAACAGCGTGGGTGTAAACGGCTGTCTGAGGTGAAGGCCTGTAGTCTTGCTGTCAAAGGAGAGGCTTCCTAGCGCACCCTGCCATCTCTGCACACAGGGGCTGCTTTCCAAAGCACCACCACATAGACATCCCTGTGATACAGCACAGTTCAAAACTGCACCCATTCAGGAGAGCCAGCAGCAAGTGGTCACCAGGAGGAAATTCCACCACTTCACAGCCATTCACAGGCAGGGCTCCTGTATGACACTAGAGTGGAAATCACGTGGGTGTCAGAAATTGAAGAGGATTCCTTGGCCCAGCCAGGCATAAGGCAACAAGAGTGGTACTGCAGCTAAAGGCTGGCAGAACGTGCTGTCTCTTCTAGGTGGCTGGTGGTATTGGGGAGTGGGAATTAGAGACCAAGGCTCCCAGCTCCTTGTCCAGGGCTCATGTACACAGCTAATCTGCACTGGTGGAGGAGGGAGCAGAGCCCTCCTGGCCCACTTATGAGGCTGTTCTACCAAAGAGGGGCCCCTGAAGTCCCTGTGAGAGCAGGACTGTCCAGAAAATGCATAAAGCAGGCACTTCCACACTGAACTCCTGAGATACATGCATCTCACCAGTTTCTAACTGTGTATTTGCTGCAACGTTTTAAATAAATTTCTAAGATTCTTATATAGCATTAAAAGCAATTTCTGCTACCATTAACCATCTGTGTATGATTCACCTTAAATTTAAAAGTGAAAAAAATGAAAGAGGATTTGGTTTTCCCCAGGTGTGCAACTGTGATTTGGTAAGCAAACTTCAATAGCTTATTTTTATTTTTCTTTCCAACATACCCTTCCAAGGGTAGGGTACTGTGGCGCATACATTCAAAATGTAAAACAATAAACTGATTTCAATCTGGAACAAACTAATCCCAAAAGAATAAACCAATTCTGAACCCTAACCTTTTTGCCTTAATACTTGGTCAGAGACTAGACTCATGTTCTCATTTCCTCCCCAAACAAAAGACATATTAAGAGGAACTAAGGCAGATGATTCCAGACCTTTGAAAAGAAGACTTGGTCAAGACACACTGTCATACGTACCATGTGAGGTCTCAAACAACAAAAATCAGGATGAGGGAGAGGGGGTTCTAAAATCTAAAATCCAGCTGTTCTGTTACATGGAAACAGGCTATATGAGGTTATTTAGAAATATCCATTGAGATTTCAAATGAATAGACTAAAAAACTATAATCATTTTAAATAAGTCAATGCTGTATCCATTAAGTACAACATTCACAGGATGAACAAAAGGAAGACAAGTTGGTCTGTAAGCAACTCACAGCCCAGATCGATTCTAGGGAATAATCTTTAGCATAGAATCTAATAAGTACCATCTCTGGTTCTGGAACAAGAAGTTCTATAACAAGAAAGGAAGCTCTGGTTCATTTCTTCAAATAATTAACTCAGTTACATCTGAACTGAAAGGGGCACAAAAGATCAAGAAAAATAGGCATTACAAATTTTTTAGATGAACCATGGAAAATTACATCTCAGCCTATGGTTTCTTGGAAAAGCAAATCTAATGCATATTGGGGGAATAGGTGAGCAAGTAATAGGCGTTCTCCTGCCTTTGGGAATTAGCTCCTCAATTTGAAATGAAAGGATTATTACACTGAAGAATGGCTGAAAGGGAGAGGAAGGGGGAAAAATCCCTAAACCCCTTGAGGACAGATGCTGGCTGCCCAGCCTTGAAGTCAGCACTCTGTGATGGTGCAGCTATGGCCTCACAGAGGAAGAGCTGAAGGCAGAAGGCACAGTCACACAGAAACTCTCTCCTTGCCACTAATCCTATGAAAAACAGCATTAAATCCACTAGCAAAGCCCTATAGAGCTGCCAGAGGGAGTTTCTGGGCTTCTCAGCACTGGAGGTGGGGAGTGAGGTGGTGGTGGGGAGACCATGGTTGCTGTGGCAAACACACTCTAAGATGACCCCCACAACAATCCCCACCTCCTGGTGTTCACACTTTTGTGCAATCCAGCCCTTTCAGTGGGGGCAGGGCCTGTGACTTGCACCTACTCAATAAAACATGGTAAAGGTGATGGATGTCACTCCTGTGATGGCATTATGTTATATGACTCCCTCTGAGCTAGAGAATCCCTTACTGGCTTTGAAGAAGAAAGCTTCAGGAAGAAGGAGAGAGCCACATGGCAAGAAATTGTGGGTAGTCCCTGGCCAACAGCTGCAAGAAAACAGAGATCCCAGTCCTACAACTACAAGGAGATGATTCCTGCCAACAAACTGAGGGAGGCTGGAAGTGGGGCTTTCCTCAGTTGAGCCTCTGATGAGACTGCAGCCTGAGCCAACACTGATATTACAGCCTGATAAAATTCTGAAGCAAAGAACCCTGATAAACTACAGAAACCATATGATAATAAATACGTACCATTTTGAACCATGAAATGTGTTATCATTTATTACAGAGCATAGAAAACTAATACCAAAAAAAGAAAACAGAAAACTAACACAGTTCCTGAGGAGGAAGACATGGCAGTTTCATGCTTAGAACAGGCCACCCACTGGTGACCAGGCCTAGGCCCAAACCCACAAAATCCAGCCAGACATCTGAAAGCAGCTCCATCAGGTGAGGAGTGTTCTGTGTCCCTGAGGGCAAGGACTATCCTGGGAGACAGAAGTGGACATGTCCTAGAAGTGACCTCCAGGGCTGTGGCCTGGTTGTCCAAGATACCACAGGACAAAGGAATAAATATTCCGCTATCAATCTAGTTTCTATGGAAGAAGCATTAACCTGAAACTCCCAGCTGAGCAGGCATTGCCACCTTCCTATGGGGTAGTGGAAATACCAGGTATGCTCCCCAAAGGGCCATGTCATTGTATCATCCTGGAAAAGAATATGGGAAACCACCAAACTTCCCCTGGACAGAAGTCCAGATGACTTCCACTTTTGGAAAGGACAGAGAGATCTGGTTTTAAACAGTAAGAAAAAGAAAACACAGAATGCATTTCTGGAGACGTACACAGGGTTAACTAACAGCAAAAGCCCCCCCAACCTACTTTATCTGGAAATTAACACTAAGCACTCTCCAATTAAATAAAGACACTCTGAGGAGAGCATGACTAATAATAAAATATGCTTCCCCATCACTCGCCATCCCCAACTTGGTATGATAATTCCAATAGATTTATTAGTTAGAGGCTACCGGTGTTAGAGCTAACTAGAGGCAGGTAATACACCAGCTGTGAGCCTTTGGGCAATTTACTTAAACTTTCTGTGCTTCAGTTTCTTTCACTAATGAATGGGATATTATACGGAGCTACCTCTTAACATTGCTGTAAGGATTAAATAGGACAAAAAGAAGCAAAGCCCTTAGCACAGAGGTACAACATCCAGGCTCAACAAATCCTACCTGCTACTGATCTGTTATTATCATCTATAATTGTGTTCTTACTTTTCCTTCCTAGCACTTTTCACAGTTCATTACTCATTCATTCATTAAATATGGACCACACTACTACTGTGTCAGGTACTATACTTTAGCATTCATCAATAGATAGAAGTGACAAAACCTCTGCCTTTGTGGAGCTAACAATCTAATAGGAGGAGAAAGACAATAAGCAATAGACATGCATGAGCACCTAACAGAGTATGCCCAATGGTGGGAAGTCTTGAAAAAAAAAAAAAAAGAAAGAAAGAAAAGGGCTGGGCACAGTGGCTCACGCCAGTAATCCTAGCACTTCGGGAGGCTGAGGTGGGAGGATCACCTGAGGTCAGGGGTTCGAGACCAGCCTGGCCAACATGGCAAACCCCCATCTCTACTAAAAATACAAAAATTAGCCAGGCATGGTGGTGCACGCCTATAATTCCAGCTACTTGGGAGGCTGAGACAGAATTGTTTAAACCTGGGAGGCGGAGGTTGCAGTGAGCCAAGATCACACCACTGCACTCCAGCCTGAGCAACAGAGTGAGACTTCATCTCAAAAAAAAAAAAAAGAAAAGAAAAGGAAAAAAGAAACACAGCAGCAGGGTAAGGTGAATGGCAGGGGCAGCAGGGAGACAGTTGTAGTTTTAATGAGGGTGGTCAGGATAGCTGCACTGATGAGGTGAAATTTGGAATAAAGACTTCCAGGAGGTAAGGGACCGGGCTCATCCAGGGCATGAGCTCTCCAGGCAGAGGGAACAACAGCTCATGCAAAGGCCCTAAGCTGAGGGCATGCAAAGAAGCCCTGTGGCCGGGGCTCAGTGCAGAGGGGTGCAGGGAGGAAGACACAGTTGGAGAGCCTCAGGGGAGATGGATAGTATAGACATTCAGGCCACAGTGAAGACAATGGCTTTTACTCAGAATGACAGAGGAAGTCCGTGGAGGGTGTGGAACAGAGAAGTGACATGATCTGGTGAATTTTAAAAGGATCCCTCTGGCTGTAAGGGGCAGCCAGAAGCCCATCTAAGTGGTCCAGGCAAGGGATGATGATGGCTCAGAGTGGGTTGGCAACAGTGTCCTAGCAGCAGTGAGAAGTGCTGGGTTCCAGTTATATTTTCAAGGTAAAACCTTCAAGATTTTCATATGAACAGGTTGTGGGGTGTGGAAGGAGGAAAGCAGATGAAGATGACTCCAAGGATCTTTGCCTTAGCAACTGGGAGAATGGATGACTTTGCCAGAACTATCATGGGGAAGGGTTGGGTGGCACAGGCTTAGGGGGGAAGAAAGATAATTCAAGTTTCAGATATGTTGAATATGACATATCCAGAAGACATCCAAGTTGAGATGTCTGGTAGACAGTTGAGTATATATATATATATATATATACACACACACACACACATATATACTTGAATATATATACTGAAGTCTGGACTGCAGGAGAACGGTCTGGACTGCAGCTGGAGATATAAATTTAGGAGTCATCAGTCTCCCAGGTATTACTTAAAGCATGAGGCTAAATGAGCTCTCCATTAATGTAGCAAGAGAAGGGTTAAGAATTTAATTTTGGGACCCTCCACCATGAAGAGGGTGGGGTGAAAAGAGGAACAAACAGCCAAGGAGCTAAAGAAAGAATAACCAGGGAAGAAGGAAGAAAACAAAGAGAACACGTTTGTTTTCCTGGAAGCAAGGAAGCAAGGAAGCAAGTCAAGGAGAAGGGTATGAGACATCCTGTCAATTTCCTCAATTAACAAATTTATAATCTTCTCTCCAAGTTACTTATCCTCTTGAAATCCCAAGAGGGAAACTGAATTTAATCCACCCTATGCAAATAGGTGTGAAGAAATCTGTTAATCTGTTTATCTGTTTATATGATTATCTGGCAGATAATCATATAAATTGGGCAGATTGTCAAATTTAAATTTTGATTTGGGTTCAGAATAGCTTGGCTCCTTGAAAAAAAAAAATCATCATCTTGCTGCTGAGTCATTTCTCAGAAACAGCCTGGGGAAAAATTAACTAAAAAGAGCTCTGACCCATCTTACATCTTGGGACCCCCCACTTACACAGAGCACTGGAGATTTGAGAGGCTGTATTTCACCATTCCAAAGGAATTTTCTGAAAGGAGTGAGAATAAAAGGGTACTACTGGCAGAGATGTGATTTCCTGAAAATCAAGAATGAATAGGACAAAATGAACTCGAATCCTTAGAGTGTAGCAACATAGTTTTAATAATGCACATAAACAGAGTGGTTCTGATTGCTGGAGGCAATGGAGAAGCAACTAAGACATCTGAGCCCCGTTAAGTTTTAAAAAGCCATCACAACATGACAACTAAATGCAGTATAGTACCCTGGATTGGATCCTGGAACTGAAAAAGGACATTAATAGAAAAATGGTAAAATCTACGGTTTAATTAACAGTGAAGTACCAATGTCAATTTCTTAGTTTGACAAACATAGTATGGTAATGTAAGATATTAATGGTGGTGGGAAACTTGGGGAAGTGCATATGAGAATTCTCTGGAATACCTTTGCAACTTTTCTGTTAAATCTCAAGTTATTCCTAGGCAGGGTATGTTGTATCTGCCACTCTCCTAGAGATTTTCCTTGGGACATAACTGAACAAGTCCATGGAAAAGGGAAAAATAGAAAGAATGACTTATAAAGATGAGTAATGTAGACTCTTGTATTCTAAGAGGAAAATAAACCTTCAAGGAAAAAGACCAGGGATAATGAAATGAAAGAATGGGGTCTATGCTTCCTCTGGTCAGAAAAACTCAAAACTACTTCCAACTTCTTGCTTTCCTTACTTTTAAAAATTTTTTTATTATGATAAAATACACATCACATAACATTTACCATTTTAATCATTTTTAAGTGTACAATTCAGTGGCGTTAAGTACCTTCACAATGTTGTGCAACCACCATCACTACCCATTTCCAGAACTTGTTTTTCTTTTTCTTTTTTTTTTTTTTTTTGAGACAGGGTCTCACTCTGTTGCCCAGGCTGAAGTGCGGTGGCATGATCAAGGGCTCACTGCAGCCTCAACTTCCTGGGCTCAAGCAATCCTCCCACCTCAGCCCCCCAAGTAGCTGGGACTACAGGCACATGCTACCATGTCTGGCTAATTTTTTTTTTTTTGAATTTTAGTAAAGATGAGTTCTCCCTACGTTGCCCAGGCCATCAAGTGATCCTCCCGCCTCAGCCTCCTAAAGTGCTGAGAATACAGGCATCAGCCACCGCACCCGGCCTCCAGAACTTCTCTGTCATTCCAAACAGTCCTCATTTCTTTAACACCTTATATCTAGAACTTGGGCCAAAACTGAATGTGAACAAGTAAAAAAACCACACACACATTAAATAATGCTTGTCAGACAAACATATGAAAGTAGATTTGGACACTGAGCACTTGTACACAAATGTCAACACAACTGGCCACAGATGTCAGGGTCGTTTCAGAACATGATAAAAGACCCCTATTCTGTGTCAGGTTGACCTCATTACTCATACACAAACATCAACTGTAAAACTGTGTGCAAACTCAGAGATGTACCTGGAGATCTTCACTCACCACCACCCTAGCGTCTGCCAAGGGTGGTGTAGTCATTCTCCAGGCAGGGGAAGGGTCAGATGGCCAAACTAGCGCTGTAAACTCAAACGCCCATGGGCAACGAGTGAAAGATTCTTTCTGAAACCAAAGCACATAATCTAGACATTTTGTTCTCATATAAAAGCCTGCAGCTTTGGCCTTCCAGCTCAAGCAATCCTCCCACCTCACCCTCCTAAGTAGCTGGGACTACAGGCGTGTACCACCACACCCAGCTAATATTTATATTTTTTATAGAGACAGGGTTTTGCCATGTTGCCCAGGCTGGTCTCAAATTCCTGGGCTCAAGTGAACCTCCAGCTCGGCATCCCAAAGTTCTGGGATTACAGGTGTGAGCAACCATGCCCGGCCTTGTCTGACCCATTTAAACAGCCCCTCACTCTGCTCTCACAGTGGTGGGACCTAACCCTTTCCTAAGACATTAAAATAGCATTGTTGTAACAAGTACTGCTAACACTTATGAGTGCTTTCAATATTGGTAATTATCACAGGCAAAACAGTTAACCCTCAAATCACTGACAAAGTGCCAAGTAGTAAGTTGAATATGCATTTTGGTCTCATGGGAAGATCTAAAATGAGGCCACTAAAAAACAATTGCCTGTCGAAAAACTATTATAAACTATACTTCTAAAAAATAAGCATGTGACTAAAAACTATGATACACATTACTTTTAAATAATAAACATGTAATAAATCCCATTTTGGCTCATAAATCCCTTAGATCTCTTCAAAGACCATGAGTTTAAACGATGTCTTCTTTTTCCCAGGACAACAGGCAGTTATGAAAAGGAGAGAGAATGTGCAGTTCATCAGTAGGGTTATTTTTGCTTCATTTAGAAATAATCAAAAAAAAATGGTGACAAACACAAACAGATTACTAGGCACTTCTCCAGCCAGGAAAAAAAATACTAAACGTCAGTTGACAAAAACAAATTCTCTATCTCTGGGAAACAGGAAGGAATTTTAAGATTTTTGTTTCCCAAAGCAACACCAAGCTCAAATAGAATAATCAGAACAGCTTATTTTTTTTTTTTTAAAGAAGTATTAGGGAGAGAAATGAGCTAGAGATCTGAAAGAGATTTGTCAATGAAAGAAAAAGAAAGCTATTCCTAGTTTCATTAACTTACGTATAACTAATGACAATAAAAATCTCCACTTATTCATTTGTCTATCCATCACCTGCTTGACTGCTGACCACATATGAGGGATTGAAGGCACTGCCCTCAAGTCTAGATCCTGCCCTCAAGTCTAGATAGACTGTGTATAAACAGAAGTGCTATGAGAATTCAATTATTTCCAGTGTCAAGGATCAGGGGAAAATTTAAGGAGCAAGGCGTGTGTGGGCTGAGTCTTTGAGTCTGTATGGAAGTTAGTCATGGGACAATGGATAAAAGGACATTCTAGGCCTGAGAACAGAAATTAATGAAGACCTAGATTGAGAAAAGCATGAGTTATATGATGGAAATAATAAATAGGTCAGTTAGGCAAAAGGTGTGTGAAGGTGCGGGTTGCCTGTAACTCAGCAGAGGCTGTAATGATGAGCCTAGGGAACGTGTGGGTGAATCCACTGTTAGAACGAGTCTGTGACTGTGGGCTCTGCAGTGACCGGGGCAGAATAGTGGGAAACAAAGTTACTGAGAAAGGACGGTACTCGCCTTAACTGTGAAGTAAAGAAGAGTCATGGGTGGCCTTAGAGAGAAAGATACTATGACAGATTCTGGGAAGATTAAGCAGGCGGCAGTGTGTATGATGTAGGAAGGGGGGAAGAATATTTTAGGACAGCAGCAATGAGAACTGTACTGAGATTTTTGTCGAAGGGAGTGGGTGGACGGAAGAGCAGTATTTCTTGTCCCTGCAATTGGTGGTGGTTGTGGGCAGGGGAATAACCTGCACCTTCCCAGAGATGCTCCCAGTACAATAGGGAAAAGGTTTCCCATAATTTTATGAACCCTCTTTGCAAAATGAACCAAATCTACACAAATACAATGAGCCTGTTGGAGTTAAAAGTTTCCCCTATAGCAAAACTGAAGAAATACTTGAGGAAAAAATAGTCAAGTAAACAAATCCTAGCAAATCTTTAAATAAAGCACCTCAGTATAGGGTCCCCCAGGGGAGTTGTGAAGTAGGAAGCACAACGAAGGAGAAGAATTTACCCACAGATGAGTCACTGTCCTTTCTTCCGATGTTCCCTTCCCCTTCTAGCAGAAGACATTCAGCACTTCTGTTGAAAAAAGTTTGGTATCTCTGGGAACATTCTGGACATGATGGGGGAGATGTGCAAAGGATACTCCCACTACACACTCTCTCAGGGAGCTGTGCATGCCTACTGGGGAGATGTTACCAGGGACATCTAACTATCCGACCCTGCTATTTATTCTAGAGAAATCATCCTGTCTTGCTGCTTACTGTCAGGGCTGGCTCCCTGGGAGACAAACTATCAGCCACTGTGCACTACAAGGAGTGCACTGTTAACCGTAAAGACCAAGAGGAAAACAGACAAACTTTGCCTCGGTGCTCCCTGTCTAATGGAGTTGTGAAAGAATTTCAATGCCCAGTGAGCTGGGCTGCAGAAAAGAGGAGAGCAGCCACACAGAATGGGAGCTGGGGGAGGGTCCTGCTTTCTCTGGAATGCTGCAAGTCTCTCCTTTACATTGACAGATGTAGAAAGAACTAATATTAGTAGCGATGCATAATTAATAATATTTTATCACAAATAGAATACTGAATAAAAGCAGTCTGCCTGACATTTACTGGTTCAGAAAAGTCACATATCTGCAAACAAAAATAGCAATAATAGCTACATAGGAATGGTGTTCATGAGACTCTCTCATGGGACCTGTCCAGTTAGGTTACAAGAAGCCTCTTCTCTACGTGCATTGAATGCACATGTTCCACATTAAACTTTGCTGATTGTTTTCTTCCTTCCCAAATCATCCCACCTATACCCACTAACTGAGTTAGGTGATAGAAATGTTCTATATCTGTACAGTCCAGTAAAATAGCCACTACGGTTTTGCTACAGCATGTTTTGCTACTGAGCACCTGAAATTCAGCCAGTGCAACTGAAGAATTGAATTTTTATTCTTACTTAATTTTAACAATTTAAATGGCTATACATGGCTAATGGCTGTGTTACAGGAAAAGACAGCTTAATTCTGTTCTCAAACTTTAATGTATGTGCAAATCATCTGGAACCTCGTTAAAGTACAGACTCTGATTCGACAGGTCTGGGTAGGCCTGAGAGTCTGTGTCTCTAAGAGCTCCCAGGTGATGCTGATGCTGCTGGTGCATGGACCACACTTTGAGTAGCAAGATTCCGACTGCTTCAGGAACCACCAGTTCCAGTGTGTCTCAAATGCTGAGTGGATCAATTGTCTCCAAATTTTTCTGATCACACAGCGTGCCAGAAAAAAATTCCTGAGTACCACTGTACTAACATCTTACATATGTTATAAAACAAAACATACAAAACAGAAAATCGTAAACAACAGAAATGATGAAATAAGCAATATTTTATAATGATGATCACAGTAAGTTCACACTATTAATAGCTAATACCTCAAGGCAAAATATACACTTGAAATGAGATTCATTGTTAACATAATGGAACTATAACACACTTTTCAAAAAGTCTTCTTGATAATTCCAAATTTCTAAATCAGATCTGAACAGGTAGGCATTGGTATTGGTGTTTTTTTTTTTTCTTTTCTTTTTGAGATGGTGTCTCACTCTGTCGCCCAGGCTGGGGTGCAGTGGCATAATCTCAGCTCACTGCAATCTCCACCTCCCGGGTTCAAGTGATTCTCCTGCCTCAGCCCCCGGAGTAGCTGGGACTACAGGTGCATGCCACCATGCCCAGCTAATTTTTGTATTTTTAGTAGAGACAGGGTTTCACCATGTTGGCCAGGATGGTCTCGATCCCTTGACTTCGTGATCCGCCCGCCTCGGCCTCCCAAAGTGCTGGGATTACAGGTGTGAGCCACCACGCCCAGCCCAACATTGGTGTTTTAATCTCATACTGCGTCCCACAAAGCTCTTATGGGCAGAGACGGGTCAGTGTAGCCATTTCCACATGAGAGAGAGAAGGATTTTACATTTACATTACGGGTATTCTCTTCAATCTGCAATCACTTCATAGAAATTTTTTAAAGCCATGTGTATATTTCATGAGAGTTAATTTAGCTAAAATTACAAAAAGCGATCCACTAATTCACCTTACTGAGATCTCAGCTGAAAGTGCTTCCCTGAACCCAGCCCTTCTGCAGGCCCCTCCTGCTCCATACAGCACATGTGACCTCTGACATACACACCAAGCCAGGACACCACCTTCAACCTGAATGCTAAATATTATGACACATCATCTCTCTCCTAATTTTTCAATAAAATATATAAAAATAGACACCTCAGTTCTCCTTCAACATTAAATATGTCTACCCCACTTTGGTAACCACTGTTTAGATAGTACATAGAATTTCCAGAATTATTATGAAGCTCTCAAATAAAATTTACCTCCAATAATAATATTGAACATTATGTTCTTGAAAACACAAGGTGGAAATTCTTCTTAAATTAGTGTGTTAATGTAACTACAATTTCAACAGAGTTTACCAGGAACTGAAGAAATTATTTCAGGCTTTACATGGAAAAATCAACGTACAAAAGTTATCAAGATCCTAAAAAAGAATAGTGCCCTGGCCGGGTGTGGTGGCTCACGCCTGTAATCCCAGCACTTTGGGAGGCTGAGGCGGGTGGATCATGAGGTCAGGAGATGGAGACCATCCTGGCCAACATGGTGAAACCCCGTTTCTACTAAAAATACAAAAAAATTAGCTGGGCGTGGTGGCACGTGCCTGTAATCCCAGCTACTCAGGAGGCTGAGGCAGGAGAATCACTTGAACCCGGGAGGCGGAAGTTGCAGTGAGCCGAGATTGTGCCACTGCACTCCAGCCTGGTGACAAAGCGAGACTCCGTCTAAAAAAAAAAAAGAATAGTGCCCTACTGGATGTTAACATACATTACAAATTTATTATCATCAAAATAACATGGTTCTGGCACAAAAATCAATAAGTAGATCAAAGAAACAATAAAGAATCAGGAATAGATTGGGATGTACATATAGAAATCCTAACTATAATAAAGGTGGCATTTATTCAATGGCAAAGTTAGGTTAACTTAATAAGTGCTCTTGGCAAAGGTGGCTACCTAGAAGAAAATAAAAGTTAGACTCCTGGCTGGGTGCAGTGGCTCACGCCTGTAATCCCAGCACTTTGGGAGGCCGAAGTGGGTGGATCATGAGGTCAGGAGATCGAGACCATCCTGGCTAACACAGTGAAACCCCATCTCTACAAAAAATACAAAAAAAATTAGCCGGGCATGGTGGTTGGTGCCTGTAGTCCCAGCTCCTTGGGAGGCTGAGGCAGGAGAATGGCGAGAACCCAGGAGGCAGAGCTTGCAGTGAACCAAGATCACGCCACTGCACTCCAGCCTGGGTGACAGAGCGAGACTCTGTCTCAAAAAAAAAAAAAGTTAGACTCCCTGTCTTACTCCCTAACTAACCCACTGGTTCTCAAATCGGGGCAGTTTTGTCCTTCCACAGACATTAGGCAATGTCTGGAATCTGTCACAACTGCAGGGATGGGGGGTTTGCTGGTAGAATCTTGTGGGTAGACACCAGAGAGTCTACTAAATATCCTACAATGTACAGGACAGTCCCACACACAATTGTCTGATCCAAAATGTCAATAGTACCAAGGCTGAGAAATTCTATCCTTACCTACCTTAACCCTCACAGCTAAACAATTAAAGAGGAATGCTATTAGAAGACAGGTGCCAATGTGAAAACCGGTTTCTCCACTCATGAAACGTGTGGACACTGGCTTGGACAAGTACCACTCTGAGTCTCATTTCCTTCATCTTGGCTTAGGGGAATAAAGATAATATATATCATGAAGCAATGAACAAGGACTCCAGCCAGCCACAGCAGTAAATAAATGGTAGCTATGATGGCTATTATCAAAAATGAGAAATCATATGAAGAAGTACCTGCAAACACATAAATGTTCTTTACAAGAAAAGGGGGCATTATGTTCCTAAGAGATCCAGGTTGCTTGATGGAGTAATTTTGGAGACTTAAACTATAGCAATATATTACAAATTCCCCACGAACAGGAATCGTGTCCATCTCATTCTCTCTAACAAAGACTGCTACCTTAGCGGACCCAAAAGACACGTAATAAATACATTTTTATTTTGTTTTTAGGGAGCAGAGAGAAAATAACACACTGATAATCGTAGAACCATTATTTGCATATAATCATTTGGTGCAGAAACTGAAAAGACCCAGCCAGCCTGCTGAATGGGGCCATTTGGGGAGCTCTAAGTGGTTTGCAGTTGTAGCCCTATGTTCTGAAACCAGCTGGGGAATTAGCAAAGCTTCTGGTCCCACAGTGTAGCCATGGGGACTGGGGATGTTACAAAGCCCAGAAAATTCTCAGAATTCTCTGAGGATGTTTCTATAAGCTCTGGGGCCTCTGAGTTGAAAGATGATGTATTTCTGTGCCATGAGTCTCAAGATGGAACTTGAGTTCTATATTCACCACACACTCCCATTACCCACTCCAAACTTCGGACTGAGAAGTCGTTAATGACTTCTTCAGCCTCATTTTCCTAGACATAAAATGAGAAGTGGGGAATGAGGGAAGGTCATGGTATCTTTTGGTTACAAAACAGTGTATGTCTAAAACCTCTGCTGAAAGCACAGTAATGTTTTCGACAAATATTAACAACAGAAACAACCATCATGAGGACATAATGAGAATTAATTATAATACCGAAAACATACAGGAACAAAGCAAAGTGCTCTCAGACTCTCAGAAACAGGTGTTATGTGAATACAAGCTGCTAATTTGGTTTTTAAAGTCTTTGTAGCCATTTTAAGTTCCAACTCATGGTCGATGATAGGAAGTGAATGAAATGATGTATTCATATTTATAGCATATTTATCATATTTTCATATACTTATAGCATCTTTATAGCATTTACCTCTTTGTAAATGGTTCCATCTTTCAATCATTTAAAATATAAAATTTGGACAGATTTTAGAGACAATCATTATATAAAAATCTCATGAACATTTAAATCATTAATAATGTACTTATATACATCTAAACATTATATCTCACCTACTTCTGCATTCATATCTAAAAGTGTAAAACTCAATGACTAGTCTCATCCAGGACCCATCACTGGTAATGCCCATTATATCTTTTTCAGCTTGAAAAACACACAAAAAAAATCTAAGTTACTTCTGATTGACAAAGAGGAAAAAATGTCAATTTTCAATTCAACAGAGTTGAATAGGTAGACTATTCAATACAAGACTCCCACAAAGATTTAAAGTAAGACAATCTGAGTTCCTATATTTAATATGAGACAGACATATAAATAGAAAACTCCAACGCTTTAGTAAAATTATTTGCAACTAAATTACCTACACTTATGCATACGATTCTCAAAATCATGTCCCTGTAGTCTACCTTGCAATGCTACCAAATAAATCTTCCTAGAGAGTCAATTTTTACTTAAAGATTGTATGTACATGTGGGAAGAGGGGGCCTCTATTTTATTTAAAAACAAATACAGACATTTCATGGTACTGAAGTATTCACCCAAGTTTTAAGATTAACAGGAAATTTCAAAGAAATTCAGTGCTTGTGCATTTGTTTGGGTACCTGCTCACTGTTCTCTGTCATTTCAAAATAGTTCTGGGGAGAGGGTGGAAATCACTAGTGTGCTAATTCTCTCTCTCAGAAGAAACAAACAAACAAAAAATAAATAAAATGTGAGGAAAGACACAGGCCAATCAAGGGCAGCTATAGAACAGGAGTGGGGAAAATGAGCTCTCACACCAACCATGCACGTCTCCTTCTTGTTCTCTCCACCGGGGTAAAGGCCAATGCTTTGGAGGAAGAGAACAAGAGTAACTCGGCAAGCCATTTAGGAGTGTGGATTGGAAAAAATTCTTTCCCCCAAGAGAAGGTGGCTTTACGCTGGCATATGAGATTGAAAAGTGCAAACAAATAATTAACGGTGAATCCTGAAACTTCAACACACCAGAAAAGGGTGTCACTCCAGAGTGAGATGGGAAAATAAGAGGAATAAATTAAGGTAGTCTTGGTGATGCTGGACAGCTCCTCAGGGGGTACGGTGGCAGCCCGGAGAGCTAATCAAATCCTCCACACCCCTCAGGAAGCTAGAGAAAACTGATGAGGAAAGATACCACACCAGAAACGAGGGGCAGCTGCCAGCAACGGGTGTTCGCCCCACCTAAATCGGAATCCAAAATAACGACCCACATGCTAAACAAACACCTTCTCATTCCCCGCTCTGCCTTAAGCAAGAGCTCTGAATTCACCTTCCTCAATGTCTGCTCTCTGGGAATAAACCGGCGGCTGCAGTTTCCCATCACAGTAGCACGCATCAATCAGTGCTAAACCCACCGTTACTTTCTTCCCCACGTGTGATTCCAACAATCAGCGCACTCTAGGGCTGATCCTCGGCCTCGCGTGTGAACATTTTCTAGGGCACACCCCAGTAGGCGCTACCACCCCCTGTGTATTTCGCTTAATTATGAAACCTCTTTCTAGAAGCCCTATAATTCTCCCAAGAGTCAAGGTAATTGGTAAAAATTAGACATGAAAAGACACAAGGCCACTTAAAGAGGACACTTTCGACTGTAATTTTTTAAAGGATTTTCTTTTTAGTTTCAGTATAATTTTGTACTTTCCCAATTTTGCCCTTTTCAAATGCCAAAGAAAATGTTCATATTATCTTGTAGGCTATAAAAAAAAGATAACATAATGCATTTGTACTTCACTTATGGTCCGCAAAGATTTCCTTTCTTTGAAGGCCATCCTTTGAATGTCTTTTAAAAGAAAAAGAAGAGTGAAAAATAATGGACATCTATTCTTGTGGCAAATCACTGTTATTTTGGCAATGAAAGGATCGTGTGTGTGTGTGTGTGTGTGTGTGTGTGTGTGTGTGTCTGTTCCATTACTTGAGGTCTGTGCTATGTGGCTGCATTATTAAGATATACTTTTGGTACTGATAAATACGTAAACCAAAGACAGATCTATCTCATAATGAATTTATGGTCCTTTAGTAAAAGATTGTAGCAAAATTCCAGGGCATGGTTTTATCCCACTCAATTCATGCAAAATCTATTGAGCAATATCTATTCAAGGCCTGGCACTCTGAGCAAGCAATGGGAATCCAAAGATGGAAGAGGATTCAGCAAAGGGAGTGGAGGTGGGCAGACATCTAAAACACAATAACAGGAGAGACTGAGATTCCAGCAATTGCTGTGTGTCGAAGGCAGGATAAGCAGCTCAAAGGGTGTGTGATTACCTCTACTGATGTAAGCACTACACAGAAATCTTAGAGGCTGCAAGATGGCAGCCAGTGGCATGGGTTAGGGACAAACAATCCTACTTTGGAAAAGTGAGGCTAAAAGAGAAGTTTTCACATAAAAATCCAGATTTCTGGCTTTTCTTGAAAAAAGTACAAGACCTGGCAACACCTGATAACCATAGGACAGAGCTAAGGCATTGACTCACTACTTCCCAAGAGTCCCCATTCAATGAGCCAGGCCACTGTAGGGATCTGAGCTTGCAAGCCCTGTCTTAGAATAAAGACAGAGTCTTCAGAATTTTAGATTCTGGGTCTCAAGAGGAGAAACAAAGGGTAAGGGATGAGCATTCTCTGAGATTTACTTTCCTGGAAATAAAACAGCAAAAGCCAAAAGAATCGTTTCTCTTGCATCACTTGACCCTGGGTGGACAAGGCTGACTCATTCAGTCATCTGTGTTGCTCGTAAGCACTTGGGAGTACAGCTTGCTGATATGGCCTAAGAGGAAACATTTCACAGACTCCAAGCATATGGTCAATTTGGGATGAAGCAGCTCACCGTAACTCTCAACAACCCACTGCATCTCTTCTAAGAATCACTGGAGGAATCTGTTCTAGAACAAGGACTGCAGTAGCCTTGGCTAAGTCAGCAGCTAGAGAAGTGGGCCCTGGCCTGAGGGGCTCATTACAGCACCACACACAGCCTCCTCCAGGCTTCTCATGCCTGCCCTCCCACTGTTTCTCTTTGGACACCACGTTCCACTTGTTCCACAATGTCAATAGTGGGAAGGCCCTTCCCACTTTTTCACTCCCTATTCCAGTCTACCCATCATGCCCAACCTAGAGCAAATGACAGCCGCAGAGCCTCCTCTTCTAAAGCACTCTCATTAACAAATTCCAGGTTAGAGATGCAAACCAAGACCTGTAGACTTACCTGGGCAATTATATAATTTGCACATATATTTTGCAGCTCCCTAGTAGATAGATAAGTTTCTTGAGATCTAGGAGCTCCTTAGAGTCATCTTTGCATAGTGAAATTACATATACATATTTACCTTAGAAAAATCCAAACAAAAGGGATAAATGTTTACCACTTAAAACAGTGCCAGTTATTCTATTCAATAGGCAGATGTGCCCCAGAATGAACTCGAGAAGGGAGGCGTGGAGTTCCTGTTCCCTCAATGCCAATTCCCACAAATGCTTCCCTAGGTGCAAAAATTTCACCATCCTAGGTGTGATTCCAATGAGTACTCACTATAAACCCAAACCAGCTTACCTCCCCTTGGGGTTCACTGTTGGAAAAGCAATCTGATCTAGTCCTGAAGGAAGACATGCATTGGTCAGGTAGAGAGATGCCACAGTATTACATTTTATATGCACTTCAAAAGATTTTCAAGGGTAACTTTGATTGTACACATTTTCCACCTTCCACAAGAATTTTAGAATTGCAGCCTCTGCATTAACTACAGGTCCTCTGTGTGCCCCCACCCTAATCCTAGGCCAAAAGGTGCCTGATAAATGTCCACAGAGCTCCCTAGTATGCTGGTCCCTGTACCATGTAAGGCATTACTCTACGGAAGCTGTCGCCAAAGGACTTCAACTCATTCATGATGAAAAACACACCAATGACGCCCCTAGCTCCATGTGTGTACAACGACAATTCAACAGCTGAAAAATGGCCAGCACCATGCATTTTTGTACTGCAGTTACATCTATAACCATAAAACAACCTAGAATTAAACCCACACTCATGAAACATCAGAAGTGACGTTTTAATAACTGACTTCTGTTAGCCATCAAGTTTCAAGATCTTTAGCAACTCATTCTAAGGAAAACTACTTGAAAAAAATGAAGGATCACTTAACTATACTTAGAATTCAGAGTGAGTGCAACTATATTGTCTATTAAAAATCACTAAGTGTTCCAAAGAAAGAGTTGAGAAAATGAAGTACAAACTCTCTTTCTACTTATTCACTAAGTATTTCATATTCAGCTATTCATTCTTGAGTCAAAGTAACTTGAGTCAAAGTAACTGACTTGACTAAATTCAATACACTTAGAATTAAGAACAGTTTACAGTTAGATGTGTGGCTAGGCCTGCCATGGTAAAATGAAATGGCAGTTATTAGAATTTTCAGAAGAAAAGATCAGGTAATTTTTCAGGGATGTAAGTGAAATCTGTCAAAATGGCAGTGAGCTCAGAGGAATGTTACTGCACTTGAGAACTACTTTTGGAATGACTCATTAATAATTTAGTTAGACTGTCAACGATGCTCTCCAATTACTCAAATACTACTAGAAAACATTTCATTAGGAGATTTAAATAAACTCTTCCTGCCTCATGCTCATTACTCCCCATGTTTGCCCAAAAGAAATCAGGCCCAAGTTAAAAGCTGCCCCTCCAGAAACATTTCCTTGGTTTCCCTTCCAGTGAGAGGTGGCATCTCCTTCTCCCAAACTCCTGTGGCATGAGGCACATATCTCATTTACTTAATTAGACTGCAAGTGCTTGGAAGGCAGGCTCCACATTCAACTGAGCCTGGCATTTGCACTCTCTAACTTCCCACCACATAGAGCTCCTAGCACAATACTCTGAAAAGAGTACTCACTCAGCAAGTGTTAGTGAATGAGTGAGGGGATAAATGCAGGCTTGAGGGGTTCCGTCTGGTGTTTCTGGCATATCCCAAAGCCCAGTTATTTGTTAAAAATTTTATGTGAACCCTCCAAACACATTAGGTTGATATCGAAGTTTCACAGAGTCATCTCATGGTGATTCTTGGTAATGAAGTTCACTTGGGTCAACAATAATCTAGAATGTGTATCTACATCTCTTTCAATGTGCTCCACTTGAAAAATATTAACCAAGTATTTCTTTCTCTTTTAAAAGCTAACTCATTTCATTTAACAGCATCTATAACTGTCAGAACTTTGGCAGACTTTGTGAAAAGTATCACTTTAACTGTCTGAATTAAAAATTAATCACAAAAGTCTTCCTTTGTTTTGTTTTTACTACTTAAACTCCCTATTGATAAAGAAAAAGTCCGTTTTTTTTTTGTTGTTGTTGTTTCTTGAGACAGGATCTCATTCTGTCACCCAGGCTGAAGTGCAATAACACAGTCACATCCCAGGAGCCTCCAGCTCGTGGGCTCAAGTAATCCTCCCACCTCAGCCTCCCGGGTAGCTGGGACTACAGGCGTGCGCCACTACACCCAGCTAATTTTTAAAATTTTTAGTAGCTACTAGGTCTCTCTACTTTGCCCAGGCTGGTCTGGAACTTCTGAGCTCAAGAGAATCTTCTGCCTTGGTCTCCCAAAGTGCTGGGATTATAGGTGTGAGCCACTGCACCTGGCCTTGATGTTTTTTTGTTTGCTTATTTTTAAGATCGTTGGAGTCTTTTCCCCATAATACAAAAAAAATGCAGTTATTGCATTTGCTAGGAGAGAAAATTCCTGTACTTTAAAATTATATTTTACAATGACTGCTTCCAACCTCCACCACTCCTCCCACCTAATACCATTGGGGCTAGAAGTGGGGATGATCCTCTTGATCATTTTTGCCTCATTTTACATGATAAATTATCAAACTTTTGCATTTTTTTAAAAAAGGCAGTTCCAAAGACTCAACACAAAGTTACCTAAGGAATTTCCTTCTCTGGATCTGCTTGTCCAGGAGTTGAAATGTTCATTAAGTTCATCAGGCAGGCAGTTCAGGAACTCTGGATGAAAGTCAGCTCAAACCCAAGGAGACTGCCAACTTCCCTTTCTTGAAAACCCTCCTGCATACAAAGTCTCATTCCTCTCAACAGTTTGCTCATTTTTGTCTTCTGGAAAGTAAGTTCATTTGTTCATGCTACGTTAGTGGAAGTAAACAACCCCTACTGAGCCCCCAGCTTCACTGCTGGCTTATAATGCACTATTCCCCAAAGTGGTGGTTCTTATTTCTGAAGACGGGCTTCCTCACCCATCTTGTCCCATCAGATAACTTAGAGTTTGGTGCAAGCCTTGCAAATCATGTAGTAACAGCCCCTCATTGTAGCAGCTAGAATACGGAGGCCGAGAAAGATCCATCGATGTGCCCCTTGCACGACACTGCTTACTAGTAGCCAAGTGCAGCCTAGAACGCAGGCCTCCTGGCCACGAGTTCTGTGTTCTTTCTTACCTAGCCTGGTGCTTACAGCTCTCCTAGGAGTAAAGTGGCAAGCCCCAATAGTGTTGCTGAGTGCCAGGCATGAAGCCAGGCAAGAATTAGGTCCTCCACACACTTGCTACTCAAAGTGCGTGCCACGGACCATCAGCATCTGCCCCATCTGGAAACAAGTTAGAAATGTAGAGTCCCAGGCCTCCCCTGAGACCTGCTATATCAGACTCTGCTCTTTAACCATATCCCCAGGAGACTCACAAGCACATTAAAGTTTGAGAAGTGTTGCTCCACAGCAGGGAGAAAAAAAAAAAAAGATACACCTTCACTTTTTGAGTTAAGCTCAGGCCAAGTCCTGAGCTCATGTCACCGCCTATGGCAGATCACACTGAAGGATGTGCCAGTGATCTGACCCAAATGGACTTGTCTCCTTTAAACACTAAGGCCACTCGGATAATCTGCAGAATAGAATCCCTGGAGCCCAGTGGATGCCTTATAGAATCCATACAACTCATTTGTCTGTTTTGTTTCCTTGCTGAAATTCTGATTTACTTACTGACTACTGAGGGGTAAAATGGGGGAAAGGTTGAGTAATAAAAGTACTTCTTTATGGAAGATCAAAGATATCCTCCCCCACTTTCTTTTCCTAAAGTGGTTCTCCACAAGAATTGTGGGTAAAGGAACTCAGCACGTGCTTCATGCCAGGATTAAGAATGCAGGTACGGGAGACAGCCTTCCTGGGAGCAAGGCAGAACTCTGCTTGCTGCCATCCGTGTGACCTTGACAACTCAACATTTGTGTCTCAGTTTTCTCACCTTTAAAATGGGAACAAAGATGACACTTATTTCATAGCCATATGATACAGATGAAATGATAATGATCAAGCCTCACATACAGTGAGTGCTCACTAAATATAAGCTACTGTCATTATACATATCCTATGTGTCAGTGTCACTCAAAACCACTGTGGCCCCCAATCTTCTCATGATTGACCCAGATAATGATCAACAGCCAATCAACCTAAAGGAACCAATAATGGACTGGGCGTGGTGGCTCACACCTCTAATCCCAGCACTTTGAGAGGCCTATGTGGGAAACTCTCTTGAGCCCAGAAGTTCCAGACCAGTCTAGGCAACATGGCGAAACCCGGTCTCTACCCAAAATAAAAAAATTAGCCAGGCATGGTGGCGTGCACCTGTAGTCCCAGTTACCTGGGAGGCTGAGGTGGGAGGATGGCTTAAGCCTGAGAGGCAAAGGTTGCAGTGAGCTGAGATCATGCCACTGTGCTCCAGCCTGGGTGACAGAGTGAGACCCCATCTCAAGGAAATAAAAAAGAAAAGAAAAGAAACCAATATGCAGCCAGGCTCAGTGGCTCACACCCATAATCCCAGTGGTTTGGGAGGCCAAGGTGGGAGGATCGCTTGAGGCCAGGATTTCAAGATCAGCCTAGGCAACATAGCGAGACCTTGTTTCTACAGAAAAAAAAAAGAGAGAGAGAGAGAAAGACAAACTAATACACATAAAAGGCAGACACTGAGAAAAGTCTTGCCCTACCAAAACATGTGTGAATTCTGGGTTCGAGCAAAAACATGCACCACCTTTCACTTTGAATTCTAATGTGTGTTGACGTAATGTGTGTTGATGTAGAGTAAGAGCCCCAGAGCTTGATCAACCATGAAGAAATAAAGGAAAGGAAAGGAAAGAGGAGTCAGTCTTAGACACGCAACCTCATGCCTCACAGCTGTCCCTTATGAGCACACCAGCCAAATGCTTTGTCTACCTGCAAAGTGACTTTAAAAGGAGAGAACAAGGAGGAGCTGCTCTGTACTCCCTTTTTAAAATGTGGCACATGCTGTCATTCCTTCTATGATAGTTGGCCAAAAGACAAATCTGATTTCCTTTCCCAGACTTCATTTTAATTTTTATTTTTATGAAAGCAGGAAAAACATACTGCTCTCTCCATCCCATCCTCACTGTTTTTTTTTTTTAAAAAAATTAATATTGTTCCTTTTGAAAGACTAACCCCACTTCTCTTTTCTTAATTAGGCTCAACTGAAATATAGGCATAAGCATTCAACTGGGCAAGCCAAACTGAAAAACATCCCCAAGCCCTGAAAATCTAAATCAAGACCAAACCAATTATAGCATTTTATTTAGGTGGTGTTTATTTTTTGTATTTTTTTAACTGTCAAGTGATTGACAGAATTTATGGTAGGCGCAAAATGTTAAAGTATTTCTAGACTTTGCGGGAAGACATTAAGTTTGTCTATAGCCTCTAAACAAAATTATTTGTTTTCCAGTCATGCCTTTCAGTTTAAAAGTATTGCACTTTTACTAGCCACATCATTCTGGGCATATGCTTCTTCTGAGGAGACATTTTTCTAGCTGAGTTTAATCCAGTGAGTTAAAAGAGGGAAAGAATGTAAAATGGAACTCTCTACTTGCAGTTGGACATGCATTTGTTTTTCATCGCAGGATGCTAGGAAAGAAACCTCTCTGGTTGTCTAACTGTTTGCCTCACCTGTCTGAGGGCTGAGGCCCTGAGGACAGCATGCAAATTTCAACCCCCAACCCCATCCTCTCACTTCCCCTCCTCTATTGAGCATAACTTAGCCGCAACAGGATGCTACCCATTCACCCGTGGAGGCCTTACCTGTCGGTTTTCTTGATCAGGATGGCTCTAAAGATGTGCTCCAGGGGCGTCTTCTCCCGCTCATGGGTGGGCTGCACGAAGGGGTGCAGGGCCGCCAGCGAGAAGCCCTGCTGGTACAGCTCCAGGAGCTGGGCGGGCAGGTCACGCAGGGAGGCCAGCCTCACTGCTGAGGACCCAGGGAGCTCCGCTGGAGTGGAGAGAGGAGAGGCTCATCAAAGACCCATCACAACGCCCACTCAGCCCTGCCCAAACCCCTCTTCCCTTGCCCTCGGGGAGGATCCTCTAGGTCACTGCTAAAATGAGTTTGTCCCAGTTTTTACTGTCTTCAAACAGACTTTATAAGCAGCCTGTCGTTTTCCAAATCACCCAAAGGCATTAATAATTGGATGTCGGCCAGGCGTGATGGCTCAGGCCTATAATCCCAGCACTCTGAGAGGCCGAGGCAGATGGATCGCTTGAGCCGAGAAGTTTGAGACCAGCCTGGGCAACATAGTAAAACTCGGTCTCTCTTAAACAAACAAACAAACAAACAAACAAACAAACAAAAACAAAAAAACCCCCTCAAAATTAGCCAGTGCTTGTGGTCCTGGCTACTCAGGAGGCTGAGGTGGGAAGATCGCTTGAGCTGGAAATGGGGAGGTTTGCAGTGAGCCATGATAGGGCCACTGCACTCTAGCCTGGGCAACAGAGCAAGCCACTGTCTCAAAAATGAAATAAAATAAAATAATAATGGACTGTCTTAGATCTAGAGTCGTCTTATCAGTGATCACAATGAAAAAGTCATTTCCACCCTCTAAAAAAAAACACACAGAAATAAAGAAAGAAAGGAAGAAGGGAAGGGAAAAGAAGAAAAATACATTGAGCAAATATAAAAATACTAGGTGGCAAAAAGCAGCATAAACAAAGTCAAAAGACAAACTGGAACAAAATTTCTGTGACCCTTAAGACAAAGGGCTAATTTCCTTAAATTTGCAAAACACTCCCCACCCCAAAATAATTTTTAAACGGGAAAAATATATGAATAGGCAATTGCCTTAAAAGTGTAAAAGGCTAACCAATATTTGAAAACACACTTTAATTCAGCATTAGAATTACACAAATAAAAACCAGGAATATTTTCACCTATTGAATTATTTTAAAATTTGGATTTTTAATTTATTTATTTTTGAGAAGGGCAAACAACGTTCAAAAGTCAAAAGGTACAAATGTGTATTCAGTGAAAAGTCTACATCCTAGCCCTATCCTCTACCTCCTACATTTATTTCCTTAGAGGAAATCAGTATTATCTTTTTGTGTGTATATGCATTAACAATCAAAGAATTCATACAAAAGTGAACAGGTCTATATATTTCCCTCCTCTTCTACACAAATGTCAGCATAACATTACACACCTAGCTTTTTAGAATCAATTTTTATCAATTAACAGTATACTTTTCGGCCAGGGGCAGTGGCTCACGCCTGTTATCCCCGCACTTTGGGAGGCCAAGGTAGGCGGATCACTTGAGGTCAGGAGTTTGAGACCAGCCTGGCCAACATGATGAAACCCCATCTCTGCTAAAAATATAAAAAATTAGTCCGGTGTGGTGGTGCATGCCTGTAATCCCAGCTACTCGGGAGGCTGAGGCGGAAGAATCTCTTGAACCTGGGAGGCGAAGGTTGCAGTGAGCCGAGATTGCGCCACTGCACTCCAGCCTGGGCAACAAGAGCTAAACTCCGTCTCAAAAAGCAAAAAAACAAAACAAAACAGTATACTTTTCTTAAGAGACCATTTCATAGCAGTACACAGAGTGCTTTCTCATTCTTTTCTACAGATCCATTGTGTGATATACCATGGAGTATGCAAACTTTTGCTCTTACAAGTAATCTTTTAGTGAAAAATCTCATTCCTACATGATTTTGCATGTGTGCGCTTATAGTACATATACAAAATAAATTCCTAGATGTGGAATTGCTGGGTTAAAAATATATGCATTGTGTGCCTGTATCAAAACATCTCATGTACCCTATAAATATATACACCTACTATGTACCCACAAAAAGTAAATAAATAAAAAATCAGAGATGTAAATATATATATATATATATATATATATATCACACACATATGTATGTGTGCATTGTAATTTTTTCAGCTAGTGCTATTTCCCCCATAGAGTATTATGGATTTATCTGCCATCAGTGATGTATAAAGTTATTTCTTTTCCCATACTCTGACAATTCTCAGTGGAAAAAAAAAGATCCCTGTGACATGGTAACTTATATTTATCTTATTATGTAATTTGTATTTTTTCTTATTAAACATTTCATATTTAAATGCTGTGTCTCCTTGTCTGTGAACTGTCTGTCCATTATCTTTGCCTCGTGTCCTATTTAGTCATTGGGCTTTTTTTCTATTGGTTTGTAAGAACTCTTTACATATTAGGAAATTTAGTTTTTGATGTATCTGCCCCCAATTTGTTGCTTGCCTTTTGACTTTGCATATAGTGGGTTTTGCCATGAAAAAAAAAATTTTTTTTTTTTTTTTAAGACAAAGTCTCTCTCTGTTGCCCAGGCTGGAGTGCGGTGGTGCTATCCCCGCTCACTGCAAACTCTACCTCCTGGGTTCAAGTGATTCCATGAAAAACTTTTTAAATGAAGCTGAATTTACCAATCTTGCTTTCAATGGCTTCTGAGTTTTGTGTCATAGCAGAAAGACCTGGGATTATAAAACAATTCTCTTGTGAATTCCCATAATACATATTTCATTTTTTGCATATAAATCTTTTATCGATTTGGAATTTATCCCATGTAAAGTGTGCAATATGAATTGAACACCCCCCCACCACAGGGGTTTATCCATTTTTCCTCATTGATTTGAGATGCCATATATCATATGCCACTTATCATTTATTATATTCCCAAATATGAGTTTATGACTGTGATCCATTAATCTATTTGTATAAAACACTACTTCAAACAATTTTAATTTCATATTATGTTTTAATATCTGGTTAAACTACTTGTCAAATCTTCCTATATTCCTGTTTATATTTTGAATTTTCCTAATTCGTTTTTCTAAATGATCTTTAAAAATCAGCTCAGTAAATTCCCCTTGCTCCACTAAAAAAGTCTGTGGGTATTTTTATTGGGTCATGTTCAAATCATAGCTTGACTGAGAATGAATATTTTCACCATGCTACAAGTTCCCATGCAAGAAACTGGCAAAATTTTGATTTGGTCAAGTCTTCCTTTGGGTCCCTCTGGAGCATGCTAAAGTTTTCTTCACACAGATAGCACATATTTATCAGGTTTATTCCTAGTTATTCTATATTTTATTGCTATTGGAATAATACATTTTCCTTTTTCACTTCTGTAATATTCACTGCATGCAAGGGTGTTGGGGAAACAGGCATGGCCCTCATCGTGGTGGGAGTGAACCTTTCTTGAGGGCTGTTAGAGCAACCTAGTAGTAAATACCTTTGTCCATATATCTTGAAAGACATTCATGAGTCCAGCCATAGAAGTACTACCAGTAGTAGGGTTGCTGGACAAAGAGTGTGTGCATTTTTAGGTTTGAAGGGCAATACCACCCTGCCCTCAAGGAGAATCGCTTGAGCCCAGGAGTTTGAGACTAGCCTAGGCAATAGGGCAAAACTCCATCTGTACAAAAAAATACAAAAATTAACTGAGTGTGGTGGCATGTGCCTGTAGTGCCAGCTACTAGGGAGGCTGAGATGGGAGGATCACTTGAGCCCAGAGAGGTCAAGGATGCAGTGAGCTGAGATCGCACCACTGCACTCCAGCCTGGGGTGACAGAGTTACTAAATAAATAAATAAATAAATAAATAAAAGATAGGATCGGTGTTTTTTCCTTTCACTTTAAGCTCCAATACGGCTTGCACAATACTGTCACTGATCTTGTCTTTATTTATTATAAATGTTGCCTCACTCCCCTCACCCTAATCCTGGCCCAGCCCAAGATCTCCTTTTGTCCTCTTGTCCCAGAGCCTGCAAATGCTGGGTGTCGACCTTATGGAAACCAGGGGCTGTCAACAGATTACAAGGCTGCTGAACCAAAAGGGCAAAACCACATGTGGCGGAGACAGTTTGTTTTATTTGAAAAACTGAATGTACTTTTGGTAGGAGTGTAGGGCTTTATGGAAGGCAACTGCACGTTGTCAATCAAACCTAAAAATACTATCCAGCACCAAGATCCCCTCTCCTTTGATAAAACTATATACAAACAGCATCTGTGAGTCATCGAATATGGGCCCTCAAACTCATATTTAACTCAAACTCATATTGGTCTCTACAGTTCAATATTCTTTAAATGATTCAAATTTTTCAAACTCTTCCTGCTATAATAAAATAAACCTTTATTGAGAGTTTGATAATTTATACATTTGTTTCCTCTTATGCATCACACTAAAATAAAAAATAAAAGTAGTTAATATGTTTAGAAGACAGGGTTCTTGCTGGGCATGGTGGCTCACGCTTGTAATCGCAGCACTTTAGGAGGCCGAGGCGGGTGGATCATTTGAGAGCAGGAGTTCGAGACCAGCCTGGCCAACATGGTGAAACCCTGTCTCTACCCAAAATACAAAAATTAGCTGCGCATGTTGGCGTGCACCTATAGTCCCAGCTACTCAGGGGGCTGAGGAGGGAGGATCACTTGAGTCCAGGAGGCAGAGGTTGCAGTGAGCTGAAATCGTGCCACTGCACTCCAGCCTGGGAGACAGAGTAAGAACTCTGTCTCAAAAAAAAAAAAAAAAAAAAAAAAAAAAAAAAAGAAGACAGGTTTCTATACCAGCTGCTCTCCTCACTGCCTGCTAACCCCAGTCATGTGAACACTCAATTTCTTTGTATAAAATGGTGATAACAACATCAACCTGTCTTCCATCATAGCGTCATTGTGAGGATCACGTGGGATGATGTGTGTGTAATCTACAGAACACAAAACAATCACAGGCGGTGGCACTGGCTGTGGTGAATGGGAGGACTGGTCACCCCGGGATGGTGATGACAACATGATGTGGGGCCATGAAATCCTTCCCCATTCCCACCCACACTCCTTAACCTCCATGCTCCCAAATCGGTGCACTAAAAATGTTAGTCAATCAACCACTTTATATTTAAATGCTTCCTGAAAAAAACATAATACCTTTTAAATTTTTATCTTAAAATCTAAAGATGTATCTCCTGTCAAAGCTGAGCAATTTTGTGGCTTTAATTTTTGGTATGCATGCTGTCAAAGTAAATTTAGCTTCATGGTTAAAAGAAACAAATAAAAATGAATCTCAATGATCTTAAAGCAATAAAAAAAGGCTCCTATTATAAACATGATTAAAGGCCTTAATCTCATGTTTCTATTTGAACCCTAACCTTAAAAATACAAAAGAAAACATAGTTCTTATGAAGTGACCAATTCCCCAGTGTTACTCCTAGGCGAATAAACAAAGGAATGATTTCTCCACTTGGATGGACATACCAGTTGTAGCCTGTTGGTCTGTTTCTCACCCTACTTATCAGAGTAACCTCTCCACTATTTTGTTTTGTAATAGTTGCCTGATTTCATTTACAAATTATGTAACCTTGGGCAAGCTATATAGCTCCCTCCCCATCTCTTGGGACTCTCATTTACAAAATGAAGACTTTGGATGGGCAATTGCAAAAGGCGCTTTCAACTTTAAAATGCAATAATTTTATTATTTCAATTTGGAGGCTGAGGTACCAGTTTCTAACTAAAAAGTAACATTGGATAATATAACAATTGTTTTCAATGTTAACTAAAAGAGTTCCCCCAAACCAGAGCTAGAATTGGAAGAAGGAACACCCACATGGCATGTGTGGGTGGCTGGAGTGAGGAAGGAGAGGCTGGAAGATACCCACTGCCAGTGGGCGGGAGAAACATCACTGCTGCCCGAGGGTTCCAGCCTTCTGCCTGCCCAGGCACTAGGGATTCTGGGCTAACTGTCCTCTGGGGGAGTGTGGGGAGCTTTTCAGAGGAGTTCTAGGGAAGAGATGCCTGCCCAGCGGTGGGAGAGAAAACTAACGTTTTAAGTATCAAGGATGATGGGTCTCCTTCACCCTAGAAGAGAGCTACAAGGAAACGGCATGAGTTATTCTGTAGTTACTTTGGCTTCCTGGCCTTTGACCAGGAGCTGACTCTAAGGCTGAACCACATGAACCGTCTCATCATAAGTTAAAATTTCTAATTATAACTTCGTAGTCTGAAGATAAGGGACACTGGTATGGCTGTCTTAGCCACCGTTACCTTCCAAAAAGAGAAAATGCCAGCCTACTCAGAGTGGGCCGCTGCCGCGAGGGCTGATCACACTTTTTCTCCACTTTCTAATCTGTCAGGTTCTATAGTTTTTATCTACAGTGATCACACTCGCCTCATCTGGGAAGGACACCCACGTGCTCCCACACTGCCACAATCTTGGCTCACTGAAACCTCCGCCTTCTGGACTCAAGTGATCCTCCTGCCTCAGCCCCCTGAGTAGCTGGGACTACAGGTGTGCACCAACATGCTCAGCTAATTTTTGTATTTTTAGTAGAGTCAGGGTTTCACTATGTTGGCCAGGCTGGTCTTGAACTCCTGCCCATCTTCATCCCATACCAGGGCTTTGTCCTGCTGCAGTGCAAAGGACAATTCTCTCCTGGCTTCTCCCCTACCTGGGCAGGGGCAGAGTCTCATCTCCTTACTGGACAGAGGGCTTGGTGCAGATCCCAAAGCCATTAACAGAGGTATCTGCAGGCCAGGAAAATAAAGTAAACAAGAGACATGAGCCAGGGGGACAGCAATGAACACCGAGGCCCCATCTTGCCCAAGGGGACAAGATGGTTACTGCTAATGGGGGGGGGGCCCAATGGTGCCAGAACTTCTAACTCTTACTTTCAAGAAGTCAGAAATCTTAATCTTCCTAATCTTTAAATGTGACAAGTAACTGTAATTTTTTTCTCAATCCCATATGGCCAAAGTCAAGACCTAGCAGCCTGCAGAGTATGGATGGGGCATTTGATAAAGTTGGGGGATGGATGCCCCGCACTTCTTCCTATTTCTGATCCTGCCACTGTCCAGGCGCAGTGTGAGCATCAGTCATACATGGAGGAGGATGTCATTCTGTTCATCCCACATCATCACAAGGTACATCAAAAGCTTCAAGGACACATCTGCAGGTATTTGATACTGGCCTCTATTTCCTAATTCCTCTTTTTTCTATATTGGCACTGAGATGAACAAAAAGTTTAGAATCACATGATTGCATTTTGAATCTTTTGGAAATATTTTTTTTTATTCCAGACTCTATTACCAATAACAGGCTTTTATAAAATCAAAATATAGAAACTACTGCTGAAAAGGTATTTTGGGTGGCATGAGAGTCCAAACGTCTTTTGAAATAAGTGTTTTGTTTTTCTTTCAGAAAATAACTCCATATAAATAAATAAACCATTATTCCAAGAACTAAAAAAAAAAAAAAAAAAAAAGGAAAAGAAAGGAATGAAAACAGAGAAAAAACATAATCCACAAAACCACACATTTCTTAACACTCCTGGGATAAAGTAAATTTTGTTTTTGCTATGACTATGTTTTGTTTAGCAAAAACATTCCACAGCTCCATTTATTCCCTGGAAACGAAGCCCTTCAGACATTTGCAAAGGGCCAAAGTGAGGTCTTTGCTATTTCAAACTTGATTATTGGGAAAGTATCAGCCTCCAACACAAGAAAGAAACCACCGCATACAGCAACTGCCCATTTCACTCAGCTCTGTAAAGCAGGAAACAGCAGGCTGAACTGCAACAGCTTCTATTATTTTGCCCAGAAATCATTTGTGACTTTAACCTAATTATTCAAAGTCTGACTTTGGTCTTCTAATTACATCCGCTAATGGATCTGTCAATACGAAGGAGTGCAACATGAGACAGACACCAATTCCCTCGGGAAATTTCCCTCACAGGTGAAGCTGATAATGTTACACTGCTCAACCAAATCTCTCTTTTTTAAAAAGTTCCTTCAAGACTGCTAGTGCCATAACATCAATCTGCCTGGGCTTTGCAGTAGATCCAATTTAGCAAAACACTAAAATCAATCACTTTTTGATGCAGGACTTTTTATTGTATAGGTAGGAAATAGGAGTCCAATTTTTAAAATAATGTTTGCAGAAGACAAAGCCCATGTCTTCTGTATGTGCCATTTCTAAATCTGTGGAATAAGTTAAAATGTTTGTTCTAAGGGCTTTAAAAATTTAGACTTCTGTCATCTTCTCATTAAACAAACTCATGTATCTGAAACTTAAAAAACAAAACAAAACAAAACAAAACAAAACACATATCCAGGCTCAGGAGACCACACCATTAAAACACTATTTTTAAAATTTGAAGTGAAATTTCCATAACATAAAATTAATCATTTTAAAGTGAACTATTTGGTGGCGTTTAGTATCTTCATGATGTTGCACAACCATCAGCTCTATCTATAGGTTATGAAACATTTTCATCACCCCCAAAGGAAACTCCATGTCCATTAAGCAGTTACTCTTCCCATTCCCCTCTCTCCCCGAGCCCTAGCAATCAATAACATGCTTTCACAAAAAAAAACTATTCTTTTTTTAAATTTTAATGGATTTTTGTTGTGTATATTCAAGGTGTACAACATGATGCCTCAATGTATATATACTTAGTTCAAATGATTACTACAGTCAAGAAAACCAACATAACCATCATCTCACATAGTTAGTTTTCTTTTTTGTGCGTGGTAAGAGTACCTAAAATCTATTCCCTGAGCAGATCTCCAGTACGCGATGTTATTAGCTATAGTCCCCATGTTGTACATTAGATCTCTAGATTTACTTATCATACATAACTGCAACTTTGTACCTTTGACCTACAACTCCCCATCTCCCTGCATCTCCCTGACCCCCCAAACTACAGTTCTACTCTCTGTTTCTGTGTATTTGATTTTTAGTTTAAGATTGCACATATATGCAAGATTACGTAGTATTTTTCCTTCTGTGTCTGGCTTATTTCACTTAGCAGAATGTCCTCTAGATTCAGCCATGCTGTTGTAAATGGAGGATCATCTTCTTTTTTAAGGCTGAATAATACTCCATTGCATATATATACCATAGTTTATTTATCCAATCATCTATTGATGGACATGTAGGTTGTTTCCATATCCTGGCTATTGTGAATAATGCTGCATGGAGTGCAGATATCTCTTCAACATACTGATTTCATTTCCTTTGGAGAAATACCCAGTAATGGGATTGCTAGATCATAGGATATTTCTATTTTTAATTTTTGATGAACCTCCATATTGTTTTCTATAATGGCTGTACTAGTTTACATTCCCACCAACGGGGTGCAAGGGTTCTCTTATACTTCACATCCTCACCAACACTTCTTATCTCTTGTATTTTTGATAGTAGCCATTCTAACAGGTGTGAGCTGATATCTCACTGTGGTTTTGATTTGCATTTCTCTGATGTTTAGTGATGTTAATAAGCATTCTTTCATATATGTGTGGGCCACTTTTATATCTCCTTGGGAGATATGTCTATTCAAGCCCTCTGCCCATTTTTCAAGTTGGGTTATTTGTATTTTTGCTATTGAGCTGAATGAGTTCTGAAATACTATTCTTAATACCTTAATTAAACCATGGATGAACACACAGGGGAATCTCAGTAAGACTAAAAGAACTTCTTTAAGCTTATATAAACCTAAGATTCTGCAGGTCAATTAGGGAGTAACTGGCAAAGCAACAGATGCCTCATCAAATGAATTAAGTTGCCGGCCGCCGGACCACAAATGACTGTTAAAGCATCAGGCTGTCGTGACAATGGGAGCGGGGAAGAGTTAAGTTGTTATTGGTTTGCTCGTCATTTCAGAGAATCACACATAGTCAATGAATTACACACAACACACACACACACACACACACACACACACACACCACTGTACTGTAAAAATTCAGTGTCCAGGTATTTGTAAGGAGACTGACTCAACAATTTCCATTGACTGCATCCATTAATAAAACTCAGAAGATGGCATTATTGTTCACCTCACCAGTCCATTTTGTCAGAGAAGACACAGGCTAAGATACATCAAGAAGCCTTTTTAAGAAACACCAGGTCCCCTGATGCTTAGGTTTAGTAGTGGGCACTCAAATATTAAAAGCAACCCACTAGATATGGAACCTGGAGTATTAATACAATATTTCATACATTTAAAAGTACTTTTGTTAGAGAAGACACAAAGGATCACCAATTATTCAGAATCGGTAACGAAACTCATCCATACCAAATCCAAGAAGAGCTTTTTGTGAGTCAGAAGAAAGCAAATTATGAATGTTTTAAGCCATTTTCCTAATGAGTATGATAGCTGGCATTCTTGGTAGTTCTCTTGATTTTGAGAGTACATTATGCTGATGGCATCAAAGACTAGCCACTAATGAGTATGTACAAACAATATAAAAATTAAACTACTGGATTTACAATGTAAAATGATTTGTCATAGAAATCCTGTATGGATTTTCTATTATAAAATCTTAAGACTTAATTTCTTCATATCCCTATGGGTTTTTTCCAGGCGCTCCGGCTTCCTCCCACATCCCAAAGATGTGCATGTTAGGTAAACAGCCATGTCTACATTGTCCCAGTCTGAGCAAGTGTGAGTGTATGTGTGAGAGTACTCCTGCAATGGAATGACATCCTGTCTAGGGCTGGCGCCTGCCTTGCATCCTGAGCTGCTGGGACAGACTCCGGCCACCCCAGACACTGAACTGGAATAAGCGAGTTGGAAAATGAATGAAGGAATGAATACAAATAATTGTAAAATAAAAATGTGTACCACAATGTACCACAATAAACAATGTGGGATGAAAGCACTTGGCGAGCCCACCAAATTTGTTATTGGTTTTGAACTTCGTGGTGGGAGTAAGTGCTCCTTACGAGTTTCACTTTGCAAACATTTATTCCTTGATTTAACCCACCACCACTACAACCACCATCACTCGCTGTTTTACCAAAAACTGGGTAAGTCATCATCTTATTTGTTGTTATTAATCTTTCTTAACTGTATGTATAGCTCACATTTATTTCCATGTTTAGTATTAGAAATGTTTTGGTCTTTATCGAGAAGTTTGGTAATGTTTTTGTGACCAGAAATATGCCATAGGAATTTAACTCTTGATTTTCTCAATTAGCCTATGGTAAAATTGGTTTCATTACACACTGTTTCATATACAGTTGCAGTTTCCAAGAACCTATTAACAATGTTAAGTGAGGACTTACTATGCAGATGTAAACAGTTCCAAAAACAATGCTGTTGCAGCCAAGCTCTTAGAGAAAACATATAAGAAAAATAATGCATCTTTACAAGGCACTTTTGAGGAGTCTCAGTTTCAACTAAGAGTATGATTGCTCTGATACCTTCTCATGGGCCTCACAAATTCAAGGAAGAGAAAAAGAGAAAGAAAGAGAGAGAGACAAAAAGGAGATATAGGGAGGCTTTCTTTATCCACACCGTCTAAGGATGAGTCCCCCTCCCTCATCCATACAATTCTCTCTCCTGCTCTTTCTCTTTCCCCCCACTCTGTCTCTCTCTCTGTCTGTTGCCATTTTTTCTTTCTCTCTTTCTCTCTCTCTCTCTCTCACACACACACACACACACACACACACACACACACACAGCTCTCTACCAGCGCTGTCCAAGACAGTAGCCACATGTGGCTATTGAGCACTCAAAATGTGGCCAGTCTGAATGAATGTGGTATAAGTATAAAATGTTCAACCAATTTCAAAGATTTAGCATGAAAAAGAGAATGTAAAATATCTAAGTAAGAAGTTTTTTATATTAATAACACTGAAATGACAATACTTTGGATATATTAAGATTAAATAAAATATATTAATATTAATTTCATGTGTTTCTTTTTACCTTTTAAAAATGTGACTTTTAAAAAGTTTAAACTTACATATGTGGCTCAAAGTATATTTCCATTGGACAGCTCTGTTCTATATCATTAATTACCAATCATTTGTTTCACAGCATCTATCACAACTTTTAATTCTACAAATTGTTCATTGAAGTTTTTTTTTTTTTCCCTGTCTTGCCTATTAAATAATTTCCACTGGGCCAGAACCCATGCTGGGTTTATTTGCCAACAAGGTGGCCAAACCAAGAGTGCCTGGAGAAGGCTCATTAGCAGCTGTCATTAAATGAAGAAATTCTCCTCTGATAAGGCCACAGTCCACATCAGGACTGCAGTAGCACTCTCTCCGTCAAAGAAAGTCCAATGCAAACTGCTACCTGCAGTCACTCTGGTGGATGGTGAACTCTGGGGTCCCCATATTCCCTGGGCCCTAAAGCAGATTAGCCACAAGACCAAGATGAAAGAACCATAATGAGTCCTGGAAAAGAGTCAGCCAGTGTAAAGCTCAGAGGAAACCTAGAAACCTTTAAAAAAAAAAAAACTGTGGTAAAATATGCCTAACATCAAATTTATTATTCTAACAATTTTAGGTACCGTTAGGGAAATTCACATTGTCGTGCAACCATCACCACCATCTATCTCCAGGAAATCTTCATCGGCCTCATCTCTCGGTCCACGTCCAACAAGCAGAAGGGACACCTCACTTTCAGGTCACCAACTATCCTTCTCTGTCTCTGCTAGTGTGAGCAGGAGTTACAAAAGCAACAGGAAGAAAAAAGCTGCTGAGTTGGGATAATTCAAAAACATGCCACTGGGAAAATCAAAGGTTGATATGACAACAAAAGCAAAGGAAGAATGTAAAAATTTCACTTTGTAAAGATGGCCAAATAATAATAGGACAAAGACCATGGTTGTATACAAGACAGTGACTGGAAATCTCAACTCCAAACAGCAGAAAATGGAAAACAAGAGATTTCCCAAAAAGTGCGGTACCCGAGGGTATGAGCACACTTGAGTTTGGCATCTACACAGGAAACGAGGTCATTTCTTTTTCTCCTGAGTTATTATCATCAAGGTCTCGACTCTGTAACAAAATTTCACACTGGTTTATCAATAAAGTCTTAGGTGAATTTTCAAAAGCTTCTGAATATAGTAATATAAAATGACAAACTATGGAAACTATTGGAAATCATAAAGACCACGTGTAAGACTAGTTTCAAGAGGCTTATGACAGAATAAATTCCACACTCTGGGGGCTTGGCACAACTTCTATCCACAAAAGAAGACCACTCATTTGTTCAAAGGCACCACCCCAAGACACACCAGCAAATTCCTATCAGTGGATTCTCCTTTTCCTCACTGTAGTGTAGACACACCATATATTCAGCAGTGCAGCCACAAAACCATTCACTAAGTCTACATAAAGTTCTATGCATTGTAAATGCATTTTAACAAATAATATTCCTCTGTCTTATGACATCACAAAAGATTCAACAAAACTCAGTCAAATGAGAACAGGACCAGACAGCTCTTGTTCTCTAAAACAGGCTTCCACAGCTGCATTTTCAGCTTTGCATGAAGGATTACCGCCTTCTTGCATAAACTCCCAAATTGGTGCATGGAAATAGAAAATCATACACACGAGTTGAGCAGCTCCGGCTCCATTAACCAATTTGCATGCAAAATCGACATCAGCACTCTCTGGTCTATTTTTTGCCTATGTAAGAGATGGCATTTAGGATGCCTTGGGATTCTGCTTTTCAGAGGCATTTTGGTTCCCACTAAAGAAAACGGGGTCCCTAATGGTGTTTGGGGGCACATGCACATGTCCCTCCCAGCTGCCTTCTCAGGCATTCCAGTGAAAAAGAGAAAAGTTTGAGAATGAGATCAAGTAAACAATTAGGTGAGAGCCAATGGTCAGGGGGATGTTCTTCAGACTAATACAACGAAGCAATCAGGTGAAAATCATTTCTAATTACACCCAGAAGAAAAATACGATCTATCCACCGTTGGCACAAGAAGGGAAAGATGGATTTTTAATCAGGCAAAGGAATGTACTTTCTGGACTTGCCAGTGATCACTTACTGAGATGGGCCATGGAGAAGTCTGGCCTTTGAGGTTACGCATGAGGATCTGATAGGCATTTGTGTGCTTATAAGGAATCTTTAGATTTTCTCTAATGTATTATTTCTTCCCTCTCTTCCTCTCTCCTTCTTTTCTCTCTTTTTTCTTTTCTTCCTCCCTTCCATCCAGGGAGCCACCAGCCACATGTGGCTATCGAGCATCTGAAATGTGGCCAGTGTGATTGAGATGTGCCCAAAGTATAAATAAATACACACAGGATTTCAAAGACTTGGTAAAAAAAAAAAAAGTCTCCCAATAATAATTTTTTATTGATTCCATATTGAAATGATAAATTGTCTAAGATATTGGATTAAATAAAATATATCATGAAAATTAACTTGCCTGTTTTTATTTTTTAATGTGGTTACTAGAAAATTTTTCAATGGCATTCACAAGTCATATTGTATTTCTATTGGACTGCTCTGTCCTAGAACCTTTTGTTTTAAACAGATGCATTTTCTTACAGTCCAAAAAAAAACATGATCCCTTGTTGACTTTTATGGAGGTGCCAATTTAATTCCTTTTTCAACATTCTTTAGCTACAGCTATGAGTTGAGGTCACTTCTTTTTCCCAAAATAAATCCATAACACCAAGGAATGGGGACAAGCTGTCACAACCCTTACAATGTGGGATCAAAAGAGTAACCTTCCTTGAAGCACATTAAATTTTTTTTCTTAACTAACTGTCGCTATTCCAAATTGGAGGAAAAAAAGTACAACTTTTTACTGCCTTCATGTTTGATGGTTTGCTCCCTGTGTCCCTTAAATGCCTGCTCTTCAAGAATCTCTAGTAACACAATCACACTGCTTCTAAAATGTTTACCTCTCAGGAGCCACTGCGTTCCCGACCTTCTTCTGCCCCATTGGCAGGCCCCAAACATCCTCCTGAGTCACAAGTCTCACCCCATGCGGGGATTACAGGCTGCGACTCACTGCTCTAGCAAAACTAGAAATAACTGCTGGAGGCAAGCAGCCAGCCGGCATCCCACAGAGATTATTCATAGCAGAAATATCAATAGACAGTAGGCCCTCCAGTTGGTTGTGTTGAGTCCCTGGAAATGCTTTGTACTGAATTTTCCAGATGATTTATGTTATGCTCCAGAAAGGCAACATCTCCCTCACACACTTAATAAATGCATCCGTGTGGTATTAATGTTTCAACTTAACATAGTTTTCCCCTTCCTGTACTTTCTGGTCTGGTTCCTTGGGGAGTGGAGTGGGAAGGCTTCATGATATCTGAAATCCCCACAAATTCATACGAAATGAGTAGGATTATTACTTTGTTTTAACCAGAGTGCATTTTATCTTAGTTCTAAATTATGCAGATCCTATTAGGCAAATAAAGAACAGAAATCTGGAATTGAATTATAGGAGAGAAAGCTGATTATTCATCAAATCTGGCTCAGGCAGATGGGTGGTGTATTGGCTCCAGTTCCTAATCTGGACCAGATTACCTGGGTTCAAATTTCAGTGCCATCCCTTACTAGCCATATGACTTTGGGTGAATTACGAATGCTTATGGGCCTCAATTTTTGTCTACAGAGGATAAAAATAACACCTTTCTCATCAGGCTGCTATGAAGATTGAGATAATGCACATAAAGTCCTAGAACTGCACCTGGAACTGGTAACTCCTCCATACACGGGAGCTGCTAAAATCATTGTTGTTATCACCATTATGCATAACCCTAATCACTTCACACATTGTTACTAACGTGACAGACTGTCATGTCCACGAGTTGATCCTTAAGTCTCGGAACCACTCCAGCTCTGCATCAATATTCTTCAGCTTTCACAACTGACTTTGATTTCTCAGTCATTTCTGAATGTGAGCCAAAAATGGTCTAGAACATCAAGACTCAGAAAAATCAACGAGACAAAAGCCATGCTGACAGACTGCTGCCTCTGATTTGCACTGAACTCCACTACAGGCTGCTGAAGTACTTGTGGAAAGGGATGTGAGGAGGAAGGGGCAGGGCGTGTCTGCAATGGAACTGCAGAAGCCTAGAGAGCTGGTTCTAGAAAATGGCCCCATCTCTAGAAGTGACCAGGAAGCAGCAGGAGGAGGGCTGCAGGAGGCCCCAGGGAGGCGCAGCAGGGGAAAGAGGTGGAATTGCGGCAGGAATACATTAAGGACATAGCACACAAAGCAAAGGCAGAAGACATGTCACCCCCATCCTGACCACTCTCCATGCCTGTCTTAAATCCATCCCAATTTGTAAAATTAAATGTGCAAACAGAAAATATTTCTCTGAAAGAGTCATAAAATGTCAGCTTCTCCACTTTCCTTCCTAACCCACAATTTTTAATTTCCTCTACTAACTGCCAGAACAAGGGCTCATATCTTAAATTCTCCTCCCACCTCAGGCCTGCCTTGCTTGCAGCTCTGTCTGGGAGCATTTCAGGCAAAACATTTAAAATGAAAAAATAAGCCCCAAATGTCTATCCTTAGCTATGGCATAGAAAGGGGAGGCTGAAGAGATAGTGTCTGGCCACATCCAGGTGCACAGAGGTGGTGGCCTCAGAGAAGGAAGGCAGGTAGGATAAGAGCCTGAGGCCCATCCAAGGGCTCTCTCCCACTGCACCATGATGCTGCATGACCTGAAGTCCACCAGCATCCTGTTCAGGTTAACATGTCTCCCATGTCTATGCTCCCTCAGGTGGCTTCCACAGGCAAATTAGCTTCATCAAACAACACTAGGTCTTGGCCTGTCTCTACCTCCTGTCTCTAACTGCTCCTGAGGCAGGACAGGCACCCCAAACCAGGATTAAAACAATAAGTTTAACAAATGCTATAAAACTAATCTAGTGTCTGTTCCACAACCTTCAGAGAAGGTGTTATTTTGCCTTCTCTTACCTTTTCATCAGACCCTGTTCTCAAGTCTCTTTCTTTCTTTTTTTTTTCCATCATAAGAAAACAAAGCCAAAGAGATGGCTGGGAGATGAGGGAGAGGGATGGCAAAGACAGCTCCTAGGTCTCTGGTTTGCATGGACCTGAACAGATAGTGGTGACTTTCACCACTTGGTTTTGGTCCTGTTGACTACAGAGGGCCTCTGTGATATCCCAGAGGAAACATTAGTCAGGCCATTAATATAGGATCTTCAGCTCAAACGGAGAACTCTGGACTGGGGATAGAAAACGGAGGCTCACGTACCTGTGCATAAATGCTCACTAAGGTCAGGGGCTTGGATAAACTCTCATTATGAGAAAACATGCAGACAGAAGATCAGGTCTCCAGCCAAGAATTACCAAACTCTCAATAGTTAGTGGCTGAGCGCAGATGGGCAGATCTGCAAAGGAGGCAGAGGAGCAGCCCGAGAGACAAGAAGCAAAGCAGAAGAGTGCTGTCCTAGAAGTCAAGGGAAGACGGAACAGCAGAACGTCTCATCAGTGACCTCCTCTTACCCACCACGTCAGATCCCCCAAAGCCTTCATTCCTTCCAGGACACATGGTAGATGCCCCTGCATGCTGGACACGAAGTCTAATAGGGCACTCTCCAGTACACCCATGACTTTCTGCTTCATTAGCTGGCTTGTAGGCTAACCAACAGCTGGCTAGGTGTAGTCTCAAACCTGTTTATGCCAGTTGCACTGGTTATAATGAATAAGCCTAATCAAATATTATATGAATACAAACTAAAATAGAGTGGTCCCCTCTTCTCCACAGGGGATATGCCTGAAACCACAGATAGTAAAGAACCCAATTGCTGCCAATCAGAGCACATTTCTCTTCGTGTCTTCCACCTAAAAATTTAATGCCTTTTTCATCTTCACTAAGCACATGTCATGCACTGTGGCCATAACTTTTGCAGCCTGAGGTGTGACAGCAAAACTACTAGCGTGATTTTTTTTTCCTTCCTCACAATTTCATAGATGGAAGATTCATTCTTACCTTAGATCTTAGCAACTTCAGCATATGAGTTTTCTTCTTTCTCACTTAAAGGAAGCTCTTTACAGCTTCATTTTGGCATATCCGAATTGCCAGCATCACTAGCTTTGTGCTTTGGGGCCACTGTTGAGTAAAATAAGGGTGACTTGAACACAAGCAGTTCTATCCCAAGACAGTGGAACTGATCACTGAGTGGCCACTAAGTGAGTAATGGGTGGGTATATTATGGACAGCATGGATGCACAGGACAAATAGATGATCCACGTCCTGGGCGGAATAGAGCAGGATGGCACGAGATTTCACCATGCTACTCAGAATAGTGAGTAATTGAAAACTTATGCATTATTTCTAGAATTTTTCATTTCATATTTTGGAAACACGGTTGACTATAGGTAACCAAAACCACAGAAAATGAAACCAAGGATAAGGGGGAACTACTGTACAAACAGTGAATGAGAGTTATTCATAAGAAGCCAAAGATTCTAAAGAAAACTAAAAAAAAAATAATAGCTGTCAAGGTAGATGAAGGTAAGGATATAATAGAAGGCGAAGGGAAAAGTAATTTTAAAATGTGCGGGGTTACATTCAGATACCTTTGTAAACATCTAAAGTCTCCCTCCATCTTCACAATGTTGATTGAAATGCTTAGCTACTGTATCATGGGTTTATGCCAAAAGATGACGCAGAGCTAGTCAGCAGAAACACTGTCAAAGACCACAGCTCTGCACCTAATGATGGGCAGATGAACGTTTGTTTTCAATGAATTCACTGTGAAAACACAATCAGTTTTGTGTTTTAAGCTAAAATAAAATGTTTACAATATATACCTTTTAAAAAATAATTCCCTGTTCCAACCAACCTTTTTGATTTACTGACCAATTATGGTCTCAACTGTGACAGTGAAGGAGTGGTCAGTGTTGCCAGGCCCTTCAGTAAGATGAGGAATGGAAGACATCCACTGGATTTAGAGATCACTGGGAGTGGAGAAATGCAACCAAGTCAGGCCGAAGACAGTCAACTGTTATGTGACAATATCACAAGCCGTTCTTCCCTATCAAGTTCTTTTGCACTTAGTGTTTCAGAATTTAAATGCTGCTTTTTAATCTCCTTTTTTGAGCAAATGGTTTCAATGTATTTTACAGCAGAAAAAGCCCTTAAAAATGAGAATGAGGATGATGATGATGATGATAGAAGTATTATGGAAATAATATGAACAACAGTAACAATGATAGCTACCTTCCATTGGACATATATTGTCCACCAGACATTGTTTTATATGCTTTACAAGCATCCTTGCTTAATTCTCAATCTCTCAGCTATGTACTATTATTATCTCCATTTTAAAGATGAGAAAACTCTGGACCAGAGAAGTTGAGTAAATTTCCCAAGCCTGCAGAGCCACTAAGGGTTGAACCTGACATTCAAACCCACGCATTCAGAGCCTATGCTCTTAACCTCTACACTATGAATTCTCCCTAATTAACTAAGCTAATGTTCTCATTCTATAGATCATAAAATGATGTCCAGAGGGATTAAACAATTGGCTAAAGAGACATAGCAGTACCAGGACTATAGAAGACACCCTCAGATCCCAATCCTATGCTTTTTCTACTATACCACAGTAGTGCAGCAAGTGAATGTAGCAAGATCAGAACAAAATGACTCTTAAAAACCAACAAACGACACCTCCTTGCTTCTACACAGTTGTGTGCCTCCAAGATGTTCCTTGCTTAAGGACTTGTTTAAGTTCCATCAATAGTCAGCTTCTTGGGCTCAGGTTTTCTTTGAAAGGTTGATTACAGCGAAGAAAAACAAAGCCTTTTAAAAATGTAATGTTTATTTCCTCAGTGAATTTAGTGGTATAATTGTAATTGGAAAAAAATAAAGCATGAACGTATGTAACGTATTTACTGCTATGGGAGTCTACAATGGAAGAACCAGAAAAATAAGAATAGTTACACAGTGGTTACAAATATCAAGCATAAACCAGACATGCTTAATTTCAGGGTATGATACAAGAAAATAAATGAAGCAAATATTTAAAGCAAATTCAACTTTCCAATTTTAATTTTAAAAGTGTTATTCAAAGACATTTATAAAGAGAGAGTGATATAATTAAGGCAAGCAAAATGCAAATAATGCAAATAATGCAAAATGCAAATAACATGTTATTGACCTTCTCCATATCCCAGGACTTCCTTCCCACAGTGCAGAAATGGAAGGCAGAAGACAAAAGTCAAAGCCAGGGGTGAACAGGACATGATGCCAGACCTCTACAAGGAGTATGAGCTCCACCAGATCTGAGCTTCCCTAGATGACAAGGCTGCCACTGTAACCAGGTCTCCTTAGTCACCTTCTGCTCTCCTAATGAGAGTCATTTCCATAGATTTTAATAGTTTCTATCACAATGATGATTTTCTAAAAACCCACTCTTATATATCTTTACAGGGTCAAAATTTAATAGGAATTGCCAAATTGCCCCACATTGGTCTTATCAATTCACAGTCCATCTATGGAGTGAGACCATGCCGTGCTGACTTCTCAGCAAAGTGGCAGCTGGTGAGCACACCTGCATCAGGATCATCTAGGGGTGGGAAGAGTGTGTTTACATTAGGAATGCAGGTCCCAGGCTATCCCCAGATCTACTAAATCAGACCTGCATTTCAATAACCAGGGCCATTGACTTGTTTGCTCACTCAAGTCTGAGGACGATTGTGTGAGAGGCTGCCTGGAGCCACGTCTGGAGAAAGACTGTGAAGCCAAGGGTGAGCTCACTGGGAAACAGTTCCCAATCAATTCATAATGCCTGCATGGTGGCAGGAATGGGGGAATTGGGTAGATGGATACATAAGACACAAATCTCTCCTTTCTCCTCTCCTCCTCATTCCCTAACTGCTTAGAGAATTCCTACTCATCCTTCACAACTCTTTCTAGAAGAGACTTCTTCAACCTATACACCAAGGCCTCCCTCCTTGTGTCAAGGCACCATCTAGCACTCACCATCACAGTTTTCTGGCGTGTCTCCCAGGGAAGGCAGGGACTTTGTCTTGTTCATTTTCTTCTCCTCACAACTAGCTTTTTGCCTAGTCCATAACTAGAATTCAATAAATCCTTAGCAAATGACTACGTGATTGAAAAAACAAAAACAAAGGATAGAGCAAATACAGAACCAGTTACTGGGAAGGACAAGACAGCAAAACCCAGCCTCCTCCTCTCCACCATGCTGTCTCCCATGAAGATCCCAGGTCTTCCAAGGGTAAGGAAAAACAGGCTGATAAATGAGGGCTGGCGGCCAGCAACCCTCCCACTGCAGCCAGGCTTTGTCTCCACGCCATAAACACCTCCTTGCTCACAAGAGTTGGACCCTGTTGGGATCAGCAAACAGCTGCAGCAACAGCAGCATATGACCTGCCCAGTTTGTTTAGGTGGCGTGTGTTTGTGAGGAGCATTTGCTCTGTGGTGTTTTTCTATAACGATTACGTGGAGAAATGATGTTATTTTCAGGGGGTGAGGAATACCAAAGAGGCTTATTTGGCAAAAGCCACAATCTGTTCACTTCTACTTTGTGTGCGTATGTGAAAATCCTCACGCTAGTAGCCAGGATTTTTCAAATCCACTGGGAAGAGACTCCAAAAACAGGTTGGGGGCAGGAAAACAAAACCCTAGGATGACAAGCATGCAAATTAACACTGAAACCAGGCAAAGGACTAGTCCTGACAGATGAAAACACTCAAGCCAGCTGTATGTAAGGATTAGGAAAATTCTAAATAGGGGAGCATTCTGCCCACAAGTTTTGTTAGGAGAGGACATTAACACCAGTCATTTATGGTCCTCAAAGCCCAGTATATTGGTGTTGGGGGTGGAGGTGTCTGCTGTGTTCAAAGGACAGTGGCACTGAAAACTCAGGACTCAGAGACACTCTCTTCTTAACTCCTCAAGCTCTCAGATAACCAACTAGTAGAGTCAAAATAATCTAATCATGGACTATTAATGCACATGGCAAAAACTCAACGGATATCCTAGTCAACATAATTCTACATCGGCTGTTCTGTCAAGATGATAATGAAACATCAGACAATCTGTGAGAACATGATGCCAAGAAGAAATACAAATTGGGCTCCTCCATTCCTCATGGAAATTAGAAGATTCTAAACTAATCAATTAGTTTCACATCCCCCGACACCTCCCTCCCACCGCCCCCACCCCCGTCTCTGCATTATCATTCCACTTCATGAAATTTCCTGGGAATCCACTTACTATTCTGTGATCAAGGACAGCAAATGAAAATCAAGTTCTCTGCAGAACATGAGCGAAACTTTACATTGTAATGTAAAATGAGCTGATTAAGGGCACTTAATCCAAGAACAGCTAATTCTTAAGACCTCGAAGCAGAGTGGATGAAATGTCAGGAAGGAGGAATGCAGCCGGGTTCTAATCACACAGAAAAATGGATTCCGGCACTCGACAGGCTGCCTTATTAACAATTACAGTAACCAGGGCTGTTCTTTTCAAAAGAATGCCTAGCAAGTTAGAATAAAGACCCCATCTTCGGAGATCTGTGGTAGAAAGTATACCCCTCTTTTTAGAAAATAAGGTACTCCAGCCTCTGGGAGCATCCTAAAAGATGAGAGGAAACTCAAGGAGAATGGTTTATCTTTCTGAATGGTTTATCTTTCTAATTTCATCTCATTCAACTTCTTACACATTGGAAGGTGATTGTAAACTCAGGTATGTTAGGAATAAGTTTATTATTAAAAAGTAATAAACACCCTCCGCTGACCAAACTCTTAGAAAAGGATTACAGAACCACTTTTCACTTTGAAAAATTCTTGAGGACCCCCCTAAGAACTTTTGTTTATGTGGGTTACATCTATCTATATTCTTCACGTTAGAACATTTAAAACTAAGACATTTTAAAAATAAGAATATCCAAGCACATATTAATTAGTGATGATACCATCATGGGTCGTGTAGCCACAGGAAAACTCCATTGCACGCTTGTCAAAGAATAAGAGTGGAAAAGGCGAACAAAGGTCTTAGTATCATTTTGAAAATAGTTGGGACCTTAAGAACTCCCAGGGGTCCCCAGACCACTCTGAGAACCACTGACCTAGAGTCATGTCTGGTTGACATAGAAATGTGTTAGAGTTATAGAGAGGTCAACTCTTTCAAGAACCACTTCTGTCATAAAAACAAACACTCTGTGTATTATGTGTCAATAAAAAGTTTTTTTTTTAAATGACAGATGCCATTGCTATAAGAACTTTAATAAGTATATGTGAAACTTTCTGGTAGCTGGCAGGAAAACAGGCTCTTTAATCTTTTACAGTTCACCACATTTGTTTTACAGCCTCTGCAAGTACAGATGACTAACTGCTTCTACGCAGAGCTGTGCAGCGTTTCTACCAAAGGCCAGGCCTGTCTGGGTAAATCCATTCCCTTCAGTAAACATTGCAGGGAGGCAAGTCTTCTTAAGAAGCAGTTTAACTCAGTGGTTAAGAGCCCAGGCTCTGGATTTAGACTTCCTGGGTTCAAATCCTGGCTTGGCCTCTTGCCAAGTGACCTTGCATGAGTTCTTAATCTTCCTCCAAGTATAAAAAGGAAGAATAACAATATTTAACTGGTAGGATCTTCATAGGAATCCTATGAAGGGTTACATTTCTAGAACATAGTAGTACTCAATAAATGCCGGTTATCATTATACCTTCTTTTACGATATACAAGGCATCCCAAAAGTCTCAATACAGTTTTATGCTGAAATTTCAGAAATATAAGCATTACAAACTTACCTCAAATACCACTTATTTAGTTCTGTAAATTTTAAGTAATAAAATTTTAGTTTTTTGTTTCGGTGCCTCTGATTGAAAGTGGCAAGTGCTGCCTGAAACAAAAATTACATTACTAATTTCACAGTGGAGCAGGGAATAAGTATACACACAACTATTAGACAAAGGAGACTTTTTACCATTAAGACTTAATTCGATAGACATGGCTGTGGTCTGAATGTGTCTCCCCCAAATTTATGTGTTGGAAACTTAATCCTCAACGCAGCAGTGAAGGGAGGTGAGTCCTTTTGAGAGGTGCTTAGGTCATGAGGGCTCAGCCCTTATGAGTGGATTAATATCATTATAAAAGGGTTTCACAGACAGAGTTTGGTCCTTTTTGCCTTCTGCCTTCCACCATGTGAGGACACAGCATTCCACCCCTCTGGAGGATGCAAAAACAAGTCACTATCTTGGAAGTGGAGATCAGCCCTCACCAGACACCAAACCTGCCAGCAAGTTGATCTTGGACTTCCCAGCCTCCAGAACTGTGAGCAAAAAAAAATCTTTGTTCTTTATAAACTACCCAGTCTTGGGTATTTCGTTTCAACAACACAAAATAGACTAAGACAGACATTCTTTGAGCACCTACTATGTGCCATGCTTGTGTTAGGTACCAGGAAGATAAAAGGAAACAAGATGAGATGATTAGACAATAGAGGTGTACAAAGCCAGCAGGGGCAAGCATGGAAATAGATTGCTGCAGCATGTTCTGCTGTATTATTCAGGTCCAGGTATGCTCGGGGTGCTGGAGTTTCAGGTAGTGGGGTGCTATGCCCAGGATACAGCAGAAAGGAAAAGGAAAAGTGTTTCTCTCACTGACATTTGGAAGACATTTTCCCTCCTCATGATGTGAATTTTTCCTTTCACTTGTCATTAATTCTGTTCATCTGCAAGAAGCCCATCTATCTATAGCTTTCCTTTTGCAGTAGCTTTTCAATAGTGGATCTTTATTGAGCTTTTCCATCTTTGTAAATCGTAAATTGTCCTTTCAACATGCATAATGACAAGCATTTCGACCCACACACTCTATTTACATATCATAGCAAACAGCCTCTTATTTAGATGTCAAATTCCAGCAACTAAAAACTCAGATCCACAAAACAGCAAGAAGCCAAATAATTCTCAAAACCATAATGCTTTCCATAAACTTCAGTTCCCTTTGGGCAGTCCTTCAGGCCATATAGCTGTTCTTTTTAAATACACATTTATAATGAATCTGTCCATCTGTTTTTCTAGCAGATTAGAAGTACAAAAATCAGGGGAGTCATCTGAAAACATGGTGCTTAGCTTCACGAATTCCCTAAAAGTTACAACCCAGGGCTACTGGGTTTTCCTTTCTTTTCTTTTCCTTGAGACAGCGTCTCACTCTGTCACCAGGTTGGAGAGCAGTGATGCCATCACAGGTCACTGCAGCCTCGACCTCCCAGACTCAGGTGATTCTCCCACCTCAGCCTCCCGAGTAGCTGGGACCACAGGTGTGCACCATGCCCAGCTAATTTTTTGTATTTTTTGTAGAGATGAGGTTTCGCTGTTGCTCAGGCTAGTCTTGAACCCCTGGGCTCAAGCAATCCACTCGCCTTAGCCTCCCAAAGTGCTGGAATTACAGGTATGAGCCACTGTGCCTGGCCACTACTGTGTTTTCTGAAGGAAATTAGTTTTAACAGAACCAGAAAGGACTAAGTAATATCCACAATGTGTAACAGACACCTAAACTCTTACATGAAGAGTTATGTGCCCTAGTAGAAAACTATTTTTCATTTTCTCATATCTCAAAAGATTGAAAATTACAAATCCTAGCACTTTGGGAGGCTGAAGCGGGAGTCTCTACTTTAAAAATTTAAAAATGAGCCAGGAATAGCAGCGTGTGCCTTTATCCCAGCTACTTGGAGACTAAGGTGGGGCACTGCTTAAGCTCAGGAGTTCAAGGCTACAGTGAGCTGTGATCGTGCCACTGCACTCAGCCTGGGTGACAGAGTGAGACCCTGTGTTTCTAAAATAATAATAATAATAAGTAAATAAATGAAAATTACAAATAAAACTCAACTCTACATTCAAAATTTTCTTAAAATTTTTCTTAAAAATTCTAGTCCATGTGCAGAATTCACTTGCTTAAATAAGCCATCACTTATATCTAGTCAATATCATCATGTTATAGAAAAAAGTTGAAAAAGGAACATATTATAGAATTATTGGCCATTGTTGTTTATTTAAATGCTAGAAAAAAAATAAGATTTATATACAATAAGTTTTGAGAGAAGTTTATCATTTTTTGGTTCCTATAACTTTTAGTTATTTGACATTTGCAAACTAAACTGGAAAACTAAGAAAATTAAATGTGATTTTTTTCTTCTCAGATAACTGAAGCCAAGACATTTTTGAGAACATGAATTTTCCATATGATTGACTTATTTCAATGCTTTGAGTGGGCATAGCTTTATTCTAAATTTTTATGAATTTTAGAGTTGATTCAGAAATTACAATGTGAATATTATATAAAATCAGATAATAATGTAGTATGTAAAATATGCATGGTGGAAGGAGTAAACTGTGTAGATTATTCTGGCCCTGCAAAACACAGAAGTGTCTCAATTTCTCTTTTTCCACCGTGATTTTTATCTATTGTGTTATTTTGATATTTGTACATTTACTGGGATCTGGCAGGATGAGTTGCACATGGGTAGCATTTATATTAACTAAATTTGGTTTTCATTTTAGAAACAAATTCCTCCTTTCTTCTTTTTTTCTGCTGCCAAAGCCCAATAGGCTTATAAATAAATACACAGCCCACAGGAAAGACTTGAGGAGGTTCAGGTAGACATTTCATTTGAATTTCCGGAGCCTGGTTTTATCTTAACAGCCCTCATACTCCTTGGACCACACCTGGGCAAGCAAAGTGAAGTGGGAAATAAAATAGTTGGATCAATGACGTCAACAACCAACGCCGCTGTCCAAAACCAAAACCTCACATTTCAAGCAGAGGCTGGGTGGGGAATATATATTTTTTTAACCTAAATCTTCTTCTCATTTTCTCCTTTTTTGGTGAGGGTAGAAATATCATGTAAGAGGCCTGTTATACAGATAACTAACGCAAGAGACACGTGAGCAGACGTCACTTGAGCCTCATTTTCCATGCCAAAATTCAGGATTTAAGGTCTAAAACCATAGAGAATATTTTAGAGCTAGATGGTTCCAGAAAATCTGAGACATGTGGCCACCACAGCTGTGAAGTGGCCCACTCTCTCCCACCTACCCACCCCAGAATTTCTTACCCTTCATAAGGCAGCCCCTACTCGAGGCTGGCCAGACTTCTTCAACAAATGACAGACAAAGCAGGTTTGGTCCCAATGTAAAATGAAGTCTCAGAACCCACGGCTCAGCCATTTTGGAGAGTGAGATGAGGAGGCCACGCCACAGAGGCCCTCGGGCAGCACAGCTGCCATGACAATATGGGCCAGTGCCAGGAATAGGAAGGATCAAGTTAAATGTTTGTGATCCAATAACAAAACCACAACATGGGCCCCATTAAGCAAGGTTTAGGTAGAAGCTAATGAACTGAATCTAATTTTCTTTTGACCATCTTTGACAAGGAATAAGCTCTGCTATAATGAGTTTCTTAGGCAATTCAAATATAGACATTACAGTGGGGCTCAATAAAAAAAAACAACTCTCACAAAGGAGCTGATCTCCTCAAATAGACTCTAAGGTGGTTTAACTGGGAAGCATATATATATTTCTTTAAAACTCTTCCGTGAATAATCAGGAATAATTATCCATTTTAAAATACTTTTTATATTTCCATTTTTAATTAAAAATATATACACATACACGTACATAAATACATACACATAAATGTATGAATTTTCCACCAGGAAACCCACACTAAATACCTAGGGTTTTTCTGTACTAATTGAACACACTATCACACTATAACCCAAAGGCCTGGCCACAGACAATAGCAGATGCTTCAAGAGAAAGAATAGGGCCCTTTCAGCCAATTATACAATTACACGATATGACCATGTTTACATTATCAAAGGGAGGCAGACCAAATTACCTAGCTACTTCAAATTAATAACCCCATTTACCTCAATTATCTGGCAGGCAGGGTCTAAATAACCTGAGTAATTACTTCAATTCATTCAGATGGTATAGATTTGGCCTGTGTGTCCACAAGTAATTTTTCCTTCCAGTACACACACCTTAAACCATCAGCAAATATCAAAATGCACAACAGCAAACTCCTGTCAGTTTCATCTATAAGCAGTGTAAGCAAATCCTCTCCATTATCTGGCAGATTAAAATTTGTTATACTCTTAATAATCCAGGTTGAGGTTTTCTTTTCTGACAAAAACTCACTGGACCATAGAATTTTAGAGCTAGGAAGTACCATCCAGGGCCCACAGTCTAAAAGCCAGCTCCTGGAAGCAGTCCAACCAGAAATTCAGCCTGCTCACTCATAGCACGTAAGGCAAGGAGGTCTGAAGCCCAAATGCGTGGGTTCAAATCCTGGCTCTGCCACTTACTAGCTGAATGGCCTTGGCAAGTTCCTAAACCTTGCCAAGCCTGAGTCCTCTTCTGTACAATGGTGGTAATAAGGGAACCTGATTTATAGAGTCAGAACAAGGATTAAATGAGACAATCCACATAATGCACTTAGCATGCTTCTTGGCACATAACTACTATTGTTAAGCCCGTACTATTATTATTCTTATAGCAGCACCACCTTTAATAGGTTCCCCCAAAGGATGTGTCCATGTCCTAATCCCTAGAACCTGTGAATAGTAACCTTATATAACAAAGGATGTGATTAAGTTAAGGACCTTGGAAAGAGGTGTTTATCCTGTTTTATACAAGTGGTCCCTAAATGCAGTCACATGGGTCCTTATAACAGACAGGCACAGAGAGTTTTGAGGCAGACACACAGGAGAGGACATAGGTACATGGAGAAGAAGGCAATATGAAGACAGAGCAGAGAGCTGCAGCTACGAGCCAATGAATGCAGACAGCTGCCAGATGCTGGAAGAAGCAAGGAATAGATTTTCCTTCAAGAAGGGGTACGACTCTGTTGACACATTGATTTCAGACTTCTGGCCTCCAGAGCTCCAAGAGACTACGTATCTATTGCTTTAAACCACCACATGTGTGGTAATTTGTCATAGACAGCAGCCCCAGGAAACTAATACACTACCTCAATGGGTGCAGGTCTCGTTTGACCTTTAAACTACAACTTGCAGATGTTAACAGTGACAATGATAAAGCCAAAGATAAAGGTGCCTAAAAAACGGAAACACCAAGGGCTGGTGTTATGAATTGAGCTTAACAAAAGTAAAGAAGCGGAAGAATGCAAGAGACAATGAGCAAAGAGGTTTGGTTGAAGGATACACAAGGGTTCGGGGAAGGAAACACAGGAAGCATGAGGCTAGAGCCTGATCCTGTAATGGTTCTCACCCACTAGAGACAGAAATCTACAATGCCAGTGTGTTGTTTGTTTCTAAATAACATGTTTATCCAGTCAGTACTCTATGCTTTTTCTTTTTATTTATTATGCTTGGAGTTTGTACAACTTCTTGAATCTATGGGTTGATCTCTCTTACAAATCTGGGGAAATTCTTAGCCTCAAACACTGCTTCTGTCTCATTCCCTCCCTCAAACACTGCTTCTGTCTCATTCCCTCCCTCTCTGCTCCTTCTGAGACTCCAGTTATACATATCTTAGACTTTTCACTGTGCCCCACTTGTCTCTTATGCTTTTTTCTATATGTTCCATTTTTCCCTCTTTGCATTTCAGCTTAAATCGTTTCTATTAACCTTTCTTCCAGATCACTATTCTTGTCTTCTGCTACATATGATCTCTCTGTTAAAACCCTATCCATTGAGTTCTTAATTGCAGATATCTTTTTCAAGTAATAGAAATCCCATTTTATTCTTTATAGATTCCAATTCTTTGTTTAAATTTTTCATATTTTCATCTATTTTATCCATTAAAAATTTATTTTCTTGAACATATTAATTAGTTATTTTTAAATTCCTTTTTTGCTAAATATAATTCTATTCACTCTGGATCATCTGTGAATCTGTTTCTATCATTTGTTTTTCTCTCATTTTTGGGGAATGGTCACATTGACACACCTAATAATTTTTGATTGAATACCAGACATCATGTATTAGAAAGTTGAAAAGATTTCTGATGAAGTTATCTTCCTCAAGAGATGGCTCTCCTTTCTTCTGTCAGGAAAATAGAGTTGGGGATGGGGGTGCGGGCTGATGACCTAAACCAATCAGGAACTATTACAAGACTCAGGTTGCTCCTGGCTTACACCCTTTGCTAGGACTTAGCCCTCCTGGACTTCACTGAGAGCCTGGTGTGTTCACCATGCCCCCACCCCTCCCAACCTCCAAAAGCAGGTACTGAACTGTAAATCCTTATTGTCTCAGCACCAGAAGATTACTCAACACCCCTTCTGCTTTCCGGAGGGATTCTGCTTATCTTTCGAACCTCTCGTCCCATGCAGTCCAGAATTTAGCAACTGTCTTGAAGGGAAAGCCAACTGTGCATTTCTGGCTCCTCAAGCTCCAATTTTGTCTCTCCACTCCAGTCCCAAGAGAACACAAACGCTCTGCAGGTTTATTTTTCCCAGAGCAGCAACATTCCGTCCAAGCAAAGCCCAGGTCCCCATTATTTTGTCAGCACTCAGAATTAGAAATCTCCCAAAAATAAAGTAGCTACAGATCGTCAGCTCACCTCTCCACAGTTCTCTTCTTCTTGATATTTTAGCCCCCTACTCCTCATTGTTTCAACACTTCCCAGATTTAAACAGAATGTTGCTTTCTGTATTTTATATAGTTTTTGTTGTTCTTCTTGGGATCATTAGTTTGCCTCAAACTACCCAATCCTAGCCAGAAACAGAAATTTCTCCTTTATATTTTTCAAAGTGTTTTCATTGTCATAATTAGTTCCCCCCCATATAAACTAATAATAAGAAGAAGGCAGTATTTTTTACTCTGATATTTTAGAGCACAGTTTGCCAGTGTTGGGCAAACTATGGCCCACAGGCCAAGTCCAGCCCACTGCCTGGTTTTGTAAATAAAGTTTTATTGGAATACAGCCATGTGCATATTCCAATAAAATGTGCATATTGTCTATGGCTGCTTTGGCACTACAAAAGCTGTTGCAGATTTAAGTAGTTGTAACAGAGACCACATCACCCACAAAGCCCAAAATATTTACCATCTTTCCCTTTACAGAAAGTTTGCCAGCCCCTGCTTCATTTGAAGGAAACTGAAGCTCAGACACATTCAGTGACTCGCAAGTTAACTTTGGAGAGAAGATTGCATGTGCGGTTCCCTGATTCTTATTCCAGCCATCTCCCCACTCTTCTAATTTGCTTCCCATCACAATGATTTATTACAATCATTTTTTAAGATTAACACAACAAGGAGAGAGACAGAGGGGAATGAGTCTGAAGCAGACAGTCCCAGTAAGGAAAAGGGAGGTGTCTCAGCGAACACAATTAAGGGTCTTTCTATTTTTGGAATATTTGGGGAATTTTGGCAGTCACCTTGGAAATCTGCTAAAACAAATAATGGAAGGCAACTATTCAAGGATGCCACTTCAAGGTAAAAAAAAAAAAAGCCTTAGTATTTCATAGAGGTTTTTGTTGTTGTTGTTCAGAAAATGAACATATAAGGAAGAAAAATGAGAAGTATCCTGAAGAATGTGTTCAATTTTTATCCATTTGATTGCTGAACGCTTTCATCAAGGCAATTCTCTGAGCACAGGAAAAAAATATCCCCAACAGAGGTTGGCAGCTCAGAGGGACACACACACACACACACACACACACACACACACACCCCATGCCTGATTAAACAAAATAATTTTTAAAAATCCAAAATCCAATACAGTTCGAAACTTAACAATAATTTAAAAGAAAGGCCACTTGCTTTCCCCTCTTCTGCTTTATACAAATACATGGTAATTTGCTTCTTTTTAATAGTTTGTACAATCTGATGAGTGGTGCAATTTAGCCCCCATGTCAATTACGGATGCTAAAAATTTCAGAATTATAAGATCACCAAAATTATCACACCCACCAAAAAGACCTGCTGGGGACAGCTAATCTTTTTCTTTTCACTATACCTTGTGCAGAAGGCTGAGCAGGGGATGTCCACATCTTGCCAACCCTGGAGCTCCATTTTCCCAGGGAGGACTTGAGCGGGAAAAGCAAGATGTAAGGTAGAGAAAGACTAATTCATAAAAGTAAGGGAGTCATGCCCTTAAAAAAGAAACACAAACTCCTCTAAAAGTTGAGAAACAAAAAGCTCTCGGGCCTCCCTGACAAGATTCCATAGTTGTTTCTCTCAGCGCTTAGATTTCTCCAGAGGCAGAAAGGCAGAAGCAGAACTTAGCTCACATTTCTTTGAATGAGCCATTTAAATGCCCATCACTCCACATCACTCTCATGCTCTGAATTCTTCTGTGGCTCCCCAGTGCTCAATTTTGGGGTCCAAGCGCTTGAATGCAGGATACACCATGCACCACAATCTTGCATCTCTCATCACATTCCGTTTTCAGCCACTGTCTGCCTAGCACGTCCTGCTCTTGCAACAAAGAACACTTTTAACTTGCATCGTCCTCTCATCCCAGCTTGCAAAGGAACAGGTACACATGAGGACTGCATTCCTATTCAGGGATTTACGTGGGAAAAAAAGAAATCAGTGTTTTACTTTACTTTTAAAGATGTAATATCTATGAAATCTCTGTTGTTATTTACCTATGATAGTAAAAATATTGCAAAAATTACCAAATTACGAAGTATGAAGTGACCTCCAACATCATATACTCCAAATTCCTCAACTGGTGGTTCATGAAGCTCAGAAAAAGATGCAGAGGATTCCTTCTGTTCTTTGATGAACACTTAAGGCCGTTTCAGAGAAGCAGCCATTACACCCCTTTCCTTCTGGGCCTGAACTCAGGCTCCTTCCTAATTTAAGGAAAAAGTAAAACACCAACCATCCTCAGAAACCAACCTTCTTTACAGGCAGAAGTTTCTTCCAACCTGTTACCTGCGAATTTCAAAATCATACCTCCTGTCTGCCAAACAAGACTGCCAGCTTCTCAAAGCAAGAACTATACTGAGGTAGGTATAGACACTCATGTACACAGAGACACACACACTGAGACACACATACACAGACACACATACGCTTCTCATAGCTGAAAACATGGAAGGCAGTCCATCTTTCTAGACAGTGAGTATCTAATACAAGTCAAGACACAGTAATTACGCTACAGACAAAGGGAGGGAGGATAAAAAGGAAGGTCACTCTGATTGAAGAGGAGATGGTTAGTAGGGGGATGGATGCAAAGGCCAGATGTGGGAGAAAGAGACTGGCAGGCCTAAGGTCAATTCTTATCTTGTCAGTGTGGAGAAAAATGTGTTACCAGCAGCGTTTAGTCTAATGATGTGTGAGAGATACACAAAACAAAAAGGGGGGTGAGGGTTTTGGGTAGAAGGAAATCATGATCGTAGTCCACTCCTGAGCTAAAGGCCTGAGCCTGGGAACCAGTGGGAGGAATGAAACAGACGGATGCATAGAGAGATGCTGGAAAGAATAATCAAGTGGATATGATGGCATTGGAAATGAGGGAAGGCAGGAGAATAAACCACAGTGCCTTGGTCTTTCAATTTTGAGGAAGAAAGATCCCAAGGTCAATAACACCTCACTTATGCAGAGGCCCCTTGGCTCACAAACTCAGCCATCCAGATGCAGCCCCCTCCTTCTCAGACTGCTCCAGTGCCATCCACAACATTCCACACAGGCCCTACACACAGGACATGGCCCCGGCTGCCTCCGCTGCCCGCCACTCATCCTCATCTCTACTGGATCCAGACACTTGACTCATTCGTGATCCTCAAACATGCCAAGCACATGCTGACCCCGGAAGGAGCCTTCTGTAAGAGAGTGGGCAGGGCCTGAGCCCGGGGAATGCCCAGGGTTAAGGGGAAGCAGAGAAAAGCCCTCAAAGAGGAGTGGCCAAAAGAGGTGATGACCGTGCGCCATGGAAGGGAAACCAGAGATGCAAAAAGCCAACGGCAGTTCATGCACATCAAAAGCTTCAGGGGCATGCAAGTGAATGGAAACAAAGTTCAGTTGAAGAAAGGAATAAAGAAAGGAAGGAAAGAAGACAGAAATGGGTGAAAGCCTTTCACAGCAAATATCTCTGGCAGACAGAGCAGGGAGCAGACCCCAGAGGAAGGAAGTCTAAAAGAGCTTCATCCCTCACCCCACTCGTGCATTTTGGCAGCACCCACCTAAGAGTACACTTTGGGGAAAGAGGGTGAGAGAAGCAGGCTCGCTCTTACTACTACCCCCAAATTAATTCCTCAGCAAGCCTTTCCCATTCATTATCATCATCTTTTCTTCATAAATCAAGTCTGCCAGACTCAAAGACTGGAACATTCAGGAAGTGCTTACTCAAAACATAGAAACATCAATATGGAGACTGCAGACCCCAGAATGATAACAGGGTGAGCTATATTTATATCCCACGGCTGGTGATGCCTCAGCACACTTCACTCTCTAGAAATTCCGTCGGCTTAATTTATGTGGCTCATTCCTCATTCCCTTTCAGCTGACAGGCTTCTTATCTTTTTCATTTGGAAACTTATCTGTAGGAGTTCCCAAACCCTCACTGTCGTTCGTTTTTGAAGTACCTGCATTCTGTCTCGAGTTTCCGGTAGATAAGTAGGGCTCCCTTAGATGCTGTCTGCCTATACCCCATGACTGTCAAAAATGTCCCCACCCTGGGATCAGGCATCAGATCCTAACAACACTGACAGAGTGAAGGGCACGTTTCTCCCTTTGGTGGGATTTTCTCTTCCAAGCCATTAAAACACTTTAAGATGCCTTTTCATATCTTTGCTATCTTTAGATTAGATGCTTAATGCATAAATCAGCCCAAATAGAGTGATGGAGTAGCGGGGAGAGGCTGACGCATTTCCTCACGTACAACCCAGCGTTTGAGTAAAAAAAAAAAAAAAAAAAACTTTACTCAGAAAAAAGATAAGGCTAAAATCAGATCTCAGATTAAAAATGGTAAGGAAATTGCAACTAGCTGTAGCCAATTCAAGCTGAGCCAATTATCACCAATCATAAAAGATGACTTATAAGAGGCCCTGGTGCCCCAGTACAATGGAGCAATTAAATCTTTATAACTGAGACAAAAAAAATGCCACATAATTAGACACAGCCAGAAAAGGGTACGTATGCTTCCCCTTCCTGTGGCTGGCCCATTAGGGCAGGCATGCAGCCATTTCTTCACTGCCAAAAGGCCAATCCATTCCCCCCATCACTCAGCCTGCCTGAATCGCATCTGACACTGGCCACTAAGGTGGAGTTTCCTTTGGCCACAGGCCACTAACAATCCTTGAGTTCCCGCCTATCCCACGTCCAAATAAGTACAAGAATAACAGTGTCCTTATCCCACAGGTTACATGTGAAAAATATCTAGCTGTCTATTGAAGAAGTCAAGGGCATAGCTTCCGGAGCTAGGCACTAAGGTTCAAATCCTAGCTGCGCAACTCCCTAGCAGTTTTCTCATCTGTAAAATGTGCATAATCATAGTATATACTTCACTGAGTGTTGTGGGGATTAAAAGAATTAATATATGTGAAGGACTTCGAAGCGTGACTGGTATATATTAGGTGCTATGTGAGTCGGTTGTTGTTATTACATACTTCCCAATAGTATCATTATCATCATCATCATTATTATTAAGCACTTTACAATAGCAAGAGTTGCCATCAGCAGCCAGTTATGAGGCTGTTATGCTTATCCAGGCTGGACAAATCTGGGCCACTGGTTAGAGGAATGGAGAAGACAAGCTGACACCAAGAGACAGTGCAAAGGCAGGTGCACGACCTTCCACAGATGCCTGGTGCAGGCGGGAAGGAACTGGAGACGCAAAGTGGGACTCCAGGATGCCGCACTGGGGAGCATGGTAGGGCGTGCTCCACAGAGGGAAGGGGGGAAGAGAGAGGACCAGGAGCTTGGGGGCAGACATGCTGGCCTGAGGCCCCTCCAGGACTTCCACAGAGGACGGCCTTGGGCCCAGAGGATGCTTGCTCACCTTGAACATGAAGCTACTTCTTTTTCCCTCCTTGCACAACAGCACTGACTGGACACAAAGCCAAAGTCAACCCCAGGGGAAGATAGGACAAACAATCACAGCAAGTACATCCCCAAGGACCCTTTCTGTTGACACAGGGACATTTCCTGAAGGTTTATTCTGCCCCAGCCGCTCCAGATATGTTATCTCATTTCACCCTGACAATAACCCAGAGGAGCTGTGTGCTCAGAAAGGGTTAAGTGACTTGCTCAAGGTCATGGGGTTAGCAAGGAGCAGAAGTGAAAATTGAACCTAGATCTGTCAGAAAGAGAGGGGGGTCCAGGCTACAGACCCAGAAACTTGTGTTCTGACACCAGAGATGGGATTTCTCTGGGCCTTCATTTGTCTATCTTTAAAATGGGGATATTTGTCCTTCCTGCTCCACTTCTGGTATGACTGAGGATGCTCCTATAGATCAAGTCTCCTGCAGATAACAACTATAAACTCTGCACACACGCACACACACACACACACACATACAGACATAAAAACAAAACAAAACAAAACAAAGCAACTTTCTGAGGGCACTGGAGAGGAAGCCAAGGCAGGCAGATACTGGAGGGCATCAACACTTGCAAGAAAAGTACTGCACTGGGCGAGGTTTTGTCTCTGATGGCTTTTAGCCCAAGGGCAGGCCCTGGTTGGTACCACAGGAGCAGCTAAAACTCGGACAGAAACCCACAGTTTACTGGCTTGAAGAAACAGAAGACAGAACACAGGGCTACTTCAGCTGGTAGAATATGAAGAGAAAACCCCAGAAAGGAGAGAGCCAGAGAAAAGAGCCCCAGATTCTGTGTATAAACTCTGCCCAGATCTCTGGCAGACTCCTGAACCATGCATGCACGAGGTACTCCCTAAGCAACCCAGCTAAGGCTAAAAGAACAAATTTCAGCTGCCACCCAAGAGACAGAGTTGGCAGCTGGAGTCCAACTGCTTGTTTGCTAAAGCAAACAAACAAAATCAACAGTCATCAGAAGAATATAACAGAATCCAGAGTCTCCACACCATCACAGTCACAATGTCCAGGATACAATTCAAAATTACCACAAAAATGTCATAAAAAATGTTACCCATTTTAAAGAAAAATGGCAATCAATGAAGACCAATCCCAAGTTACACAGGGTGCTAGAATTAACAAACAAGAATTTCCAGATAACTATTATAACTAAATTCAATATCTGTCCAACCTACCTCACAGAGTTGTTAAAGGTAAAATATGCAAGCAAAAAGTGCTTTGGAAAGTTTCACATACACTACCTCTAAAAAATAAAAATAGAAGTGGTCTCCACTTTTTATATCTGTTCCCAAAAACCACAGAATAAAGCAAACCATTTTAATATGCATCTTTCTTCTAGGAATAAGTTACACTCAAGGATTGATCAAAACCCTATTGTTAAATAAATCACAAAGACAAAAATGTGTGACTATAAATCAAGGCCTATAATGCCTATTACGCCACAAATCATTTTAAAACGCAAAATGGGCCACATGTCACAGTCTACTTTATGCAGTGGGAGGAGACAGTATGCATAGTGGTTACCATCATTGGTTCTGAAGTTAGACAACCTGGGCTCAAATCTTAGCCTCATGACAGAGAAGCTTTCTTCCAAGGTGAGTTACTTAGCCTCTCTGGACATCAGTTTCCTATTGGAAAATATCAATATTAATGGTCCCTGCCTCTCAGGATTGTTGCCATAATTCACATACAGGCCTGCATAGCAACTTGGTGCACAGTCGAGTGCTTAATAAATAGCAGCCACTGTAAAGGAGGTCAGGGAGAGAAGGAAACTTGCCCAGCATTGTCCAGCTGGCCAATTACAGAACAGGGAGTAGAACCTGGATCTATTTTTCCATTTTTAAAACTCTTCTTCACACAAGTTTTTAAATAGACACACATGCACTATAAATTGGTTATCCCAAGTTCCTTAAGCATTCTAAAACACACACATAAAAACACAAATTATAGCTCTGTCATGGCACAAGTTTGATCAAAAAATTATGAATTTTAGAAATCAGAATATTTTATTTTTAAACTATTTTTTATTCCTTTGAATTTGAAAAGTCTTAAGATGTGGTTTAGAAGGACACTCTCCTTTTTAAAAGGTGACCCTGAAAATTTTACATGAGTGTTTTTCTATTTCCAATCACTTTCACCAGCGCCCACACCAAGCCTCAGAATTCACTCACACATAATCCTCGATAGCATCTTCATATGGGGGGGTCTCGCTGCAGCCTTTGTAAGCAGAGACCAAGCACCTCCTGAATATGGTTCTTTGCATTCACCATTTTTCTTTTCTCTTCCTTCCCATTTCCCTAACAGCTGACACAGCATTAAAGAAGTTAAGCTGTTAAAAAAAAAAAAGGCTTGAGGAGTTAAAGAGGAAAAGTCACATTTCTTTGCCTGAATAATGTGAGGATTGTTATACCTGTTTGTGAAACTTGGGACTTTGTCTTTAAAAAAAAAAACAAACAAACAGGTGTTGGGATGGAAAGCCACTGAGAAAGGCAAAGTGTTCTTCTCTGCATAGCCCTCTTGCTCCCTGTGACCGAGTGAAGGGCTTGAGAAATAAACTACAAGTATTAAACACTAACTGCAAAGAAGAAACAGAGATCATCCAAATAGGCAGATCCAAACCTAAGCCAAGAGCCTCTAGCCCAGTTCTCGTTTTGTGAGAAGAAATTAGAACCTTAAAAAGTTTTCAGAATAAGACCCCAAACAACCAAGCCAGGAAGAGGACAGAAAACCTGGAGGAGCCCAAAGGGGTGCAGGAACTTCTGACAGGTGTATGGTGGGAGGACTGGACCAGGAGGCATTGATGAGAACTCAGCCAGAACATTCTAGAATTACAAGGAACAACCGGCCTGATTAATATGCGGAATCTTGGCAAGGCAGAAACGATTCTCAGTTATGTTTCCCACTCCAGGAGAACGTGACTTCCTGTTCGAAATGGAGGAGGGCTTTGTCCCAACACATGATGATCTTCACAGGCTGACATTCTGGTCTCTTCATTACACAGGAGTGACGCCTGAAGCTGAAGCAATTAACACAATGTTACACGACCGAAAGCTGAGGCAAGGGGCCAGTGTGGAGCCATGGTGAGTCACCAAGAACTCTGGATTCTTCCAGGGGCTGGCACTACCAGGTTGACTGGCCCTGGGAGATTTCTTTCTCCAACAATGGCCTCAGTTTCCTCATCTGCACAGAGTCAGACAGGTAGGGCGACCCCAAAAGTTCATCTCCCTTCTAAATGATACTAGGAAATCTGTTGGCTATAAATGAACTCATCGATAACACTCATTTCCCATTTAGATTTTCTGAGGAAGTGACTTTGGACAACCATGGTGTACACACACGTACACACATACACAAACAGTACTTTCAGTCTGCAATTGCCTGTCTATTCCTTCAGCACAATTAGGTCAACACTGTTGACCACAGTATACCACCTCCACCCCAATACTGGGCCAGACTCCATGATACCAGGTGACTGGGTGTGCTGTGGGGTGCCAAATGTCCACATATTGATCATCTTATCACACCTATTGAAAAATCCAGTAAGACTTGAAGTACCTTCCTGTCAGATGATTAAATAAGGTCCACAAAAATACTCTGTTTTCTTTCTTTTTTCTTTTTTTTTTTTTCCTGAGATAGAGTCTGGCTCTGTCGCCAAGGCTGGAGTGCAGTGGTGTGATCTCGGCTCACTGCAATCTCTGCCTCCTGGGTTCAAGCAATTCTCCTGCCTCAGCCTCCCAAGGAGCTGGGACTACAGGCATGCACCGCCCTGCCTGGCTAATTTTTTTGTATTTTTTTTTAGTAGAAACGGAGTTTCACCGTGTTGCCCAGGCTGGTCTGGAACTCCTGAGCTCAGGCAATCCACCCGCCTTGGCCTCCCAAAGTGCTAAGATTACAGTTGTGAGCCACTGCACCTGGCCAAATACTCGGTATTCTTGAAAGCATTCTATTAGTACAAGGCATTTTTACTTTCTTCCACCCTGCTGGCTACTCCCTCAGAGACGGAGAGTCCCTCAAAGTCCTCCCACTTCTCCCTATCCTTCCCTGTCCTAGAAGCACGAAACCTACCTCTCCGGGCTGCCCTCGCCCTTGTGAACACTGACTTCTCTGACCAATGCCTGTGGTCCTGGTGACCTGGGCTGTGCCACATTCCACACTGTTCTATCGTGCAGTTGCCCACCCAATATGGTGAACAACAGCCCTTGGAGAGGGATTGATTAGGACAAACGCCCTCATTTTGCAGATGAAGGAATGAAGGTTCAAAGGAATTCTTTACATCATTCCTGTCTTGGGGAGGAAATCTTGCACTTACATTTGACTCTTCTTTGCATTTGGTATAAAAATAGCTATCATTTACTGAGAATTATCTAGGGGTCTAACCAATGCCTTTTCTGATGACTTTATTCAATTCTAACAACGCCAGGAAATATACTGCATTTTACAGATAAGAAACTCAGACTCACAGGGCCTAAGTAACTCATCCGAGGTCACAGAGCAAATGAGAGAGATGGGTCTCCCAGCAAATCTGCAGGCCTCAGCCCAGAGCTGTGCCACACTACAGCCCATGCTTTTAATCACTCTGCCAGCACTATTCCCTGACATGCAGGGTGATGGACTGCTACACAGCTGCTGATTAATTAGTGAATGCTGCTGCTATTTGCCCTCCTCCCCCAAGATAAACAAAGGCTGACCATGAGAAAGATACCAGTACACCCCCAGGAAGCCAGCCGATTCTCTGGTGATGAGTGATGCTGGGAACAGCAGACTGGACATCTATGGGCATCTGATGGCCACTTTAAAGCACTCAAGGAGAGGTGAAGAAAAAAAAAATAGGCTCCCCTCCAATGCAATTTTTAAACCACTGATTCACCATGCAATGCAGTGTTAAAGTCAAAAGAACCTTAGCCACTACTGTATTTGCAAAAATTCTGTACTTTGTTTTAAAAAGCACCATTTGTTAGCCCAACATTCCCCATGGAGCCAGTTGGGAGATGACATCTTGACAAGTTGGACTCTTTCGGGACAAAGAATACAAGCTGCATCAGTTCTATTTCTTCCCCAGCCAGAATACACAGGACTAGCCATCAAGGGGTAGAAGCAAAAATGGCTCCTCTCCTCTTAAACCTAGTGATATGGTTTGGATATTTGTCCCCTCCAAATCTCATATTGATATTTGATCTCCCACGTTGGAGGTGGGGCCTAGTGGGAGGTGTTTGGGTCATAGGGGCGGATCCCTCACGAAAGGCTTGCTGTCCTCCTTCGAGGTAATGAGTGAGTTCACGTGAGAACTGGTTGTTTAAAAGAGCATGGCACCTCCTCGTCTCTTGCTTCCTCTCTCACCATGTGACACACCAGCTCCCCTTCCACTTGCACAATGTTTGGAAGCTCCTGGAAGCCCTCACCAGAAGCAGATGCTGACGCCATGCTTCTTGTACAGCTGGTGGAATCATAATCCAAATAAACTTTTTTTCTTTATAAATTGCCCAGTTTCAAGTATTCTTTTATGGCAATACAAACAGACCAAGACACCTAGTATGTTTAGAGTTTTGCTTACCAGCCCCACAATTTTTGAATCTGCAGATTTGGAGCTGCTGGTTCCCAAGAGAGGAATGCTTCCTCCAGGAGACACTGCAATGGTTTTACTGAACTAGAAGTTGAGATTGCCCCTTGGCTATTTTAGACTACCAATGCCACAGAAACAAAAGGCAAAGAAGGCAATTACCCTACTGGGTGAGGTGAATGATCCCAATTTCCACAGGGAAACTGGACTGGTGCCATTGCTGCCATACAACAGGGGCAGAGAAGAGTATGCCTGGCACCTGGAGAGTCTCTAGAGTGCCTCTTGGTACTTCCATGTCCAAGAGTAAAAATCAATGGAAAACTAAAGCAACTAACAGACACACAGAGAGAATCACTGAGGATTGAGATCCCTAGGTTATTCCACCGGGTAATAAATAAACCTCTGCCACAGAAGGTGCTGGCTGAGGGCAAAAGCCAAGTCCCAGCAGTCACGGTTTCCATATTGAAGCAATGTTAATTCCTCCTCTCATTCCACCAATCCCAGATAAATATTCTATATCCTACAGACTGAACCAGGAAAATAATTTATGCCACCCAGAGACAGACACCATGCCAACTGGGACTTTTTGTCTTCCCTTAAGAGTGTGAATACTGCATGAAGCATAGACACATCATAGGCAGAAACAAAGCTGTCCTGCTGTTGTGCCAAGTTGAAAATGTGCAGGAGGATATGTGAATGCTGAGAATCTGAAGGGTTGGACTGTGCTGGTCATTTAGTTGCCATCTTTCTGATCCAAGTCTGACCTGTGTGGTGGGGCGAGGACTGTGCAAACTGCATCCTCGCTTTGCCAGTTGAATTTCTATTGGGTTCTGCCAGTAGGGGCTCAAGATGGAGAAGGCAGAGGGGAACCTTAAAGTCAATATACCTTTACAGAAAGCTGGTGTGCATGTGCAAGAGTTTTAAATTATTCTGAATTATTGCATTTTCATATTAATCATTCACTCATTCAGTCATTCAACAAGCATCCTCAGCACTGAGGCCCTAAGGATTTAGCTGCTTAGAGAACAAGGACAAACCATGCCCTCATGGAGCTTACCATTATGGTTGGAGGACATGGTAAATACCACATAAACAATAATATGATTTCAGATGATCGTAAGTTCCACAAAGAAAATAAGATAGAAACAGAGGTTGACAGTGAGTTGGGCAAGGAAAGAGGCTGTTTGGGGCAAGGTGGTAAAAGAAGGCCTCTCTGAAAAGCTAGCATTTAGGCAGAGACTATAAGGATGGGAGGGAAGAGTGAATGAACTGGGAGAAGACCTGGGACCCAAGGCTTCTAGGCAGAGGGGCTCCATTACCCCATCAGAGAGAAACACCCTGGGTCATGTGCTATAAGAGGTATTTGGAGCAATGCCACAGTCGAAGGAGACTCACCATCGTGGGGGAAACTGTTTGTTTACTTTCAGCAAATCCTACAAATCAGATATAGCTTAGTGGTTGAGTTCATGTCCTCACTCTGGCATGTGGTTATTTTTCTTTACTTTCAATTTACATTGCAAGCCTGGAGAGAAATGAATTACATCCCCCTGGGTTTCTCTGTTCCGTACAATTAAGAAAAGCTATTTCTTAGTCATAAGGCGGATGACGACACCAAGATTTCCCATTTTCTCTCCACAGGGAGGCTGTCATCACTCAATATTAATTGATCCTACTTTTCATCCATAAAGCAGGGGCTGAAACAAATTTTTGGTCACAAAAATGGCAACTATTACACTATTAAGGTAAATTATTAATGGTGCCTCCATTAAAGCACACTCCTGCTCACATGGCATCAGCTACCTCAATGCATGGTTGTTTCTTTAATGGGGAAAAAGGAGTAAATTATTTGGTTTTTTTCCTGAAACTGGATTAATCACCTGCACCTATCTCATTTAAGGTTGCTGGGGATTTTCCACAGTTTCATCACAACTGAGAACACACAGATAGGGCTGTAATATGTCTTGAATTCCCAGCAGGAAAGTGTGTCAATTGAATGCAATTTTATTTTTCTGCTAGAGAGCAGATAAAGTGAAAACAGCAAGAAGACACAAGAAACTTTCACAAGTTGAGGAGAGCTAGTATCATTTAAAAAAATGTTTCCCTAGACAAATAATTTGATGCTTATTTTTAGAGAGGCTGTGGTGGTGCTGAATTAGGGAAACCTAGTTTAAAAAAAGAAAAGAAAAAGGAGAAAAACAACCAAGTTGTATCTACAAATAAACAACCTGCAATGAATCAGGGACATATGGGAAGAGCCAAACCTCATTACCACTGACGGCAGCGACCAGATGCTGGCACCCAGGAAAAAACAATTTTCCTATTCAAGGGAGGGCTCTGCTGCCCACACTTCCAATTCCTTCTCATTTATTTACATGAGTGCTAGGGCCTTGTGGAAGGCTAACCACAGGACATTTGCATCTCATCAATATGTTTAAATGTCACAAATCTTGACTTTCACAGCTGAAAGCCAGGCTTAGCCACTTACAACCAGGCTGATGAATAACTGGTTGACGCAGAAGGCATTTCTTAAACATATAATTTAATCTGAGAAGTGATGAGCTCTGCTCAACAGGCCCATGGCATGAAATTAGAAAAACATGCTAAGCATGTGTCTCCACAGTATCAAAGAAATGACAAAAATGGAAAAATCAACACAGTGATCATTTGCTTCTAGATTAGCAGAAGAACATCGTAGGGACCACTCTTGTTGATGGTCTTTAAAGGACCATCGCTCCCATCTCCCAGGTGCTGTGTGGTGGCTGCTAAGCACTCACAGCTGCCCCTTCCTCTGGAAAATTGTCCCCAACCAAACAGGAGCTTCCTGGGGGAGTTTAAGTGACTTGAGAGTGTCACAAAAACTATTAATGTGACCCCTTTGTTATACTCACTGTGACACAGACTGTGGGCTGTGTCAATTAAAACCCATTTCCACCTCTTTCTAGCTAATCTTCCTGAAATATAGAGCCCGGGGGCCAAAAGCTACATTTCCCATCTCCCAATAAGGAAACTGAGGCACAGAGAAGTGAAGTGACTTTCTCAAGCTCACACAGCTAATAAGCAGCAGAGCCAGAATTTGAAACCAGGTTGGTTCAAGAGTCTGTGCTCCCAACAACTCCATGATGTTGTCTCTCATATAGAAGCAAGACTTTTTAACATAAACTGCCTGCATTATTAATATATAACAAATTACCACAAAACAGTGGCTTAAAACAACATTTATTTTCTCACAGTTTCTGTGAGTCAGGAATCCAGGTGCAGCTTATCTGGGTGCCTCTGGCTCAAAATCTTTCATGAGGTTGCCTGAGGACATTGGCCAGGGCTGAAGTCATCTCAAGGCTCCACTGGGGGAAGATCCACTTCCAAGCTCATGCACACAGTTGTTGAGCAAGATTCAGATTCACTTTCCCCAGGGCTATTGGGCTTAGGGCCCCAATTCCTCACTGCCTGTTCACAGGAAGCCTCCCTCAGTTCCTTGCCACATGGGTCTCTCCACAGGTCAGCTCACAACACGGCAACCAGTTTCCTTCAGGGGAGTAATCAAGAGAGAGCGGGAGAGTGCAAGATGGAAGCTACAATCTTTTTGTAACCTAATCTCGGAAGTGATAACCCATCACTTTTGCTGTATCCTGTTCACTAGAAGCAATTCACTAGGTACACAAGGCCGTGGATACCAGTAGGCAGGGGTCACTGGGGGCCATCTTGGCAGATGTCCACCATGCTACTTGATATCATAACACTAATGAGCAGGAAAGTTGAGTTAAAGTTGCTTTTTCATTAGGTAACTTGGCTCCCAAACCCAAGCACTGTATAGTACTCTAACATTCCTTGCAGGTAGGAGAACAAAACCTTGGCTGGTTCACCCCTCAGGGACACTGATCCCCATCACTTGCCTTAAGCCACTTCTGAATTCACACTTTATATCCAAGAAAGTAAATGGTATTAAGAAAAAAGATATTTTCTTGGTTTTTAGTTGTTTTAGGCTAATTCATTAAATGAAGTCCACAATAAGAAACTACTTATAGACATGAGAGTAAGTTTTTGTTTTCATTTACAGTCTCTAGATTGGCAAGAAACAGTGGTAAGAAAAGAAACAGTTGGATCACCAGTCTGAGGGATATGGAAGGCAATCCAGAAAAACCTCAACATCCTTCTCCCCATTCCTTGCACACCTTTACAGCATTATTCCAGCCTGGGCTATTAGAAACAGCATCAGTAACTTTTCTTTCACACACTTCATCTCGACCATTTCTCACCAAGCAAGCCATGATGGACTGAAGACCGGTGAGCCCATGCTCAGGGCATCTTTGATGCATCTATTAAGGCCTTAAAAGTTCAGCCTGTTGGCATCAGCAGCCCTGATGAGTCCACTCACCCCCAGGAAGCTCGTTTGATTGAGGTACCTTTTCCAAGCTGCAGTTTGGTTGGTGGGTCCAAAGATTAGATTTGGTTTAGGATTTCCAGGGCCCCCTGCACCTACCAAACAGCAGACAAGTCTCTAGCCATGCAAGGTGCAGCAGGCCAAAGGCAAATAATGGTAAATCATGGCAGATGCTTCTCCAAGATAACACACAGACTCTATTAGGGCTATACCCAAGCTGGCCTGGTTTCCAGATATAGGAGAACAGACACCAGACTAGGACATTAAAAACTCCAGAATTTGGTGGGATGTTTCAGACGCTGTTTCCTACATTGAGAGACCTTACTATCTTGTTCACCATTGCATGCTCAATACAGAGCCTGAAAAAGAGTAGATAATCAATAAATATTGAATGGATCAATTTTGTTAAGTAACTTTGCCAGACAAGACTGCTTTCTCCAAAAAGAAAAGTCCACCCACAAGCTTGCCAGCTCCCTTGGGAATATATTATTATACCTATCTTGTGTCAAAGCAACATGCATTCCTTATAGTGCCATGTTGTACTCATGCTTACAAACTAATTCTGAGCTTACACTAGGGATGCCCAAGTGAAATAATCCCTTCCCTCTTTTAAGAGGGCCCAATGAGGCTGTCAAACTAATGTGTACTCCTCCTGATAAATCATGTGTATGTACCTGCAAAGTATGTTTATGCAACAGAATAGAAAAACATCTCAGTGGCTGCTAAGTGTAGCAGGTACTCCTTGCCCATGTAATTTTTACTTATCAGGAGCCCTGACCTGTAAACAAAGAAGAGTATGCCTGAAACACAGAACTGAGGAAATGACCTTCTAGACTTAATGACAGTGGCATGCAACTTGAGGCCAGAATCACCTACCTTTTCACACCAGATTTGCTTTTGAAAATATTTCGTAGATAAAATTCAACAGGACTCCTGTCTTCTGAAGCATTGGTGAAATATGGTCAAACTATAAAATGACAGTGGACCCAGTGAAATTAGAGAAAGCTTAAAATTCTTTAACGCAATATTGCTAATAATAATTAGTAGGGTGCATAGAATATTAACTTGTTTTCTGTTCCGCTTTAACCAAATTAGATAACAATTATTACCACTACCTCAAGGCTGCTTTTATGAATCCCTGCAGAAAAATAATTTGGTTTTGCTTTGACAGATAACAGTCATCAGCAAGGAATTTCATTTTACTGAAGGCAGGCTTAGTTGCTGAAATTTACTGCTTGGGTTACACACATATGCACATGCACACACACACACAGACACACACACACACACACACACACACACACACCTGAGCCCATTTTCATACAAGACTGAGTAGTGTTGCTTCTTGGTCTGGATTTAGAGTAGCTGGGAAAACAGCATGAAGAGTTTTTACATTCAGAAAGGAATGCAAAGGAATGTAAAGAATGCCTTCCTTCCTTTTAAATCTAATCTTATTACTCCCATTAGTGAATATTTAACAATAACACTAACGCTAATAGCAGACTTGGTCGCAACATCAAAAGCAACAATACCAAAGATGAATATAACAGCTTTGCTCAGAAAAACTTAAAGCTACGTCACACATATTATCTCATTTATCTTTTGAAAATCTCTTCAAACTGTAAGAGCATATTTATCTACTTTGAGACATGTTTTATGGGAACCGATTTCCTTATTACTCTTTGCATCTTCTGTTTAAAAACATGGTCTGTTTTTAACACACCTCCCAGCCAGAACCTCAACTCATAACTCATGCCATTGACTTCCTTGCATGAATCTCAAAAACAAAAACCAACTCTTAGCAATTATAGAAACCGGAAACAAAAATGAAACACAAGTAGGAAGTTAAATAACTTCACTGCATCCAACAATTGCTTTTGCCTAAACTGAAATTAAATAAATAGACACACACACACTCTCCATAAAAACTCTGCTACACAATTTATTAATGAACAGTGAAAAGAAACAGAAGCCAAAAGTGGGTCAGGAGAAACTGTTTAATCTAATAGTCTGGAAATTATATTGGAAGAAACAGATGGTTTCACAGAAGTCAATGTTACCTAGAGGAGCAAGGAGCGATTTTCTAGGAAAGAAAAATGTTTCCCTACCCTACCGCATATACTATTTTCAGCAAAGGAGGAGTCTATATTCAGCACAGGAAAAGTCCCGATATTGGCACACTTACAAAACTGGGACTAAGTGGCAGCCATCCACACATACTCAAGCTCAGACTTGGCCTTCTGAATCTGAGCTGGAGGTCAAACCTAGCCCTATTTTAAAGCTGGGAACAACAGAAGCCAGCACTACGCTCCAGTGGGTTATTGACCAACACTCATGTTCTTGATACCTAAGGAAAGTGGTCACCAACAGGTCATGGGCAGCATGACCCTTAATGTGGCTCCGGACCCTCAGAGACTCTGTGGGTCCCAGGCAGCAGCAAGACACACAGGGCACATGGAGTCGGAAGACCTCAGTGCAAGCTGCGGCTCTGTAAGACAAGACCACCCTATTTGTCAGGCTCCCTATTTGTCAAGCAGAACAAAAAACATCTCTAGACTTGTAAGGATGAATTGAGCTAAAGTATATCAAGCTGCATTGCAAACAACACAGCATAAGACAATGCTCAACCACTCAGTCTATTCTCATCCCCACCATCTATGATTCACCAAAACATGCAGCCAAATTCTCCCTAGAGTAGGGCTCAATCAAAAAGAGAACATCAAAGCTGGGGTCCTTGAATGACCGATCACAGCCAACCAAATCTCAAAGCCATACCCGAGGGACCTTTGGTATTGTCCACAATCCTTAAGAGTAAAGAATTGAAGAAGGCAAGTCTGAGTTCTGATTCTAGCTCATCACACATTCGTTGCAGAACCACGGGCACATTAGGTAACCTCACTGAGCCTTGTTTCCTCATTTGTAAAATCAAGATCTCTATAAGGATTAATTGACACTGAGCACCATGCATGCCACATTAGCTGTTATTACTGTTGCTACTGTTAACAATGATTATATCAATACCAGCAGCATCCAAGTCCACTGCTCCATCACAATACATCAGCTGCAGGGATCCCCAGAGAGGCCAGGGAGGGCGCAGGGGCAGAACAGCCTTTCTGCCATGAAGATGAAGGACTGTACGAGGAGGAGCCTCCCACCGGGGTGAGCTTAAATTTGCGGAAATATAGAAAGTCCCGCCCCACCCAACTCTGACCCTGGGGCCTCTTGCAGCAGTATCAAGGGCTGCTTAGAGCCTCCCTTCTAGCCATCCACCTTCCCTCCTCCAGGGCTTCTGACATTTTGCTCCAAGGTTTGTTTGTTTTTACTTAGAAAAAATGCCATCAACGTCAGTGACTGTATGCTCAGTTCTGCTGAAGAGCTGCAAATGTTATAGATGGATTTGTTATGTTCTAAAACTGCAGGTATCATATTTACAGAGAGGTAATAAATACCTCATTAAGGAAAGGCAAAACAAACACTTCAGAGTACTTGAGGCTCTATCTAAAGGAACCCCATGGTGAAACCCACTTTAAACCAAGAATCCTCCTGTAATGCAAATAAGTACTCATCCCCTCCAATTCTCTTCCTTCCTTTCCCTAGTTTACGATGTTGGGCTCCCCTGTAAAGCACCCCCCTCCCTCCCAGAACCTGCAGGCACCAGCAGCCAGGTATCCATCTTAGCCAGCTCCCTGAGACATCACAGACTTAAGCTGAGTCTGTTGACACCTGTTCTGTAGTGTCAACTGTAGGTGGGGTGGGGACACAGAACCAAACCACAACACCAAGACTGACTTAATGGGTCTGGTGTGCAGCTGGGCATGGGAACTTTTTAAACAAACTTTGAGAATCATTGTGTCACCTTGTATCCTTATTTTTATTCCTCTGGCCTGTCCTCCCAAATATATTCCAAGTCACCTAAAGAAAGTAAGTTATGATTTGGTCATAATACATAGGTAGGTAAGTAAACATTTGTTGAATTTATTTTATACTCAAAAGATCACACTAGTATAATTTTTTTCTGCCATCTCCACTCAAATTAAAAAAAAAAAAATTGTACTCCACATGATCTTTTAAGGTTCTCCAAGTGTGGTCCCCAGACCAGCAGCATCAGCATTGCCTGGGAACTTATTACAAAAGCAGATTCTCAGGCCTTGCCCTAGACTTACTAAATCAGAAACTTTGAGGATGGGGCCCAGGACTCTGCATTTTGACAAGCCCTCCAGGCTATTCTGATTCACTCTCAAGGTTGGGAACCACTCCTTTAAGCTAATGATTAGTTTTAAAGGCTTTTCTGGAGATTGACATTATTTTAGATGAGGCCATGGAACTGGCCTATCATCTCCCTTCACGAAATCAGAAAGGCTAATAGTGCCAGGATTTATAACTAGCCATTAGGCACCCAAACACTTAGCTCCCCACAACTTTCATTTCTTAATTTTCAGAATATAATGTAAATCATGATCCATTTTTTTAGATTAGTCTTTTTCCCAGCCGTGAAGGGAGACTGAAAGGACAACTCTTATAAACAATGATTATCAGCTGCTTCTGTAGTTGTGTGTCAGACTAACACCCCCCAGACTGGAGGTCAAAGAAAAACTGGACCTGTAGAAAACTTATTGCGCAATGTGCATGTCTTGAATAAGGAATGTCATCCTGTTATTATCATGACCACCCAAAATTTATATACAGAGTTTAAGGCTAGAATGCTGGTGGCCGAAAGCCAAGTATGAGCCTGGTCAGCACAATGTCGAAGAAAACATCCCGAAAATCAGTTCTTAAAGTCCTCTTAGACAGGAAAACCACAAAGATGGGAATTTGTAAAATGCAGCAGTGTGGAATGATCCTCGAAATTGTAATGCGTGTCATGGGAATGTCTTATAAGGAGGAACTTAAGAATAGAAATAGAAGAAGACAAGCTTGAGAAAGGGGCAAAGGTGAATAAATTACCTTTGAACTTTTTCATGTTGAAGCCCTTCAATTTAGTTTAAACCCACCACAGCACACAGAAGATTCAGGAACCAAGAAAGCCAAAGTGAAGGCTTTGCTGTTCAGTAAAACTACAAGATATCCTGCAAAGCTCCAAGTGCTTGGTGGCCTAGCAAGTTTCTTTTATAACTGCTCCAAACTCAATATCTCAATTTATTCTTCTATACCGTGGGGGTGACTCCACCTACCTCATAAGATTGTTGTTAGTTTGTTTAGAAGAGATTAATACAACAGTAGGTGCTGAATAAAAAGTAACTCTGATTATTACCTATAAAAAATGAAGCTCTCTACTCTCATACATTGTTGTTGGAAATGTAAAATAGAACAAACACTTTGGAAAACAGTTGAGCAGTATCTTATAAAGGTAAACATGTATTTAGCATAAACCCAACAATTCCACTCCTACATATTTCCCCAACAGAAGTGAAAACATCCACACAAAACACTTGTTCGTGGATATTCAGCTTTTTTTTTTCATAATAGCCCCAAACTGGAAATTTCCCAAATGTTCAACAGGAAAATGATTCAACAAATTGTGGCACATGCAAACAAGGGAATATTACTCAGAAACAAAAAGGAATTAACTCTTGATACACACAACAGCAAGGACTCAATACATACAACAGCACAGACTCCATGCATAAAACAGCACGGACTCCATACATACAACAGCAAGGACTCCATATATACAACAGCAAGGACTCCATATATACAACAACAAGGACTCCATACATACAACAGCAAGGACTCCATACATACAACATCAAGGACTCCATACATACAACAGCACAGATTGAACTGCAAAGGCATTAGGCTGAGTTAAAGAAGCCAGAGGCACACACACGGTATGATTCTATGTACATGTTATTCAAAAAGAAGCAAAACTATTCAACAGTGACACAGCAGATCAGCAGTTGGCTGGGTCAGGGCAGGCACCTGAGGGAACTTTCTGGGGTGATGGAAAAGTTTTATATCTTGAGTGTGGTGATAGTTCTACAAATGTTTACACCTATCAGAACTCATCACCCAGGCACTTCATATGGGTGTGTTTCATGGTATTTAAATTATAGTTCAATAAAGTTATTCAAACAAATATCACTGCGACACCCTTCAGTGGACTGGCAGTTGGCGCTGAGCTCTCTTTCATGTGCGGTGGATAAGCTTTGAGTGGAAAGAGCTGAAACACTGGATTCTGGGCCCACTTACTACTTGTTACCTGCCAAATCAATTTCTTCATCTGAAAAGAAAAGAAAAATACCTTCCTTTCAACTTTCGGGGCTACTTGAATCATCAAGTGAGAGCATTATTGGAGAATGCTTTAAAGCAGACTCAGCATCTGGCTGTGGGGAACTCGTGTCATCCCAGGTGCCCAGCACACCCACCTCCTCCTCTGCTTTCTGCTTTCCTTCACCTGCCAGGCAGTCCCTAGGACCACCTCCTAATTTCTCTTTCCCCCACTCCTTTTCTTGTCCCCACTGCCACTGTCTTGACTGAGGCCACCTTTACCTTGCCTGATGACTGCAATGGTTTCTATATGTTTCCCCTCCCCCAGCATTGCCCCTTCCATCCTTCCTCATTCTAAATCCAGAGAAATCTTTCCAGAATGAGAATCTGATGTCACCTGCACCCCCTCCATCTTAAAAACCTTCAGTGCTTTTGAGCTTAGACTCCTCAGCCCAACACCTAAGACCTTTCATCATCTGGCCCTACTTTCTTCTCCCCCAAAGAACATGCTCCAACCAAACTGAACTGCCTGTGGCTCCCCACATATGCAGGGTTATCTCCGTGTTTTGATCCCTCCCACAAGTTGTCTCCTCTTCGTGAAAAGATTATCTGCTTCCACCCTCTTCTCCCATCTTTTGCCTGACTAACAGCCAACTGTCCCTGGCACCAAATTTGCATAAAACTCCAAATCCACCTGAGGATTTCAAGTCTTCCTTGACACACAGACTCCTCCATCAAGCCTGGGCTACCACCATCCCATCAGTCTCCATTACTCTAGCATCAAGTACTGGTTCTTCATCTGTGAGAGAGTTTGAACCAAAGTAAAATACCAATCTATAGTCTGGTGCTATGGACTGAATTGTGTCCTTCCAAATCATCCTAACCCCTAAAGTGACTACATTTGGAGTAAGAAAGTAATGAAGGTCAAATCATGTCATAAGGATGGGGCACAACGTGATGGGACTAGTGTCCTTACAAGATGAGACACAAGAGAGCTTGTGCTCGCTCCTGTTCTCTCTTTCTCACTCTCTCTGTCTTCCCCCCAACCCCCGTCTTCCCTCCCTCCCTCTCTGCCATGTGAGGACACAATGAGAAGGCTGTTGTCTGCAAGCCAAGAGAGCCCTGACCAGAACCCAACCATGCTGGCACCTTGATATCCAGGGTAGCAACTTCCAGCCTCCAGAACTATGAGAAAATAAGCATCTGTTGTTTAAGCCAGTCTGTGGTATTTTATTATGGCAGCCCGAGCTGACTAAGGCAACCCAGGAACACCTCCTGTCTAGTTCACCCAAATGTCCCCAAGACATGGCATCTGGCCCAAGGTTGACCTTCAATAAATATCTGTGGAATCAATGAATCCTCTTATGGTCACTATGAACCTAAGGGCAAATCTTCATGATAAAATGGTACATTGTTATGACTTAGAGACACAGATTCTGACCTGAAACCGAATTTTCCTCTCTTGAAAACAGACTAGAACAGTGTTAAGCTATAGAACTTTCGGCAATGATAAAAACGTTCTCTGTCTGCGCTGTCCAATAGCAGTCACCAGCCACACATGGCTACTGAGCACTTGAAATGTGGCTAGTGTGACAGAAGAACAGAATATTCTATTTTACTTTGTTTTAATTAATGATTACATATAAATACCATGTGGCTGGTGGCTCCTGTACTAGTCAGTGCAGGACTGGACCATTCAAGGAAGGCCCAAGCCCTGGGCACCGGCCTCATTACACAGATTGCTCTCCGTGCCAACTGTCCCTGGCACCAAATGTGCATAAAACATAGTCGATTTTCACAGAGCTGACATAGGTAGCTTTCAAGTGGTGTTAGAGTGGCCTGGCACAGAGAGGCTGGCAAAACGCTCACATAAAAGGCATAACGGGGTACCGTTTTGCAGAAATTGTGATGCTTTATGGGCCTCCATCTGCGATGAAACCCATCAAAGGGCAGGTTCATCCCTCGGTGACCAGAGTTAATTGAAAATTTAAGACCCAATCAAATCACCCAGAATTGAGATTTTTGGCAGCTTATGTGCTTCACTGTAAGATTCCTGCTGCTTTCGCCTCTGCCAGCCCCACAAGTGAGGCTGCATGTTCCAGTATCTTCAACAACAGCACTGAGCTTTAAGCAAGGGACAAACTCAACAGTGTTAACTGTGATCCTGACTTTTTTTTTTTTTTTTTTTGAGACGGAGTTTCACTCTTGTTGCCCAGGCTGGAGTGCAATGGTGCGATCTCAGCTCACCGCAACCTCTACCTCCCAGGTTCAAGCAATTCTGCCTCAGCGTCCCGAGTAGCTGGGATTATAGGCATGTGCCACCATGTCTGGCTAACTTTGTATTTTTAGTAGAGATGGGGTTTCTCCATGTTGGTCAGGCTGGTCTCGAACTCCTGACCTCAGGTGATCCCCCTGCCTCGGCCTTCCAAAGTGTTGGGATTACAGGCGTGAGCCACTGCACCCAGCTTATCCTCACTTTTTGGAAAATGCACATGGCACCCTTCCTACCTAAGCCATCAGGTGGACATGGGCCAATACCTCCCTGACTTGTATTTGCCTAAGAGTCAAATAAGCATCGTCTCCATGAAAAATAAGTGTATAGAGTGTCATTTAAAAATCTGCTATGGTTAAAACCTTATGGAAGAGGAATCTTCTTATACCATTCTACATGATAATAAGTTTTCTAACAACAACATTCCAGTTGGTGTTAATGCCTATTTGTGTCGCATCTTGCAGTCTGGCATCACAAGAGCTTTGATGCCCAAGATTCTAGAATTCTATATTCGAATTCTTCCCCCAACCACTTCCTAGCACTGCCTCTTTGGGCAAGTTACTTAACCTCGCTGAGTATCCATTTCCTTGTCTGCAAAAAGAAATGAGTGTATCCACCTACCTTACTGGGTTACTGCAAACATAAAATGACATAAGAAGCCACACAAAGATGAATGTTCATAGCAACTTAACCTGTGATAGCCAAAACCTGGAAATGACCCAGATGTTTATCAACCAGTGAATGGAAAAACAAACTGTGGTACAATCAAACAACAGAATACTACTCAGCAGTAAAACAGAAAACACACCAAACAACATAAATCAATCTTAAATGAGTAAGTTGAGTGAATGAGAAGAGCTAGGTTTTGAAAAAGAGTACGTACTATTTGATTCCATTTATATAACATCCTGGGAAATAAAATCAGTGATGGAGGCCGGGTGAGGTGGCTCACACCTGTAATCCCGGCACTTTGGGAAGCTGAGGCAGGCAGATCACCTGAGATCAGGAGTTCGAGACCAGCCTGGCCAACATGGCAAAAGCCTGTGTCTACTAAAAATAAAAAAATTAGCTGGGCATGGTGGCGGGCACCTGTAATCCCAACTACTCGGCAGGCTGAGGCACAAGAATTATTTGAACCCAGGAGGTGAAGATTGCAGTGAGCCGAGATTGCACCACCACACTCCAGCCTGGGCAACAGAGTGAGACTTCGCTTCAAAAAAAAATCAGTGATGGAGAGGAGATTAGTGGTTGTCTGGGGTTGGAGGGATAACAAAGGGGCATGAGGAAACTTCTGGGGCAATGGAAATGTTCTGCATCTTGATGTGATGAGGGTTTTATGGGTTGGAACACTTTAAATATGTGCAATGTAGTGTACTTCATTTATACCTTGATAAAGCTGAAAAATTTCTGAAACATGAGAGCAGGCCAGTGCAGTGGCTCATGCCTGTAAGCCCAGCACTTTGGGAGGCCGAGGTGGGTGGACCACTTGAGGTCAGGAGTTCAAGACCAGCCTGGCCAACATTGTGAAACCCCATCTCTACTAAAAATACCAAAATTAGCCGTGTGTAGTGGTGCATGCTTGGAATCCCAGATACTCAAGAGGCTGAGGCATAAGAATCACTTGAACCTGGGAGGCAGAGGTTGCAGTGAGCTGAGATCACAACATTGCACTCCAGCCTAGGTGACAGAGCGAGACTCCATGTCAAAAAAAAACAAAATAAAGAAAGAAAAATGAGGTGAGGACGTAATGTCCTATCACAGGACTGGGCACATAGTAGCACTCAACAAACGTCAGCTCCATTCTGGAGAATAAAGAATAATCTCATTAGAACTCCTGGGAGAAAAACATGAGAGACCGCCAGGGAAAGGAGTCAGCATTTAGTTCTAGGTTTACTAGGACCCGACTATGCAAGACAGGCTCATCTCAGCTAGAAAGCTGAACAAGGAAGACAAACAGAAAGATAAACAAGGCTTGGTCCTTGCCCTGAGGGAAACACAAATAGGTTTAATATATGATGTAATCAAAATGTCAAAAGGACAGTATTGACAAACTACAGGCGTGCACAAGAGACTAATTCTGATAGAATGGTTGTCAAGAAGGAACAAATCCAGGTGGGTGGGGTCCTAGCAAGCAGTAAGAGGTAGGGGCCTGTGCAGAAAGAGCTGCCTGCACTGAATCAGAGAAGCAGAGAAAGGAGGGTCCTAGGCGGGGGCAGTGGGCACGACACACTGTCCTCCAGGGAACAATAGGGGGAGGATCTGGGAAGGGCAAGACCAAGCTACAGAAAGCCCTGAGCTCTGGCTTGAATCTCAACTTCATCCATCCAGGGGAACCCCCTAAAGAGTTGTGCAGAATCAGATGTGTGTTTTACACAAGCAGGTCCTATCTACAGGGCAACTGGGCAATTTATCAAGAGTGCCGACATTCGCATCCCTCAATTCAGTAATTCCTGAGGAAATAGTCAGAAATGTGTACAAAGATTTATGGACAATATTGCTTATCACAACATTATTTGTAATAGCCCAAAGCCCAAAATAACTTAAATGTCCAATAAAAGGGGACTGCAAAATAAATTATGGTACACTGAGTGATTAAATCATATATAGCCATTAAATCATACTTTCCGAGCATAGGCATGACAGGTGCACACCTCACTGTACAATGTTAAGTCGCATAAAAGCAGGATTCAAAAATACATGGTGAGTATTCACTCAGCAAATATTTGCTGATTATCTATTTAAGTGCCAGGCACTGTCCTAAGCACTGAGGGAGCAGCAGAGAATAAAAGAGAGAAAATCCCTGCACTCATGGGAAGGGATTCTCTCTTCTAATGAAGAAAGGCAGACAACAAAGAGGAAACAAATAGCAATAAGCAAGATATATAGCAGGTTACATGGTAAGAAGTGCTATGGAGAAAATCAAGAGGGGAAAGACATGGAGAATTGGGGAGAAGGTAGAAATTTTAAAGAGGTGGTCAAGGAAAGTTTCAGAGAGAAGGGGGTTAAGAAGATGAGCAGGGGGATCCTGGGGGAGGACTTCCAGGCAGAGGAACAGGCAGTGCAAAAGCCCAGAGGAGGCCTGGCAGGTTCACAAAAGAGCAAAGTCAAAGCAGCGGAACACCAAAGACAAGCAGTGGGAGAATGCGGTCAAGGAGAGCTATGTCACTCCTGGTGTGGTGGCAGCCACAGGAGAGCTCTGAGCAGAGAACTGGCAGGATCTGTAGGAGGACGAGGGCAGGAGCAGGGAGGCCACGTGGGATATCCCCCAGTGTTGTCCTAGCTCATTATAATGGGTGTATGTTTATTTCATAAGCAGAAAACAAAAGATAATTCCATCAAGGACAGCACAATGCACAAAAGCAGTGTGGATGCTGCAGCTGAAGCTCAGGGAAACAAACAAATAAGGAGGTCGGGGAAATCATTCAGAGACCAGCTATGAAGCAGTGGGGGGACAAAGCACTGCATGGAAACTTCATGTGTTTGTGAAGGTTCTTAGGAGCAAAGTTACTCTTCGTCATAATGAAAAACACATAACCACGATGCAAAAAACAAACAAACAAACAAACAAAACAAACAAAAAAAAAAAACAACTGCAAATGGGAGAAAAAAGAATTCCCCCAACATCTCAGCATCCTAATACTTAACATCTTGATATACTTCTTTTCAATCCTTTCTCCTAGACACGCTTTTGTTTTTCCCTAATCCTCCCGCAATGCCCAGCACATTGTAGGCACTTAAAAATTCACTGAACAAAAAAATGGAGGGCCAAATGCATGACCAAATGCTCCAAATAATTGTATGTTACATTAGCTATATTAGAGGCATTTACAGACATGGTTTTAATAGGCTTGAGTGAAGGAATGGCAACTACACACAGGGGGAAGGCATGGTCATAGGTATCTGCACGTTTAAGAGGATGGTGGTGGCATGACTGACCCATCAAGGGCACCGGAAGGGAGCAATCTGAAAAGGAAGATGCTGGCTTCAGTTTTGGTGACTTGTTGAGGGGGATGCACAGAATGTCCCTGCAGAGACACTCAGCTGTCCTTTTTCAGAGCTCAAGAAGCAATTGGAGCCTCCGCACGGAGACAGTCACAGCAGAAAGAGTAGTCAAGGAGGAGGGGAGGAAGAGAAACACCTGCAGACCCTACTGTATGCCAGACATTGTGCTACGAGCTTCACACATATCTACCCCATTCTAATCTTCACAACTGCCCCATGAAGTGGACACCCGTGTTCCTTTTATAGATGAGGACACTGCTATAGATGAGGACACTGCAGGACTGGGAAGCTCAGTGATTTACCCAGTTGCTCTGAGGCAGAGCCAGGACTCAAATCCATGAGCATGAGGGCTTTTCCCACTCATTCTCCTTTCTGATCATAGAAGCTTAAAGTATATCCAGAAGCCCAGGGAGAAAATGTGTTCAGATGACTTCATTACATAGTGCCCAGTTTTTGCTCTCAAACTCCTGGGACCCAAAAAGAATAGCATGTTCTTCCTCTTCCAAAAACATGTCTTATACTGTTTTCCAACTTACAATTAAAACCTGTGGAGTTCTTTTATTCTTTTCATTTGTATGGGTCTCCTGTCTCCCATCAGATAGAACACTCCAAGATGCCAGGACAGGCTCACGACTTCCCCCCCAACACTGGCCCAACACTCTGCACACAGCAGGTGCTCAGCAAATGCTCTGATGCTGATGCTGACCATCCCTTGCCAGTCTTCTCGGGCTATTCCCTGTTTCCTTAGTCCTTGGACACTTGTATGGTAGGTGACCCGACTCCCTCTGGCTCAGCCAAGGCAAAGCCAAGCCCAGATGAATGAGCCCTCTTGCGAGATGGCAGACAACAGGCAGGTGAATTTGGGTGGAGAGGAAGTTTCATACGAGGAGAGAAGGCAAACCTTCCTTCTCCACGGAGCTTGCTATGAAACAGTCTGCAAACTGGTTGGCTCATGGGCCAAATTCAGCCTATCCATATGTATTGCTTGGCTCACACATGATTTTCATTTGTTAAAACTGTAATTCGTTGCTTTTTTTTTTTTTTGAGACAGAGTCTCGCTCTCTCGCCCAGGCTGGAGTGCAGTGGCGTGATCTCGGCTCACTGCAACCTCCGCCTCGTGGGTTCAAGCAATTCTCCTGCCTCAGCCTCCCGAGTAGCTGGGACTACAGGCACCCGCCACCACGCCTGGCTAACTTTTTGCATTTTTAGTAGAGACAGGTTTTCACTATGTTGGTCAGGCTGGTCTTGAACTCCTGACCTCAGGTGATCCACCCGCCTCGGCCTCCCAAAGTGCTGGGATTACAGGCGTGAACCACTGTGCCCAGACACTATTTTTTAAAAAGTGAGAGATTTCACATAAAAATCTGGATCTCTGTAAGCCGCCCCCTTGAGACAGGCCTGCCCTTTTCATTTCTTCACAGCCCCCACCCCATCCAGCTCTCCAACTGCACCCCCATCCCCTGCAGGCCCCTGCTGGAGACCCCACCTGCCCCCATCCATTCCCACCCCATGTACTCACCAGCACTCAGAGTCGTGAACTCCAGGAAGCGGTATTCATAGGACACATCTATCTTGGTTTCCACCTGAGGCCTCTTCAAAGTTGAATAAATATTCCCAGGCCGTTTTTCATCACGTTTCTCTAACTTGTTCAATCCGCAACCCATTTCAGCAGCTGCTGGCCAAAGGAAAAAGGCGGGGAGGTGATTTTTTTCTGAGATTTTGTCTTTAAACACCCTAGTATAAAAGATGCCGTAATTTTCCTGAAGAATACATGACAGACCTCAGCCCTTATGAAACTGAGAGTATAATTTAATATAGGACCTGAACACAGAGGACTGTGCTCAGTACTCAGGCTGGCTTCTCCTTCTGCTAAGATACTATTACCAGCCGTCCTGAGATTTTTTTAAATGACACCAAAAGCATACCTGTTTTATATCTTTTTTCCCCATCTGAGGAAAATAATACCTCCCACTGCCTCAGTTCCACTATAATCTGTATCCATGAATAAAAAATGGAATCTAAAAAGCAATACGGTGCATTATAGTGTCAGCCCATCTATAAAAAACAAGAGATGTGTCACCTTCACTGTGGTTGCTAACACAGAATAAGTCGTTGTTACAGTTTCCAAACTCCGAGTCCTTTCTACCCTCAACAGTAATTATTTAGACAGGAAATTTATATTCATAAAACATCCTAAAAGTAGATGGTGGTATTTTTATGGGCCTTGTCTGAAAGTCCCCTTTTTCTTCGTTTTTAGACCAAACTGCAGGAAATAATTTTATACTTCCAAGCTCTTAGAGAGTCATCTTAGACCAAAATGAAAACTGACTGAACACTAATAGCAGGGATAGAGCAATTGGAAGCAGAAATCCACGTGTATTACAGCAAAAATCTGTAGTTCCAGTTTGAAAAGAAAATAAAGAAATGTTAAAGTAATGGGCACATTAAGGTGAGCTGAGCTTCCAATCTTCCATGGGATTAAAAGCAATGAAGGCTCTCTGTTTATTTGGGCAGAATGACTTTCACGAAATAGCTTTTCATCCACTCTCCCAACTTCAGCAGAAGAGATTTTGCTTCTGTGTACTAAGGATAAACGATGCTTTCCTCCTCTCTGGGGTACCACTGCTGCCATCAGAACATATTTCACAAAAATATTAACCAGCCAAGAATATCACACACAGAAACCCAGTGACCGCTTCCTTTTAGAGATAAGAATTTCCTTTTGCTTAATTCATTTACAAGGTACCCAGCTTCCTAAGGCAATTTGGCAAGCTCCAGAAAAACAAACTGAACCTCAGAAAAGCAACGAGGGCATGGGGCGGGTGGAGTGGAAGGAGACGGTGTAGCGACAACCAGGCTCTACTTTTCAGTAATTAAAAAAAGTCTGAAAGAATGGATGAGAACAGGAAGGCTTACTTATGCCTTAATAAAGGAACATGAGTATCCAAAGGGCCAGAGCAGACATGATTTATGTGCAATCTGCATGAACTGATTACTTGTAAAATACTCTGTAGTTCTGCAGATGAAACAGCTGATATGTAAAAGGCTGCATATTTAACTGCTGAAAAGCAAGCCGGCTGGCATCCACTGGGACAAAGCAGAAAAGAAATGGACAAGGAAGCTTCTAAGTGTTGGGAACACGTAGCCCGTCAAGATGTGCACTGTTACTCTCTGCAAAGAGCCCAAAGGCTCGCCAAGTCACTCATTCATGCAGATTTACTCATGCCTACTACAGGCAAAGCATTATTAGCGATTCAAACAATGTGGTCTTTGCCCTCAAGGAGGTTAGGCTACTACAAGAGGGAGGACATTCAAGCTATAACACAAGATGGGAAAATGGCAGGGACCTGGATTGGGTATTTGAGATGGGCTTTGCTGGACAGATCCCAAATTTGATGACGTAGAGATGGAGGCACAGCAAGAGCAAAGGCATGGAGGCAGGAAGCTGCCCTACCTGAAGGGAAAGGGCAGGCAGTGTGGTTTGGCAGGCCAGAGAGGCAGCGTGGGGTTTAGGGTGTCAGAGATCCCACCACTAGCCCATATGGTGCCTTTGTGAGAATTCGAAAAAGGTGCCCCCTCTTCTGAGGAATGCAGCCCTGTCCCAGCCATGTCTTACTGAGCACAGCAAGGTCTGGATTTAAGCCCCTGCATCCCCCCTTGGGAACAATCTTTATAACTGTATGTGGCAGTGCTGCTTCAGTAGGGGGGAAGTTAAGCAAAATTGATTATGATTAGTTAGCCATGTAAACAAATATGGGGGTGGAGGCAAAGATTTCTTAAAGAGGACACAAAAAGCTCTAACTACAAAAGAAAATTTTGACAATGTGGGCTATATTAAGATTTAAAACTTCTGTTCCTCAAAACCCACATTAAAGAGTGAAAAGGCAATCCAGAGACTGAAATAAGCTATTTGCAATACATTTGTCAAGTGGTGCACTGGTAAACCAGCTCTCCAAGAAAGAGAGGAAGCCCCGATTTGTAGTTTGCCTATTTCTGTGGTGTAAACACACCCACCATGGCAGCTTTCAAGCTGCCAAACATGATGCCACAGAAGGCAGAGTCAGGAAGAGATGCTAAAATCAGCTCTCAAAAGCCAGTGTGTGTTGGCTCCTGCACACTAATGCATTCATGCAACAAAGGACTCACATCCACCATGAATCAAAGAGCGCCTAACAAATTGATAAGGAAAAGATACACTACCCAACAGCAAACAGGTGAAATGCCCCAACAAACACCCATGAGGATATGCAAATGGCCAAGGAACATAAGAGAAGAAGCTCAACTTCATGACTCATCAGGGAAATGAAGGGAAGACCACAGTGAGATTTAACAGGCATCTACCAGAATAGCTCGACATTTTAAAAACTGATAATACCAAATGTTGGCAAGGATAAGAAGCAAATGAAATTCCCCTACACTGATGGTGAGAGTGTGAATTGGTACAACCACCTTGGAAAACTGACAATATGTTGGAAAGCTGAACGCATGCCTATCCTGTGACCCGGAAATTCCTCTCCTGGGTATATACCAACAGAAATGTGTACATATGGGCATCGAAAGACACGTATGAGAAAGCTAACAGTAGCATTACTCATACCAGCCCCATCCTGGAAACCGCCCAAACACCTTCCAGGAGAATAGATGAATACATTATGGTATATTCACACAATGAAATATTATAAAGCAACGAAAACATGGAACCTAGGATTACACACTACATTAATGAATCTCAAAAATCAAAAAGGAGTGGGGGTGGGGGCAGCCAGACACAAAAAGTACATTCTTTCTTACTCCCGTTATACAGAGTTCCAAAACAGGCAACACTCATCTCCAGTGTTAGAAGCTGGGGTGCCAGTTACCCTTGGGAGAACAGTGACTGCATAGAGGATGAGGGGGCTTCTAGGGTACCAGCTTTGCTGTTTCTTGATCTGGGTGTCAGTTTGTGACGATTCACTGGGCCACTGAGCAGTCTCTGTATTGATTTGTGTGCTTTCCCATACTTACACTAAAACGTTCAAAAATAATAAACAAATCTGTGACCTTACAAATGCACAGATACATCTCCAACAATAACGTGAGGATGGAATAAAGGCAAAACACAAAATCATCTACGTACTGGGTCTCAATTCTTCTGAATAAAAACTGAAGCAATATTTACAGTAGGCATGTTCATCTGATGCTAGCTTATCCAATAAAGCCACTGTGTATACATTACAGAGTTCTGAGAAGGCGAAAGGACTCTTCTCTCTATCAGGCTGGTGGCAGCTTCTAATGGGTAGCGGCAGGTTCTCCCTACTGGGCCCTGCTGGAGACTTTGATGGGACCAAGGCTGAATGAGGAGCGGATAGGCTGGCAAGCAAGGGAAGGCTCTCATGCCCACCCTGCTGCATACTCAGGCAGACCTGCCTTGCTCTGGAAGGCAAGGTGTTTGAAGACCTCCAAGAAGGAGCTTGTTCCTCAAAAATCCTCCCACTTTTGCTACCTTATTCTGTAAATTCTCATATTAGAGGTTCATTCCTTTGAAATCAGAATTACCTTTCCTAAGTATCTGCTTTTAAATGACAAATATCTCCATGGGAAGGACAAGAAACTAAGCTCCTGGTAGCCACTACCACTTTAGTTTGATTTTATTTTGTCTATAATTTTTAATCTATATTTAGTTTCTTTGATAAAGGACAGGTTCCCTGATAGCAGAAAGGAGAGGGTTACCAGGATGAGAAGAAAGGTTTGGAAAGGGTTGGGGTGGGGATCAGAAGAGTACCAAGAAGCATTAGAAAACTCTTGTGATTCACAAGAGTTTAAAGTTTCAATCAGACTCCCAACCTTGAGGCTTCTGCCCCAGCTCATCCCAAAGGGCATTGTGCTTGATATCACAGGACATAAAGGGGCTCTGGGCAAATCATCCATGTGATCAGACACAGAAAAGATAAAGAGTATGTTACATTAAACCAAATTTGGCTTGACGATGCCTCCATACTTGAGTCATTACATAACGACTGCAACTTAGTTTAGTAGGTAAACTATATAAAAGCCTAACTTAGGATGTAAACTTCTGTAACAAATAGCTGAGTCTTAGCCAATCACAGCAGCAGAATGCAGTCAATCACAGGCAGTGAATTAATGTAACCAAGCCAGCTGTCTCTGTACCTCACTTCTCTTTTCTGTACACAAAACACTGCCAGGATGTGTTTCAGGCAGGTCACTGAACCTGTTCTGGTTCTGAGGCTGCCCAATTTATGAAGTTTTCTTTGCTCATTCAAACTCTGTTAAATTTAATTTGTATCAAGTTTTTCTTTTAATAAATACCAGCCAGCAGCAAAACTGTAATATCATTGAATCCTTGAATCTCAAATTTTAGAGACTGATTTCTCTGGAGTGCGTGCAACCCTGGCTAAGCAACTGTTTCTAAAGCACAGCCCTCTTTGGAAAGGGAGACACAGGAAGTAGTTGCTGGCCATCAAAACCTTAGTGTGAATTAGTTCCTCCTACTCTTTTGTGTAGAGGCAGCTAGCCTGCTCCCTGCTGCCACACCGGCATTCCTTTCATTTCGCCCTGGATTCTTCCACCAACTCCCACCCCTGTCAAAATAGGAAAGACTTTTACATCATTTCAAAAATGTCTATACCATGCTCAAAACAAGTCAGAAAAATCTAGCTTATAAAAAGTAGGAAAAATCAGCTGTAACAGTGACTTGCACACTATTGTAGAGTTTTGTAGACTATATTATTTACCATGTGACATTCCCAAACCATGCTCACATTAGAATCCTGCAAGAGGATGGAGGCAAAAGATGGGTATGTTGCTTTTGAGGGCAGTGGGAGGGAAGGCAGAGGAAAAGGTCTAAGGAATAGTACTGTCAGATGCAGACAGAAGACACAGGTGTGCTGCACATTCCCGCACACAGACATTCAGGGAGTGTCTCAGTAGAAGGACATCTCTCACATGGGTCAAAGTCTCTAGTAAGGTGGAAGGTAAATGGTAAGTAGGATGGTTTTTAAATGTGGCTCCAAAATCCACTGACATTCCTCCTATTGAGCCTATTGAGAGGTGAGGTCTATGTCAATTACCCTGAATCTGGGCTCCAGGATGGCTTGACCAATAGAATATGACGGAATAACACAGTTCCAGTTTCTGGACCCAGCTTTAAGAAACTTGAGAGCATTTACTCCCTGACTTTTGGGGTGCCTGCTCGTGGAATCCAGCCACCATGCCATGAGGAAGCTCAAGTAGCCCCAAAGAGGGGCCCATGTGGAGAGGAACCGACAGCCAGGACCAACTTGCTGGCCATCTTGCCAGCAGGCCATGCTGGAAGTAGAGCTTCTGCCTCAGTCAAGCTGCTGATGCCATGTTAAGCAAAGACAAGCTGTTTCACCAAGCCCTGCCAAAGCTGCAGATTCCTGAGCAAAATAAGCTACTGTTGTTGTTTTAAGCTTCTAAGTTTTGGAGTGGTTCATTTATACCATAAGCAACTTATATACCAAGTCTGCTCGAAATGACCATGGCCTGCCGCCTCCTTGGCACCTGCTGAAGTTGGCCTGCTTTTAAGGTCCCTGTTACAGCCATTCACCCTTTGAAGGGCATTTGGGTTGTTTCTGGCACTGGCTGATTATGAATGAAGTGGCTATAAACATTTGTGTAGAGGTTTTTATATGGACATAAGTTTTCACTTCTCTAGGGTAAATACCTAAGAGTGGGGTTGTTGGGTTATATGATAAGTGCAGGAGCCCTGTTAATGAAAAAATGCTTCTCTTTACACATGTAGGATGTCCAGATACTGCCGCCATGAAAAGTGTATGGAAAGTGAGATCTCTCAAAGATCAGCTAGCCCCTGCTCAACTGAGGCATCAGCCCACTAGGTGGAATCATGCCCAGCGGTGCTATTCACTGACTTTTTCTCTGGTTGTTGCTTGTTTTTGTAAAAAACACATGCTAAAAGTCACCTGTGTCTAGTGAGACTCCCCCAGTACTTCATCTATGCTCCATCCTGCTCCCACAGCTCCACCCTTCCAAATTCCTATGCTCACCTCACACTGACACCTAATGTCAATCAGATTACCTATTTTATGTGTGAGTTCATTGTTGGATCAGCTTTGATTGACAGGTGTCCAGGCATTTGTTTCTCTTTTTATATTTTGTTTTCTCAGCAGACATCCCTGAAACTATGTGTATGGGTCTCCCGAGCATCAAGGTACCAAGAAAAACTTTCCAAGAAGTCTTCAAAGGTAGAGGAAATGGAAGAGGTCTTTCCCCATTTCTATGGTGAAACAGTGGGGAAATAATCAAAGCATATATGCAGTTCCCTAGCAGAAATTGGTAAGGGTAATTAGGAACTGGATGCTTTCTAAAGAGGAAAATAAAGTAATCAGAAGAAGGTTCCGAGACCCGAACTGCAAGAAGAAGATGACAGACATTGCAAATGATCTGGAAACAAAGATCCCTTGAATGGTGATCTTCTGGAAAAAATTTTGGCTGAATCAAACCTTAAGTGGGATGTCTCTTTGGTAAGCGGTGGATCAGCTTCTTACAGGAGCTATCAGTTCCATGAGGGAGGGAAATTATGTTCCAAATTCATTCATCCATCCATTCATTCAACACACATTTATTGAGGTCTGCTTTGAGTCAGGCACTTGGTTAGGAAACACTAAAACTGGGAAGGCCAGGCCCTGCCCTCAGGGAGATCACAGAGACAATGACGAGATACCCATGGTGCAGTATGGCTGACTGTTCGGGAAGTCTGGACAGAATGCGGGAGCATTCGGAACAAATCGCTGTTATATAAAACAGAGATGGGTGTGGTGCTGTGTACCTGTCATCCCAGCTACTTGGGAGGCCGAGGTGAGAGAGTCTTTTGAACCCAGGATTGCGAGGCTGCAGTGAACTCTGATCGCACCACCGCACTGCAGGCTGAGTGACAGAGCAAGACTTGTCTGTAACAAAACACACACACGCACACACACACAAACACAGCACAGCGCCAAATACTTGGCTCCAGAAGAAGCTGACCAGCAATGCGGCACAATGTCCTGTGTCATTTTAAATGTTGAAATGTTTAAATTATTATTTTAAAAGTATCCTAATTTGTTTCTGAAATGCTTCCCACGATGCCCATAAAAAGACTGGAAAACCACTTCAAAAGGATCACCTTCTTAAAAGACTATTTTTCAGCTATAACGTAGAAAAGGCTTAGTTTAAAAGTTCATTTTTACTATCAACTAGCATGCATGCATTTAAATAATGGGGGCAATAAATGCAGTTATATTTTCAAATACAAATTAGCTTCATTAAGAGTAAGCCCTCATTTGCCACACTTGCTGCTAATCTAAGGCAGCCTGTAAAGCTAATTTTAACAAATGCCAACAGCTCGTGACAAGCAACCAGAGATGGGGCAATTATATGCAATGATGCTGGATCAGCTGGCAACCCCATTTTTTATCTCTACACTCAAATTCTGTATTTGAAGACGCAAGCATGTTTATTACTTCATTCAGTCATCCAAAGTAAGAACTGATCATCCAAATTAAAAAGTCTTTACATGATAACGACATCTCTCTAGATCCAGAAATATAAATTAAACTTAAAAGTTCAGTAGAGTATTCAGATGGTGTCAGACTTTTTGCTGTCCTGCAACAGAGTCTAAGAAACCCTAGGAAAACTAAAATGTACCCGTCGAAAGTGTTCCTGATCCAATGCCAGATGTAAAGAACAATCTATATCAAACTGTATTAACGGTTTATATGGTACCACTTTTTAAAAGTGCCTGTGTATTTGTTTATAAAATCCATACTTTTGAAAAACTGGCAGTTCATAAACCACCTGTTAGCAGAACTTTTTTCTGAGTCATGACACTATGGGCTACATTTTCAAGTTTTCTTTGTTGAGCATGCATTATTTTCATGGTTGAAAACAATAAGAACACTTTGGGAGGCCAAGGCAGGTGAATCACTTGAGCCCAGGAGTTCAAGACTAGCCTGGGCAACATGGCAAGACTCTGTCTCTACAAAAAAATTTAAAAAAGAAATTAGCTGGACATGGCAGGTCCCAGCTACTCGGGAGGCTGAAGAGGGAACATTGCTTGAGCCTAGGATGTTGAGGCTGCAGTGAGCCATGATCTCGCCACTGCATGATTGTGCCACTGCACGCTACTGCCCAGCCTGGGCAACGGAGTGAGACCTTGTCTCAAAAAAAAAAAAAAAAGAAAGAAAGAAAAGAAAAGAAAACAATAAGGATATCACAGCCAGCCTCCAGGACGACCCTCAGTGATCCTCCTGGTATTCACACCCTTGTGTGGTCCCCTCCCACAGTGAATAGGGCTGACCTGTGTAACCAGAAGGATATGGTGGAAATGAGTGTGATTTCCCAGGCTACTTTATAGGAAACATTGTGGGTTCTACCTCGCTCTCCTAGATCTCTCGTTCTGGGGGAAGCCAGCTGCCATGTTGTGAGGACACTCTATCAGCAGGATGAAGTTCCACTGCAGGGCAACGAGGCCTCCTGCCAACAGTCAGCACTAACTCAGCACCCATGTGGAAGTAGATCCTACAGCCTTCAGCCCGGCCAACATCCTCACTGCAACCTCATGAGAGACCCTAAGTCAGAAGCACTCAGTTAGGCCATTTCTGGATTCCCGACTCAGAGAAACCATGCAAGATAACATGTTTGTTGTTTTAAGCCTCCAGGTTTTAGGGCAATTTACCACCCATCAATAGATAATTAATCCAGGCAGTTCATGTTAACAGAAGTCTTGCTCCTATATGAGAAGTGGCATTGTGGAGTGGTTGAGAGCTGACTCTTCAGCGGCCAAGTTTTGGTGTAATTTGTTACACAATAAAAGATACCTAATAGGAGTGGTGTTTGCATTATAAGAAGAAAACACTTGCTTACCCCCACTCCTCCAACTCCCACACCTACCACCATCTCAGTCTGTCTCAGGAGGGGTCTGAACCTGAGTCCATCTCTGCTCTGCTGCTCTCCAGCCACCCTTCGCTAAAAATAGCTCCCACTCAGAACCTGCTACTCAACATGTGGACCTCAGACCAGCAGCAGCATCCAGGATCTTGTTAAAAATGCAGGATCCCAGGCCCCATCCCAGACCTGCTGAATCAGAATCTGTATTTGAGCAATAAATGATCCCTTAAAGTTTGACTCACAGTACAGTTTGAGAAACCCTGAGCTGTGGCAGTGGCTCTTAATCTTGACTGCACTTTGGAACCATCTGGAGAGCTGTTAAAAGCCCTGATGCTCAGGCATTTAGGGGTGGGGCCAGAGCACCATTATTTTTAAAACCCCCAAGTGATGCTAACATGCAGCCAGGGTTGAGCATCAGTGCTCTAGGAGCAAACCCAGTCTTTTCCCACTCCTAGCCCTCTCCAATCTCCTAATAGCCAGGACTCAGCAGGGCCCAGGATCTCTCCTACACCCTCACCTCCAGGACTGAGAACCACAGTTCAGAGCTCAGCCATACGGATCTGCTTAGTTCCACATCCCTCAATCTCTTGAATCTCTTTCTACCTCAGACACCCCTTCCCAGTCTCCTCTGCCATCCTCCCAGGCAAGCACAGGCACCTCCTACATTTCTGTCCTCCTCCATCCTCTTGCCTCACTTTTCCAAAATTATTTTAATTATAAACCACTTCAAACATATGGAAAAGTACAGAAAATGAGATGTCCATGGATCCACCACCTGGATTTCACAAGTGCTTACATTTTTACCTTATTTGCTTCAGATAGTTTATTTTTGGATAAATAGACATCTTGGACACAGTCCTCATGCCATTCCCTGTCTCCCTATCTTTCTATCCCTGCGTGTACTCTTTTACAATCTATATATAACACCCAGAACAACATATGGCAGAGATTCTGAGGATTTCTCCGTTCACAGTGCCCTTAGTTTCTCTGTACATTTTTTAATGGCATGCCCTAGACTAAAAAAAAAATACCCAATAGTTCGTTTTATTAAGTAGTTAGGTCCAAACAACTTAATACTTATTCACAGCCTAACAACAGCAGCCTTTCAGAAAAATAGCACACATAAACTGAAAGAAGAAATATTTTTTCTTTCATTCTTAACTAACCACAATTACTTGCTAATGGGATGTGTGCATCTGTTGGACACTGAGCAACTTCTCAAAACTTGGAACCACACTGAACACCACCACCCTCATTTTCAGTTCCACACTGATTTTCTTAGCAACTACCCAAAATGTAGCTTGTAAAGATATGACATCATCAAGAGTAATATGGTACTGTCAGATGTTGATATTGTGAAGTGCCTCAAGCTAGTAGTTAGCGTGGTATCTGACAGATGTTAAGTATTGCTGCATTTCCCTCAAAGATGTGAAATATCCCTTGGCCACCCTGTGCCTTTGCTGCAGTGCCTTGCGGTATCTTAGCACAGAATTTGGGAACCACCAATACATAGTATTATGTATGCTCAAAAAAGTTACTTACATGCTATTGTCTCTCCCTTAGCACTCACACTCCCTCTCTTGCCCTAACTTGACCTGCTCCAGGCAAGAGCTCCCCAGTTCCCTTCCCAGCCTGCCTGTCTTCTCTCCAGCTCCAGGCAGACATCTCCAAGAACTGTTTCAACATCTCCACCTGGAACTTTCTCTCTTCACCTGAGACTTTCTCAGCACTTCTGGAAGAATATGCCCCACAGAATGCAGCACCTTGCCCAACAAGCTTGCTCTTCCTCCTGCATTTCTCGTCTCTGGGTGGTACCACTGCCCTCCCAACATCCAGGCCCAAAACCCCAGTATCAGCCTGCTCCCGCCACCATCCTCACCCTGACATTGGCCCATCCAGAGCTGGTGGATGCTATCCATTCCTCCACTTTATTCTCCAAACCAATCTGCCATCGCAACAGCTACCAACGCTTTCCTGGAATCTGCCTCCCCCTCATCCATCTAATTCCTATCTCCAGCTTTTCCCACATTAACCATTTTACACCACACAAGTGGCTCAAAGAGCATAATCACATCTGCTGTGCAGCTTGGAGTCCTCAGCCTCAATCTCCCTCCATCCTCCCTCCTTTCCAGTCCTACCTCCCATTGTTTCCTTTCACAGTTGACCCTAGAGTGAAGTCAGGCTAAGCTACTGCAATCTTTTGTACACCCTCAGAACTCTCCAGGCACCACCCTTTTCCTCCAGTGGACCTCCACCTGACATTCCTTTCCCGTACCTCTCATCTTCTCTATTAGTCAGGGTTCTCCAGAGAAACAAAACCAGTCAGATGTGTGTGTGTGTGTACCCAGATAGAGAGAGACAAATAGAGGTATTTATTATAAGGAATTAGCTCATGAAATTGGGGGGCTGACAAGTTTAAAATCTTCAGGGCAGGCCAGAAGGCTGGAAACCCAGAGAATAGTTGATGTTGCAATCTTGAATCCAAAGGCGGTCTGGAGTCAGAGTTCCTTCTTGTGGATCTCAGTATTTTTTCTTAAGGCTTTCAACTGAATGGATGAGGTCCACCCACATGATGGAGGGTGATCTGCTTTACTCCAAGTCTTCTGATTTCAAAGTTCATCATGCCTAAAAAATAACTCACAGCAATACCCAGACTGGTGTTTGGCCAAAAACTAGGCACCGTAGCCTAGGAAAAAATGACATAAAATTAACCATCACACTCCTTCAAGGCTGAGCTCTAACAGGATTGCCACTCTAGGCCATTGATTCATCCAATAAATAAGTAATGAGCACTTACTATGTGCAAGGCCCTGTTCTAAATGCCAGTGATACCAAAGTAAAACAAAAGAGATTCACACAATAAAAGAGCACGCCTGCCCTCATGGACCTTACCTTCAGAAGCCGAGAAACAGGCAATAGACAAACAAATAAAAATAATACACAAAATCCCATTTTTAAAGTATGCCAACTAGAAAACAACAATGCAGGGGGGAGGGATAGCAATCACAGGAGGAGGTATAGTGTTTTAAATACGGGGATTGGGAAAGGCCACACCCAGAAGGTGACGTTTAAGCAAAATCATGAGGAAGGCCACAGAGCGAGCCATGGGATAAGGGGGAGGGTGGGCTAGGCAAGGCAGTGGCAGGTGCAAACAAGCTGGGGTGTGGGGCCCCTGGGAGGCTGAGCAGACCTCAGGGTGAAGTCAAACAGGGCTGGGGAGACAGAGCGTAGGCCTGGCCGGGCCGTGAGCACTTCAGCTTTACCCTGACTGAGTTGGAAGCCTCTGGAAGGTTTCGAGCTGAAAGAAGACATCAATTACTCTGGCCATGACTGACCATGACAGCAGGGAACCCAGATGACAGTAAGTAGAGGTGTGAGCAGTGGTCAAATTCTGTATATGTTTTGAAGGCAGAAAACAGGATTGACTGATGATTTGGAAAAAGGGGATGAGCAAAAGAGGGCATCCAAGACACCTCTAGGGTTGGTCACCAGCACCTGCAAGGCTGGAGTGGCCATCTTCTGAGATGGGTAGAAGAAGCCAGGAGTTAGCCATGTTAACTCCACCCAAGCAGAGGTATGCAGTAGGCCGCTGGATGTACCATTTCGAGTTCAGAGGAGAGCTCCACAGCTCTTGGTAATGCCTCATCTCCCTACATGACAGTAAATTTCTGGAAGGCAGCAAGCGGGTCTTCTTCATCCCCAACAGCAGCTATTCCAATGCCCTGCCCATAACAGATGCACAATAAATACCTACTTAGCAGCATCTTTCGGGAATAGGAAAGACACTTATCTGGTACAGGATGGTAAAGGGCATTTGGAATATTCCATCTGTGGCTCTCAAATTCACTTTCTTAACAGTACAGCACAGGGGTTGGTCATACAGGCTCTGGAACCAGACTGACTAGGTTCAAATCCTGCTGCCCTTATTTCCTACCTGTGTGACCTCAAGGAAGCCATTTAACCTCAGTTTTCTCATCTGTAAAATGGGGACAACTGCAATATCTACTTCTAGGGTGAGGACTAAATAAGGTAGGGTGAGTTACTATTTAACAGGGCTCAGAAGAGCTCAGACACATAGAAAGAGCAGTATAAATATTAACCGTTTTAGTACTCTACTGGGATTACTTGTTGCTCATTATGAAGACACCTTTTGACCTACTCTGGCCTATAGTCATGATTATGCCACACTGAAAAGGGCACTTATAAGGTATCATAAGACACCAGAAAATCCCAAAAGACCTCTCTAAATTAAAGAAGTGTTTAAATAAACAACCTGATTTCTTGTGCTTTATATTTCCAAAATTTGCTAATACATGATATGATCAGGTTCCATTAACCAGAGTCTATGATTAACCAAATCTCTTACCCAACTTTCTGAGTAAAATCTATTACAACAGTTCCCCCAAATCTGAGGAACTTTAGCGCTATTCCATAAAACTTGAAGGATTCCTCAGGACAAAGGGTAAAAGGCAAAGTAGGGAGTTTCAAAACACACACACACACACACACACATACACACACACATGCACACATCCACAAACACGCACATACATACACACACAATGCACATAAACACACACATACACACACATACATACACATACACACATACACACAAACACATACACACATACATGCACACTCACATACACACAAACACACACATACACTCACATACACACAAACACACACAAACGCACATACATACATACATACACACACACACACATACACACATATATATACACACACACATGCACACATATGAAAGCTGATAGGCCCCCGTAAAGAATAAATTGTAACCCTCAAGGAGGTCTGCCTATGGAACAACACGACGGGACATTTCAGGTGTAAACGCCAGAGAAAGTTGTCAGTGAGGTGCATCTGGCTTCCTGGTTGAAGAAGTGTGGAAACCTCCAATACGGGATCTTAAAGTAGCATAAGAGTTTGTCGGCATCAAACAACTGAGCCAAGCATAGCTTATGTTGATTTCCCACTTCTGGCTGGACTTGCTGCTTGCAGACACCTGAGGAGTGGCTTCCTCTCTCCTGTGAGGCTGGTTCTGAAGTACTGTACACCCCAGCAGAGGTGACAGCCACAGTACCAGCCCTCCACTGTCCCATGTAACTGGGACATCAAAGCTGCCAGCCTTCTCCATCAATCCCTGCACCCCGGAGGCAGGTCAAATCCAGGAAAACTCTAAACGAAGCTTTCAAGTACCCCAAATGGTGTCTCCTCCATCTCAGTCCTGGCAGGGAGCCATCACTGCAGAATGTCACCTGATTTTCCAGCTCTTTGGTTCTGGCCCACTGAGAGTGATTTTTCCTCCTGAATTCAGCCCAGGTAGGGAGTAAGTCACACAATTGCATATTTAAAAGCTGAACTGAATTCTTATTTGGAGAGCAAGGAATTAGCCGGGTTCAAGCAGTGGCTATCGCTTGCCTGCTGTACCAATTTTTTATGAGAAAGTGTCTTGATAAAACATGCAATGCTAATAATGAAAGCCCCTTTGGGGCCCAGGAGAAAAGGGAGATTCAAACGTATGTCAAAAACTGAATGTGAATGGAAGGAAAGATCACACGCACGCACACACACACACACACACACACACACCCCTTTAAAAGGTAAACACAAAAGCAACATCTGGCTAAATGTATCCCTTTGTCAGTGAAAAATAGCAGAAGCCCTAGCCAAGTGTGTTACCAATTCTTAAACTGAAGGGTAAAAAAAAAACACCACAGAGCAGCACTGTCAAACAGAACTTTCAGCAATGATGAAACTACTATCTGTGCTATCCAATTCAGTAGCCACTAACCACACGTGGCTCTGGGCCACTTGAAATGCGGTGAGTGAGACGGAAGGACTGAATTTTAAATTTTCTTTTCTTTTAATTCATTACATTTAAATGTAAATAGCCACATGTAACTAGTGGCTACTGTATTGAACAGTTCAGCTGGCAACGTCTTTCTGTTCCTTCAATAAAATTGTAATCCTAATCAACCAATAATATTTTAAATTATCATCAAAATTAGTATAAGCCCCTGGCTGTGCCAAACTCAGTAAGCTTAAGACAAAATGAAAACAAACAAACAACAACAAAAAAAAACTAAAGAAAATGATTGCAGTGTATCATTTCCTGTAACGCTGTTCTGATTATCTAATTTACATTTCTATTATAATATGGCTTTGTGTATTTGGAAATCCGTGATTGTAGACAGATTTTGCCTTCAAAAAACCAGAATGTCACAGTCTCTTCCCTTAAGGTCTTAGAAAAATGAAAACGTGAACTTAGGGAAAGTTAACCTTGCAAGCTTCAATTTCCTCAGGGCTGAAGTGAAGATAATATAAGTACTCGCCTCTCATGAGGATTAAATTCAGATAATGCGTGCAAAATGTACAACAGTGCCTGGCAAAGGGTAAGCACTCAGCAAGTGGCAGCTATAATTATTTGTATTTTATTAACAATATTAAAATCAGTAATAAAGAGAACAGTGTTAATACAATGAAAGTTTACACTGAACAAAATTTTCCTAGGCCCAAACCCTTTGAATGTGTTTTCCAAGCCATGGTAAAGTGCCCTCGAGTAAAATACATCCTGGGGCCCTGACATCTTGACACCCACTGTCAACCTCCAGAGAGGCGATCACCCAGATGGGTATCACGAGTCACGAAATCACTCAGCCAATGTTTACTGTGTCCCTACCCTCTGGCAGGCACTGCGCTAGGCTTTTAAGGAGGAGGGAACAGTCCCCAAACACAGTGCAATGTCTCAAGACTGAGCTGTCTGCCATCTGACTCCTGCAAAGCTTGGTCAGCCCTGGGACACCTTGATGGGATGCAAAACATGCATCCTGGGGTCCCACTCAGACAGAAAAGTTCACTTCCCGTTTCCTAGATCAGCCAAGGCAAGCTTTGGCTGTTGGCACCACAGAGAGGGACTAAGTTATTAGGGGACCCGAGGGGCACAGGCCCATTTTCCCAGTCAGGACAATAAGAGGGGTGTTGACAGGCCATGTTTCTCACTGAGAGGCCAGATCACTTTCACAAGAGAGTCATTCTCTGAGTCTTAACAAAGCCAAATCTGACCTGCCCCTCAAAATAAACACAACCCCTTTCAGTAGCCGGCTGACCAAGCCGGTGAAATCCAAGGGGACTCTCCACCAAGTTAATATCAACCCTACCAATAGACCAGAAATCCCCCGGGAGTTTCTAGGCAGAAGCTTAGTAAAATTCTGTGGGGCTTGGGGTTATTTTTCTTTTTATAGAAAGCACTCAATCAATCTTCTTTCACAACCAAGGGTACATTCCCCTATGGAATTCCCTTCTCTGAAAATCTCTAAAAATAAAATATTCATCTGATCGTCTGCAATGATTTAAGTTTAAACCCATTTTCAGGCAGAGTCAGGGACTTCCTATGGCCCCTCCACCTATAAAAACATGTTCCCCACTGCCTCAGATTCCCTCTGGCCCCAGAAGAACACTAGTCAAACCATGCTCTTGACTTTAGGATAGGAAAGACAGGGCTGTAGTATCTGGAATCTCATACTTGTATTCTTTGCTGGTGAGACTGTAAAATGGTATAACCATGTTGGGAAAAGGTCTGGCAGTTTCTTTTCAGGTTTCCATATATCTCCTTTTTGACCCAGCAATTTACTACTAGGTGTTTACCCATGAGAAATGAGAACACATGTCCCTACAGAGACTTGTACACAAATGTTCACGGCAGCTTTGTTCACAATAACCAAAGAAAGAAAGAAAGAAACTAGAAGAAAGAAACTAAAATAATCCATGTATCCATTAACAGAATATACAAACAAACTGTGGAGTAAGACATACTCCGGAACATAAGTCAGCAATAAAAAAAGACCAAATCATGGATACGACATGGATGAATCTCAAAAATATGGTGAGCTTTACACAATATTGCAGAATTCCATTTACATGAAGTTCAAGAACAAGCCAAACTCACCTATGATGAGATACAGGGCAGTGGTTGCCACTGAGAGGGTGAGGGCAGAGAATGACTGAGAATGAGGATGAAGGCACCTGCTGGGGTGACAGTAATATTCTCTGTCTTGATAAGGACTAGGGTTACACAGGTGCATGCATCTGTCAAAACATTATGCAAATGGTACTTTCCATCTTTGCACATTTCACTATATGTATATAAATTTTATCTTAAGGAAACCATAAGCACATATTGAAGTCAAAATAATAAAATGTGTACTAAAATGTTTAGGAATGACCTGTACCAACATCTGTAATTTACTTTAAAGTGCATAAAACCATCAGCTGGACTTATGGATGGACACAGGGATGGCTGGATGGTTGGGGGAGGTGTGTAGTTAAGCAAAGATGGCAAAATGTGAATTAGACTCTAGGTGTGTATATTTAGGGGGTCACTGTTCTTGCAACTTTTCTATATCTTAAAAAATGGGATGGGGATAGAGTCACAGTGTCCTCTCCTTAGTCCACCAAGTTAGAAATTTGGCAAAGCACCATGCCCCACCAAGCCATGGGACCACATAGTTTCAATTCTGCTGAAAAGAGAAGACTGGAAGAACATAAGTAGCTTTACAGGAACTCACATCACTCATGCCAAAGATTTTCTGCTTGTTTCCCTACAGACAAAGCAATTATTTGAATGTAAGCCAAAAATTCCTGCTCAAGAGGGAGAAAAAGAACTCACTGACTTGTATTCCCAATTTATTATCTTTCAATTCCTGTACCAAATCTACTAGCTAACTGCACAACACTCCACTTCCATTTGCCCCATGTCCATACAGCCAAAAAGCAAACAAAGAAAAACCAACCCAGTGACTTGATATACAAATGCAGCCAGAGGATGACGTGCCAGCTCTGGGGCTTTGAATCACTCAGGCGGGCCAGAAACCCCACTGAAGGCAAAAGAGGATGCAGAGCTCAGTCTGAGGTTAGAGTGATTTCACTGAGGTTAGCACACACGCACCAAAGAGTCCCAAACAGCTTGCTTCGTAACCCCTCTCTGGGGTTTGGTGACATCTGGGGTCACTTGAACTTCGTTGGGATTCAGCTGTTCAGAGATACAAATTAGGAATCCCGGCAGCAGAGAGGCCCTACCCACAGGCCCAGAGGTCGCTCACATTACACCCGGCTTCCTTCCTGGCAAGGCCTTAACTTATCCTGAGATGACACACGATGGCAGGGGTTGGAAGATGCCTAGTCTAGTTGAGCGCCCAGCTCCTGAAACAGCTGTACCGACTACAAGGGTTCCAGCACATGAGTTGCTGGAAACTGGGGTGACCACTGACAGAGATTGAGCCAGACTTTTTTTTTAAAAAAGTACTTCTTGTTTGTTTGTTTTAAGCCCCCGAAGAAACTCACTGACACCACCCAGCGTCCCTAGGGATCACCCATAACCACACAGGGCAGCTGAGGGCAAGCACAGAGTCACAGACAGACAGCAGGGAGCGTGCCTGGTTCTACAACCTTGGCCTCCACGCGGTTCTTGCTGCCAAAGGCAGCGACACCGGAGGTGAAGGGCACCAGCCCTGGCCTAGGACTGGGGTGCGCGTGCCTGACAACGGGGCTTCCCGAAATACACAACCACCTCCTCCTCGCCCAGACCCATATCCATCCTGGCGTCCCTTGAGTCTAGAGAAGTGGGTTAAGACAAGGGAAGAAAATCCCTTACAGAAGAGGAGATCCCCGTTTTCAGTGCTGGGGACTCTCGGCACCCGCGTCCCTGTGCTTCTGGTGGTTCCGGCGCTTCCTCGGAGCGCGCGGCATGTCTGCTCCTACACGTCCAGCACCTCTGTCCCCAGAGCAAACCCACCTCCCAGGGCACACGCAGAGGGGCAGTCAGGCACCGCCTCCACCCTGCCCCACCCAGGCCGCGCGCACCCCGGAAACCTGGACTCCGCGACCAGCTCCCTCCTGTTCTTTTCCGAGGACCCCAGCGGCAGTGTGTCCTGGACCCACCTGTAGCCTCCAAGCTCCCCCACCTCTGCGTCCTTCCTAGGCGCTTCTGAGCCTGCAGAGCCTACGACCCCCAACAGGCTGCTCCGAAGTGCCTCTCCCTACATCGCTCCAGGAATGACTCCCCTACACCCGTTCCCCGCAAAAAAAAGTTGGCCCAAGATCCAGGCGTCCCAAGGATCAGCCCAGGTCCCCATCCGACGCGGGCCAGGGGGTGCTGCTCTGGCAGCTCCGGAGCCCCGGCAAAGAGCAACCTGCAGGGAGGCGCCACGCGCGGTTCCCACTACCCGCCAGAGACCCGGTCCATGGGGCCAAACGGAGGGGCCTGTGCCGGTCGACACCCCAAGCCCTGTCGCGCCCCCCCCGCCGCCTACCGTATGGGACCGGCGGAGGAGAAGGCGCGGTCGCGGGCTCCCTGAGGCAGCGTGTTCCGTCCCGGGAGGAAAGTTTGTGCCATACAGAGGAGGCGGCGCGGGGAGGACTTGGGCGCCGGTGGGTGGAGGCGTGGGCGGTGGCGCCGCGTGGTCGTGTGTCTGTCCCTCCGGCGATCGGTGCGTCTGTCCCTCGCCGGAGCCCGCGGCCGCCGCGCTCTCGCTCGCTGCGCCCAGCGCCCGGCGCGCTCCGGCTCCAGCCCCGACGCGCCCCCGCCGCCGCCGCCGCGCGTCCGCCGGCTACACTTCCTCTTCCTCTGAACTCATGTGCAAAATATGCTACGCTGCATCTTCAGGGAAAGCCTCGCGGCCCCTGACAGCAGCCGCTGGAGCGGTGGGCCCGCCCAGCTCTCCCCGCGCCCCCTCGGAGTTCCGCCCGGTCACCTCCACGCGGCCGAGCTGCAAGCGACCCTGGCAGCCTCAGAACCCAGGGGTCAGGGGCTCATCGATCCTCCCTCCCAGCCCCTCCTAATCAAGGTTGTGTGCTGTCAGGAAGAGCGCCTGGGAGACAAGGATCCTTCAAGATTTGAGCCAGGATGCTGAAAGGGCGACTGCCATCAAGGTGCTGATGGCTGGGGGTGGGGTTGGGGCCGACTTGAGAGAGGACCATTTCTCGACCCCATTCCACAGGTGGGAGCATCCCTAAACATCTCAGGTGCTGCTGAAATTCTCTCTTGCGAGTTAGTGCTTCAGGGAAGGGTAATGCCACTGTCTCCGTTGCCATCCCTTGGTCTACCTACTTAAGATGTCCAGAGGTTTGAGAAGATCTGGAGAATCACCTTGCGTGGCAACTTGAGGCACCCAGGGAGAAAATTATATAAAGAGTGAAGCACTAGTAAACCAGGCTGCATTAGTAAAGTGAAGATGTGAGGCAAGGAGCCATTAGAAAATATTTTCTTCGTAAAACTAAACCAAGCAGAATTACAGTGTAGGGGTTAAGAGGGGGAACTTTAAAGTCAAATAATCAGGGTTGGATTCCTGGCTTTAGTACTTACTGGCTGTGTGACTTTGGGTAAGTGACTTAACTGCTCTGCGCCTATTTGTCACATGGCACTTCTTCGTGGGTTATTATATGTAAAGTGTTTAGCAACCACTCTATAACTTAGCTATTATCATTATTTTAAGGGGGCTAGAACAAGAAGGGTGAGATAATTTAATTAATTATCTCCATTTTCTAATTGGGCAAAGAAGACCCTGTGTGGGCAAAGTTAAGCACTGGAGCACACAGGGTGGAGGGCTGGTTTAGGGGCCCAGCAGTGTTTCGATGAGGTCCTTCTGGCACTAATAACACTCCTCCAGCAAGTAAGGAAGCACTATTTTGTTTTCAGGGACTCTTCCTGTTACCACAGCTTCTCAGAGATTTTCTTCCTTATTTTCTCTTTCCATAGCCTTTCTAGTTCTGTTTTGCTCCCCCTCCCTCACCACTGTTTTGTTTTTATTTGTTTTTCTCCTTTCCCTTTCCACCCCACCTTTTCCTGGTGTCACACTCACCACCACTATCCCCAGTGTCCCCCATTTCCCCCCTACACTTGAGCTTGCCACATGAAAGAAAATAAGACCAGGTGACCACGTAAGTCCAGGTTCAGACAGTAGTGCGCAGGGACATTTGCTCAGGGGCATCACCAGAGGTTGTGAACACCCATTTATGAAGCCAAAGGGAGGGGTCTTCATGCTATCTATCTGCCCGAGGCCTTGAATTGCTGCAAGTCAGGGTCCATCCAAAATCTTTCTGATCCTTTGCTGGTCACTAGGCCACAGAAAGAAAATAAAATTGATAGGTGTTAACCGGTAGGCATTTAAAAGAAGATAAAGGAAAAAGGAGGGTGGGGGTGGGGGAATGCAGCATAACCTAGTTGCAGTGTGCTTGATTTCTTTTAAGCAAATCATTTTCACTCTATAAAACTTTTGCACACCGTTGTGTTTTTTGTGCTTTTTTTTTTTAAGACACCAGTGCTTGAGGTTAATATGCTATTCTGATTGCTTCCATTTTCTTCCACTCAATATTTTCCCGAGTGCTAATAATCATGGGCAAATGTCTTAAATGACTTTTTTCCCTGCTTGGATCTGCATTTTTGAGGGTTTTCTAGAACTCCTGATCTTCTTGATATTCTGATGCTTCCTACTGGCACATAGTAGGTGTTCAGTAAATATGTGTGGAATGAGTGGATGAGCCAATAGCATGCAGATCTTTCAAGGCTCTTCTTAACCTGCATTCAGCAATTATCCAGGGTGTTCCAATTCTCTTTCACCTGGAATATTTAATGAGGAGCCAAATGTTGGATTCACTTGTGTTCTGTAGAGAGCTGCCTGGATTTTCCACTTGACTGCTATGGACTGGCCAGCCATGGGAGAGACCCTGGGCAGCTGGGTCTCACTTCTAACTGACCTTGCCTACCCAGCCCCAACCCCAAAGATGCTGGGACTGTATCCTAGTGGGTTACCTTGGCAACCTCACAATGTCATCTGTTAGAATGTCCTAGGGCGGCAGCTTTTAATTCTATCACAGCGGTCTCATCGGGGGTCATGTAATAGTGCTGTTTTTTCTCTGCTCACACTTCCTCCCCCTGTGATTTAACACTAAGTACTCGGGGAGGAGCTGAACACGGGAAAAACCAAGCTATTACTGCATGACAGGTCACAGATGGCCCCAGAACTGGGGTCCCGAGTGTTCACAGTCAATAAGACGCAGGTCCCAAGCTAATGGGGAAGCTGGATCTCCTCACACCCCCTGTGGAAAGAAGAGGAGTTAAGCCAGCCTAGGCAAGTGTAAGAAGCTGCTGTGGCCAGACTGCACGATTCTTGTAAAAGCTCAGTTAAAGGAACCCCCCGCTGGAATAATTCTTTCTTGGCCTCAGCAGCACCACCCCACTCTGGAGATGATTAAGGCCATGGGTACCAGCAGCCGGAGCAATTTCGCTGCATCCTAACTATGCTGAGGCTTGGAGGGAAGGAGAATCCCAGCTAACCTATTCTGCTCACCTTCTTCCCACCAGACCCCATCCCCACAATTTCACTTCACTTAGGTCCACCCTGCTCCTAACTTAGCCCAAAATAATTCAATTCCCCCTCTCTGCAGAGAGTAATCACAGTTCATAGCAGAAATGGATCAAACAAAAGCTTTGGAACCTGAAGAGCTATTGTCCTAATTGTTTATGTACAGGACCACGAAACCCAGACCTTACACTCGCCAGCTGAACAGCAGAGTTTCAGGGCTGGTGGGAGACAGAACTAGACTTATCTATGCCCTGGAGGTGCAATAATTATTCATCTTTATCATCACAGTTAATATTTTAATGGGTTTGCAGCCACAGTGAGCTCACAGTTTGGCCAGCTGCTCTGTACTAAACAGTTATAGGAAGCTGGCCCTGCATCCGGTGACAATCGTGCCTGTAAGGAGCCACGGTGGCAGGGGCCTGAGCTCTGTGCCCCAAGCCAGTGGTTTTGGAGGAGGCCCCTGCCCTTTGTTCATGGTGACAGGCACAGCCTGCACAGGCACGCCCCTAGGAAGACCATGGCACCCTTGGCCACGTTAAAGCAGAGTACACTTGTGCCAAAACATGCTTTTGACTCCCCAGTACAGTGGAGATGTGAATTAGGGTGGGGGCAGGGAGCTGGTTAGGGCATTTTTTGCATATGCATTGATCAGCCAAGGCTAGGGACTTTTGTCCAAAGTATAGTCAAAACAATACTTTGAAAATGCCACCCACAGACATCACCAATTTGAGGAAATGTTGGATGATAGCCAAATGTTCCATTCACTCCCATACAAAAAAAAAAAAAAAAAAAAAAAAAAACCACCACCCACATTTATTGTTATTCTGCTCCTGAATCCACTCATTTTACCTCTGAATTCCCAGTCTGAGTCAAGCAGTTCAGGGGAGCAGGGGCCCTCCTGTGGCTGAGATGGAATTTGTTCTCTGGAGCAAAGAGCCACTGGAGACTGAATTTCAGGAATACTGCGTGCAACACATTGCTATTTGTAGCTTTGTTTCCCTCACTCAGCCTGAGGAATTGTCTGAATTTACCAAAAGCCATCCACATCCACACCCCTTCACTGGTTATTCCATTCATGGGACACATTTGTTGACTTGCATTTGAGAACTTTATTACCAGAGATAAGGGGGAAATGTGTGTGTGTGTGTGGGGGGGGGGGGGGGTGTGTGTATAAGGAGCCTATACATTCTACAGATGTCAAAATAAGGAGATCATAAAAATAAATCATCATTAAATGAATGGCAGGATAACATTTTGATATATTAATTAATCTGATTTCCCTTCCACCATCATTCCCCCGCCCCCACTGTATTTCTTGCTACACTGTACAACTTGTATTTCTTGTTCCTGTACAACTCTCTTCCCATCAATTTGGACAGCCGGAAGTGTTGTCAAAAGGAGAGTTATCATAACTCCACCAGAAAAAAAGTCAAATTCTTGGCTTTTGAGTTTTGGAAGTCAATGTCCAGGCATAAAACGAAAATACATGGAAAAATAGGAAATCAGGCAGAACCAGTGTCCCGCAGCATATCTCCTTTCCTTTTGCTACCCACCCACCATCCTGTACACACATACCTTCAAAAAATCAATAAAAGCTTCACAACTGGAGAAAAGCAAGGAAGGAAAGGCACAGGGAATATGTTGATGGCAGCAACTGGTAGGACACAGTGACTGACCAGAGTCAGAATTCAGAAACCCACCACCTCCACTCAAGTGAAAATCATCCATCCATAGTATCTGAGAACCCTGTGGACAGCTGTTCAGCTCTTGGGATTTGTGCAGGAGGAGCATTATAGACCTTCAGTAGAGGAAGGAAACAGGCTGTTCATCCTTCCCATTGACGCTGGACAATGAACTCCCATCAACAGCAGCCAGAGCACAACCCGTGGATCATCCAGAGAGGCTAACTCCTATTCCATGAGTTCAACCCTCATTTAATAGCCTAGAGTGCTGGTAAGCTCTTGAGATGGACAGCAGGGCCCTGGACCCTGAGAAGATCCAAGGGTATGAAAAGATGCTCCCACCTACTTCCCATCACACCTGTACGTAGAAGAACCCGAAGGGACCAGTTCAGTATCCCCCTTACAAGGTAGCACTGTGGTGATCATCAATGCTGTTCCTCGAATATTCCTAGTCCTCCCCTTCTGGCCCCACAGTAATGGCTGTTCCTGGCTCCTATAGTTGGGAGGGGCTGTAATTAGCTTTGGCTAATGAATTGTGAGCAGAAGCAAAATGTATCACTTCCTTAACAATTAATCAACTGTTAGGACAAGACCATTCAGGGCTTTCTCTTCCTTCTAGCAAGGCCACTGGCAACCTTCCATATGATGGCTGCTCATCTGTCTAGATCCCTGAGTGATTGTGAGAAGCTGAGCCCCCATCTGACCTATACTCTTTACATAACATAAACAAGAAATGACTTGTTTTTAAGCCATTGAAATTACAAGTTGTCTGTTTCTGCAGCATAACCCAGCCTATACTGACTGATACACCTTACTAGAATCCATTGAATGTTCTTAAAGGCATTATGAGCATACCTAGGAGCTGGAAGGCCAAAGGAAAAGATCCAATTAGAGAAACATTTCCCACATTAACCTGGAATCATAATAATTCCCAAGGTTTCCAGTTAGAGAAGCCCATGATCAAAAAACTATAAAGAGCTGTTATTTACTCATTCATTTAAGGAGTATTTATTTAGGATCTATTCTGTGCGCTCACTGTGTGCTAGGAATAGGGGATACAGCAGGGAATAAACAGACACTGTTCCCGACCTCAAAAAGCTTTCAGACTAGTAACACTTGGCAGTTATTTACTGCATGAAAATGAAACTATAGCCTAGGGGAATTGAGAGACTTGCCCGAGGTGATACCTTTAATAAATGGTAAAGTGGGACTTCACTTGAACTTTATGAGTCTAAATTTTGTGCTTTCTTCACTCTTCTAAGCCACCTAAAAATAAGAGAATCAGTATAACTTTGAGTTTGCTCCAAGGAGTAGGTGGAATTTAACTCCAGGCTACCTTATGTCTCCTTCCTTAATGTTTGCTGATACCTGAAACCTCTTTAATAAGCCAAACTTTTCATTCCATAATTAGTACCTAAAACAGGGACTGACAAATAGCAGGCACTGTCTAAATGTTTGCTGAATGAATAAAACATGCATAAATAAATAAATGAATAAGTGGGCTTACATAATTGTAACTGTTGATTGAAATATCAGATGCACTCTATCTCACTCATGCTAAACCAGAAGCCAGCAATCACTCAAGATAGGTGTTATGCTTGATCTCGAGGAATATTTTTATTGAAATATTAATTGATGGTCTTTACAATCCCAACATTTCCTATTATTTTCTGTTATCTCTCTCCTTTTCTTCAATCTGAGAACTGGCTAAACTATATGGCATCCATATCTCAGGGCATGGTTGTTTCAGCAGAAAAGTCTTTAAGGACTCAAATCCTTGGATGTTTGAGTTGCAAATGTCCAAGGGACTCAGAATTTAGAAGAAAAAATCTTAAAGTGCCAGAAAAATATTTCCCAACCTCTTGGAGAGCATAACATATCCCCAGACTGCAGGGAGGGAGAAAGGAGCGTGAAGGGAAGCAGGAGGGGGTGGACGCCGTAAACCCCTAAGGAAAGATGAGCCAATATCCTGCCCCTACCATTTATTCAAAAGGAAGGGCAGCAAATGCCACTCTGGCATAGCAGAGTAAAGTATATTGAACCAACTGTCCTACAGATGAACTCGGGACAAAATCTAAAACCCAACTCTGAAGGCAGTGGTGGACAACTACAAATAGGCAGGTACTAGGAGGGAGGCAACACTTGGAAACATCAAGGGGTGGATTTTGCATTTTTTTTTTTTACAGCTGCTTTCATCTAAGGGCAGACCTCAGAGAGTGCCCCATAGGGAAGTCAACACTTGGGCAGAAACCCACAGTCTTCCCAACAGAGGAATCAAGAGACAGAGGTCCTAGTGACCACAGCAACTGAACAGATGGGCCTGAGGGAGTCTCCGGTTCCCTGGCCCCTGACACACTGTGGAAGAGATAGAATCAATCCTGGGCACAGGGTGGGCGGGGGTGGGGGGTGGGGTGGGGAGGCACAGAAGTGACAAAGGGCTGCAAACAGTCCCACAAAGATTTCTGTAGTCAGTGAAGGCGCTAAAGCAGCACAATGCTCTCATGTCCTGCGAGGAGCAAGGGAGTCAGCTGAGAGACAGAGCCTTGTGACAGACCCCAGGGATAGCGCAGCAGAGAGCAGTATCAGACAACAGGCAGCCTGAGGATGCAAAGATGTCCTGTGGATGCTGTCCTGAATGTTGATGACACAGACCAGGCACACTCAATCCTGCTCACGCCTTGGCATGATGTGAGCCCTGCAGAACTCATGCATAACTCCAGGGGAGCTGAGACCCATTCTGAAATGGACTGGGAATAAGCCTCTACTGCCTCTTTCAGCCTCTGAAATGTTACAGAAACATAAGGCATGTTTTCTTCCTAGGACATCTGAATCTCTACTGTGAGATAAATGTGTGTGTTTGAGATGAGGGACAAGATTAGACAATGAAGGTTGACACTTATGATTAGCAGACAAGCAGAAGGACCTCTTCCCACCCCCGCCATGCTGTATAGATGGAAACTACTTAGAGTTATTTCCCCCTTAACTGTTAGCACGTAGTTCAGGTTCTAAGGTGTGAGAACAGCTTCTCAAGATATCTGCTTCCCACCACTACTCCCCCATCCACCCCAACTACCCACCAAATATAACTTTCTATAAAGGGACTTCCTTCTAAGAGGTGGTGTTAACTGAGATGTAACTGCAGTGCCTTATATGGTAGCCATTTATTCCTCTATTTCCCCAACCACATGAGGGTTCTGATTTAGTCACTTCCCCATTTCCCAGAATGAGAAATATCAATATGAAACAACATGATGAGTGAACAAATGAACAAAGAACTGAATGAATGGATGAAGAAGTTAATACCATTCATACCAGGAGCTGATGTGTATATATTGAAATAACAATGTTTCTAGTAAAGCCTGCTCTTTCCCTCCTCCAGACTCATTCTGTTCTCCCCACCCCTTTCTGAGTTGCATTTAGAGGGTTTAAATGTCAGTGGCTGCAAGCCCACTTTCCTCCCTCCCATTGTCAGTGGTCTTTCTCTCAGCTGAAATGGGAGTTTTGGAATAGAGCTCTCTGTCAATCACCACTGAGCCCTTTTCCCTCAGCCCTGGAGTTTCCAGGCTCAAGTACCAAGAGTCGGGCTGGCAGCCTTGGCAGTCAGGGGAAAGAGCACGAGAGACTTTTTAACAGGCCTAAAATCCCGGTTTTGGCAGGCAGCCTTGGCTGAGAAACAGCTGGATGGCAATAGGCCAGGCTCAAACATCTGCCTTCTTCTCCAGGAATTAGTATCAAGCATCTTTGCTAATGCTATTATTAAGGAATTATCAATATTTTACAAGTGTTATCACTCCTTGAAAAGATGGCTAATTAAATCATGCAGGACAAGACCTTCATGGTCAAGATATAATAAGGCAAGTCCTTCTTTTCATCTCTCCTTTTCTCTCAAGGTTATTACACTGACTCTTAAGGAAGGAACCCTGATTTTAAAAGCCACCTCTCCCCTGTATTCTCTCTAACCCCAGTTTGAGGCTCTAAGCAAAAGCCTATTAGTAAATATCAATTTAAACAATTAAGAGTGTGCCAGTCAGGGTTCTTATTGCATACCAGAGAGATGGGCTTCGGTCACCTTAACCTGTAAAGAAAATTATAAAAAGGCTTTTGGGAAGCTCACAGAATTGATGGGAAGGCTGAGAAAACAGATTTAAGCAGTGTGGACATTCTCCCATCAAAAGGTAGAGTCTAATTCTCTTCTCCTTCATCTGGGCAGTTTGTGACACACTTGTAACCAGTAGAATGTAGCATAAGTAAAGCTGTGTGACTTCTGTGGCTAGTAGGTAACGTACTTTTCACCTAGATGGCTAGAATTCACTGAGGAGATATTAAGCTACCATGTAAGTAGTCTAAATGCTTAGAACTCACCATGTTTTGAGGAAGCCCAAACTAGACCACACAGAGACCATGTGGAGAGGACTCAAGACTATATGAAGAGAGAGAGAAAACTGCCCAGCCAGCTCTTGGCTGATCCAGCCCCTCACTGACTTAAACTGCATGAAAGACCTAGCCCAGAGCCACCCAGCCAAGCCTTGCCCAAATCCTGACCCACAAAAATTATGAGAAATAACAAAATGATTGGTGTTGCTTCAAGCCAGTATGTTTTACGGTCACTGGTTATGCAGTGTGTTAGTCTCTTCTTGTATTGCTATAAAAGAAGTACCTGAGGCTGGGTACTTTATAAAGAGAAGAGGTTTATTTTGGCTCATGGTTCTGAAGGCTGTACAGGAAGCATGGCACTGGCATCTGCTTCTGGTGAGGGCCTCAGGAAGTTTTCAATCATGGCAGAAGGTGAAGGGGCAGCAGGGCTGTCACACAGTGAGAGTGGGAGTGAGACAGAGGAAGTGCCAGCCTCCTTTAAACAACCAGGTCTCATGTGACCTCACAGAGTGAGAACTCACTCATCATCATGAGGAGAGCACCAAGCCATTCATGAGAGATCAGCCCCTGTGACCCAAACACCTACTACTAGGCCCACCTGCAACACTGGAGGTCACATTTCAACATGAGATTTGGAGAAAACAAAACATCCAAGCCATATCATGCAGCAATAGGCAAGCAGAAAAGAACAGTCAGAAACAAAGGAATGTAAGAACAGGATCAAAAACAGTTTCTTCACACAGAACCTTCTCATGAGCTTGATTCCCTCCACCCTGCCCAGACTTCACACTGCTCAGTCACTGGTTCTACAGAAATATAAGAAAAAACAGTGAATTTTCAGAGTGGCATACAGATTGTTTTCTTAAGTGTAAAGTTAGTAATCTAAAGCAAAAACCTCCAGAAATCTCCCCGCCCCTCTTTCCTGCCATTCCTATTTGTCCCCACTATAAAACAAAACTCAGTCAAAGATATCAGGTGCTGTTTTTTTGGGTAGGCACCTATTTTGTGACTATATCTTTTTTTTTTTTAAAGGGGGCCATAGTTTTTTGATGCTCATTTTTCGTTTTAAAAATATTGGTTGAAATATGTAAGAAAATGACTCTAAGCCTTATAAGACACAAACACACACACATACAAACATGCATTCACTTTATGGGATGTATATTAAGACTCATCAACCCTCAGATCGTTTGGAGAGAGAGAGTCCTGTGGCCCACAAAGGGACAATAACAAAAGTATTCCTGCTACTTGTTGAGAACCACTAGCTTACCTCAGCTTTGAGTTCCTATTTTTGGTTCTCATTACGACACTTAGAAGAAACCTTCATTAGCATTTTTACTTAAACAAAACCAAGGCACAATTAGCAGCTGCTTCAGGATTTTCAAACCCTGACATCTGGGAATTTCCCAGAAAGTGTTATGAATATTACAAGTAAAATCTGTTCAGGAGGGAAAAATACAGGCTCTGACTCATTTGCCTGACCACACAGCAAGTGGAGTGCCACATATTCCTGGCAGATAAGCGCTCCTGGGTATAGGTGGAATGACAATGATAACCCACAAGTGTCCATGTTGTCCCATTTCCTGATGGTGGAAAACTGGAAAGCCACAGCTTTTCCACATGTGTTCATCAACAGGACTATCAACAGCTGTTGCCAAGACTTGGCTTTCTGAGCTGCCAAATAGGACCAGGGAAAATCAGGTCAAACACATATATTTCATAAAGGCTGAGGATTGGTGTCTCATGTCGTGTTCCAGATTTTTATCACTGAACAGTGAATCATGCCTAAATGTATTGACTTAAAACAATAACCATTTAAGAAGTTTCTGGGTTTCTGTGCATCAGGGATTCAGGAAGGGCTCAGCTGGGTGGTTTTGGCTCAAGGTCTCTCATGTGGCTATAGTCAGATGGCTGGAGCGGGACCCTGAAGCTGGAGCAGCTGGCTGGGCATCATCTTCTCTCTCTCTTCTCTCTTCTCTCTCCTCTGTCCTCTCTCCTCTCCTCTCTGCCCTCTCCCCTCTCTCCCATCCCCTCTCCCCTCTCTCTCTTTCTCTCCCCAGGTAGTCTCTACATGGACTAATTTGAGCACTCACTCACACAGAAGCCGAAGGCTCCATAGCAGATATTTCTATGAACAAGGCAGAAGCTCCACTGCCTATTATGACGTAGCTTCGGAGTCACAGAGCATCACATTCATCATACTCTGTTGGTCAAACAGTCACAAACCCACCCAGATTCTAGGAAAGGGAATATAGACACCTCTGCCCTAATAAGAGGACTCACCCTGTAAGAGGGGCATGTGGAATGGGAGGTATTATGGCTGCCATCTTTAGAAATTACAATTTGCCACAGGTTGTGTTCCCTAGAAGCAGAGGTTGAAATAGGGGTTCTTTTGTGAGTTAAGGAAGAGGGAGAAGCTAAGCGAGGATGTAGCTTCAGGTGAAGTCCAGCTTCAACCTGATCTTGTAGGCAGCACTGGATCTCACATTGTCTGCAGCATTTGTCCTTCCTTGAGGCAAAAAAGTGGGGCTTTTGTACACACATATCAGTCAACCCTTAGCTTAGGGAAGCCCCAGGGGAAGGGTTGTAACTCCTAGGTATCTCGTAGACAGGCAACTCCTCTTGCTTAAAGGCATTTCCCAGACAAGGCTTGCTCTGTGAGCCTTTAATAGCAGTTAATAAAAAGATTGCCAGAGATCTGATTGGGACTGCAACAGCCTCAGCTACATTAAGATATGGGGGCACATTCAAGGCCTGTTTTATAGAGACTAGCAGGTAAGGACCTGAGTTTCAAGGTGAGTCCAGGGAATTAGTCCTTAGGATGGGAGATGGTGAAGGATTGAGCAGAAGGTGTGTGCATCTAAGGTATCTAATCCAAACAGGATCTGGGGACCCAGTCAGAAGACACTTGGGGTTTAGGGCAGGAAGTCTACTGATTGCCACGAGCAAAAAAGGAAATACATTGGTTCATGAAATGAGAAAGTCAATGGACAGTGCTGACCCAGATTGGATCCAGGGCTCAAAGAGCATCTCCAAGGTCTAGCACTTTCTCTTTCTCTCTCTAACCGCTCTTCTTCTATCAGTTCTTTTTGTGGACTTTATTCTTAGGAGGTATGTCCCTTTTTGGTGGAAAGATGACTGCCAATAATGCCAGGCTTATATTCTCTCCTTCGCATACCCATGAGAAAAGGGCTTTCCTTTCCTAATCAAGCTTACAAAAGTTCCGTCATTGAGTGTCATAGGCCTGATTAGCCTGACCTGATCGAATGGCCATCTCTGAACCAATCACTGTGGCTAAGGTGATGTGATGCTCTGATGGGCCAGGCCTGGTTCACATGCCCACCGTTGGAGCTAAGGAGGGAGTTAATTTCACTGGAAACCCAAGGATTAAGGTGGACACCAACTGTAGCTGGCCTTTCTGTTTTGTCAATCAGCTCACTCCAAAAGTGGAAAGGAGAAGCAATGTCACAGGAAAATCGGAAAGTGATTACCAGAAGTGGGATAAGACCAGACAGGAAAAATACCCCAAACAAAGGAAAGTAAAGACCATGTAAGGAATTCAGTCACTGGTGAACTAGAACAGCAGGTTAAAATGATCATGGTAGGCACAGTGACTCCATTCAGAGCTCAACATCCCTGAACCTACGTTGCATCAGATTCCTCTACCCAGGGACAATCTTGATTCCAGAATTGAGAGCAAGAGTCATGCAGTTGAAGACTCAATCACCCAGGAGAGGCAGGTGGCTCCGGCTTTGGGGCTGGAGGATTTGAAAGCAGGCTAAAAAGTCATCACAATTTTGTTCTCCACTAGGCCAGAGGGCTTTAGTGACCACAGAAGTTTTAAAAACTCTACGTATAGATTTTGTTTGATATAATCTTAAATAAAGATTAGAGGTTTGAAAAATAAAATCTATGAAAAGAGTCAAAGAAATTGGTGCTAATTAACCAGGAAAAACAAACTGAAACACATGCATAGACACACACACAACAGAGATGGAAAAGTATTTTAATTAAGTCATCTTCCCTATTAAAAAAAAAAAAGATGGTAACTAGCCATTCCTGAGCTCTACTGAGGAAGAAATAAAAAGCAAATGGGCTTAATTGAAACATTGCGGAATTAAACATGAGAAGGAATTCTTTGTTCAACATTGGCCTAAATTTTAAGCTCTATTTAATTGTAAGCTTCCTCTGGGTAAAAGAATTGTGTCTTCTTCATCTTCCCCAAAGTTTGAAATGATGGATAACTGAAAACTCTGATAATAACACACAGAGAGACAGAGAACTGTATCAGCTTCTATAACTTTTGAGATTTTATTTCTGAGTACAAATGAATCTGATTTATCCATTGTATCATTTAGGAATATTTTGGCTGCCAGTACAAGATAGCCTGATCTTAATGGTTTAAACAAATAGAGAAGTTTTTTTTACATAACAAAAGTCTGAAGACAACAGCTGTTGGCCCTGGTTTGCATCTCATGATGCTATGGGCCTTTCCCTCATGGTTGCAAGATGGCTGCAAGATGGCTGCTGCAACACCAAGTATCACAATGATCTTCCATTGCAGAGAAGAAGGAGGAGGGAAGAGACAACATGCATATCATGGAAGGATATGCTTGCCCAAAAACCACAGAGTAAACAAGCACTTACGTTTCATTTGTCAGAATTATGTAGCTTCGTCACTTCCAGCTGAAAGATAGCTGTGTGAAAAGGGTTGTGTTATTTTTTGCAAATACACACCTGTGAACAAGGTGTGGACATGTAAATATTTGCCCTAGTCAGTGGTCTCATTTCTGGAATTTAGGCAGACTACTTGTTTCTCTCAATCTCTGCTTTCCTAGTTAATTTTTACCATTTACAATTGGCTCTATATTTGGTTTGGGGAGTGTTTTTCCCAAGCTTAATCATGAGATTCTGGGACATTATTGATACTAACAGATAGATATCCTGGCCATAGGTGTGGGCACATGATCTAGACCCAGCTACTCCTAATAATCCAATCACATGGTCCTAGTGCTTAGTCTACAGATACTCAGGTGGCCCCACCAGAAACAATCAGGTTTCTTCCCCAGAATTTTTTATTTAGAGATAGAGAAAAAGAGGTAGTATTATTTTTGGTGATACAGCTGGAAATGGGCTATTGGCAAACATCTTCCCCACTATGTGGAGAAAGCGTATCTTTAGAAGGAGAAAATGTGGCCACAACAACACAGAGATGTGTAGAGTTTAGAGAGCCCGTGACAGCAAGAGGGAGAGAATGAACTACCGTCTTGACAATCTCACTTAAGCTTCTGAATGCAATTGTGAACGGACTTCCACTTACGTGAGCCATACATTTCCCCTTCTTTCTCAAACTGGTATCATTGGATTTCTATCTACTGCACATAAGAGTCTTGGTTAATTAAGAAATTGGACAAACACCCAATAATGTAAAGGCTATTTGTTTGGAATTAAGGAAATGATTTGTCAAGGGAAACCAGGGAAAAGCTTCATGTATTTGTATTAAGCTAATAAGATTTTTCAAGCACTTGGAAATTTCATGGTGTGCTAATGCTGTTGTCAATTACATTTCTGTAACTGTTTTCTGTTTTTAGAGACCATATAAGAATCACTAACATGAGCTGCATACGCTGGAGGCCCCTCTGCTGTCATTATTTTATGTGCTGGAAAACGCTGCGATGGGAAGACAGCCCAGTCAGATGGGGATGGCCTGGAATAGGAGCCAGGTATCTGTGTCATGGACTAGTAATACAAGTCTCTTGGCCTCTCTGGGCTTCAGTTTCTTCACCTGTTCAACCAAAGGCATGAACCGAAAGCCTTCTCAGGTCCCTTTCACCTCGACTGCTCTATGTCAGTATGATCTTTTAAATCAACTCCCTGATTTTACCTATAAGGCCCAGGGGCTCCCCTGGTCACAGAGCCAGGACACAGTTTAGAACCTAGACCTCCTGACTCAGATTGTCCTCTAGGGCAGACCAACTTCCTTGCCAATTATAGAAGAGGAGCAGGGTTCTATTACACTGTTAGCACTTACTTTCTTTGATTCCAGAGCATCCTATTTCACTCCATTTTTCCAAGAATGAAGAACGAGAGCCAGGTCCCAAACCCAGTCCCCAGTGGGCCACTTAACTTCCCTCTCTTCATGACTCAGGAGTTAGTCCTGTGACTGGCTGCAGTCTTGCACATGCATGCACTTGGCACAGAAGGGCCAGGAGAGAGTGTAAATGCATCCTGGAGGTCTACTGGGGCGTAATGGAAAAAAGCCATTTGGTGTTCACATGCCATGGCAGTGGACCTCTGAGTGTATCATCGTCTGAGTGGGAAGTGTGCAGCCAAGAGGCTTGGCCAGACACCAAAGAGGTGTCCTGCCACCTCCCTATCACCACTGTCACACCAACAAGAACAGTGTAGTGAGAAATCCACTGAGCCTGGGCCATGTCTCACCACGGTCATGTCTAGGGAAAGAGTCATAGGTGCTCCCAGGCGGTTAAACATAAAAGGGCGGCATTTAATTCTCAAATGTGTTTGAAAAATTATTTGTTTGCTAGATTTGATAATGCAGACAGAGACTTTGCTACTCTAAATTCCTTGTGTGTCTCCAGGCAGACTGTGATGTACTAAGGAGATTTCCTTCTATGAGAATCACTCACTCAGGGTTATCCTGCAATTTCATGAGGAAATCCCTTTTAAAAGGCATACTTTAGCTGACAAATGTATCCTGAAGAAATGCTGAACTAGATTATCCCACTAGATCAGAGCTTTCCAAACATTTTTGAACATGACCCACAGTCAGAAACACGTTTCACCCCATGACCTGATACAAACACATCTATATGTAAAAAACTGACACAAAGCACTCAGGACACAAAACCAACTCCTACTTTGTGTAATATATCCTGACAGTTGCACTCTGTTCTGCCCTCTTCTGTCTGATTCTGTTTCCATTTTTTTATGTTTCATTTTTTAGAGACAGGTCTTGCTCTGTCACCAGGCTGAAGTGCAGTAATCATAGCTCACTGCAGCCTCTGAACTCCCAGCCTGAAGCATCCTCCCACCTCAGTCTCCCAACTATCTGGGACTACAGGCATGCACCACCATAACCAGCTAATTTTTATTTTATTTTATTATTTTTTGTAGAGACAGAGCTTTGCTCTGTTGCCCACACTCATCTCAAACTTCTGGCTTTAAGCTATCCTCCCACTTTGGCTTCCCACAGTGCTAGGATTACAGGGATGAGCCACCATGCCCAATCTGTTTCCATTTTTTAAAATAGTGGCTGGGACTTTGCTTCCTCTGTGTGAAAGGCTGCTTACCTGTCCTGGGGAAGGATAGGAACAAATTACATGAAGCACACTGACCATTCCTTCACCCTTCAGGCAGCTAACTATGGAGGCAAGACACTGAAGTAATGAAAATACAAACAGCAACATATGTCAGCCACCTAGAAGGTGTTGCTGGACAATCAGGATGTCACTTTGGGCCAAGCCAGCGCTGGCTCGTTCATTCATTCATTTCCTCTATGTGATTTGGAGCCCTTGAGAAGTAGATGCCAAGGTGGGTTCAACTTTCAAGGATTTTCTTAGGAGAAATGCCCATGCCAGAGAAAACAAGGCAGGAGCTAGGCAAGGCTTGGAGAGTACCAGAGTCAAATGGTAATGCAAGTCCACCCAAGTAGAGAGAGGGAAGGGAGACTAGACTGCTGCGTGCCCTAGACTGCTGTGTCACCTAAAGAAGGTTTGGCAAGGCTGTTAGGGAGCCCTTGAGCCGAAGTTGCCATCCAAGAAGTCCCATGTCTCCCAGAAACAGGACTGCCTCAGTATCCCTGCTGTGCTGGGTCATTGGTTGGGAGCAGCAGCACCAGGCAAGCTCCACGCCAGTGTGGAGCTGGGCCTCTCAGCACAGCAGCAGGGCCCTTGACCACCTGTGCTCCCTGTGCTAGGCATGCTGCTGGGTGCGTGCTCATGGCAGCCACACCCTCCTCCTTCTCTTCTTCCCTCTCTTGCTCCTTCCTTCAATTAACACTAAGTGAGTCTCTAGCCTAAGCCAGCTGTTGGAGCAGAGAATGGAGAGACAGTGGTGAGCCAAACCCACCCCCTGCCTCCAGGAATCTGCAACCTTGTGGGGACACAAATGTGAAGGAAAAAATTCCACCAGAGGATGAAGAGTGGTCAGTGTGAGAAATGTTTCCAAGTGAAGGGCCTCTCGACAGTATGAAGTTAAAATAGCGGGGATAGGGGCTCAGAAAAGTTCCTGAGCCAATGATGTGGACCTAAGGTCTGAAGGATGAATAAAAGTTTACTGGGTGAAGAGGGGAGGGAAGAGTGTTCCTGGCAGAGGGACCAGCATGTGTCCAGGTGATTTCTTGGGATGACAGGAATAAGGGGCTGAAACAGCTGGGGTAGATTGAGTGAAGCTGGGGAAGTGAGGTGCTGGGAGCGGGCGAGGGAGTGGATAGGGCCTGCAGGATCGGGGAGGCTTCTTGTCACCCACCAGCGGTTTTAATGGAGGTCGACATGATCAGATTTGCATTTTATAAAGGCCACTCTGCCTGTGGTGTAGAGGATGGCTGGGGGAAAGAGTAGGACCAGGGATACTAGTTGTCCAGGTACGGAGGTAATTAACAATGCAGTTGTTCCTGGGAGAGTGTTGAGGGCTTGGACCGGGGTAGAGCTGGTGGAAAGGGAAAAAAATGGCAAACTGGGAGAGACTGAAGAGGCTGCATGGATAGAACCTGGGGATGAAACAAATGGGGTGGGAGGTGACAGGGATGCCTCCACATCTACGACTCACACCAGCCCAAAGCCTCCGTGAAGAACCAGATGTGGGCAGTGAGTGCAGAGACAGATGCACTGCCCCACTATGTCCCCTTGTCTTGGGGACAAGAGCGCCTGTGCTGTCACCCCCGGTATCCTTTCACGTGTCCTCTCTCTGCCAACCCCAGGATCTCTTGGCATACATTTACCTCAGCCGCACTCTTCAGTGCTCTGCATCCAGGCTACGCGGAGGCTGCATGTTACAGGAGCCGTGCATCCCTGAAGACTTGGAATAAGTCAAGATTTACATAATCCCAGAGACATCCTTCCAAAGCGTGATAGTAACTCTGTTCCATGGCTGGAGTGGCTCCTCCAGGTGCCAGCAGCATAAACCCACCTTTCAATCAGTCTGCAGCTCAGAAATACTACCTGATTCTAGACAGGCTTTTCAACGTAATAGGTTGAATTATTATGTCTTGTACATAAATTAAGACTTTACATTTTTATACTGCTATTTATAATGTATATAATGCAAATCCATGTAAACTATGGTTACTTTGGGTTTCTGCTTTCCTGAAGCCTCTACCATCTGCAGACAGCCTCTGATACCTAACAGAGCCAGATGCTTGTACTCATATTTGTCCAAAGTCTTGGACTCCCACCCCAAGCCCTAGCCTGGCCCCTCTCAACTTAGCAAAAATCCGTGAAGAGACCTTAAAGAGGAAGCCAGAGCTCACTGGGCAGGAACAGTCTCAGAAGGCTATTTGGCGGTGCTAGAAATAGAACAGAGCTTTGAAGGATGGGCTAGGCCAGAGGAGACAGAGAAGGGAGAGAGGCTATGGGGGTCAGCCCAGCATGCTTTGGGGCCACTGATTAGGCAGTCTCAGCTATGAGCACAAAGGGTTGGAGTAAATTTTTAGGGAAAATAATATTTCTGCATTCCCCGTGTCTAGGGATGTTTCCTTCAGACATCTGTTTTGGCTTCATTAGAAGGGACAGAGATGCTGTTTTCTATATTTTTGCATTGCCAGAGCTCAGCACAGTGACATATGGTAGAAATGCAATAAAAGTTCATTGAATGATTGAGTGAGTGGGTGAGTGAAAGCATTGCACAGGTTCACAAGATATTTGTCCTACTTAAGTGCTGATTTGTTTTCCAACATTTTATTATGAAAAATTTCAAACCCACTGAAAAATTAAAATCGTGGAGTGATCACACATACATTCTCCACCTAAATTCTAAATTTTACAGCTTATTGTGCAGGCTTTATCACGTATCTAGCCATCAGTTCAACCATCTATCTATCCATCCATTGTATTTTTTTATGCATTGCAAAGTTGCAGACATAAATATGCTTTACCTCTACTCATTTTAGCATGCACATCCTTAACTAGAGTCCAATATTTGTTGGCATTTCTGTTTTTCCTTGTTAAAATTTAAAAAATTTAATTATGGCCAAACAGACATAATATCAAACTTACCATCCTAACCATTTTCAAGTGTACAGTTCAGTAGCATTAAAAACATTCGCATTGCTGTGCAAACATCACCACCATCCATAGCTATAACTCTTTCATCTTGCAAAACTGAAGCTCCGTATTCATTAAACAATAACTCCCTCATTCCCCTCTCTTCCTAGCCCCTGGAAACAACCATTTTACTTTTTGTCTCTGAATTTGACTACTCTACATACTTCATATAAATGGAATAATACAGTATTTGTCCTTTTGTGACTGGCTTATTTCACTTTGTATGCGCTCCAGGTTCATTCATGTTGCAGCATGTGTCAGAATTCCCTTCCTTTTTAAGGCTAAATAATATTCCAGTATGTATATATTACACTTCGTTTATCCATTCATCTGTCATTGGACACAGGGTTGCTTCCACCTTTCGGCTATTGTGAATAATGCTTCTATGAACATGGGTGTACAAGTATCTGTTGAAATCTCTGTTTTTAATTTTTGGGGTATATACTCAGAAGTGGAATTGCTGGATGATATGATAATTCTATTTCTATTTTTTTGAGGAACTTCCATACTGTTTTCCATAGTGAATGCACAATTTTACATTACCACCAGTAATGCACGAGTTTAAATTTTTACACATCTTCCCAACATATGTTTTTTTTTTCATACTAGCCATCCTAATGGATGTGAAGTGGTGTCTTAGTACATTTTTGTGTTATTAGAAAGAGATATCTGAGGCTGTGTTCCATGGTGAGCAGGTCTATGCAAACCTACCCCCAAAGGCCAAGGAAGATGAAAGACCAAAGAAAGAAGCTGACAAATCCAATTTCTTAGAAAAAAAATATTTAACAGAGATTTATGAACAGAAGCATGTTTTGGGCAGCCATAAGACAAGATGGTGGATCCCCGCACTGTTATCCCCCAGGCCCAGGGCTTATATACCATAAGGAATTTGCCTAAGGACAGGGTTTATGGTAAATATGTGAAAATAGATATCTTAGAGGTATTCCCAGAACTGGGGTTAATAAGAAGTCATGGCAGATTAGCATCCGAGATGGAGTTGCTTTAGCCTTCACAGACTGGGTAATTTATAAAGAAAAGAGGTTTATTGGTTCATGGTTATGAAGGCTGCACAAGAAATATGGTACCAGCATCTGCTTCTGGCGAGAGCTTCAGGCTGCTTCCATTTGTGGCAGAAGATGGAGACAGCCTGTGTGTACAGAGATCACACGGCCAGAGAGGAGGAAAGAGGGACCGGGGGAGGTGCCAGCCTTTTTTGAACAACAGCTCTCATGGGAACTAATAGAGTGAGAACTCACTCATCCCCGTGCCTAGGGAATTAATCTATTTATGAGGAATCTGCCCCCCCCGACCCAAACACCTCTCATTAAGCCCTACCACACACTGAGGGTTAAATTTCAACACAACATTTGGGGAGGTCAAATTTCAACATGAGATTTGGAGGGGTCAAATTTCAACATGAGATTTGGAGGGGTCACATTTCAACATGAGATTTGGAGGGGTCACATTTCAACATGAGATTTGGAGGGGTCAAATTTCAACATGAGATTTGGAGGGGTCACATTTCAACATGAGATTTGGAGGAGTGAAATTTCAACATGAGATTTGGAGGAGTGAAATTTCAGCATGAGATTTGGAAGGGTCAAACAAGCCCAACTATAGCAGGTGGTATCTCATTGTGGTGTTGATGTGCATTTCCCTAATGATTACTGATGTTGAGCACCTTCTTATGTGCCTTTTGGCCACTTGTGTGTCTTCTTTGGAGAAATGTCTACTCAAAGTCCTCTGCCTCTTTTTGCCTTTTGAGGTAAAATTTACATATGATAAAGTGCACAAATCTTAAGTGTGCCATAAGATGAGTTCTGACAAATGCATCTCAAACTCTGTCGAGGTACAGAACATTATCATCACCCCAGACAGTTCCTTCAGATTCCTTCTCAGTAATCCACTCCCTCCACCCTCCAGACACAACCACTATCCTGGTTCTTAAAAGTCTGTCATAGATTCGTTTTGCCTGTTATAGAACTTTATGTGGATTTATACAGTATGTGCTCTTTCGCGTCTGGCTTCTTTCACTCGGCATAATGGTTTTGAGATTCACCCATGTTCATTCCTTTTGATCGCTGAGCAGTATTCTTTTCCATGAATAGGCCAGAGTTTCTTTATTCTTTTGTTGATGGACTGGACTGTTTCCAGTTTGGGGATATAATGAATAAAGCTTTTTAAGAGCTTATGTTTTATTATAACAAAAGCAAAATGTCATGAGCTTGAAGCCTTGATAAAAATCTCCCACCAAGCCTAATATCCTTTTGGATAGAAAAATAAACAAATCAATAAGTTCTGCCCTTTGTAGAGGGCTTATAATGTGCCAGGCCGTCTGCTGAGCGTTTTCCTTCCATCAATCATTCCATTTAATCCTCACAGCCCCATCTGCTAGATGAGTAAATAAAGGTTTACAGCAGGAAACTGACTTGCCCAAACTCTAATAGCCTGTGTGTGGCAGACCCTATTTTGCCTTTTGGGAAGTGCTGTGAGCATCAGTAGTTATCCCAAGGCCAAGAAAAGATGAGTATGGTGTTTTGCTTTCTCAGTTATCACACTTTATTACAATACTGATGTCATTTTTATTTGCCCTCTGTGATGAGCATTAATTATATTACGGGAAAGGGGAGAAAGCCAAGTATTGCAACTTTAGAAGTAAAGACCACTCCCTTACTAAGAAATCTTTGGAGACAGCAAGGAATTTTAAAAAAGTAATGGTACATGGGCCCGGTGCGGTGGCTCACGCCTGTAATCCCAGCACTTTGGGAGGCTGAGGTGGGCGGATCACTAGTCCAGGAGTTCGAGACCAGCCTGGCCAATATGGTGAAACCCCGTCTCTACAAAAAACACACAAAAAATTAGCCGGGCGTGGTGGCGTGTGCCTGTAGTCCCAGCTACTCGGGAGGCTGAGGCAGGAGAATTGCTCGAACCCAGGAGACAGAAGTTGCAGTGAGCTGAGATCGTTCCACTGACTCCAGCTGGGGCAAGAGAGCAAGACTCCGTCTCAAAAAAAAAAAAAAAAAATTAATGCTACATGAAAAAATTTCTATTACAAAATATTAGAAAATAATAAGAGCACCAAAAGATAAGTGCCTGATCAGCTTGCTATCCATATGTAAATGTAGATATGACCAAATTGGAAAGTTTTGGCAGAAAACTTGCAGAGGAAGGAAAGAAAGATTTATGACTAGTGTTTATCTACTGTCCGCGAAGTGCCAGGAAAGCCCCCTGCTGGGTAACTTACATATGTTTAACTCATTCCAGCTTCCCTGCAGCCTCAGCAGCCCTTCTCCCCTTGTTTTTTAGGAATGGAACTCCTGGCTTTTAGCTAAACTTGTGGTCTCCCAGAAAAAACATTTCTCGCAGCTTCCCTGATGGCTAGATTTGGCACGTGACTGAATTTGACCAATGGGATGTCAACTGAAGGGTCGCGTACAACTTCCAGGAAGGGCGTGACCTTAAAGGGGCTTGTGCCTTTCTTTGCCCCTTCCGCCTTCCGGATGGATGAAAGCAGAAGCAGTGGCTGGAGCTAGAGCAGCTATTTAGGACTATGAGATGGAAGAAATGTGGTGACAATAGCAGAACAAAAATATAGAAATCTTGGGTACTTGATGACCACGGAGCCGCCATACAAACTCTGGACTATAATTTCCAGAGACTGTTTATGTGAGAGAGAAATATACTTCTCCTGTTAGGCTACTGTTAACTCTGTGTTTTCTGTCAGTTCTGATATAGGAGGCATTGTCATCCCATTTTACAGACGAAGAGACGGAGTCTCAAGTTTCCATAGCTGGTGTGCACTTTAGTTCCTCAAGGACAATAATGCCCCACCCTTGAGGTTGGTTGATTCACTCAACTCCCAAAGTTGATAATGTTGAGGTGCCAAAAAAAGTGTCCCCTTCAGGTTTCACTCACTGGAGCTATGTCATGTGCCCACAGATACGGAAACATGCCACTAAAAGTTAGCCCTGGAGGGCCTTTAAGTCAGCTTTCAAAGAACAACAGATCTGGTTTTGTGACTCTGGGAAAATTACCATCCAAGCCTCAGTTTCTTCTTCTCTAAAATGGGAAGGATAGTAAAAGTACCTGCGACAGAGTTGTTGGGAGGACCGAGCAAGAGGCTGCACAGTGCCTGGCCCTGACCAAATGAACAAGTGGGAGTTTTTATTATTAGTCCCTGGGCTGGGCTGGAATCAGACCCCCTGGTTATTTCTTTTTCCATATCTTCCTTTCTGCCATTTTGGAGCTTCCCCCCTCCAGCCTCCGTCCCCAGACAAGATTAAACAAATGTCTCTTTTCTCCTTGCAGACTGTGCTCCCCAGGGCGCCCTCAGCTCTGTCCACACAAGTCCCTCCTATGATCAGCTGCACCCTAGGCTCAGCTGGAAAACAAAACATGCACTGCATGGTTGCCACATCCTAGCCATGGGCCTCAGTTTTCAAGCTCCAGGCAGTTTTAGCAAGAAAACTGATGTTCCTAAAATCAGGACTGCATTTCTTACATTTCCACTGCTGATTCTCAAAAAATGTTGGCACAAACAAACCCAAACCACGAGGCAGCAAAATTAGTCTTCAAAGCCCTCCTGTAAGTTAAACGCCCTCTCAAAGGTACCTGCAGAATCCACATTCAGGTCCCTGTGGGGCCGTCCTCTGTGGGTCTGCTTTGAGCTTTGAGCAGAGGAGGTTCCAGCACAACGCATCTGTCTGGGTGTGATTCTCCAGCCTCTGTTGTCTGTCAAATGAATCCTTCCTATATGATAATGAATACTGCACAGATTAATGCAGTGGATCCCCACCCATAGACCAGGAGGCTCTTTTGGGGAGACAGAGAGGTTTTGCGAGATGATCTTCAAACCCATCGATAAGCTTATTGTCCATGGACCAATCTCTTCTGTGTCTCCCACAGGGTTCTACCACTATATTTCAAATGTATATATTTTATATATATATATATATATATATATATATAGTCATTGTGATGAATAAATATAAATATCTATTTATATTATATATTTATATTATATATATTTATATTATATATTTATATATATATTTATATTATATATATTTTTATATATTTATATTATATATATTTTTATATATTTATATTATATATATTTTTATATATTTATATTATATATATTTTATATATTTATATTATATATTTTTATATATTTATATTATATATATTTTTATATATTTATATTATATATATTTTTATATATTTATATTATATATATTTTTATATATTTATATTATATATATTTATATATATATTTATATTATATATATTTATATATATTTATATTATATATATTTATATATATTTATATTATATGTATTTATATTATATATATTTATGTATATTTATATTATATATATTTATATAATATATATATTTATATTATATATTTATATTCATATATTTTTATTATATATTTATATTAAAATATATATTAAAAATAAATATATATAGTCATTGTGATGAATAAAATACTTCATTAAAAATAATTATGTAAGATTAGATAATCAATAGACACTAAATACACACCTACTATCCGCTAGGGTTAACCAACTCCTAGCTTAATGCCATTCAACAAGAACTTCCTAGAAATAGTCCCATAGCTAGTGACCCTCATGGTGGAGCTTCAGACAACAAAAACAAGTCAGGGAATGAATACTTGGAGGCCACCAGAGCATTTGGCCACCTTCAAACCACACTGAGATGGAAGCTTGGCTTGTGTGCAGTCCAGCTGAGAACTGGGCTAAGAACTGAGAAACAGCAACCCAAACCCTTGTGCCCAGAGAGCACAGCATGACCACCTCCTCCACTTCCCTAGTGTGGGAAGGAGTGTCGGGACCCACGTGCGTCAAGCACCCAGTGCCCAGCAATCACAACCACAGGCAGCAGGGAGATGAGGCAGAAGGGGTGAGGGATGTAGCAGTGGGAATGTGTGTGGGCAGGAAAGCTACTCACCCTCTCGTTTCAGCTACAGTTATCTAACTGCAAGCAACAGAAATCCACTCTGGGCAACCTAAGCCAGAAAGGAAGATAAATTGAAGAACCAGAACTCAGAAAGGGAAGAAGGGGGATTGTGGTAGAAGATACTTTGAGGGAGAGATGAATCTCTTCCAAACATTTTCTATCTGCCTGTTACTTAATCAATATTGGGTTCTTTGGGAAGAGGGTACGACTGGCCAGGGGAGAGCAGGATACCATCAGTGGTGGCTTCCTGGCATCTGTTCACCAACATGGGGGAAGAAAGCACATCCCTCAAAGAAAGCCAGGATGCTGGCACCAGAAAAAGGGGGAAGGATGCTGAGCATGGAGCAGACAGAGACGTCTCTTCTCTCTCTGGGACTGCATCTTTTCATCTGTAAAATGGGAACAACTGTGGCTACATTGTGAAAATGTAATGAGATAACACAGAGCACAGTGTGGCTTATGGGAAGTGCCTAATATGTAATAATTTTAAATAATTTTAGCTAAATAATTTTAGCTTACCATCTTAATTTTTGATTCAGGTCTATCTGAACTTTTTCTCCAGAGAATGAAGATACTGTCATTACCTCTGCAAAGAATGCATCCTAGCACAGATCAAAGATCTTCCAAGTCCAGCCACACCATTTTACAGTTCTGAACCTCGACTTAGGAAAGCAGTGGATCTTTATACATTTGACACATCCCTTCCCTCTAGGGTAAGAAAAAATAAGCCTAGTTTTGCATAAGTCCTTTTCTGTAGGCTGGGGCTCTGAAGGAAGCGAACCCCATGGCCAATCCATCTGAAGTCAAGGTTAATAGGGCTATTATACTAAAGATGTGGTATTAAAGATCTCCCTCTGGCACCGTGTTCTTTATGATGCATGGCCAATTGCCCACTGAGGAAGATATTGCAACCGGAGCAATTTTATTCCAAAAGCATATCATTTTGTTTTTATTCCCACTGACAAGCACATACGTCTTTAAAAAAAAAAAAGTGACTATTGGTCAAAGTTACATTTTTCCCACACATTTTTCAACTTTTGGGATTGTATATTCCAGGCTGGATATGGGCACTAACCAGGCGCTTCCTGATGGATGGGCTTGGCTGTTTTCTCCATGGTTTCTTGGCTCAAATTTTTGCCAACTTACATATTTTTGCTTAGTTTTGACATCTTCTTTCCATCAAACCAGATGTTTCTGTTTCTTTGCAATGTCAGTTTTTCCCCATCAAAAGCATGAAATTTGACCAATTATTTACTGATAGTTATTGAAAGATGAAGTTATTGAAAGATGGCAAGTTACAAGTTTCAAAATCCATCTCTGGTTCATTCGTTTGAAATAATTGACTATATGATATGGTAGATATCAATTATATGATAAACCTTTCAGGGGTTTTTTAAATGTTAAAAATAAAGTGATAATGCTGGCCTTAGCATATTAATGATTTTGGTTTTCCTCCTAAGAACAATGGAAAGATATTAATCTTTGGCAGAGGATAAAGTGGCCAGATTTGTGTTTTAACAGATCTCTGTGGCTATTGAAAATGGACTGGAGAAGATGAGTGGGAGTGAGAAGAGGATAACAGAATCAGATAAAAACCTGTCATGTTACTAAGAGCAGGAGATGAGGCAGCCTGGACCAAGATGGTGGCAGAGAGAAGAAAATTGCTTGAGAGAATTGATTAAACTACTTGGTTAGCACAGATAGAGCTGAATCAAAAATTAGGATGGTAAGCTAAGTAATTTTACACACAAAAAGGCAGAGTTGCATTCATAATTAGTCTCTCCTTCAGACTGAATATTACAGACAAAATATAGCCATTGGTGTTGCAATCACTTCCTTTGGGTTTGTATCCAAGGTTAAGAATGTCAGCATCCAAAGACCCAAATTCTTAATGTTTTTAGTTGATAAAGTTTATTCAAGGTAGACAGCCTGTGTTGAATAACTTAGTCTTCCACAAATTTCAAGAAAAATCCATTGTCCCTCTTCTCCGCCACAGACACACTTTAGTTGAACATTAAGCATATTTATTAAAGAAACATTCTCCTTGTGCTTTTTCTCCCAAGATGGATGGTGTTCTTACTTAGAGTTATAAGTGTCAGAATAAAAATGCCCATGAGGTTGAATTGTATGATGTTATAGTAAAGTGAGATAAACATTCTCAGAAACATGATTGTGACTTAAAAAAAAAAAAAACCAACAAACCACTTTCTGTAGAGGAATTATGCTTTGGGGACAGAAACTTTCCTTTATAATTTTTACAGCTGCACGCAGATAAAGTGTATTAAAAAGGCACAACACATCAATTATGAAAACATGGCTACCCTTTAAGAGAACACAGACTTTTTCCAGATCCATCTTAAATCTCAGGAATTCTAGATCGAGACAGGCATGAATGCTCCTGTTGCTGAAATCACTCTGATTTCCTTCTTGTTAAACACTTCACTCAGCAACATTATAGATTAGCACCAAAAAAGTTGTTTGTAGGTGAAAAACTGTTCAGAAAAGGACACCTTATTAGGCAGGCTGTCGATTTACAAATAAAAGCCGATTCTGGCTCTCCTGAATGAAAAGAAGAGTAATTTCTGGGGCTTATTAACTTGATTTTAGACTGGGGGGGGGTCCCAGAACCAGGGAGGTCCTGAAAAGGGCCATGTCACAGTAACTACTCGATCCAAGCTTCTCCTCAGTCTGAGATGTACCATGGCCACTGCTTGCCCCATGTCTACAGGATTCAGAGTCTTCAGGGAAAGTTGGGCACAAACGGTAGAGTCCTCTTCCCTGGCTGTGTTCCCACCTCCCAAAGCCCCACATAATGGAAAATCCCTCAAGAGGAGGCAGTCACAGAGGGAAGTAGAGGCCAGGCAGCCTGCGAATGATCAATGTGGTACAGGGCTCCTGTCCCCTCTATGGCCACCTCTCAAGTTGTTCTTTCCTAGGTTCTTTATTAAATGTGATAGATTTATCCAAAACAGTTATGAATTCAGATCCTACCAATCTGATATTACAAGAGCTCACATAGGGGAAGGAATGGAGTTTAACAGTAATGTTGACAAAGAAAAATAAAGTTTTTAATAAAAGGTATCAACAAAATGGTAGATTGTTTAACTACTTAATTAACTGTTTGGGGACCCTGATGAATTTAATGATAGTCAAACCACCTAAGTAGGTGAGCTACTGAGGCTGAAATTTTAGCTTTCTCTCTCTGTCTCTCTCTTTTTTTTTTTTTTTTTTTTACAGACAGGGTCTGGCTCTGTCATCCAGGCTGGAGTACAGTGGCATGATCATGGCTCACTGCAGTCTCCAAATCTTGGGCTCCAGTAATCCTCTGGTCTCAGCCTCTCCAACAGTCGGGACTACGGGTGCATGCCACCATGCCCGGCAAATTTTTTTAATTTTTAATTTTTGCAGAGACAGGGGCTCACTATGTTGCCCTGGCTGGTCTCAAACTTCTAGCCTCAAGTTATCTTTCCACCACAGCCTCGCAAAGTACTGCGATTACAGGCATAAGCCACTGTGCCTGGCCTTTCTTTATTTGTCAAAATTTAGCCTCTAAGTGGTAGCCCTTAAAATGTATTTCTGAACTGCTTGTGAACAATTAAGTTTGATTTTTTTAAAAAAAGGAAGAAGAAACCCGATTATTCAGACCTTGCACTAATTCAGGCTTTCTTTCCTACCAACAAGCACCTTTTAAGATGGTCCCCTGAGTCATTAGCATCTTCATCAATCTTTCAACAAGAAAGACTACTCACACAACATTTTTCAAAATATTTTCATGGTTATTATCTTATCCAGTTTCTAGCACTACAAGGTATACAAGATGGAAATGTTATTTCCATTTTACAGACCAGGATCCTGACACCAACATCATGGTAATTTACCCCAAGTAAGCTCCAAGTACCCAGTGTTCTTTTCTTATACTTCCCATGGGCCCTTGTTGCTATGTTTTTCTTTCTTTCATAACCCACCCCTTATTACTGCTCCAGAAGCAAATCCAAAATCTATAACAATGAAAGAAATCAATGCCAAGCCTATTCACCAACAAGTGCTTACTGAGCACTGCTGTATGGTTTAGGAAGAGGCTAATCTGCTGTAACAAAGAGACCCTAAGTACTGTGGCTCAAACAAATTAGAAGTTTGTTTCTTTCACCCAGTAGTCCAGACCCAACAGTCCAGAGGTCTTGGGAAGTTCGGGGAGGTCAATACAGGGACCCAGGTTTGTTTTAGCTTGTTTTTCCTGCTCTACCATCTTCTAAAGCAGAGATTCCCAAGTTTTTTCAGTTCACAGCTCCCCTAGTATCTCAGTAATTTTTTTCATAGCAACTACAGGTCAAAAGAAATACCCAGAAAATTTGCTTATGAATTAGTCAGGTCCAAATAATTTAATAATTATTTATGTCCTGAAAACATAGTTGCCACTTCGGGAAAAAATAACACAGACAGACTGAAATAAAAATACATTTACTTTACTTTTAAATGATCATAATTTCTTAATAATGGGAGGTGTGTGCCTGTTGGGCACTGAACAATTACTCAAACCTTGGACTCAAATTGGATACTGCCATTGTCATTTTCTATTTCACATTGACTTTTCACAATGTGTTATTTTTTTTTTTATCATAGCAACCATCTGAAACTCAGATACTAGGCAAAACCATCAAAACTAGTGGTTTTGCACAGTATCTGACAGGTGTTAACGAGTTTCCTTCAAAAATCTAAATTATCTTGCAGCATTCCTATGTGTTCACTGAGGCTCCTCAGAGAGCCTCAGCATGTAGCTTGAGAAGCATGGTGGTACAAGTCGCCATGCTATGTCTAGATATGGATCTGCTGGAGGAGTAATGCCTTCTCACCTCCCTGGCAGCCACTTCCTCTGTCCTTCCCAGGTTCCTGTGTCATGTCAGGAGGACCGAGGGCTGATGATTTGACCAGCAATTTCCCGGCTATCGTTCCTCAGCCAGGAGGAACCAAGCTTCCCCATCCAGTTTGCCTTACTCCAGTGAGAAGCCTGAAGCAAAACCCAACCCATTTAAAAAGTAAAAGCGATAATTTGTAGGCTCCTGCATACATTCTGAAATTACCTACATTCCTCTCATCCTGTGCTCATGGGCATATAACATAGACAAGACTGAAATCTTGTCTGAATTGTGAGGAAAGATCAAGTTTCCCCAGCTCCCAAGCCTGTTCCATCTGAATACCGGAATCTATGTGTAAGTCTTAAATAGCAGAGTGTGGAGGAGAATCCATTCAAATTAGAGTCAAATGTTATGGAGACACCCCAGCCTCCTCCTGGGGAAGCAGATCTGAACCATCACGCATCTCAAGAACTGCTTGGTGGCGAGGTAGTGTCGAGGCAATTCAGTGTGGTGAGTGCCACACGCAGCCTCCACACAAATGGGTGAGAAGCCTAATTGTCTTTGACTAGGACTGAATTTGGTTCCGCTTCAAACCCTTATTCTACTGGATGGTAGAAATGAAATCTCAGGCCATTTAGGCTTTCCCATGATGTTACACAGAACAATATGAAATTGCTGCTATTTGATCTTTTCTAAACTATAAAAACAGCAACTACATATGGCCCAGATGATAATGTATCTCCATCACTCCCAGGGTTTGTGACAGTCATGATCCCAGGGGCCACCTGGTTTCCATCGCCACCCACTGTTGTGCCTCTGAGATGTCCTTGCTGTCCTGTGCTCTCCACCATTGGTCCACGAAGACCTCCTCTGCCCTAGCCCCATCAGCAAGGGCTCCCTGACTGCAGTGAATCCTCTCAGCGATTCCCACATCCCCCTGGGGGGCTGCTGTGAAAGATCTGTGGCAGGAATGAGGCACAGTCCCCTTTCTCAGTGACATTTACCAACAGCCAAATTGTCGTGGTCCCTACGTCTCTCTTCTCTCGCGCTCTCTGGAGTGAGAAGAACCAGCTCTTGCAACTTCATTTACCCTTCCAAGTCAATTGCTTCTGGCATCAACTTAGTACCTGAACTCCTTTAAGGCTCAGGGTTTTAAGCTCCTGCATCTCAAAAGCTTTTGTGTGGGAACAGAAAACATGAGTTTCTCTTCCTATGCCTCAGCATCCCTTCTTTTAGAGAGCGGATACCTCCCAGCATAGTTCCAATGGGAGAAAGCCCTTGGGGTGAAAATAATGAGGAAATCGGGACCCGCACATCACCTTGCTGTGCGGTGGGTGCCTGGCTTATCTTATGCCTGGGTCTTGTCACCCAGGACATAGGTGGAGAGTCCTGACCTCACATTTCCAAGCTGTGCAACCCTGGGCAAGCCTCTGACCTCTCTCCAAACATCAGTTTCCTCAGGCCCTCACAGTAAGGAAACATACTGCCAGCAGGCCCACGGCTCATCCTGTGTGGTTAAATACAGTCAAGCAGAGAGAGAAAAATCTTCCAGATTCAATGAAAATGTAATGATCTCCTGTTGCATTAGGAATAGCAAGACTGGATGGCTTTGTAAAAGCTTAGAGATATTATTTTTGAAGCTATCTGTGTATACTTTATTCCCTTTCATATACCCCTTCTGGCTGACCCAAATGAAAAAAGATACAAAACTCATTTCTGGCCCAGCACTTGCCTGATCAGATGTAATGTGTGGTGATACGCCCATTTTCCCGCTCAGCTGTATTCCTGTTTATTCCTGTGAACACATGGTCTCTGCAATTGGCAATGATTTTTTCTTTGTTGTATTTACCTTCCTTTCGGGGGCCAGCCCAGACTCCTGGGTGGATTCATTTCCCATTGAATTACCAGAAAAGGGCAGAATCTGATTGGAAGAACTACGTGGAAGAAAGCTCAGTTCCCAGGCCCTCACACAAGGGACTCTGTCCTCCCATCTATGTCAGAGCCTGGGGGCTGTGAGGGAATTGAAACGGGACATCCTGTCCCCTCCACCAACATTCTTTCCCCACCAAGCAGTGGCATTTTCTTTTGTGTTCTCACACAATTCAGACTAGGTGGAGTAGCCTGTACGGCATGACTGGAGCGACCCCACTGAGCAGAAGTGTTCCCCTTCTCCTTCACCGACACTGTGGGCTGAGAGAAAGCCCACCTGACAGCCCCCTACTTTGGGGTGTTTCTGCCATGGTCCTTTTAACCAAACACCGCATGTTCTCACTCATAGGTGGGAAATGAACAATGAGAACACATGGACACAGGGTGGGGAACATCACACACCAGGGCCTGTGGTGGAGTTGGGGGATGGGGAGGGATAGCATTAGGAGAAATACCTAATGTAAATGATGAGTTAATGGGTGCAGCACACCAACATGGCACATGTTTAATGTAACAAACCTGCACGTTATGCACATGTACCCTAGAACTTAAAGTATAATAAAAAAAAAAATAAAGAAAAAAAGAGGGTGTAGTCAGGGCATGGGTTGAAACACCAAGCAAGTGTAAACCACAGGCTTCACACACTTCGCTTTTGGGGAGGCTGGTCAGCTCCGACCTGCAGCAACTGAGAAAGAACACATAGGGGTCCCTGAGGACAGACAGCTTTGCCAAGGACCAGCCTTAGGGCGTAGGAGAAAAAGAAAGGCCGGAGCAGCCACTTCTCTGTGCCCAGCAGTGCAGCCGCCCGCCTGACAATGCTTCAGCCACGCAGAGACGGGCCTGCCTCCTGTCTGCCCTGTCCTGAGAACGGAGATATCTGTGACCCAGAGGTCCTAGGACCTCCCACTTCCTAAATGTGTGACCCTAGATAAGTCGCTTAACCTCTACCCGAACCTCAATTTCATCATCTGTAAAACAAGAATAATCAACCCACCTACCTCATAGGGTTGTTTTGATGCTTAAATGAGACAAAGCACATGTCTAAGAGTTTTCTGATTCATAAAACAACACATGAATATAAGGATTGTTTTCCTGACTTATCTTAGGATCTTTTGGAAGGGACCTTCAATAAGAGACCTTCAGTAAGTTCTCTATGTTCAACCTCTACTATGCACAATCCTGGACAAAAGGTCATCTACCCTCTGCTTGACTCCTTTCTATTATGGGAAACTTATTACGTTTCTTTGATGAGAAACTCACTACCACAAAGCCTTATGACTTGAACTTGCTCTGGTTAGATCATAGCCACCTCATATAAGCTCCAGAGTAAATGGGAAGGGAGAACTAGACTCTGCCAGCAATAGCAGAAAGATCATCATGTAGATTGGGTTGCTCAGATATTTACAGATATTTGTCAAAAACCTGAAGTCAGTGTCATTCATCTTCCCTTTTGAAGGTTAAGTGTGTTTGTTTTTGTTTCCATGACAAGCCTACATTAAAATTGGATTAGGGGCAATGTTCAGAAAAAATCACAGATGCTCAGGGCAGTGTATTCATTGTGTTTACATGGAGTAAAATGCTTTGTCCCAAGATTATTTTACTTCGTCCATTTAGAAAGGTCTCCTGTGACTTGCATAAATGTGGAAGAAAGCTTCGTCATTTCTTTATAGACAGGATAGTTTGATGACATTTTAAAATATCAGTCATAATAAATTAGGGAGACTCCTAACTTAAATCTGTGCTACGAAGGGCCACTGAGGACAGTGAGGTGTGCCCCCACAGCCAAAAACTTTGTATAGCTTTAATTTCAGTACAGAGGTAAATCGGCTTTTGCTTTTGGATTTAAGATTTGGCAAGCATGTGAAATTAAGTATCACTTAGGGGGATTTTTTTACAGAGGGAAGCTAGGAGATTATGAGTGTTAGGGCTTATAGTTTAAATCTGCAATTAGCATAAATATGCAAAGGTCACCCTAAAGAGATGCATGCCCCTATTATCTGTAGAGGTAGGCGTAAGAAGTGGAGAGAAATGGCAAACAGAGTTTTGCAAACAAATGTGCGGTGGGAATTCAGATTTTCATGTACGTGTTGCATCTGTGGCCTAGAAGAAATCAGACACATGGCCTAGGAGAAATCAAGAGTGAGAAATCACCAGCCCACAGAGGAGATGTCACTGACCTTGAGGCTAACAGAAGTAAATGACAATTGTGGCAACAGCTGTTGGTCACCAACTCAACAGTGATTACCACCTTCTTCTTTGTTAATAGAAAATGATTTCTGTTCAGGAACTGAGCAGCAGATAGTTCTTGGAATCTGGACCCCATTGAAGTTTCAAGGTGTAAACCTTGATCAGTCTGTGTCCAAAATTGTAGTTCTGTTTCCCTTGTTAGTGATGAGTTCAGGATGGGGCATGTGCCACAATTGTAGTCAATGAGAAGTCTGCTGGAGGTACTTCTAGAAGAGTTTTCCTTAATCTCAAAAAAGAAGAAATCACAGAGACTTTCTGTTTCTGTCATTTGGATGTTGCTGGGAGATAATGTGATGCTTGGAGCTGTTGCAGCCATTTTGCAATCATGAGGGAAGAAGCCTGAGGCAAAGGCAACATGCTTAGGGTAGCAGAATAGGAATATCGACAAATCTAGACTCCTATATTAGGTTGAGCTGCTAAACCAATCAATGCCAGTACTGCCTCCCTACAAACTTAGTACCTAGTCACTCAGAGATGAGACTATGGAGTCAGACTTCCTAGGTTCAAATTCTAACTTTACCACTTACCAGTTGTGTGACTTTGGACTTCTCTGTGCCTCATATTTCTGATTTGTATACCTACCCTGTAGTATTCGTTTTAGAATTAAATGAATTGATATGTGGAGAATGCTAGAACCATAACTGATCACTCAAACATTTAACATTTTTTTATCATTTAAGACATTTTGTGTTGCATCTTCTAGTTGTTGCTTTTGAAAGCATCCTATGTAACACAGCAACTTTCAGTTAACCTTTCTCCTGTCAAAAAGTTAGGAAACTAACAACAAAAAGGCAAACCATCCCTTAAACAATGAAAAAAGGACTTGAATAGATATTTCTCCAAAGAAGACAGACCATGGCCCACAAACACATGAAAACACACTCAGTATCATTCATCATTAGGGGAATGCAAATAAAAATGAGGCACCGCTGCACACTCATTAGGATGGGAATAATTTTAAAAAAAAAGAAAACAGAAAATAGCGAGTATGGGTGAGGATGTGGAGAAACTGGAATTTGTATATTGCTGGTGGGAATGTAATACGGTTCAGCCACTGTGGGAAACAGTTGGCGGTTCCTCAAATGACTCAACACAGCATCACCACAGGACCCAGCAATTCCACTCCTAGGTGTCTGTACCCAAAAGAATTGAAAACAGGGACACAAGTACATGTATACACATGTTCATGGCAGCACAGTAGCCAAAAGGTGGAAGCAAACCACATGTCCATTGATGGATGAATGGATAAATTAATTGTGATATATACATACAGTGGAATAATATTCAGCCATAATAAATTAGAAAAAAATGATGAGAAATGGGAAAAATATCCCATTTACAAAAGCAACCAAAATCAAATACTCAGGATCAAACACAGAAGAAAAACAAAACGACCTAAGGACATGGAAGAAGACTTGAAATGCAGGGAAACATCACGCACCTGAATGAGAAGGCTCGGGGCCGACATAATGTCAATTATTTCCAAATCAATCTGTGAATTTAATCCATCTTTAATTTTTTAACTTGACAAACTGATTTTTAAATTCTACTCAAAGAATAAATATGTGAAAGTAACTAAAATAATTTTTTTTAAAAGGAGCCAGGTGTGGTGGTTACGGGACTGTATTTCTAGTTACTCTGGAGGCTGAACTGAGACAGAAGGATTGCTTGAGCCCAGAAGTTTAAGACCAGCCTGGGCAACATAGTGAGACCCCATTTAAAAAATTAAAGGGGATAGCTGTTACTAGATAGTAAGATATATTTCAAAATTACTCTAATTTGGGAATTTGATACCAACATAGGAATGAGAAAATTGATTACTGAACCAGAAATCAGAATTTATCATATACTGATTGGTATGTGCAATTGGTAGGAAAAGGAAAGATTAATTAAATAGTCTGGGAACAACCGGCTTGAAACTAATATACTAAAATAAATTCCACAGGGATTAAATACAAAAATAAAACTACAATAGAACTCAAAGAAAATACAAGTAAATATTTTCCCATTTACCAGAACTCATCCATATGGCTCAACTCAACCGCAGGGGAGGCTTGAAAACGTGTGTGGCTCTTTGGGAAGCACTCACTGTTACTGCCATAGATACCTAACCTATTTCTAGGAATGAGGGAAAGGATGAAACAAAGGATTGAAACCGAAGGGCTTTCTGCCTATCCTTATGTTTATCAAAAAATTCCAATACCCAAAATACACCATCCCACAATTATAATTGGTTGCATAGGCAAAGCTTCTCTTTCTCATTTGATAATCCTGTATATCTTTATAAGGAGCACATTTTTAGCTGATATTCCAGCTGCATATTGGAATTACATCTGTTCTCATTCTCTTGTTAATAATGTTAATAACGAAGCTTGACTAATAAATTGCAAGGGCTAACTTTGGAGTGACTGGTTCAAAATTCCTTGCTAGTGAGGAAAACAAAAGAACAAATATATTTTAAGAATAGATCCACCATAATAACATGCTGATGGTCAAAACTGATCAGGTAATTTGGATGAAGCCTCACACCTTCTTACACTTTGCAAAAGAAATAGCAGGAAAGGACAGACAAGCCTGGGCTCCTGTTCAGCCCTGGGGAGGAAGCAGGTACAATGGAGCTGGCAGTGTGGTCATTCCTGCTGTGCCAAGCCAATTTGCTTGAACTTGAAACAGAAGTGTTAACCTCACGGCACGCAAGTCCACCCATCCTCTGCTTTTGCCCTCCTTGGGGGCTTTCAGTGGCGCTTGTTGGGGGGAGAAAAAGGTGCTTGTTTTATTCCCAGTTGTACAGAGCAGCTGATCAGTGTCTGCACGACTTCTTGAACAAAGAATGTATTTCAGACCTTCTTATTGCTTGCTTACTTCATTTAACATTTAACAGATGTCAGTTGTGACACACACACACTTTCTCCCTAGGCAATGGATTAAGGCAAATTTCATTTTATGCCTGGCACGAAAGCCATGCTACATTGTATATTGAAAGACTTTTTTTTTTTTTTAAGAGAGAAAGAGGGGAAAAACAATTCTGCCTTAAAATCCCTAATAATGCAAGAAAACCAATTTCCGCAAAGGCATTGTCCTGGAAAGCTTTGTTGGTTTATGGTGCCACCTAATGGGGATGTGTCAGATTACACAAGGGCTATTGCATCAGGTCGCACACCCTGTCATGGTGAACACACTGGTGGTGTGTGGCTGGGAATGCAGTTTATGCAGATGCCTGTGCTGGATGAGATGTTATCGTCACGTACTGTGTCTATGTCTAGTTATTTAACCTTGGGCAAGTCCCTCCACGCCTCTGAACTCAAGGATCCTCACCTAAAGGAGGCTTCTGGATGCCTTCTTTGTGAGACTGTTCACAGGACAAAGAAAAGGTGTACTTGGCTGGGCGAGGTGGCTCATGTCTGCAATCCCAACACTTTGGGAGGCTGAGGCAGGAGGATCACTTGAGGCCAGAAGTTTGAGACCAGCCTGGGCAAGATGGCAAGACCCCATTTCTACAAAATAAAAATTAAAAAATTAGCTGGGTGTGGTGTGTGAGCCTGTATCATACTCCATATCTGGGTAACAGAGAGACTCTGTCAAGAAAGAAAGAAAGAGAAGAAAGAGGAGAAAGAAAGATGAGAAAGAAAGAAAAAAGAGAAAGAGAAAAAAGAAATAAAGAAAAGGAAGAGAGAGAAGGAAAGAGAGGGAGTGAGGAAGGAAAAGAAGGAAGGGAGCAAGGAAACAAAGGAAGAAAAAGAGGGAAGGAAGAAGGAAGGAAAAAGAGAAAGAAAAGAAAGAGAAAGAAGAAAGAGAAAGAAAGGAAGGAAGAAGAAAGAAAGAAAAAGAAAGAAAGAAAGGGGAAAGAAAAGGTATATTTGAAATGGAGACATAGCCCAAGGCTCTTAAACTCAGGGTTATGTCAGTCATGATGTAATAAAATCATGAGGCCCTACATATATTGTTTTTCTCCTTTTGGTATAAGCTTGGGTTTCAGAGCCATGTTTTTCGACGCCAGTAAAACTTCCAGCACTAGCATGGAAATGAACTGCAGTCGATGGCTGCCCTCAAGGTTGGAGAGGGGATAGGAAACTGGGGCTGCGTTGAACTGGACAACACTTGTCTGGTCTCAGGTGGATGACTGGTGTCAGCCCAGAATGGCCAGGAGGTGTGGCAAGATTTTCCTGTTTGCCTAAAGAAAGTAACCACTTGGGATCTCCTGCTTGTAAATGTTGGCCCAAGTTTTTGAACTCTACAGGGGCTAAAGAAATCATCCCCGAGGACTGAGTTCAGCTTGTGGGTCTCCAGCTTGCGCTCTCTGCTGTTCATTGCTATAGTCTTGCAAGAAGGTGGGTGCTAGGTGTGGAGCCCACTCTATCCAGGGTACTCTATCTGTGGGGAAGGGGGGCTCAATGCTCCATGTCTTGGGGGAGGATAGTGGGAATCTAGTGGCAGAATCAGGAGTGGGGACCTGAATCATTATGTTACTGGCCTGAGGCCAGAAGCTCAGCCTGGTGGAGGCCTAGGTAAGGCCTTCCCTGGTTGTCAATCCTCCTTCCTCGCCACCATGTCTTTCTCTCCTCTTCCTTGGAACGGCTTTCCCTGAAGCCTCCAGGCTTCTCTGATGAGATCCCCTCAAGAGCTAAACAGTTACTGGACACCATTGAGAAGAGTGCCAGACTGAGAGTCAGACCTGTGCATACACACTTGCTGTGTGGCCTTGAGGGGGAACCTCCACCTCTCTGAGTCTTTGTTTCCTCATTTATAAAGTGGGGAGGAAGAGAAAAGCCTTTCCCAGCTTCTCAGGATGGCACCTGGGTACAGATCATAGAGATGATGCATGAGGCGTGCTTTGTGAACTTGAAAGTGCTGAGCAGTACTTGGTTATTGTAAAACAATGACATCTACTTTGAATAATTCTTAAATCCTGGTACAGAATTAAGAAAGGATCATCTATTCATTTAGTCAACTATTTGTTCAAGAAATACGTACTGAGCCTCCATTATGTGCCAGGTACGTCTAAGCAATGACTAAGACAGACATGGATTGCCTGTCATGGAATGTCAATTCTAGAGTAGGAGGTAGAGAATAGGGAAGAAAGGAGGGAAAGAGGGAAGGAGGGAAGGAAGGAAGGAAGAAGGGAAAGAAGGAAGAAGGAAAGGAAGGGAAGGGGGGAAGGACAGAAGGAATGAGGGAGGGAGGAAAGGAAGGAAGGAAAGAAGGAGGGGAGAAGGGGAGGAGGGAGGGAGGGAAGGAAAGAAGGCGGCTTGAAATTGGCCATGATGAGTATTTACACCACCAACATTGAAAAACTCAGTAAATCAGGGTCCTTCCTGCAGGCTGACTTTTAAATATTTGCCATCAACTACTGAAGCCAGAGATTAGAGTGAGGAGCCAGAGGAGGATTCTGAGTGCAGGAGAAACACAATTTGCTATCAATTTTATCCATTTTTCAAAGTTTCCTCTTCATGATGTGGAGAATAGGCTGCAGCCAGGCACAGCAGCAGCGGGAGTATCAGCCTAGAAGGCTGTGAAATAACACAGGCATGAGATGCAAGGTTGGGCTAGCAATGGAGTAGCCAAACACGGATGGTTGGGATATGATGGGGGGCAAGGCTGATGGCATTCATTTGTGGATTGGCTGTGGGGTAAAGATAGAGACACAGCTGGTGAATCATACAGACACACTCTGTTCATGAAGAGCTTACACTTTAGTGGGAGAAACAAAGCAGGCAGTCAGCTAGGACTCCCACAAATATTTAGTTATAGTGGCTCTCGATGACATATAACGCAGGGAAACCTAGCCAAGTTTGGAAATGACATTTAAGCTTTGCTAAGGTGAGGTACGGTACAATCACACACCCATGGAGATATTTACATATTTCCTCCACAACTGATTTGGTTCTGCAAACATGCAAGGCCCCAAACATGTCATTCGCTAGTAATGGACTATGGCAAGGAGGAATCAGGAACGTGGAAGCTTTCAAAAATTGCCTACCCACCCAACTTCTGGGTTTTGCCTGTTCCGTCAGGATCCGCTGTGAGCTGCTAGGGTAATGGGGCAAACGGTGGAGATGCAAATGAAAATAGAAATGCTGAGAGAACAGGTTATCTAGTGGAAAGAGGGTGCCAAAGGAAGCAGGGTAGCTAGTGTGAGTGGACTGTTTGATACAGTTTGGGAAAGAGAAAGTTTTGGAGGAGAGCAGGTACCCTGATAAGGGGAGTCTTGAGGAAGCAGATAGGCGATGAGTTTCTTCAGGGCTGATGAATGGTTGTGTTATTCAACCGGTTCTGCACTGACCACCATGTGACTTTGCTCCTAAGAAAAAGCAGAATATATTTCCCCACCCCTGGATTTGGGGTTTGGCCATGTAATTTGCTTTGGCTGAAAGACGGAGATGAATGGGAGTGACAGGGAGCCAGTTATGAGATTTCTGCCTTAAAGGCTTTCCACATTTGCCATTGCCATCTGCCATTGTTTGCCACACGAGGAGAATGAGAGACACACGCTGCAGAGCCAGCCCAGCTGAGCCCTGCCTATGTCAGCCAAAAAGCAGCTGACCTGCAGACATGAGAGCAGTTATAAATGATCATTGCTTTACCCTGCCGAGTCTTGAGGAGGTTTTTGCACAGCAACAGCTGACTAATGCAGGGCTTTACTGTGTGTCCCACAGTGTAGTTTGGCTTTTCCTCATTTGACTTAAGTAGAGACTTTAATTAGTTCTAAATGCTTTCCAAATGGTTACTATTTCTTTTGATAGTATTGAAACTGCCTTTGCAAAAACTATGTCAGTGAGAAAAATTATAACAGTAAGCTGAGCTAAATTGTTGCAGGTAGTTAGATGGGCATGAGCGGGGCAGGAGAGTGCTCTTCCCCCACCTACTAGGAATGTCAGGTGATGGTCTGACAGCTATCACACTGTCTCTGTAAAAATGGTCATGCGGGGACCTGGGTGCCGTGGCTCACACCTGTAATCCTAACACTTTGGGAGGTGGAGACTGACAGATAGCTTGAGTCCAGGAATTCAAGACCAGCCTGGACAACAAGGCGAAATCCTGTCTCTACAAAAAATACAGAAATTAGCCAGGCGTGGTGGCACCCACCTGTAGTCCCAGCTACTCAGGAGGCCAAGGTGGGAGGATCAATTGAGCCCTGAAGGTTGAGGCTGCAGTGAGCCGTGATTGCACCACTGTACTCCATCTTGGGCGACAGAGCAAGACCTTGTCTCAAAAAAAAAAAAAAGCTTTTGTTACCATAAGTAGTTAGGCAGACACGAGCAGGGCAGGAGAGGGCCCCCTTCACCAGGAATGTCAGGCGACCATCAGGTGATGATCAAGTGGTTGTTAAACTGTCTCTAAAATACAAATTGGTTGCAGCCGGTGCCAGGGAAAGGCAAGCTCTCAATAGATAGAAAACACCTGAAACTGATGATCAGCAGCTTCCTGATAAGATCTCAGGAGCTGGGTGAGTGAACTCAAGCATGCACACTAAGAGGCAAAATGGTGGAATTAACCGGTATATGACCTTCCTCTGGGAATACTCCACCGGTAAGGGAAAAATGTTTCAAGTCAGCTTGCATACAACTTCAGTAAACACACTGCACATGTGGCCCCTCCTAAGTGCTGGCAGGCCACCCCAAACGAAGAATCAGGGGAGAAGGGCGCAATCCCCCCGGAAGCATGCCAACATATAAAACCCCAAGTCAAAGGTCAAACCTCGCACTTGATCTCTCAAGTCACCCGCTTGGCCCTCTTCCAAGTGTACTTCACTTCCTTTCATTCTTGCTCTAAACTTCTTAATATATTTCCACTCCTGCCCTTAAACTTGCCTCAGTTTCTCCCTCTGCCTTATTCCCCTTGGTTGAATTATTTCTTCTGAGGAGATAAGAATTGAGGTTGCTGCAGTCTTGTATGGATTCGCCGCTGCTAACAGCTAAAATGGTAAATTTTGTTATGTATATTTTATCACAATAAAAATTAACAATAAGAGATCATTGGCTATTTAAACACAAATAATAACCTTGTATTATAGGGGTTATCACCTATATAAACTGGAAAACATAAAAACAATAACATAAAGGCTGATGGGGAGAAACAGAAGTATACTAATGTAAGGATATCATACAACATATGAAGAGGCATAATATCACTCAAAAGTATATTGTGATAAGAAAAGATGTATGCTACCACTAAAATAATAAAACAAAGAGTTAAAGCTAATAAGTCTATAATGGAGATAAAAATAGACCACAAAAATGCCCAACTAATTCAAATCAATCCAGTTAATCTAAAATAATCCAATTAATCTAAAAGAAGACGGAGGAAAAAAGGAACAAAGAACAGGTGGAAAAATAGGAAACAAATGCCAACCTGATAGAGTGAAAGTTAGCCATTACAGATAAAAAGTTTAAATAAAAATAGTCCAAATAGCCCCATTAAAAGGCAGACTCTCTCAGATTGGATAAAAATGCAAGACAACTTTGTGTTGCCTGCAAGAAATGCATTTTAAAATATATAGACACAAATAGATTAAAAGTGAATTTTTTTTTTTTTCTTGAGGCCAGGCTGTTCTCAAACTCCTGGGCTCAGGTGATCCACCTGCCTTGGCCTCCCAAAGTGCTGGGATTACAGACATGAACCATGGTGCCTAGCCAAATAGTGAAAGTTTTGACAAGGGTATGCCATTGCTGACACTAGTCAAGAGGAAGCTGGAGTGGCTGAGCAGTTCCCTGGGAGCCAAAATCCAACCCTGTGTGTGAGTTTTTAGCCATTACAAAGGCCTCACCACAGGGTTTGTTCCATGGGCCCTCCCCACCTGGCCTCGGTGCACAGTCTGAGCACTGAAGTCCCTTGGGGGGAGTTGTATCAAGGACTCAGTTCCCCTGCCCTCATGTTCTTACACATACCTGCATTCCCAGCTCAGACATTTCCATGCAGAGGCCCCTGGATCAGGGGGGCCCTGGCAGAGGTCTTTACTGGCTGCCTCTACTGAGACCGCCTTTTGGGGGTAACCTGAACATGCTTTTCTCCATTCTTTCTTTTCCCCCCTCTGTCGCCAGGCTGGAGTGCAGTGGCGTGATCTTGGCTCACGGCAACGAGCCTCCGCCTCCCGGGTTCAAGCGATTCTCCTGCCTCAGCTCTCCTTCCTCAGCCTCCCGAGTAGCTGGGACTACAGAATTTTTTGTATTTTTAGTAGAGATGGGGTTTCACCATGTTGGCCAGGATGGTCTTGAACTCCAGACCTTGTGATCCGCCCGCCTCAGCCTCCCAAAGTGCTGGGATTACAGGTGTGAGCCACCGTGCCCAGCCGCTTTTCTCCATTCTAACCCAGCATTCAGTACTTTTCTACTCCTGGCCTTCCCCTACCCAATCCCCACCCTTCACCACAGGGTCCATAAAATCCCAGCAAAAGCAAAATAGCAGGAGCCTCTTGTTCGGCAGCCCCTCTCCCTCAGCAGGGAGACGATCACCCCCATACTCCAATTCCCCTCCTCAGAGCTGCTACATGGGGGAAAACATGGAACACTCTGGGAGCTGGCACTTCTTCCTGTTTTGCTTCTTGCTTATATTATTGCATAAGTGAATAAAGTCTTAATGGTTTTTTTTTTTTTTTTAGTTTGGCCGTTTTCTTAACTGACCACCTTAAAACCTAGCAGCTCAGCTCTCGACAGAGGTTATATTAATAAAATAAAAGTAAATCTCGGAGTGAAAAATGTTACCGTGGACAAAGAGAGTCATTTCATAATGATAAATTGGTCAATTAATGAAAATGTGGCAATCCTAAGTGTTTATGTACCTCATAACAGAGCTTCAAAATACATGAGGCAAAAACTGATAGACTGCAAGGAGAAATAAACACATCCATAATTGTAGTTGGGGATTTCGATAATCCTTTCTCAATAATTAATTGAACAAGTGGACAGAAAATCAGCAAGGATATAATAGATTTGAACAATACTATCAAACAACTCCTAATTGACATTTTTACAACACTCTATCCAATGGCAGCAGAATACATGTTATTTTCAAGTACACATGGGCCATTTACAAAGACCAACTACATTCTGAGCCATAAAACAATTCTCAATATATGTAAAAAGATTCAAGTCATACAAATATGTTCTTTGACCACAATGAAATTAAATTAGAAATCAATAGAAGAGAGATAACTGAAAAATATCCAAATATCTGGAAACTAAATAACATGCTTCTAAATAACCCATAGTTCAAAGAATAAATAAAAAGGGAAATTACTAAATATTCTGAACTGAATGAAAATGAAAATACAGTATATCAGAATTTGTGGGATGCCACTGATGGAACTGTATAGCACCAAATGCCTATTTTACAAAAAAAGAAATGACTCAAGGCAATGACCTCAGGATCCATCTCAGGAAATAAATAATAAAAACAAGAGTGCACATTAAACTCAAAGGAAGCAGACAACAGGAAATAATGAAGATCAAAACAGAAATTGATAAAATAGAAGACAGAAAAACAGTAGAGAAAATCAACAAAAACAAAGCTGGTCCCTTGACAAGAAAAATAAAATGGAGCCAGGCATGGTGGCTCACGCCTGTAATCCCAGCACTTTGGAAGGCGGGACAGTTGGATCACCTGAGGTCAGGAGTTTGAGACGAGCCTGACCAATATGGTGAAACCCCATCTCTACTGAAAAATGCAAAAATCAGCTGGGCTTGGTGGTGCACACCTGTAATCCCAGCTACTCAGGAGGCTAAAGCAGGAGAATCGCCTGAACCCGGGAGGCGGAGGTTGCCCCATTGAGCCGAGATCGCCCCATTGCACACCAGCCTGGGCAACGAGAGTGAAACTCCATCTCAGAAAAAAAAAAAGGAAAAGAAAAAGAAAATGGATAAAACTCGAGATAGACTGATTAGGAAAAAAGAGAGATCAAAATTTTTCATATTAGGAATGACAGAATAATATCTACAGATATTAAAAGGATAAAAAGGGAGTATCATTTTAAAAACTTTATGCCTATAAATTTTACAATGGAAATGAAATTAATAAATTTCCTAAAACACATAAAATATCAAAGCTCAGTCACAAACAGATAATAGCCTTATATTTTAAAAAAAATTCAATTTAGGCTGCGCATGGTGGCTCACACCTGTAATCCCAACACTTTGGGAGGCCAAGACAGGCAGATCACCTGATGTCAGGAGTTCAAGACCAGCCTGACTAACATGGCGAAACCCCGTCTCTACTAAAAATTCAAAAAAATTAGCTGGGCATGGTGGCACACACCTGTAATCCCAGCTACAAGGGAGGATGAGGCAGGAGAATCACTTGAACCCGGGAGATGGAGGTGGCAGTGAGCCAAGATCATGCCACTAGACTCCAGCCTAGGTGACAGAGACTCCATCTCAGAAAATAAGTAAATATATAAATAAAAATAAATTTTAAAAATTTCAATTTGTAGTTAGAAATCTCCCACAAAGAAAATTCTAGACACAGATAGCTTTGCCAGTGAATTCTACCAAACATTTAATGAAGAAATAATACCAATTCTATGCAAACTATCCCAGAGAATTTAAGAGGTGGGAATACTTCTAAGAGACCAGAATTACCATGATACAAAAACCTTACAAAGATATAACCAAAAAAGCAAACTATAGGCCAAGATCCTTCATGAATATAGAAGAAAAAAATTAAAATTTTAGCAAGTTGAATTCAAAATATGTAAAAAGAATAAAATATCATGACAAATTGGGATTTTCCTTCCTGGGAATTCAGGATGCTTTAACACTGAAAATAAATCAATACAATTCTCCATATTAGCAGAAAAGAAAAATCATATGATCATCTCAAAAGACACAGAAAAAGCATGTGGCAAAAATCTAACACATATTATTAAATAAAAACTTTCATCAAACTAAGCATAAAAAAACATTTCCTCAAACTGAAAAAGGGCATCTGTGATGGCTAATACTGAGCGTTAACTTGATTGGATTGAAGGATGCAAAGCATTGTTCCTGGGTGTGTCTGTAAGGGTGTTGCCAAAGGAGATAACATTTGAGTCAGTAGACTGGGAGAGGCAGACCCACCCTCAATTTGGGTGGGCACCATCTAATCAGCTGCCAGTGCAGCTAGAATATAAGCAGGCAGAAGAACGTGGAAGGACTAGACTTGCTGAGTCTTCTGGCTTTCATCTTTCTCCTGGGCTGGATGCTTCCTGCCCTCGAACATCAGACTCTGAGTTCTTCAACTTTTGGACTCTCAAGCTTAACACCAGTGGTTTGCTAAGGGCTCTCAGCCCTTGGGCCACAGACTGAAGGCTGCACTGTTGGCTTCCCTACTTTTGAGGTTTTGGGGTTTGGACTGGCTTTCTTGCTTGTCAGCTTGTAGACGGCCTATCATGGGACTTCACCTTGTGATCGTGTGAGTCAATACTCCTTAAAAACTCCCTTTCATATATACATCTATCCTATTAGTTCTGTCCCTCTAGAGAACCCTGAATAATACAGCATCTATGAAAAATCTATAGCTAACAACATACTTAATGATAAAAGACTGAATGCATTTTCTGTGTGATCAGGACTAAGACAAGGATGTTTGCTCTCACCACTTGTATTCAACCTTGTGCTGGAGACTCTGGAACATATAATCAGACATGAAAAAAATGCATCCAGAATGGAAGAAATAAAACTGTTTTTATATATAGCCAACATGATCATCTATGTAGAAAATCTAATAGAAACCACAAAAAAGTTAGAAGTAATAATTGATTTTAGCTAAGGTTTTAGGATAAAATATCAATATAAAAATCAATTGTATTTCTACTGACTAGCAAAGAACAATCAGAAGTTGAAATTTTAAAAATATTTTAAATAACATAAAAATATGAAATACTTAGGGATAAATCTGACATAAGATGTGAAAGACCTGTACACTATAAACTATAAAACATTGCCAAGAGAAATTCAAGACCTATATTAATGGAGAGATATACCATGTTTATGGATTAAAAGACTCATTATTGTTAATATGCCAATGATCTCCAAATTATGAATTCAATGGAGTCACAATAAAAACCCTAGCAGACATTTTATAGAAATTGAAAGACTTTAAGATTAATATGGAAATAAAAGGGACCTAGGCTAGACAAAACAATATGGGAAAAGAACTAAGAGGATGAACATTATCTCACTTCAAGACTTATTACAAAGCTACAGTAACCAAAATCGTGGGTATTGACATCACAATAGACAAGGGATATCATTAAACAAAATAGCCTAGAAAGAGACCTACACATATATGGACTCTGTGTGTGTGTATGTGTGTGTGTGTGTTTACAAAGGTGCAAATGCAATTAAGTGGAGAAAGGACAGTCTTTTCAACAAATAGTGCTAGAATAATTGGGTACCATATGCAAAATCCATACTTCACACTATACATAGAAATGAACTGAAAAATGGGTCACAGGCCTAATGAAAAAACCAAAAACTATAATATTCCTAGAAGAAAATCTTTGTGACTTTGCATTGGGCAAAGATTTCTTAGCTGTGACACCAAAAGCATGATCCATAAAAGAACAAATTTATAAATTGGATTTCATCAAAATTTAAAACTTCTGTTTTTCAGATGACACTATTAAGAGAATGAGAAAACAAGCCAGAGACTAGGAGAAAATATTTGCACAGAATACATCTGATAAGAGCCTTCATCCAGAATGTATAAAGAACTCTCAAAACTCAGTTATAAAAACAATAAAACAATGGGCAAAAGATTGGAACAGACACTTCCACAAAGAAGATATATGGATGGCAAATAAGCATATGAAAAGATGTTCAAAATCATTAATAGTTAGGAAAATGCAAATTAAAAGCACTATATGCCTACTAGAATAGCTAAATTTAAAAAGATTGACAATACCAAATGTTGTCAAGGAGGTGGAGGAATTGGAACTCATACACTGTTGGAAACAAAAAATGGAAAATAGTTTGGCAGTTTCTTAAAGAGTCAAACATATACCTGCTATATGATCCAGCACTCGTATGTATTTATCCAAGAGAACTAAAAGCATATCATAAAAAGACTCATACATAAATGTTTACAGCAGCTTTATTTGTAAAAGTCCCACACTGGAAACAACCCAAATGTCCATAATAGGTAACTAGATAAAGAAACTTTGGTATATTCATACAATGAAATACTATTCAGCAATAAAAAGAAAGGTCTATTGATACATATAACAACATGAATGAATGTTAAAGTAATTATGCTGAGTAAAAAGAAGCCAGACCAAAAAAAAGTACTTATTGTATTCTTACATTTGTGTAAACCTCTAGAAAATTAAAATTAATCTATATGGCAGAAAGCAGATCAGTGGCTGCCTGAGAGGAGGGTACACAGAGACAGACAGGAAGGAGAGATTACAAAAGGGCATGAGGAAACTTTTTGGGGTAATGTATATGTTCACTATGTTGATTGTCTTCATGGGTACATACATATGTCAAAACTTATCAAACTGTACACTAGATATATATATGCTGTTTATTTTATGTCATTTATACTTCAAAATGTCGTTAAAACTCTCAACAAATTAGGTATGGAAGGAATGTTCCTCAATGTAATAAAGGCCGTATTTGACAAGCCCACAGCCAACATCATACTCAATGGTAAAAAGCAGAAAGCTGGCCGGGCATGGTGGCTCACGCCTGTAATCCCAGCACTTTGGGAGGCTGAGGCGGGCAGATCACGAGGTCAGGAGATCGAGACCATCCTGGCTAATATGGTGAAATCCCGTCTCTACTAAAAATACAAAAAATTAGCCTGGCGTGGTGGTGGGTGCCTGTAGTCCCAGCTCCCAGCTACTCGGGAGGCTGAGGCAGGAGAATGGTGTGAACCTGGGAGGCGGAGCTTGCAGTGAACCGAGATCATGCCACTACACTCCAGCCTGGGCGACAGAGTGAGACTCTGTCTCAAAAAAAAAAAAAAAAAAAAAAAAAGCAGAAAGCTTTTCCTCTAAGTTCAGGAACAAGGCAAGGATGCCTACACTCACCACTTCTATTGTACATAGTACTAGAAGTGCTACCTAGAGCAGTTAGGCATGGAAAAGAAATAAAAGTCGTCCAAATCAGAAAGGAAGAAGCAAACTTGTCTCTGTAGATGACATGACCTTGTATACAGAAACTCCACCAAAAAACTGTTAGACCTGATAAATTAATTCAGTAAAGTTGCAGGATACCAAAATCAACATACAAAAATGAATTGCATTTCTATACACCAACAACAAACTATCTGAAAAAGAAAGAAAGAAAACAATCCTACTTACAATAGCATCAAACACAATAAAAATACTTAGGAATAAATTTAATCAAGAGTTTAAAGATCTGTACATTGACAACTATAAAACACTGAGGAAATAAATTGAAGATGACACAAATAAAAATAAAGATATCACATGTTCATGTATCAGAACTAATATTATTAAAATGTCCATACTACCAAAGGTGATGTATAGATTCAATGCAACAGAATTTCTCTATCAAAATTCCAATGGCATTCTTCACAGATATAGAAAAAAATGATTCTAAAATTCATATGGAACCACAAAAAACCATGAATAACCAAAGCAATCTTGAGAAAGAAGAACAAAGCTGGAGGCATCACATATCCTGATTTCAAACTATGTTACAAAGCTATATTAATCCAAACAGTACAGTACTGGCATAAAAACAAACAGACCAATAGAACATGAGTTCGAATGGTACAGGTCCATTTATATGTGAATTTTCTTCTGCTTGTGGCACACCTGGGACAGCAAGACCAATCCTCCTATTCCTTCTCTTCCTCAGTTTACCCAACAGGAAGACAAGGAGGTTGAAGACCTATCCACTTTGACTTAATAGTAAATATATTTCTCTTCCTTATTATTTCGTTTAATAACACTGTCTTTTCTATAGTTTACTTTAGCATAAGAATACAGCATATAATACATATAACATACAAAATATGTGTTAATCGACTGTTTATGTTATTGGTCAATAGTAGGCTATTAGTCATTAAAGTTTTTGGAGAGTCAAAAGTGTTATGCAAGAGCTGGGCACAGTGGCACATACCTGTAGTCCCAGCTACTCAGGAGCCTGAGGCAGGAGGATCCCTAAAACCTAGTAATTCAAGGCCAATCTGGGCAACATAGTGAGACCTCATGTCTCAAAAAAAAAAGCTATATGCTGGTTTTTGACTGTGCAGGGGTCAGTGCTCCAACTCCATGTTGTTCAAGGGTCAACAGTATATTATATGCAGAATCTAAGAAAGTAGAACTCATCAAAACATAAAGTACAATGGCAGTTGCCAGGGAATGGGGGTGGAGGAAATGGGTAGATTTTGACCAAAGGGCACAAACTTTCAGTTATAAGATGAGCATTTTCTGGGAATCTAATGTATAGCATAGGTGATAATGTATGTATGTTTTAACTTGATTGTAGTAATCATTATACGATGCATTAGATTGGTGCAAACATAACTGCACCAACCTAATATATGTATATCAAATCATTACATTGTATACCTTGGGTATATATAATCTTCATCAATTAAGTAAATAAAGATAAAATGGTCAGGTGAGTTTAATAATTAAGAGTGGAAAGAAGGAAAAGTCAGTTAAGATTTTGCTTGTAGTTAGAGAATAAATAGAGCCAAATAAGTATAATTTCCTTGTTCAATTAAAAATCATGAAAAAACTAGCACCAATGTGAATGTATGCTAATTGTGCAATGGTTTTGTACAGTGTGATAATCTACAAATTCAAATACTACACAAGTATTTAAAAAACCCAAAACCATTGTGAAAATGTTTATGGTCTAATGCTAAGTGAGTAAAGGAGACTGAAAAATTGTGCCTAAAACTATGGGTGACAACTTTCCTTCTTACTACTAAAACTCGTTTTGAGCAGTAACTAGTAATAAAATAGAAATGGAAGCATTTTAAGCTTTTTAATTTTTAATGGATGACTTAAAGACAGTCACTTATTTTTTTTCTAAATGATTCAAAACCTAACCAGGTGGTATGGAGGAAAACCCAGCACTTTTTGAGGAGTCTGAATAATCAGGCAATTGACCACATCAAACAAATGCATCTCTAGTAGAGGTTGAAAATGCCTTCTCCAAAATGCTTGAAATCAGAAATGTTTCGGACTTGGGGTTTTTTGTTGTTTTTTTTTTTTATTTTGGAATATTTGCATATATGCAATGAGATATCCAAGTCTAAACATGAAATTCATTTATGTTTCACATACCTTAGACACATGGTCTGAAGGTAATTTTATACAATATTTTAAATAATTTTGTGTATGAAACAATGTGTACACTGAACCATCTGAAAGCAAAGGTGTCACTATCTCATGTTAGCGCTCAAAAACTTTCAGATTTAGGGGCATTTTGAAATTGAGATTTTTGGATTAGGGATGCTCAACCTGTACTGATTTTAAAAGAAGGCATTCCTGGGAATGATACAGCCCAATAGTAATGACAACTGCCATTAAAACCAAAAAGCTAGATTGAAATATCATCAGAATAAGTTGTCACATCACTGATTCTTCACTAAAACACTTCTATTCAAAAGGCTCAATTTTTGTAGATTGCTAAAGTAGGACCTGAGACCAGGTATCACAAATGTACAAACTTAACACTTAAGCTTTTTAAAACCTTCTTACCAGGATCTCTGGTTTTCTGGGTGCCATGGCAACTCCAACTAGAAAAAGAAATGAAACTCCCTTTGGCTAGAAACTGTGTTCATGTCATTCATGAGGCCCCCTAGGTGTCTATTGAAGATTATATGAGCTACAGTTCACAAACGCACTTTGCGTTGGTTCCACAAGCACTACTGAACACCTATTTTTTAGCAGGTTCCACATGCTGGGCATACAAGAATGAATAAAACACAATCTCTGCCCTGGAAGAATTTACAAAGAAATAGTGGTACTACAGGTGCTGTGGAACTGCAAAGAGCACGTAAATGTTAGCTTAAAGGTCTCTTTCTAACATCAAACTTTATTTCTCCTGTTTTCACATTCTTACTGCAAAAAACTGAAACAATTCAGAAAAAAAAAATTTGAAACTCTCTGAAATCCTACCATCAAGAAATAAGCATCATTAACATTTGGTGAACATCTTTCTTAAGCATTCATGTATTAAATACATGAGGCTTATACTCTAAATGCTATTTTTTAAACTCAGTGCTATTTTTCAACCTTCCTTTCCTAAGCAGCAGCATGTAGTAGATCTCATGAGATGTTGCATCTTTTTTTAATGTGATGTCAGCTATTATCATTTATATGCCTTGGCCTGTCATAAAAGTCTGCAGAATCTAACTCAAGCCACCTCTGTTCATTCACCTCCACCTGATCTGGTAGGTGCTGCCTCTTGTCCTAGTGTAGAAGGGACCCTGACCTTGAAATTGAAAGGACTTGCTTCTGGTGCTGACCCTGTTCTGACCCTTAGCCATCACTTAAACCTTCCTAAGTTCCAGTGTTCTCTTCTGTAAAACTAGGGTTGTAAATATTTGCCCTGCCTGCCTTCTTCCCACTGGCTATTCCCTCTACTAAAAACTGGGCTCCTTGACCTCCAGGAATCTACAGGCCAGTGAGGGAGACAGGTAAGAAAAAAGGAAATTCGAAAACACTGTCAAGGGCTACCTCTACCCTAATACCTTAACAGTTTGTTCTCAACTCAGTATCTAGAGTGACTCTTTACATAAATAAATCAAATCTCGCCACTTGTATTAGTCTGTTCTCATGCTGCTAATAAAGACTGGGTAATTTATAAAGAAAAAGAGGTTTAATGGACTCACAGTTCCACATGGCTGGGGAGGCCTCACGATCATGGCAGAAGGCAGAGGAGCAAAGGCACTTCTTACATGGCAGCAGGCAAGAGAGTGTGTGCAGGGGAGCTGCCCTTTATAAAGTCATCAGATCGCATGAGACTTATTCACCATCATGAGAACAGCATGGGAAAAACCTGCCCCCATGATTCAATTACCTCCTACTAGGTCCCTCTCATGACACGTGGGGATTATGGAAGCTACATTTCAAGATGAGATTTGGGTGGGGACACAGCCAAGCAATATCACTACTTCTCTACCCAAAAATATTTCAGTGGCTAAGAACTCATTCAGAATAAAAACCAATGTCCTCACTATGACCTCTGAGGGCCTTTGCGACATGGCCACCCATTACCAATCTGTCCTCACTCCTGCCACTGGGTTCCTCCCTCACTCTACTTCAACCACACTGACCAACTTGCTGTTCCTGAAGATCACTAGGCATGCTTTTTCCTCAGAGCCTTTGCACTGGCTGTCCCCTCTGTCTGCAATGCTCTTCCCCAAGATATCAGTATGATTTCCTACTTGACCTATTTCAAGTCTTTGCTCATTTGTAACTTTCTGAGTAAGGCCTGCTGTGACCATTCTATCTAAAATGGAAATCCCACTCTGCTGAAGCCATCTGGATCTCCCTTGCCTCCTTGCTCTAGTACCACTTGCTAACCTTCCATATGTGTCACTCCTTACTCTCCTTATTGTCTTTCTCCTTGACTAGAAAATAAGCACTACAAGGGCAACATTTTTGTGTGCTTTGTTTCCTGATATTTCTATCTAGAACTATGTCTAGTGTAGTAGATGCCAAACAAATGCTTGTTGAATTAATTGGACAGAGCTGAACAGAGAATGGAAGGTAGGAAGACTGCCTCGTCACACAACTCTGGGTGCACCCTTCACACTGTAATCCATGTGATGGCAGCTCCTGGAGTTGTGCAACTGCACAGGCTTCACAGCTGTGCGGCAACCCCAACAACCACCATGGAATTACTTTGTCAAAGAGTATGAATCATTAAATAAAAATATTTTTTTTCTGGTAATGAAAAACTACAAAAGCATAAAAAGGAGAAAAAATCATCCCGAATTGTTCAACCTAGTGATAATACCCCCATTAATATTTGCTGAACATTCTTCTAGACACTTCTGTACTGATATGTACACATATAAATCTTCATTTTGCGTGACATCATACCATAAATGCTATACTAATATCTGTTTTTGTTTTTACTCAACAGTATATAACGATGAGCTCTCTGTATCAGTAAATATAAATCCGTATCATTTCTTTAAACCAGGAATCTGCAAATTAAGGCTCATAAGCCAAATCCACCTGTTTTTTTTTTTTTTGTAAACAAAGTTTTAGAGTGGAACATGATCATGCTGATTCCTTTATGTACTATCTATGGCCATTTCTGTGCTACAATGGCAGAATTGACTATTTCTGACAGAAACCATATGGCCCACAAATCTACAATATTTACTATCTATTCTTTTACAGAAGAGTTTGCCAGCCCTGCTTTGTAGCTGAGTATTAAATGGTATGAAAATATTCTATTTGAATTATTCCTCTATTAGAACACATTTAGCTTGTTTCTATTTTTGTTGATGAATAGGTCATATATATATATCTTTTGACTCATGTCCAGTGTATCACCTTAGGATAACTTCCTAGAAGTGGACTGGCTGGGCCAGACATGAACTCTGTAAACGTTCTTGATACACATGATTAAAATGCCCACAGCATGGAAACCTCATCTATTTCTGTGCCTTTGTATTTTCTTTGTGTAGTTTGGTTTTGTTTAGTTGGTTCAAGTAAAATTAGTTCCTTTTGAAAACGTTCAGCTTGTATGAACTCAACTAAAGGTATCAGGAATTTCCAACCACAACCTGGCCAGGAGTTTGCCAGAGGTCAAGAAAGCTCTTGTCCAGGTAGCTCCAAAGAGGCCAGGGATCTGGTGAGGAATGGAGAAGAGGAGAGGCTGAAAACTTAGAAGAGAGCAGCCAGGGACTGATGCAGGATCCTTTGAGCCTGCCGAAAGATCTGAACTCTGGGCCACAACTGTCCTTTTGACCCCATCCAGTTACTGGGAGTTTAACCATCCATGCTCCACACAACTGTAGCTTTTCTTCTCCTTCTGTCTACCTGTATCTCTGTCTCATTAGATTGCTCTGATTTTGTTATTGATTATCTAGGAAATAAATACAACCAACTTTTTGCCTATTTCCAAATTGTTACGGCTGGTAGAAATAATCAGCATAAAATAAAACTGACAACAGATCATACCACACATGGCAACATTGCTATTGATTAAAAGTGGACAGATGGCTCACATCATTTTAATAAAATTTATCCAATTTTTATTTTTTGTTTTTGTTTTTTATTCTAGTAGCTTTAGGGATACAAGTGGTTTTTTGTTACATGGATGAATTGTATAGTGGTGAAGTATGAAATTTTAGTGCACCCATCACCTGAGTAGTGTATATTGTACCCAATACGTAGTTTTGTATCCCTCATGCCTCACCCACTTTCTCCCTCTTTTGATTCTCCGATGTCCACTATATAACTCTGAATGTCTTTGTATCCTTACAGCTTAGCTCCCACTTATAACTGAGAACACACGGTATTTGGTTCTCCATTCTTAAGTTACTTCATTTAGAATGGCCTCCAGTTCCATCCAAGTTGCTGCAAAAGACATTTTCTTGACAAAATTTAGACTTGCAAAATTTGATGTCAGGGAGATTTGGATTTGTAAAACAGAAGCAAAAATTGTGGCTGTTGAAACTAAATAAGGAAGAATTAATGTGGTACAAAAAACTGATCAATGAATCTGATTTGTGTAAAAACAATGAAAATAAGAAAAGAATTGCAGTGAAAAGAAATTTCGATGAAATAAAAATAAACACAGCAAACATGGAAACTGGCTTTGCTGCATGGTACAGAATACCAATCAAGGGATTAAATTGGCTTGACATTGTGCTGGAAAATATTTTCCTGATGAAAAGCCACCTCTGTTGGGGATGAAATTTCTTTAAAGCCACAGCTAGACAAATAACTTTCTACTCATTACTGGACTTTTCTCATTAGCCAATTTTTCACAAGAATTTCGGGGTCTCTGAAATCACTAAAGCCCCAAGAAAAAGGAAAATGAAATCTCCTATCATTGCGCTGTGCAGAACCTGTTTTGCAAGCAAGTTACAGCCAATTTTAACACTTCTCACACTGACCTTACCATTTTTTAGAAGATAAAAAAATTCTGCACAGAAATTAAGTATTACGTACTTCTTTCTAACAATTCCAGGGAGGTAGACATTATTGTACCATTTCAAAGTCTTTTTATAGTGTACATTTAATAGCAAATAAGAGAATATTTTACAATTTGATTACATAATTTTACATGTGAGTTTTGTTGGGCTTATAGGCCGTATTATTTTTTACCCATCTACTATATTTCTTTAATAGGCTTCTGGTGAGGATTTTATAATGTTATGCTAGTTTGTCTTATTTTTATTAGAATATTCTTTTTATTGAAGATTTCCTATATCAAAAAAACAAAGGAGAAAAATAAAATATGAAAATTAGAAATCAGCCATGGCCTCTATGGAGTGCAGTCACCAATGTGCAAATACCAGAAGCAAAGTATTTTTATTTTTATTTTTATGGCTCCCGTGGTGACCTCATTTATAGACACTGTTCCCAAAGCTGAATTATGTACGAAAGCAAATACGGGAGACAGGAAGCAGGAAAGGAAAAGTGCAAAATCAATAAAGCAACATCTCAAACACCGTGAATGATCCCCTTATTTTTTCCCCCTCATCAGGATTGACTCAAGGCCAGGGCTGCAAAATACTGAGAAAGACCAATTAAAAATTCTAAGCTGTCTGAAATAACTGTGGTCACACAGGTGAAATTTGGTTTTCTTAAGAGAAAAAAGAAATTGTTAGCTTCTTGAGGGCAGAAATATTGTAGTATCTCTATATTGCCCACTAGCTCTTATTGAATAAATGAATGGGTGAGAAAAAAATAATGCACAAATGAAAATCTGTCATTATTTAAATACTTGGGACTTGTCTAGTCTTACTCAGTGGTTCTCAACCTTGACTGAACATTAGAATCATTTAGAGTTATTTTTTCTTCCCTTTTTACTGATGTATTACATATAGAAAAGTACATATATCTAGGGGAGCTTTTAGAAACTGCTAATGCCCCCTATAATGGTTAAAATTTAAAATACTGACAATATTTGGTGTTGTGACAAATATGTAGGACAACTGAACACTCACACATCACTGGTGGAAGTGCAAAACAGTACAACTACTTTGAAAAATGTTTTGGAGGCCAGGCACAGTGGCTCATGCCTGCAATCCCAGCACTTTGGGAGACTGAGGCGGGCAGATCACGAGGTTAGGAGTTCAAGACCAGCCTGGCCAACATGGTGAAACCCCGCCTCTACTAAAAATACAAAAATTAGCAGGGCATGGTGGCACATGCCCGTAATCCCAGCTACTCGGAAGGCTGAGGCAGGAGAATTGCTTGAACCTGGGAGGTGGAGGTTGCAGTGAGCCGAGATCATGCCACTGCACTCCAGTCTGGGAGACAGAGCGAGACTCCGTCTTGGGGGAAAAAAAAAAAAAAAAAAAGAAAGAAAGAAAGATGGTTTGGAAGTTTCTTATAAAGTTAAACAGACACTTACTACATGACCCAGAAATTCCACTCCTATGCATTTACCCAAGAGAAATGAAAACATATCGCCACACAAAGACTTTAATATGAGTGTACACAGAAGCTCTATTCCTAACAGTCAATACATGGAAGCAGCCCAGATATCCACCAACAGGTAAATGGATAAACAAAATGTGGTACCTCCATACAATGAAATACTAATCAGTAGTAAAAAAGAATAAACAACTGTGGATATATGTAACAATATGATGACTCTCATAGACATGCTGAGTGAAAGAAGCCAAACTGTTAGATTCTGTTTATGTGAAATTCTTGAATAATTACCATTAATCTATAGTAACAAGCCAGATCAGGGGTTGCCTGGGATGAAATGTGGGGTATTTGAGGATGATGGAAATATTCTATACTTGATTAGAGTGGTGTTTATAGGGAGGATATATATTTGTCAAAACTCATTGAACTGTACACTGAAAATAAATGCATTTTGTTGTGCGTAAATCATACCTTGGAAAGATTGATTAAAAAAAACTGTTGACACCCAGACTCCACTTCAGACCAATTAAATTAGAATCTCTAATGGAATCCAGATATTGGATCTATTTAAAAGAGCTCCCTGAGTAGTCTGATGTGTAGGAAGAGTTGAGAACCAGTGGCCCTAACTTTAAGAGAATATTGGGTGGAAAATAAAACAACAAAATAATTTTTTAAAGAGTGACATGAAGGATCACGGATGACTTTTATATTCTTCTTTAAGCTACTCTGTATTTTTGGATTTTTTCCCCATGAATTATGTGCATAATTTTAAAAGACAGTGTTATTTTATTTATTTACCTATTTTATTCCTCTCATCTCCAATTTTGCCCTATCATTCATTTTGGTTCATCATCATATTTGTTCAGATAAGCCATTATCTGACATTTGTTCATCCAAAGCTGATTAACCACCCTCCTATGCAAAGGACTGTTTTAGGAATTGAAGGAAAAAAAAAGAACAAGTAAATCTACTCCAAGCAATCAAAGGCATAGGTGACATAGATGCACACTTTTATTGTTATAAGGACTTCCAAATGTTATAGTAGCACAAAGATGACAAAAGATAAGATTATGTTAATTTATTCTTGTGTGTTTCCAGAAAATGGTGTGGAAATTTCTTTAAAAACTTAAAATGCACCTAATATAGACCTAGCCATTCAATTCCTGGGTGTTTACGCAAAAGAAATAAAAGCATACATCTACACAAAGACTTATACACTAATGTTAGTAGCAACTTTATTTGCAATAGCCCCAAACTGGAAATAGCCCAAATGCCCATCAGTAGAAGAATGGAAACACAAATTGTGGAAAATCCTTATTATGAAATACTACTCAGCAATAAAAAGGAAGAAACTATTGATACATGCAATGACATGGATGAATCTAAAAATAATTATGAGGAATGAAAGAAACCACAGACCAAAGGGTGTATACTGTATGATTCCATTTACATAAACTTCTAGAAAGCTTGAACTAATTTATAGTGACAGAAAACAGATTAGTAGTTGAGGGTGGGGTGGGGAATGAATTACAACGAGATGATGGGAATGTTTCTTATCTTCACTGTTGTGATGGTTTCACAGTTGTATACACATGTCAAAATTCAGCAAATTGTACAATTTAAATATGTGCAGTTTATGTACAATAATTATATTGCAATGAAGCTGTTAAAAGGATGGAAAAGAGAAAAAGTAAAACTGACAAGGCTGTGAATGGGCCTGAATGAGACCCATGGCATCCAATTTGTATCTTTGTTAACAACAGAGAACCATTTTGTGGGTCTGGGGTAGGGAGAAGAATCTGGTGACTTCCTAGACTTTAGAGTCTGTTACTGATAGGAGAAGCAGCCAGTGGAGAGGAGGACACTTGGGATGGACCTTCTTTGAACCTTGAGAAGAACATGCTTGGATGACAGACATATCAAGAAAACATGGGGCAGAGTCCCAGCACTTCCTCTTCTCATTGATTCTTTGCATTAAGCTAAAGTGACTTTAATCACTTATTCAACAAACAAAAAGGTACCAAGACCTTTTAGTGGGGGAAAGAAGAGTCTCTTAATGGTGCTGGGACAACTGAATATCCACATGCAAAAGAATAAAGCCAAGCCCCTAGTTCATACTATATAAAAAGTTAACTCAAGATGAATCAATAAGCTAAATATAAAAGCCAAAACTCTACCTCTTAGAAGAAAACATAGGTGTTAATCTTCATGACAGTGGATTTGGCAATAGATTATTACATATGACACCAAAAGAATAAAAAACAAAACTAGATATATTGTCAAAACTTAAACATTTTATGCATCAAAGGAAGGACATTACCAAGAAAATAAAAATCCAGCCTACAAAATGGGTGAAAATATTTGTGAATCATATCTTTCATAAGGATCTAGTATTGGGAACATACATATAAACAACTTTTAACAACTACAAAAAAACAAACAATCCAAATAAAAAATGAGCAAAGGACTGAATAGATATTTCTATAAAGAATATATACAATGGCAAACATGTTTTACAAATGTTCAATATCATTAGTCATAAGGGAAATGCAAATAAAAGCCACAATAAAGTATCACTTCACAGCCTCTAGAATGGCTACACTTTTTTAAAAATGGCAAATAACAACTGCTGGTGAGAAATTAGAACTTGTACATTGCTGGTTGTAATGTAATATGGTTCAGCTGCTGTGGAAAACGGTAAGGCAATCTCTCAAATGATTAAACATAGAATTACCATATGACCCTTAAGTTCACTTCTGTGTGGATACCCAAAAGAATTAAAAATAAGAACTCAATAAAAAATAATAGATGCTGGTGAGGTTGCGGGGAAAAGGGAACACTTATACACCGTTGGTGGGAGTGTAAATTAGTTCAACCATTATGAAAAGCGGTATGGCAATTCCTCAAACAGCTAAAAGCAGAACTACCATTCGACCCAGCAATCCTATTACTGGGTATATACCCAGAGGAATATAAATCACTCTACCATAAAGACACATGTACACAAATGTTCACTGTGGCACTATTTGCAATAGTAAAGACAAGGAATCAACCTAAATGCTCATCAATGACAAACTGGATAAAGCAAATGTGGTACATATACATTATCGAATACTATGTAGCCATAAAAAAGGAACAAGATCATGTCTTTTGCAGGAACGTGGATGGAGCTGGAGGCCATTATCCTCAGCAAACTAACGCAGGAACAGAAAACCAAATACTGCATATTCTCACTTATACGTGGGAGCTAAATGATGAGAACTTATGAATACAAAGAAAGAAAGAATAGGCACTGGGGTCCACTTGATGGGGGAGGGTGGGAGGAAAGAGAGGAGCAGAAAAGGTAACTATTGGGTACTGGGCTTAATTCCTGGGTGATGAAATAATCTGTAAAACAAACACCCCCATGACATGAGTTTATCTATATAACAAACCTTCACATGTACGCCCAAACCTAAAATAAAAGTGTAAAAAAAAGAAAATAGAGACTCAAGTACATGTGCACACGTTTATAGCAGCACTGCTGACAATAACCAAAAGGTAGAAACAGCCCAAATGTCCAGCAGGGGGAATGGATAAACAATGTGGTATATTCATAGAATGGAATATTATTCAACCATAAAAAGGAATAAAGTAGGCCAGGCGTGGTGGCTCATGCCTGTAATCCCAGCACTTTGGGAGGCCAAGGCGGGTGGATCGCGAGGTCAGGAGATCGAGACCATCCTGGCTAACACAGTGAAACCCCGTCTCTACTAAAAATATAAAAAATTAGCTGGGCTGATGGCGGGCGCCTATAGTCCCAGCTACTGGGGAGGCTGAAGCAGGAGAATGGTGTGAACCCAGGAGGTGAGATCACACCACCGCACTCCAGCCTGGGTGACAGAGCAAGACTCCGTCTCAAAAAAAAAAGAAAAAAAAAAGGAATGAAGTATTTGATACATGCTACAATGTATGCTAAGTGAACAAAACATACTAAGTGAAAGCAGACAAAAGTTCACATACTATATTATTCCATTTATATGAAATATCCAGAAAAGGTAAGAATGCATATTGGTGGTTTCCAGTGATTGCAGGTGTAGTGGGATGGGGAAAAATTGCTTAAAGGTATTTTTACTTCAGAATGATGAAAACATTTTAGAACTAGATACAGGTGCTGTTTGTATGACATTATGAATGTACTTACTGCTACTTTAAAATGGTTAATTTTGTTATGTTAATTTCACCTCAACAAATTATTTTTTCAAAAGATTCTCCATATTCTAAACAAATCAGATCTGTTCTGTGTAAACCACTGCAATCTAAGAAAAGAGCGTGGAGTGTGGTGGGATTGAAGTTTAAGTGACAGACATAGGAATTTAGGGTGGTAGTTAAACTGGGGGTCTTTGCAGCCAGACCCCTGCCTCTGTAGCTAACTAGCTCTGTGACATTAGGCAAGATATTTTATAAGTATTTGTGTTCTCATTTATAAAAAATAAGAACAATATCTAATCTCACTAGGGTGTTGTAAGGATTAAATGGGGTAAGCTACTTGATGCAATTTTGTACAGAGCCTGAAACATGGTAAATTTTAGCTCAACCTATTCTAAGTGAATTTTTTTCTCCCTCAAAGTTTAAGTTGTCCATTTCACATTATAGTCCTAGCTATAGCTTTTATAAAGCCCAGTCAAAAATATTTCTATAGCAAGGTGGCTGACTAGAAGCCCTTAGTGCTTGTCTCCATCACAGATGCCAGAATGACTAAAAAAAAACACTACATTTTAATGAGAGTAACTGAAGGAGAGTTCCAGAGAAAATCAGAGGAATAGCAGGAATGCTGATGAGCACAGAAACAGAACAGCCACATACAGAATGGAAAGAAATGCCAGGCCTTCACCACTCCATCCCCAAATTGAGATCAGCTGGGAACAAAGAGGAACTTCTCCATACAGTGAGGAGGTAAGCAAGAGGATCCCGGCAACCCCTATCAACACCTTGGACACCCACAGAACTCACCACTGCAAAGGTTCCCTGCAGTCTCCTCACAGGCACTATCTAAGCCCAGCTGAAGGAGCTGTCTAGAGCCCGCAAAGCTGTGTTCCCTCCAGAGAAGGTGCTAACACTATGTTCCCCTCTGTGGCCCACATGGCTACTGTGCTATAACATCTCGCAGCTAGACCTACAGCTGGAGTGTGTCTTGCTCAGGGGGCAAGTAGTCACAGGTCCCCTTCATCACTGAGGCTAAACTGCCACCAAAACACCCCCAGCCTAGGGACTGATCATCCCCAAGGTGAGCTGTAAGCCCGTTACACCCTTCTCCGTGGGGCCAAGTGGAGGTGGAGCTGATCCACCTACTCTTCCCCTGACCCCTCAGGCCAGATCTGAAACAGTACCCTGCCTCCTAGAAAACAATACCTTAGTCACTTTGAGCAGTCTTGCCTCCTTGTGCCTAAGTTGAAGCAGTGCCCTGTATCCCAGAAAATGGTGTCTGGGTCACCTGGGGAATCAGTGCCCTGGCCAAGCTGAGCAGCTGTTCACCCCACAGCTAAACTGCTGTAGTACCTTGCATCCCAGAGAAACAGAACAGTGGCTGAACTGAGACCATGTGCCCTACAGGCCAGACAACTCTAGTACCGTAATTTCCTGGAGAGCTGGACTAGCCCTCTAGAGCTGGAACTGCTGAGACACCCCTCTCCTTGGGAAGTAAAATCATCACGGTGCTGTTTCCTGCCTAACAGGGCCCAAAGGACAGCTGTGCTCCAGTGTTCAGGGTACTTGCTACTGCTGCACCTGGCCTCAGAGAGTCTGGGATACTGCTGACTCCACCATCTCAAGGTCTAGAGTCACTACTACTACTACAACTACAATGGGACCCACATTGCCACTGATCCCTACTGGCTTAGGTTCCTGAATTGCAGCACTATCCTGCTCCCTAGGCCCAAATATCCAGAGCACCCTTTCTTCTCCAGAGTTGGTCCAGTGCCATTCCCTGGCCCCTAAAGATAGAATCACAGCTACAACCCAAATCTCTGGGCCCAAGCTGCTAGGGGGTACCTCAGAGTCACAGATCCTGGCTCTTTGGGCAACCTGCATTCAACCTCACCACAGAGAACAAACAAGCACCCCAAGATCCAAGTGCCACAAAAAGTTCATGAGACCTTGAGCCTAGGACCCCAGCACCATAGCCATTAGGAGCACCTGAAGCTGGAACCAAGCACTGCTATAGCTGCTTACAGGCCATGTCAGACCTGACTCCAAAAGGGATACTCTATAGTCTAAATCTCCCCATTGTATGGAAAATGAGAATAAAGAAACCCCCCAAAGCCTTTGACACGGAGGCTATTAACAACCTATGCCACCACCACCACAAACTTTTATGGCCTAAGAAACTGAGGTACCCACAGCTACTGCTGATGTTGAATGCAGCCAAAGAAGGTGCATGAGGCCATACCACTGCACCTATCTTGAAACAGAATCACTACACCCTTCTCAACTGGCACATGAAAACTCAGATGCAGATGAGTCTTTCTCTACAAAAGCAAGAGAAAAGCATTAAGTCACATATAAGGGAATCTCCATTAGGCTAGCAGTGGATTTCTCTGCAGAAATCTTATAGGCCAGGAGAAAATGAGACGATATATTCAAAGTGCTAAAAGAAAAAAATTTTCAGTCGAGAATACTATTCCCAGCAAAACAATCTTCAGAAATGAGGGAGAAATAAAGTCTTTCTCAGATAAGCAGAAACTGAGGGAGTCCATCACAACTAGACCAGCCTTACAAGAAATGCTCGGCCAGGTGCAGTGGCTCACACCTGTAATCCTGGCACTTTGAAAGGCTGAGGCAGGTGGATCACGAGGTCAGGAGTTCAAGATCAGCCTGGCCAAGATGGTGAAACCCCATCTCTACTAAAAATACAAAAAAATTAGCCAGGTGTGGTGGTGGCTGCCTGTAATCCCAGCTACTTGGGAGGCTGAGGCAGGGAACTGCTTGAACCCAGGAGGCGGAGATTGCATGCAGGGAGCCGAGAATGCACCACTGCACTCCAGCCTGGGCAACAGCGAAACTCTGTCTCAATAATAATAAAAAAGAAATGCTCAAGGAAGTCCTACATCTGGAAGTAAAAAGATGATAATCACTATTATAAAGACACAAGTATAAAGATCACTGGTAGAGCAGATATACAAAGGGAAAAGGAAAAATAATCAAACCTTATCACTATAGAAAACTACCAAACTGCAATGATAAACCATAAGACAGAAAGAAATGAACAAACGATATACAAAACAACCAGAAAATAATTAACAAAATGACAGGAGGAAGTCCTCACCTATCAATAATAACTTGAATGTAAACAGATTAAATTCCTCACATAAAAGATTTAGGCTAGCAGAATGGATTTTAAAAAATGACCCAACTGTATGCTGCCTGCAAGTAACTGACTTCACCTGTAAAGACACTTGTGTGATTACATAGACTGAAAGTGAAGGAATAGAAAAAAAAATTCCATGTAAACAAAAACCAAAAGTGAGTTAGAGTAGCTATACCTATCAAATCAAACCGACTTTAAGTCAAAAACTGCAAAAAGAGATAAAAAGGTCATTATGTAATGATAAAGGGTCCAATTGAGCCAGAGGATATAACAATTGTGAATATATATGCACCCAACGTCAGAGCACCCAGATATATAAAAACCAATTATTATTAAATCTAAAGGGAGAGAGAGACTTCAATATAGTAATAGTTGGGGACTTCAACACTCACTCTCTGCATTGGACAGATACATATACAGAAATCAACGAAGAAACATTAAATCTGAAATGAATTTGAGACCAGACAGACCTAACAGACATTTCTAGAACATTTCATCCAACAGCTGCAGAATACACATTCTTTCCATCAGTACATTCAGCACTTGGAACATCCTTGAGGACAGACCACATGTTCATCCACAAAATAAGTTTCAACAAATTTAAAAGAACTGAAATCATGGCAAGTATCTTCTCTTACCACAGTGGAATAGAACTAGAAATCAATAACAAGAGAAACTTTTGAAATTATACAAATACATGGAAATTAAACAGCATGCTCCTGAATGACAAGTAGGCCAATAAAAGAATTAAGAAGATAATTTAAAAATTTCTGGAAACAAATGAAAATAGCAACATTTGAAAACCTATGGGATACAACAAAAGCCATATTAAGAGGGCAACTTATAGCAATAAATACCTATATCTGAAAAATAGAAAATAAAAAAACTAATGATGCATCTCAAGGAACTAGAAAAGTAAGGGCAAACCAGAACCAAAATTAGTAGAAGAAAAAAAAATAAAGATCAGAGCAGAAATAAAATGGAGACTACAAAAATACAAAAGATTGACAAAAGAAAAAAGTTGGTTTTGTGAAAAGATAAAATTGGCAAACTGTTAGCTACACAAACCAAGAATAAAAGAGAAAAAGACCCAAATAAAATCAGAAATGAAAAAGGAGACATTACAACTCCTAGAAATACAAAGGAAATACAAAGGATCATTAGAGATATTCTGAACAACTACACACCAAAAAATTAGAAAACCTAGCAGAAAGAAATAGACAAATTCCTGGACACATAAAACCTACCAAGACTGAACCAATAAGAAATAGAAAACCTGAACAGACCAATTATGAGTAACAAGATTGAATCTGTAATAAAAAGCCTCCCATCAAATAACTGAGAAACTGAGGGCTTAACTGCGGAATTCTACCACACATTTAAATACATAATAGCAATTCTTCTCAAACTCTTCCAGAAAATTGAAGAGAATTCTTCAAAGTTTATTCTATGAGGTCAGCATTACTCTGATACCAAATCCAGACAAGGACACAACAAAAAAATGAAACATCTCTGATGAACATAAATGCAAAAACCTCAACCAAATACTAACAAACTGAATCCAGCAGCACATTAAAAAGATCATTCCCCATGACCAAGTGGGATTTATCCCAGGGATGCAAGGGATTCATCATGGTAGAGCAGATATACAAAGGAGAAAGGAAGAATAATCAAACCTTATCACTACAGGAAAATACTAAACTGCAATGATAAACAATAAGACAAAGAAATGAACAAAGGATATACAAAACAACCAGAAAATAATTATCAAAATGACAGGATGGTTCAACGTATGCAAACCAACTTAAATATGATACATCACATTGACAGAGTGAAGAACAAAAATCATTTGATTATCTCAATAGATGCAGAAAAAGCATTTGATAAAATTCAACAGGGCTTCATGATAAAAAATCCACAACTCAGATGTAAAAGGAACATATCTGAACACAATAAAGGCCATATATGACAAACCCACAGCCAACATCATACTGAACAGAGAAAAGTTCAAAGCTTTTCCTCTAAGATCTGGAACAGACAGACAAGAATATCCACTTTCACAACTTTTATTCAGCATAGTACCAGAAGTCCTAGCCAGAGCAATTAGGCAAGAGAAAAAAATAAAGAGCATCCACATTGATAAGGAAGAAGTCAAATTGTCCTTGTTCGCAGATGACATTATCTTATACATACAAAACCCTAAAAACTCCACCAAAAAACTTTTAGAAATGATAAATGAATTCTGTAAATTTGCAGTACACAAAATTAATATATGAAAACCAGTAGAATTTCTATGCACCAACAACAAGCCAGCAGGAAAAAATAATCAAGAAAGCAATCCCATTTATAATAATAGGTACAAAAAATAAAATATCTAAGAATAAATTTAACCAATGATGTAAAAGACCTCTATAAGGAAAACTATAAAAAACTTATGAAATAAAGAAGACACAAAAAAGTAGAAAGACACCCCATGTTCATGGATTGGAAGAATTAATATTGTTAAAATGACCATCTGCCAAAAGTGATCTACAGATTTCATGCAATCCCTGTGAAAATGCCAAAGACTTCATAGAAATTAGGAAAAAACAATCCTAAAATTCTATGGAACCACAAAAGACTCCAAGTAGCCAAAGCAATCCTGAGCAAAAAGAATAAAGCTGAAGGCATCACACTAGTGAAATTCAAAATATACTGCAAAGCTATAGTAACCAAAACACCATGGCATATTGAAGAGATATCTGCACTCTCATGTTTATTGCAGTACTATTCACAATATCCAAGATTTGGAACCAATCTAACTATCCATCAGCAGATGAATAGATAAAGGAAATGTGGTACATCTACACAATGGAGTACTACTAAGCCATAAAAGGATGAGATCCTGTCATCTGCAACAACGTGGATGGAACCAAGAACATTATGTTAAATGAAATAAACCAGGCACAGAAAGACAAATAAATGTCTTTATTCTCACTCATATGTGGGAGCCAAAATAATTGATCTCATGGAGGTAAAGAGTAGAACAGTAGTTAACAGAAGCTATAGAGAGTGAGTGTTGGGGTTGGGGGGTGGGGATTAGGGAGATTGTTTATTGGTTACAAAAATACAGTTAGAAGGAATAAGTTCTAGTGTTTGACAGCACAGTAGGGTGACTATAGTTAACAATAATTTATTGTGTAGTTCCAAATAGGTAGATTAGGAATGCTCCCCTCACAAAGAAATGATAAATGTTTGAGGTGATGGATATCCCAATTAACCTGATTTGATCACCACACATTGTACGGAAGTATCAAATTGTCACATGTATCCCATAAATATGCATAATTATTATGTATTCATAAAAAAAATTTGTCTTTTGGAGAGTCTGCTATCTATGATATAGTAGAAAAAGCAATGGCCCAGATGTAAAGTCTCATATAAAGTTCTTATTTATCTGAATCCCAGGGTGTGTACATTTAAGAAAATCACACCTAAAACCTGGACATGTCTAGCCCTTCAAAGGAGTTGATGAAGACCAAATGAAATCATATATATGAAGTAGCTCTGAAAGCCCTAAAATCCTTCCTATACAAATATCACGGAGTATACATGTAATGAGAAAAATGGGATATGAAATCCTGCCTGCCACCTCCAGCATTTTATGAAGGAAAAACAGAAATTGTGCTTAGGGAATGCTGGCCTATGTACAATGATTTTACTCATTTATTAGTGTTCTACTCATTTAAGGCCCTCTCAGAAGAAAGGGAACCATTCCAGAACATATCCTGAAGAGCCTAGCATGATGACCTACTTCCTACTACCAAAGAAGGTACACAAAAGACTACATTTCAGGACACAGCCATTCACCAAACCACGGCAGTTCTGTACATAGACCACTTCTGAAGTTCTAGTTACTGAAATGTAAAGGCCAGAGAAAACTTGGCTGGGTTTGAGTGGGAGGTAGGTGGGTAGACTGGCGGATGGGAAGCTAACCACATTGATGTGTTGCCCAATTTAATCTCATAATAACCTTATAAAGTAGGTATTAGTGTTGTTGTTTTACAAAGGAGGAAACTGAGGCTCAGTGAGACGCTCATCCAAGCTTATTCGCGAAGTATCTGGGGCTAGGATTTAAAGTTCACTCTTTTTTATGACATTCTAGTACCTAAGTGATCAGAGACATTTAAGAATGTTCATAGCAGCATAGTTTGTAACAGCAATCAACCAATCATCACAATTTAAACATTTTAAATTTTAAAATGAAAAATAAAATCCAATTGTCCCCCAGCATGTGAAACGATAAACCACAGAATATTCAACTGATACAACTAAAAACCAGTAAAATAAATACAATCCCCCAGTCAACATGGAAGAGTATAACAATGTGCCAAAAAAAAAAAAAAGTTTCCGTGTAAGTTCTTCTAAAGTTCAAAATCATGTGAAAATAAACATTTTATTCAGCAGATGATTAAACCAAAATTCAATTTAGTGGCTTCTTCTTGGGGAGAAAGAGGGTGCGATTAGGAAGGGCACATTTTTTCATTAATGAAATGTTCTATTTCTCAAGCTAACGGGTATTATTCTTTAAAGAAATATTTTTATACTTTTGAGTGAATTAAATGTGAAATTTTAAAACACAAACACACATTCAAAAAGAATATGGATATCAAATGCCTAAAGGCTGTCTCTGGAACTTGATCTCAAAGTATTTTTCATATTGATTTGTCATTATTATTCTTGCTTAAAGATATATTAGTTAATTCCACGGCAGGAAAAGGAGCAATGACAGGCCATACTTTTCTGAAAACCATGGGTAATAGCGTTTGTAAAATTTGTCAAGTAGGTCAAGGGCATAGTTCTTCACTCCAGGAGGCAAGCACAGTGTCTCTGTCTCCATGATATCCACTCTGCCCCCTCCCACTCGAGCCTAGTCCCTCACCCTTGGCTTGCCTGCACTTGGCCTTGCAATCCAGCTTTGCCTCTGTAATCACTCTCTCCTATCACTCATTTCCGGCCAAAAGTCTTGGTTTTCGGACTTTTCATTCAATCCATTTCAGCCCATTCATGAGTCACTCTTGCCTATGGACAACCAGCACTCCCGGGCACAGGCTTGGCAGGGGAAGATGAATTCAGTGAATTAAGCCAATGAAATCCTTTACGAAAGTCATAATGGACCTGACAGGGCTGTTTCTATCCTAAATCCAGGGGTAGCTTGAGATGATATAATGAGAGATCCTCATCTGAGGCAGTATTTCTCAAAGTATGTGTTACAGTGATCAGAATCACCTGGAGCACACGTTAAAAATGCAGATCACTGGGCCCATCCAGAGCATTAGAATAGGAGCATCTGAGAATGGGGCCCAGGATTTGGCAACTCTGAAAAACACCCCTGATGATAGTTCTGATTCTCTTTGATTTCCCTGTAAAATTGGCATCAAGGAAACCTGCCCTATCAAATATTGGGCTGATCTAATCTAATCATGGATACAACTTTGGATGGTGAGCATATGGGTTTTTTGTCAGACAGACACATCACCAACTAGAATGATAAGCAGCAACCAAGTCATGTTCAGAAAAAAAAAAAAGTGCAGAGTCAAGCTTTTCTCATATAGCGGGTGTACTACTTAAATACTGTTCAGATTTTACTCAGTGAAGCCACTCCAACACTAGGTAGGGGATCAGCATAGATAAAAACAAAGAGAAAATGTTCTCTGCATTTTAAATTACCTGTCTCCATTCTTACTGGCCCAGTCAGATTTATGGAGGTTGTGGAGGAGGTGGGGAGAATCATATCAAAATTTTTAAACAAAGGTACAAGGGCAGAGGGGACATGTCCACTTAAACAGCCGGCCTGGCCGTATTAGTATCAACTCTGCCTTTCTTCTATAGTAGAGTTCCATTAAGATTGAGCCAGAATGGTGTGTCTCTATCCATTTTATTTTGGGCAAAGACAATAGATGTGATTAGAGCCTTAGTATACTTTTGCTAGATTTTTTTTCTGTAAAAAAGAACTAATGAAGGATTATAAAACCTCCAACTTTCCAAAGTGCTTGAAATGTTACTATTCCTTCAAATTTATAAAGAGCTTTCATGACCTGAATATCCCAGTCAGGCAAGCATTTGTTCTACTGTTAAAGACCTGGTGAACTGGTATCTTTAAGTTTTATATGTGGGAAAACGCACATTCCTGGCATGCAGCCTTAATGGAGGTGCACATAAGATACAAAGCCTTGCCTTGGGAAAATGAACTAGAGACTCAACTAGAAAACTTTGTTTCAGACCAGTTAAAAATGTAAAATACAGCTACCATAGAGTTTAATTGTACAGTGGTAGTTTCAGTTTCTGTACCAGGAGACAATTTTTTTGCATTTTCTTGGGATAGGCCCACAGCTACAGCCATATTGGACAGATGTTTTTAACTCTAAATGCAATGTAGAATTACCTATCATTTCTTTGCTATGCAGATTGAATATTCTGCATGAGCATTCAAAAACGCCTGTTTATAGTCTGAACTTCTTATGTCTATTGTTTTCTACTACCAAATGTACTGTCTACAGATGGAAAACTCAGTCTTTGATGGGTGGTGAGGAATTGCTCACAACCATCAGTTACACAGAGAGAGACATACTACACATAATGTTGGGAAGGGTTAGATTACACAGTTATCAAAATATGTACAGGAGCAATCCTCATCTAGAAGTGTTTCAGGGATTCCAAATGATCATACTCAACAGCTGGCCCTATTCGCAAGACTTGGTCAATGGAAAATACTGCTGCTTTTCTCTCCCTTATATTTCCCCACCTTCTCTATTGCCATCTTTGTGAAAGCAGAGTGGCACATTGCCTTATAGTTGCTGCTCCTTATTACCCTCAATTGACAGCAATGAAAGCAGGCAAGGCGATTAAGCAATGTGGCAGCCCATTGTTGAGTTTACCTTTAAAGACAGCCAAGAGAATTTTAGTGAAGAAGGGCCAGAGGTGCTTTACAACTAGAGGGAACTGCCATGGAGTATTAATTTTTAAAAGTTAATGACTTCCTTGCAAGATGGGTACTATCAATTTTGAAATTATTCTGAATTAAAGGTAATCTGATTTTAGAAAAAGAAAAAACAAACATGCAGAATACACTTATGGAGGTGACCAACCTTTTTAGAGTTGCTTGATTTTGCCATAACTTGAACTTTTTACAAAAAAGTGCTGAACAGTATTTTTCAATTCCAAAGATTTGATTTTGTGTTAAGAATTTAATACTAAACCACAAACATGCTTGAGATAACAAGCTGGTGTAAAGCAACTATCTTAAGGCATATGTAAGTCTAGTTTTGGGGTCTGAAAATACCATAAACTCACTGAGCTTGTGCTATAACCAAATATTCTGGGTAATGGTTGGTATATACGTAACCATAGATATACGCATATACAGACACACATATGTATACATATATACACATATACACATTTAAGAATTACTAATTTTTAGCCTATTATTAGACATTAAACATCACAATTTAATCTTTGGTGATGCAGAAAGCACTGTTTGGTATCCTGCAGAACCTTGGAGTCAACTTTCTGGTTATGAATCAGTAAGCTTACTAAATGATGAAATATAGAAGCAGTGTCTGAGGGGAGAATTTCCTCTCCACTGGGCTCAGCTTATAGAATTGGGAGTACTAGAACTACAGCTGGAAGAGGTAGTAAGTACTGATTTTTTTTTGATTGCATCCATAAGAAGTACATGCAATACAAAAAATTTAAGCTCTATTAGGCAACCGCAATACCCCGAAATAAAAGGTCTAGAGATTAGGCCCAAAGCGTACAGTAGACAAAATGTTTCATAGGGTCCAAATTGAGAGGGACCTTAGCCATGAGATAGCAGAGTCAGATGTGTTCATCAGCATTCCTACTCGGCACTGCTGTTCATGCATCTCTTAAATTTCTCTTTGTACCTGAATTTGCTTTTATGACCTAACTTTGCCAGATCAGTAAATTGAACTTTATACTTTTGCATTTTAAGAATCTAAATCTTGTTACACAGTTCCCACCCAACTCCCCACCATTTTAGATTATTACATCAGAATGCTAAAAACACTTTTGAAGAAAAAAACTTTATTTTTATTCATGTATGCAAAGACAGTATCAGCAATAGGCAGAAGCATATTTCTAAGTTTAGAATTAATTTTCCATTTTGAAAGGTTCAGGACTTTATCTTTTTTACCCTTACTCTTTTAAATGCTTCACTCCAACAAAGACAAAAATTTATTCCCTTACTTTTCCTTAAGGTCATATTGGAATAATTAGAAGTAGCTCTTTAGAATATAGATATCATTTATAGTAAGCTGGAGATTTAATCACAGAATGATATGTGTCAGAATGTTATAGCACCAAAAAAACTACAGATCATTTTTAAATGGACAAATTCATAGTGCTTTCAATTTCTGAGGTGTAATAAAGCCCTCTTGGGAATTCTAAAGTTAAAAGACTCTCTCCTTCAGATTCAGAATGAAAATTTTAAGGAATTATAGACCCTAGGGGGCACTAGTAATATGGCTCACAGTAACTACATTAAGTTAGAATTTCTACATTTTAGGGAAGAAGTCACTGAAAGAAGGGCCAGAAAGCCGCTTTAAACTCATGTCCATGGCAGATCAAATGGTACTGATACAACTTTTTCCCTTAGAAAGGTATTATATCCCATTGCTACCGTTCCAGGGTTTGGCCCTTGAACTGCTCTGCTCATACAGCTACTTTCATTCTTTATATCACCAGTTCTAGGAGCAAACCTCCTCAAAGACTAGTGACAAAGGCTGGAAACGAAAGACTGTGGTATAGCAAAAGGGCTCTGATGCTCTAGCTGTTTGTCACAATGTAAAATGAAGACACCAGCTAATCTAGAAACAATGCTAACTTTTAACTCTAGCACATTCTTAAGATATACTTATTAAACAACTTTTGTGGTTTAGAAATAACCAAAACTAACTACTTTGACTCTTCTGGACATATTTTACTTTACAAAAGGAAATATAACAGACTAAATCTATTTATAGCAAGTAACTAATATTTCAATGTTTTTATAAAAACAATTCCCTTCAGATACTCTGATTAACCTCTAAGAGACATAAAAAAGTTGCAGCATTCTTTAATACCAATATTTTGCACAATTTGACATACAGCCAAGTTTAGCATTTCAAAGAAAAAAGTTTTTACAAAAAAGAAGAATGGTGACTCATTGAGAAGCTTATGTACCTAGTAAAGTTTAGTTTGTCTTGGATTCTTTAAAAAATTAGGCCCAGAATTTTAGTTATCCTAATTACTACCCTAATCAAATAGGATATATATGTGTGGATTCTAGCTAAAAGATAAAATATTTTGAATAAACATATGACCCACTGATTGGACTGTTCGCTTTGAATCTGTTTTGCTGGGTTTAGATAAGAAGACTTCAATAAAGCTAACTATATATTGAGTTCCACTGATTAAAAATGCAGTTTTAAAAATTTTGCTTTTGTGGTAAATTTCTGGAGAAATCATAAATGCAAAGCTCAATACTGTAAATACTGTACTGTTCACAGGTACTTGTTGGAGAAGTGAAATGTTTGTATTCAGACCAACAAAATTCTGACCTTTCAAAATAGGTTTTTAAAAACATTTTTTTGAAAATCAGTATTTGCTTTTAAACACTTAAAATGCCAATTTTTAAAAAATCCTTGCAGATAAATCTTAGTTTCTTTCAGTCTCAATTATTTTTTTACTTTCAACTATATTTCAACACAGAACCAGTTTCTAAATAAACATCTAATGAAGAACAGTTTAAGATAAAACTAGAGAGTCTAATAATACAACTTATACACAAAGTTTGAGTGTGATTTACCAAAATTCAGAATTTCTATAATAGTGGAAACCTTTTAGCTTAATATTCAAAACCAGCAACTTCCCATGTAACTAGATAAGCCAGGAGGATCAAACAGATTTAAGCATTGCCCGACTTCTTCTAAAGTGATGCACTCTTTTATCCTGGAAAAGACAGAAAGAGTCCTTTTACTTTACTGAAAATTTCTGATTACTACTATAGATCTGAAAGTTGTCAAAAACTTAAACCATTTGTTTTGGGTTTAAACATTATAAATAATGAGAAAAAAGATTATTCTTTTTGAGAAGCATTCTTGAACACTGGGATAACATATATACCAGGATGGCTAGTTTTATTAAACAGTTTAGTTAAAAAAGAAATCAATTAAAAAAAAAGAAATCCCATTAAACTCAGAAATAACAGGACTTAGACTCAATATCATTTTATGTACTTCTTAATTAATGATTTTGCAGTAATGTCCCAAAGACAGCTGGTAGAAAATGTAATTCTAAAAAATACTGTTTTCACTGACTGAACTGCATCTAATAGGAACCACGGCTTGTGAACAGCTCTCCAATCTGAAATTTCATGTTTTTAGGTTAAAAGATGTAAGTTTTGGCATTTAAAGACATATCATTAACCTGTGAAGATGTATTATTCTTTAGAAAGAAAGAGAAAAAATTTAAATACATGCAAAACTTTCTTTTCACTCTATGTTGCCTACAGATGTGCAGAGAGAAAAAAGTGAGAGGCCTTAAAAGGAGAAATGGGACTAAGCAAATGAGTAATAACATAATAGCATTTTATTTTCTACAAAGTTAACTGTGCCCTTTTCCTAGGACCTCAGTTTCACTGTCATATAAATAAAAGTGGCTTCTGGAAGTTACCTAATCTGTCAAAAGAGTGATATCCTATTTAAGTTAAAATCTAGAAAACTGGTCACCAACATGTATCTTCACAGGTCACGCAGGAAACAAGATTATGAAGGGACTACAGAATCAAGACAGTGAAGAGTGGAATTAGCTATGGAAATAGTAAATACATTCAAAAATACCTCATGCATTCAAATTCAATACAACAACATGCAGTCAATCAAAATAGGTCTAGATGTCAGACAACCACAGGATGCCAACTTCTGATTCGTCTCCCAAACAAGCAGAAAACTCTGGGAGTTTAAAGGGAGTCTTTTGTCTAATACCAGGTGAGAACTCAAGTTTCAAAACTCCTTCTGGGCTGGGCATGGTGGCTCACGCCTGTAATCCCAGCACTTTGGGAGGCTGAGGTAGGAGGATCACTTGAGCCCAGGAGTTCAAGACCAGCCAGGGGCAATATAGTAAGATTCTGTCTCTTAAAAAAAAAAAAAAAATCTTTTTAACTAGCCAAGTGTAGCGGTGCATGTCTGTAGTCCTAACTATTTGGGAGGCTGAGGCAGAAGGATCCCTTGCGTCAGGAGTTTGAGGTTGTAGTAAGCTGTGATTGTTACACTGCAATCCAGCCTAGGTGACTAAATGAGGTCACCTCAAAAAAACAAAAAACCACAGAAGACTATCTTCTGCTTTGAAAATCATTTAAGTACTACTGTAGACACCTATGTAATCATCAGAACTTTGGGCAAAGTAAGCTGATATACAATTTCAGTTCCTTCTTTTCTAAATTATACTATCTATGTAGAATGAAGCAACAAGAGAACAAATGTCAACTTTAAGTATGTTTACTCCCTGTTGCGAAGATGTTAAGAACTTAATTCTGCTATACGGCTCTACTCTTCTACATTATACAGGAGATCCATAATAATAACCCCTTAAAAAGGCTTAAGCTTCATCCTATATCCATTCACAGATGAAAAAAAAGCTAGTCTTTCTGTTTTAAGACACAAAGTGATGGTTAAACATTTCCTTTTGAATGTAAAGTGTGTAGCCAGTTTTGACAAATTCTGGCAGTTCCACTGAAGGTTAAATATGACTTAGCAATTCCATTCCCAAGTATATACGCAAGAGAAATAAGAACATATGTCCACGTAATAACTTGTACATGAATGTTCACAGCATTATTTCTAACAGTTAAAAAGAGGAAATAATCCCAATGTCTTTAACAGATGAATGGATAAACAGAATGAATAATAGCCACAAATAAAAAGAAATGAAGTTCTGATACGTGCTAGAATATTGATGAACCTTGAAAATATTATGCTGACTGAAAAAACCGGTCACAAAAGGCCACATTATGTATGATTCCATATACATGAAATGTCCAGGACAGGAAAATCCTTAGAGAAAGTAAGTAAATTAGTGGTTGCCTAGGGCTGCACAGGATGGGGGAAAATAGCAGGTGACTGCTAAGGTAGGGGGGTGATTTTTGGGGTGATTTAAGTATTCTAAAATTGATTGTGGTCATGGTTACACAACTTTGAATATATGAAAAACCAGTGAAATGCAAACTTTAAATAGGTAAATTGTATTACTGGTATCTCAATTATATATTTCAATAAACCTATTATTTAAAAAACACCTTCCCTTTACTAACCGTAATATTTCTCTCCCATTGGACTGACCAAGTTAGTTCTTTTTCCTATTCATAGACTTAGAACTACAGGGACCCAGAAACCTTTAGTCCTGTACCTTCTCATTTTAGACTTGTAAAAACTGGAGTCTTAATAAGATTTATCTATCCAACATGGATAGACGGCGGGATCAGAAATCAGATTTTTCTGGAATTCAACTACCCACATTCTCTTCCACTTTACCAACTCTGTCTGAATCAACCTCCAATTCTTTCTACTCAACATTTTACTGCTTCACTTTACCCCTTTTCTCCCTTCACACTGTTCAGGTATATCTTCTGAGTAAACCATTTCTTTTCTTCTCTATAGTCCAATATGCATGTATTTTTTTTTTTTTTGAGACAAGGTCTCACTCTGTTGCCCAGGCTGGAGTACAGTGGCACAATCATGGCTCAATGCAGACTCAACTTCCCAGGCTCAAGCAATCCTCCTACCTCAGCCTCCCTCTGAAGTAGCTGGGACTACAGGCGTGCACCATCACAACTGGCTAAGTTTTGTATTTTTTGTAGAGATGGGGTTTTGCCATGTTGCCCAGGGTGGTCTCGAACTCCTGAGCTCAAGCAATCCACCCATCTCAGCCCCCAAAAGTGCTGGGATTACAGGCGTGAGCCACTGCACCCAGCCAAGATCTGCTTTCTGTATCTAAAATTTTCTTTTACTATTTGGTCAAGCCAGTCAACTAACTCTTCTCTAGTTAACCCTTTCAATTACAAATTTCTGCTGAAGGATTCTTCCCTAAAGATAACTACATTATGTCAAGGTTCAGCAGCAGAAAATATACTGCCAGGTAAAACCCACTCTGGTTTACTGTGTTATAGTCAAATGCCAACAGTTAATTAAATGCTCTAAGAAATCTCAAAATACATATACCACAAGGAAAACAGATACTTTAAAGCTAACAAGTGTGCTTTTTAATTGTGCGTAACTGTTATATTCATACCTTGAAGTAGTCATCTTGAGTAACAACAGAGTTTCTCAGTCTGTTCTCTGGATTAAACAGACAAGATACCACCGTTTGTATGCTTCGGTCCACAGATTTCTGAAACACAGAAGTTTTCAGTAATGTAAAGACGACTCTTTCACTCACTCTTAGTAAGGGTTTTTTTTTGATAGTTTAATGAATATATTACTTTATTTCTAAAGAAATGCAAAAAATGCTAAAAGAGACTGGGAGTGGTGGCTCACGCCTGTAATCCCAGCACTTTAGGAGGCCAAGGCAGGAGGATTCCTGCCTCCTCCTGAGGTCAGGAATTCAAGACCAGCCTGGCCAATATGGTGAAACCCCATCTCTACTAAAAAAATACAAATATCAGCTGGGCATAGTGGCGGGTGCCTGTAATCTCAGCTACTCAGGAGGCTGAGGCAGGGAGAATTGCTTGAATCCAGGAGGTGGAAATTGCAGTGAGCCAAGATCACACCACTGCACTCCAGCCTGGGCAACACAGCGAGACTCTGTCTTGGGGAAAAAAAAAAAAAAAGAAATTCATAAAAATGTGATTCATAATTCTTACCACGTATCACTCAATATGCAAGTTTTCTGACAAAGATTTTAGAACCTTAGTGATAGAATACTGGTTTAAAAAGCTGAATTTGTTAAATCCCTAAGTGAACTCCAATGTTTCAAGAAAAAATATTCAGGACAAAACCTGAAAATTACACTGTAAGCTATTTTAATATTTATTCGCATTTTAAAATCGAGTATCAAATCAAGGAATTTACACTCCAATGGGACTTCAGTGTTATACATATTACCAACACATCAACTACTTCTACACTCCCGCTCATTTAAGAGAACATATGTGATTCAAGAGTGATAGTATTATTATGGAAATTTGCTCTAATGATAAAAAGAAGAAAGAACCCTGCCTAATTCAATATTTGAATAATTATTACTGACTTCACCACTGTTGGGAACTACTGCCATATATAATGTTACAGAGAGAATGCCGTAAGTAATGTGTTTCACTGTTTAAGTAAATATCAAAATTATAAAAGAAAAGGTACATGTAATTCGTACCAATTCCTCTTTTGAAGAGTAGAATTCTTGAGGAAACCTTCCCATAACATTCTGCCAAATCCTATTAATATAGTATTTATTGAAGTATGGTTTTTAAAAATTAGTGGAACTGGAATATAGGAAAGGACTGCTGAATCAGAAACTTTATGTATACATTGAAAATTTGGGCTATCTGAAATTTCACCAACCTTTACATTAACTGCTGAATATTAGTCAATTATTTAAGATCTATAATTTATGGCTCCTATCTTGCCCAGGGTGGTCTCGAACTCCTGAGCTCAAGCAATCCACCCATCTCAGCCCCAAAAAGTGCTGGGATTACAGGCGTGAGCCACTGCACCCAGCCAAGATCTGCTTTCTGTATCTAAAATTTTCTTTTACTATTTGGTCAAGCCAGTCAACTAACTCTTCTCTAGTTAACCTTTTCAATTACAAATTTCTGCTGAAGGATGATTGCTTCTCAAAAAACCATTATTAAAACTAGAAAAAATAAATATGAAATATATATAAACAAAATTAGATGTTTGCCTTTTGTGGGCCATTTCCAGAGGGTGGAGTAGCTTCATGAACTGAACATTCATTTGGCACAACTTCAGCTCCTGGATCAACTTCATTACAGTGGTAGTTAACAGCTGAATAAGCCTATATTTAAAATAATGAAAGTGTAATTAAACAGATATACAGATATATTTAAAAGCCACTTATTCTTCAAAAAGCTAAGCTGGTATCAAAAGTTTCAATGTAGGTTGTGTTGAAATTCAATTATATTATTTCAAAAACTTTGTTTTAAATGAACAGTTGAAATACAGTAAGGCAGCCTTCTGTTTTAGAATGTCTTTAAGGCATCAACATAATCAGAAGTAGAAGAACTCTAAGAAACTAATGTAGTAAGAGAGTGTTTGAGAATTTTAACACTTATTATATCCTTCAAATTTCCAATCCTGATAAAAGACAGCAGCTTGGGTGTTTTAGACGTAATACTCTTGTTTTATTCCTATTTTTATTTAACAGTAATTAACAGCAAAACATTTCTGTTCCTCTTCAACAGTTTTTTTTATGGCTGGTAAAGCCAGAGGCAGAGTCTAGGCAGATACATGCTAATTCTAAAGCCACATTAATACTACCTTTCCTGAATTATATAGTCTATCAACAAGTAACTGAACACTTATCATTATGTGGACCAGCCATTGCTTAAGCACACAAAAACCTGAGAGAAGAAGGCACTGTTGCTCCCATGGGAGTTTCTAACTGGGTTAAAAAGAAAGTAACAAAATGTAACACATTAATACAAAAAACTATTTAAAAATATAGGCATATATGACATGGAAAACAATCAAGAAATATAGTTAAACAAAAAAAAATACTTTAAAATAACAGGAATTATATGTTTGGCTAATTCACTTTACCGGAGGTACAACATAGCTCCTTTGCTCCCCAACAGGCCACTGTGGTGGCATCTTAAAAAAAAAAAAAAGGAAACCAAAATTATTCAAATATTCCTACAAATTTTCAAAAACACACGAGATACACAATATTGAAGTACTTATCATGCTGGCTCCTTTGTTGTTATAATAAAAGAAACAGAATGAAAAAAAAGTACTTTATGTTTCTAATCCCTGATGTTCTTGTTACTTCCATATATAAAACCTCACCTTTTTCCCAATTTTCTGGAGTTGGCATTGTGGAAATCTCAGAGATATTAGTTCCTTGAATTTATTACCATAGATATGATTATGGGTCACAGATACAGTCATATCTATGTAAAGAGTCTCAAAGAACTACTATCATGAAGCAGTCAGCTAAAATAAAAATACAATTTGAATTCTGTGCTCTAAGAATTGGATAATTTTATTTCACTCTATCTCCCTAAAAAATTGATGAAAGTCCGTCTGGCTGTTTCGGCTATTTGACAGCAAAGATGAAAAAATACATGCTGAAATACAGAAGGGGACACCGAATCTCATAAAACTGTTGTAGAGAAAAGTTATTGCTAAGTATATCCCTGTCAAAATATTATTCCATTACTTCTAAATAATAAAGAGGTCTTAATTCTAGACTAATTTTTTTCTTAAATTTTAGGTACATTTCACTAGTTTAAAATGACAAACCATTCAGACAATTTGTATAAACAAGTTAAAGGCCTCAATAAAATCTGAAAGTAAATCATTTTACTCCCTTTTAAATTACCTGATAATTATATACAGGCAACTGATATCCAGTGATGACCTGAACTGGTGAATTTGGGTAAGTAGGATATGCCTGAAAATCAAGTTTACAGAAAGAATGAATAATATAAAACATTTTTTAAAATTAGAAATATTATTCCCAATATAACAAAAATATGAAAACTTTTAAAATATTTTTCTATATACAACAATGCAGAATTCTAAATGCATGACTGACTTTATGAAGAAAGAAATATTCTCTGTCAAGTGTTACCCTTTGGGTGGGGAGGGGGAACAGACAAATGACAAAAGAAGTGACTATTTCAACAGGCAAAGTTTATCATATTTATACTGTGTACTTATTCCCACCCAGAAGTTATTTTTTATACTGGTGATAAGGCTCTATTCAGACAGACTTCAATGTAAGTTAAATTAATACATTTGCTATTTCTTTGTCAAAATACTTCTAGACAGTTTTGTGTTTGACAATATTATAGGGTAATATGTAGTCCTCCTACAGATGCTATGGCTTTTTCTGTACTTCATTTCGAAGAACTAAGGGCTGTATATAATCCAAAACTGGAAAAGAAACAGTATAATGTCTTATATTTTTCAATAAATAGCTACTGATTGAAAACATATAGGTGGCAGCATACACGAATACACCCAGATGCAGTAATGACTCACAGTAAATGTTAGAAACAAGTAGGGCTTTTTTTTTTCTAGCCATTGTTCAGAGAAGGAGAAAGAAGAGGAGGTACACCCTACACATTTCAAGTACATGGAAAATGTCAATGAATGAAAGACACTGAAGAACTATTTCACTCCTGTTTTGCTACTTTATTTTCCAGCAAAGACAATGTCTTTTAAACTAAATCGTTAAATAAAATGAACTAAGAAGAAAATGTTATTTACCACCAGTAAGTGATAGTATGTCAAATCCTACTTTAAATATCAAAGTAACCAAGATCAGAGAAATTATATGCCAGAAACTCACAGGATTTACATAGTAAAACACATCAGAAATCTACCCATTCCAGAACCAGAATATATCCAGAAGTCAGCAATTTATATGAGGAGGCATCTGGAAATCATTGCAAATAAAGAATAGCTAGATGATTTGCTAACCTTAGAGAAGAATATACTAGACAGACACATAACGATAGCTGCTTTCAAATGCTTTAGGAACTAGTTATATGGGGGGAAAAAGGAAGAGATTTCTTCATGTGTCTACAGAGGTCATTTCTAAGATAAAGACAAAGTATACAGAAGATCTTTAGCTCATATAAAGAACAACACTAAGAATAAGAAATTTCTAACAAAAGTAATAAATTTCCCATCACTCAAAGTATTCAAACAGGGATGCCATTACCACTTACTACAGAAATTGGATGTAATTCCACAGAAGGTACGATGACTACAATAAACAAGAGAATAGGAACGTTAAGCAATTCTTACCTGAACATACTGAGTTATAGGATTCATCGTGGTTGTGGGCTGCATATAAGTTTCAGTGTTTGGATTAGTCCAGACATTCTGAAACTGTGGTGGAGGAGGATGATTAAAAACCAAAGGACGTGGCTGCACATGATAAGCACCTTTTTGAAAAGCAAAAAGAAAAGGCCTATTTTTAGTTCTTTGAAAAGCTACACAATTTCTTTTATGTTTAAAAAGAACAATTTCTTTTTGTACTCACATAAATTTTGTTTCCTGATTGCAGGGCCCAGCTTCAGCTTTTTACCATGGAAATTTATCTGTGACTGAAAATAAAACAGTAACAAAACTAGAATCAATTTTCAAGTCTTTACTTCCAAGACTTGGATGAACACCTAAAGTCTTCTAAAATTCCTATTATCATAGAAGATCAGTGATAACTACACACCAAATTAAAATTTGTCATCATGAAGCTACCTTACCCTTATTTCTCTAATCAGTGTCAAGAGGCATCAAGTGAAAGTTGATCAAAAACTTTTCATTACCCTGCCCTGTCTCCAACCCTTCCTGTCTGTAGTTCATGAACCTAGGTGCCCAGTCAAAAATAAACAGGTTCTAACAAGTTATGTAAGATTCCTCTAAGTTTGGATTTTTTTGACCAGAAAGTGTATCGTCTTCCAAATTTTACACAAGACTGAGTATATCACTTGACACTAAACATTGTATCAATTAAACAAATGAGATTTTTCTATTAGATTACTTACTTCTACTATCTTCTGCACATCCACGTCATTAAAAAATGAAACAAATCCATAGCTATAAAGGCAGATAAATGAAGTATAAAATCACCATCATACAGTACATGGTTCAGAACTTCTACTATATACGGAAGTGATCATGACTAAAATATGAATAATATACTATGCTAAATATTTAAGATGTACATGATAGATCCTCTACAAATACTGCTTTTTCTTCATCTGAACTATGTCAATCAAAATGTGCTAAGATTAGGGTAGTGTGAAAACTTCATTGATTAACAAAGAATTCATATCCATGAACCTGAATTTAACTTACTATCTAAGACAAGGTGGTTAAAATTTAAGATACTGTGCAATGTATGAAGAAAACAGTTCTTTGAGAAAACTGATTAATTCATTTGTATGAAATAAAGATTGAAGATATTCAAAAACAAACATTAGAAAAATGATTAAAAGAGCTGGCAATAAACTTTTATCCTCTACATGAAAGAAATTAACACAGCAACAAATTTATGTTAAGTGTCAGAATACCAATTTTGAAGTCTTCTCTGATACTCTATACGTGGCTAGAGTTCAGATATTTTTGATAAAATTACTCACCCTTTGGACACACCAGTTCGATCAGTGATTATCTTCACTTCTTTCACTGAACCATATCTAGCAAAGAAGCTTCTAATCTCAGTTTCATCCATCTATGGAAAAGAATTGAACTTCAAGAGTAAAAATTCAGCATTCAAAAATTTTAATTTTACTAAAAGAAGGTTCGATGATGTGACAATTTCTCCCCCATTTATCCCCAAATGACCAGTAGCTCTTTGTCAAAGATATTTTTAGTACCTATGGGTCAAATGTAAAACCAATTCTAAACCTCCATGAAGTACAAAAAAACCTTAAGTTTGTAACAGGGCCCAAATCCCATTATTCATAATGCATTTCAAGGTAAAAATGAGGTATGAATACAATACCCTAACATCAATTCCTCCAACAAAAACAGTGTTTGGCATGATTTTGCCTTCTGGTAAAATATAGCCTTGGCTGGTTGCAGCTGATGAGGACTGGGTGCTGGCCTCTCTGGAGATGGTTGAGTTTGGAGTTTCAGGATTTGCAGTAGACTGTAATTTGGAAAGTAGACATCATAATTAGATACACAGGAAAAACCTATACATAATGTGAAATATAATTTTTGTATTTTAAGTATAAAATATTTTATATAAATTACTTTCATTCTAAGTTAGTTCAGGCTCAGGATTTAAACTTATCAGAGTAGATCAGCATGAAATTTTAATGAAAGGATATAGTACTTTTTTTTTTTTTTTGAGAGAGTCTCGCCCTTGTCACCCAGGCTGGAGTGCAATGGCGTGATCTCGGCTCACTGCAACCTCTGTCTCCCAGGTTCAAGCGATTCTCCTGCCTCAGCCTCCTGAGTAGCTGGGATTACATGCGCCCGACACCACGCCCGGCTAATTTTGTATTTTTAGTAGAGATGGGGTTTCTCCATGTTGGCCAGGCTGGTCTCGAACTCCCGACCTCAGGTGATCCACCCGCCTTGGCCTCCCAAAGTGCTGGGATTACAGGCGTGAGCTACCACGCGCAGCCAGGATACAGTACTTTCTTAAACCCAGTATTGCTCATTACCGAGTCTTGCACAATGCTGTGGAAGAATACTTAGTATTTGTGAAAATACTATGTGAATTACTTAAAAAAAAAACAAACCCAAAATTGGAAAGTTCAGATTTGTAAAAATCAAAATTAAAATCATCCTGTTCTATATTCATAAACAACTTTTCATTTTACTGAGTACACTAATAAAAAGGATGACAAATATTAAAAAACTCCAAAAAGCCACATCAAAAAGAAAATAAGCCTCAAAGTTTTAAACCAATTTGTCCTGCTTCGCCTTTTTCACCAAAATTAACATGAATTTTTACAATTTTAACGCTGTGTTAGTATGCCTGCTTTACTTTGGAAATGGATCATGGAAACATTATTTGCTCACATGTCACAGCTCCTTCTAAAAAAAGGATTATAATCCTCTTCCCTAATGCTAGGGTGTTCAAATCATTTTTTGAAATAACATTTTTCTTCCTAACACCAAATCAGTCCCACTGATAATTCTAATTATCACAGTAGGCAGATATAAATTATACCATCTTTATTTTCAGATAAAGAAACACACATATAACTCATTTTTTCTGGATTTTGATCAGAACTGTCTTTATTCTTTCCGCAGTAGACTCTAAGGCTAATGTAAAATTTTCTGAAGTAGAATTTGTAAGTAATATATATGTTGGAGAAGCAATATAGCAGAGTGAAACAAAAATTAATTTAGTCAGGAGATCTAGGTTTATGTCCCTTACAGGTAAGTGGTTACAAGCCACTTACTTGCCAGCCGTGTATCTCTGGGCAAACTGCTTTGAGAAGGAAATGAGATAACATCTGTGAATTCATTTTGTAAAGTATAAAGTGGTATATCAATATAAGTTAGTGTCCTGTTATTTGAATTTATTTTCAGATTTTTTTTCAAGTTTCTTTTTTGGCTTTACTATTTTAGCTGACTTATCTTGAAGATACTTTTAATTAAGAACGAATTGAAACATCAGGAAACTATGAAACATCATTAATTTAAAAATCATTGGTGAAGTGCCTGTTGACTACAAAAGGTAACTACAAAAAGCTGCAAAAGAGAAAGCTATTACACATATACCTGTCTGAAAGAAAACAAGACAAAAGAAAGCAACTGTTATCTTTTTGAAAAGCACAGTAATTTTATAGGAATTAATAAGAAAGTAGAGTTCCTGCTTTGTTAATTAGATGCTAGAAGTTACTGATTCTACACAGCTTTACTAGAGATGAAATCTAAATTGTCAAATCAACTAAAGCTGAGTTTATTGCTTTTCTCTATTCGTTTGTGCTTATACTTGCTATTTTGGGTTTGTAAATAATTCCTAATTCTTTCTTTTAATAGTGGTATTTCATGACAATGATGTGGAAGAAAAATTTAAAAACTATTTCTACAGTTTTTCCTTTCTAAAAATGTCTTACGTTGTTTTTCTAAATGACATTAAGCTGCGTATCTTGAACTATTAGGAACCTGATTAGATTTCCCCCCTACAGACAATTTACCAATCCCTTCTCAGTTCATTCAGAAATCCCAAACAGAATAAAACAAAACAAAATAAATTCTGAAATTCTTGTAGTTTTTTCTCCTTTTCAATTCCCCCTTGATTTGTGGATGAACTTTGGATATGTTTTTCTTTGATAAACAAGCTATATATACAGTATTGTCTCTGCATCACAGTGTTTGGATGTATTTTAATTTAGAAGTGTAACATCTGGCAGAAAACTGTGTCAGATTATAAGAGGTCATGATAATGCATTGATTCTCAACTGGGGAAGATTTTTGAGCCCTGGGGGCATTTAACAACGTTTAGAGATTGCTTGTCACAACTGAGGTGTATTCCTGGCATCTGATGGGCTGAAGGCCAGGAATACTACTGCACATCCTACAATGCAAAGAAAGCTTCCTACAACAAGGAACTATTTGGTCCAAAATTTGAATAGGGTGTGGTTAAGAAACCTTGTGACAGTGCCACAAGAATTGAGGAGGAAAATTATTGTTTGGGAAGAACCTGATTTCCATTGTTCAGTAAAGTAAGTCTTTTCAGGACCTCAGTTTCCTTGCTTGAAAATGAATGGTTGGAAAAGATCTCTGGTGTCTCTTCTAATTCTCATACCCTATACAAGAGTAAAACGGATACTTGGCGACAACAGTAGTTTGGTAAAGAGGAAAAGAGGCATTTGATATTATTAGGAAGTCTGACTTTGGCTTGGATCTTACAAACTGGCTGCCTGCTTAACTGGAATCGTAAATATAAAATTCATAGGATCACTTTAATAGCGTAATAACATCTTAAATTAAGGAGGCACCATCATGTCCTAGTTCTCAGCCAGCAGGTGGCGCTCAAAGCTAACAAAGTAAGCAATGTACTTCATTTTTACCACGGCTTGATTAGCAAGGGTTGTTAAATTCCTACTGTATTTATACATAATTATAATGTATATATAAAAATCCACAATCAATAGACAAACTTTGGTGAAACCGTGGCCAAAAATATAAATGAATGCTTAGGATAAGCAAAAGCTTAATTTTAAAGAAAGTACCATCGTAACTGTCAATAGCATCCTGAAAACAAACTGCATTAAAGAAGTAATTTTCTTAATCATACCTTCAAGTGAGTTGGTGAATTTTGAAATGAGAAATGTTGGAATAGTAAACGGGTGAGCTTCAAGACCATCATATACACAACTCTCATTGTTATTTATAGCAAACATATTCCTTGTTATATTTGGACAACCAAGTGACAAAGACAGCTAAAAGCTGGAAAAAATTATTATGTAACTCCTGGGATGTCAGCTTCTTTCACAGTATTATCTAATTCAATTACTATGTGAACATGAAAGCAAACTGAGATTTATATAAACTGACCAGGAAAAAGGCTATAATTTGTAGTTATCAAAGTTACGTTCACACCAATAGGAAGGAACGAATAAAGAGAATGCTAAAATTAAGAAAATATGACATGAAAATCAGAATCAAAACTTTAAGTAAATCCAAGAGTAGATTCTTGGGGAGTTGGGGGTGGGGAGGATGAAATTCAAGCAATAAACAATCCTGGCAAAACTAAGCAAGAAAAGGCAAGAAAGCAAAAGGATATATGAGACCTGAGAAATGGGTTATGACCACAGATTATAAAACAATGCTATGCATAAACTCTATAGAAATAAATTTGGAAATCAACGACATGACAAACTTGTAGAGAAATTTAAATTTTTACAAAACAATCTTGAGAAAAAACACCTAATGATACCTGGCTCAGTTTCCGTGGGAGTTTTTTCAACTTGTAAAGAAATAGATAACTTGGGTGTATGTTTGTGTCAGAGAGAGGTGCACATACACATCAGACACCAGAAATAAAGACAGAAAACACAGAAGAGGAGATTAAAAAATTCAAACACTTTTCTTCAATTTTCAAAGAGGAAAAAAGTATTTCTCAACGCATTTTACAAAGCTAACAGCATATAAGTAACAAAGCCTCATCAAGATGAGCCATCCCTGCCCTCAACACAAATGCAAAATTCCAGCAGTATATAAAGAATATAGTTTATATTGGAAATGCAAGAATACTTCACAGGATATTGTTACTTTAACTCACCACTGAAAAAGCATTTGACAAAATACAGCATTCATTTTTAAATTATCTAAATATCCAAGTAAAACAGAAATAGAGACATCTTATTTTCTATCAATCTAATTCTACCCTATCATTAAGCTTAAAGTGAAATACTAGAGTCATCTCCATTGAAATTAGGAATAAGGTAAGGGCACCTCCTTATTACTACTATGTATTTTTTTCCACTATGTATGACAAAGGTGAACATTAATACAGTCTTTATGAATCAATACAAATAAAAATAAAAAGGAAGTTTAAAAAGCTAATGATCGATCAACTTCATTGATGATTTTTAAAAGTGCACATCAACATAGTAAAATATTTTCCAGCTATTAGGTTGACAATTCAAAAAATCCTAATACCTTTCATTGGAAAGGGTGTGGAAAAGAGATCACTCTACACACCATCAGTGGGAAAATACTGATACATTCTTTACACCAAGAGTAGCTTGGAAAAGATGTATCATAATTTGATAGGCGAGGATACTCATCACTATACTAATGAGGGGTGTAACTTAAAATTGTTACCAAAGGGGTAAAGCGCTTTCACCCAGCAATTCCACTTACAGCAATTCATCTCAAGGAATTAATAATACAAGCATGCCAAGATATTTACACAAGGATATTCATAGCATTTTTTTTTTTTTGAGACTGAGCCTCCCCTCTTTGTTGCCTAGGCTGGAGTGCAGTGGCATGATCTCAGCTCACTGCAACCTGCCTCACAGGTTCAAGTGATTCTCCTGCCTCAGCCTCCCGAGTAGCTGGGATTACAAGTGCGCACCACCACGCCTGGCAAATTTTTCTGTTTTTAGTAGCGATGGGGTTTCGCCGTATTAGCCAGGCTGGTCTCGAACTCCTGACCTCAAGTGATCCACCCGCCTCAGCCTCCTAAAGAGATTGATTACAGGCGTGAGCCACCGCGCCCAGCCCATGATAGTATTGTTTTAATATTGAAAAAGTATTCATCATAAGCGAATTCGGTAAAATAATGGTATAATTTTTAACATATACTGAAAATTAAAATTATCTTCAGAACAATGCCCACATCAATTGAAAGATGCAAGTTGTAAAATAGTATTATGCAGCACGGTGTAACTCTTGTAAAAGTTGGCCCATCTATATGCAATACATGCATAAAAATAATCTAGAAGGTCATACATGTACCAAAATTTAACGGTTATAAGTGTTGGGATTAAGATGGATTGCTATTTTCTTACAGCGATTGTTTTCAAATGAGTAAATATGATACTTTTATAATCAGAAAAATAATCCAATGAAACAATTCGGATTTAACTCTAAAAATGAAAAGTGTTATAATAAATAATTACTTACAACTCAAGGTGATTACTTTTTATTAGCATGGATAACTATATGTTGCACAATTACACATAATAGGTGTTTATTTTTATTTTAATGTTTATACATGGTAATATAAACTGTGTATAAATTTCCTCCCTGAAGAGACTGAGAATTATCAATGCAGACACACACACAGCATGTAATACGCGCGTTCGTGACTCAGTGGTTGGTCTGCGTGTTCAGAGCTGCATCTTGTGGTGGCGCTGAAGCAACGCTAGGCATTTACCAAACTCACAAAAACGCACACCCAACGCTATCTACCAAATGGACATTTTGTCAAAGGATCCTGGTTTATCGAGAGGGAAAAAACCGTACCCAGAATTTAAAAATTCTAAAATTCTTAATGGTAACTGCTGAAACCAACCTCGTGCGGCAAAGATGGCGTCAGGCGAGCTTTTCTGTCGCCGCCACACGAGGGAGCCGCCATCAGCAAGTCCCCCGCAGCTGACAGGCGCGAGGGGACCAGAGGCACTTCCGGCCCAGCCCCCTCAGCTACAGGGCCATGCCTTCAGGACGCCCCACACCCCACGCTGAGGCCCCCACGAACCCCGCCCACCCCACCAAGTACAGGGACCAGGAGGGAACCACTTCCTAAGGAAGCTCCGGCCCTCGAAGTTTAAGAAGGCAAGTCCCTCAGCAGGCCCGCCGCCATCTTGCGGAGCCACGGGGAGAGCGCGCCAGAAATGAGGCTGGCGGGGCGGAGGCGCGTGGGAGTGGGGGAGGGGCGGAGGCGCGTGAGTGGGGGAGCGCGTGGGAGTGGGGGCGGGGTGGGGCAGTCGGGGGTGGGGAACCCGCACCCCAAACCTCTGCCAGTAGAGAACCCGAACCGGGAAATGGGTGCCTCAAGAAGGCCGTGGCCCTTGCACGTGGCCGGCGAGGCAGCGCGTCCTCGGGGCCCACCCCCACCTTGCCGCCCTTGGCGTCCCGCGCCTGCCTCTCTGTGTAGGCCGCGCCACTGCCAGGCCGCCTCTCCCAACTCTGTGGGCCATGGCTGTGGTGCGTCCAGGCAGGTGCCCCCCAAACAGGAAAGCCGAGGATGACTTCACTTTCCGACCCTGCAGAGCCGAGTTTCACCCACGAGTGAAGACTCCGCCAGCCTTGCCCCTCGGGCCTCTCCCTCAACTCACCATGATGGCGGCAGGCAGCAGTTCCCGACCGGCTCCAGGAGGAGCAGAGGCTGTGCTTGGCGCACCACTTCTGGGGCTGCTGTGAGGTCCGCTGGAACCCGCTGCGCGGCTTCGAGTGGTCAAAGGAGCCAAAGATGAAGAGAAAAGGAAAACCAAGAGCGGGTGACAAGGCTGAGGAGCCCCGAAAGGCGGACCGTCAGGCTGAGGAGCGCAGGCGGACTGAGGCGTGGTCCGCGGGGCTCAGGGAGGTGGCTCCTGCGCCGGGTATCGGGGCGCGTGGTATCGGCCTCAGCCAATGGGTGGCAGCGCCCCGCCCCCTGCGTGGGGGGGCTGCGGGGGACGACGGCGCCCACGCGGCGGGGGCGTAGGGTACGCAGCGCGTGTGCGCAGGTCCGGTGCCTCAGTCCCAGGAAGGCGCCGCGCTCACATAGACCCACAGACACACACATCACCCCCAAAACACCCCTAAAATAAGTATGCATACTGAAATGTATGGTATAGTTTACAAAAATGATAATCTAATGTGTCTAGGCTGCAGTTTCCAAATGGCTTCTCTAAGGCACAGGGTTAGCGCCATCACTTTTAGCTTCACACTCACCCCAAAATCTTTTTTAAATGCCTACAGAAATAAATCGAAGCAAGTCTGTGGAAAACAGAAGGAGACATCAACAGGCCAGAAACTTGCACTCCTTTCTGTCAAGTTTGAGATAGAAGGGGTTGGATGGGAGGAAATGCCAGTTTGACATTCAGGATGTTTGTTCTTTCAAGAAATAGTTACTGAGTGCCTGTGATTACCAGGTACAGCAGATGCAGGAGTGAACAGAATAACAGAACATGTGTTTGCTCAGGGATCTTACATTTTAATGGGAGAATTCACCTTCCAGGCCTTACAGGAAGGCGCTAGGCCTGCCTAGAGAATTCTAGAACATTCTTAAGGTCAGAATACGGGCGTAGAGCAGGAGCAAGCTGTGGGCCAGTTGGTGGAGCCCATCACGTAACTTCGGGAACCACTGCAGCACCTTAGCTATACACACAGGGCTAAGTAGCTATGACCTTTATCCACAAACTTCACTTCTGTACTGACGGAAAGCATTAAAATGTTACTTTTTGAGCTGGCAAAACGGTGGACTTCTATAACGTGAGCAGTATCTCATTACTAACACCTAGTAATGCGGGATTAAAATAAAACGTTTTATTTTCAATATGCAGCTAAACCCATAAGAAAAGAAGGGAAATTCCAAGTACCAAAAATAAACTGAAAACCAGAGCAATGACTTATTCAACTGATTCTTCTCCTGCCCGGGATATGGGGGCTGGGCTGTAGGGCAGCCAGTCATACTAGTTTGCCCAGGACTTACATGATTTTAGCACTGAGAAATTCCTACGTCCCTAAGGAAACCAGAAGGATTGGTCATCCTAGGTGTGGGCAAAGTGTTGTTACTCTCTGTAACTTGAGATCTGGATGTTTAGTGGTAGGAGGTAAGGGCTCAGGGTGGGAGCTGGAACTGAGTACTCTGCAAAACGCCATTGTCCCTAAAATCCTTAGGAAAAGGATGGAGTAGGGAAAATGTGAAACACCCATGGCGAGCAGATGAGGAGGCTTGTCCCATCTCTGGATGAAGAAAATATGTATTTAACTCTGATTAAATTTCAAAACCCTAGACCTGCATTTCATCAACGTTTGGAGTTTAAATCTATAATATATTATTGGAATCCCCAAGCCAAGAAATGGATCCTCCTACACCATCACCCTCTCTCCTGCCTTAAGAGATCCTAGACATGGGGCATCTAGAATGCCTGGCAGAAGCAAACATAAAACCGACTTGAATGAATGCTTCTGCAACCTAGGCTGAAAGTGATTCTCATAAGAAAATGACCCTTTAATGAAAAGCTCACAATAAAAAATTATACAATACTACTTACCTTGAATAAGAATGGCATACGAAAAAGAAAGTTAAAATGTCAAAAACTAACAGAAGCAGCTTCTTTTGCATTGTGTATACGTGGTTTTTTTTTCTTTTTCTCAGTTTTTTTCCTCAACTTATTTGGAGTAATGCTCACGCTCTGGCTCTCTCTCTCTCTCTCTCTATGTGTGTGTATATGTATTATATTAATTATTAATTATTAATTATATTATATTAATTATTAATTATATTATATTAATTATATTATATTAATTATATATATATATATATTTTGAGACAGAGTCTCGCTCTGTTGCCCAGGCTGGAGTGCAGTGGCGCAATCTCGGCTCACTGCAAGCCCCGCCTCCTGGGTTCATGCCATTCTCCTGCCTCAGTCTCCCGAGTAGCTGGGACTATAGGCGCCTGCCACCAAGCCCGGCTAATTTTGTTTTTGTATTTTTAGTAGAGATGGGGTTTCACCGTGTTAGCTAGGATGGTCTCAATCTCCTGACCTCGTGATCCGCCCGCCTCAGCCACCCAAAGTGCCGGGATTACAGGCGTGAGCCAATGCACTCCGTATTTTTAAGTGATTTGTATTACTATTTTAAAATGTAAACTTAAAATATAAAGCTAATAAATAGCTTTACTTTCTTCTTGAATAATGCAAAGGCCTTTAGGATGTCTTAGCTCTACACACCCTCCCCTCTCTCAGTTTATAAGTTATTCACTATTTTAGTTCTATCCTGGTTTCATCATATAAATTAGACGTCGTTTTTTAGACACACCCACATATGTAACAACATTTTGCTTACCATTTCTTTGCATATCTCAGATCTTCCTTCTGAATCATTTTCCTTGTGCCTGTAGCAAATTCTTTAGAATTTCCTTGAATGAGAGTGTGATGTGGTAAACCCTTGCGTTTTTTTCCACCTGAAATATTTTGATTTTTCCCTGCTGTTTCATGATAATTCTACTGAATATATAATTTTAGGTTTACAAGTATTTTTTCCCCCCTCAGAATATTGAGCATATTACTCTGTTATCTTCTATTTTCTATTGCTACTGAGAAATCTGCTGTCAGTCTTTTTGATGTTTAAGACCAATTTTTCTTTGGTGTTCTGAATTTTCACAATGATGTAAGTAGATGTGGAGTTTTAAAAAATTTCTCCTGCTTAGGAGTTTTAAGACTTTCTGGATTTGTGTATTAGCTCTTAATAATTCTGAACAGTTTCACCCGTTTTCTTGTTAAAGATTAGCTGGTTAAGGGATTAAACATTATTTGTATTTTATATTTCATAAGTTATTCTTATAATTTACTTTTCTTTAGATCATGAATTTTTCAAAGGTTGGTGCTGTTTTCTTGAAATCGCTTAATAGAAAGAATTTTATCTAAGATCAAAACTGACTGTATCCATTTCAATGTGTTAAGATTAGTGGCATAATTCGTATCAGTTCAGAAATAAATCTCTATATTGCTTCCTATATGGGGGGAGAAGAAAAAAACGCTGGTGTCTTTGAACACCTCTGCCAGTTCTTCTGTGCTCCTAAAGCCTACGGCTTTGGAAAGAAGGCTATGTTTGTATAGGCACTTGAACTTCACTTCTGCAAATCATTTTCAAGATTTTTGTTATATCTGTCCTGAGTCTCTATTATTATTTACCTGTTTTAAAAATTAACTTCTTGTCCTAAACAACAATATTTGCAAGATCAGACTTACTGTTTTAGCTACATTTTTTTAACAATGACATTAAAATAAATACAGAATGATTAGAATTTAAAACAATGTTTGTTTATGCATCACTTCATACCACATACTCCCAGGGCAGCGAGTAACATAGTTTTGGGAAACACTGGATTAGCAGAACTCTATAGAGCTTTAGATATGCAAACTTAGGCCCAAGGGACTAAAGAGTAGAGTTTCAAATTGTTCTGCCTAATAAATGAGAGTAATCATATTACAAGGGGAGAAACCAAGCAAGACAGGGAAATTGGAGGTCCTAGAAGCTGGAGAAAAGAAGTAACCTTGCAGGTCAGCATGTTAGCTCATGCTTGTAATCCCCACACTTTGGGAGGCTGAGGCCGATGGATCACTTGAGTTCAGGAGTTTGAGACCAGTCTGGGCAATGTGGTGAAACCCCGTCTCTACCAAAAATACAAAAAATTAGCTGGGTGTGGCAGTGTGCACCTGTGGTCCCTGCTTCTCAGGAGGCTGAGGTGGGAGGATCATTTGAGCGTGGGAGGTGGAGGTTGTAGTGAGCCAAGATCACCCCACTGCATTCCAGCCTGGGTGACACAGTGAGACTCTGTCTCAAAAAAATAAAAAATAACCTTGCAAAGTGACAAAAAGTTGGAGCCTGCAGTGAAAGGTATCTGAGTACATTAGAATCATGTGGGGAACTTTAAAAAATTTATATGCCCATGCCTCGCCCCAAACCAATTAAATCAGCTGAGGGCAAGGCTCATAAGTCAGTGTGTGTGTGTGTGTGTGTGTATATATATATATATATATATATATATAAATGTTTCTCTAGTTACTCCAGTATGCAGCCATATTTGAAAATCGGTGCTATAGAGCCTTGCTACTCAAAGTGTGATCCTCAGATCAGCAGCTTCACATCACGTGAGTGCTGTAGAATCTCAGGCCCCACCCTAAACCTACTGAATCAGAATCTGCATTTTAACAAGATCTCCAAATGGCTCATGTGCACACTGAAGGTGAAGAAACATTGCCATAGAGAGCACTTGTCATAAACAACTTACCTCCCTGGATTTGAGAATCCTTCACCTTACAAATTAAGAGTCTACTTTCTCAGCCTTTCTTGCAGCTAACAGCTTGGGCAGGTGACCTACACAACATCAATGAGATGCAGCCATCCTAAATTTTGAATAGGGGACTAATGATGCCATAATGAAGGGACTGCAGAGAATACTTTCTGGAGAAGAGTATCAACAGCAGCAGCAGCCATGGTATAGGTTAGAGCTGCAATGACTGCTACTGTCAGTTGTGCAAACCATGGTGTACTCAGTGCCAGCTGAGGTTTCTTCACTGGACAAGTTCTGCAGCATGATTTCGTGTGTCATTCCTGGAGACAACCTGACCCTTTGGTTCATTTTGAGATTCTGTGAGCTAGTTACCCAATAAATTTTAATAAGTTCTTTTCCTGCTTAAACCAGCCAAAACTTCTGTGACTATTGCTTACAACAAAGCTTCTGGACTACATTAGGTGATGAGTGAGGTCAGCCAAACTGCTTTTAAAAAGAAGGTTAACAGCTAAAAGATTTATGACTCTTTGCTGTGATTATGTAGCAATGTCCTGCTATTGTGTCCAACCTTTAGTAAGCTTCCAGTACACACACAAATGCCTTATGTCAGTGGTGTTTTGCGAGGAGTCTCAAGGACACTCTCCATTGCAACATGGGACAGGGATAGCATGCTGATCTACAGCAAGATGACCCACAGATGAAATAATTCAGCAGGAACAGTAGCTTACAGCCAAAAGTGACCTGGAAAAGCAAAAATCATAAGCTCAGTATTCCCAGCAAGATAGAAAGAAATATGTGCTATTTCCATTGCATGTAAGCAGATGTTTAAACCAATTCCATTTAAATCTCAAGGTATGGTGCCTTGTCTTTTATTGGGCCTGCATTCATGTGGTCCAGCATAGCAACACACATCTCATGTACACTTGTGAATACTTGCAGAGACATCTATCAACTGAGCAATGTTGCTTAAGCCCTGCTTATTCACCTTTAACCCTGGTACCTGCAATAATAGTTTATTCACTCAAAACTTAAATCTCCTAAGCAGGTCGTCTGAATTTTGGGGTTGGTCTGAAGCAAACTGACATAATCTTCACGATGGCCTCATGATACTTGCCTAAATATTTAACTGAAAAATGATTGACTTGTTAAAAGTAATAATATTGACACTAGGCACTGATACTAATACGGTACATACTATGTACCAGGCATTATTCTAATTATCTTACTTCTACTAGTAGTTCATCTAATCCTCCTAACAATAGTAGGTGCTATTATTATCCCAATTTTACAGAGAAGGAAGCAGAGGTGCACAGAGGTTGTATAACTTGCCTGAGATGATAGTTGGTAAGTATCAGAGCTGAATTTAAACCCAGTCAGACTTTAAAGTCTGAGTTCTCAACCATTATGCTATATTAGCAAACTACATGGAGGAAGAAAGGGCTAATATAATGGGACAAAGTTATGTATTAAATCTCTTGTTCCCATGAGAGTAGCTAAACAAAGAAGCAAAACCCCAAATAACACTATGGTCTGAATGTTTGCCCTCCTCACCTATTCATATGTTGAAACCCTAGTCCCTGAGGTGATGGTATTAGGAAGTGGAGCCTTTGGGAGATGATTAGGTCATGAGGGCAGAGCTTTCATGAATGGGATTGATGCCCTTATAAAAGAGGACTGAGGGAGCTTAGTCACTCCTTCTACCATGTAAGAATACAGCAAGAAGTTGGCAGCCTGCACCCCAGAAAAGGGTCCTCACCAGAACCTCACCATGCTGACACCCTGATCTTGGACTTGCCGGTCTCCAGAACTGTGAGATACAAATTTCTGTTGTTTATAAGCCACCCAGTTTAAGATATTTTTATTGTAAGACCCTGAACAGATTAAGAAAGGTGGTACCGGGAGACGGGTGCTGCTATAATAAATGCCTAAAACTATGGAATCAGCTTTGGAACTGGGTAATGGGTAGAGGCTGGAAGAGTTTTGACATGTATCATAGAAAAATCCTACATTGCTATGAACAGACCAGGCCATAAAGGGCTGGTTTTGATGGGGGCTTGGAAGGAGAAAAGGAGAGCTGTAGAGAAAGCTTGACTCTTCTTAGAGAGTGCCTAAGTAGTTGTGAACAGACTTGGTAGAAATATGGACAGTAAAAGCCATTGTGATGTGAGGGACATGTTATTGGAAACTAGAGGAAAGGCAATCCTTGTTATAAAGTAGCAACGAACTTGGATGAATCATGTTCGTGTACTAGTGTTTTGTGGAATATTGCTTTTATTATAGCAGCCTGAACAGATAAGACACCAACCTACACTAATGAATTGCTCCAAAACAATTGGCCCTTGAGGAGCCTATCTGCTTAACAAAAATAAAATTTCCACATTTCCTTCTGAATTTTGCTTGTTAACAAATCTTTCAGTACTTTTTTCAAATGTTGGAATCAATCTTATCTCTACACCACTGACTCCCTACTCACACACATACTTCTCCCAGTTGCTTTGAAACTGCTTTTTCTGCATCAAGAGGCATCACTGCTGAGCGAACCCTTGCAAATCAGAGAGGTAGAAGCTGTTGAACACTTGTGGAAGAAGCAGAGAGAAAAAGCTGGTAGAACTCACTCTTTTTCCTTTCCTCATCCCTAATCACTCTCACCTCCATTTCCATAGTTTTATTCTTTCTATGTTAATTTTTTGTTTCCTATCCTTTTTTGACAATATGGTAATACATAATATGTGTCCCTTTCTTTAAAAAATTAAAAACATTAAGGTAGGCTTAAGTTACCTTTTGACCACCAGCTCTACATCCCAGATCCATCCCCAGAGATTGGTAGTTTGGTGTAAATCCTTTCAGATGTTTTTCTAGGTGTTTTCTTTTAACACTTACATAGAACATTTGCTATTTGAACTTATAGAACATATTGATACATAAAATATGTGGTATTTTTATTATACTTGTAATAGAGAAATTATATTCATATAAAAATGTTATATATAACTTATAGAAAATATATGCTTACACTATATATTTATACTTAAAGGGTATATAGAGGGAATATATATTATTTTGGGGTATATGTTCTTGAACAAAAATGCTGTTAAAATGTATGTAACTTGATTTTTTTTCTCCAACAATATGACTCAGAAATATCTACATTACTAGGTAGATATATTTTTTTTCTTTTTTAGAAATGGAGTCTTGCTATGTTGCCCAGGCTGGCCTGGAACCTCTGGGTTCAAGTGATCCTCCCACCTCAGCCTCTGAGTAGCTGGGACTAATGGGGTGTACCATCACACCCAGTTACTCAGAAATTTCTAATGTCAGCATATAGATCTACCTAATTCCTTTTAACTTTGGCATAATTTTACATAATATGGATACGCCACAGTTATTAGCCATTCCCTGGTCAATTGATGTTTAGGTCTTTTGTACTTTGTCATGGTTATAAATAATATACAATGAAACTGTCTCATTGGAGACACATGAGTATTTTTTTTTCTGGGGTGAACACCAAGAAGTATATCTGCCAGTTCATAGATATGCACATTTCAAATTTTAATAGATATCACAAAATTGCCCTTTAAAGTGTTGTGCCAATGTATACCCATTTACACTCCACCATCAGTGAGTTAGTCTTCATTTATCTATTCACTTTCCAATATTGATATCACCACTCTTTAATTTGCCTACCTGATGGTCAAGAAATGGCATCTCGTTTTCATTTTACTTTGCATTTCCCTGATTGCTCATGGAGTTAAATTTTTTTCTACTGTTTGTTGACTGTTCAGGTTCCTCATCATTGAATGACCTGTTTATAGTCTCTGGCCAATTTCCCTTTGAGTTGCTTGTCTTTTTCATATTGTTTTGTGGGAATCTGGCTTCCCTCTTTTTTTTTTTTTTTTGAGACGGAGTCTGGCTTTGTCGCCCAGGCTGGTGTGCAGTGGCGTGATCTCAGCTCACTGTAACCTCTGCCTCCTGGATTCAAGTGATTCTCCTGCCTCAGCCTCCCGAGTAGCTGGGACTACAGGTGCATGTCACCATGTGCAGCTAATTTTTGTAATTTTAGTAGGAGAGACGGGTTTTCACCATATTGGTTAGGCTGGTCTCGAACCCCTGACCTCAGGGGATCCACCCACTTTGGCCTCCCAAAATGCCGGGATTACAGGTGTTAACCACCACGGCCGGCCAGCTTCCCTCTTTATTTTCCTCCTCAGTCCCTCAGGAAAAGGTGCAGTGGTATTGGTGCCTCTTTGAAGTGTTCCAGTCCAGTGTAATGAACGAGAGTTACATCAATTTCCAAGAATTTCTTTCCCTAAACTGGAGTGATTTAAGCCATGAATCAGAGAGGGAGGGAAATTTCTGGTGTAAACATCAACCACTGAACCTTTCAATGTCTTTGAACCCATCAACTTCACTGGACCTCTTCCTAAAAAATCAGATGAGAGCTGTTACTCAAGTCAGTTAGCTCTGTACTTTCAAACATTTTTTTAAGGAGCTCAAGGAATTGCCAAAGAAAAGGAGAACTGTTTGGTGTGATTTCTAAAAAACTTTCCTAAATATTGCATTTTTTAGGCAATGTGACAATCTCAAAGCACTTTGCTGAGGGCAACATTTTGTTGTGGTCTAACAACTGTTAAATTTCTCTTCTTGCCCTGATTCCCTTAATTTAGATTGAGAATATCTGTAGAGAAAAGAAGTGAGACATCACGTGAGTAAATACAACATTGAAAAGCCCAGCATTTACAGATTAGCAGGAAAGGTTCTGACAACAACTTGATTAATGCGAAACTAAACTAAATTAATCTCTGATCACCATAAAAAGGAGAAGCTGAAATGTTTGTTTTTTCCCATGAAGGATTTTTTTCCTGTGTTTTATGTGGAATTGACTAAAAAAAAGTCCACAATTTCAAAACTTTTTTGGCAAAAACTTTGTGTACCTGCAGCTAGCATTTCAGCCAGCATGAGCAAGTACGAGGAAGTGAAAGGACTAAAGAAGAGAATACAGTCAAAGGAAAATCATGGAATAAAGAAAGACCAGACACAGAGATAATATACATACTTTTTTTAAAAAAAAGGAAGGAAGTTGAGGGAAACTTTTTTTGTTATTTCCCATATCTAGTCAGTCAACAAGTTTTATTTTGTTTTGTTTTAAAGAGATGGGTCTTGTTCTGTCACCTGGGCTGGAGTACAGTGATGTTGTCATAGCTCACTATAGTCTCAAATTCCTGGGCTCAAGGGATCCTCCCACCTCAGCCTCCCAAGTAGATAGGACCTATGGGTGCATGCCACCATGTCCAGTTAATTTTGTTTTTGTATTTTTTGTAGAGATGGGGTCTAATATGGTTAGGCTTTGTGTCCTCACCCAAATCTCATCTTGAGTTGTAATCCCCATAACCCTGCATGTCAAGGGAGAGACCAGGTGGAGGTAATTGAATCACAGGGGACAGTTTCCCCCATGACATTCTCATGGTAGTGACTTCTCATAAGATCTGATGGTTTTATAAGGGATTATTCCACCTTCACTTGGCACTTTTTCCTGCTGCCTTGTGAAGAAGGTGCCTTGCCTCCCCTTCACCTGCCACCATGATTGTAAGTTTCCTGAGGCCTCTCCAGCCATGCTAAACTGTGAGTCAATTAGACCTCTTTGCTTTATAAATTACCCAGTCTTAGGCAGTTCTTTATAGTAGTATGAAAATGGACTAATACAGTAAGTTGGTACTGCAGAGGGTGGGGTTCTGCTATAAAGATACCCAAAAATGTGGAAGCAACTTTGGAACTGGGTAACAGGCAGAGGTTAGAACAGTTTGGAGGGCTCAGAGAAGACAGGGAAATGTGGGAAAGTTTGGAACTTCCTAGAGACTTGTTGAATGCCTTTGACCAAAATGCCGATAGTGATATGGACAATGAAGTCCAGGCTGAAGTGGTCTCAGATGGAGATGAGGAACTTGTTGGGAACCAGAATAAAGGTGACTATTGCTATACTTTAGCGAAGAGACTGGCAGCATTCATTTTTCCCCTGTCCTAGAGATCTGTGGAACTTTGATCTCGAAGGAGATGATATAGGGTATCTAGTGGCAGAAATTTCTCAGCAGCAATGTGTTCAAGAATTGACTTGGATGCTCCTAAAAGCATTCAGTTTTATGCATTCATAAAGAGATGGTTTGGAATTGGAACTTATGTTTAAAAGGGAAGTGGAGTGTAAAAGTTTGGAAAATGTGTAACCTCATGATGCGATAGAAAAGAAAAACCCATTTTCTGAAGAGAAATTTAAGCCAGCTGCAGAAATTTGCATAAGTAACAAGAAGCCAAATGTTAATTGCCAAGACAGTGGAGAAGATGTTTCCAGGGCATGTCAGAGAACTTCATAGCAGCACCTCCCATTACAGGCCTGGAGCCCTAGGAGGAAAAAATGTTTTTGTGGGCTGGGCCCAGGGCCTAGCTGCTTTGGGCAGTCTTGGGACTTGGTGCCCTGCGTTCCAGCCATGGCTAAAAGGGGATAACATAGAGTTCAGGCTATTGCTTCAGAGGGTGCCAGCCACAAGCAACACGTGGTATTGAGCCTGTGGGTACACAGAAGTCGAGAACTGAGGTTTGGGAACCTCTGCCTAGATTTCAGAGGATGTATGGAAATGCCTGGATGCCCAGGAGGAAGTTTGCTGCAGGGGTGGAGCTCTCGTGGAGAACCTCTGCCAGGGCAGTGCAGAAGAGAAATGTGGGGTTGAAGCCCCTACATAGTCCCCACTGGAGCACTGCCTAGTAGAGGTGTGAGAAGAGAGCCACTGTCCTCCAGACCCCAGAATGGTAGATCCACCGACAGCTTGCACTGTGTTCCTGGAAAAGACACTCAATGCCAGCCTGTGTAAGCAGCCAGGAGAGGGGTTGTACCCTGCAAAGTCATAGGGGCAGAGCTGCCCAAGGCCATGGGAACCCATCTCTTGCATCAGCATGATCTAGATATGAGACATGGAATCAAAGGAGATCACTTCAGAGCTTAAGATTTGACTGCCCTGCAGACTTCAGACTTGCATGGGGTCTGCTGCATCTTCATTTTGGCCAATTTCTCCCATTTGGAATTGATGTATTTACTCAATGCTTGTACCCCCATTGTATCTAGGAAGTAACTAACTTGCTTTTGATTTTACAGGCTCATAGGCGAGACTTGCCTTGTCTCAGATGCAACTTTGAACTTGGACTTTTGGGTTAAATGCTGGAATGAATTAAGACTTTGGGGGACTGTTGGGAAGGCATGATTAGTTTTGAAATGTGAAAAGGACATGAGATTTGGAAGGAGCCAGGGACGGAATGATATGGTTAGGCTTTGTGTCTCCATCCAAATCTCATCTTGAATTGTAATCCCCATAATCCCCATGTGTCAAGGGAGAGACCAGGTGGAGGTGATTGAAACATGGGGGGCAGTTTCCCCATGCTGTTCTCATAATAGTCAGTGGGTTCTCATGAGATCTGATGGTTTTATAAGGGACTCTTCCCCTTTCACTTGGCACTTCTCCTTTCTGCTACCTTGTGAAGAAGGTGCCTTGCTTCCCCTTTGCCTTCTGCCATAATTGTAAGTTTCCTGAGGCCTCTCCAGCCATGCTGATCCATGAGTCAATTAAACGTCTTTCCTTTATAAATTACCCAGTCTTGGCCGGTTCTTTATAGCAGTATGAAAATGGACTAATATGGGATCTTACTGTGTTGCTCAGGTTGGTCTTGAACTCCTGGTCTCAAGCAGTCCTCAACCTTTGCATCCCAAAGTGTTAGGATTACAGGCATAAGCCATCATGCCAGGCCAACAAGTTCTTTAAATGGATTCTCTAACAAATCTTCCTTTCCATTTCACCACTTTCTTTTAGACAATAACACATATCCTTGGTTAAAAGAAAACCAGGTCATGTTCTTTTTATTTTGGAATATTCCAATACCTGTATTACCGGTATTCATGCCACCTTAAAACTCTATCAAACACTACTGTCAATATATTGCTTTTCTGCTCTGCTCAGAAACCTTCCAGGGTTCCCTAGTACCAATTTTATTATATTGAATATAAGCTTTAAGTTTAAGCTGGCTCTTACAACCCTTCAATATATGACCCCATCCTATCTAGCCCTCATCAGTCTAACCAGCATTGCCTTCTCATACAGCCTTCTGTGTTCTTTCCATTTAAAATGTCCTTCCTGCTTTGCTTTTATTCTCTGAATTCTACCTCTTATTGAAAGTCCAGTCAAGTTTTCCCTTCTTTGTGAAATTTTCTGTCTTGTCCAGTTTATCTTCCCCTCTGGTAGCCATTTCAGTATCCACAGTATGTAATGTGCCATTTTGGATGGCAATACGTATGAAAGTGGGAAAAGTGTTTGGATTTGCGTTGGGTTAGCATTGTCCCTAGCACTGCACTTAATGACACTGGGCAATGTACTCACCCTCTCTGAAGCTCCATTTTCTCATCTGTAAAGTGGGGACAATATTGATTTCACCTTAGAGGTAAGGATACCTTTACTTCTTAGGTAAAAGATAGGATAGCTGGAAAGATAGGTATATGGTACTTAACATCATGCCTGCCACAGGAAGAACTACACCAGAAGTGTCAACAATTTCCTTCTTGTCTTCATATCTCCTTCTGAAAGAATCTATGCCTGCTAGAGCCCCAGAAGAGATACCTACCAGTTTAGATGCTTTTTGGATCTAAGTAACAGAATGCCTAACTAAAAGTAATCAAATAATACTGACTAAAAAAAAAACTAAATTAACATGATACTTCATGTTAATTTAGTGCTGGTGTCGAGGCTCAATGATACATGGCTCTGAATTGCCATCTCTGGGAATCAGTTAGTACCACAAAGCATGACTTACATTCATGCAGCAGAGTCAAGAGTATGGAAGGAAGGAACTCTTTTCCTACAACTTACTATTTTGGAAGAAAACCTTCCCTTGGCTTTCTTTTATGTCTCATTGGCCAGAAATATGTGATGTGTCCAAGCTTGGAGGGATTCTGAGTAAGTACATATCTGGCAGAAGGAAATTGCACTTATCATAATTGACTTGGACCAGCTATGATTCATCTCCTGGGATTGGGTACATTCCTGCCAGAAGTGGTGTTCTATTATCAAAGGAGAAGAGGGAATGGCTATAACATAGGCACCAATCCTGTTACTCTTTGGGTAACTCAGGATGCCACATGACCTCTTTCTACTGACCACAACTGATTAGATGGGAATAAACATTAACCCAAGCTGAATCAATCAGATTCTCTTTCATTAGGATTTTAATTAAGAGCCCAAGAATCAATAGTTCCTGATTTTGGTGCGTTGGTGGTATAACCAAACTTTAAAACTTTACATTCTATGATACATTCCAATAAAGGCTCCATTTAGTAGGGTTTTGTTTCTCGAAATTAGATTAACCCTGATTAAATCACAGACTCACGTATATGGTCTCTGTTAATGATCACTAAAATAACAGCTGGTATAATATTTACTATCCTATTTTGTTTTTTAATTGTTTCATTCATGTTTGTCTCATCTTGCGCACAACCTATAAATTGTTTAAGGCATAAATCAATCATATGTTATTTCTCATAGTTCTTAAAACAGTATTAACAACAAGGTATATTGAGATCCCTTACTATTTGTTGATTGATTGATTGCCACCCCCCTTTTTTTTGGGAAAGGATTTCACTCTGTTGCCCAGGCTGGAGTGCAGTCGCGTGATCTCAGCTCACTGCAACCTCCACCTCCTGGGCTCAAGCAATCCTCCCACCTCAGCCCACTGAGTAGCTGGGACTACAGACATATGCCACCACGCCCGGGGCTAATTTTTTGTATTTTTTGTAGAGATGGCATTTTGCCATGTTTCCCAGGCTGTCCTTGAACTCCCGAGCTCAAGTGATCTGCCTGCCTCGGCCTCCTAAAGTGCTGGGATTATCGGCGTGAGCCACCGCGCCTGGCTGCAGTTGCAATCCTTTTTAGTTAATATTTTAAGCTGTTCCAGAAGCAGATAAAAAGAGAAACATGATGATATGTTATCTGTCAGATTAGCAAAATGCAATTCCAGATTGTTGGTTTGATAAATTTAAAGTATTTTAAAATTGATAAAAGAATAAAGAAATATATTCCAAATTGACAAAAGAATAAAGAAATATATTCCAAAATACAAACAGTGGTTGTGTGATCTGTTAGTGTTAGGATTTATAGGTCCTGTCTATGGGTCTATCTTCATAATACTAATCTAAATTTCAAATTTCTACACATGACATGAATTACTTTCAGAATCTGTAAAAAAAATACGTTAATTTCAAAAGAGGCAATCAAGAAAAGACAGTTGGCCATTTAGTACATGTTTTTAAATTTTCTTATTTTGTTTATGAGTAGGCTACAAATTAACTTTAATATTAGAGACACCAACTTTGGTCTTAATTGAATATTATACAAATTAAACTTTGACTTCTTCTTACTTTAGAATAATATTAATCTTGTAGGAAAGTTTAACACAATTTTAAGCACATATACTAGCAAATTACAAGTCTTCTCTTAAAGAACTTCAAAAATTCTTATTTAATTTAAAACATGATTTAAAAATGAACAAAAGACTCCTTGGCTATGTTTTAAGTCTAAAATCATTTGAGTTTTCTTGATATTTCTGTTCACTGTTTAAAAGAAATGCTATTCTGTTAATAGCTCATTCAAATGCTTAATGGGCATTTGTGCAAAGTCTGACCAGTAAAAACAAAATTCCCCCAGAATCCAATATCACCAAAGCTTTTGTTTCAAGTCACAAATTAGACAAATTTGTTTTTTTCTAACACTGAACATTTTGTATCAATCAGCCTCAGTTTAAGTAAATATCCATCTCTTTACAAAACAAAATTAATATTAGAGATATTTTTGTTTGTAAAAAGAGCCAGATTCAACAAGTTCCAGATGTTGCACCTGGACCACAGATATATCCAAAATAACAAAAAAGGAAATACATTTTTTTGTTTTGTTTTGATTCCAAGCAGAAACAATCGCCACTCATGAATTCACATTAGAAAATATATATATATATATATACTCTTATACTCCATAAGGAAACACCGTTGTTTTAGCAAAGTGCTGCAAGACCTGATGTTATGTAAGTATCACACCTTCCTATCACAGGATTGGTAGCAGATACACAGATTTGTCATCTTTAAAAAGCCACTGCCGTTGATTTTATAAGAGTTGCCAGGGTCGAATATTCACCCATGCTACATTTGGATGTGTGAGCAAAAGGCAGCTTCCTGATATTTAACTTTCATTGACAGCCCCCATGGGGCGTTAGGGGAGGGTGGAGATGGGAGGGAGGCAAGCTCTAATCTGGCCTGTAGGTAATATTACAGGCTCTGCTGGGGTCATCCCTTTGGGGTAATTTAGTCCCTGTGTCTCAGTTTCAGAATAAAGCCTCTTTCCTCAGATTCTCTCAAAAATGGCAGCTGGTAGATGGGCATTTTATAAGACCTTAAGGCGGTGGAGGAAGAGCCTCTGCTCCATGCTGGGCTCTCACTGGTTGTGGCTGCAGGGTGGCCGGCTCTGCCTAATCTCTGTTCTGGTGGCCCCTGGGAGAGCAGCCTGGCTTGGGCCTTGTGTGGGCCCCACATAGGCCCTGGACAGTCTGCAGATCTGCAGGTTGCATAATGGTAGCCATATGCCCAGCTAGAATGGGGATTCCTTTACTGCAGGAGAAAGGGAAGGAATATGGTTATTAATAGAAGTCTCTTCCTTGATAAATTTTAATTATTCCATCCTTATGTTGCAAGAATACATTCTTGAGCTTGAGTTTCTAACTTAATGTTGATGGAAAAAGCGTGTTTGATTAAAAGTTAAAAAAACAAAAAAATGCTACCTGTTCTAGCTTTTCTACTAGTCTATTGTGCAGGCTTAAGGAAGTCTGTACTCCTGATTTTGGTGTCCTTTTCTTTAAAAGAAGGGGGTGCACTAGATGTTTCAGAAGGTTCCTTGAAGCTCTGATTGTATGTACATAAATCCAGTAATAATTTTAAAGGTCTATGATTCACAACTCTTACTTTACATAAATTTCAGAAGTTATCCTGACAGGAATACATGGGAGAATAAATTCTTCTATCTAATCTTACCTGCATTCAGAAAACTCTTAATATAACGAAATTGCCCAATATTGCCGACAGTTCTTACCCTAAGCACTTGAGTACAATTTTATCACTCTGGTTTTCAAATCTTACTTCTCTGATGGTAGATACAGATCATATTAACCGAAATTATTGTAACAAGATGAATATATGTATCAGTAACTACACAATACATTACCTATTGGTAGTGGTTCGAAGCTGCTTTGAATGCATTATGGGTAAGTTTATGATAAATAGATTAATAAAGAAAAATGGAAATACTAGTTACATATTCTTAGTATCTGAGATTGAGGTCATGTAGCTTAATTAGACTTCCCCAGAAAAATCCTGCATATTGTCAGAGACAAAATAATTAGCTAATTGGCTAGTTAAACCACTGTTTTGGTCATGAATGCCATTTTTTAAATGTTCTTATGAATTTGACCTACAGATAAATCTTGGGCATGGTTTGGCAAATTTAGAAGACTGAATGTGTCATTTGGGATGGGCAGAGTTACATTCATGGCCTAAGTGTTCCCTCATCTCACCTGCAGCTGGAGTTGCACCATGATTCCATATCTGTTTTGTCTTCAAGATCTCTGTAGAGAATATTATCTATTTTAGGTGTTTTTTCTGGGAAGATAAGTTCCAAAATCTATTTTTCTACTTTTTACCATATATTTTTGTTGGGGAGGAAGAAATAGAGAAGATGACAGAAATAAAAGCTCAGTTTGTGTTTGCAAACTCTTTGGAAATCATGTTTAGCTACAATGTTGAGTCTTCTGGAGTTTCTCAACTCAAAATTAAGTGCCCACTTTTGTCTCCTTTCTATTTCTAGGATTTCTTTTCTCCTTGAGAAGTAGATAGAGGATCTGAGGACAGCAGCCATAAGCCATGGCCTGCTTTGAAGACCAGCAGATGGGAGAGATAGGCATCCTGAGACATTCTTTCTTTGGTATCCTCAACACTACTATCACTATGTTTGTTGGAAGGGGCATGATGATGCTGCAAAAAAATCAGGTGAGGACATGCACAGTGCACATAACCCTGTTTACATTGAACAGACTGAACAGTCAAATGTAAATATGTGTGCAGAGTTTGCTTGAGACAGAAGTATTAATCCACTTCTTCTTTCTCCATATTTTCTGCATCTCACTAAACCCAAAGAATAATATTAGTCATATGTACCTTCACAATAATTATATTTGCTTTTGCCTTTTCCCTTTAATCTTTGTTTACTATTGGCTTCAGCACACAGACTATTTAAATTTTTAGGTTCTTATTTGTCCATCTCCTTTTGAAAGTGTGGTAGTGTTTTTACAAGTAAATTTTTATTACACCTGTAACTGGAAGATTCTACCAAGAAAGACACAGCAAATTATTTTGAAACAGATTTTTTTTATTTAGAGAAGAATTACTTAAAATGGTATTCCTTGTTTATCTAGAGATACCCAAGATAATAAAAGCCATCTATGACAGACCCACAGCTAGTATCATACCGAATGGGGAAAAATTGAAAGTCTTTTCTCTTAGATGTGGAACATGACAAGGATGCCCACTTTCAACACTGTTATTTAACATAGTGCTGGAAATCTTAACTAGAGCAATCAGACAAGAGGAAAGGGCATCCAAATGGGAAAGGAAGTCATCAAATTATCCTTGTTTGCAAATGATATGATCGTATATTTGGAAAAACCTAAGGCTCCAAATTTAAGATCATATGATCTGGTCATATCATTTTGGCCTCTAAGACCAAAAAGCTATTAGAACTGATCAACAAATTCAATAAATTTGCAGGATACAAAATCAACATATAAGAATTAGTAGCATTTCTACATGCCAATAACAAATAATCTAAAAAAGAAATCAAGAAAGTAATCCTATTTACAGTAGCTACAAATAAAATTAATCTCCTAGGAATAAATTTAACCAAAGAAGTGAAAGATCTCTATAATGAAAACTATAAAACATTGTTAAAAGAAATTGAAGAGGGCTGGGTGCGGTGGCTCACGCCTGTAATCCCAGCACTGTGGGAGGCTGAGGCGGGCGGATAATCTGAGGCTGGGAGTTTAAGACCAGCCTGACCAACATGGAGAAACCCTGTCTCTACTAAAAATACAAAATTAGGCAGGTGTGGTGGCGCATGCCTGTAATCCCAGCTACTTGGGAGGCTAAGGCAGGAGAATCGCTTGAACCCAGGAGGCAAAAGTTGCGGTGAGCTGAGATCGCAACAAGAGTGAAATTCTGTCTCCAAAAAAAATAATAAAATAAAATAAAATAAAAATTGAAGAGGACACCAAAAAATGGAAAGATATTACATGTTCATGGATTGGAAGAATCAATATTGTTAAAAATGTTCATACTACCCAAAGCAATCTACAGACTCGATGCAATCCCTATCAAAATACCAATGACATTCTTCACAGAAATAGAAAAGGAAATCTTAAAATTTGTATGGAAACACAAAAAGACCCACAATAGCCAAAACTATCCTGAGCAAAAAGGACAAAACTGGAAGAATCACATTACCTGACTTCAAATTATGCTACAGAGCAATAGTAACCAAAACAGCATGGTACTGGCATAAAAACAGACACATAGACCAATGGAACAGAATAGAGAACCCAGAAACAAATCTACACATTTACAGTGAACTCATTTTTGACAAAGGTGCCAAGAATATATATATTGGTGAAAGGAAAGTCTCTGCAATAAATGGTGCTGGGAAAACTGGATAACCATATGCTGAAGACTGAAACTGGACACCTATCTCTCTCCATATATAAAATCAAATCAAAATCAATTAAAGACTTAAATCCAAGACTTCAGACTATAAAATTACTACAAGAAACCATTGGGGGAAACTCTCCAAGAGATTGATCTGGGCAAATATTTCTTGAATAATACTCTACAAGCACAGGCAACCAAAGCAAAGCAAAAATGAACAAATGGGATCACATTAAGTTAAAAAGCTTCTGCACAGCAAAGGAAAAAAAAAATCAACAAAGTGACGAGACAATCCACAGAATGGGAGAAAATATTTGCAAGTTCTCAATCAGACAGAGGATTAATAACTTCTCAAACAACTGTATAAGAAAAATCCAATAATCCAATGAAAATTCGGTAAAAGATTTGAATAGACAGTTCTCAAAAGAAGATATACAAATGGCAATTAGGTATATGAAAACATGCTCAACATCACTGACCATCAGAGAAGTGCAAATAAAAACTACAACAAGATACACTTCATCCCAGTTGAAATGGCTTTTATTCAAAAGACAGGCAGTAAGAAATGCTGGTGAGAATGTAGAGAAAAGGGAACCCTCGTACGCTGTTGATGGCAATGTAAATTGGTACAATCATGATGAAGAACAGTTTGAACGTTCCTCAAAAAACTAAAAATAGAGCTACCATTTGATCCAGCAATCCCACTGACAGATACATACCCAAAAGAAAGGAAATCATTATATGAAAGAGATATCTGCACTCCCATGTTTATTGCAGCACTATTCACAATAGCCACGATTTAGAAGCAACCTAAGTTTTCATCAGCAGGTGAATGGATAAAGAAAATGTGGGAAGCTGGGCGTGGTGGCTCATGCCTGTAATCCCAGCACTTTGGGAGGCCAAGGTGGGCAGATCACGAGGTCAGGAGTTTGAGACCAGCCTGACCAATATGGTGAAACCCCATCTCTACTAAAAAAAAAAAAAAAACAAATACAAAACTTAGCTGGGCATGGTGGCATGCACCTGTAATCCCAGCTACTCAGGAGGCTGACGCAGGAGAATCTCTTGAAGCTAGGAGGTGGAGGTTGCAGTGAGCTGAGATTGTGTCACTGTACTCCAGCCTGGGCAACAGAGTGAGACTCCATCTCACACAAAAAAAAAAAAAACAAAAAAAGAAAAAAGAAAAGAAAATGTGGTACATATACACCGTGAACTAGTATTCAGCCATAAAAAGAATGAGATCCTGTCATTTGCAACAACATGGATGGAACTGGAGATCATTGTGTTAAGTGAAATAATCCAGGCACAGAAAGACAAACTTCACATGTTTTCACTTATTTGTGGGAGCTAAAAAAATTAAAACAATTAAACTCATGGGGGATAGAGAGTAGAATGATGGTTACCAGAGGCTGAGAAGGGGAGTAGGGTTTTTTGGCAGAAGTGGGTACAAAAAAATTACTAGAATGAATAAAATCTATATTTGATAGCACAACATGGTGGCTATAGTCCATAAAAATTTAGTTGTACATTTAAAAACAACTAAGAGTATAATTAGGCTGTTTGTAACACAAAGGATAAATGCTTGAGGTGATGGATACCCGTTTACCCTGATATGAGTGTTATACATTGTATTCCTAAATCAAAATATCTAATATACCCCATAAATATAAACACCTACTAGATACCCACAAAAATTAAACACTAAAAAAAAAAAAGCAGGCCCTTCATATGGGCTATATTGGTATATGTTAGGAGGTCAAATAGTGAGGAGTACAACTGAGAATAAAATATTTAAGTGTAATCAGGTTCAATCAGTATTTTAAAAATTAGTAGTCCGAGGAAATATGAGCTTGAACCAGAAACAGAATAAAAAAAACAAGGGTGGTGAAAATTAGATAGTTCAGGCTAATACTGACTGGCATCTCTCCAATATAACAGAAAGAAGACATCTAGTTCATTGCATAATTTTGATCACCAAAGAATAATATGGCTTACACACAGTTAGGTGAAACCAACTGGCATTAGGCTGCTCACCAAGGAAGGAGGGAAAGGAAGCTTGGTACACTAACCGCTTCCCACAGGATAATCATGTGGTTTCAGAAGAAAGTCAATGTAAATGCTTAATTTGGGCACTGAAGTAGGTAATATTGTGGGGAGTGTACAAACAAGACAAAGAGATACTGGGTAAAAGCCCTCGAAAGAGGGATGGGGAAGACGTCGTAGGCTGGCTGAACTAAAATCAATGTCTAACTCCTTCTCCCTCACCCGTCTCAACTACAGAGGCTGTAAAAGCTGAACGTTTGATTTTTCTAGCCTTTGTTACATCTAGGGGACCAAATGACACACTTGATATAAATGAGACACAGGCAGAAGCCCTTGGGGGAGCCCCTAGTGTGTCACTTTCTGAATAAAAAGCCAGAGCCTCTTGAAGAGAAAGCCCCTTGCCCGTGGTCCCTTCCTCTTTTCCTTCTTGGACATGGTAGTGAAGCTTGGAGGGGCAGCAGCCACTGGAGGACCATGAACTGGCTAACATGGATGTGAAAATCATTACATTAAAGATAGAGAAGCAGAAAAAGAGAAAGAGCCTGGGCCTTTGATAGCATCATTGAGCTTCTTTCTGTAATAGCTCTGCTTAGCTTAGAACTTCATGTTCCACGAAAAAAACATCCTGCCTTAACTACCATTTTTGGAGTCTTCTTCATTTGCAAATGAATGCGATGTTAACTGATACAGCGGTCAAAGAAGTGAAAGGTTTTAGATTTAGAATAAATACATAAACATAAGCATGCATGTTTGAGAGCTTCATGGGTGCTGTAGACATATCACTTCTGCTGACACTAGTTAAGATCCTATCGTTTTATAATCAAAGGTGTGTCACTTATTCTGTAACTACTCAATATCACTGCATGGAGGAAATCATGAACAGCGAAAACATGAAAACATGGCAGCTCAAACATCTGGAGCCATCTGTGATTTGGCTTGGGATTGGAGCTAGCTATGTAACCTGCTACTCAGATGGCTCTCTTACCCAGACATTGCCTCTGAGCAGGGAGTAGAAAGGGCAGCCAACAGAATGCTGTACACATTGCCAAAAAGGAAGGAGATCAATTTCTATAAGGAGCCTAGAGTCTTCTCAGAGGGAAGACTCTGAGACTCCAATCCCTGCTCTCTGAGATTCAAAGTTAGGGACACTTGATGGGGTGGAATGAGATGGCCTTGACCAGGAGAGGTAGTTCCAGTGCAAAAAAACTCAAAAGACGCAAAAAAAGAACTCACTGAAAGGAAGACAAAGTATGACTTGGTGATTTGGTTGCTATACAGGGATCCAAGAATTTGTGGGGTTTGCTGGTTCTGGTCCTGTAGCTGACTTATTTACTGTCCACTCAAATTGAGTGCCCCTCACTGTAGTACTCCTCCTTATGAGAGGATTAAATATCTCTAGCCTATGAACTTGGACACCACACTGACTGTAGTATTTGTTTTGGCCAGTGAAATATAGAAACAGTGATGTGTGTCAGTCACTTCTGGGCAAGGCAGAGAGCTAGCTAGTGTGTGGTGTACTCTGCTCTTTTTCCTCTGACTGGGGATGCTCCATATGGGGGCTGCTCTGTCAGTTGAGGTCGTGGAGTGAAGAGGAGGCAGAGCAGAGCTACAGCAGACCCACATGGGCCAGGTGAGAAAGAAACCTTTGTGATTATAAGCCAATTTGATGTAGGGATTGTTTGCTTCTGCAACAAAGCCCAGCTATCCTGACTCCTCCGTTGGGACTAATTGAGAGCACTCGATACTAAACTCAAATGGGATGCTCTGTGCCTACATGCTTTTAGTGTTTCACTTCTCAAGCTGGGTTCCACAGAGGGCTAAATCTGTGCCAAGTATTAATACAATTCAGTGGAAGAAAATTGATACTGGTGAATTTCTTTCTTCTTAAATATCTAAGAAAAATATCAAACCTATAGTTATTCTTAATCGCATGGGATAATTATCATTAAAAATGGTATGACATTACTGAGAACATGGCCGTGGTAGAATAATGTTGAGAATTAGCAATTGGTGCTCTTCTTACATTCCTCCTCCCACTCTAAAGTTGTATATCAGAATTATTTCCTTTACTTGGACCTTTCACCTCTTCTTTCCCCTAATCCAGGCACCCTCTCCACCAGGTAGATAGGGGCACAGAAGACAAGAAAATAAAGATGGCATATTTGAGTCTTTAACTGGTATATGTCGAAAATTACAGAAGTAGTTAAAGGTAGAACTCATGGGATGCAAAGGTGTATATGAGAAAGAATTGAGAGGAACCATTTGAAAGGGCTGCAGCATACAAACGAGAGACCATAAGCTCCCGCAGAATTAGCACAATGTGATACTAGTCCCCAAAGGCTTACAAAAGTTAAGTATGGGCCTTCTGTGCTTCCAGTAGCGGTCCAGAGAGGACTGCCAATAGACCCTTGTCAGCACGATTCTCATCAATTATCCAGCACAAGTGACGAACATCTTACCATGAGTGGGTAACAGTCAGGATGCTCAGAAGCCCCCCTGAAATGCAGGGAAGGGCATGCGTACCTGGTGGTGATGATGGTGGCTTGAAGGGAAAGCTCCTGCCTGCACCAAGCTGGGATGATAAAAGCCATCTGGAAATTCCCCAGTTCTTCCTGTTCCCCAGGAAGTCAAATCATGCCTGACACAGAGGCAGGATGTTTAATATGCACTTTGTTACATGGACAGCATTTATCTAAGTCTGTGCTAAGTATTTTGCATTAAAACTTATTTTTTGTCTTAAAATTTTACTTAAATACCCCAAAATTGAAAACACATTTTCACACAAATGCTTGTATATATTAACATATTATCATGGCAGCATATTTCCTAATAGCCAAAAAATGGAAACAACCCAAATGACCATCAACTAATGAACGGATAAACAAAATATAGTATATCCTCCATACAATGGAATATTATACAGCAATAAAAAGGAGTGAAGTACTGATTCATGCTATAGCATGGATGAACCTTGAAAACACCAAGCTAAATGAAATAAAGCAGGGCAAAATGACTCATTATGCATAATTATTGCATAAATCCATTTATGAGAAATGTCCAGAAAAGGCAAACTCGTAGAGACAGAAAGATTAGTGGTTGCCAAAAGCTGGAGAAGGGAAATGGGGAGTGACTACTAATGGGAATGGGATTTCTTTTGGGGGTAATACAAATATTCTGAAATTAGTAGTGATAGTTGCATGACTTGTGATTATACTGAAAATCCACATTAAAAGGTTGTGGCACATTATATTTTAATTAAAAATCAATTTATAATATTTAGTTTTCATTGAATGTAAAAATATTTGTACTACCTAAACTTGAACCTTGTGGATCTGATATTGAAAGTTTCAAATAAAAGGCAGTCTTGATACTGCACAAACTGTGTCTATCTCAAACAAGAAAAAAATGAGTGCTTCAAAATGAAAATGAAAATCACAGACTTTATTTGCTTAAAAAACAAAGGAAGTGAGCTATTTAGGATGAAACAATTGAATTTTGGAGAAGCCTGCTTCACTAGTCCTCAAAGTACACTGATCATATTGTTTTTCACTTTGAAAGAAATATTATTTTTTTCAGATTATAACACAGTAAAGATAAACTTTAGGAATGGACTAAATGCTGTCTTTGATCATCAACATTATTTCGAATATTAGGCTCACGATTTCTAAAAAGTCATGAAAACATCATTCTCATGAAAAAATTTTGGTGAAGCATAACTTATTTTAAAAAGTAAAACATGATCTTGATATAGTTTATTCTCAACATAAAAATGTTTTTTTTTGCATTGTGCTATGAAAAATAACACATGCAAATTAAATGTTGATCATTGACTCAACTAACTGATCAGTGTGATTATTTTTTCTGTCTTCATTAATATAATTGAAGTATGCATTATACCTCATGAGCTCTCCTTAATATCCTGTCAATAAATTACACTTTCAAAAGTGTTCTGTGGTCAAGCAAGTTTGGGAAATGCTGCTGTGGCATAGTTCTTTGCACACGTTTACACCAGAAGGCTTTCCCGGCAGTATGTTAGATTGCTAAAGGAATTTATAATCCCCAAATTTCAATTGCTTATTTTTAAAAAGAGCTCACTTTCCATATCTCAGGTGGGTCAGCACCTCAGCTTACAGTCAGCGTGACAGCAGTTCAGTCTCTACATTCGCTTCAGTGATTTCCTTGGAGGGCATTGCAGTGTTGTGCGTTGGCAACTAAATGCACTGCCCAGAAGCAGTATGCCTCTTCCACTCACATGTCATTAGCCAAGGCAAATTATATGACCACACCTAATTTCAAAGGGGACAGGGACATGCAATCCTACTGTGTTCCTGGAAGGAAGATAGCCCAACTAGTGAATGGCCCTAATGTCTATCCTCTAGTTTAGCCATTGTCCAATGGAACTATAATGAGAGTCACAAAAGTAATTTCCAACTTACTAGTATCACTATTAAAATTGTGAAAAAGAAGCAGTTAAGATAATTTTAATAGTCCATTTTATTGAAATGAATTATGGAAAATAACACATAGCCATACTAAAATTATTTAGATATTTTATTCCTTTTTCTCTACTAAGTCTTTGAAATCTGTTGTGTATTTTATGCTTACAGCATATCTCAGTTTCTACTGGCCATATTTCAGGTGCTCAATAGCCACGTGTGGCCAGTGGCTACCATATTGATAGTGCAGCCCCAGTGCTTATGGTTTGGGAACATAGCCCTAAACATGACCACAACTATGAAATTTCCTTAAAGAGACATATTTTAATTTAAAAAATTATCATATATATTTTAGTATAAAATGACATTTTAATGATTTTTTTACTACCTAAACATTGCTCTGGGAAAAGGTTGTGTTAACCCTATGGCTCTGCTTCTAATAGCATATTACCTTGAACCTCACAAAGACTGGACTAGGACCTGCAGACTTCTGTTCAGTTCCAGATTATTTGGAGGTAAGTCATGTGGACTTGCTGAACCTCAGTTTCCTCATCTATAAGATGGCATGCTTAGATGATATAATCTCTAAAGTGCCTTTTAAATTCTCAAATTCTAAGAGTCTCATTAGAATGGCTTTCCCCTAATCATGACTAGGGCTGAGTTTTCTTGTTTGTTTGTTTGTTTTGTTTTAAGAAAAAAAATGGCCTGTTGCACAGTGGCCTATAGAGTAACCTGTGTGGGGCCACTTTTTTTCCAAACAGGAGAATTGCTATGCCCTACCCCAAGAGCTAGCCATCTAAATTCCATCATTACTGGGCACCCATTGGGAAAAGGGGGTCTCTCAAGTTGAGAGACACAGACAGCTTCTAAGATGCTGTCCTGAGCATGTCCCTTAGAAAGAGTAGCCTTAAATCAAGATTTGTTGGCCGTGGGTGCCTATAAATGGAGGTTGGATAAACTTCTAGCATTGCCACTGGAATTTCCCTGGGCATTTCACCTCAATGTGCGGGGGATAATGTCCAGTGCCTAAATGATTAATGATCCACAGGGTATTTCAGAGGCCAGGGTAAGATTGGAGCAGTAAAGAGGGAGGGGAGTGAGAACATCTTGCTCTCACCCCATGGTCAGTGAACTAGTTGGTTGAGGACAAATGCTAGCGCCTGGGGATAGGATCTCACTTTGGTGACTTTGGGGATGCTGGCTCCCCTTTGGATGGATTTCACACAGGGAGACGTTGGCTTGGCTTGAAAAGGCCTAAGGGCACAGCCTCTGCACACTCCTAAGGAGCTGCCCAGGCTTTCTTCAGACATGGATGCCTCAGGCACTTGCCTTTTCTCCTGAAGATTTTTAAAGCAACAGCAGTGGAAATGGAAGTGTCTTCCTGTGGCCTGATCTGAATTCACTCACAAAGCAAATTTCAGTTCCTCTACTTATTTGAAATCTCCTCACAGACAAGGCACCAGGGTTAATTAGTAGAGTTCATTTACTGTCAACCGAACACTTGGGAATAAGGAATTTAGAACCAGGTCACTAGGTGAGTGTAATTCACTATGAGTGTGCAGGGCAAAGTGGTTTATTTAGAGGTATTAATAATGGCTTTTTGTCTTATATAGATTGAATATGTACAGTATTTTCTACTCTCTTTCTTCAAACTCATGTAAAAAATACATTGAGTGTTTTTATGAGAATCTTGGGCTGGGCGTGGTGGCTCACGCCTGTAATCTCAGCACTTTAGGAGGCCGAGGCAGGTGGATCACAATGTCAGGAGATCAAGACCATCTTGGCTAACATGGTGAAACCCCATCTCAACTAAAAATACAAAAAATTAGCTGGGCATGGTGACGTGTACCTGTAGTCCCAGCTACTTGGGAGACTGAGGCAGGAGAATCTCTTGAACCTGGAAGGTGGAGGTTGCAGTGAGCTATCGTGCCACTGCACTCCAGCCTGGGTGGCAGAGCGAGACGTCATCTCAAAAAAAAAAAAAAAAAAAGAGAATCTCTAATTTAAGCTGTTGAGCTCCTGTGTAGTTCAAGGAGGTGATAAATTCCTGCTTAAATAATATTAAGATTCCAGAATCTGAGCTAGGATATTGATTTTTGAAACTTTATGCCAGAACTCTGTGACCTTCAACATTTTTCTTACCCCTTTGGGCATAGATTTATACCCAGGCCTTAAGAAATGGCTCTCATGTCCTAAAGAAAAGTGATAAAGAGGACAAAAGAGTGTGCAGTTCAGCTTTCATTCAACTGAGACATCTTATCAGTAAATTCCTACATTCTTGGATCAATTTCTGGTGAGCAGGACAAAATGAAATATGTAATGTGAGTTCAGATGAGGTGAAGTGAGGCTGTTTACTTGACAAAATACCTGTGTTTTTGTTCTGTTACAGCTGGGTATTTATTTCTGACTCTATGTGCCAAACAATGTAATTGAGCAGGCTGGTACGAGGTTGAACATTTGCTGCATGGGGACCAGTTCTCATTCTTGTTCCAACATTCTTGAAAAACCTTATGTAGTGGATATGCCAGGACTGCCTCAAAGAGAAAACAGGCTGAGGTCACTGAGGGTTATTTCTACCACCTTCTCCAGCCTCAGCCCTGGGCTCACAGGCCTGGACCCTCTTGGTTTGGGTGCCTCCTCAGATCATTATGGGCTCCCAACTCCTGTCTTTGTCATCTGTTCTTCTCTAATTTCAGCCACTTCCCACCTTTCACGTCCTGAGGTGCCCTGAACATGCTCTGCACTTCCTAACACTCATGCCATCATTCTTGATGTTCTCTCTGATTGAAATCATCTTCCACCCTCTCTTCACTTGCTTGCTAGATGAACCTCTACTCATTCCTCAAGACCCACCTTGAATTTCTCTCTCTTTTGTAACGTCCTCCTAAAATCCCCCACCCCCATCCCTGCTATCTTGGCCTGAAGTAACTGCCACCTCCTCCTGCGCTTTCAGAGCCTACTGATTACTTCCCTCTCTCTAGTACAGCGCTTACCATGTGGTTTCATAGTGGCAAGTGGCTTTACACAAGTTTCTTATGCTTTCTGCACCTCAGCTTTATCATCTGTAAAATGTGAGTAAAAATAGTGCCTACTTCATAGGGCTATGTAGACATGACACTTGCAAAAGTCCTTAGCACAGTGCCTGGCACACAGTAAGAACTCAATCAATGGCTGCTATCATTATGATTGTAGTTATCATTGTAATTACTCACTATATGGGACAGTGTGGAACAGTGGCAAAATACCACTTGCTTGGCAAGGTTTAATGGGGAACACCAAAGCAGCAGTCTCCCTTTGTTCTACTCTATTCCTTTTTAGAAGTATTTTATTGTGAAAATTTCTAATATTCACAAAAGTAGAAGGCATAGTATAATGGACCCCCAATATGCATCATCCAACTTCAATAATGATCAATACACTATCAAACTTGCTTCATCTATTTGTCCTCTCCCCAACCCTTACAGGTTACTACTTTTCTACAGCTTTATTGAAGTAGCTTTATGTATCATAAAATTCACACTGTAAATGTATAGTTTCACGATTTTTGATGAATTTCTAGAGTTGTGAAATCATCAACTGCAATCCAGTTTTAAAGTCCATTCCTTTTTTATTTAAAGAGAGAAAAAGCAACTCTCTTTCTTTTGTCGTTACCATACTTTACATTATTTTTAATAAGGGTTATAATGAGAAGAGACAATGCTCACAGAAGAAGACCAGGCGTCTATGGACATTTTTGTCTTTTCCATGTCTGCTATGAGAAAAAGTTGTGTTTTCTCCACACTGCAAGAGTCTGTTATGGAAACAAGAGGGTCTTTGGACTTGTTTGTCTAACTGTTTTAATCTTCTCCTCCCACTGCAATAAAAACCATCTGGCATGTTGAAAAGGTGGAAGATAAAGAAATGGACAAACTATAAAATGCTGCTGGAGGCTGAAGATGGTTGTTTAATATGTGTACAGAAACAAAACAGATTGGGTTAATTACAAGAGATGATCAAACTTAAGGCAGTAAGATATGATTCCTTTCTGACTTCAATTCATTACACTGCTTTGGTCAGCTTAGCACATTATATTTGCCATGGAGACTGTAATTATTTGCAGGAACCACGATACCAGCTTTAATTTCTTCTTTCAAGTTGGTCAAAGCAATGACCAACTCTAAGCTATGCAATCGGTCTTGAGATGGCACAACTATGGCTCATTCATTTGCTCTACAATTATTCAGTTCTTCTGATAGTTGGGATCATCCTAGTAGATTACCCTAAGCAGCTAGGTATGGTAGAAAGAGCAGATGTGTGTTAAAATCATGGCTGTGCTATTTAACTCTAACCCTCAATTACCCTCTCTGAAAAATAGGGATAATAGTTCTTATTGCACAGGGTTGCAAGAAGATTAAATGAGATCATGCATATGTGCATGACACATTGCAGACATTTAGTAACTCTTAGTTCCCATCTTTATCTAGGTATTGGTAGGGTCACAGATGTTTTAGGTCAGGTTCACTAGAAGCAGAACCCAAAATGGGAATTACTTTTGTGAAAGTAATTTATTGAGAGAATGCATTTCAATAAAAACCCATAAGGTGCAACCGTCAACACAATCAATTTTAGAACATTTAATTACCCCCAAGAGCCCTGCAACTCCTTAGCTACTCTCCCATTGTCTACCAGGTCTAGGCAACCAGTAATCTGCTTTCTGTCTCTATGGATTTCCCTATTCAGGCCATCTCATATAATGTGAAATGTTATAGTGGAATGAAATCATATAGTATGTGGCCTTTTGTGAATGGAATTATATAATAGGTGGTCTTTTGAGAATGGCTTCTTTTACTTGGTGAAGTGTTTTCAAGTTTTACCCACATTGTAGTACGTATCAGTATTTTATTCCTTTTTGTTGCTTAGTAGTGTTCCATTGTGTGACTATAGCACTTTCTGTTTATCTGCTAGCTAGTTTGTGACCATTTGGGTTGTTTCCATTTTTTGACTATTATAAATAATGCTGCTATAAACAGTTGTGTATTTAAAAAAAACCCAGAAAATAAAATGAAAAGCCTATAAGGGAGAGAGTGAAGCAAAACAAGGTAGGGGGAGAAAACAAGGAAGGATGTAGATTCAGGTGAAGTCTAGCCATGGCCCAATCCCTGGGGGCTTGGGAGCATTAACAGCCGAAGAGTTGTTCCCCAGTGAGACAAAGGGGCCAGCTTTTTGCATCTCATATCAGTCAATCATTGTGGACTGCCTTGGTTGGGATTATGGAGTGTCACCTCCAGGGACAAGTGTCTATTCTCAGGACAGAGGAGGCATCTGTGAGCCCTTTGCAGTCAACCCTCAGAGAAGCTGGGGCATGGTGTACTGGCATAGTAAAAGGGATCTGGATGGGTCACTACAGCATCACCTACAACAGAGGCAAAACAGAACTGACTCTGCCTTACAAAAGTATTTGGGAGGATATGAGACATGTGAATCATTAGAGGAGGGGGCATTCTGCCACTCTTCCAGCTAGAAAAATTTTTTAAAAACAGACTTTGTGGAGAAGGAAGCAATGAGATGGAAATATAGATGAGAAGATGAAGAAAAGAGTTCACTGGTGTTTCTAGTTAGGGGAATATCATAGGCCAAGACTTCGGAGGAAAATCAAAGTTCTTTCATTGAATGTTTCAGTTCCAGACACTTTGCTAAGTGCTGGGGCAGTATATTGTTTGATTTGAATTTGCATAACATTAAAGGGAAATATAAGAGATAAGTTTGAAAAAGTAAATCAAAACAGATTGGAGAGGGGATGTGTGAACGCTAGCCTAAGTGTTTTAGAGTTTATGTTGGTGGTGGAAGCCACTGAAAGTTTTTGAATAAGGCAGTTACATGATCAGAGCTGACAATAATAACTAGGCTTATAATTCTTTTTTTTTTTTTTTTTTTTTGAGACAGAGTCTCATTCATCGCCCAGGCTGGAGTGCAGTGGTGCAATCTGGGCTCACTGCAAGCTCCGCCTCCCACGTTCACACCATTTTCCTGCCTCAGCCTCCCAAGTAGCTGGGACTACAGGTGCCTGCCACCACGCCTGGCTAATTTTTTTTTTGTTTGTTTTTTTAGTAGAGACGGGGTTTCACTGTGTTAGCCAGGATGGTCTCGATCTCCTGACCTCATGATCTGCCCGCCTCAGCCTCCCAAAGTGCTGGGATTACAGGCGTGAGCCACCACGCCCGGCCAAAGGTGCCTCATTGTTTTAAGGCTAAAGACCACACACATTGCCCAGACCTGCAATAACCTGCATCATCTGGGCCTGGTCTGCCCCATGGCATTCACCCAGAGCATCCTGAGACATGTGCTTAGCATTGCACAGCCATTCAGGAGAGCTGGGTGTTCTCAGCCCTACCACTCACATACAGCAGGACCTTGTGTAAGTTACTTAGCCTCTCTGGGCCATTATGGTCCTCATTTATCAATTATTGATTACAGACAATAAATGTTATAATTTTAGGGCCTGAAGAGACCCTTGGGGTCATGGGCATCAGAAGATTCCCTGACAACTGATCTGGGCATCACATCATGCATGCAAAGGAAGATTTAACAGCACCACAGCAGAGCCATGCATAGGAGCACATAATCATTCAAGCTCCAGGACATGAGAGGGGAAGGAATCATCAGCTCTGGGAAGGGCAAATTCCAGAGGGCCTTCTAGAGGTGACCCTTGAGCCATGTTAAAGATGGAGAGGGACTGTACCTTTGGCAGAAGTAGCAGAGAGGAAGACATCAGCACTGGGAGACCTGGAGAGTGCAAAGACAAGGAGAAGAGAATGCTGAGGCACTGTGCTGATGAGTGGTAAGGGTCTGCTCCCATGGGTGGACAGGTTGAAGGCGGCCTTGATGATCAGGCAGAAGTGGATGGGCTTGATAAATGAGCTATGAACCAGCGCAACGTACCCTGGCAAGAGAAATACTGTAAATGTGGTGTTTAAGGTAGCTATTTGGAGAACATTTGTTTTTGGTCTTTGAACAAGTAACTAGGAAAAATATTTAACTTTTTATTCTGAAGTAAACTTAGAGGAAAGTTGCAAACATAGTACAGAGATTTCCCATTTACCTTTCACTCAGCTTCCCCAATAACATGTCACATACCATAATACTATTACCAAACCCAGCAAATCAGCATTGGTAAACTATTATTAAATAATTTGCAGACATTATTCAAATTCCTGCAGTTTTCCCACTACTCTCTGTTGTTTTACTGGTCCAGGATCCAATCCAGGATTCCACTTTGCATGTAGTGATTATGTCTCCTTCGTCTTCTCCACACTGAGACATTTCTTCAGGTTTTCTTTGTCTTTAATGACCTTGACACTTTTGGAGAGTCCAGACTAGTTATTTTGTGGAATGTCCCTCAGTTTGGGTTTGTCTGGTGTTTTCTTATGATTAGATTGAGATTGTGGATTTTTGGCAAGAATACCACTGAAGCGATGATGTCTTCTGGGCACACCTCACCAATGGGTACATGGTACCAGTATGTCTTATTATTGGTGATATTAATTTTGATCATAAGGCCAAAATAGGCCTACCAAGTTTCTGCAATGTGAAGTTACTATTAGGAAAAAAAATGGTTTGAAATCACATTTCATGGGATCTTATTAAATTCTTACAGATTGATCTGATTATGTATTTGTCTTTAAAATGGGTTGCTCATTCAGTCATTCAGTTATTACTTACTGAGGACTTACTATGTGTCAGGCATTGTGCTGGAAATGGCCGTGAACAAGACAGATGGGGTCCCCACCCTTGTGGAATCTAGTGGGAGAAAACATTAAACTGAACATCACCAGGTTGGAGTAGAAACACGTAACAAGGAGCTGTAAGTAGTTTGAGAGTAGGGAAATGCATGGTGGCAGGGTCAGGGGAAGATGGTGAAGCTGAGACCTGAGGGGCAATGAGAGTTATCCAGCGGGAGGGGGATCGACTCTTAGGAGGGAGTTCCTTTCTGACTATTTTTTAGCTTCCGTTTTTAATTAGAGAAATTTATATTCATTATTAGAAAACAAATTAAGAGTGCAGTATTTTTTAGTGTCTAAGGTGACCAATAATAAATTGAGATAATTTATTTGACAAGTTTTGTCTTGTAAAACTATTTGTTAAATAAAGGTATTCTGAATGGAGACAATAAGACAATACATGTAAAAATATTTGGGCTGAAAGACTTACATATTTGGATTAAAATATTAGACATAAGACTATCTTCCATTTAGCAGAATTGACTGTGAGTTTACCAGGTAACTCAGCACTTATAGAGAGAATATTTTCTCAATTAAGAATAGTATGGTGTACAGAAAAGAGTCATTGAGAGTGTCAACAATTTTAAAATTATAAATCATAACATGCACCTATGAAGAAGACTACAGGTTATTTTATGAAAATAAGACCACATTAAAAATGCATTGAGAAATCTCACTGATGGTGTTAGAGACAGATACAGTTAAGAAACAGATTAAAATGCGTGAACATGTATCCAAAATAATTATTCTACTTGGGTTATATTTTAATATTCAGATAATCAAAATAAAGCAATTTTAAATATTGCTTTAATGTACACAGTATATGTTACTTTTATTTTTTGGAAATTAATTTATTTTTGAAAATACTTTTTGAACTGTTTTAAAGATCTATCAATAAAATAAAATAGTAACTTAAAAACATGTCACAGAGTTACCTAATTTGAATTTTTACCCCCTTTTACCCTCAAAAGCTATAAATTATGTGATCTTTCCACCTATGTCCTCACTAGCAAATCTAGACCCCAACACTGGCAACAAGCTAAAGGAAACAGGCTTTTCCCTTTTTAGAAGGCAGGAAAGAATTGTGAATCCTCATTGTTGTCTCGTCACCTATTTTTTTCTTGCAACAGTCCGTTTCCTCATAAGGTCACATAAACTGAGCACTATGTGCTCAAAAGCTGTCTGAAGTTCTTTGCATGAATCAACTCATTTAATCATTAAGGTAGCCCTATGATAGGTATTGTTATTATTCTCATTTGCAGATAAGGAAACAGAGGCTTTGTTCAAGTTAGCTTGCCCAAAAGTACATAGTTTATAAAGGTCAAATCTGAGATTAGGATCATGAATCTCTGTCATTAACTACCCTCCATATTTCCCTTTTAAAAAATTCTGCTTCATCTGCCAAATTTCCAGATTTCTTGGAACAATTATAATCATTCAAGGATCCTCTCTCAGCATCTTTATTATTCTAAGTGCCCACACTTCTTACTGGTGCCAGAAAATTATCACTACCACCCCACCAATTGAACTCTGAATGGAGGGACTTGCTGTAGTACTTGTACCTATGGACAATAGCTCTCGAGAAAACATCTTAGGTTCATGTAGAGCTGTATCGCCAACTGAGCCTTCATTGCAAACATTTTTCAGTGTCTTGTTGAAGTTGACTAGAACTCCTTTTTTTTTTTTTCTTTTGAGACAGAATCTCGCTCTGTCGCCCAGGCTGGAGTGCAGTTGCATGATCTTGGCTCACTGCAAGCTCCGCCTTCCAGGTTCACACCATTCTCCTGCCTCAGCCTCCGGAGTAGCTGGGACTACAGGCACCTGCCACCATGCCCGGCTAATTTTGTTTTTGTATTTTTAGTAGAGATGGGGTTTCACCGTGTTAGCCAGGATGGTCTCGATCTCCTGATCTTGTGATCCGCCCGCCTTGGCCTCCCAAAGTGCTGGGATTACAGGTGTTAGCCACCGCGCCTGGCCCAGAACTCCTTTTAAGAGCAGAGTGGAAATACTGCTGATTTGGAGTCAGAAGACCTAATTTTCAAATTGTGGCTTTCAGTTCCTCACTAACAAGATGAGCACACTGTTTTGTATACTTAGTACAACTGTTTTAGCCATCAAATTAAAGTGCTTAAAAGTATATTATAAACTGTGCTATCGAATATTAATTATTGTTCTACAAGTAATCATGGAACAACACTTTACATTTGTACTATTCTTTGCAGTACTGTATTATTTCATTGAATCTCTCAGTAACCCTATGGCTTAGGTATCATTATCCCCATTTTACAAACAGGGAACTGAAGCACAGAGAAGATTAATGCTTTCCTGTATCAGTGAGCTTAGACTGCCATAACAAAATACCATAGACTGGGTGGTTTAAACAACAGAAATTTATTTTTTCAGAGTTCTGAAGGCTGGAAGTCTGAGATCAGGATGCCAGCATGGTAGGGTTCTGGTGAAGGCTGTCTTCCAGGTTGCAGATGGCTGCTTTCCTGCTGTGTTCTTATATGTCAGAGAGTGAGAGACAGAGAGAGACAGAGAGAGAGAGAGAGAGAGAGAGAGAGAGAGACAGAGAGAGAAAGTTCACAAGTTCTCTGATGTCTCTTCTTGCAAGTATACTAATCCTATCATGAGGGTCTCGTCCTCATGACCTTGTCTGAATCTGAATATCTCTCAAAGGCCCACCTTCAAATACCATTATATTAGGGGTTGAGGCTTCAACATGAGAATTTTGGGAGGTCATAATTCTGTCCATAGCACTCCTCCTTTGATATGGTTTGGCTGTGTCCCCACCCAAATCTCATCTTGAATTGTAATCTCCATAATCCTATGTGTCTAGGGAAAGGCCAGGTGGGATGTGATTGGTTCATGGGGACAGTTTCCCCCATGCTGTTCTTGTGATGGTGACTGAGTTCTCGCGAGATCTGATCATTTTATAAGGGGCCCTTGCCCCTTCACTTCTCCCTCTTCTCTCTCTTGCCTGCCGCTGTGTAACACTGCCTCTTCCCTGTCTCCCTAAGTTTCCAGAGGCCTCCCTAGCCATGCAGAGCTGTGAGTCAATTAAACCTCTTTTCTTTATAAATTACCCAGTCTCAGGTATGTCTTTATAGCAGTGTGAAAATGGACTAATACATCCTTTTTTCTCTTCAAGGTCATGAAGCTCTTAAGCAGCAAAGCCAAATATTAAATTAAAGTTTTCCAACTCCAAATCTTGAACTCTTTCCCTAAAACCAGAGGCACCTCACATTATTTTGAAACTGACTTAATAGTCAAGGCTTTCCCGTTATATCTGGTACTTCTTATGACAGACACCATCTTAATAGAGATTGCAGTGTTTTTCTATCCACTTCTCTAGCTCTTGTGGAAATCAGATTTGAGAACATTCCTCCTTGGTAGTAGTTTCTTTATAAAAGGCACTAGCTAACAGGTTCTGAAATGAGCCCAACTAGAAACTCAAGAGTTGCCAAAGGACCTTCTGGTTTCAAGATGCACAATAATTTCAGAAATTATTAATATTATAGAAAAGTAAAGTTTATAGAAATGGAAGTTTTGATCCTTTAACCTATGTAATATAATATGTTTTTTTTAAAAAACCTCCTTAAGATAATATGTTTTTTTCTTGGTGACCAATGAAGTTCAGAACAGTTTTATTTTTTTTATTTATAAAAAGCAGGGAAGGGAGCCAGGCACATTACCTGAGGTCAGGAGTTTGAGACAGCCTGACCAACATGAAGAAACCCTGTCTCTACTAAAAATACAAAAAAAAATTAGCCGGGCATGGTGGTGCACGCCTGTGTAATCCCAGTTACTTGGGAAGCTGAAGCAGGAGAATTGCTTGAACCTGGGAGGCGGAGGTTGCCGTGAGACGAGATCATGCCATTGCACTCGAGCCTGGGCAACAAGAGGGATGCTCCATCTCAAAACAAAAACAACAAAAACAAAAAATAAAAATGAAAAGCAGGGAAGCGATGATTTTTGTTTTCCTGGGAACTTTCATCTCTATAAGCTTCCCTTCCTCCAGTTGAACACAGTGATCTGTTGTGATTAGATTAAAAACAAGGGTTGTCTGCCGCTCTTTTTTTCCTCCTATCGATTCTTGTTGCTTCAAATTTTAGAATTTACTATTTTGCTGCTTAATTAGTATGTTTTGAACGTGAAAAATCATCTTGAAGGGTCTATTACACTTGAAGTATTTGCTCTTAACATTTTTATTTCTGCCTTACTTCATTTCTACCAAGAGAAAAGACCAGTTTGTTTTTTACTCTAACAAAGCATTCTAGCAGGTCATTGCTGGAATATCCCAGGGAAGGTCTTTGAAGTTGTTGATGTAAGCAAACTAGAATATTTCTCAGAAGTCTGAACAATATAACTTCTAAAACAAAGATTTTTTGTGTGGACCAAATTCATCTGAGGTGAATTATTATTTCCAATTTAGCTTGGGGTTCTTCCACATTAAAAGCCTGTGCTCATTTAACCAGTATTAATTGAGTATCTACTATGTGCCAAGCCATTTGCCAGGAGGCAAAGATATAAAACTGAATAAAAGTGGATCTGATAATAGTTGGATGGAGGTGAAAGACAGTGTAAAAAAATCAATAAATGGTATAATAGAGCACACTCAAGGTTTTACAGAAGGTCTGAAGAGAGGGACCATTATTCCAACGTCTTGAGGTTACTGAAGTACAGCCTAAGAAATGCTTTAAGCAACTTGTTATGGTTAATTTTATGTGTCAGTTTGATTGGGCCTCAGGGTGCCCAGATATTTGATGAAACATTATTCTGGTTTGTCTATAAGGAAATTTCTGGGCGAGATTAACATTTGAATAGAAAGACTGAAAGCTTCCTATATTCCTATAAAGCAGATTGCCCTCCCTAATGTGGGTGTGTCTCATCCAGTAGAACAAAAAGGCTGAGTAAGAAATAATTTCTTCTGCCTGACTGCCTTCAAGCTGGGACATTGGTCTTTTCCTGCCTTCAACTCAAATGGAAACATTGGCTCCTTTTGGGTCTTGAGCCTGATGACTTTCAGAATAAAACTTCAACTATTGCCTCTGCTGGTTCTCAGGACTTCAAACTTGGAAAGGATTTATACCATCGGCTCTTTGGGTTTCCAGCTTGCTGATCACAGATCTTGGGACTTGTTAGCCTTCATAATCATGTGAGCCAATTTCTTATAATACACCTCTCTCTCTTTCTCTTTGTCTCTCTCCAAACACACACACACACACACACACACACACACACACACACACACACACACGCACACACACCTTATATTGCTTCTGTTTCTCTGGAGAACCCTAATACGTAACTCCTCCATGCATATCCTGTGAGTACCTTTATAAAGTGTCAACTTGGCAAGGCTAAACTACATTTTCCACAGATTTCTTCCCTGTATGTTTAAGGTGGGCCGCAAGAGATATTTGGCCTAGGATTTGGAAGCAGTGGCAATATTGCTTTTATGTGCAGGGGGCAGAGTCAGGGGTTGCAGGGGTGGTTGTTGTAGAGGCACCAGGTGCTGGTTGCAGCTCACACATCTTGTCACTATCTGTTGGCTCACCTTATTGGTGTGGAACCGCAGCTGGGCTGGCAGCTTTTCCACCTGCCCCTGGATCTTTCTTCAGCTTTTCTGGCTCTAGTGAAGTGCACGGTTAGCTTTTTGACAAAAGGCACCCATGTCTGCTGCCGAACACCTGCATTGTTAAAGCTGGAAGCATTAGGAAGCATTGGTTCTAGTTCATCTTCTTGGGCGCCAGCTTACACTCGCAGTTTCCAGTTTTTTCCTTACTTTATGTGAGGGTTTCTCAGCCTCAGCATTATTGACATTTGGGTTGGATAATTCTTTACTGTGGGGGACTGGCCTATTCATTGTAGGATATTTAGTGGCCTCCCTGGCTTGTACTCACTACATGTCATAGCCTACACCCAAGTTGTGACAAGCCAGAATGTCTCCAAACAGTACCACATGTCTCCTGGGGGTCAAAATAGGCTCTAGTTAAGAACCTCTGCTTTATAGCCATATTCCTTTCCCAACTACTTGCTGAAAACTTCAGGCTCTAACATTAGACACAGGGCCTTACAGAGACTTTATAACCAAATCCCGTAATTGTGAAAGATCAAATCCCTGAACAAATCCTTTATTATATATCTCTCTCCTAGTGGTTCTGCTTCTCTGATTAAATCCAGACTGATATCTTCCTTAGAGTTGGCTGAATCTTCCTGAGTCTCCTGGACAGCTTTATTCATTTTCATGATCCCTTTGTATCAACAATCTCCAGCACCATCCCTACTATAGCCAGCCCCCCATCCTCAATACCCTAGTGAGGTAACTCTGCCTTTAGAAGAGGGACAATCAGATCCATAAAAAGCATGCTTGGAACAAAATCTGAGTGTAACCCTGCCATGTGGAAATGTAGATCATGTCCTGCCAGTGCTTCCAGGAGCTGTTAGAGCTGAGGGCAGTGCTGTAGAGACTCAGTGGGACTTAGAATCACGGGGGATTTTATTGCTAAGGATCTAAGCCTTAAAGGAACAGTTATAGGCTTTGTTTTCAAAAACTTCCAGCATATTTTTATTCTATTTTATCAAAGTGATTTCTATAGGAATACATTATAAACCAATGAAAATCATTTGCTCTTCGACTACTCTCTAGTCCCAGAGAACCTAAAAGAATATTATGTTTTATTTAGCCAAGTAGAAATCTATCACAAGCTTGGATAATAGACTTTATTTTCTGGTAAACAGATAATAAAGTCCTTTTGAAAAATTAGCAAAAGTAAGATAGAGGTATAATAAAATCAGATCTATTCATTTTTAAATACATACTATGAGCTGGGCACTGTGCCTGGTGTGGGGTATCTGGTGACCAACCAGACAGACAAGATTTTTGACCTCATGGAACTTACAGTGGAGTAGGAGAAACATTCATTACACAAATAATCACATAATGAGAATATGAAGTTATACATTAAGTTCTATGAAGGAACAGTATAGAGTCTTTACAGAGAGAGATCAAATATAGATGGCAGGGGTAAGTGAGGAGGGGCGTTCCTAAAGAAGTGACGTGGGCTCTGAAACCTAGAAGATGAGTTGGAGCTAGTGAGTGAGAAGTAGATGGAAAAGAGTTCTAAGCAGGGACAGCAAAGAACTTGGTGCCTTCAGAAAGCTATAAGAACGCTGCAATGGCTGGGTCTAGTAAACAGGGAGAAGAGAGCGGGGAGATGACTCTGCAGAGAGGAGAAGCAGTTAGATTGCTCCAGGACTTGCAGGCCAAGCTTGGGTTTTACTGTTAGGAACGAGCCATCGAAAGGCTTAAAGTCAATGTTTCTTTGAGAAAATGATGTTAACAAGGGAGCAAATCATATGGCTGTACCTGAGGAGGGAGCAGTCCGGGGAGGACTATCTCTATCCACTATCTTATGGCTATAGTGATGAGGGAGTAGTCCAGGGAGAGGGAATAGCAAATTCATAGCTCTGAGTGGCATGCCTAGTGAGTTCAGAAAACTCCGCAGAGGCCAGTGTGGCTGGAGTGGAGCAAGCAAGGGGAGAGCATGGAAATAAGCAGGGCCAGAACCTCCAGGGTCTGGTGTGCCATTTAAGGACTCTGGCTTTTATTCAGAGAAAAATGGGGAACCATTGAGTACGCAAGGGACATGATTTGACTTACATTTTACAAGGATCACTCTGGCTGCTGTATTGTAAAAGACCGTGGGGATGGGGCCAAGAGGGGAAGAGGGAAGACTGGCTGGAAGGTTATTATAATAACTGAGGCCAGATAATGGTGGCTTGGAGCAGGATGATAGCCATAGAGCTGGTGAGAAGCAGGCAGAGTCTGGGTGTTCTTTGAAAGTAAAGTTATGGATTTGCAGTAGATTGAATATGGGTATAAGAGAGAGAGGGGAGTCAAGGATGAGGTAAGGTTTTGGGCCTAAGAAAATAGACTTGCCATAGACTGAAGTGTAGAAGACTGCAGGGATATCAAGTTTTCAGATCATCAGCCAGTTTCAGACACATTAATTTTTAGGTGTCTATCAAGTTCCCATGTCATGTAAGTAAGACAGTTAAGGAAATGACATCCCAAAATATGCCACTTTGATATGCTGATTACTTTAACAGAGGGCACTTGGAAAACAGCAAATATAGGCATAGGCTCTCTGGGCTCCCCTTATCTGCCTAAAGATGAACTCAAAAGGAACTCAATTTTTATGAATCTCCTCTCCAGGAGTCTTATTAACCCGGGAAGATTGACTTGGATCTCAGGAGAGGAGACTGGAGGTCCACACCATGCCAGACAGACTTTGTCACAAGCTATTATCTCTTCTTCTGGGGGTCATTCATCTTTCCCCAAAATCACTTACTCTCCTCTAAGTTGCCCACACTCCTGCCCTCCCCTCTATGAAGAGGGTGTATATGCTTCTAGATCTCACTGGGTTTTGGGATATTAACTTTTCTGCAATAAATTTGTATACCTTTCTCCTGTTTACTTGTCTACTATCAGTTTATTTCTTAGACTCAATTATCAAACTCTCAGAGAGTAGAGGGAAAGTTTTTCCTTCCCTAAAGTTCTGGCAGTGAAGTTGGTATCAAATACCGCTAACTGTGAGGCTGCAGCTAAGAAACCCTGGCATCTGACAAAGTTAAGACTTCTTACCATATCAGTCTCTTGGGTATCTGCCTGTAGAGTCCAGTTGAGTGAAGGTGGTGTATTAGTCAGGGGTCTCCAAAGGGACAGAACTAATAGGATATATGTATATATGAAAGGAGTTTATTAAGGAGAGTTTATTAAGGAGAGTGTGAGTTGGTCCACACAAAAAATCTTTGTCTTAGAAGTTATGTTGTTCAGGCTTCTGAGAAATATTCTAGTTTATTAAGGAGAGTTGACTCACACGATCACAAGGTGAAGTCCCATGATAGGCTGCCTGCAAGCCGAGGAGCAAAGAAGCCAGTGGTGGTTCAGTCTGAGTTCCCAAACCTCAAAAGTTGGGAAGCTAACAATGCGGCTTTCAGTCTGTGGCTGAAGGCCTAACAGCCCCTGGCAAATTACTGGTGTAAGTTTCCAAGAGTCCAAAAGCTGAAGAACTTGGAGTTCAATGTTCGAGGGCAGGAAGCATCAGCACAAGAGAAAGATGAAGGTGGGAAGACTCAGCAAGTCAGCTCCTTCCACCTTCTTCTGCCTGTTTGCTCTGATGATAGTTTCTTTCGCTGTGCAGAAGCTCTTTAGTTTAATTAAATCCCATTTGTCAATTTTTGCTTTTGTTGCCATTGCTTTTGTTTTTGGCAATTTCATCGTAAAATCTTTGCCCACGTCTGTGTCCTGAATGGTATTGCCTAGATTTTCTTCTAGGGTTTTTATAATTTCGGGTTTTACATTTAAGTCTTTAATCCATCTTGAGTTAATTTTTGTATACGGTGTAAGGAAGGGGTCCAGTTTCAATTTTTGCATATGGCTAGCCAGTTCTCACAGCACCACTTGTTAAATAGAGAATCACTTCCCCATTGCTTGTTTTTGTCAACTTTGTTGAAGATCAGATGGTTGTAGAGGTGTGATTTTATTTCTGAGTTCTCTAGTCTGTTCCATTGGTCTATGTGCCTGTCCAAAACAAATTCTAAATTATGTCTTTTGACCTTAAATTAACATTAAGATTTTCCAGTTGGGCCCCTGAAAAGCTTTGAAGGAGATATCTTTCACCCTATAAAAGAGAGAGATTAAAATAATTAGAATTATATGACATGTTAAATTATATGGGAAGCATTGCCAAATAATAAGTGATGCTAAACTTCTTTAAGTTATATTTATGGGTATGTTATTAATATAAGTATGCTAAAAATTATATGAAATTCCTAGAAATCTAATATGTTATCAGTCACAATTTTGGTTATTATGTTAAAATGTTGCATACTATAGAAATAACCAAAATTTTCTGTCAATTGTGCCATTATTAAAATGAACTCTCATTATATTCTTAACTATGGCCATTTAAAGTCTTTCGTAAGCCTTGAGGAGTTATTCTTTTACTTTGATTATTCTTTAAAAGCATTTGCAATCAGGCATAGTCCAAAATTACTTCTTCTTGAAGAAGTTTCATGGAAAGGACTCTGGCAAGTACTATCGAATACAGATTGCTGATGAATTTATTTGTATCAGGTAAGAATTTTAAAAATTCTAATGAAGAAACTGATAGCTTCATTAAGCAGAACAATAATTAATTACACGAGGCTGAATAAACTGATGAGGATGTCTTTATGATTTCAAATTTGTTGGTTTTAAAAATGTTTTGTTTTCCATATTTAAGAAAACTTTTTTTAAACTCTTAATCTATCTATAGCTTACAACAATTTGGTAAATTATACTTTCGTAAACAGCATTGAAACATTTACTTTTTTTTCCCTACCTGATCTTTCCAGAATTTGGAAAATGTTTGTGAGTATTCTTATTTTATGGTGTATAGTTATTTGCATAAGTTCAATAAGAATCTGTTCTCTTTATAACAGGATACAATTGAGATCACTGCTTATACTACCAAGGCTTTTACTAGGATGTCATATTTTTATACATGACCAGACAGTTTTAAGGAACTAAGGTTTAACTTTATAAAGTCAATAAGGCCTCCCCCACTGGAAAAATTGCCTTGGTAGCTTGCATACATGGTTGTTTTACAGGGTTCCTTGCCTTGTGATGAGTAAAGAATGTCAACTCCTGGCAGGTTCAGGAGCTTAAAAATATTTTGGGAACTTCAAGAAGAGAAAAACTAATCCAAATCTGAAGGTATTATAGGCAAAATCTTGTAGTAGGTCATTGGCTTGGCTTCCTAGCCTAGAGAAGCTTTTTAAAAGTCTAATATAAGACTTCCTTTAAGCAAAACAGATTTTAAAAGAGCCTGTATGGTCAGTCATTATTCTTGCTGCATTTATGTAAATAATCAGGCCAAGTTTGATGATACTAAACTTATTTGCAATCTTACTGTGATTGCCTTTGGTAAAAATGGGAGGTGACTATGGAGAGAAAAAATTATGTTACAGAAGGAAACTATAGTACACCTGTTATTAGATTCCAGCTTATTGTTTTTGAGGGTTTGTTATTTACATACAAACTGGACTGGATCCTGAATTCCTCTAGTTTCCTCCAATATCTGGCTTCAACTTTCCAAACTAATGTTTTCAATTTTTCTTCCATCTGTCTGACTTGGAAATTATGAAATTAAAACTGCCCTTTTCCCAAAGCTCTGCAAGCTAAAGCTAGATGTCTTGATATAAACTTCAGAGAACTCACCACGACAACTTATGTATGGACAACATTTGTGCCTATTGAAGTATGGACTACTCCTAAGGTTCACTGGAACCTCTAATGCAAACTGCAAACCGGGAAAATCTGTCAGATTGCCACTGCCTGCCTGCACTCCAACTAAAGATGCTTCAAGCCCAATATCTAGAAATAGTCACAACTGGATACCCTCCAGACTCTGAAACTAGTTTACAAAACTAGTTTACTAACTCCAGACAACAAGCTTTGTTTTTCTTTTGTTTCCATAGAAATGCATCTCATTAAATCCCTGATTGCTTGCACCATAAAGAGGCCTAATTTTGATGGGAACCCATCTGCAACACCACTTCTTGAAATGAGACACAACTCTTTGTTTTTTTTTTTTTTTTTTTTTTGAGACGGAGTCTTGCTCTGTCGCCCAGGCTGGAGTGCAGCAGTGGCGAGATCTCGGCTCACTGCAAGCTCCACCTCCCAGGTTCACTCCATTCTCCTGCCTCAGCCTCCCGAGTAGCTGGGACTACAGGCGCCCACCACCACGTCCAGCTAATTTTTTTTTTTTTTGTATTTTCAGTAGAGACGGGGTTTCACCGTGTTAGCCAGGATAGTCTCGATCTCCTGACCTTGTCATCCACCCGCCTCAGCCTCCCAAAGTGCTGGGATTACAGGCGTGAGCCACCGCGCCCGGCCAAGACACAACTCTTTAACTGGATTGACCTATTCCTATGTCTCTTACCACTCAGCTACTAACCTTGTTTTCCTCTCTATACGAACTCATGTTTTAGTGTATGAAACTTCTGGAGAAGTTTTAGACAGGGGAAATAAAGGAGTTCAGAATGTGCCAAAATATGCCACTTCGGTATGCTGATTACTTCAGGAAATTCATATACAGACAGAAGCTTTCTCTGAGCTCTCCTTATCTGCCTAAAGATGAATCCTTCAAAAGGACTCAGCCGTCATGAATCCCCTCCCCAGGAATCTTATTAACTAGGGAAGGTTGAACTGGATCATAGGAAAGAATTCTCCATGCCCAGACAAATGTTTATTCTTCTGAGGACCCATTCACCTTACCTCCAAATCATTTACTCTCCCTGCATCCCCACCCACCCTCATGTCTTCTATGAAGAGGGCATATAAGCTTCTAGATCTCACTGGGTTTGGGGGTATTCATTTTTCCTTCATATTATGTCTCCATGTGCATAAGAAATTTGTATACGTTTTCTCCTGTAAATTTGTCTACTGTTATTTTATTTTATAGACTCAATTATTGAACCCTCAGAGGGTAAAGGGAAAGTTTTTCCTCCATTACGTAAGCAACTGGATACAAGTATGGGGTTAGGGGAACTGTTAGGTTGGCATAAAGACATGTGAGTATCATCAACATGTAGATGTATGTAAAGCCACAAAAATGGATGATCTCACAAAGAGTGTATAGATAGAGATGACATGAGGACTGAGGATCAATCTGGTTCTTCAGTCCAGGAGGAACCATCAAAGGGAGACTGAGAAGTAGCCAGTGAGGTAGGAAGAGAGGCAAGAGGGTGTTGAGAATCAAGTGAAGAAAATATTTGAAGGATGATGGAGCAATCAATGTGCAAAGTAAGACTGGGACTAAAAATTGACTATTGGATTTACCCACATAGCAGTTATTAGTGACTTAATAAGAGCAGTCTGGGTTGCATGGTGGGATCAGAAGCCTGACTTCAAAAGATTAAGAGAGAATTGAAAGACAGAAGTAGAAGACAGCAAATATAGGTAACTCCTTTGAGGAGTTTTTCACTCTAAAGGCTAGGAGAATAATGAAATGTTAGCTGGAAAGATCAATGGAGTCAACAGAAGGATTTGCTTGTTTGCTTTTAGGAAAAGGGAAATAATGCATGTTTTAGTGCTAATGGGAATTATCCAGTAGAGGGTCTGGAATTTAGACAGAGAGGAGGGACTGGCCTTGGACAGAGACAGGTCATAGGGTATCAGAAGAAAAGGCAGTATACATGGGAACACACGCTTACGAGTAGATAAATGTGATAGAGATAATTTGTAGAAGATTCTCTTCAGATTGCTTCTATTTTCTCAGTGAAATTGGTCATTGGCTGCAAGTGTGGATGGATAGGTGGTGCTGGAAGTTTGAGGATACAGAAAGTATGAAACTGTCATGTAAGAGAATGGGAGAATGAATGAACTAGGGAAATGCTATACATCAGGTAGGCAGCATTGCAGTCCTATGTGATGGTGGATTTGCTCTGGTAATATTTCTAGCTGCATGGATGCAGGTTTGGAGTAAGCAGAGAGTCAGCTGTTTTGCCAAGTAAAAACAATGAAGCAGGAGTGGGGGGACAAAGGAGTTAAGGGTTTATGGAAGACAAGATTATAATAATTGACCATGGAATTCAGGCTAGGTAAGGAGGGAAATGAAGATATGAAGAAAGGCAATGGAGAGTTCAAGTTGCGGGAACAATGAATTTTAAGTCCTGAGAATTTTAAGAAGTATTACTGGAGTTGGAACATGTAGGGCGAATAATTGCCCCTCAAAGATGTCCATGCACTAGTCCTCAGAATCTTTAAATATGTTTGCTAGGTTATGCAGCAAAGGGGAATTAAGATTGCAGATGAAATTAAGAGACCTTAAGAAAGGAAGTTCATCAGAGTGGACTCAACATAATCACAGGGTCCTTAAAAATGGAATGGTAGAAGACAGTTGGAGGCAGATGTGACTACAGAAGAAGGTCAGAGTGACACGATGAAGGACCCAACGTTCCATTGCTGGCTTTGAAGCTGGAGGAAAGGAGCTATGAATCGAGGAACACAGGTGGCCTTTCCAGGCTGGAAAAGACAAGGAAAAGGATGCTACCCAGATCCTACAGAAAAAAACACGGCCCTGCCAACATCTTGGTTTTAGCTCTGTGAGTCCCATGTCAGACTTCTGATCTACAGACTGTAAGAAAAATTTGTGTCGTTTAAGCCATTAAGTTTGTAGTGATTTGCTATGACAGCAAGAAAACACTGCAGGTTGAGGATCCCTTTTCTGAAATGCTTGAGATCAGAAGTGTTTTGGATTTGGGCTTATTTTGGATTTTGGACTATTAACATATACATAATAAGATATCTTGGGAATGGGATTCAAGTCTAAACACAAAAATTCACTATAGTTTTATATTCACCTTATAAACATAGCCAGAAGGTAATTTTATACAACATTTTAAATAATTTTGTACATGAAATAAAGTTTTGACTGTGACCCATCACATGAGGTCACGTGTGAAATTTTCCACTTGTGGCATCATGTTGATGCTCAAAAGTTTTGGATTTTGTAGCATTTTCGGAGTTTGGTTTTCAGATTAGGAATGCTCACTCAGTAATATAAAATATTAGAGGAAATAAGCTGGATATTCAGATACCAAACCTCAAGGCTCTACAGGGTTTGGTATTAGTTTTGGTGGTAACAAGGTCAAGGATATGGCCATAGGTATAAGTCTGAAGGAAGGTGGTTAGCTACATTGTTGGAAGATTGTGCCTCATAGAACTACACGGTTTAGAACTAAAATTTTATCATGATTTCTATATATTGGTCAAAATTAAGTGGTGAGTTATGAACATATTGGTTTTTTTGTTTGTTTCTGCACTGGCGGGCATACCCAGCAGCAATGCTGTCCCTCGCCTTCCTGCAGCTGATCTTTATTAATGTTTACTGTTCACTGGTATAAACTGTGCAACTCCGAATTGGATTAGGGGGAGATCTGGTCTCGATTAAAGCTGTGATAAATGAGCACTGTTTACATTTCCTCACACCCTCCCTTCTCCACACACACACACACATCAAATTATTCTGAAAATGAAATGCAAAATAAAATGAGGAAGGGTTCTGTTCTTCATTAATGTGTAATTATAAAGTGCTGGGGCTCCCCTGCTGGGTGGAAAAGTAAAACCCATAGGAGGGGTGAGAATGCTTAAGGGGGGACATTCTTCATTGCTATTAACTATGGGTGAATTATTGTTTTCACATTTTTACAAAGAGATGAATGAAAATGAGGACTTGGATAAGATCTGTACCCCCTCATGGAATCATAATGGGGAGAGAAAAGCAAGTGGGCAGAACTGTTCACATTGCAAAACCAGAGCCCAGTGGTCTACTCTCTTTTGATTTCCTTGCTCTTACTTTTCAAAAAGTAAGCTAAATTTAATAAGTGCCTTGTAAGTCAGCTTTAATTCCTGATTTTAAATCACCTAGTCTTTTGTGAAAATGCAGTAGAGGTGTTAGAGATGCTCTCTATTTACTTTGATTTATTTTAAAGATAGATTCTCAGCCCTGGGAGAGGAGGGAGAGAGGGGGCTCAGCACAATGCTTAGACGCTGGGATCGCATAAACTGTTAGCATCTCAGGTCAGCTGTGTGGGGAAATCATGCTCTCAGAAGCTCAGTTTCTTCATCTGTATAATGCAGGTGATAATGGTTCAATGGGTTTCACAGTTATTGGGATAATTTGATGAGATTATTGATAAAAATGCTTGCATGGTGCCTGGCACAGTGCTCACGGAGGGATGTTATTATCATCTCTATTCTTGGAAGTGAAGGAAGAAAGAAGAGGAAATCTGTGTCCTTCATTCCAGTTTCCCTTCTCCCAACACTAGCCACCTTGGGCTTAATTTAAAACTTTGTATTTGATCTAAAATTTGATTCTCAGTATTTTCTTTCTATACTACTTTCCCAACTCCTAAATAAGAGAGAATATCAACTGGTTTTTTGTTAATCCATATAACGATGAATGGGATATTTGTAGGGACACGTTGGTAAAAAGACATGTTTTTCTTCAAAGAGCTTATAAATGTTATGTAAGGATGGAGCTGTAATTTGTAATATGCCAGCCACCAGCCACATGTACCTATTTAAATGTAAACGAATTAAAATTAAATAAAATTAAAAATTCAACTTCTCAGTTGTGCTAGGCACATTTTGAGTGCTCAATAACCACATGTGGCTGGTGGCTATGATACTGGACAGTAAAGATAAAGCACATGTTCATCACCATTCTGTTGTGTTCATGATAACTGGACTAAATTGGAGTTGGAGAAACACAGAATAGAAAATAAAAGTGGGGGGCACAGTGTTGAAAGACCAAATGGGAAGGTAAAGAAGAGGAATTTTATCAATTTCATAAATTTGTATAGAACTAGTCCTGCATTTTGCCACAATGAAGCCACAAATACTGTATAAAATTGCCCATAACTTATCTGTGGATTGTGTGGGAAGGAATGCTCAATAAATATTTTTAAGCTGTTGAAAATTTTGCTTCATTTTGTAAACTTGTACATTTCATTTTGCAGAATGAAATTTCATTCATTCATTATATTTATTGACTGTCTCCCATGTACCATGTGCCAAGTGAGGGAGTGAAATATCTGAAGGAAGAGTGTTCCAGGGCTATGGGAAAGAAGTAGATCAAGATAGGAAGGACCAAGAATGTGGAGTGAGAAATGGACTGGAGAGAGAGGGTAGGATTAAATAAATTGATCAGAGAAGGCAGTCTTAGCAAAGGGGCTTTGAGCAGGTTTTGAAGGAGGGGAGGGAGGGAGTGATGTGGTTACCCAGAGGAAGAGTGTCCACAAGGGCACAGGACCTTAAGCAAGGGTGTGCCTGGCATAGCCAAGGAACAGCAAAGAGCCAATGTGGCTGAGCAGAGTGAGTGAGGGGATGAGTGTGGAAATGAGATCTGGGAGGTAACAGGGGAAGAGGGGCAGATTATATTTAGTTTTATAGGGCTTTGATTTTTAGTCAGCGTGAAATAGGGAGTTATCAGAGGTTTTTAAAGTAAGACAGGCTGATCTAAATTATGGCTTTAAAAAGAGTCTTCTGGATCCTGAGTGGGCAGGGGATATCTTGGACCAGGCTGGTAGCGTGTTTAGGGGAAAATAAATACCTTTTTCTCACCTATCACTACATTCATGGCTAAGGTCCCTATAACAAAAGGCAGATTAACAAGAGAAAAGCACACACATTTATTTAATTGAAGTTCTACCTGACACAGGAGCTTGTATAAGGAAATTAAGATCCCAAGAAACAGGTAAACTTGTATATTTTTGTGCTTAGATTTGATGAAGAGTGGGCAGTTGCTGAGAAATGTGATTGGAGGACAAGAGTACGCTCTAATGATAATAAACTGCGGGGATTTTAGCAAGGCCTGTTTGTTTAGATTTGTCTCTGTATCCTTGTGTCTTCAGAGACACTATGGTTGAATGTTTGTGTCTCCTCCAAATTCATGTTGAAATTTAATCCCAAATGCTACCGTGTGAAGAGGTGGGGCCTATGGGTGCAATGGCTCATGCCTGTAATCCCAGCACTTTGGGAGACTGAGGGAGGAGGATTGCTTGAGCCCAGGAGTTTGCGACCAGCCCTGGCAACACAGTGAGACCTTGTCTCTATAAAAAAAAATACAAAAAATTACCCAGGCATGGTGGTGTATGCCTGTAGTCCCAGCTATTTGAGAGGCTGAGATGGGAAGATGGCTTGAGCCTGGAAAGTTGAGCATTTTGTTTATAACCATTTAACCACTCTCTAAAAAGTTCCAAACTTTCCCTCACCCTCTGTCTTCTTCTGAGACCTCCAAACTCTTCCAAGCTCTGACCATTAACCAGTTCCAAAGCCACTTCCACATTTTCCAGCATCTTTATAGCAATACCCCACTCTCAGTATCAATTTTCTGTGTTAGGCCATTCTTGCATTGCTATAAAGAAATACCTGAGACTGGTTAATTTATAAAGAAAAGAGGTTTAATTGGTCATGGTTCTGCAGGCTGTACAGGAAGCATGGTGCTGGGATCTGCTCAGCTTGTAGGGAGGCCTCAGGAATCTTACAATCATGGCAGAAGGTGAAAAGGGAACAGGCATGTCACATGGTGAAAGCAGGAGCAAGTGAGAGAAAGAGCTGGGAGGGGAAGTGCCATATGCTTTGAAATGACCAGATCTTGTGAGAACTCACTCACTATCACAAAGACAGTGCCAAGCCACGAGGGATCTGCCCCATGACCCAAATACCTCTCACCAGGCCTTACCTTCAACATTGGAGATTACAATTCAACCTGAGATTTGGAGGGGACACACATCTAAACCATATCAGCCAGAAAACAAATTGACATTAGACAATGTGGCAGAAGGGTTCCAAATATTAAAGGCTGCTTTCTACTTCTTTTATGACATAACCCCTTCTATGGTATGGGCACTGAAACTAAAGCAAACAGTAAAAGGATTGGTACTGTATAGAAATATTTTTAGAGAAATTAAAAAGCAAAAAAGTCAAACAGAAATTACAATATGCTTCCATGAAGCCATACCAAGTGTGCCTGCCTCTCCCGCCTCCCCTTCCACCACCTCCATCTTTTCATTTCTGCCACCACTGAGACAGCAAGACCAACCCCTCCTCTTCCTTCTCTCCTTAGCCTACTCAATGTGAAGATGACCAGAATAAATATTGTTGACTTCCACTTAATGAATAGTATTTAAATATATTTTTCTTATGATTTTTTAGCTAACATTTTTATTTTCTCTCATTTACTTCATTATTAATATAAGGATACAGTACATGATACATATAACATTAAAAATGTGTTCATTACTGTGTATGTTACCAATAAGGCTTCCGGTCCACAGTAGGCTCTTAGTAAGGTTTTGGGGGAGAACAATGTGATAAACAAATTTTCAAGTGTGTGGGAGTTTGGCTCGCCTAATCCCTGTTAGGAGTTCAAGGGTCCATTGGAAAATGCTAAAGTATTGTCTCTTCAGCTTTAAATTTTTGAAAACAAATGGCTTTTCTTAGGTAGAAAGTTGTTTGTCACATTTCTCCCCAGTGTCTTTTGAATTGTTAAGGAGAGGATCCAGAAATCGTTACTGGCACACGCTGTATCCTCCAGGGGGCTTCCCTGCTACAGCAGGCAGCTCTGAAACCTGTCCTAATAAAGAAGCTACACTACAAGGCTTTTGATTGGTGGTTTTTCCCCCAGCTACCGATTGAATGAAGGCAGTAATTATGTCCGCATTGTCTGACTAAATGCTGCTGGTGTATGCCATTAGAACTGGTTTCAGGCAACTTTTAGAGAGCAGTCTGCTGTCCTCTGGGAATAGATCATGAAGGTTGGGGCTGAGCCCCACAGCTCTCCCATGTGACTTGACACCTCCACTTGCAAGATAAGAGAAAAGAATGGTTCTGAGAACCCTTGGAAAGTGGGAGGACCCCTGCTGTTCTCTAAAAGGCATTCTAAGAAAAGACTTCACAGAAAATCAATTGTTATCACTTAAGACCTTTCCTTTAACTCACTATATTCCATTGTACACTTAATTTTTTTCTTCCAGTGGGACAAAGCAATGTGTAAAAAATTGTACAATGTTCCTGTGGTGTCTTTGAAAGCAAGTTTATAAATTCTTAATATGCATTACTATAAGTCAAGAGTCTCAAAGAGAATAGGGTGTCAATAAAAATTATCCACAGGGCAGATGATGGTTTTTGAAGCAGGGAGAAAGGATAATGTTGGGACTGAATGATATGCGTTCAGGAAAGATGACATGAATTTGAAGAAAGGAAAGTGTTGAGGTGAGACACAAAGCTTCCCACCCCCACCCTGTGAAGTTCTTGAATGAGGCTTCCTGGACATTTCATGCTTTCGCTTCCCTGTAGCTCGAGGCTTCCATTCTCCAGAGGAATTAAGGGAAGATTTCTGCTGAGGACTAGGTCCTGTTGATCCACGAATTTCCTCCTTTTGCTCTGTCTGCCCCCAATACTCCTTATTTTTTAAGTCAAATATTTTACATATACAGCCACTTTAACTCCAACTGCTGTGTGGTTAACAGCATAGATTCTGGAAGCAAACAAAGCCTGCGGTCTAACCCTAGGCCTGATACTTCCTAGCTCTGTGAACTTGGGCAGATTGCATAATCTCTCTGAGCCCTCTTTTCTCCCCTATAGATGGGAGCACCAGCCATCTCTGTCTTATGGGATGGCTGTGGTAGTGAATGTGGCAGTGCATATATGTTAGGCTGGGGGTCTGGCACATGAGAAGTGCTCAGAAATGTTAGCTACTATTATTATAGGGTAAAAAGGTGTTATACCTCCACTCACTGATCATAGGGGTTATGGCAGACACTCCCATAACAAAAGACAGGTTAACAAGAGAAAAGCATAACAGATTTATTTAGTCAAAGTTTTATGTGACATAAGAGACTTCAGAAATGAAGACTCAAAGACCAAGGAAAACTGTCTGTTTTTATGGTTAGATTTGATGACGAATGGACAGCCATATAGAAATGTGATTGGACAAAAGTGTAAACCAAAACAAAACCATACTAAGCTGCCCAACTAACTGAATAGACCCTCCTTTTGGCCAAGGACATTCCAAAGTAAACCTGAAAAACTAGTTCAGGCCATGGTAGGAAAGGGGGCATGGACATGCCTCATTATACCTTCCTCCCTCCTCTAATTCCTTTGGAATTCAGGCACAACTAACCAGCATTCACATTTAAAACAGAGATCTTAAGACTGACAAAACAGACTCTTTGTAGAAATAAGAGACCAGATTCCAAACTGATTCTAGCACAGCATCACATGACAAAAAGCAGAGACGGAAAGAAATCAAAGTATTTTACCCCAAAATATATTCCTTTGACATATTTTAAAAAATGACCCTGCAAAGCTGTCTCTTATGGGGAAAAACTACATTCTGCAGAGAATCCCCCCTTTTCCAGGTCTTTTCTTGATCCAGGAGAGATTTAACTAAGAGTGCAGCACCTGTTAAGTCCTGATAAGAGACATTTATCATCTATTCTACATAGTCAGAACGTTGGTCTCCACAACCCCTTATTTTAACCCATGTAAGGATGTTCCTTTCCTCTGGGTATAGAAAGGGTACCTCTTAAGGGTCTTATGACCTGCTTCAGAGGAGAAGAGCAGGGGAAAAGTGAGAGTGCCCTTCCTGCTTTTGCTGTTTTTATCAAAGGCCAAGGTGCCATGTTTCAGAGTAGCATATCCCGAACCCCATCAAAGCCAAGTACCTTGTATAGATTGTCTAGTGCCTTATTCTAAAATAAGACACATTAAGTGATGTGATCTTCTAATATCTGCGAACTACAGAATGCTTATTTTACATATAGTTTGCCCAAAAATTATGCCTAATTTATAATAATAATGTTAGGGTTCAGAAAACAATACTTAAAAAACAGTAAGGAATTTTGGCATACTGAATATTTTGAACTAAAGGAGCTTTCAAGGCCTCAGAACCAAGATTTCTCTGACCTTCTCTTGCCCTCCTGTGTCGTGCCCCTTTTTCTTCCCAAAGTAAGTCATAGAAAGCAGAATTCCTCTTCCACAATGCAGGTCATAGAAACAAGAATCCCTCTCCCCGCAAGCAAGCCATAAAACCTCTCTTCTTTCTTCTCCCTTGAAGACCCTCATTCTAGGGGGTCTTGCCCAATACCCAGGAGGAAGAAATGCTACACCAAGAGATCAAGAAGAGTCTAAACAGAGAGTCCTTGCTGAGTTTTCACCCTCGGTTTATTATTATTAGATCATACCTTTTTATCAATGAAAAAGAGTCAAACTCTATAAAATATTTATTCTAAGTATGAGAACCATGACATGTGACACAGTCCCAGGAGGTCCTGAGAACATGTGCCCAAGGTGGTTGGGTTACAGCTTGGTTTTATATGTTTTAGGGATACATAAGACATCAATCATTACATGTAAGGTATGCACTAGTTCTGTCTGGAAAGGCAGGGCAACTGGAAGCAGGGGCTTACAGTTCATAGGTGAATTCAAAGATTTTCTGATTGGCAATTGGTTGAAAGAGTTAAATTATTATCTAATGACCTGGAATCAATAGAAAGGAGTGTCTGGATTAAGAAAAGAGATTGTGGAGATCAAGGTTCTTAAGATGTAGAATAGATGGCAAATGTCTCTTATCAGGCCTTAAAAGGGCCACGCTTTTAGTTAAATCTCTCTTGGATCAGGAAAGTACTTAGAAAGAAGAGTCTTCAAAAGCAATTGCAACAAAACCAAAAATTGATAAGTGGAACCTAATTAAACTAAAGACTTTCTGTGTAGCAAAAGAAACTATCAACAGAGTATTCAGACAACCTATGGAATGGAAGAAAATATCTGCAAACTATGTATCCAACAAAGGACTAATATCCAGACTCTATAAGGAGCTTAAATCAACAAGAAAAAAAAATCTCATTAAAAAGTGGGCAAAGGACATGAACAGGCACTTCTCAAAAGAAGACATACGAGTGACCAAAAAACATATGAAAAAATGCTCCACATCACTAATTATCAAAGTAATGCAAATAAAAACCATAATGAGACACCATCTCATACCAATCAGAATGGCTATTACTAAAAAGTCAAAAAATAACAGACATTGATGAGGCTGCAGAGAAAAGGGAATGGCTATACATTGTTGGTGGGAATGTAAATTAGTTCAGCCACTGTGGAAAGCAGTTTGGGGATTTCTCAAAGAACTAAAAATAGAGCTACCATTTGACCCAGCAATCCCACCACTGGGTATACACCCAAAGGAAAATAAATTATTCTACCTAAAAGACACATGCACTCATATGTTCACTGTAGCACTATCACAATAGCAAAGACATGGAATCAACCTAGGTATCCATAAATGGAGGATTGGATAAAGAAAATGTGGTACATATACACCATGGAATACTACACAGCCATAAAAAAAGAATGAAGTTATGTCCTTTGTAGCAACATGGATGCAGCTGGAGGCCATTATCCTAAGTGAATTAATGCAGAAATAGAAAACCCAATTGATATGGTTTGGCTGTGTCCCGACCCAAATCTCACCTTGAGTTGTAGTTCCCATAATCTCCATGTGTCGTGGGAAGGACCCAGTGGAAAGTAATTTAATCATAAGGATGGTTACCCCTGTGCTGTTTTCATGCTAGTGAGTGAGTTCTCATAAGATCCAATGATTTTATAAGGGGTTTTCCCCACTTTTGCTTAGCACTTCTCTTCCTGCCGCCATATGAAGGAGGACATGTTTGCTTCCTTCTACCATGATTGTAAGTTTCCTGAGGCCTCCCTAGCCATGCTGAACAGTGAGTCAATTAAACTTCTTTCCTTTATAAATTACCCAGTCTCGGGTATGTCTTTATTAGCAGCTTGAGAAAGGTTAATACACAAATATTGCATGTTCTCACTTATAACTGGGAGCTAAATATTGGGTACACATGCACATAACGATGGTAACCATAGACACTGGGAACTCCAAAAGGAGGGAGAAAGAGGGGCAAGGGCTGGAAAACTTCCTATTGAGTGCTATGTTCACTATCTGGAGATGGGATCAATAGAAGCCCAAACCTCAACATCACACAATATACCCTTGTAACAAACCTGCACATGTACCCCCTGAATCTATAATAAAAATGGACATTAAAAAAAATAAAAATAGCAGAATATTAACAGAATAAATCAGCAATTCCCAACATATGCATATAGTATACAATATAGCCGGTTGCTGTCAGTTGGTTCTAAAAAGCATGCCCTCTACAGAGTGTGGGTGAGGGAGAGTTGTACGTGTACCCATGCAGAATACGGACCCCTCTGCTTCCTCCTCTGTAAAAGTGCTTTCTAGGGCTGTTATAAGGATTCAAGGGTTAATGCATAAAAACCTTGGCTCTGTGGCTGGCATGTGTTAGCCATTATTCTTAATATTCTTGCTATTTGGAAATTTTTGGCTGATTCTAACTGGTGCTTTCAAGAGCCATCAGCTGCATAGAGTCAAGAGACTCTGGAATTAGCATCTTTGGTATTGGGTCATAGTCTTGACTTGACCCAAAAATCACCCATGGGAAGTTGGGTTTGAATATTTTATAAAATCTGTACCTACCTCTAGACTCCCAGAATGTTTGCTCTGGGAGAAACCTTAGAACATTTCCTGCTTATCCTCCTCTTTTGTAGAGAAGGAAACCCAGGCTCCCAGAGGTAAAGTCATTTGAGATCCCACAGCCTGAGCCTGTCAAATTCAGACCTAAAACATGAGGAGTCGGTTAAAATATGCCCATAAAAATCTTTGCTTGGCATTTCTAGGGATCTTCCTTGTTGCTGTTCAGTATTTGAGCAGAAAGTCTTGTAATATGGTGGCTGCGCAGGGTGGCTCACAGTGTAACCCCAGCACTTTGGGAGGCTGAGGCTGGTGGATTACTTGAGGTCAGGAGTTTGAGACCAGCCTGGCCAACATGGTAAAACCCCGTTTCTACTAAAAATATAAAAAATTAGCTAGGTGTGGTTGTGGCTACCTGTAGTCCCAGCTACTCGGGAGGCTGAGGCAGGAGAATGGCATGAATCTGGGAGGCAGAGCTTGCAGTGAGCGGAGATTGCGCCACAGCACTCCAGCCTGGAAGACAGAGCTAGACTCCGTCTCAAAAAAACAAAACAAAACAAAACAAAAAACCACAAAAACAAAAACAAAAAAGTTTGTAATATGGTACACTGGAACAAAACAAGGCAAAACTTAAGGCTTTGGCTGGACCACATTGGATACGAGAGAGAAACACTGTTCAATCCTGTTGGCTCCTACAGAAAGCAAGCAGGTTGGGACTCAGGAGTAAGCTGAGGAGCTGGGGGACCCTTTGCTGCTCAGTGGCAGCTGGCATTGAATAAGAGTGATGATTGGATTAGGTGTGCCCTGGGGGAGCAGAAAAGCACATTCTGTGGGATCCAAAGTGAAAGCCCTCTGCTCTCCCGACAAGAGAAGCAGTAAACGGAAGCAGCTGCGTTTGAAATGAGGCTTCCCTGGGACTTGTCCATCTCACTCTAGTTCTCCCAAGTGCCCCTTCCCTTCCTCAGGAGGACAAAGTGGGGACCAAGAGGAGAAGGGGGCGGGGTGTGGGCAGGGGAGGAGGAGATGGAGGTGTGGCATTAGGAGATGGATGGATGGCAGTTCCATAGTTAAAGGGAGGGAAGGGGAGGAACAAAGCAAGGTGGGGATCAAAACAGACTGGAATAATTGTGACAGTTTATTGATATATACTTTGATGGAAACAATAAGTGAAGCATGTCCGATTTATTTTCTCGCTCTGCCTGGGGGACAGGTGCATGATTATCCCTGAAGGATACCAGAATATGCCACCCCCGAATATGTCTCTTTGCCATATGGGTTTTTGAGCTACTGAGCATTGAAAATCAGCAGATTCAGGAAAAGCTCTAAAAACAGGGCACAAGTTTTCTCTTTGTAAAGGAAATTTACATTTATAAAGGAAATTTCCATTTGAAAAGTTATCTTCCTCTCCCTTACCTAAAAGAGGACTATTAACAATTATTATCAATGGAGAAAGCACTGACTTAAATCTGCATTACAAACCTTATTAAACACCTATTGTTTACCCTACTTCATTGTCACCTTTTCATAACTTGCTTCTCTTGCCCTGAAGCCTCAAACTCCTTTTCCTTTATCTAGCTTAAGATGGCACAGAAGCCCAAATCCTAACCACCCCTTTGGGTTACTTATCACTGGATGATCCCACGTGTATGCCCAATGCACATGTTAATAAACTGGCTTTTTTTCCTTGTTAATCTGTCCTTTGCTACTCTAATTCACAGGGCTTCCACTGGAGAACCCAAGATGGAAAGAATTTTTTTTTCCTTTCTCACATCCCCATTATCCAGACTAATGTCAGAGATTCAACAAGCTTAAGGAATTTGCCCAGAGCCACAGCCTCTCTAGATTGGAAAGCTAGGATTTAAACCAAAGCCAGTAGTCTCCAAAGCCATCATGAGCTCCCACTCACTGGACCTTAACCCTCTAACCCTGTAGAGAATTGGAAATATGTCCATTCAAAGCAGACAAACAGTGGGTGAACTAGGCTAGGAAGAGAGGAACATGTATCTTGCTTGATAGGAAAAGTTTACTGAAAGGTTGAAGAAAGTTCCAGGGAGTAGATGTGGTCATGGATCTGCCTTTTTTTAGAGAAAAAAATAAGAGGATCTCCCAAAGCATCCTGAGGGCATCTGCTATGAGAAAAGGAGAAGTGGGGCAGAGGGCAACAAACTCCTTAGGGTCCTGGGTCCAGACACTAAGGACAGTGGTGGACTCTACAGTCAGACAGCCACAGCTTTCTCTGTGCAAAACTCTACTGGCCAGGACTGTGAGAAAGAGGCCTGTCCCCACCAGGAAGGAAGTTACAGCCTCCTGAAGGGTAAGGTATTGTAAGCAGACAGGGAGGGTCTCCAGGGACTCTAGGAATTTAACCAGCTTGAGTAATCAGCCCGTTTTATAGCCTCTTGCCCTGCAGCCTGTTTTTTTCCAAACACTGTGTGGAATACGGTCATCTAGTTGCCTGGAACTAGTTCCTGATAACCCCGGCAACTTATAGGTGAACGTGAGTGAACTTTCCTCATAAACATGCTAAAATTTCCCTGCGGGAGGAGGCAGGAGCTGTAGCTTTATGACCATAATATGTGACCTATGTGCTGGCATGATGACTCACAGTGTCTGCACCACAGGGGACACTTTTTTTTTTTTTTTTTTCAGACAGAGTTTCGCTCTTGTCACCCAGACTGGAGTGCAGTGGCACGATCTCGGCTCACTGCAACCTCCGCCTCCCGGGTTCAAACGATTCTCCTGCCTCAGCCTCATGAGTAGCTGGAATTACAGGCACCCACCACCATGTCTGGCTAATTTTTGTACTTTTAGTAGAGACAGGGTTTCGCCATGTTGGCCAGGCTGGTCTCGAACACCTGACCTCAGGTGATCTGCCTGCCTCAGTCTCCCAAAGTGCTGGGATTACAGGCATGAGCCACTGTGCCCGGCCTGAGGACCCTTTCTATACATACAGTGATGCACCCTATCACCTCTCCATTCCCCCATAAAACCTTTCCCTCTGGGAGACCCTAGTTTGGAGAACACTCCTGGTGCACCCCTTACTTGTGACAAGTAATAAAACTCCTATTGATCAAAACTTGCATTCTTGTGGAGAGTCCTTTCTTACTCACCAGGCAAAGAAACCCCGGGTTTATTCAGGTAGTAGTACACACATAAACACTGGTCACACAAGTACCTTAGAACAGAGTCAGATTGAGCCTTATTGTCATTAAAAAGAGAGAGAAGTTACTTATGATGGGCTTATAAGGAAAACCTTCACTGATGATATAGTATCTGAAAAATGTGGGCTCCTTGACCCAAAGACTACAGAGATATTCCAGACAGAGGAAAGGGCTGGAATTTAGAAAGCATGGACGGTATGTGTTGTAGACTAAATGTTTGTGTCTCCAAAAAATTCATATATTGACACGCTAATAACCAATGTGATAGTATTTGGAGGTGGGGCCTTGGGAATTAATTAGGCTTAGAGGAGGTTATGAGGGTAGGGCCCTCATGATGGGATTAGTGCCCTTATAAGAAAAGGAAGAGGCACAAAGTTAGTCTGACTCCACCATGTGGGGATACAGTGAGAAGGCAGCATCTGTGGACCATGAGGAGAGCCCTCACCGAGAACCATGCTGGCCCTCTCATCTCAGACTTGCAGCTTCCAGACTGTGAAAAATAAATGCTTGTTGTTCAAGCCACCCAGCCTATGGTATTTTGTGATAGCAGCCAGAGCTAAGACAATGTGTAAGGAGAGCTGTGAGCAATTTCATTTTGCTTGACTACATCAGTGAGGTGACAAAAGTGGCAAGCAAGATAGAGTGGAGTGAAATGGGAGGGCTTTGAAGGTCACTTTATTTTGAAGCAATAGAGACACATTGAAAACTTTTGAGGATGACATAAATCCTTTGCTTAGGAAGATTAATCTTACTCTTCCCATTCTTTTGTGGCACGGAAGGTCAGAGCCTGAAGGCCGGGGGACCATCAAGCGGGCTTCTGCAACAGTTTTGTAGAAGAGCCGATAAGGTTCAGCACAAAATATGAGCCAAATATGTGTGTCCTTTTCAGGTGGAAGCATTTAGGAGCTAGAGCGAACTTCTCCATATGTTTTTTATATCTGCTGTCATGGCCAGCAATGTTCCAAATAGTGCAGGCATCTCTGAAAGGGTCCCGAAGTGGGGATGAGGAGGAGAGCCTCCTGCCAGTGTGCAATGGCCACATAGTGTAAAGGAAATAAAGCTTTGATGTTTGAAGCCACTGAAATTTGGGAGTTGTTTTCTAGCAGCATAACCTGATCTATCCTGACTAATATAAGAACCACATACTTACGAAGGCGTTCAGTCAATTCAGGACTCATCAATTGCATGCTGACTCTGTGCCAGGCGCTGTGTTAGATGCTGGGGATACCATAGTGAGCAAGACAGACATGGCTACAAGAGACTGAGTAGGAAAAGAGAAAAGAGAGCAGGAGTGGGGGGTGAGGGGACCTACCATTAGGGAACCAGAAGAGGACCCAGATGATACAGGCTCTAGGAAGTCCCTTAAAAACAGGAGAACACAGCATGAGCCAAAAAAGGGACAGCAGCCTGTGTCAGTCTCAGACCCTCAAGAGAACTGAAGGAGCCAGAAGCGCTGGGTGCTGGACTAAGTTTCCCCAGGCTTGTTTCCCCAGTGCAGTCATTCTTGAAGTGTGGTCCCAGGCCAGGAGCATCAGCATCACCTGGGAACTTGTTAGGAGTATGGAATCCCAAGCCTCACCACAAACTTACTGAATCAGGACTGGGACCCAGTGATCTGTGTTTTAACAAGCCCTCCAGGCAACTGCGGTTGGATGACCACTGACTGCTCTGGTGCATCCCTCTTAAAGGATGTGACCAACTTCTTTAACAGAGCAGTGAGGAGCTCCTGCGGCCACTAGTTCTGTGGTGAGAATTACTGTTAGTAATAAAGTCCCCGTGGTCATCTCAGAAGATAAAAGACTCCAGAGGGGGCACTGAAAGGGCAAGGATGCTGTGTTGGGGTGACAAAGGGCAAGACCTCAAGGAGCAGCTGGCGAGCCGCTGTGGAAACAGGGCTTCTGTTGGGACTCACAGATCATTTATCAGGCTGGGCACCCTGATTGCTTGGAGGCTCCCTGTTTCTGGTGTGGGTCAGACCTGGGGAGGAGCAAAGCTGCATTCTGAAAGATATGCAGGTGCTAGCTAAGGGAAGAGAATATAGAAGAACACTCTAGACACAAAGCAGGTGCCTGGGAAGAAGCAAGTGTTGCTTGAAGAATGCCAACTGTTAAACTGTTAAACACATCAGTGTGCCTTGAGCACAGCACATGAGGGAGCATGTGTGACATAAGGTGGGGGCAGATAGGAAGATGTTAGGTCACACAGGTCCATATAGGACATATGTGGATTGGAGGGAGATACTCGGGGAAAGTGAGTTATCTGGATGACAATCGATATTCCTAACTCAGAGTAGAGGATCTGTTACATTCAGTACATGAGTTCCTTAATTAATTAATTCCCTATGAGTGAAACTCTTTCATAACAAAGATATCATGATAAAACCAATAGCAACAACAAAGAAATGGTATAGCCTACCTGCATTAGCAAATAAAAAACACTATATCGCATAAAAAGCAATTCTTCAAAGAGATAATTCCTGTCATTTATTGAGAACTTACTCCAAGATGGGCAGCTCTACGTACAGACAATATACATGTAGTCATTCATTTATTCTTTATAACAAACCTATGCTTTGTAGATAGAGTAGTCTCTGTATTTTAAAATTGGGAAAGTAAAATTCACTGGCTTAGTTACCCAGCTAGGTAATGCCAAGGAAGGAGGCAAACCCAGTTTCCTGATTCCAGTTTCCAGGCTCTGAGCCACTCAGGCTTTTTTGTCTCTAGTGATCTGTGGAATCCAACAAATGGCCTGTGGGTTTGGAGTTGGCAGGGGCACAAAGAAGGCAGCTGTGGTTCTCTGGCATGGGATGGGATTAGGGAGCTCTGACCCTGAATGTCCATCTGTTTCTTTTTACCTCTAACTTAGATCTGATCAGCCTATGAGAAGTTAGCCCAGGGTTGTCTGTCACGACCTCTTAATTACATATCTGTGCTATTTTATAAAAATGAAAGGCCTCGTCAATATCAGATAATTATTTTCACAAAAGAGATCAAATATCAGAATTAAATATTTTACAAATTTGAAGAGTTTCTTAATGCCCTTGGGTTTTCTTGGGTAATATCAACCTCTCATTATAATCTGGTGTTGCTCAAGAAAAGCTGAGAAACAATCTGCTGTGAAGGACAAGCTAGAATTTTATTTCAATAATGAATGTTGCAGAAATAGACAGCATATGCCATCTCCCACGGATTGCACAGCCTCGGCCCCGGCTTTTGTGGCTTCACTTCTGTGTTCCTGCTCTTCCTTTCTTCCTCCCTCTCTATCAATGGAGTAAAACATTCCTTCCTCTTTTTCCATATAGACCCATTACATCTAAACCCAGTCCCCTCAGAATCTCCCCCTAAACCCCTAATATTCAGCATCAGTCAGGATGGTCTATGTTATACTATGGTAACAAACAACCTGCCAATGTTAGTGGCTTAAAACAACCAAAGTTATTTCTTGCTCATGATATAGTTCATTATAGGCCATCTGGGGCCTTTGTTCTACACCATTCTCTGTCAAAGCCACAAGCTGATGGATGCCCCACTACCCAAAATGTTGCTGTCAATATGGCAGGGGAAAGGGAATGTGGCTAATTTTCTTACTGACTCATAAGGCCTTCCATGTGCCATTTCCACTCACAGGTCCATGCCTAACTTCAAGAGGAATAGTTCATCCTACCATATACCAGGAGGAGGAGAAACAGAAACATCAGTGAACAGCACTCATGACTAGCACGTACCCATAAAAGTTTATCAAAATATTTTCTCAAACGAAAGGATAAAATTCTGGCACTAGTATCTGAGAGAATACAATTTTTCCCATCTCATTACACACATTATTAAACACCCAAGAGAGACTCTGTTTTTCTTTCTCTCAGTAGTGGCCTGGGCACACAGTGAAGCAGAAGAAGAAAAAGAAGGGGAGCACCAATATATGTCAGACACTGTGGTGGGAACTTTACCTATGTTGTCTCTCTTAATACCAACAAGGCAGCAAGGTAACTATTTTACATTTCAGTTCATAATGAGAAATCTGAGCTTCAGAGAGGATAAGTGTGCAGTGAAGAAATAATCTTACCTGAGGAGAGGCCTGGCCTTTGTCTCAGGTCCTGGCAGGGTTTGGAAGTAGTGGAGGACTCAGGGTAACCCCTAATCCCTTGGAATTTACTGAGGATAGGAATGTCTTTGTTATTCATGGTGGACCCCTTGGACCACACATGATAGTTTATGCTAATGAGATGGCTCTGGGTGGGTCTGGCCATGCAAGAATCACATCTGTGTGATTAGATGGTTGGGATATCAGCCAGGTGATATCTGCCCAACCTCTGGGAATGGAGGGGGCTGGAGTTTGAATTCAACCATATGGACAATGACTCAATTATTGTGGTAATGAAACCCCAATATGCCAGTGAGGCTTGGGTGAGTTTCCAGGTGTGAAAGAAAAATAAATCTTTGGGCCCCAAAATCACTAAGTTAAAGGGAAAAGTCAAGCTGGGAACTGCCTAGGACAAACCTGCCTCCCATTCTATTCAAAGTCATCCCTCTGCTCACTGAGATAAATGCATACATATCTGATTGGCCATTTTGGAAAGGCTAATCAGAAACTCAGAAAGAATGCAACCATTTGTCTCTCACTTACCTATGACCTGGAAGCCCTGCCCCTCTTCAAATTGTCCTGCCTTTCCAAACCAAACCAGTGTTTGTCTTACATATGTTGATTGATGCCTCATGTCTCCCTAAAATGTGTAAAACCAAGCTGTGCTCTGACCATCTTGGGCTCACGTCTTCAGGACTTCCTGAGGCTGTGTCGCAGGCACACATCCTCAACCTTGGCAAAATAAACTCTCTAAATTAACTGACCTGTCTCAGATTTGTGGGGTTCACATTTTGGTAACATGAAGGGATTGTGAGTGGAGGTACCCCTGACCTTTGACAAATCTCCTATCGGTGCTTGGCACCAGCATGAGCTGTCTATATAGCTCAAACCAACAGGACAATTTGCTGAGGCCTGGAAGCACCTCCTCCAGAGAATCCCTGATTGCCCACAATTTGGTCAAGACCTAAAGTTTATTTTGCTGTATAATTTCCTTTTTTTTGGAGTTTACTTGCTTCCAACACAAGGAAGGCAAGTTTTTCCTGCTTCCATGACAATGGCAAGCAGGTTACTCCTTTATGGAGTTTGAGCTTGCTTCCAACAGGGAAGATGAATATTTTTTTTTCCTGCATCTAGAATGGTAGAGAACAGTCTTCAGCCTGAGATCCATCCCTAGGTAAGTAAATGAATTGGGGTTTGCCTCGGACAAAGTTAAGATTAACAACCATCTGGTCTTAATTTCTCATTACCATTAGAGTGCTCAGTAATTGTATAAATTGTGCAATCCTTTGTTTTTTCACTTAACTGTTTTTGTTGTCGTTCTTTGTTTCTGTTTTTGTTGTTGTTTCTTTGTTTCTGCTTTTGTTGTTGTTTCATCTTTTTCCAATTGAGTTTGACCAGCTCTATCCAACTTGATCAAATCTGAAGCAAAGTTCCAAATCATGGGGAACAAAGCTTCTGAAGTGGCTGAATTCCACACACACAAAAAGGTGGTATGGTTGGGGGAAAAAATGGCCAGCAAAAAGAAAAAGAAAAAGGAAAGATTTTTAATTTTGACTACTTAAGGTGCTTTATTTACATAACAAGGCCACCTTTGTGCTAGCCAGGCCAAACTGAAAAAACAACGGCTATTGCCCCATGCTGCAGTTCCCTTGCTAAGCATTCTGCCTTTTTTTTTTTTTTTTCCCACCATGACAGCCTGGGTTTGGTTCCTAAATCAAGCCCTTTCTGGTTTGATACTTGGTACTTCTGAAATAGCAGCAATTTGCCCTAGCTGAAATATGGTAATGAGATTTTAAATGATCTTTTTAAAGGAGCTCAATGGTTAAAAGTCAGCTTAATTAAAAGCTGACATCCAAGACGCATGTGCATATGTGTACATGTGTGTGTTGGTATTTAAAAGGCCTTCATGTTGTTGTTTGTTTTTTCTCTCCTCGGACTTTGTCTATTTTTTGAGCAAAAGTTTTTTTCTCCTCCGTTGACTGAATTCTGTTTTCTTCATTTATTTCTGCTGTCTCTCCTTTCTCTTGCACCTTCTGTTGCATGAGGGACCTAAAATAGCTTATAATAGCTGGGGTTCCTTAAAGAAAATGGAGAAGGTGCCAGACTCCCTTTTGGGGAGAAATCTCTATTTCTCCTTATGGAATCCTAAGAGTGTAAATAGACAAGTTTGTCTCAGCTCTTAAACTGCTTGGCTTTTGTATTGTGTTACCTGATTTTTGACTAAAATAGTTATTGCAACAGAGGCTTTTCTTGGGTTTTTAAGGAAGAGTGTAGTTTAGACACTTAGAAATGCCTTTGCTTTTAAAAAAATTTTTTTTAAGTGTGCTGTAAAAACAACACATGCCTCATAATAATTCTCCCCTTGGGAAACCCAGGATTCAGTATGGGCTCTGCCCAGAGCTCAGAGATCCATTTAAAAGAAAGGTAGTCCCTATCTAAATAAAATTGGTCTCCTTATACAGTCCTACAATAGATTTCCATAACTTTATGTTTGATTTGGCATCCATCTTTAGTATCCCTCTAGCACACCAGACTTTTTCTCTCCATACCTTATAATGTAAATTTTGCTATTTGATTTTCACCTGAGTTGTTTCCTTTAATCTGCAAATGTAAGGCTATTTAGCTGACAACTGCCCAGGATTGTGAAACAGGTTATCAAGAATCTGAAAGTCCAAGATAGGAAAAAAAAGAAAAGGTTTCTATGTATCTATAAGATGTACTTCTATTGGCATGCCTAATATGTCTATATATTTATGTGTTGTCTACACAGTGTTTTAGTACTGAAAATATATATTAAAAAAACTCTAATTAATTGGCTTAAAGAAAAATAAAAGTACTTAAATCAAATACTTTATCAGAAAAGGAAAGACTAGTCAAATGCTTTTTCAAGTTTACATGACTTAAGTAAAATCTTTATAAATAAGCTAGCTTTAAAATGATTGGTAAAGTAACATCAAAAATGTCTTAAGAATTGCCAGCACACATTTTTGTTTGCATATATTGATCAAGCAATTTCATACTCATCTCTGCCAAATACTATACGGGTCAAAATTTGGCATAGGTGTTATAAAACTATAAACCCACCCCAAAACAGAATGATCTTTGCTTGTGTAATCTTTAATAAATAAGACATTGGCATTGGTTTAATACAAATAGCTACATCTTGAATTTAGTAAGATTACCATAACTTCTAATCTTGTGGTTTTAGACAGTCTAGTCCACAGGCAATGAGGTTTGTTTTGGGAAAGGACTTTTATCATCTTTATTTCAAAGCTAAACTATCAACTAATTTCCTCCCAAAGTTAGTTTGGCTGTTGTCCAGGAATGAACAAGGACAGCTTGGAGGTTAAAAACAAGATGGAGCCAATTAGGTCAAAATTTTTTCACTGTCTTGTTATAATTTTGCAATGGTAGTTCCATAACTTTAAATGATGACTATTGCAGTTTTCATAAATAATCTAGGTAAATAATTAGGTAAATGTAATGAGATAAATACTTGTATACAAACTCATCATAATTTAGAATCTAAAGTTATATTACATTAAATGATAGATATTTAATTATTTGAGTATTTTCCAATAAAAATATATTCATAGAAAAACATTCTTCTAAAAAAAGTGTGTTCTTTGTAAAAAAAAGGTGAACAATTTTTGTCTAATTCAAAGCTTATTTAAATGTCATATATAAAACAAGGTAAAAGGAACTAGGAAATAAGAGTGATAAAAAAAGTTATAAAAATAAAGAGGGGTTTTTTGGTAAGAAAGCTAAAAGAGAAATAATTTCATTAAGAAAGAATCTTGTATGGTAAATTTAGTCCTAGAATAAAATGACTAGTTGTTTTAGAAAGAGGGATGTTCAGGACAACAACCAGAAAATCCAAGCGTGTCATGAATAGTCTGTGTAAATCACAGTAAGGATTTATTTAAAAAAAAAACAAAAACAAAAACAAAAAACTTTTATATGATCAAGTTGTGTATAAACAAAAGGAAATTATAATGGTTTTTCTAGAGATTGAGCTTGATGTGAAAAAATTCTTATATACTAAATAATTGGTTAGAGCAATGAAATTTTCTTAAGGGATTGACTTAGTCATAGTTTATTATCAGAGATTTTCATTTTGTTTTAACCCAAAGTTCAACTTTTATTGCATCTCACTGTTGTCAGTTTTCTCTCCCCTTTTAAAAGATGAGAAATAGTAATGCTCTTCTTCAACTCATTTTCAGCTCATATTAGTTTTCTTCCTTAAGTTCTGTTTATTGTGGCCTGATGCTAACAATGTTTTCTTAAGGTTCTAAAGGAAATGTTTTCTTCTAACATAATATTCTGTGCAGTGCAGAAGGTTTCTTTTGCCTTTTGGTAACTGGCCTAACAGATTTTACAGTTTATCAAAACAATTCCTATGTCATTATTATTATAAATTTTGGCTTGTTTAGAAGAGATTTAAAAATTTTTAAATTAAGGTTATTACATCTATATATCTCTATATATGCACTGTTAAAGTACTTTTGACATTGAGTTATAGGGCTTTGGCTCCTGGGTCTAGAAAGGACACCAAGTCCTGCTAAATTTTAAATACTGACAGCAAATAAAGCCCCATCTTCAGGCCCAGTAGAAGATACCAATCGAAATGAACTGCCTTCCTGAGACACAGGGCCAGAAATACAAGCTGTTCAGCTCCTCGAGGCCCATGGACTATCGTGGAAGAGGTGCACATGTGAGATTGTAAGAGCTGATTTTGAGAGATAAAATAAGTTCAGCTTCTCTATAAATTATTTATTAATCTCAAAAGCACACTGATGCAAGACCAGTATATAGGCCCCTGTGTCAGATTAACAAGGTTTTCTTGAAGCATTAACTGACCCTTAATAAAGGTTATAAAGTTTTTAAAAGGCTTATGGAAGTTATGTCTTATGGTCAAGATTAAAATTTTATAGATTGTTTATAAAATTTTGAAAAACGAATTGGCTTCTTGCTGTTTCTTTTAGGGTTTATTGATTGGAAAATGAAGTCTCCTCTCAAAGAAGGAAGGTTTTTGCCTTCTTTGGTATCCTTATCACTTTGGTTAAATGAATGACTTAGTTGATAATGACCTATGATCCTATTTTATGATATCAAGTGTTTTAAACTTTCGATATTTGACAAACTTCCCAAAATCAAATTATAAATTTGCCTCTTTCTGACCTAATTAATCCTTTAAGATATTAGTTCCCTAAAGTCCAAAAATAACATACTTGGTTTATTTGGTATAAAAATTATACAGGAAGCATTGTCATATATGATTTGGCTTTCTTTGGGCTGCATTTGTATAAATGTTATTCATATGTTTTCCAAAATTATGGAAAACTCCTATAATTCTGATATGACTTAGTGTACATTATCAGTAATAATTATAATTGTTATTGTGTGCCACAGAGGTAATAAATTTCCTTGTCAATTGTTTCTTTGACTATGGCTGCCCTACAGCCTTTTGTTATCCACTGAAAATTGTTGCCTTGTTTTGGTCCTCCTCAGAAGGTGGTTTTATAATCAGCTGTAAAACCCTAGCAGGTGCTCTTGAATGCAGGTTTCTGTTAACTTTTGGAGATTATGACATCAGAATAGAAGGAAAAATTTCAGGACTCATGGAGAGCTGAAGTGTTCATAAATATCAAGCAGTATAGGAATTAACTGCATGGACTGAACTAATAGAAGACTGAAGTAATCATTTTGACTTTTTGCTTAAAACATTGTTGATCCTTTGTTTTGTTTTTTTCAGAGTGAAGAAAGCCTTTCTTTTGAGCTATTGACAGCTTTTAACAAGTTAGGATACTCCTTTGAACAAAATTTGCAACATATTTCTTTTCTCTCTACCTGATTTCTCCAGAATTTGGAAACTATTTGTGAGTATTCTTAACTTATGGCAATACAGTTATTTACATAAGTGCAATAAGAATCTGTTTTCATTTGTAACAGGACACAATTAGAGAAACTGGTTATTTTACCAAGGCTTTGACTGGAATGGTGTGCTTTCCTTTAAGGAATCAAACTTGACTTATGGAGCCAATAAAACCCCTTTGGAAAAACTGGCCTCATACCTTGTCTACACAGTCTCTGTTCAGGGTTCTGATCTATAGTAGTAAAGTATGTCACTTTCTGACAGGCTCAGGAGCCCCAAGTTTATCCTGGGACCTCAAGAGGAGAGGATCACCCAACTTATAGGTATTTGATGGTACATATCCATGGCTGGGCTCAGCTTTAAAAAAGTTTCATCTGAGATTCCTTCTGTGAAACAAAGTTCCATCAAAGCCAATTTAAAAGCCTATGTAAAAAATAATTATGAGGGAGGGCAGCCAAGATGGCCAAATAGGAACAGCTCCGGTCTACAGCTCCCAGCGTGAGCGACGCAGAAGACGGGTGATTTCTGCATTTCCATCTGAGGTACCGGGTTCATCTCACTAGGGAGTGCCAGACAGTGGGCTCAGGACAGTGAGTGCAGCACACCATGCGCGAGCCAAAGCAGGGTGAGGCATTGCCTCACTCAGGAAGCGCAAGGGGTCAGGGAGTTCCCTTTCCTAGTCAAAGAAAGGGGTGACAGACGGCACCTGGAAAATCAGGTCACTCCCACCCTAATACTGCGCTTTTCCAACGGGCTTAAAAAACGGCGCAACAGAAGATTATATCCCGTACCTGGCTCGGAGGGTCCTATGTCCATGGAGTCTCGCTGATTGCTAGCACAGCAGTCTGAGATCAAACTGCAAGGTGGCAGCGAGGCTGGGGGAGGGGCGCCCACCATTGCCCAGGCTTGCTTAGGTAAACAAAGCAACCGGGAAGCTCGAACTGGGTGGAGCCCACCACAGCTCAAGGAGGCCTGCCTGCCTCTGTAGGCTCCATCTCTGGGGGCAGGGCACAGACAAACAAAAAGACAGCAGTAACCTCTGCAGACTTAAATGTCCCTGCCTGACAGCTTTGAAGAGAGAAGTGGTCCTCCCAGCACACAGCTGGAGATCTGAGAACGGGCAGACTGCCTCCTCAAGTGGGTCCCTGACCCCTGACCCCCGAGCAGCCTAACTGGGAGGCACCCCCTAGTAGGGGCAGACTGACACCTCACATGGCCAGGTACTCCTCTGAGACAAAACTTCCAGAGTAATGATCAGGCAGCAGCATTCACAGTTCACGAAAATCCGCTGTTCTCCAGCCACCGCTGCTGATACCCAGGCAAACAGGGTCTGAAGTGGACCTCTAGCAAACTCCAACAGACCTGCAGCTGAGGGTCCTGTCTGTTAGAAGGAAAACTAACAAACAGAAAGGACATCCACACTAAAAACCCACCTGTACATCACCATCTTCAAAGACCAAAAGTAGATGAAACCACAAAGATAGGGAAAAAACAGAGCAGAAAAACTGGAAACTCTAAAAAGCAGAGCGCCTCTCCTCCTCCAAAGGAATGCAGTTCCTCACTGGCAACGGAACAAAACTGGACAGAGAATGACTTTGATGAGTTGAGAGAAGAAGGCTTCAGACAATCAAACTACTCTGAGATACAGGAGGAAATTCAAACCAAAGGCAAAGAAGTTAAAAACTTTGAAAAAAATTTAGACGAATGTATCACTAGAATAACCAATACAGAGAAGTGCTTAAAGGAGCTGATGGAGCTGAAAACCAAGGCTTGAGAACTATGTGAAGAATGCAGAAGACTCAGGAGCTGATGCGATCAACTGGAAGAAAGGGTATCAGTGATGGAAGATGAAATGAATGAAATGAAGTGAGAAGGGAAGTTTAGGGAAAAAAGAATAAAAAGAAATGAACAAAGCCTCCAAGAAATATGGGACTATGTGAAAAGACCAAATCTATGTCTGATTGGTGTACCTGAAAGTGACGGGGAGTTGGAAAACACTCTGCAGGATATTATCCAGGAGAACTTCCCCAATCTAGCAAGGCAGGCCAACATTCAGATTCAGGAAATACAGAGAACACCACAAAGATAATCCTCAAGAAGAGCAACTCCAAGACACATAATTGTCAGATTCACCAAAGTTGAAATGAAGGAAAAAATGTTAAGGGCAGCCAGAGAGAAAGGTCGGGTTACCCACAAAGGGAAGCCCATCAGACTAACAGCGGATCTCTCGGCAGAAACTCTACAGGCTAGAAGAGAGTGGGGGCCAATATTCAACATTCTTAAAGAAAAGAATTTTCAACCCAGAATTTCATATCCAGCCAAACTAAGCTTCATAAGTGAAGGAGAAATAAAATACTTTACAGATGCTAAGAGATTTTGTCACCACCAGGCCTGCCCTAAAAGAGCTCCTGAAGGAAGCACTAAACATGGAAAGGAACAACCGGTACCAGCCGTTGCAAAATCATGCCAAAATGTAAAGACCGTCGAGACTAGGAAGAAACTGCCTCAACTAACGAGCAAAATAACCAGCTAACATCATAATGACAGGATCAAATTCACACATAACAATATTAACTTTAAATGTAAATGGACTAAATGCTCCAATTAAAAGACACAGACTGGCAAATTGGATAAAGAGTCAAGACCCATCAGTGTGCTGTATTCAGGAAACCCATCTCACATGCAGAGACACACATAGGCTCAAAATAAAAGGACGGAGGAAGATCTACCAAGCAAATGGAAAACAAAAAAAGGCAGGGGTTGCAATCCTAGTCTCTGATAAAACAGACTTTAAACCAACAAAGATCAAAAGAGACAAAGAAGGCCAGTACATAATGGTAAAGGGATCAATCCAACAAGAAGAGCTAACTATCCTAAATATATATGCCCCCAATACAGGAGCACTCAGATTCATAAAGCAAGTGCTGAGTGACCTACAAAGAGACTTAGACTCCCACACAATAATAATGGGAGACTTTAACAACCCACTGTCAACATTAGACAGATCAACAAGACAGAAAGTTAACAAGGATACCCAGGAATTGAACTCAGCTCTGCACCAAGCCGACCTAATAGACATCTACAGAACTCTCCACCCCAAATCAACAGAATATACATTTTTTTCAGCACCACACCACACCTATTCCAAAATTGACCACATAGTTGGAAGTAAAGCTCTCCTCAGCAAATGTAAAAGAACAGAAATTATAACAAACTGTCTCTCAGACCACAGTGCAATCAAACTAGAACTCAGGATTAAGAAACTCACTCAAAACCGCTCAACTACATGGAAACTGAACAACCTGCTCCTGAGTGACTACTGGGTACATAACAAAATGAAGGCAGAAATAAAGATGTGCTTTGAAACCAACGAGAACAAAGACACAACTTACCAGAATCTCTGGGACACATTCAAAGCAGTGTGTAGAGGGAAATTTATAGCACTAAATGCCCACAAGAGAAAGCAGGAAATATCCAAAATTGACACCCTAACATCACAATTAAAAGAACTAGAAAAGCAAGAGCAAACATTCAAAAGCTAGCAGAAGGCAAGAAACAACTAAAATCAGAGCAGAACCGAAGGAAATAGAGACACAAAAAACCCTTCAAAAAATTAATGAATCCAGGAGCTGGTTTTTTGAAAGGATCAACAAAATTGATAGACCACTAGCAAGACTCATAAAGAAAAAAAGAGAGAAGAATCAAATAGATGCAATAAAAAATGATAAAGGGGATATCACCACCGATCCCACAGAAATACAAACTACCATCAGAGAATACTACAAACATCTCTACGCAAATAAACTAGAAAATCTAGAAGAAATGGATAAATTTCTGGACACATACACTCTCCCAAGACTAAACCAGGAAGAAGTTGAATCTCTGAATAGACCAATAACAGGATCTGAAATTGTGGCAATAATCAATAGCTTACCAACCAAAAAGAGTCCAGGACCAGATGGATTCACAGCCGAATTCTACCAGAGGTATAAGGAGGAACTGGTACCATTCCTTCTGAAACTATTCCAATCAATAGAAAAAGAGGGAATCCCCCCTAACTCATTTTATGAGGCCAGCATCATCCTGATACCAAAGCTGGGCAGAGACACAACCAAAAAAGAAAATTTTAGACCAATATCCTTGATGAACATTGATGCAAAAATCCTCAATAAAATACTGGCAAACCGAATCCAGCAGCACATCAAAAAGCTTTTCCGCCATGATCAAGTGGGCTTCATCCCTGGGATGCAAGGCTGGCTCAATATACGCAAATCAATAAATGTAATCCAGCATATAAACAGAACCAAAGTCAAAAACCACATGATTATCTCAATAGATGCAGAAAAGGCCTTTGACAAAATTCAACAACCCTTCATGCTAAAAACTCTCAATAAATTCGGTATTGATGGGATGTATCTCAAAATAATAAGAGCTATCTATGACAAAACCACAGCCAATATCATACTGAATGGGCAAAAACTGGAAGCATTCCCTTTGAAAACTGGCACAAGACAGGGATGCCCTCTCTCACCACTCCTATTCAACATAGTGTTGGAAGTTCTGGCCAGGGCAATTAGGCAGGAGAAGGAAATAAAGGGTATTCAATTAGGAAAAGAGGAAGTCAAATTGTCCCTGTTTGCAGACGACATGATTATATATCTAGAAAACCCCATTTTCTCAGCCCAAAATCTCCTTAAGCTGATAAGCAACTTCAGCAAACTCTCAGGATACAAAATCAATGTGCAAAAATCACAAGCATTCTTATACACCAATAACAGACAAACAGAGAGCCAAATCATGAGTGAACTCCCATTCACAATTGCTTCAAAGGGAATAAAATACGTAGGAATCCAACTTACAAGGGACGTGAAGGACCTCTTCAAGGAGAACTACAAACCACTGCTCAAGGAAATAAAAGAGGATACAAACAAATGGAAGAACATTCCATGCTCATGGGTAGGAAGAATCAATATCGTGAAAATGGCCATACTGTCCAAGGTAATTTATAGATTCAATGCCATCCCCATCAAGCTACCAATGACTTTCTTCACAGAATTGGAAAAAACTACTTTAAACTTCATATGGAACCAAAAAAGAGCCTGCATCACCAAGTCAATCCTAAGCCAAAAGAACAAAGCTGGAGGCATCACGCTACCTGACTTCAAACTATACTACAAGGCTACAGTAACCAAAACAGCATGGTACTGGTACCAAAACAGAGATATAGATCAATGGAACAGAACAGAGCCCTCAGAAATAACACTGCATATCTACAAATATCTGATCATTGACAAACCTGACAAAAACAAGCAATGGGGAAAGGATTCCCTATTTAATAAATGGTGCTGGGAAAACTGGCTAGCCATATGTAGAAAGCTGAAACTGGATCCCTTCCTTACATCTTATACAAAAATTAATTCAAGATGGATTAAAGACTTAAACGTTAGACCTAAAACCATAAAAACCCTAGAAGAAAACCTAGGCATTACCATTCAGGACATAGGCATGGGCAAGGACTTCATGTCTAAAACACCAAAAGCAATGGCAACAAAAGCCAAAATTGACAAATGGGATCTATTTAAACTAAAGAGCTTCTGCACAACAAAAGAAACTACCATCAGAGTGAACAGGCAACCTACAAAATGGGAGAAAATTTTTGCAACCTACTCATCTGACAAAGGGCTAATATCCAGAATCTACAATGAACTCAAACAAATTTACAAGAAAAAAACAAACAACCCCATCAAAAAGTGGGTGAAGGATATGAACAGACACTTCTCAAAAGAAGACATTTATGCAGCCAAAAGACACATGAAAAACTGCTCATCATCACTGGCCATCAAAGAAATGCAAATCAAAACCACAATGAGATACCATCTCACACCAGTTAGAATGGCGATCATTAAAAAGTCAGGAAACAACAGGTGCTGGAGAGGATGTGGAGAAATAGGAACACTTTTACACTGTTGGTGGGACTGTAAACTAGTCCAACCATTGTGGAAGTCAGTGTGGCGATTCCTCAGGGATCTAGAACTAGAAATACCATTTGACCCAGTCATCCCATTACTGGATATATACCCAAAGGATTATAAATCATGCTGCTATAAAGACACATGAACACGTATGTTTATTGCGGCACTATTCACAATAGCAAAGACTTGGAACCAACCCAAATGTCCAACAATGATAGACTGGATTAAGAAAATGTGGCACATATACACCATGGAATACTATGCAGCCATAAAAAATGATGAGTTCATGTCCTTTGTAGGGACATGGATGAAATTGGAAATCATCATTCTCAGTAAACTATCGCAAGGACAAAAAACCAGACACCGCATGTTCTCACTCATAGGTGGGAATTGAACAATGAGAACACATGGACACAGGAAGGGGAACATCACACAACGGGGACTGTTGTGGGTGGGGGGAGGGGGGAGGGATAGCATTAGGAGATATACCTAATGCTAAATGACGAGTTAATGGGTGCAGCACACCAGCATGGCACATGTATACATATGTAACTAACCCGCACATTGTGCACATGTACCCTAAAACTTAAAGTATAATAACAATAAAATAAAATAAAAAATAATAATTATTCTTGCTGCACTATATACAAATAATTAGGCCAGGTATAATAAAGAAAACCAGTCCTCCCATGATTCGTCTTTAATAAAAATGGGAAACTGGAGAGAGAAAAATTATGTTTCAAAAACTATAGCACACCTGTTGTTAGATTTTAGTCTTGCATAATGTTTTTCAACTTTTATTATTTTCTACAGTTTGGACCGAATTCTAATTTTTATTGGCTACAAGTCTTTAAAATAATGTTTTCCACTTTTCCTTCCTTTTTCCCTGTTTTTCCTGATTTGGAGTCACTGAAAACTAAGCTGTGCTTTTGTAAAGCCATGCAAACTGAAGCTAAACAACTTAAACTTCAGAAGAAAATAATGGCAACCTGTTTACATACATAACCACATTCATACCTGCCTACTGAAGTATGGACTACAGAGTAATGTGGCCTATATCAATTTTTCAAGATTGTTATTTTGTTTGTTGTTGTTTTTATCCCTTCTTCCCCCTACTTTCTCTTCATGGGACATGCGACTTCACAACCTGCTAAAAATTAGTTTTTCTAAGAACTTGAGACCTACTTGTCTAGGAATAAACTGTCCTGGCCATGAGAGATCAGACAAAGTCTAAGACCAGAGATTCATTTTCTTCTTAAATGCTTTCTCCAAAAGATTTTACAAAGAAAAAGGGGGAAATGTAGAAGAAAATAAATCTTTGGGCCCCAAAATCACTAAGTTAAAGGGAAAAGTCAAGGGGGGAACTGCCTAGGACAAACTCACCTCGCATTCTATTCAAAGTCATCCCTCTGCTCACTGAGATAAATGCATATCTGATTGCCTCCTTTGGAAAGGCTAATCAGAAACTCAAATAGCATGCAACTGTTTGTCTCTCACTTACCTATGACGTGGAAGCCCCCTTCCTACTTCAGGTTTTCCCGCCTTTCCAGTCTAAACCAATGTTCATTTTACCTATGTTGATTGATGTGTCATGTCTCTCTAAAACATATAAAAGTAAACTGTGCTCTGACCATCTTGGGCACATGTCTTCAGGACCTTCTAAGTCTGTGTCACTGGTGCACATCCTCAACCTTGGCAAAATAAACTTTCTAAACTAACTGATACCTGTCTCAGATTTTTAGGGTTCATAGAGGGTTGGTAATATTCCATACTTGGGTGAGTTTCCAGGGGTGGTAATACTCCATACACTTACTGCTACACATGGATGCCAGAGGACACAGAATCCTGAGGAAACAGACATTTCATGTTTGGAGCCCTCCCAGTCCCAGATTCCTCCTATGTGTCTCTTCCCTTGAGGGGTTCTGAATTGTATCCTTTTTGCTATAATAAAACTGTTATGATCAAAGTATAGTTCAAAGTATAGATCAAAGATCAGCTTTCCTGAGTTCTGTAAGTCATTTAGCAACTTACTGAACATGAAGGAGTTTGTGGGGACCCTTGAATTTGCAGCCAGCTGGTCTGAAGTGAGGGTGACCCTGGGGACCCACAAACTTGGGGCTAGTGTCAGAAGTCTTGGATAGACTTTGCAGTCTGGGAGGACCTTGCCTTTCACCTCAAGTTTGGATAACTCCAGATATTAAATAACATACCTAAGGCCACACAGCTACGAACTGTTGGAGCTGGGATTTGCACCTTGGTGTCTCTGTCACAATATGTCCAGGCAGAAGCTTAGTTTTGTAACCACATCCCCCACCCCAAAACCCCCCAGCAAATAACATGTGACTGTCACTGTCATTAATCTATACTGTCCTGTTTCTCATTTCTGAATATAGAGAAGAGGTTTTCATCTGGGGCAGTTTTTCCCCCCATAGAATATTTGGTAATGTCTGGAGGCATCTTTTGGGGAGGATCCTACTGGTATCTAGTGGGTAGAGGCTAGGGATGCTACTTAACATCCTATAAGGCACAGGTCAGCCCTCCCTCACAACAAAGAATTACCCAGCTTAAACATCAACCATGCTGAGGTTCAGAAACCCTAGTATAGAGGTATGTTCTGTGCTGGAATTGCATAAGTGAGAGAACCACCTTCTGTATTAGTCTGTTTTCACACTGCTCTAAAGAAATACCCAATACTGGGTAATGTATAAAGGAAAGAGGTTTAATTGACTCACAGTTCCACATGGCTGGGGAGGCCTCAGGAAACTTACAATCATTGTGGAAGGGGAAGCAGGCTTGTCTTACATGATGGCAGGTGAGAAAGAGAGTGAGTGTGAAGGAGGAACTGTCAAACACTTATAAAACCATCAGATCTCACAAGATCTCACTCACTATCATGAGAACAGCATGGGGGAAACTGCCCACATGATCCAGTCACCTCCCTCCCTTGACATGTGGGGATTACAGGTCCCTCCCTTGACACATGGGGATTATAATTCAAGATGAGATTTGGGTGGGGACACAGAGCCAAACCATATGACCTTCTTATATGTGTTTCTCAATGCTCTGGGAAAGGGTAACACCTAGAAATAACATGACAAATCAAAGTACAAGGTAATTAAGCTATGATCATCATCATTCTCTTAACTCCTGAGATGTAGCTTCAAGCAGGATATTCTTTCATAGGAGGAATGATAATGTTGGGGCTTAGAAAACAATACCCCAAAGTATGGTGCATTGGCATGCTGAGTACTTTGAACTGAAGGATATTGAAAGGACCTCAGAAGCAAAGTATCTTTCTGATCTTCTCCTGCCTTCCTGTTCCCTGCTCCCCTTTTGCCCCCAAGGCAGGTCATATAAACTAGAGCACATCTTTCCCAAGGTGGGTTATACTACTCTAACCTTCCCCTGCCTTTCTGTGTAGGAGCTGAACACAAATAAATTCTATGACCTGCTTTGTCTGATCTGATAGCGGGTCATAAGACCCTCATTCCACAGGGGACCTGCCCTATACCTGGGAAGAAGGAACGCTGCACAGAAAGGCTCAGAAAAATCTGAACAGACAGGCTCTTCTGGGTTCCCCACTCAGTCTATTGTCATCAGATCGTTCTCTTTTTTGTCCAATCACATGTTTACACGGCTATCCATTCTTCATTGAACCGAAGCATAAAAATAGTTTTCCTGGGTGTTCGGGTCCTCATTTCTGAAGGCGTCCAAGTCATAAGAAACTCTGATTAAATAAATCTGTTATGCTTTAGTTCTGGGATACATGTGCAGAATGTGCAGGTTTGTTACATAGGTATAGATATATGTATGCCATGGTGGTTTGCTGCACCTATCAACCTGTCACTTAGGTTTTAAGCCCCACATGCATTAGCTATTTGTCCTAATGTACTCCCTCCACTAGTCCCCCATCCCTGACAGGCCCATCCCTGTGTCCATGTGCTTTGATTGTTCAACTCCCACTTATGAGTGAGAACATGTGGTGTTTAGTTTTCTGTTCCTGCATTAGTTTGCTGAGGATGATGGCTTCCAGCTTCATCTATGTCCTTGCAAAGGACCTGATCTTATTCCATTTTATGGCTGCATAGTATTCCATGGTATATATGTACCACATTTTCTTTATCCAGTCTATCATTGATGGGCATTTGGGTTGGTTCCATGTCTTTGCTATTGTGAATAGTGCTGCAAATAAACATATGTGTGCATGTATCTTTATAATAGAATGATTTATATTCCTTTGTTGTTAACTCATCTTTTGAGAGTTGAGAGTCTGCCATAACCCTTATAATGGGTGAGGAAAGGTATCACACTTCCCACCCCTATAATAGTTGCCTCCTAGTTAAAGCTATTGTTCCCTTGGATAATATGTTAGTTTGAGTCCTCTAAGAAGGAGACTCCAAGACAAAATTAAATGTGCAAGAAATGTATTAAGGGAAATGCTCATAAGAGAAAATAGGGAAGGACCATGGGAAGGCAGAAGGAAGACCGGATGGTTGGGCAGAAGCATCTGAGGTTGCAGTATCATCCTTGTGAAAATGTGGTAAGGCTGTCAGAGTGTCCTTGTGCCAAAGTCACCCATCAGAGAAGTCCTGCATCTTGAGGCCTGCACGAGTATCTCTGCCTTTGCTCAATCCATGGCTGAGAGCAACCCATGGGAAGTGCGGCTTTGTGCAAATGCAGCAGTGGACATCTAAGTGCAGCACCTGGGGCTGTCGGTCAGTTTTGCTCACTGCAGTTGGAGATTACAGAGGCACATTCTCACAGCCACTGCAGCTAACAAGCACATTTCTCAAATTAGCATTTTTAGTGTGATATCTGGCTTTTCCTTTCAGACTCCTGAAATTACAAATAACTAGTTGCACCTGTTTTCCAAATTTACCACTTCTGCTCTCAGAATATAGATCAGAAAGTTTCATGTCTGTCTTTGAAAATTTTATTATTGCTAAAATCTAAGATGACTCAATAGCGTCATTTGGAGTTGACCTGATCAGACCAGGACACACCATCCCCAAAATATAACTGTAGAAGACCAGAATCTGCCACCCCAAATATCCCTCTTTTGCATAAGGATTTTTTTGAGTTGGTTATTTTGAGAAACTGCAGACAAAGGAGTTCTGAAAAGTTACCCTTTTGTAGGAGAAATTTGCATCTATATCCATTTGTAAGGGTGTCTCCCTGTCTGCACCAGGGATGAGAAGGATAACTAAACTACTAGAGACTCTATAATCAATGGAGAAGGCATCCATTAAATCTGCATAACAAATCTGACCTGTTTTAGTGTTTTTCATGGTTATTACATCTTAATGGAAACTCTCCCCACACCCTTCTTTCTTTGTTTCAGAGAATAATGGGATTTAAGCCTGAATTCTAAGACTACCCTTTTGAGATCTACTCTAGAGATGTACTCATTGATCTTGTTTTCTCCTTTGTATACAAGAGGTACACATTATTAAACTTTTGTTTGCTTTTCTCTTGTTAATCTGTCTTTTGTTAAATGGAGTTCCAGCTAAGAACTCATGAAGGGCAGAAGAGAAAATTATTTTCCCCCTCCTACAGACCCTTTAAAAAGTTCTACAGACATCCAATAATGTGTGATCCACAAAAGACACTTAGCTTCATGTGGATTTTCAAGACATTTGTCATTTAAATAAAGCTTGACTTTCACATTCACACCAAATTCTACAGTGTAGAACCTTATTTTTAAAGACATTAGCTCTTATTCTTAAAGATTTAAGGAATCTTTATTTTTATGATACTAAAAAAATCTTACTTTTTATAATATTGCACATAAATGTAAAGTGTTAAAAGTCTGGAAGAATATATAACAACTCATCAACAATGAATACCTCTGAGAGGTTTTAACATTTTTATTTGTATTGATTCAGAATTACATTTGGCTGTCTATTTAGAAACCTAAGAAACAGAGGCTCAGGCAAATTGGGGAGTCATTTTTCTCACATAGTGAGGAGTCTGAAAGCGGGTAGTTCAATGACACCAGAGTTAAGGTCTCTGTGATTCTCTCAGCCTTTCCTTCTTGGTCACAAAGTGGTAGCTACTGCTCCAGCCATTCTGTCCAGAGGAGGAAGAAGGAAAGAAAAGGGATGAGGAGCAATTGCCAGCCAAGGCACTCCATTTATTTATTTATTTATTTATTTATTTTTGAGATGGAGTCTTGCTCTGTCTCCCAGTCTGGAGTGCAGTGATGTGATCTCTGCTCACTGCAACCTCTGTCTCCTGGGTTCAAGCGATTCTCCTGCCTCAGCCTCCTGAGTAGCTGGGACTACAGGCATGTGCCAGCATGCCTGGCTAAGTTTTGTATTTTTAGTAGAGACAGGGTTTCACCATTTTGGCCAGGCTGGTCTCGAACTCCTGACCTCAGGTGATCCGCCTGCCTTGACCTCCCAAAGTGCTGGGATTACAGGTGTGAGTCACCATGCCTAGCCAAGACATTTCATTTTAAAGACAGCTTTTCAACAAGCTCCACCCCACAACCTCTAATTTCCCTGTTGACCACACCTTCTGCAAAGGATACTTAGCAATGTTGTTTTTAGCTATACACATTGACATTCTGAGTAAAGTTAGGGTTCTGTTGGTGATGGAAAAAAATCACTTAATCTCTATTTCAACCTCCTTTTATCCCAGTTGTTACAAGATGTATTCTAGTCAACTCTTGCTTAACAAAGTCAGTTTAGCATTTTTATAGTTAAATCACACTTAAACTCAATCAATTCAGATTTCACCTATTTATTTCTCCTTTGCCCTGGGAAGAGCTGGGGAGAGGGGTGTCTATGTGCTGGATAAAGCATGCCATGGAGGTGGAAGTGGTGGTGGGCTCTGGTCCTTGGTAGTCCACACTGACAACTATGGAGCTGTCTGTGGTCTCAGATGTCCATTTCAGACTTATTTGCTGTGCCCTCCTTGTCCTGGAATGCTATCATTTTTACTCTAGAGCTGCCATACCATCTTGCCCCCAAGAACTCTCTGTGAGGTCTGCCATCTTCTAGAACATTGACTGGGAACAAGGCTGAGACAGAACAGGGGCCCATAATAAGGAAGCCAAGCATGGAAATAAAGGAAAATCTTGAGTTCCTTCAAGAGACATTCCAGGAACCTAGTTAACCTTGAGATGTAAATAAGCAACCTGATAAGCAAGAAGGTAACGATAGCTTAAAACAATAGCCACCCAGGAAAATTAAAGCCACAAGATGTTTGTTTCCCTGTAGAAACTAAAGATGACATCTTCACATATATCCCTGCGTTGTTTTTCAGACTCCTATCAGATGGGAAATGCCAACTGCTGCCATGTAGACCACAGATAAGGGGGAGCTGAAGACTGAACTCTGTCCACCATTCTTTGTTCTAAATTTCTTCCTGAGGGGCCTAGAGAAATTCACATCCACAGGCCACACCTTAACATTTTTTTTTGTTAACCCTAAGTTTTTAGACAAAGCCTTGCTTCCTTAACCAATTGCAAATCAAAGAATCTCTGAATCTACGTATGACCTGTAAACCCCCTGCATCAAGATATCCTGCCTTTTGGGGCCAAACCAATGTAACCTCCATGTATTGATTTACAGTTTTGCCTGTGTAAACCAAAAGGTGACTGAGGTAGGTGTCTCAATTGATTAGAGGTTTATTTAGCCAAAGTGGAGGACATGCCTGGGAAAACCACAAATCATAGGAGAATTTGTGATCTACGCTTTTGCCAAGGGTGTCGTGAACTTCAGTATTTAAAGGGGAAAGAGCAAATAGGAGGGAGGGAGGCAGTGAGGCAGATCATTACATTCTTGTGAGGCTCTAAGTAGCCTTACTAAATCTACGTTTTACATATGAAAATAGGGAGTAGTGGAAAAGTCAATAATGCATTGTCTCATTCCCAATAAATCTATATTTTATATAAGATACATTTTAGGGAGGCAGAAATTACAGGCAAAAGCATAAATCAATACATGGAAGGTTTACATTGGTTTGGCCCAGAAAGGTAGGACATCTTGAAGTAGGGGCTTCCAGGTCAAAGGTGGATCCAAAGGTTTTCTGATTGGCAATTGATTGAAAGACTTAAGCTTTGCCTGAAGAGTTTGAAGTTAGCATAAAGAAATGCTTGAGTTGAGATAAGGGGTGCTGTGGAAGCCAGGGTTCTTGTCATGTAGCTGAAGCTTCCAGATAGGAGGTTTCAGAGAGAATAGATGGTAAATTTCCCCTACTGGGCCTTACAAGGTGTCAGACTCTCCAGAAGAAGACCTAGCAAGGGAAGGAGATTCTTTACAGATTGCAAATTTCTCTCACAGAGACAGCTTTGCAGAGTCATTTCAAAATATGTAAAAAAATACATTTTGGGGTAAAACACTTTGATTTCCTTCAGGGCTTACTGTCTGTCATGTGATGCCATACCAGAGTCAGGTTGGAATTTGGTGTCCAAAGAGTCTGTTTGGTCAGTCTTGTGATCTCTATTTTAATGTTAACATTGGTTGGTTGTGCCTAAATTCCAAAGAGAGGAGGGTATAACGAGGCCTGTCCAGCTTTCCCTTCCCATCACACCTGAGCTAGTTTTTCAGGTTTCTTTGGGACCACCTTGCAAGAGAGGGATCCATTTAGTCAGCTGAGGGCTTAGAATTTTAATTTTGGATTACAAGGTAAACAAAAACATTTTATTCTCTCTTAATGTTACATGAAAATCTTGTTCAAAAGAGAAAACCAAATTTACCTTTGTATTTAGTGTATTATTAAAAGCTAATTGTATGTATGTATGTATATGTATATGTGTTTGTGTGTAAGAAATGTTAGTTTGATTTAACCAGTTTTCACAGCTGAATACTTATTCTATAAAAACTTTACAGATTATGCAGTTTATATATAGTTCAAACTACTGAATGAAAAGGTAGGCCCCACAGATGCAAAACTACTGTACCCATCAATCCAAGGTAAAGGTAGATTTACACACTGTACAGCACTTTGCATGGCTGGGGTGGTGGTCAGTTCTGAGTATAAACTTCAACATTGTACAGAAATAAGGTTTTGATTTTTTTTCACTCTTCATACATTCAATATGATTGCAAACTCAGAAGCCTAACTAATAATAAGTGATATGGTTTGGCTATATACCCACCCAAATCTCACCTTGAATTGTCATAATCCCTATGTGTCAAGGGTGGGGCCGGGTGGAGATAACTGAATCTTGGGGACAGTTCTCCCCATACTGTTCTTGTGGTAGTGAATAAGTCCTATGAGATCTGATGGTTTTATAAATAGGAGTTCCTCTGCACAAGCACTCTTGCCTGCTGCCATGTAGGACATGGCTTTGCTTCTCCTTTGCCATCTGCCATGATTGTGAGGCCTCCACAGCCATGTGGAACTGTGAGTTCATTAAACTTCTTTCCTTTATAAATTACCCAGTCTCAGTTATGTCTTTATTAGCAGCGTGAGAACAGACTAATACAGTAAGCATCTGTAGTCTGGAATGAGTACTCACTCCTGGAAGGAATTCACTTGTCTACCCACACAGGGCACTCTTGGACGCCATATTGTATTAGTATATTGTATAGACATAAAAGCAGAGGCCAAGAACATTAAAAGTTGAAAATAAGGTAGTTCTTTTTTTGTTTTGAAAGGAGTTTCTGCAACTAATACTATGTTAAAAGAACTTTAACTTATTAAATAAAATATATTCTAAGTGAACCTCAAAATTGCATTTTATAAACATAAAAATACTTTATTTTGATGTAATACATTAGTCATATCTGCAAATAGAAAATGAAAACTGCATATAAGGTAATATTTCTGACCCAGTAATAAAAGGCACTTTGGAGTTATTTTTTATTTTTTATTTTTTTTTTAAGGGTCAGAAAAACTATTTAAAGCTTGGTAAGACTAACATAACTTAGATATTCAAGATTAAGCTATTTAGTGATTCACTAATATTACAAAACAAGCTTTCTTTTAGAGAGACAGTGGTTTCTTCATGCTAACTGGGAAAGAGCTGGACATATTTAAAAAAGAAGAGGAAACCAATTGGTATCTCAGCATGAATCCTAAGCATATGTTTGGTTTAGGGGTGTGCTCGCCAGTGGATTTTTAATCAGAAAGATTTATCTTACAAGCTAAGTCTCACTTTTGATTTAGAATTTCCCATCTCTGAAGTATTTGTACCTTCTTGGAGACAAAGGCAATACCTCAGACATTCTGTATCTCTGTGTTAGGGAGGCTGGCTGATACCCCTTTAGATTCTGTATTCTAGAAGAAAAAGATGAGAAAAACATTATCAAACATTACTCTAGACTTTTCTGCAATTCAAAACTAATAAAACAGAATTCCATTTTTTTATATTGTACTAGCCAAAGAAAACGAAAATTAGAGCTTCCAAGAGCAGTCTAGTGCTCACCATTATACTTTTACACTTGTGTGGACAAAGCAGCTTTGTAGTTACTTATTTTAAAGCTACAGTACTTAAAAACTTCTTGATAATAAATAACTTGGGTATTTCCAGTCCTGCTTCCAAGCATGAACTATGCGTGAGCTTATTTCAGGCTGCAAGAATGGATTAGGGAAACCAATGATGTTCTTCTGCTCAGCCCATCCCAGTGACATCAGCTGGCAGCTTAACGGTCACAACTCATCAATTTTCCTCTGCAAGCACTTTAACATGGAGTCCATCAGTTTGGCCAAGCCCCAGATTTTCTTCAGCACTTTGCACTCCCTCTCATTGGCCTGCTCCAACTCCATCTTCATGTTGCGGCACACAAGGGCTTCGGATTCCTCAAGCACAACTGGATTACATGAGGCAAACTCCGTAATTCAAATCATAACTTCCTGGGTGAAGGTCCCGGGCCAAAATACCTGGGCTACCAGACCTTTACCACAGGCTTCCTGTGTGGTCATCTTCTGCCCACTGAGCAATATCTCATTTGCAAATGCCCCTTCCATTACTTTAGGAAACAATGGTAGAACAGCCATCTGGATTCTGTCCAAAGATAGTAAAGAGCGGTGGAAACCAAGCCTTTTCATTAGTACAGACCACATTGCAAAGAGGCAATATAGATGCGCTTAGCCTAATGGCTGGGCCATTGACTACTACAATAATAGATTTCTGAAACTGTATGAAAGTATTCACAAAGTTTCTGGTAGCTTCTGCTGTTCTAGTGCTTTCTCTTTTGCTGTCATTTGTTGAATGCTATATAAAATAAATAAAGTCAAGTGCACAACAGAAGGCACTGCCAATGGCACTGAGTAGCATAAGCTTGCTGTTTTCAGCAGCGGCTGTGCTCAAAGCACTTTGGATTTCTCTTTTTTTTTTTTTTTTTTTTTTTTGAGACAGAGTCTCACTCTGTTGCCCAGGCTGGAATACTGTGGTGCCATCTCAGCTCACTGCAACCTCTGCCTCGTACCTTTCCCATTAACAACTAGGGCCCTGGTCATGGCTGTAGTCATGGGGCCAGACACCTGAGGCACTAGTGGGTGTATTCAGGGCCTGTTTCCCATCCTGACCTGCTCTATGCACAGGGGTCCAATAAAGCTCCAACTTACTATTCTCCAGCCGCTATTCTATAGCTCCAACTGGCTATTCAGTCACCACCATATTCTCCTGACCCTGCTCAACAGGGTCCAGTTTCTGGGGGCTCTTGTTCTGAAAGCCATTCTCTGTGGTCCTGCTCTTAATGGGGCTCATAAACACAAATATCTTGATACTTGACTTTGCTAGGTCAATATTCTTCCAGCTAGAGAGAGATGGAGCTGTGTTTTTCCTGAACTTCTGGGTAGCAGCAAACAACTGGCTGTTTTTAGACTCATAGTGTTTGCCAATCTCTAGTGACTTAGGAGAGGTCTTATCAAAGCTTCTGTTGGTGGATCTGGAGATTTATTTCCTAGCATTGTTTGGAGAGTGCTATTTGTTCTGGTCAGTGTGCTCTCTTTCTGCTTTTTGACGTGGTGTCTGCATTCCTCATGTTTCACGAGATGGCACTCTGGTTTCCAAGTGTGATCCTCACTGTCATAGCCCTTCCATCAAACCAAATACTCTGTCTTCCCTTCTTATTTTTCCTTTTGTCAACAATTCTTTCAGCCTGTCCTGCTCTAGTTGGTGGAGGCCAACATAATCCATTTTACTCCTTTTCCAAATCCTGTGTACCTAAACCGTCGATCACTGGAAACCAGTACTACCCAAGATAAAACTCTTCAGATCAGGAATCACAGCCATTTCCTGCCTTAGGAGAACAATGACTTAAAGCTAATTTTTCATAAAACCTTATAAATAAACAAAACCGTCCAATCTCAATCAGTTAGACCACAAGGTAAGATTTCCATAAGCCTTTAAAAAACTTTTTCAATCTTTTGTTATAGAGTGGATCGACCCTACAGAAAAGAAACAAACAAATAAAACCCTGTTAGTCTGACACAGGGGCCCAGACTCTCACATCGGTGTGCTTTTGATATTAATGCTTAACTTATAGGAAAACTAAATAATCCCTTTTACATTTTAGCCAATTTAAGCACACACAGAATTCCTTTCACAAGCTCAATTTCATAAACTTTCTATAACTTGCTTAAACCTTCAGTTTTGTCCTGTCATTGTACCTTAGGACAAAAATTTACATTCTTTTTCACCTTTCTATATTCATATAGCTTTACTTGACACTGTTTTTACTTCTTTAATTAAAAATAATAAAAATCCTCTAAACCAGGTAAAATTACTTTCCCTTTAACAAAAATCACATTTCTATGCCTTCTTATTATTTTTTTTTTATCAAAACTCATCTTACTTTCCTTATATACTTTTATAAAAAATCCAGGCTCTAAAAAAAAATGGTTACAGTAAGGCCTAAAGACAGGTGGCACTCTCCCTGGCCCAGCTATGCCTCCTGGTTCAGCTGGGAAGGGCCATGCCTTATCTGCAGCTCTGTTTTTTGTCCTGAGCTCTGCATCTGATACATAATTAAAAATGGCACCTCTTAGGTTTTTCACTAAAAATAAGAGTTGCTAAGAGTTAACATTGTAATTAATGTAAACCTGATCCAAATATATATAAATTGGAAAACTGAAACTGCCTTTGCAAAATTATAACTGAGGAAATTATGACAGTGAAAGAAATCAGACCTAACCGACTCCATCTTGCTTCTAACCTTTAAGCTGTTCTTGTTCATTCCTGGGCATAGGCCGAACTAACTTTGGGAAGGAACTCAGTTCATGGTTTGATTCTGAAACAAAATTGATAATAGTCCTTTCCAGAAAAGACCCCCTTCTTGCCTGGGAACCAGTCTGCCTAGGCAGGACTAACAAATTACCTATAAGATTAGAAAGTACAGTTTGGAGGTCATGCAGCCTCTGGTTCCAAGAATCTGAACCTCCCCAAATTGCTCCTGGGGATAACATCACTATTGTAAAACCTAAGGTGAGTGCTTGAGATATTTTACAGACTCTGCACTCCATGGATCAGCTGACACCACTCAGACCTGTAATCTGGCTCAACCAGTTCTGCCATCCCACCCAGGAACAGAAGACAGCAAGAAAAACTCACTTCGACCCCCTATGATTCCATCTCCAACCTGACCAATCACCAGCCCCCACTTCCGAAGCCCCTGCCCGCCAAATTATCTTTAAAAATTCGGATCCCCAAATGTAATAATAAAACTCCAGTCTCCCACATAGCCAGCTGTGTGTGAATTACTCTTTCTCCATTACGATTCCCCTGTCTTGATAAATTGGCTTTGTCTAGGCAGTGGGCAAGGTGAACTCATTGGACGGTTACACTTCCACAGTGTTCCTCTCTATAAGGACATTCCCCAGAGGCCAGTGAACAACCCAAGCCAATCAGCCCACTCTGTGATCAACTCATTCCCTATTTAATATATACTCCATGGTCAAGTCTTTTTTTCACAATACAAAACAATTTCTGGTACCCCCAAAAGCCAAACAGTTTAGGTAACAAAATCCAAAAGAGACTGAAGATGGCAAAGAGGAAGGAGGAACAGGGTGGAGTAAAAATAAATAGAACAATTTTTAAGAAAGGAAGTGAGCAGAAGTACCAAGCATGTAATGTTATTTTAATGTTTCAGTCAACTAAAAAATTCCTAAAAATAGAATCCAAAAAGAGAAAAAGAGTAATGGCCATATATATATATCATCTACCTTAGATATCAACTTTTAATTAAGCTGACTTCTACTCGTAGATTTGGAGTTTTGGAGTAAGCCAATTCCACTCAGATTTTTAAAATAATCCCTTCAAATCTCTTATTACCAGATTTTAGCTGGGACAAATAGCTGATATTTTTGGCTTTTGAACATCCTTACCAAAGATATCCTCTCAGTTACCTTAACCGAAGTTATAACCACAAATGCACGCACGAGGTATCTCCAAAGAGGTGACAAGTAGTTTTTACAAGATCCAGAATCACCCCAAAAATAACTAAGAGAAAGGAAACTTTCACTAGCCATAAACAGGGTCTAACCCACATTTCTTTCAGGCCATATTTTCTAGGGTCTTAGCTTTTCAGCTTACTGTCCATACATGAAGACCCAAGAGCCTTGGGTCCCCCAACACAGACAGAAGACAGGAAATCAAAAGCTGTCCACAGAAGGGGAAAAGATCAATAGTACATTGGTACCCCCAAAGCCACATAAATATTAAACCAAGACAGGCTGGTTCCCTGACCAGGAATCAAACCCATGCTGTGGAGGGTTTTAACAATTAGGCCACCAGGTGGAATGGCCATTGTTGTTCCCTAATCAGGAAGCAAACCCAAGCTGTGGTGGAAATTTTAACCACCAGAACTATTTTCGGTCAGATTTTGCTCTTAATTTAGTCAAGATAATTTTTAAGGCTAGCCATGAAACTATTAGGCTCCCTTTAAAATATCTGATCTTTTCGTTAATAGTTTAGAATAGGAGATCTCTAAAATCTTTAAATTAATAGCACAATGAGAGAGAGAACCTGGAAAGGCAGTCGTCTTATATGAAACATTTCAGATAGTCAAATTTTGATTTTTCTTAAGTGGCTGGGGTTTTTAGAGGTGGAATTTGACTTTCTACAGCTGCAGGGATTTTAGTCAGCTTTAGAGGGGGCCAGAAGTTCATTAAATCTAACGGAAGATGGACAGAAACAAACAGACAAAAAACACAAAAAAGCAATCAAACAATTTGCATAAAATTGAGATTTCTGAGCATGAGGAGAAATTATAGCCAACTGACGGTAAGCCTTGACTTTCAGCTACTAAATCCCCAAATGACACCCCAAACCAGCTCCTTACCTGGAGATGGGGCACAAGCTGAAAACTGCTCTCTGCCATCACGGAAGCAGGAAAGTCTTCTTCCTTGTTAGAAGTAAGAACTCTCAGAAAAGGAGTTCTGCAGTGGAATAAACTTCAGATCTCAACTGGAAATTTTTGAGTGATTAGGGATCTCTGGAGGGAGAAACTCTCAGACTTCAGCAAATCATCCAATAGGTCAGAGCAATAAAGAGCTCCAGCTGGTACTAGGGCCCCAGTAGGAGAGTTGCTACAGGCCAAGAGCCAACTCCACTCAGAAAGCCCCTTTGTGGTTACCAAAATGTAAACCAAAAAGTGACTGAAGCAAGTCTCCATCCATTAGAGGTTTATTTGGCCAAAGCTGAGGATGCGCCTGGGAAAAAGCATAAATTACAGATGCTCCTGTGATTTATGTTTTTTCCAAAGGGGGTTTTGTGAACTTCAGTTCACAAAAGGGGAACTGCAAGCAGCAGGGGGAAGAAAAGGAGGCAGGCAGTGAGGCAGGTGGTCACATTCTTGTGAGGCTCTTATTAGCCTCAGTAAATCTACATTTTACATGTGAAAAGAGGGAATAGAGGAAAAAGTCAATGATGCATTCTCTCACACTCAGTGAGTCTACATTTTACATAAGATGAAGCAAATGTGGAAAGAGGGAGTAGAGGAAATGAGGCTATGACATGGGGTTGTGAAATTACAGCTATCTGGGAGCCAAAGGAAGACAGTATTTGTGACTCAGCTTCTAAGCTTAACTTGCACTTTGGTATAGTGAGTTCGGGGTCCCAAGGTTCTATTTTTTTTTCATACCTGTAACTTCTGTTTCCAAAAATGTTCCCCTGTCTTTAAAAACCCTTGCTTATAAGCCACTGGGGAAGTAGGATCTCACACAATAGCTGTCTGATTTTCCTTGCTTGGCACCCTGCAAATAAATGCCCTCCTTTTTCTTGCTGCAAACTTTGGTACAGATATTTGTCTTTACTGTGCTGGGCCAATGGACCCAGGTTTGGTTCAGTAACGAGGCACTTTTCTCACTTTTAGGTACCCCCACCAACTCTATCTAAGATTCCATCACCCTCCAAGGAGCAGGACCCTTTCCCAGAGGCCCACAGCAACATATAAGCCTGGAGCTCTAATCTGACTCTAGCCTGATAATTCAAGTACCTCTGACCTAGTTTTAAAGAGCAGGGAAGTCTGCATGGTCATCTATTGAGTTTCTATTCTGTTGAGTTGGGCAGTGTTCTCAACTGACTGCCCATGAGAATCACCTAGTGTGTGGGTATTAGGGGGGAGACTTTAAAAATACCAGTACTGAGCCCCCACAGCAAGAGATTTCCATTCAACTGGTCTAGACCCAGTCCAGGCAATGACGTTTTTAGAAAACGTCCCCAGGTGGTTCTATCATACAGCCAGGTGGAGAGCCAGTGGTGATGGCTTATACTGTATGCTCTGATTTCTTCAGAGCTTTGTTTTTGATTCTCCAACCAAAATTTTGTAACTCAAAATGGTTTTCTCTCCCAGAAAACACAGCTTTTGTAAATTAAAACCCTTGTTTTTCTCTCATGAATTTCAAAGGCCTGCTTAGAAACTCAAAAGCCCAGAATCTGACTCTAAATTATCTGCAGTGTGCCTTCTGAGGCAGAAACCGGCAAGCCTGAGCCCAGCCTCACTGTGCAGTGATGATGAAGAGAGATGTTGAGTAAGAAAAAGCATTACTTAGTATGGAAAACAGCAGCTCATGTATTAAAATCATACCCATTCCCCTGAGCCTGTATCAGAAAAAATTCCAAAGAAACCAGTTCTCCCTACATCCTTTCGCCCAAGAAATCACAGCCAGAGATTTTCTTTTAATCTTACTCCCTAATAAACAAAAAGGCCCTCAGAAACTGCCTGTTTTCTTAACTGCCCAATAGTGTTCCCTAGGGAAATAAGAATTTTCTCATAAAGGTGTTAGTGATACATATTCTTCTTGAAAGAATGAAAGTTACATCAAAGTTTTTTTTTCCTGGTGTTTTTCCATTAAAGTATGGAACAGTTATCAATTTTCAGGGTACCTCATGTAGTTCAGATTTGATAAGTTATAGAGCTAATTCATTTGCATATCTATAGATTAGCATTCCATAGGGTTATTTCTTTTTACTTAGGCTATGTAGCTCAGTTGACTATGCTTGTCACTACTGATGTCAAGGTTAAGCCTTCAGTCTCCATGGGGTCTGATTAATTACCTTCGCTGTGTTTTAGCCCTTCCTAAAATATATGCATTTAGTCACCAGGGGGACCAGACAATGTAGATAGTTAGAAGTATAAAATATCCAGAGAAATTCAAGGCCTTTTCTAAGAAAAATACGTTTTTTTTTTTTGGAAGCCAAATAACTGAAATTTTGGAAAAATTCACAATTTATCTAACCCTTTCCCTAACATTTTATTTTTTTAAATTTCAAACATACAGAAAAGTTGAAAGAATTTTAAATTAGTGTCCATATACCCACCATGTAGATTCTACCATGAACATTTTGCTGTATTGCTTTATCATGCTTCTAACCATCTATTTATTCCTCTGTCTAGTAAACTTATGTTTTTGATGCATATCAAAGAAATTTGCAGAAATCAGTGTACTTTACTTCAAAACACTTTAGTATGTGCATAAGTTTTTCCTATTGGTTGTGTACCAAATTATTATATGTATGTAAGTTTTCCCTGTTGGTGCTGTACCATATTATACAAAGTGGCTTAAGACAACACGAATGTATTATGTACAATTCTGGAGGTCAAAAGTCTGAAATGGGTCATCCAGGGCTCAAATCAAGGTGTCAGCAGAGCTGCTTTTCTTCTGGAGGCTCTAGGAGAGAATCTATTTCCTTGTTTTTTGTAACTTCTAGAAGCCATTCATATCCTTAGCTTGTGGTCCCTTCCTCCATCTTCAAAGCCAGCACTAAGGCATCGTCAAGTCTCTCCATGATCTCTGCCTCTCTCTTCATAACTTCTTTGCTGACTCTGGCCCTCCTGCTTCCCTCTTACAGGGGCCCTGTGATTACATTGTGCCTACCCAGATGATCCAAGATAATCAACCCCTCTCAAGATCCTTAACTTAATCACATCTCCAAAGTCCCTTTTGTGTAAAGTAACATACTTATAGGCTCTGGGGACTAGGACATGAATATCTTGCTGGGCAGAAATTATTCATCTAATAAAGCATGCAAAATGGGTGTTTTTCATCTTTAACACCCATTGAAGATTTACAGTCAGATGAAAATTAGGAAGCTGGCCTATAAATGGGAGTGAATATTGATACAAAAAGAAGGCTAAGAACTGAGGCCTGGGGCACACTTGGAGGTCAGGAAGATGAGGAGGAACCAGAAAAGTAGCCCTGAGAGGAACAGCCAGGGAAGTAAGAAGTGGACACTCAGCAAGTGTGGAATTCTGGAAGCCAGAAGAATTTCTAAAGTTTTTCTAAAAGAGGATGATGAGCTGTATCACATGCTGCTTACAGAGCAAAGATCTGTGGTTGAGATCTAGTCACTGGTTGGGTTTAGCAAAGTGGAGATCTCTGGGTACCCTCTTGTAGTGATGTGGCCAGGGTAAGTGCCTGGTTGGAGTGGCTTCAAGGGAAAAGGAAAGAAGAGGAAGTGGAGTAGGTATAGGAGTGAACCAAGAAGAGGTGAACACATCAGAGAACTTTTTCAGGGACTTCTGATAAAAAGAAGAGCAGGGAAAGGGGTGATATCCAATGTTGTCACTATCATCATCATCAATTTGACATAGTTGCAAACATTACTCAGATCCTTTTTAGCTCCAGAAAATAAAGGAATAAAAGGATAGAAATAAAGCAAGAGCCTGCAAGTGCTTAGTTGTAAGTTGTCCTTACCACCACGATTCAACAGGGACACCACTGAAGAAATTCACAAGGCCCCGATGGCCTAAATTCTGACAATTCTATCAGCAGTCTTGACTTCTGCTCTCCTCTCCATCTTCCTTGTTTCATCCTATTTTTTCATTCTTCCCTTCCTTCCTTTATTTCACAAACATATAAGCCCCCATATCTTTGAAACTTGAATCCAGCAGAGGGATAAGTGTGAATTGACTAGCTGGAAAATTCTTTTCATTTCTTAATAAAAATCTTTCATTCTATTCTTGAGAATAAAAATATTCTTAAATTTCAAAACCAGTTGGTTGTATCTTCCAAAAACACACTCTCTGATTTAGTTGTAGACATTTATTTAAATAGTTTTACATGTAAATGTCCCTATTTCATAGTTTTTAGAAGCAATTTTTGGAGAGCAAAGTTTAGGCAGCAATATATGAACAATTTATATTATGAATTTCATTCACTTAAAAAGATAACGATTCTTTTTCCATTTTAAAAACTGCACTCAGAAATGAATGGGGAAACTTCATGAATGTTTCTGTTTTTTTTCTGGGGCTTCACATTTCTGTATTTAATTCTTTCTTGACTTTCTCAGACTCTAGAATTTTCCTTTTCTCCATTCATATACACATATCCTTTGTTCTTTTATTTACATTTCACTGTGTCTTCTCCTTAGTCTCCTTAGTCTTCTTGTAATTTCTTTGTCCCAGGTGTAGCTAAGGATGATTCACATACCTAAGAAGACTGCTTAATATTGTTCTTTTAATCATCCATCTCTGTCAACTCTTTCCTCACTATAATCCATTGTGTGAGTCTAACAATCTCATTCTCCCTTGCTAAGATAATTTTCTCACATCTTATGATTTCCTTATAATTGACTTAACAATTAAAATATTTAACTGAAAACTTCCTGGCTGAAACAAAGGAAACAGAAAGAATCTTTACAACCTTGATATTTACCTGGTAAAATGTTTTCATTTGAACACTCAGAGCATTGTATTTGGATCTGGGCACCACATCTTCAGAAGGACAATGACAAATTAAAATGTGCCCATTGGTGAGTGATCAGGAGTTTGAAAGTCATGTCATGAGTAATGAATAAAGGATATTGGGATGTCCTGTTAGGAAGTAAAATGTCTGGGGTGGGAGCAGGACGTGGGGTAGTAAGGGACAATAGAAAAAGGGAAAGCCTGGCTGGGATGAGGACTGCCACTATTGGTCAACAGGGTGGCTGTCCCAGGAGGAGAGTGACACCTGGGATGGAGGGAGGGGGAAATATCTAGAGGAGCACCAAGGGGAAAATGTGGTCTCATGAAGCTTCAGTAGAAAGGTATCTCATCCATTCCCCAAACCCACCTGGCCATGGGCTTTTGCTACTTCCCCCAGTTAGCCTCATGAGCAGAGGTGGTTGATGGTCTCAAAGGACTGACAATGAGACCACTGTAAAAAAATCTTGGGACAATTTAAGAAAAACAGTTACTGTGAAAGAATAACCACAAACAGAACAGCCTACAGCAGAAGAAGCAGACCTATTGACAGATATGAACAGGAATCTTAATACCAAATAAAACATTGCAAATATGAAACAAGAATAAGTAGTTTGAAGGAGAGCCAATCAAAGGTACTAGATATAAAAATTACAATTGCCAATATAAGGAATAGGTTGAAGAACTGAATGAATGACAAATGGGTAGAATCTAGAAACAGATCCAGATGTCCATGGGAACTTGGAATATGTATGTAGCATCATAGCCTGGTAGAGGGAAGATGAATTCATCAATAGTCCCTAGAAAACTGGTTCATCATGTGGGAAAAACTTGGAGTAGATGCCCACCTTTTTCTATATACAAAAATAAACTTTAGGTAGAGTAAAAGCCTAAACATGAAAGGCAAAGCCATACATCGGTTAGCAGCAAATGGAGAATTTTTTTTTGTGACACTGGAATGGAGAAGAATTTTGTAAGGTGCTAAAAAGTACAGACCACAAGGGAGACAATCAATGGAGTTAATGACACCAAAATTAAAGATTTCTGATACCACAAAGTTACCAGATGTGTGATAGATTTGGAGGTGACAAAGTGGTAATAACTGACAAAAAATAACTAGAATACACAGAAAACTCCTGCGAGTGGATAAGAAAAGAAAAGGATGAGGATATTGTAGGGGACCCTGCTGATGCCCTGCCCACATTCGTGGCCCATCTCTGTGTTCCCCTGCAGTTACTATCGAAGGTTCCCAGCATGCACACTGCTTCCCACCTGTGTGGGAGCCTCTCTCTTTCTCAGCCTCAAGGTTTTTTCAGGTACTGTGGGAACTTGCTTAGTTTAGGTGCAGTGCAAATGGGACAAGCTAGTGGCTGAATCTCACCAGGGGCAGCTCTCAACCAAAGAAGACCAGTGAGTAGCATATAAACAGCCTAGCTTCCCCATATCCTGGTAGGAAAATTCTGAGGCGTGTTCAACACAGGTCCTCAGAGGGTCCTCAGCAGGACTGAGCTCTGGTTGTCCACAGCAATTATCTGCCCATAACTTACCCTTTAGTGGGTTTTCTCCTTTCCTTGTCTTGCTGTCTTTACTCCCTTGCTTGTACTTCTGAATAAATGACCTGCACCCAAGTCTGTGACTGAGACCTGCTTTCCAGGTAACACAAATTAGGACAGATATGCATAAGCATTTCACAGAAGGGGAAAGTGGAAAGGCTGATAAGCGTGGGAAGAGATGCTCAACTTTCATAAGTGGAGAAATGGGCCGGGCGCAGTGGCTCATGCCTGTAATCCTAGCACTTTGGGAGGCTGAGGCGAGCAGATCACAAGGTCGGGAGATTGAGACCATCCTGGCTAACACGGTGAAATCCCGTCTCTACTAAAAATACAAAAAATTAGCCGGGCATGGTGGCACGTGCCTGTAGTCCCAGCTACTCGTGAGGCTGAGGCAGGAGAATCGCTTGAACCCGGGAGACAGAGGTTGCAGTGAGCCGAGATCGCGCCACTGCACTCCAGCCTGAGCGACAGAGCGAGACTCTGTCTCAAAATAAAAAATAAAAATAAAAATAAATAAAAATCAGAGAAATGAAAAATATATAGGGAAGTACAAATTTACCTGAAAGGTATAGAAAAAATAAAAAACCTGGATTTCCTAAAGTGCCTATGAGAATTTGGAGAGGGAGAAACCCCATCCATCACTAGTGAGACCATTCTGGAGAGCAATGAGCAATGTTTAGTGGATTTGCCTAGATGCGCACCCTATGATCTCACAAATCCTCTTCTATGTGTAGGCCCCACACAAACTCCCACACTCCCACCCTACCTGGCCTATGAATCAAACTGATCTTCAGGTAATCTTACCATATTTCTCAAGTCCATCACTGTCCTTCTCAACTTCTTTCTTCTCATATCTTCTCTTTCTTCCTCACATTCAGCTGATGACCTCACTTCTTATCGAACTGAGAATACGGAAGCAAACAGAAAAATATTTCCCCACGTTCCCATTGCCAAATCTACCAATCTACCAGTAAGTGTGCCTGTATCCTCTGCCTTCCTCCCTTCCTGACACTAACTCTTTCCATGTCTCTCATCTCCTCACGAACCATGTTCCTAGACCGTCACCACTGTCTCCTGATCATCAGTTTCTCCCACCCTGTTGGGTCATTCACACAAGTATGCTGTAGCAGTCCCCACATAGGAGGAGGAGGAGAAAGAGGGAGAGGGGCAGGAAGGGAAAGCAGAGAAGGGAGAGGAGGAAAAGGGAAGAAAAAAGGAAAGAAAACATCCCTCTTTTATACATTCCCCTTTATGTTTTGCTTCATACTTATGCTTCCCTTTACAGTAAAATGTCTCCAAAGAATTGTCTATAATTCTCAGTCTTCCCCTTTTTGAGCCCATCAACACCGCTGACATAATAGATAGTTTCCTCTGTCTTGAGGCCCTTTCTTCACTGCCCCAGGGATGCTTCTCTCTTGCTTGAGTCTTCTGTCTCATGGCATCTACTTCTCACTTTCCTTTGCTGGCTCCTCATCCCCTTTCCGGACTCCATGTGTTGCCTTGCTCCAGGGCTCAGTCCCTTACTTGTTCTCTTCTCAATCTACACTCACTCCCTGCATAAGCTTGGCTTTAAGTATCATGTATACCAGGACAACTTTCTAGTTTTATTTCCAGCACAGACCTTAATCCCAAATTCCAGAACTACCTTCTTGACAGCTCCACTTGGATGTCTGATAAGCATTTCAAACTTAAAATGTTAAAACCAAACCATTGGTTTTTCCCTGAAACCTGTTCTACCTGTTGTCTTCCTCTTAATAAATGGTACAACTTTATCTTCCCAGCTGCTCAAGTCAGAACTATTGGGGTCGCCCCTGATGCTTCTCTTCCTCCCGTTCCCCATACCCAATCCATTAACAAATCTCATTGGCTCTACTTTCAAAATATGCTGCAGTATTCCTACCCTTCTCCCACCTCCACCACCACCACTCAGTCTAAGCACCACCATCTCTGCTCAGGACAACTGCAGTGGTCTCCTAACTGGATTCTCCCTCTCATCCTTACTCTCCTGTCATCTATTCTCCACTCAGCTGCCAGAAGGATCTTTTCAAAAAGTCAGGTCTTGTCATTCTTTTCCTCAAAATCCTTCCTACTTCACTCAGAATGGATGCATCAGTCTTTACATGGCCTGGGGATGCTATCTGATTCGGCTCCACCCTATTCCTGTAGTCTCATCTCTTCCGTGCTCCCCTTCAGCCTCCCCTCACTCACTGTGCTTTAGCCTCACCCACTGCTAGTTCTGGAACACGTCTTGCACTTGCCGTTCCCTCTGCCAGGAATGCTCCTTTTCCAGATATTAGCATGGCCCACTCTCTAACTTCATTCACGTCTCTATTCAAATGTTACCACGTTCTCAGAGAGACTTTTCCTGACCACTGGATTTGAAACAGCATCCTCCATTGCTATCTGTCCTCTTATCTTGATTTATTGATTTATTTTCTTCCTTGCACTTATTATAACCTAGCATTGTATGTTTATTGTCTATTTATTTTCTTTCCATACTAAAATAAGGGAAGGGATTTTGTCTATTCCCAATTATGCTGTACTCCCAGTAGCTACTTGTCTTTAGCACAGACTGGCACCAGATAAATATATTTTGAATAAAAGAATGAACAGGCACACAAATTGAGAGCTAAGCAAAGATTTTCATCCCAGCATTTTACATGAACAAAAACTTGAAACAAGCTTCATGCCCTTCAATGAGAGAATGAAGAAATAAAATGCAGTCCAAGCAAAAAGAATGAAATGCTGTTCAGCTGTTCCAAGGAACAAACTAGAGTCATATATCCAGCTATCAAAATGGGTAGGTCTTAAAAACATAAAGTTGAGAGGAAAAAGTAATAAGGAAGATGAAATAAAGAGTATAATACTGATGAATACTAGGATAAGAAATGGGAAATAAAAGGAAGACATTTTTAAATAAAATAAATAATACAAGAAAATAAAATAAAGACTCTTCCATAAACCAACAATGATAGAGTGTTATGAACTAAGTTGAACTGTATGTTTAAGGTTTAAAAATAATGTATGTTGAAAAAAATAAGAGTTGCCTTGGGAAGTACTTACTTAACTGGAAAATATGGGATGGGATTCCTAAGAGCTGTAGGTGAGAGCAGTGGGGTCTGATCCCATCAGGGAAGGCTTTGTGGAAGCAGGGAGACTTGAGGTGTTCCTTGAAGGATGAAAATGATATAAGCAATGTAAGCAAAGAGCAGTAGCAAGACATTCTAGTGGGCCCCAGAAGTCTGGAAGTAGGAAAGCTGGATATAGACCTATCAGCCTCAGGAGATGGCTCACAGTGTAGGGGAAGGGGTAGAAGACAAAAAGATAAAATTGAACACACTCACTAAGATCAGATGGTAGAATGCCTTGGCTAACACTAAGGAATTTGGACTTGATTCTAACATTGGTGATACTACTTTTGTGTAACACTTGCCCAGTGTCACACAACTATTAAAGTGGAAGCCAACATTTGACTTCCAGCAGTCTGATTCCAGAATTCTCACTTTTAACTGCCATGCTTAACTTCTTTCAGTGAGCATCAGGAATCCAGTCAAGGGTTTTGAGAATTGCAAGGTAATGCACAAGGGATTTTAGCAGGTGGGTTCACTAGAAGTGTGCAGAATGGCTTGCATGAGGCAAAGACTGGAGGCGAGCAGTCTGTGAGGAGGGGAGTATGACAATGTCCACGTGAGCTGATAAGACACTGACTAGCGTGCTGCCAGGGAGATGGGACAGGGAGGGGCCGATAAGGTAGAACCAATGGGGTTGACTAATCAGACAGCTCACAGATTAGTTTTGTGGCCCTCCTGTGTGCTAGGCATTTGTCTGGGCTCTGAGGACAGTGTAGTGAAAGAGATGAACACAGATAATTAACTACTAGTAAGCATGCACACTACTGCCAGGTAAAAGGAATGCAAAGGTCCAACCTAAAGCAGAAGGAGAGTGGTCTTTGTATTTAATTAGAGCTCTTCTTATTAAAATAACAAATGTTAAGCATGAAGTAGTCTTAATGTTTCATACCTTTGAAAAAAATAATTCTGAAAAAAAATCACTGGTTTAGAATTTCTTTCTATAACCAAAAAGGTAGAATATGTGCCTTTTAAAAATGGATTCCCGGCCGGGCGCGGTGGCTCACGCCTGTAATCCCAGCACTTTGGGAGGCCGAGGCGGGTGGATCACGAGGTCAGGAGATCGAGACCATCCCGGCTAAAACGGTGAAACCCCGCCTCTACTAAAAATACAAAAAATTAGCCGGGCGTAGTGGCGGGCGCCTGTAGTCCCAGCTACTCGGGAGGCTGAGGCAGGAGAATGGCGTGAACCCGGGAGGCGGAGCTTGCAGTGAGCCGAGATCCCGCCACTGCACTCCAGCCTGGGCGACAGAGCGAGACTCCGTCTCAAAAAAAAAAAAAAAAAAAAAAAAAATGGATTCCCTTTTCAAGTTAATCATCTTTATCTGAAAATGCAAAGAAGATGGCTTAATGGTCATCGAATTGACAGATGTAACTGGAACTCTAATCTGGTTCTATGATGCACAATTATACAGAAATGTAAGATCTGAGTTTGTGGATATGAATGTGTTATCTTCAAGCAGGTTTTAGAAGTCAGAATGAGCAGAAATTTTAACTCAAAGATCAAAAGTACAAATCAACAAAATTCATCCCCAGGCAGAGGTTGCACAAGATGTAGCAATTTTTTATGAATATTTATATATTCACATGAATCATAGTTTACTTGCCTTATTTAGTAAGTTATTTGACCCTCTTAGGCATTCTTTTATTCATGAAATGTAATTGCACTGCCATCAAAATGACTATAATATCTGATATCTATGCAGACATTTATCTTCAGTTTTTGTTTTTAACTTTTGTTTTAAGTTTAGGGGTACATGTGCAGGTATGTTACATAGGTAAACTTGTGTCATGGGGGTTTGTTGTACAGATTATTTCATCACCCGGGTATAAAGCTTAGTAACCAATAGTTATTTTTCCGGATCCTCTCTCTTCTCCCACCCTCCACACTTCAGTATGCCCCAGTGTGTGTTGTTCCCTTCTATGTGTCCATGTGTTTTCATCATTTAGTTCCCATTTATAAGTAAGAACATGTGGTATTTGGTTGTCTGTTCCTGTGTTAGTTTGCTAAGGATCATGGCCTCCAGCTCCATCCATGTTCCTGGCAAAGAACATGATCTTGTTCTTTTTTACCACTGCATAGTTTTCCATGGTGTATATGTACCACATTTTCTTTATCCAGTCTATCATTCATGGGCATTTAGGTTGATTTCATGTCTTTGCTGCTGTGAAGAATGCTGCAATGAATATATGCATGCAGGTGTCTTTAAATTTTATTTTACTTTAAGTCTGGGATACATGTGCTGAATGTGCAGGTTTGTTACATAGGTATACATGTGCCCGTCATCTAGGTTTTAAGCCCTGCATGCATTAGATATTTGTCCTAATGCTCTCCCTCCCTTTGCACCTCCCACCCCGACAGGCCCCAGTGTGTGATGTTCCCCTCCGTGTGTCCATGTCTTCTCATTGTTCAACTCCCACTTATGAATGAGAACATGCAGTGTTTGCTTTTCCGTTCCTGTGTTAGTTTGCGGAGGATGATGGTTTCCAGCTTCATCCATGTCCCTGCGAAGGTCATGAACTCATTCTTTTTTATGGTTGCATAGTATTCCATGGTGTATATGTACTGCATTTTCTTTATCCAGTCTATCATTGATGGGCATTTGGGTTGGTTCCAAGTCTTTGCTATTGTAAATAGTGCTGCAATAAACATATGTACAAAAACCATAGAAGAAAACCTAGGCAATACCATTCAGGACACAGACTTCATAGGCATAGACTTCATGACTAAAACACCAAAAGCAATTGCAACAAAAACCAAAATTGATAAATGAGATCTAATTAAACTAGAGAGCTTGTGCTCAGCAAAAGAAACTATCATCAGAGTGAACAGGCAACCTACAGAATGGGAGAAAATTTTTGCAATCTATCCATCTGACAAATGTCAAGTATCCAGAATCTACAAGGAACTTAAATAAATTTACAAGAAAAAAACAAACAACCCCACCAAAAAGTGGGCAAAGGATATGAACAGGCACTTCTCAAAAGAAGACATTTATGTGGCCAACAAACATATGAAAAAAAGCTCATCATCACTGGTCATTATAGAAATGCAAATCAAAACCACAATGAGATGCCATCTCATGCCAGTTAAAATGGCAGGTGTCTTTATAATAGAATGATTTATATTCCCTTGAGTATATACCCAGTAATGGGATTATTGAGTTGAATGGTATTTCTGTCTTTAGGTCTTTGAGGAATCACCACACTGTCTTCCACAACGGTTGAACTAATTTACACCCCCACCAACAGTGTATAAGCATTCCTTTTTCTTCACAATGTTGCCAACGTCTGTCATTTTTGACTTTTTATTAATAGCCATTTTGGCTGGTGTGAGATGGTATCTCATTGTGGTTTTGATTTGCATTTCTCTAGTGATCAGTGATGTTGAGCTTTTTTTCATATGATTGTTGGCCACATGTATGTCTTCTTTTGAAAAGTGTCTGATCATGTCCTTTGCCCACTTTGTAATGGGGTTGTTTGTTTTGTTCTTATAAATTTGTTTAAGTTCCTTATAGATGATGGATATTAGACCCTTTGTCATATACATAGTTTGCCAAAATTTTCTTCCATCCCATAGGTTATCTGTTTACTCTGTTGATAGTTTCTTTTGCTGTGCAGAAGCTCTTTAGTTTAATTAGATCTCATTTGTCAATTTTTGCTTTTACTGCAATTGCTTTTGGTGTCTTTGTCATGAAATTTTTTCTTGTGCCTATGTCCTGAATGGTATTGCCTAGGTTGTCTTCCAGGGTTTTTATAATTTTGGGTTTTACATTGAAGTCTTTAATCCATCTTAAGTTAATTTTTGTATAGGGTGTAAGGAAGGGGTCCAGTTTCAATCTTCTGCGTATGGCTAGCCAGTTATTCCAGCACCATTTATTGAATAGGTAATCCTTTCCCCATTGCTTGTTTTTGTCAGGTTTGTTGAAGATCAGATAGTTGTAGGTTTATGGTCTTATTTCTGGGTTCTCTTTTCTGTTCCATTAGTTTAGATGTCTGTTTTTATACAAGTACTATGCTGTTTTGGTTACTGTAACCTGGTAGTATAGTTTGAAGTTGGGTAGTATGATGCCTCCAGCTTTGTTCTTTTTGCTTAGGATTGCCTTGGCTGTTTGGGCTTTTTTTGCTTACATATGAATTTTAAATAGTTTTTTCTAGTTCTGTGAAGAATCTCAATGGTAGTTTAAAGGAATAGTATTGAATTTATAAATTGCTTTGGGCAGAATTTATAAATTGCTTTGGGCCATCTTAACAATATTCTTTCTATCCATGAGCACGGAATGTTTCTCCATTTGTTTGTATCATCTCTTTTTCTTTGTGCAGTGGTTTGTAGTTCTCTTTGTAGAGATCTTTCACTCCTCTAGTTAGCTGTATTGCTAGATATTTTATTCTTTTGTGGCAGTTGTAAATGGGTGTTAGTTCCTGATTTGGCTCTTGACTTGACTATTGTTGGTGAATAAGAATGCTAGTGATTTTGGTGATTTTAGCACATTGGTTTTTGTATCCTGAGACTTTGCTGAAGGTGTTTATCAGCTTAAGAAGCTTTTGATGGAGACTATGAGGTTTTCTAGATATAGGAACATGCTGTCTGCTGAGATAATCTGACTTCCTCTCCTCCTATTTGGATGACCTTTATTTCCTTCTCTTGCCTGACTGTCCTGGCCAATACTTCCAATACTATGTTGCATGGGAGTGTTGAGAGAGGGCATCCTTGCCTTGCACTGGTTTTCAAAGGGAATGCCTCTAGCTTTTGCCCACTCAGTATGATGTTGGCTGTGGGTTTTTCATATATGACTTTTATTATTTTGAGATATGTTCCTTCAATACTTAGTTTATTGAGAGCTTTTAACATGAATGAATGTTGAGTGTTGAATTTTGTTGAAAGCCTTTTCTGCATCTATTGAGATAATTATTTGGTTTTTGTCTTTAGGTCTGTTTATGTGATGAATCACATTTATTGATTTGCATATGCTGAGTCACCTTGCATCCTGGGGATAAAGCCTACTTGATCGTGGTGGATAAGCTTTTTGATGTACTGCTGGATTCAGTTTGCCAGTATTTTGTTGAGGATTTTTGCATTGATATTCATCAAGGATATTGGCCTGAAGTTTTCTTTTTTTGTTGTATCTCTGCCAGGGTTTTATATCAGGATGATGCAGGCCTCATAGAATGAGTTAGGGAGGAGTTCCTCCTCCTCAGTTTTTGGGAATAGTTTCAGTAGGAATGGTACTAGCTCTTCTTTGTGCACCTGGTAGAGTTCAGCTGTGAATCTGTCTAGTCTTGGGCTTTTTTTGGTTGGTAGGCTGTTTACTGCCTCAGTTTGAGAGCTCATTATTGGTCTGTTCAGGGACTCAATTTCTTCCTGGTTCAGTCTTGGAAGGGTATATGTGTCCAGGAATGTAACAATTTCTTCCATATTTTCTAGTTTATATGCAAAAAGGTGTTCATAATATTTTCTGATGGTGGTTTGTATTGCTGTGGGATCAGTGCTAATATCTCCCTTCTCCCTTGTTGTTTCTGATTGTGTTTATTTGGATCTTCTCTCTCTTCTTCTTTATTAGTCTAACTAGTAGTATATTTTATTATTTTTTTAAAAAAACCCTAGCTCCTGGATTCATTGATCTTTTTAATGGCTTTTCATGCTTCAATGTTCTTCAGTTCAGTTCTGATTTTGGTTATTTCTTGTCTTCTGCTAGCTTTGGAATTTGTTTGCTCTGGGTTCTCCAGTTATTTTAGTTGTGATGTTAAGTTGTTAACTTGAGATCTTTCTAACTGTTTGATATGGGCATTTAGTGCCATAAATTTCCCTCTTAACACTACCTTAGCTGTGTCCCAGAGATTCTGATATGTAGTATCTTTGCTCTCATTAGTTTCAAAAAACTTCTTGATTTCTGCCTTAACTTCATTATTCAAAAGTCGTTCAGGAGCAGGTTATTCAATTTCCATGTAATTGCATAGTTTTGGGTGAATTTCTTAGTCTTGATTTCTAATTTGATTCTGCTGTAGTCCAAGAAACTGTTATAATTTCAATTCTTTTGCATTGCTGAGGAGTGTTTTACTTCCGATTATGTGACTGATTTTAGAGCATGTGTCATGTGGTAATAAGAATGTATATTCTGTTGTTTTTGGGTGGAGAGTTCTGTAGATATCTGTCAGGTCCGTTTGATCCAGTGCTGAGTTTAGGTCCTGCATATCTTTGTTAATTTTCTGTCTTGATGATCCATTGTCAGTAAGGTTTTAAAATCTCCCACTGTTATTGCATGGGAATCTAAGTTTCTTTGAGGGTCTTTAAGAACTTGCTTTATAAATCTGGTTGCTCCTGTGTTGGGTGTATATATATTTAGGACAGTTAGGTCTTGTTGAATTGAACCCTTTACCATTATGTAATGCCCTTCTTTGTCTCTTTTGATCTTTGTTGGTTTAAAGTTTGTTTTGTCAAAAACTAGGATTGCTACTCCTACTTTTTTTCTGTTTCCTATTTGCTTGGTAGATTTTTCTTCTTATTTTGAACCTATGTATTTCATTGCATGTAAGATGGATCTCTTGAAGACAGCATACCAGTGGGTCTTGGTTCTTTATCCAGCTTGTCACTCTGCATCTTTTAATTGGGGCCTTTAGCCCATTCACATTTAAGGTTAATATTGATATGTGTGGATTTGATCCTGTCATCATGATGCTGGCTGGTTATTTTGCACACTTGTTTATGTGGTTGCTTTGTAGTCTCACTGGTCTGTGTACCTCAGTGTGTTTTTGTAGTGGCTGATAACAGTCTTTCCTCTTCATATTTAGTGTTTCCTTCAGAAGCTCTTGTAAGGCAGGTCTGGTAGTAACAAATTCCAGCATTTGCTTGTCTGAAAAGAACTTATTTCTCCTTTGCTTATGAAGCTAAGTTTAGCCAGATATGAAATTCTGGCTTAGAAATTCTTTAAAGAATGTTACTATTGGTCACTGATCTCTTCTGGCTTGTGGGGTTTTAGCTGAGTGGTCTGTTGTTAGACTAATGGGCTTCACCTTGTAGGTGTCCTGGCCTTTCTCTCTAGCTTCTTTTAACATTTTTTCTTTCTTTTCAACCTTGGAGAATCTGAGGATTATGAGTCTTGGAGATAATCGTCTTGTGAGGTATCTTACTGGCGTTCTCTGCATTTCCTGAATTTGCATGTTGCCCTCTCTAGCTAGGATGGGGAAGTTCTCATGGATGATATTCTAACATGTTTTCCAAGTTGGTTCCATTCTTCCCATGTCTTTCAGTTACACCACTAAGTCATAGATTCAGTCTATTTACATAATCCCATATTTCTCAGAGGTTTGGTTCATTCCTTTGCATTATTTTTTCTCTACTCTTGTCTGCCTGTCTTATTTCAGAAAGCCAGTCTTCAAGCTCTGAGATTCTTTCCTCCACTTGGTCTATTCTGCTATTAATACTTGCATTATGAAGTTCTTACAGTGGGTTTTCCAGCTCTATCAGGTCAGTTACATTCTTCTCTATACTAGCTATTTTGTTTGTTAGCTCCTGCAATGTTTCATCATAATTTTTAGCTTCCTTGCACTGGGTTTCAATGTACTCCTGTAGCTCAATGAACTTATAACTATTTATATTCTGGATTCTACTTCTGTCATTTCAGCCATCTCAGCCTCAGCCCAGTTCCAAACCCTTGCTGAAGAGGTGATGAGGTCATTTGGAGGAAAGAAGGCACTCTGGCTCTTTCAGTTTTCAGCATTCTTGTGCTGATTCTTTCTCATCTGTCAGGGCTTATCTACCTTTAATCTTTGAGGTTGCTGACCTGTGGATGGGTTTTTTTTTCTTTTATCCTATTTGGTGACCTTGAGGGTTTGATTGTGATATATGGTGTATTCAGCCAACTGGCCTCATTTCTGGGAGATTTTAGGGGGCCAATACTCAGTCCCCAACTCCTAGACTGTGAGCTCTAACTCTGAGGGACTTGTATTGGGTCCCAACTTTGTCCTCTGGCTCCTCAAGGTTTGGAGTCCACTGTGCTGGGGGGTGGGCTGAGGTGCAGCAGCTTTAACAGAGTGCCAGTGGACGTGGGGGTGCCTGTCTCCCTGGGGGAATTTACCACAGTGGAGGAGGCAAGGCAGCTGGGGACTCTGTGTGCTGTTGCACTGGAGGTGGTGCTGGCTTGGGGCAAGGTGCTGGCCAGCACAGGTCTGGGTGCCTTCTTTGCCCTGCAAACAGGAGTAATAGCTCAGGGGGTGGGAGGATCCCCTGTTCTCTGCACAGTGTTAGCACAAGGGCAGGGTACTGGCAGTGGTGGGGTTTCCTGGCTTGGTGCCCACCAAGGCTCTGTCTACAATGGTGGTCAGTGGAGGGTTGGGGATGCTACACACCTGTGTGCTGGTTGGGCAAGCAAAGCAAAACCTGACCATGCAGACGTGCATGAACAAAGTGATCTGGAGAGTAGCCATGGGCTCAGGGGAAGTTCCAGTACGGAGAGGGAACATGTGGACTGGTGCACGGCTGTAAGGGCCGCCTTGCTGGAGCTCTCCAGCAAGCTCTCCATGGTCTGCCAGCATAGAAGCTATGTTGTGGGCCCCCAGGGCATCCAAGACTTCCCTGTAAGCATATGTGGTCAGGCTGGGCCCTGGGAGTGGCCAACAGACCAAGGAGTGCTCAGGTCAGACCAGCCCCATCTGATGTGCAAGACCATTCTGCAGAGATCAGGTCAAATAGTTTCCCTAGGGCTAAAGTCTCTTATGAGAGCAATTTGAGCCTAGAGGGATGGCTGTTCCTGGCTATGCTCCACTACAGACACCCCTGCACCAAACCACCTGTGCTCCACATCAGCTGGCTAGCTGCCCCACCACTTTGCTTGTCTCCTGGGGGCTCTACCCCAGAGAGATGTGGGTCAGCAATTGCTCAGTGCAATCAGCCCAGGATGGAGGATCTGTGCCATGGACCTAAGCTAGGGGTTCCCTGTCTGGCGATGAGCAGTGGGGTTGTGTGGGACCCGGGGGAGATGGACCAGCCTCCTTTCCTTGGGTCAACTGCAACTTGTTGGACGTGTGGATAATGCACTGAGGGTCTTTGCTTCTTTGTTAGTCCAAGGGTAGCAAGGACAGTTCCACCACAGAGGCCGTGTCAGAGAAGCTTTCAGTTGTCCCTGGAAACACTGTCTGGGGAGTTGCTGAGTTGCTACTGGCTTGATAGCTCTGATAGGGGGTGGCTAGAGGCCCAGGACCAGGCCTGGAGGACCTACCTATTGAGGAGATACAGGAACAGGCACCCATATAACAGTCTGGCCACTTTTCTGTAGGGCTACTGTATGTAGTATGCTGGGAGTCCTCTCCAGTTCCTAGTCCCCTTGGAATTTCCAGTACCTGGAGGCATCACCAGTGAAGGCTATGAAACAGCAAAGATGGCAGCCTGTCTCTCCTTCTGGGAGCTCCATCCTAAGGAGGTATAGACCTTTTGCCAGCCTGAACACACCTGTAGGACGTGGCTGAAGACCCAGTTGGGAGGTCTCACCCAGTGAAGAGAAATGTGGTTGGGGATCTGCTTAAAAAAGAAGTCTGGCCACATTTTCACAGAGCAGCTGTGCTGTGCTTGGGGTCTGCTTCAGGCCTCAGTCATCTTAGACACTCCAAAGCCCAAAGGCTGGAATGGCCAAATTGCCCAAACAGCAAAGATGGCGGCCCACCCCTCCCTCTGGGAGCTTTGTCCCAGAGAGGTTTGAAACCTCTGTCAGCTGGAGAACACTGTCTGGGGTGCCTGGAGGTCCCAGTCGTGAGGTCTTATCAAGTGAGGAGGAACAAGATGGAGGACCCACTTAAAGAAGCAGTCTGGTCACGTTTTTGTAGAGCAGCTGTGCTCTGCTGGGGTACCACTTCCTCTCCTGGTTGGCTTGGACTCTCCAAAGCCCGAAGGCTGGAATGGCTAAGTCACCCAAACAGCAAAGATGGCGGCTTGCCCCTCTGCCTCTGGGAGCTCCACCCCAGGAGGTTTTCAAAACTCTGTTGGCTGGAGAACACTGGAGAGGGTGGCTGGAGACCACAAGTTGGGAAGTCTTATGTAGTGAGGAGGAACAAGATTAGGGAACCAATTTAAAAAGCAGTCTGGCCATGTTTTCATAGAGCAGCTGTCCTATGCTGGGGGATCCCTTCTGCCTCTGGACAGCTTGGACTCTCTGAAGGCTGGAATGGCTAAGTCACCCAAACAGCAAAGATGGCAGCCCACCCCTCCCCCTGGAAGCCCCTTCTTAGGGAGGTGCAGTGCCACTACTGGTGGCTGGCTGGAATGCCAAGCCAGTGGGACTTATCCTGAGAGGAGTAGTGGAAGTAGAGCCTGCAGACTGTTGCTTCTCAGTCCCCTCTTTCCTAGGGGTACAGAGGTATAACCTCTTTCCTAGGGGTACAGAGGTATAACCTCCTGCTTTGCCAGAGTTGCAGCTGCTCTTGCCAGGAAGCCCAGAGAGTGCAAGTATCTAAGGCTCCTGGGTCTCCATGCATGCCCCTGACCAGAGCAGCTGCATTGCTGAGACTCCACATAGCTCTATGTGTCAGACTAAAGGCTCTGGTGGAGTGGGTTCACAAGGGGATCTCCTGACCTGAGGGTTGCAAAGATCTGTGGGAGAAGCATGGGTTCCCGAGGTTGCATATTCAGTCACTGCTTCCCTGGGGAGGCGGGGTTCCCTTGGCTCCATGTTGCTCCTGGGGTGGGGCATCATCTTGTCTTGCTTTTCTCCACGGCCCTGTATGGCATGAGAAATGTTTGGCCCTGTAAGGCATGGCCCTGTATGGCATGGGATGGTTCCCTATGCACCCAAGGAGTTCCTGGAACTCACTGAAAGGGCTGGGCTCAAAGGATCCCTTAGTCACAAATGAGGGACCCAGACAGAATAAATGTCTCCACAGATATTAGTGTGGGAGGATAATGGCTGAGACCAGATGCCTGCTTCCACCAGTATCTTGACCCAATGAAGCCCACCTTCCCCCATTGCCCCTTAGACACAGGAGGATACCCATCCGGATTGAGGAAAGTAAGTTTCCACTGCCTGGCACAATAAGGCCTCAATTAAAAATTTAAGTGAATTGTAGAGAATATGGAGAAACAAACTTCGGTTTGTAAATGGAAATATAATTATAATACAGATCTATCTATATCTAAATGCTAGATACAGAGATCTATATCTCTGTATGCTGTATGCTCTGATCTATATGCTATACATAATTAATTTCTGTTTGTCCAGATGAATAGTAAGTGCCATCAGAGTAGGTATATCAGTAAAGGAATGTTTTGGCTAGAATAAAAGAAAACATGGGCTGGGTGCATTGGCTAACGCCTGTAATCCCAACACTTTGGAAGGCCGAGGTGGGCTGATTACTTGAGTCCAGGAGTTCGAGACCAGCCTGGGCAACATGGAGAAATCCCATCTCTACAAAAAATACAAAAATTAGCTGGGTATTGTGGCACATGCCTGTGGTCCCAGCTACTCAGGAGGCTGAGGCAGGAGAATCACTAAGCTCATGAGATTGAGGCTGCAGTGAGCCAAGATCACACCACTGCACTCCAACCAGGGCGACAGAGTGAGACCCCATCTAAAAAACAAAAAACAAAAAACATGACCCCCAAAACTTAAAGAATTGGAGGTTTTTATTTTTCACATGACAATAAGTTTGGTAGTGGGCAGTTGCTGACTGCTCAATGATGTCAGGGACAGCATCTTTACTGTTTTCTTCATGTCTGTATTATTTTCCCTTGTGGTTGCTCCAATGCTCCATCCATCACACCTGCATTCAAGGCAGAAAGAGAAAGGTCTGGCTGAAGCTGTACTTGTCTCCCTTTATGAGGAAAGTCATGGCTTTCCCAGAAGTCCCCCAGCAGACTTTTCTTTATATCTCAATGGCAAGTACTCAGCACCGTGCACATCTCAAATGGTAATTGAGGATTTAAGGTGAAAATTGAATATAGTTAAAATTGCCCTTGAATAGTTCCTTAGGATTTTGCCATGTTGGAGAGCAGCCTGCTGGAAGCCTACACTTCTTTTAGAAGCCCACACTGTCATTTCTACCACAACATTGGAACAGATCTTTATTTCAGCAGGTGAAATAGCTGGTATTAGGTGTTGTAGCATTTAAACAGTAGGATTTTTAAACAAAGGGATTACACTCAATGCAGCAAGATACTTTTACTCTGAGAGAAATATGGAACCCCCACCCCAAGCTCATTAAATAAACTGGCAGATAGAAATGATCTCACTATTTAGATTGTTGTCCACATGTTATGAAGCACATGGTGTAGAGGAGTGGTTAAGAGTCTGTCCACTGGAAACAGACTGAAAGCCTGCTCCATCACTGACTAGCTTGTGCTGTGACCTTAGGCAACTTATTTAACCTCTCTGTGGCTCAGTTTCCCATCTGTGAAATGAGGAAAATAATACAACCAACCTCATAGAGGTTATTGTGAGACATAAATGAGTTAATAAAGGTAAAGCCCATGTGTCTGACTCATGCTAAATGCTATAGAACATTTAGGTATTATTACTGTTATTGTTCCTGTTATTCCACAGTTGCATATACTCCTGCTAAATATGCACAAGATGCTACTCTAGAGAGGAAAGCATTCAATCAAGATTTGTTGAATTAATAAATAAACTATAATATTTAAAGTATTTCACCCAATATCTGATTAATATTCAACCAACAGTTGTTACTAACACTGCCACTTCAGTGCCTTTGAACCTTAATGATCGTGTCTCATGCGAAGGAATGCAGAAATGCACCACAGCTAGGGAGGAAGTACTACATATTTAAAGGAAAATGAAATTCAATCCTTAATAATGCAAAAATTCATCACGAGGTGACCTGTGTAAATATTAAGGGTTTAAATAATTTAACCCCTCCATGCCTTGGTCAGATGAAAAAGTTGGATTAAGAGAGTTTTAAAAGTGAGTTCCCTAAGGTGTTAATAGGTGTCCTTAAATAAATTTGGAAAACCTAGATGTCAAGTTAAATGAATTACTGTTGTCTCTTTTTTTTTCTGCGCATTTATCAGAACCTTGAGGTAAATTTGCCTTGTAAATCTCCGAAAGTGTATATAGAATGAAGTACTATACAAACTTGATGACAGAATCTTTTTTTTTCCAATTGCTGTGAACATCCTGCAGGTCTCCTGTTCTATCAAATGCTAGATGCCTCTGAGGTACCCCATTCATTCAATTCTAAAATCTTCTGTATGACTAATGAAGGTCAGTAGGTGGAGGATGCTTTTAACGTATAGTTATATAGTTCAAAAATCCCGAATGGTGCTTTGTAAATATCCACGCTGGGGCTGGAGCTGTTGTTGTCATCTTTGCCTGTACCTTGTAATCACCTAGGGAGATTTAAAAAATACTGATGCTCAGGTTGCATCCTCAGAGATTCTAATTTAATTGGTCTGGGTGTCACCTGGGCATTAGATTTTTCAAAAGATCCTCAAGTGATTTCTAATGTGCAGCCAGGGTTGAGAACCACTGGGCTAGGAGAAAGAATCTTTGGCTGGGACAGGTGATAACCAGGGTCAGAAATGCAAAGGACCATAGAATTTGGGAGGGGAAATAAAAGGGAAAGACAGGAAGAGGAGACATGAGGTGATGATGATGATTAAAATCTAGCGAAGGTGTGGGTGTAAGCTGTGTCAGAGAAGAGATGAGACTGTCTGAGGGGATGGAGGATAGAGTGACCACGGAGAATGGAAGCTATATATAGAGGAGTACTTAGAACACCAACTGGGAAAGATCATACTCCCCTAAAGACAAACACACACAAAAATAATCTCAAAAACGAAAGCAAGCAGCCTTGTCTGAATGGATGGAAGCAGACCATATGAGCCAGAAGATCCACAGCTTCAGGATTGGAGTCACTCCAAGGAGACTTCCCTTAGGCAGAACCCCTAGTGTTAGAAGAAAGTCTTTGAATTACAGCTGAATTGACTGTCTCATGAGAGATCTTCCTTGAGATTTGCCTCAACTGAAGCCAGCCTATAACCTGTTTCCTTCCACCATAGTGAGGTTTATGGGCTGTGACAAAATTTTTCATAATTTATGTGACTGCTTCCTGCTGGGCCTCCATTGGACCCAGTAAGAAAGGGGAGGAAGCTAGGAGGAAGTGAATGGGGACTGCATTTGCAGCACTCACTCCGCTGTAGGATAGGCTCAGCAGGAAATGACCAGATGTCCAAATCAGTGTCCAGAAAAGAACAGCAGCTGAAATCCCATCTAGACTGGCCTTGCTCCAAGTGAGTACATCTGATGGGGAACAATATGGCCCCAGACATTTCTAAGCCGAGAAGGGCAAATCTATGCACGCTGTCCCACACTGCCCACTCTGGCATGCGTGGCAGACATGAAGAATTGATCATGGTGCAATTTTATGATGAGGTTAAGCACAATCTCAGTGCGTTTCTCAACATGGAGCACCAAACAGCTATCGCCAAGTGATCAGAGTTAGGACTCAACTCCCCTCCCCATCCTAGGCTGTATGTATGCTCAGAGTGGTGTGGGTGGCAGGACTGTGGTAGGCAACAAGGTACCATTTATTTATTATTTATTTATTTATTTATTCAATCATCCCGATATAAAAAAGATAAAACCTATGCCTAGCACTGTAGTAGACATTCGGGGATGCAACAGTAAGTAAAACAGGCATGGTCCCTACACATTCAATAAACTGCTAAACAAACATAAATAAATATATTGTAGTGAAAGCTACTGAGAGTTTAGGAAGTTAATAATTAACATGTTCCTCTTCCCCTTATCTTGACTTAGAAACAGCTGAGACAGGCATAGGAGTCAAGGGGATGGAGGTACACTATCACTTTCATTACTAATAAGAAGAATATGGCTTAGGTCTGACCAACTGGGCTTGTTAATGTGCTACAGCTGAATTGTACTTATCACCCTTCTCTGCATAATCCCAGGCCCCAGGAACCGATCTGTCCTGTCAGTCTACTTGCAGGTGTAGAAGAGTCCCGACCAGCAATTTCTTCAAGTGGGAAGGGCCAGGCCACACATGGCCAGTTCTTTCCCCAAACCCACCAATAAGAGAAGTGGTTGCTCCTCCACTAGGGGCAAGGCAAGAGGTGAGGAGTGTTACCCCAGTGGAGGGCCCCCTATTTGGAAACACAGGGAAAGGGGAATAAGTGATCCATCCTCCTCAACAAGGGCCATGCCGGGAAAGTAAAGGGCACAATGAGGGATTATAGGAGGGTACTTTTTTTAGGATCGAGATGTTAGGAAGGCTCCTTTGAGTGAGATATATAAAATGAGCCCTAAGCAATTTGGCTCCAGAATCCAACTTATCTGGGGGGACTAGGTCATGCAGGCTTTGACGTTAAGAAGTTGAGTTTTTTCCTAAGAGCAATGGCACAATTTTGAAGAATTTAAGCAGGGGAGGGAAGTAATCAGCTTTGCGTTTTCAAACAGCTATTAACTAGAGGAAGAATTGCCAAAATTAGAAAAAATACATATATAATACGTATTTACACACACACACACACACACACACACACACACACACACACATATATGTATATATATATGGTGCCCAGTTTATACTAAAAAAAAACCTGTCCATTGTTTATCTCTAATTAAAGTTTAACTGAGTGTCCAGTATTTTATTTGGCAACCCCAGAGAAGAAACAGAAAAACCAACTAAGATGTTGTTGCAGGTGTTGGTAATAGAGAAGATGACATGCAGCAGGTTCCAGTTCTATTTGGAAGTAGACTCTTAGAAATAGATTGATGTGGTAGGAGAGAGAGCCTGGGGTCAAGGGCCAGGCAGACTCTGGAGAGCCTCTGGATGGACAGAGCTGCCAGTGCATCCAATGCCACTGAATGAAAATAAAATCAGTTTTAACATTTCAGTCTGTTGCTCTCCTCTTGTAAATTTATGCACCCTATGTAGCCATCCTCATGACAACATCTATTTATTAACTGATTTCTATATAATGCGGCATTGGAACTAATACTGAGGGAAAGGGCCTTGTGTGCTGCCAAAAAAAGTAGCAAATAAACCATAGTTCTAGCAGTGTTGTGCCTAATATGACATTGCTTGTGACTGAGAAAATTATCGAAAGCCTCTGGGATCAGAAGACAATATAAATTAGTCCACAGATGGGAGGAATGCTGTTCTGGTCTTCTGACTGTGTCCCTTAACTTTTCAATTATGTAAAATTTTATCAATATAACCTATCTTATCACATCACTGTTGTGAATATCATGTGAATTACGAATATAAAACATCTTTTATTAATATTCAGGTATTGTTGTGGACTGAATGTTTGTGTACCCCCACCCCAAATTTATATGCTAAAGCCCTAATTCCCAATGTGATATTATTTAGAGATGGGGACTTTGGGAGGTAATTAGGGTTACATAAAGTCATGAGGGTGGGGCCCTCATGGTGGGATTAGTGACCTTGTAAGAAGGGGAGGAAAGATCCTTTGACTGTGCACCCTCTGTTCCCTGCACACATGGGAGAAAGGTGATATGAGGGCATAGTGAGAAGGTGGTCATCTGCAAGCCAGGAATAAAGACTCCACCAGAAACCAAATTGACTAGAACCTTGATCTTGGACTTCTAGCCTCCAGAACTGTGCATAAATAAATTTCTGTGGTTTAAGCCACTTAATCTATAGTATTTTGTTGTGGTAGCCCTAACTGAATAATATACATACTAATTTTTTTAACAAAAATAATTAGGTATAAGCAGGCAAGAATGTTAACACCAAAGCAAAATCTCTTGCTTTACTTAACTGATTATTTATTTAGAGACAGGTCTCTGTCTGTTACCCAGGCTGGAGTACAATAGTGCAAGCATGGCTTACTGCACCCAGGAACTCCTGGGCTCAAGTGATCCTCCCACTTCAACCTCCTAAGTAGCCGGGACTACAGGCACACACTACCATGACCAACTTTTTTTTTTTTTTAATTTTTTTTTAATTTTAGAGGCAGGGTCTTGCTATGTTTCTTAGGCTGGTCTTAAACTTTTAACCTCAAGCAATCCTCCCACCTTGGCCTATGAGTAGCTGGGATTACAGACCCAGGCTACTGTGCCCGGCTTCTTGCTATTTTCAGTCTGCCAGTGAATTTTCTGAATCTGTAAGCTAGGCCACCTCTAGCATATGTTCTCAAGTCTCCAGTCCTGGAGCAAATTATATTGTGTATATTTCCTTGCCTTTTCCTTTTCTACCTCCCAAACATTCACATTAAGGGCAGCCTTGAGAAGGCAATGTCACAAAAGGTGTGAGTGTGTGAAGAAGAAAGGAGCTTGGTTGCTAGGAAACCAAGGAGCCAGTACAGCCAAACAGCCACTAGGTGCTTAGGGATTATGTGGTTTGTGCTGACTGCATGTATGTTAGTAGATGGGGCCTTTCTCTTTTAGCACCAACTAGAATTCTGCCACATCCAGACTTCTAGTCTGACATCAGATGTAAAAAGATGCTGAATAATGTAATGACTAGTGAGGCTTTCCATTGCGGTGGTCCCCGCTTATTCACAGGGAATACATTCCAAGACTCCCAATGGATGCATGTAACTGAAGGTAGTATCGAATTTAATATATACTGTTTTTTTCTATACATATGTGTCTATGATAAAGTTTAATTTATAAATTAGGCACAGTAAGAGGTTAACAACAATAACTAGTAATAAAATGGACCAATTAAAACAATATACTGTAATAAAAGTTATCTGAACATGCTTTCTCTCTCTCTCAAAATATCTTATTGCAGTGTACTCATCTATTTTCAGACTGCTATTGAACGTGGGTAACTGAAACCGTGGAAAGCAAAACCACACAGATAAGGGAGGACTATTGTATGAAAGACAGAAACCCAACTACAGAAAAGAGAATTTGTTATATATAGTAACTGGGAAGTCTAGGAGTGGATACTGCTTCGGTTAGGACTGGATTCAGTAATGTGAATGTCATTAGCTCATTCTTGATCATACCTGTTTTCCTCTGTGCAATAGTCTCATTCTTACCTATTTTATTTTTCTGACTCTAAGTGGGATCCCTTCAGGCAGTAAGGAAGGGATAGTCTGGCTACAGAGCTCTAGGCTCCTATGTTTCCAGGAACCATCTCCAAGTAAAGAAAGAGCTTTTCTTTGCTAGGATTCGTATGTTAAATCCCAGAGAAGGGATCTGATTACTCGGTTGGGTCACAGGCTCTCCTATTGCACTAATTACTATGGCCAGAGTAGCAGGGTACTCTGATTTGCAGCCCCATTAAGAACTGCATGGAATATGGGAGGCAATTCTCCAAAGGAAAATGGGATGTGTTACAGGAAGATGAGAGAATTAACTGGGCAGGTCAAAACAGCAGATATCCACTGAAGTACTTGAAAAGACATCTACACAGTTAGCTCTGACTTTTATTCATGTGTAACTTCAATCAAAATTACATATGAAGGATGCCCACTGATGCACTGTTTTTAATAAAGAAAAAATGGAAACAACCCCAGTGTGCATTCATAGAGAAGCAGTAAATAATTGTAAATTCATATAGTATAATACGAAATAGCAATGTAACTACTGACACAGAATGTGGCCTTGATATAAATTAAGGGAAAACAACAAGTTGTAAAGCAGTGTTTAAAGTTTAAATTTTTTGTAAAAATGTTATTTCTGTGAATATTGCCCCAAATTGTTAAGAGTAGCTTTCTTATAGGAAGTTACTATTGGATTCCCTTTTGGTGGGTTATAAACTCCTAAAATGTGATATTTTAGAATGAGCAATATTAATTTTATAGTTAAACCAATAAAGATTAAATTTTAAAAATTCATTATAAATACTAAAAAAAAGTACAAATATTATCACCCATTTTGTAGGTTGTTTTTCACTTTCTTGATAGTGTCCTTTAAGACACAAATATTTTACATTTTGGTCAAGTCCCATTTATCTATTTTTGCCTTTGTCACTTGTACTTTTGGTGATGTATCTAAGAAACCTCTGCCTAGTGGGAGGTCATGAAAATTTACACCTTTGTTTTATTCTGAATTTTATAGTTTTAGCTCTTAAATTTAGGTCTTTGGCCTATTTTGAGTCAATATTTATATATGGTGTGAGGTACAGGTCTGTGTAGTAAAAAATTTGGCCTCACCCCGAGAGAGGACTAGCTTTTGCCCTCAGCTTCTGAGAGTTGATCTATATAATACTTAATGGGAGTGTCCTTGTTTAGGGTGGCAGCTGGCCACACCAGATCTTAGGGTGAGGCTAGCTACACAAGAAAGACCAAATATGTGATTTAGGGTGGGGGCTGGTCATGCTAGAAAGATCAACATGTGATTCAGAGTGTGAGCTTTGGGTCACATGGTGTAAGTCAACTTAGAGACTGAATTCAATCATGTTGGCAGTCTGTCAGTCATGTGCACATAATGAAACCCCAATATAAACTCTGGATACTGAAGTTCAGGTGAGCTTCTCTCACTGGCAATACTCTGCATATTGCCACACATTGATGCTGGGAAAGTATACATGCTGACTCCACAGGAAAGGGGACACAGAAGCTTCAGGTTTGGCATCTTCCCAAACTCTGCCCTGTACTTCTTCCTTTGACTAATTTGAATATGCATCCTTTCCCTATAATAAACTGTAAAAATCAGTATAACAACTTTCAGTGAAATCCTGTGAGTCCTTATGGAAAATTATGAAAACTGAAAGTGGCTTTGGGAACCTACCAGAAATTGCAGTTGCTGTCAGAAGTGAGGGCCATTTTGTGGATATTGTGCTCTCTAAACTTGTAGTTGGCTCCAAATTATCACAGTTGGTGTCAGAAGAGGGATTCATGGGACCAAACCTGACTCACTGGAGCATGTAGTTTGGGAAGAAAAAGGATGAAAGGGTGGATGTTAATGAACTTTTCATTTCTGGATGGCTACAGAGTCAGCCATGATATGGAACTATAGCTGTGCTATAATCAGTTACTGAAGGTAAAAGTTACCAATGGAATTTTAAAATGATGGACCCAACTCTAAGAAGTTGTCTCACTGGATGCCTAAGGAAATGCAGAGTAACAAGAAAAAGAAAAAGAAAAATATATGATATTTGGTTACTGTTATCTGTCATATCTAAAATGTGAGTAAGAAGTAATGCAAGAATTTTGGTGTAAATCCTAATGCTGGGCAAAGCTTGGATTCCAGCTGGTTCAAGCTGCAACTATTAGCCTGTAGAGCCTCTACCAACGAATATAGTTAAAATAAAAACAAAAGAAAGTGTTTGTGTGGACCCCCATCCTGGGTCTAGCCTGGATTCCTTCTATTCCAAGCTACAGCTGCTAGCCTCAGAACCCCTATGAAAGGAAAAATTATGCTGAAACAACAGATAGGGAAATAGGTTAGAATGATTTATAAGAGAATAGGTACAACAAAGGGGAAAGAAAGAGGGGCAAATTGTGCACAAATTTGGCTAAGCAAAGTGGAAAACTTTAAATGGTCGTTAAGAAATGAGGTGAATAAAGCAAATATTAATGTAGCCAAAACTAAGTCCTTAATGTGGTATTCTCAGAGCTTGGGTGGAGAATGGCAGCCCTGCTGCTCTCCCAGTATTGAAAGGCCTAAACAAATCAGATATAGCAGGCGGTGGGGGTGGGCTGGGCTGGCTGGGGGAGGTGGTCAGGGAACCACCTGGTCCCAGGGGTGCCAAAGAGAACAGCTCAAATCATCAAGCATCGTTGATGATAGCCAGTCATCTAGTGACCAGTAGAAACAAGGAACCAGGTGGTTTTCAGAGGACAGCATGAAAACCTGCACATAGGCCAGCGGGCTTCTCCCCTGGAGATCATGCAATTTTCCTCCCTCTAGATGCTATCTTGGAGAAGAGAGAAAACAGCCAAGTTGCATCATTTGATTTGACTATATGACTAGACATTTACATTTTTTTTTTTTTTTTGAGATGAAGTCTCACTCTGTCGCCCAGGCTGGAGTGCAGTGGCACGATCTGGGCTCACTGCAACCTCCGCCTCCTGGGTTCAAGTGATTCTCCTGCCTTGGCCTCCTGAGTAGCTGAGATTACAGGTGTGCACCACTACACCCAGCTAATTTTTTGTATTTTTAGTAAAGGCAGGGTTTCACCATGTTGGCCAGGCTGGTCTCAAACTCCTGACCTTGTGATTCACCTGCCTCAGCCTCCCAAAGTGCTGGGCTTACAGGCATGAGCCAACGTGCCTGGCTGATATTTACTGTTTTTACTCCATCATGTCTATACTTGGCTTCTATATCATTTGAAGAAGGTATTCTGCTGTTTACTGAAAACTGAACAAAGAAAAAACCCCATAGATAAAAAATTTTTGGTGTTAGTAAACTGAAAAAGGCTGTTTTAAACAGGAAAATATTGAGATAACTTTAATCAATGAGTTTAAGATTTTACTCTCTCCACTGGAAAGAACACCTAAGAGGACAATGAGATCAATTCTAGAAACAAAGGAACACTGCATATATATAATCTAGCACATATGAATTATACTGCTTATATTTTGACCTATTTCATGTCAAATACATAAAGCATAGGTGATTTGGTGCAGGAGGGTGAAAAGGGGGCAGGCGGATTACTTGTACCCCTCACCAGAAAATCCCTGTGGCACCTCCAGAGGCAGATAGAAGTGTTTGAAACCCAGTGATCCATCTGGGGAAATTGGTCCTTCTATCTTTAAGTGACTTTACAATAACACAACTACTTAGTTAGTGCAGGAGCCCACACTGGCACCCAGGGACTTAACTTCTAGGACTTTAACAAGGAATAGACCATGTCAACCTCATTCCTTATCAGCAGGTTGGCATTTTCGTCTGAACAAATAATGTATTACATTTTCAGCCAATTGCTTTTGAAACAAGGGCTTTCTGTTGATCTAATGTTCATTATGAAGTCTAGTTCCAAGATTCTTTTTGCTCATTTTATCATGGTGCCTATTCTCTTTCAACTTCTAGACAGAAATTTTTTACTATGGGTATACAGATCTAACGTTGTGTCTCAGGGGTTTTCAACCTTGTTACTCTTGACATTTGGACCAGATATTTCTTTGTGAGGTAAGAGGGCTGTCCTCTGCATTCTAAGATGTTTAGTAACATCCTGGCCTTTACTCACTGCATTCCAGGAGGACTATCACCCCACCTCCACCCCAGTTTAGACAAAAAAAAAAATCCTCTATATATTGCCAAATGTCCCCTGGGGAGGCAAAATTACCCATATTTGAGAACCACTGCTCTTTCATTATGATATAAACTGATTCCAAGATATCCCTCTGGTGTACCCACTCCTGACTGATCTCCAGCCTAATCACTGTGGATGAATACTCTCCAACAATGAGGGGTACTGGAGGAAAGGACTGTGTATTCACGATTCATTACTCCCCTCCCCAACAGTGAATTAGTAACACTCTTGGTTCAGGCTGCTTCACTTCTGTAAGGATGAGTAAATTTGTTGAGAAACAAATTATTCAATGATACTTGTTAAAGCATGGTAAGGAAGACTTCAATTCAAGACCATTACAATAGGTGTGGGGACAATTAAAATGGGATCTTGCAGTCAGGGAGAGAGATTGGACTCAACTCTGAATATGGAAAGGAGAAATTTACAGCCAAGGAGCAGGGTGAGGGTCAGTGGTTGGAAAATTACTAAGGGAGATTCTGGCTAAACCGACCCAACAAGATTCTTGCTGAAGACAGGCCAGGGTGATCAGACATCACCTGGGGGATGATGGAGGGTGTGTAACATAATCAGATATCAAGGATAATCAGATATTGAAGACAGAGCGTTCTGGCTAAACTTACTAAGCAGGTCCCTTTGCTAAAGCTGGATTTTACAAGGAAGTGCACAGATGGGCCCTGGGAGAAGGTCCAGAATCCTGAGTAAAGTTTGGCCAAGAGAAGACTCTTTGTCACATTTCAGATGAATCTATCATGAAACAATTAGTGTTTCTGCTGATATTATACAAAATATAAAGAAAGAATATATAGAAAGAGCTGGACATCAGCCTGAAGATATTGTTGAATCTTATTGTTCAAGTCATGTTGATGTGGGTTTTTTTAACTTGGAGTTAAAAGAATACTAACTAATGAAATTAGGCAGCTTAAATGAATTCATTTTGAATAATTAAGGTTTTCACTACTCAATCAGGCCTAATAGCATGATTTTCCAAAGAGTGAATCATACTTAAAGATAATCAGATATGTTCTCACCAGTTCAAGACAGTCTGAGGGGTAAACTTAGCCCAGAGAAGAAGAGATGGAGTTAGAGTCCATAGGGCAAAGTCTTCTTATTCTCAATCTCCTTGTTTGTTCCCTAGATCATATTGTTAATCTTGGAGTTCTGGAAAACACTTACTCTGAACTTACCCATCTCAAATTCTTCTACTGTGTCTCCCTCCTTTAATATACTTTAGCTTTTATTCATTCCTTAATTAAGAAAATATTAATTGAGTGTGTGCAATGGGTCAGCCTCTGCTCTGGGGCCACAGATGCAGAGGTGAGAAAGAAACACATGGCCCCAGCCCTCACAAAGTGTGTGGATGAGATTCAAGAAGATGAAGGTGGAATAGAGGAATGACATTAACAAATTTTTTTATTGTGGTAAAATATACATAACATAAAATTTACAATTTTAATAATTTTTTCTTTTTTTAAATTATACTTTAAGTTCTGGGATACATGTGCAGAATGTCCAGGTTTGTTACATAGGTATACATGTGCCATGGTGGTTTGCTGCACCCATCAACCCGTCATCTACATTAGGTATTTCTCCTAATGCTATCCTTCCCCTAGCCCCCCACCTCACAACAGGCCCCGGTGTGTGATGTTCCCATCCCTGTGCCCATGTGTTCTCCTTGTTCAACTCCCATTTATGAGTGAGAACATGTGGTGTTTGGTTTTCTGTTCTTGTGTTAGTTTGCTGAGGATGATGGTTTCCAGCTTCATCCATGTCCCTGCAAAGGACATGAACTCATTCTTTTTTATGGCTGCATAGTATTCCATGGTGTATATATACCACATTTTCTTTATCCAGTCTATCACTGATGGGCATTTGGATTGGTTCCAAGTCTTTGCTATTGTGAACAGTGCTGCAATAAACATATGCGTGCATGTGTCTTTATAGTAGAATGATTTATAATCCTTTGGGTATATACCGAGTAATGGGCTTGCTGGGTGAAATGGTATTTCTGGTTCTAAATCCTTGAGGAATTGCCACATTGTCTTCCACAATGGTTGAACTAATTTACACTCCCACCACTCCCTTTTTCTCTAGATTCCTCCTCTCTGGGAAGGGCATCTCTGAAAGAAAGGCAGCAGTCCCAGTCAGGGGCTTATAGATAAAACTCCCATCTCCCTCGGACAGAGCACCTGGGGGAAGGGGCGGCTGTGGGTACAGCTTCAGCTGACTTAAATGTTCCTGCCTGCCAGCTCTGAAGAGAGCAGTGGAACTCCTAGCACAGCGCTTGAGCTCTGTGAAGGGACAGACTGCCTCCTCAAGTGGGTCCCTGACCCCTGTGCCTCCTGACTGGGAGACACCTCCCAGGAGGGGTCAACAGACACCTCATACAGGAGGCATCTGGCAGGTGCCCCTCTGGAACAAAGCTTCCAGAGGAAGGCACAGGCAGCAATCTTTGCTGTTTTGCAGCCTCCACTGGTGATACCCAGGAAAACAGGGTCTGGAATGGACCTCCAGCAAACTCCAGCAGACCTGCAGCAGAGGGGCCTGAAGGAAAACTAACAAACAGAAAGGAATAACATCAACATCAACAAAGAGGATGTCCACACAGAAACCCCATCTGAAGGTCACCAACATCAAAGACCAAAGGTAGATAAATCCATGGAGATGAGAAAAAAACAGCGTAAAAAGGCTGAAAATTCCAAAAACCAGAACACCTGTTCTCCTCCAAAGGATCACAACTCCTTGCCAGCAAGGGAACAAAACTGGATAGAGAATGAGATTGACGAATTGACAGAAGTAGGCTTCAGATGGTGGTTAATAACAAATTCTTCTGAGCTAAAGGAGCATGTTCCAACCCAATGCAAGGAAGCTAAGAACCTTGAAAAAAGGTTAGAGGAATTGCTAACTAGAATAACCAGTTTAGAGAAGAACAGAAATGACCTGATGGAGCTGAAAAACACAGCATGAGAACTTTGTGCAGCATATACAAGTATCAACAGCTGAATTGATGAAGCAGAAGAAAGGATATCAGAGACTGAAGATCAACTTAATGAAATAAAGTGTGAAGAAAAGATCAGAGAAAAAAGAATGAAAAGTAACAAACAAAGCCTCTAAGAAATATGGGACTATGTGAAAAGACCAAACCTACGTTTGATTGGTGTAACTGAAAGTGACAGGGAGAATGGAGCCAAGTTGGAAAACACTCTTCAGGATATTATCCAGAACTTCCCCAACCTAGCAAGCCAGGTGAACATTCAAATTCAGGGAATACAGAGAACACCACAAAGATACTCCTTAAGAAGACCAACCCCAAGACACATAATCGTCAGATTCACCAAGGTTGAAATGAAGGAAAACATGTTAAGGGCAGACAGAGAGAAAGGTCAGGTTACTCACAAAGGGAAACCCATCAGACTAACAGCGGATCTCTCTGCAGAAACCCTACAAGCCAGAAGCGAGTGGGGGCCAATATTCAACATTCTTAAAGAAAAAAATTTCCAACCCAGAATTTCATATCCAGCCAAACTAAGCTTCATAAGTGAAGGAGAAATAAAATCCTTTACAGACAACCAAATGCTGAGAAATTTTGTCACCACCAGGCCTGCCTTAAAAGAGCTCCTGAAGGAAGCACTACATATGAAAAGGAAAAACCAGTACCAAATTGTAAAGACCATCAACACTATGAAGCAACTGCATCAACTAATGGGCAAAATAACCAGCTAGCATCATAATGACAGAATCAAATTCACACATAACAATATTAACCTTAAATATAAATGGGCTAAATACCCCAATTAAAAGATAAAGACTGGCAAATTTGATAAAGAGTCAAGACCCATTGGTGTGCTGTATTCAGGAGACTCATCTCACATGCAAAGACACAGATAGGCTCAAAATGAAGGGATGGAGGAATATTTACCAAGCAAATGGAAAGCAAAAAAAAAAAAAAAGGAGGGGTTGCAATCCTAGTCCCTGGTAAAATAGACTTTAAACCAACAAAGATCAAAAATGACAAAGAAGGGCATTATATAATGGTAAAGGAATCAATGCAACAAGAAGAGCTAACTATCCTAAATATATATGCACCCAATGCAGGAGCACCCAGATTCATAAAGCAAGTTCTTAGAGACCTAGAAAGAGACTTAGACTCCCACACAATAATAGTGGGAGACTTTAACACCCCATTGTCAATATCAGACAGATCAATGAGACAGAAAATTAACAAGGATATTCAGGAGTTGAACTCAGCTCTGGACCAAGTGGACCTAACAGACACCTACAGAACTCTTCACCCCAGATCAACAGAATATACATTCTTCTCAGCACCACATGGCACTTATTCTAAAATTGACCACATAATTGGAAGTAAAACACTCCTCAGCAAATGCAAAAGAACGGAAACCATAACAAACAGTCCCTTGGACCACAGTGCAATCAAATTAGAACTCAGGGTTAAGAAACTCACTCAAAATCACACAACTACATGAAGACTGAACAACCTGCTTCTGAATGACAGCTGGGTAAATAATGAAATTAGGGAGGAAATAAAGAAGTTCTTTGAAGCCAATGAAAACAAAGAGACAATGTACCAGAATCTCTGGGACACAGCTAAAGCAGTGTTAAGAGGGAAATTTATAGCACTAAATGCCCACATCAGAAAGTGGGAAAGATCTAAAATTGACACCCTAACATGACAATTAAAAGAACTAGAGAAGCAAGGCAAACAAATTCAAAAACTAGCAGAAGACAAGAAATAAGATCAGAACAGAACTGAAGGAGATAGAGACACAAAAAACCCTTCAAAAAATCAATGAATCTAAGAGCTGGTTTTTTGAAAAGATTAACAAAATAGATAGACCACTAGCCAGACTAATAAAGGAGAAAAGAGAGAAGAATCAAATAGACACAATAAAAAAAGATAAAGGGGATATCACCACTGATCCCACAGAAATACAAACTACTATCAGAGAATACTATAAAAACCTCTCTGCAAATAAACTAGAAAATCTAGAAGAAATGGATAAATTCCTGGACACATACACCCTCCCAAGACTAAACAAGGAAGAAGTCAAATTCCTGAATGGACCAATAACAAGTTCTGAAATTGAGGCAGTAATTAAAAGCCTACCAACCAAAACAAAACAAACAAACAAAAAAACAAAAAACAAACAAACAAAATAACAACCCAGGAACAGGTGGATTCACAGCCGAATGCTACTAGAGGTACAAAGAGGATCTGATACCATTCCTTCTGAAACTATTCCAAACAATAGAAAAAGAGGGACTTCTCCCTAACTCATTTTATGAGGCCAGTATCATCCTGATACCAAAACCTGGCAGAGACACAATGAAAAAAGAAAATTTCAGGCCAATATCCCTGATGAACATTGATGCAAAAATCTTCAATAAAATACTGACAAACTGAATCCAGCAGCACATCAAAAAGCTTATCTACCATGATCAAGTCGGCTTCATCCTTGGGTTGCAAGGCTGGTTCAACAAATGCAAATCAATATACGTAATCCCTCACATAAACAGAACCAATGACAAAAACCACATGGTTATCTCAATAGATGCAGAAAAGGCCTTTGATAAAATTCAACATCGCTTCATGCTAAAGACACTCAATAAACTAGGTATTGATGGACCACATCTCAAAATAATAAGAGCTATTTATGACAAACCCACAGCCAATATCATACTGAATGGGCAAAAACTGGAAGCATTCCCTTTGAAAACCAGCGCAAGACAAGGATGCCACCTCTCACCACTCCTATTCAACATAGCATTTGAAGTTCTGGCCAGGGCAATCAGGCAAGAGAAAGAAATAAAGGATATTCAAATAGGAACTGAGAAAGTCAAATTGTCTCTGTTTGCAGATGACATGATTGTATATTTAGAAAACCCCATCTTCTCAGCCCCAAAACTCCTTAAGCTGATAAGCAACTTCAACAAAGTCTCAGGATACAAAGTCAGTGTGCAAAAATCACAAGCATTCCTATACACCAATAATAGACAACCATAGAGCCAAATCATGAGTGAACTCCCATTCACTATTGCTACAAAGCAAATAAAATACTAGGAATACAACTTACAAGGAACGTGTAGAACCTCTTCAAGGAGAACTACAAACCACTACTCAAGGAAATAAGAGAGGACACAAACAAATGGAAAAACATTCCATGCTCATGGATAGGAAGAATCAATATAGTGAAAATGGCCATACTACCAAAAGTAATTTATAGATTCAATGTTATTCTCATCAAGCTACCATTGACTTTCTTTGAAGAATTAGAAAAAACTATAAATTTCATATGGAACTAAAAAAGAGCCCATAGAGCCAAGGCAATCCTAAGCAAAAAGAACAAAGCTGGAAGCATCACGCTACCTGACTTCAAACTATACTACAAGGCTACAGTAACCAAAACAGCATGGTACTGGTACCAAAACAGATATATAGAGCAGTGGAACAGAAGAGAGACCTCAGAAATAACACCACACATCTACTACCATCTGATCTTTGACAAACCTGACAAAAACAAGCAATGGGGAAAGGATTCCCTATGTAATAAATTGTGCTGGGAAAACTGGCTAGCCATATGCAGAAAATAGAAACTGGACACCTTCCTTACACCTTATATAAAAATTAACTCAAGATTGATTAAAGACTTAAACATAAAACCTAAAACCATAAAAACCCTAGAAGAAAACCTAGGGAATACCATTCAGGACATAGGCATGGGCAAAGACTTCATGACTAAAACACCAAAAGCAATTGTGACAAAAGCCAAAATTGACAAATGGGATCTAATTAAACTAAAGAGATTCTGCACAGCAAAAGAAACTATCATCAGAGTGAACAGGCAACCTACAGAGTGGGAGAAAATTTTTGCAATCTATTCATCTGACAAAGTCTAATATTCAGAATCTACAAGGAACTTAAATAAATTTACAAGAAAAAAACAACCCCACCAAAAACTGGGCAAAGGATATGAACAGACACTTCTCAAAAAAAGACATTTATGCAGCCAACAAACATGAAAAAAAGCTCATCATCACTGGTCATTAGAGAAATGCAAATCAAAACCACAATGAGATACCATCTCACACCAGTTAGAATGGCAATCATTAAGAAGTCAGGAAACAACGGATGCTGGCAAGGATGTGGAGAAATAGAAACTCTTTTACACTGTTGGTGAGAGTGTAAATTAGTTCAACCATTGTGGAATACAGTGTGGCAATTCCTCAAGGATCTAGAACCAGAAATACCATTTGACCCAGCAATCCCATTACTGGGTATATACCCAAAGGATTATAAATCATTCTACTATAAAGACACATGCACACATATGTTTATTGCAACATCATTTACAATAGCAAAGACTTGGAACCAACCCAAATGCCCATCAATGATGGAGTGGATAAAGAAAATGTGGTACATATACACCATGGAATACTATGCAGCCATAAGAAAGAATGAGTTCATGTCCTTTGCAGGGACATGGATGAAGCTGGAAACCATTATTTTCAGCAAACTAACCCAGGAACAGAAAACCAAGCACCACTGTGTTCTCACTCATAAGTGGGAGTTGAACAATGAGAACACATGGACACAGGGAGGGGAACATCACACACTGGGGCCTGTCGGGGGGTAGGGGGCAAGGGGAGGGATAGCATTAGGATAAATACCTAATGCATGTGGGGCTTAAAACCTAGATGATGGGTTGATGGGTGCAGCAAACCACCATGGCACATGTATAACTATGTAACAAACCTGCACATTCTACACATGTATCCCAGAACTTAAAATAAAATTTAAAAAAAAAAGAAATGGAATTTCTGGATTATACGGCAATTCTTTCATTTTTTGAGGAACTACCACACTGTTTTCCATAGCCACTGCACAATGGTTTTACATTCCCACCAGTAATGCACAAGGGTTCTAATTTCTCCATGTTCTTTTCAACACTTATTTTATGTGTTTTTACGTAATAGCCATCCTGGTGGAAGTGAAGTGGTATTTTATTGTGGTTTTGGTTTACATTTCCCTGGTGAGTAGTGATATTGAGAATCTTTTTGTGTGCTTATTGACCATTTGTATAATTTCTTTGGAGAAATGTCTATTCACATCTTTGGGAGGATCAACATTTTAACTCATGCTTACTCTTAAGCTCTGTAACTTTACCCACCAGCACCCTGTGTGTTAATTTTAATACAGACTTAGGTTGCCTTTTAGAAAATTTTGGTATAGTAGAGAAGTTTCTCTAGCTCTGCATCCTTGATTATTACCATCTTATTCTAGGCTAAGAACAAATGTAACAAGAAATTGTCTGTGCCCACACAAGGACTCAAGTGCAATGGAAACTTTATGGGGCTGATTGTTTTTCAGTTCAGGGAGTTCTTCCAGACCAGGCCCACCTACAGCCACTCTCAACTTCCTGGACTCATAGCTCCCCTGGGGTCCTCATATGCTTGACCTTGAAGCTTACCTCCCGCCTTTTGTTTGACCCATTAAGATTGATTAATCTGACTCCAAATATTTTCCTCATTTTCATTGAGGTAGAAACTCTATCAGATCCAGTTAGTGGGAAATATTCTTGGACTCTAAATATCATACTGCAGCCAGGAGTTGTTGAACTCCTGTGTCCAGCATGGGGCCCTGGAAGGCCACTTGCACAGATAAAGTGTGATTAAAATGGTTGGAGTGGTGGGTGGCGGATGGGACAGATTACTTAGACAGGGTTGCTGTAGACTTTTCTGTGGACTCTTACTCCATTTGGGGAGAAAGATTGAGCAGAAATGTCACATCTACTCAGACTAGTCAACTACCCAGCATTTGTGGCTCAATATTCTTTCTTTTGCCATATCTGTTCTTATTACAGCATTATGCTCAAATATTAAAGATATTTCCAAAGCATCTTAAATTTCTTTTAATAAATTACTTGATTTTCTAAGTGCTTTTGCAATGTTGTGTTATTTTTAGCAAATATGTCCTCTTGGGTTTTTTCATACATGTTGACAATATGCTTTGAAAAGAAAGATAAAAATTCCTTGCTTAATGAGCATTACATTTGTTTTTCCAGGATTGCCTCTTGCAAGAATTTTTACCCATATTTGCAATTTTCTTCAATAATAGGGAAACAGTACTTGAACTCTTCAGCTCATCTTAATGTGGGTACACGTTCTAAAAAAAAAAATATTGATGGTGCCCAGCATAAGCCATTGGATGTCTCCTTTCTCACGTTGTGAAAGCTTGTATGGCAGTCATTCAGCTTTTCTAGCTAATAGACCCAGCTGGGGTCCCTGCCTACAGAGCCAGCATCAACTCCCAGACATGAGAAAGAGCCAGCTTTCATGTGATTCCACTCCCAGCCTTTAGGCCACCCAGGTGATGACCTGAGGCAGAATTGAGGTGTTTCCATTGAACCTAGCCTTAACTGTAGATTTATGAGGTAAATAGTGATTGTTGTTGTTTTAAGCCACTAAGTTCTGGGTACTTTGCTACACAAAAATAAATAACCAATGAAGTCACACATATGACTTCTGCTCACTGTTCATTGCCTGTGACTAGTCACATTGCCCTGCCTAATTGCAGGAGTCTGAGAAGTACACATTTCTTAGTGCTTAGGGAGGAGAGGACAACCTGACATTGGTGAGCATTAGTAATGCGTGCAACAATGACTTTGTTTTCAATTATTTAGAACATTTTTTTCTGATTATTAGACAATATGTGGTCACAATGGAAAATTTGGAAAATATAAAATGGTATAAAGAACTAAGTGCAAATCACCCAGATGCCACTATCTAGAATTAATGATCGCTGCTTCCTGTCATTTTCCTCTGTTTACATTTAAAAAACAAAATTGGAATCATTCACTTTTAAATTTTGACTTTTTTACATTAAAAGCACTTATGTGTTCCTGATATTAAACATTTGTTTTGTGCTAAAATATGTATAATAGCCAGGTGCAGTGGTGCATGCCTGTAGTCTCAGCTATTCAGGAGGCTGAGGTGAGACAATCACTTGAGCCCAAGAGTTCAAGGCCAGCCTAGGCAACATAGTGAGACTCATTTGTTTCTTTCTTTCTCTTTTTTTTTTTTTTTTTTCAAGATGGGGGCTTAATCTGTCACCCAGGCTGGAGTGCAGTGGCACAATTATAGCTCATTGCAACCTTGGACTCCTGGGCTCAAGTGATCCTTCCTCTTCTGCCTCCACACACCACCACACCTGGCTAATTTTTAAAAATTTATAGTAGAGACGAAGTCTTGCTATGTTGCCCAGGCTGGCCATCTCTTTAAAAATAAATAAATAAATAAATAAATAAATAATTTTAAAATGTACAACATAAGATTCACCATTTTAAAGTGTACAATTCAAAGCCATCTAACACACTCATAATGTTATACAACCATCATCACTATCTACTTCCAAAACATTTTCATCACCCCTAAAGGAAATTCTGTGCCCATTAAACCTTATTCCCCAATTTTTCCCCTTTTCTGTAGCAACCACAAAACTTATTTATGTCTCTATGGATTTGCCTATGGGAGACATTTCATATGAATGAATCATATAATGTGTGGTCTTTTTGTGACTGGATTATTTCATTAGCATAATGTTTCAGGGATATCTATGTCGTAGCCTGTATCGTACTTCATTCCATTTTAAGGCTGAATAATATTTCATTGTATGGTTGTACCACATTTTGTTTATCCACTCATTATTTGATGGACATTTGGGTTGTTTCTACTTTTTGACTATTGTGGATACTGCTGCTGTGAACATTTATGTGTAAGTTTTTGTCTGAACATCTGTTTTCAATTCTTTTAGATATACGGCTAGGAGCAGAATTGCTGAATCATCTGGTAATTCTATGTTTAACTTATTGAAGAAATGCCAAATTGTTTTCTACAGTGAGTCCACCATTTTACATTTCCACTAGCAATGTGTGAGTGTTCCAATTTCTCCACATCCTTTCCAACACTTGTTATTGTCTACGTTTTTGAATATAGTTATCTTGGTAGAGATGACATGATAACTCTTTGTGGTTTTAATTTGCATTTTCGTAACCACTAATGGCATTGAATGTCTTTCCATGTGTTTGTTGGCCATTTGTATATCTTCTTTAGAGCAATGTCAATTCAAGTCTTTTGCCTTTTTTAAAATTGGGTGGTTTTGTTGTTGCTGTTGAGTTATATAAATCATTTACCTATTCTGGACATTAAACCCTTATCAGATATAGGATTTATAAATATTTTCTCCTATTCTATGGGCTGTCTTTTCACTCTCTTGACAGTGTGCTTTGATACACAAAAGCTTTTAATTTTATGAAGCCCAACTTACCTATTTTTTCTTTTGTTGCTTATCATTTGGTCTCACATCTAAGAAATCATTGCCAAATCTAAGGTCATGGAGATGTACAACTAAGTTTTCTTCTAAGAGTTTTATAGTTTTAACTGTTATATTTAGCTCTTTGATCCATTTGCAGTTGATTTTTGTACATGGCATGAGGTGAGTCCAACTCCATTCCTTTGCATGTGGCAATCCCGTTGTCCCTGCATCATTTGTTGAATAATGTTAAGTGCTTTTTGAAAACATGTTTTGGGTGACTGCATAAGTTACATACTGCATCACCATTTGCTTACTTATTCCTCCTTTGTTTTGTGGTGTTCTAGAAATGCAGATAATTTACTCCTTGACCACATCTTTCTTTAGAAAACATGTTCAGCTCACAGCTTCAAAAAAGAGAACCCCTAGAGACATCATAAATATTGATTTTGGACATGGTAGACACTTGGCCAAAGCTGGGCCCATCAGATCTTTACTCTGGGAATTTAGCACTGGGATACTGATACTATGTGATCTAGATGTGTGGGAAACAAGTTTAAAGGTAACATAAAGTCTGGGTTCCATAATTTTTTTTGACTTTATGAACCATCTGGTTTACAACATCTGGTTATCATAATAACTGAGATTATTATGATAATTTCTGTATTAAAAGGACAGAAGAACCAGCTATAAAGCAGAAAAAAAGGATGCAGACACATTTAAAATAGAAACTACAAAAAATGGAGAGATTTGCAGTTTGTTAAATTTCTAATTCTCGTGAATTCCATAAGAATCTCTGCTTCCTTTACTTTCCCTGGTTTTCTGGAATTAGTTTGGGTGAATGTCTTTTCCTTTGCAAACAAACTTTCCCTGACTTAGACAGACCTTATACTGGTTAGGAATCTTGATTGCAAGAGACAGAAAACCCAACTTAACTGGATTAAGCCAAAGGACTCATACTGGCTTAAATACCCGAAAGTCCAGGGTATAGCTTGATGTAGGGACTAAAAAATGTCATGTAGACATGGTTCTCTGCATCCCCCAGTTCTACCTTCTGTGGTGTTCACTTAATTCTCAACCTTAGAAACTCTCATCTTCAATCATTCTGGCTACGAACAGTCTAAAAAGAAAGAACACTTTCCTACAACTCCTGAGCAAGTCTTGGATTCACTCTGATTGTGACCACATTGCGTGAGTCATGGCCCATCCTTGAACTAACCCCAAGGGGTCTTTTGCCAAGTCTGAGTCATATGTTCACTCCTGGGTAGGGAAAAACCTCATTGGAACCACATTGACTGAAAATGAGGAGGGAGGTTTTCTTAAATTCTGGATTCTGTTACAAAATAGAAATGATGCTGAGTAGACAAAGAAACAATAGATGCCAACACAGGCATTTAGATACATTCTAATTTTTTATTATTGCCTGTAACACTTATGTGCAGCCTTGTCCATAAATATTTGTTCACATCTCTCATTATGTCTTTAGGATATTGTTTAGCTCTGTTGTTGCATTGCAAATCACCCCCAAACTTAGTGGCTTAAAACAAAGACAATGATTCATTTCTCACTATTCTGTGGGCTGGCTGGGCTCAGCTGGGAAGTTCTGCTCCTTGTGGTATAGTTGAGGTTGCTCATGGAGCTGCATTCAGCTGATGAGTGGCTGGGGCTGTCCCATCCAAGACAGTCTCTTCTCCTCCTGGGCCTCTCTCCGTGTGGCTTTTCATCATTCCGCAGTGTAGCCTGAGCTTATTTATAGCGTGGTGACCAGCTTCCAGGATGTAGAGAGTGGAAATTCCCAGACAGTCCTCTTAAGGCCTAGGCCTGGAAGTCCCAGTGCCTTACTTCTGCTTCACCTTGTCAGTCAAAGCAAGTCACGGGGCCTTCCCAGATTCAGAGGGAGAAGGATATAAATATACTCCCAGAAATAGAAATGCCAGATGAAAGAGTATGCATATTTTAAGGTTCATGGTACATGTTGTGAGATTTGTTCCCCAGACAGCTTCTACCAATGTCCAACACCCCCCCCACCAGCAGTGTATAAGATCATGTGTTTCACCACACAAATGCAAACACTTAGTAATTTCACAGGTTTAAAAATAACAATGTGATTGTTGTCTTATTAATATTTGAGGGGTTAAACTTTTTCATATGCTTCTTAGCCATTAAAATAATTTTAATTATTTAATAACATATGTCTATGTTATTAGATTATGATATAGCATACCAATGTGTGCCATCATCTAGTTTAATAAAAAGCATCTTACTGTGAAATGTTCTGTGGGTTCCTCCCTAATTCTATTCCATTCTCTCCCTCTCAAAGGTAACCATTATTATAAATTTTTGTTTGTACTCCCATGCCCTTATTTTATCTTTTATAACAGCTTTTTTTGCAATATCATTCACATATCATACAATGGACCCATTTAAAGTATATAATTAATGTTTTTTGTACATTAACAGAGTTGTACAACCATCACTACAATACATTTTAAAACATTTTCATTATCCCCTAAAGAAACCCTGTACTTCTTAGCAGTTATATTCATTCTCCCCTTTCCCCTAACTCCCACCCTAGGCAATCACTAATCAATTTTATTTCTATTTAGATTTCCTATTTGGGGTATTTCATAGAAATAAAATTATAGAATATGTGGTCTTTTGTGTCTGGCTCCTTCACTTAACATGTTTTCAAGGGTCATCTATGTTGCAGACTGTATCAATATGCCATTCCTTTTTATTACTGAGTAATATTCCATTGTGTGAATACATCACATTTTATTTGTTCATTTGTCTGTTGATGGACATTTAGGTTGTTTACATTTTTGACTATTATGAATAATGCTGTTATGAACATTCAAGTACAAGTTTGTGTAGTCTTACATTTTCAGTTCTTTTGGAGTATTTCAATACCTTGGAGTGGAATTGCTGGGTTATATGGTAACTCTGTATTTAAACTTTTGAGTAACTGTCTTTCAGAGTGTTTCACACTTTGCCAGACTGTTTTCCAAAGTGATGACAGCATTTTACATTTCCAGTAGAAGTATGAGGGTTCCAGTTTCTCCACATCCTTATCAACCCTTTGTATTATCTGTCTTTTTGATTATAGCCATCCTAGTGGGTATGAAATGGTGACTCACTGTGGTTTTCATTTACATTTCCCTAATGACTAATGATACTGAGCATCTTTTCCTGTGCTTAATTTCCCTTCTTTTGTGATAGTTTAATCATGTGTTTGTATTTTTAGATAATATGTTAATTAGTTTTACATGTTTTAATGTAATTTTTAAATTGATATATAATAGTTGTACATATTTTGGAGGTACATGTGATATTTTGATACCTGTATGCAATGCGTAGTGATCATGTTTTGAAATTTATATTAATGGAATTCTTTATGCAAGTATAATGTATGCAGTTGTACATCCTTCTGTAAGATACTTATTTAACTAAATTTAACACTTCTGGGGTTCTCCATATTGAGGCATGTGACTGTAGTTTATTTCACTTATGTGTATATTCCATTATGTGAATACAGCAAAATTTATTTAGTCATTCTTTTATTAATGAACTTTTAGGTTAGTTCCAATTTTTCATTATTATACATGAGGCTACTGTGAATATCTTTGCCTACAGACACACAGGTGCAATAATTTTTCTAGGGCATAAATTGAAGTGAAATTCCTGGGTCATAAGACATACAAAAGTTCACCTCTACTAGGTAAAGCTAAATAGTCTTCCAACATGGTTGTACAAATTCACACTCCCCCAGTAGTGTGTGAGCATTTCTGTTACTCCATCCTCTCTCCAACATTAGACATTGTCAGGCCTCTGAGCCCAAGCCAAGCCATCGCATCCCCTGTGACTTGCACATATACGCCCAGATGGCCTGAAGTAACTGAAGAATCACAAAAGAAGTGAATATGCCCTGCCCCACCTTAACTGATGACATTCCACCACAAAGGAAGCATAAATGGCTGGTCCTTGCCTTAACTGATGATATTCCACCACAAAAGAAGTGAAAATGGCTGGTCCTTGCCTTAAGTGATGACATTACCTTGTAAAAGTCCTTTTCCTGGCTCATCCTGGCTCAAAAGCTCCCCCACTGAGCACTTTGTGACCCCCACTCTGCCCACCAGAGAACAACCCCCTTTGACTGTAATTTTCCTTTATTTACCCAAATCCTATAAAACGGCCCCATCCTTATCTCCCTTCGCTGACTTTTTTCAGACTCAGCCTGCCTGCACCCAGGTGATTAAAAGCTTTATTGCTCACACAAAGCCTGTTTGGTGGTCTCTTTACACGGACGCGCATGAAATTTTGTGCCGTGACTCGGATTGGGGGACCTCCCTTGGGAGATCAATCCCCTGTCCTCCTGCTCTTTGCTCTGTGAGAAAGATCCACCTACGACCTCAGGTCCTCAGACGACCAGCCCAAGAAACATCTCACCAATTTCATATCCGGTAAGCGGCCTCTTTTTACTCTCTTCTCCAGCCTCCCTCACTATCCCTCAACCTCTTTCTCCTTTCAATCTTGGCACCACACTTCAATCTCTCCCTTCTCTTAATTTCAATTCCTTTCATTTTCTGGTAGAGACAAAGGAGACATGTTTTATCCGTGGACCCAAAACTCCAGCACCGGTCATGGACTAGGGAGGGCAGCCTTCCCTTGGTGTTCAATCATTGCAGGGACACCTCTCTGATTATTCACCCAGGTTTCAGAGGTGTCAGACCATGTGGGGATGCCTGCCTTGGTCCTTCACCCTTAGTGGCAAGTCCTGCTTTTCTGGGGAAGAGGCAAGTACCCCAATCCCTTCTCTCCGTGTCTCTACCCCTTCTCCGCCTTTCTGGGGGGCAAGAAACCCCCAACCCCTTCTCCATCACCCTTAGTGGCAAGTCCCGCTTTTCTGGGGGAGGGTCAAGTACCCCAACCTCGTATCTCTGCACCCCAATCCCTTATTTCCACACCCCACCCTCTTATCTCTGTGCCCCAATCCCTTATTTCCGCCCCCGAACTCTTATATCTCTGCACCCTGATCCCTTATTTCCGCACCCCAACCTCTTATATCTCTGCACCCTGATCCCTTATTTCCATGCCCTGACCTCATATCTCTGCACCCCGACCCCTTCTCTGCTTTTCTGGAGGGCAACAACCCTCCACCCCTTCTCCGTGTCTCTACTCTTTTCTCTGGGCTTGCCTCCTTCACTATGGGCAAGCTTCCACCTTCCATTCCTCCTTCTTCTCCCTTAGCCTGTGTTCTTAAGAACTTAAAACCTCTTCAACTCTCACCTGACCTAAAATCTAAGCATCTTATTTTCTTCTGCAATGCTGCTTGACCTCAATACAAACTCGACAGTAGTTCCAAATAGCCGGAAAATGGCACTTTCAATTTTTCCATCCTACACGATCTAAATAATTCTTGTCATAAAATGGGCAAATGGTCTGAGGTGCCTGACTTCCAGGCATTCTTTTACACATGAGTCCCTCTCTAGTCTCTGTTCCCAGTGCAACTCATCCCAAATCTTCCTTCTTTCCCTCCCACCTGTCCCCTCAGTCCCAACCCCAAGTGTTGCTGAGTCTTTCTAATCTTCCCTTTCTACAGACCCATCTGACCTCTCCCCTCCTCCCCAGGCTGCTTCTCGCCAGGCTGAGCTAGGTCCCAATTCTTCCTCAGCCTCTGCTCCTCCACCCTATAATCCTTTCATCACCTCCCCTCGTCACACCTGGTCCAGCTTACAGTTTCATTCCGTGGCTAGCCCTCCCCCACCTGCCCAGCAATTTACTCTTAAAAAGGTGGCTGGAGCTAAAGGCATAGTCAAGGTTAATGCTCCTTTTTCTTTATCCCAGATCAGATAGCGTTTAGGCTCTTCTTCATCAAATATAAAAATCCAGCCCAGTTCATGACTCGTTTGGCAGCAACCCTGAAACGCTTTACAGCCCTAGACCCTAAAAGGTCAAAAGGCTGTCTTATTCTCAATATACATTTTATTACCCAATCTGCTCCCAACATTAAATATAACACCAAAAATTAAATTCTGGCCCTCAAACCCCACAACAGGATTTAATTAACCTCACCTTCAAGGTGTACAATAATAGAAAAAAGTTGCAATTCCTTGCCTCCACTGTGAGACAAACCCCAGCCATATCTCCAGCACACAAGAACTTCCAAATGCCTGAACCGCAGTGGCCAGGCGTTCCTCCAGAACCTTCTCCCCCAGGAGCTTGCTACAAGTGCCAGAAATCTGGCCCCCAGGCCAAGGAATGCCTGCAGCCCAGGATTCCTCCTAAGCCGCATCCCATCTGTGCGGGATCCCACTGGAAATCGGACTGTCCAACTCACCTGGCAGCCACTCCCAGAGCCCCTGGAACTCTGGCCTAAGGCTCTCTGACTCCTTCCCAGATCTTCTTGGCTTAGCGGCTGAAGACTGACACTGCCCGATCGCCTTGGAATCGCCCTAGACCATCACAGACGCCGAGCTTCGGGTAACTCTCACAGTGGAAGGTAAGCCCGTCCCCTTCTTAATCAATACGGAGGTTACCCACTCCACATTACCTTATTTTCAAGGGCCTGTTTCCTTTGCCTCCATAACTGTTATGGGTATTGACAGCCAGGCTTCTAAACCTCTTAGAACTCCCCAACTCTGGTACAATTTAGACAATACTCTTTTAAGCACTCCTTTTAGTTATCCCCACCTGCCCAGTTCCCTTATTAGGCCGAGACACTTTAACTAAATTATCTGCTTCCCTGACTATTCCTGGATTACAGCTACATCTCATTGCTGCCCTTCTTCCCAATCCAAAGCCTCCTTTGCATCCTCCTCTTGTATTCCCCCACTTTAACCCACAAGTATAAGATACCTCTACTCCCTCCTTGGCAACCGATCATGCACCCCTTACCATCTCATTAAAACCTAATCACCCTTACCCTGATCAATGCCAATATCCCATCCCACAGCATGCTTTGAAAGGATTAAAGCCTGTTATCACTTGCCTGCTACAGCATGGCCTTTTAAAGCCTATAAACTCTCCTTACAATTCCCCCATTTTACCTGTCCTAAAACCAGACAAGCCTTACAAGTTAGTTCAGGATCTATGCCTTATCAACCAAATTCTTTTGCCTATCCACCACATGGTGCCAAACCCATATACTATCCTATCCTCAATACCTCCCTCCACAATCCATTATTCTGTTCTGGATCTCAAACATGCTTTCTTCACTATTCCTTTGCATCTGTCATCCCAGCCTCTCTTTGCTTTCACTAGACTGACCCTGACACCCATCAGGCTCAGCAAATTACCTGGGCTGTACTGCCACAAAGCTTCACAGACAGCCCCCCATTACTTCAGTCAAGCCCAAATTTCTTCCTTATCTGTTACCTATCTCAGCATAATTCTCATAAAAACACAAGTGTTTTCCCTGCTGATCGTGTCCGATTAATCTCTCAAACCTCAATCCCTTACAAAACAACAACTCCTTTCCTTCCTAGGCATGGTTAGTGTGGTCAGAATTCTTACACAAGAGCCAGGACGGCACCCTGTAGCCTTTCTTTGCAAAAAACTTGACCTTACTGTTTTAGCCTAGCCCTCATGTCTGTGTGCAGCGGCTGCCGCTGCTTTAATACTTTTAGAGGCCCTGAAAATCACAAACTACGCTCAACTCACTCTCTACATTTCTCATAACTTCCAAAATCTATTTTCTTCCTCATATCTGACGCATATACTTTCTGCTCCCCGGCTCCTTCAGCTGTACTCACTCTTTGTTAAGTCCCACAATTACCATTGTTCCCAGCCTGGACTTCAATCCGGCCTCCCACATTATTCCTGATACCACACCTGACCCCCATGACTGTATCTTTCTGATCCACCTGGCATTCACCCCATTTCCCCATATTTCCTTCTTTCCTGTTCCTCACCCTGATCACACTTGATTTATTGATGGCGGTTCCACCAGGCCTAATTGCTATACACCAGCAAAGGCAGGCTATGCTATAGTACAAGCCACTAGCCCGCCCCTTAGAACCTCTCATTTCCTTTCCATCGTGGAAATCTATCCTCAAGGAAATAACTTCTCAGTGTTCCATCTGCTATTCTACTACTCCTCAGGGATTATTCAGGCCCCCTCCCTTCCCTACACATCAAGCTCAAGGATTTGCCCCTACCCAGGACTGGCAAATTAGCTTTACTCAACATGCCCCGAGTCAGATAAGTAAAATAACTCTTAGTTTAGGTAGACACTTTCACTGGATAGGTACAGGCCTTTCCTACAGGGTCTGAGAAGGCCACCGCAGTCATTTGTTCCCTTCCATCAGACATAATTCCTCAGTTTAGCCTTCCCACCTCTATACAGTCTGATAACAGACGAGCCTTTATTAGTCGAATCAGCCAAGCAGTTTCTCAGGCTCTTAGTATTCAGTGAAACCTTTATATCCCTTATGGTCCTCCGTCTTCAGGAAAAGTAGAACGGACTAAAGGTCTTTTAAAAACACACCTCACCAAGCTCAGCCACCAACTTAAAAAGGACTGGACAATACTTTTACCACTTTCCCTTCTCAGAAGTCAGACCTGTCCTCAGAATGCTACAAGGTATAGCCCATTTGAGCTCCTCTATAGACGCTCCTTTTTATTAGGCCCCAGTCTCATTCCAGACACCAGACCAACTTAGACTGTGCCCCAAAAAAACTTGTCATCCCTACTATCTTCTGTCTAGTCATACTGCTATTCACCATTCTCAACTACTCATACATGCCCTGCTCTTGTTTACACTGCCGGTTTCCACTGTTTCTCCAAGCCATCACAGCTGATATCTCTTGGTGCTATCCCCAAACTGCCACTCTTAACTCTTGAAGTAAATAAATAATCTTTGCTGGCAGGACTATGCTGAATCTCCTTAAGCACTCTCTAATCAGGTATCTTGGGTCGTCCCAATTCTTAGACCTTTTATACCTGTTTTTCTCCTTCTGTTATTCCATTTAGTTTTTCAATTCATACAAAACCGTATCCAGGTCATCACCAATAATTCTACATGACAAATGTTTCTTCTAACAACCCCACAATATCACCCCTTACCACAAAATCTCCCTTCAGCTTAATCTCTCCCACTCTAGGTTCCCACGCCGCCCCTAATCCCGCTTGAAGCAGCCCTGAGAAACTTCGCCCATTCTCTCTCTCCATACCACCCCCCAAAAAATTTTCACCACCCCAACACTTCAAAACTATTTTGTTTTATTTTTCTTATTAATATAAGAAGGCAGGAATGTCAGGCCTCTGAGCCCAAGCCAAGCCATCGCAACCCCTGTGACTTGCACGTATACGCCCAGATGGCCTGAAGTAACTGAAGAATCACAAAAGAAGTGAATATGCCCTGCCCCACCTTAACTGATGACATTCCACCACAAAAGAAGTGAAAATGGCCGGTCCTTACCTTAAGTGATGACATTACCTTGTGAAAGTCCTTTCCCTGGCTCATCCTGGCTCAAAAGCTCCCCCACTGAGCACCTTGTGACCCCCACTCTGCCCGCCAGAGAACAATCCCCTTTGACTGTAATTTTCCTTTATTTACCCAAATCCTATAAAACAGCCCCACCCTTATCTCCCTTCCCTGACTCTCTTTTCGGACTCAGCCTGCCTGCACCCAGGTGATTAAAAACTTTATTGCTCACACAAAGCCTGTTTGGTGGTCTCTTTACACGGACGCACATGAAAGACATTATCACATTTCTTAAATTAGTCTAACTTGTGTGAATAAAATTGTATCTCAATCTGGTTTTAATGTACATGTACCCGATTACTAATGAGATTGAGCATCTTTTCACATTTCTGTGGACCATTCGTATTTTTTCTTTTCTGAAGTGCCTAAGTGTTTCGCCCATTCTTCTGTTGTGTTGTCTTTTAAAAATTGATTTGTAGTTCATTTTATAGTGTGAATACTGACACTTTGTCAATCGTATATGTTACAAGATTTCCAAACACTGTCCTCTCCTTTTATTCTCTTTATTATATATTTTGGTGAGCAAAAGTTCTTAATTTTAATGGAACTAAGTCTGTAATCATGTTATGTGATTTTGTGTTTTTTTTCTTAAATAAATTTTTTCTTACTTCAAGTTCATAAAGCTATACTCTCAAATTATCTTCTAAGTGCTTTATATCTCTGCTTTTCATATTTAAAGATGTGCTTGAACTGAAATTGATTTTAATGTATGGTGTAACCTAAAGTAACCTAAGGATGAAATTGAATTGTTTGTAACTCAAAGGATAAATTCTTGAGGGGGTGGATACTCCATTTTCCATGATGTGCTTATTTGACATTGCAAGCCTGCATCAAAGCATTTCATGTACCCCATAAATATACATACTTACTATGTACCTACAAAATTTTTAAAAGTAATAAAATAAAAGCCTATTACAATTTTTGTTAAAATTAATTTGACTCTACAGATTAGGGAAGAATTGACATCTCTATAAAATTGAATTTTCTGACAAATCAACATAGCATATTAAGTACTCCTTTATTTTTGTCTTTTTGAATATATTTCACAGATGTATCATTCTCCCCATTCAGCTTTGCACATCTTTAGTAGATTATCTCTTTTTTTTTGTCTCATAGACGGAGTCTCACTATGTTGCCCAGGCTGGCCTTGAACTCCTGGGCTCAAGCGATTGATCCACCTCTGCCTCCTGAGTAGCTGAAACTACAGGTACATACCACTGTGTCCAACTAACACCTCATGTGTTTTATGCTATTATAAGTTATGTTTCTTTAAAATTATACATTCTGATTGTACTAATGTTTTAGTTTTATATATTGCATTTTTGTCAAAATTGTTCAGCTCTTTAATTGGCTTGTATTTTTGTGTAGATTCTCTGCGAAAGACTACGTAGACATCATATCAACTGTGAATAATGACTATTTTGTTTTATCATATCCCATCTATACTCTTCAACTTCCTTCTATTGTATTGGTTAAAACCTCCAGTACAAGATTAAATACAAAAGTTGATGGTAAGTGCCCTGTATTTTTTTTTCTCTCCTGAATTTAAAGGGAATTTTTTCAACATTTCACCATTTAAATATAACATAACATTTGCAGTAGGTTTTTAGTATATGCCATTTATCAGAAAAGGAAATGTCTTTGTATTACTAGTTTGATAAGAATGTTTATCAGGAATTCATGTTGAATTTTATACAACATGTTTTTCTGTATTTTTTTAAGATGATTGTATTATATTTATTCTTTAAATTAAGATTGTAGGCAGAGCTTGCAGTGAGCTGAGATAGTGCCACTGCAGTCCCGCCTGGGCGAAAGAGCGAGACTCCGTCTAAAAATATATATATATATATATATATATATATATATATATATATATATATATATATATATATATATATATGGTAGTTAATTGTAATACTTGGTTTCTATTGTTAAGCCAACCTCTCATTCCTGAAATGAAATTAATTTGGCCATATGTTATCATCTTTTCCTACTATGTTTTTAAATTTAGTTTGCTTATATTTTGTTTAGGATTTTTGTATCTGTATTTATGATTTAAATTGGGTTTTAATTTTTGTTTCTCACATTATCTTTGTCAGTTTTTACTGTGCAATTATGCTGGCCTCATCAAATGAGTTGGGAAATGCTCTCTCTTTTTCATACTTCAGGATACCTTGCATAGTTTTAAAATGTTTGTTCTTTAATGTTTGCTATAAATCACTAAAAAAATCCACATAGGCCTGATGTGTTTCGTGGGAAGATTTTTTGGGGTAAATTTTTAGAGACAGAGTCTTGCTATGTTGCCCAGGCTGGAATGCAGTGGCTATGTACAGACACAGTCATAGCACAATACAGCCTCAAACTCCTGGTCTCAAGGGAATCTCCTGCCTCAGCCTCCCAAGTAACTGAGGCTGTGGGAGTATACCATCACACCCAGCCTATGGGAAGATTTAAAAGTTTCTATTCAATTTACTTCATACTTTTAAGACTATTGAAGTTCTCTGGGTTTTTTCTTTTGAGTCAGTTTTGTTGGTTTATATTTTTCTAGGAATTTGTACATTTCATTTAAGTTTTCAAGTGTATTGATACTCTTTTTAATATTCTCTAATTTTCTTTTGGTATCAGAAGTATCTGAAGTTACATCTTCATTTTTATTCCTTAGATTTATTTTATGTCTTCTCTTTTTTCTTTCTTGATCAATCTAGCCAGTTTTGTTTTTGTTGATTATTTTGATTATATTTTCATTTTATATTGACGTGAGTGATATAAGTACTGCGACAATCAAGACACAGAATATTTTTATTACTGTAAAATGGCCTTATGTTGTCCTTTGTAGTCAAACTCTACCCCATCTCTAACTCCTGATATTACTACTGAGCTATTTTCTCTCCCTATAGTTTTGTCTGTTTCAAAATGCTATTTACTGTTTATTATTTACTTATTTTTAATTTTTTTCTGAGTACATAATAGGTATATTTATGGGGTATATGAGATATTTTGATACAGACTTGGAGTGCCTAATAATCACACCATGGAAAATAGGGCATCCATCCCCTCAAGCATTATCCATTGTGTTACAAACAATCCAATTGTACTCTTTTAGTTATTTTTAAATGTACAGTTAAATTTTTATTGACTAGAGTCACCCCGATGGGCTATCAAATACTAGGCCTTATTCATTCATTTGAACTATTTTTTCTTACCCATTAATCATCCCCCAACTCCTCCCCACCCTCGTATAACTATCACATTTTCTTTATCCATTAATCTGTTGATGGACCCTTAGGATGCTTCTAAATCTTGGCCATTGTGAACAGTGCTGCAACAAATATGGGAACTCGGGTATCTCTTTGATCTGCTGATTTTCTTTCTTTTGAGTATGTACTCAGTGGAATGCTGGATCATATGGTAGCTCTATTTTTAGTTTTGTGAGGAACCTCCAAATAGTTCTCCATAGTGGTTGTACTAATTTACATTCCCACAAAAGGTGTACAATGGTTCCCTTTTATCCACATCCTTGCCAGCATTTGCTATTGCCTGTCTTTTGAATATAAGCCATTTAATCTGGGATGAGATGATATCTCATTGTAGTTTTGATTTGTACTTCTCTGATGATCAATGATGGTGAGCACTTTTTATATGTCTGTTGCCATCTGTATGCCTTCTTGTGAGAAATGTATATTTAAATCTTTTGCCTATTTTTAATTGGATTACTAGATTTTTTCCTATAGAGTTACTTGAACTCCTTATATGTTCTGGTTATTTATCCCTTGTCAGTTGGTGTATTAGTCCGTTCTTGCACTGCTATAAAGAAATACCTGAGACTGGGTTATTTATAAAGAAAAGAGGTTTAACTGGCTCATGCTTCTGCAGGCTGCCCAGGAAGCATGGCTGGGGAGGCCTCAGGAAACTTACAATCATGGCAGAAGGTGAAGGGGAAGCAGACACATCTTCACATGGTCACAGCTGAAGGAAGAGAGAGCGGGGAGGTGCTACAGACTTTTAAGCAATCTGATCTTGTGAGAATTCCATCATGAGAACAGCAGCAAAGTGGGATATCTGCCCCCGTGATCCAGTAACCTCCCACTAGGCCCCACCTCCAACATTGGGGATTACAATTCAACACGAGATTTGGGTGGGGACATAAATCCAAACCACATCAGATGGGTAGTTTGCAAATGTTTTCTCCCATTGTGTGGGTTGTCTCTTCAGTTTGTTGATTGTATCCTTTGCTGCACAGGAGCTTTTTTTTTAACTTGATGTGATCCCATTTGTCCATTTTTGCTTTGGTTGCCTGTACCTGTGGGGTGTTGCTCAAGAAATCTTTGTGCAGACTGATGTCCTGGAGAGTTTATCTAACACTTTCTTGTAGTAGTTTCATTGTTTGAGGTCTTAGATTTAATTCCTTAATCCATTTTGATTTGATGTTTCTATATGATGAGAGATAGGGGTCTAGTTTCGTTCTTCTGCCTATGGGTATCCAGTTTTCTTAGCACTATTTATTGAAGAGACTGTCTTTTTCCCAATTGCATGTACATGGTACCCGATATGGTTTGGATCTGTGTTCCTGCCCAAATCTCATGTCAAATTGAAATCCCCAGTGTTAGAGGTGGGACCTAGTGTAGCAGGAGGTGATTGGATCATGGGGGCCAAGTTCTCATGAATGATTTAGCACCATCTCCCTTGGTACTGTATACTGAGTGAGTTTTCACAAGATCTTGTTGTTTAAAAGCATATGGCACTTTCCCTCTCTCTCTCAGTCCTGCTCCTGCCATGTACAATGCTTGCTCCCACTTTGCCCTCCACTACGAGTAGAAGTTCCCTCAGGCCTCCCCAGAAGCAGTGGCTGCCATGCTTCCTGTACAGCCTGAAGAATTGTAAGCCAATTAAATCTCTTTTCTTTATAAGATACCCAGTCTCAGGTATTTCCTTATAGCAGTGCAAGTGAACTTCATCGAAAATGAGTTCACTGTAGGTGTGTGGATTTGTTTCTGGGTTCTCTATTCTGCTCCATTGGTCTGTGTGTTTGTTTTTATTCCACTACCATGCTGTTTGGCTATTAGAGATCTGTAGTGCAATTTGAAGTCAGGTAATATGATTTTTCCAGTTTTGTTCTTTTTGCTTAGGATAGCTTTGACTATTCTGGGTCTTTTGTTGTTCCGTATAAATTTTAGGATAGTTTTTTTCTATTTCTGTGAAGAATAACATTGGTATTTTAATAGGAATTGCATTGAATCTATAGATTGTTTTGGGTAGTATAGACATTTTAACAATATTGATTCTTCCAATCCATGAACATGAAATATCTTTTCATGTTCTTTGGTGTTCTCTTCAATTTCTTTCATTGGTGTTTGATAGTTTTCATTATAGAGATCTTTCACTTCTTTGGATAATTTCTAGGTATTTAATTTTATTTGTGGCTATTGTAAATGGGATTACTTTTTAAATATCTTTTTCAGATTATTCACTGTGGGTATATAGAAATGCTACCGATTTTTTAATGTGGATTTTGTATCCTGCAACTTTACTGAATTTATCAGTTCTGATAATTTTTTGGTGGAGTCTTTAGGTTTTTCCAAATATAAGATTATATCATTTTCAAACAAGAGTAATTTGACTTCTTCCTTTTCAATTTGGATGCCTTTTATATCTTTCTCTTGCTTGATTGCTGTAGATAGGACTTCCAGTACTATGTTGAATAACAGTGGTGAAAGTGGGCATCCTTATCTTTGTTGTGTTCCAGATTTCAGAGGAAAGGCTTCCAGTATTTCCCCATTCAGTATGATACTAGCTGTGGGTCTGTTAAATATGGCTTTTAATCTGTTGAGGCATGTTCCTTCTATACAAACTTTTTGAAGGCTTTTATCATGAAGGGATGTTGAACTTTATCAAATGCTTTTTCAGGATCAGTTGAAATGATCATATGGTTTTTGTCCTTCGTTCTGTTGATATGCTATATCACATTGATTGATTTGCATATGTTACATCCGAGGGATATATCCCACTTGGTCATGATGAATGATCTTTTTAAGTGTTGTTAAATTCAGTTTGCTAGTATTTTGTTGAGGATTTTTGCATTAATGTTCATCAGGGATATTGGCCTGTAGTTTGGATTTTTGGTGTGTCTTTTTCTAGTTTCGGTGTCAGAGTAATACTGGCCTTATAGAATGAGTTTGGAAGTATTCTTTCCTCTTCTATTTTTCAGAATAGTTTGAGTAGGATTGGTATTAGTTCTTCTTTAGATGGTTGGCAGAATTCAGCAGTGAAGCCATTGGGTCCTGAGCTTTTCTTTACTGGGAGACTTTTTATTATGGCTTCAATCTCATTACTTGTTCTTGGTCTGGTCAGAGTTTAGATTTATTCATGTTTCATTCTTGGTAGGCTGTATGTGTCTAGGAATTTGTCAATTTCTTCTAGATTTTCCAATTTATTGGCATATAGTTGCACATAGCAGCCTCTAATGACCCTTGGAATTTCTGTGGTGTCAGTTGTAAAGTCTCCCCTTTCATCTCAGATTTTACTTACTTGGATCTTCTCTGTTTTTTTCTTAGTCTGACTAAAGGTTAAACAACTTTTTGTGTCATTGATCTTTTGTAATTTTTTTTTTTTGAGACGGAGTCTCACTCTGTTGCCCAGGTTGGAGTGCAGTGGCGTGATCTTGGCTCACTGCAAGCTACGCCTCCCAGGTTCACGCCATTCTTCTGCCTCAGCCTCCCGAGTAGCTAGGACTATAGGCGCCTGCCACTACGCCTGGCTAATTTTTTTTTGTATTTTTAGTAGAGACAGAGTTTCACTGTGTTAGCCAGGATGGTCTCGATCTCCTGACCTCATGATCTGCCCACCTCGGCCTCCCAAAGTGCTGGGATTACAGGCGTGAGCCACTGTGCCCAGCCATCTTTTGTAATTTTTAAAATTTCAATTTTATTTATATCTGCTCTGATCTTTATTATTTTTTTTTCTACTAATTTTGGTTTGGTTTGCTCTTGCTTTTCTTGTGCTTTAAGATGCATTGTTAGATTATTTATTTGAAGTTTTTCTTCTTTTTTGATGTAGGCATTTATAGCTATAATCTTCCCTCTTAGTGCTGCTGCTCTTGCTGTGTCCCATAGCTTTTGGCATGTTGTGTTTCCATTTTCACTTGTTTCTAGAAATTTTTCAATATCTATCTTAATTTCTTCATTGAACCACTGGTCTTTCAGAGCATATTGCTTAATTCCCATGTATTTTTATAGTTTCCAAAATTCCTCTGTTATTGATTTCCAGTTTTATTCCATTGTTGTAGACAAGATGCTTGATAATATTTCAATTTTTGGAATGTTTTAAGACATGTTTAGTGGCCAGACATATGGTCTGTCCTTGAGAATGATCTGTGTGCTGAGGCAAAGAATGTGTATACTGCATCCATTGGATGAAATGCTCTGTAAATAGCTATTAGATCTATCTGGTCTATAGTGCAGATTAAGTTTGATGTTTCTTTGTTGATTTTCTTTCTAGAAGATCTGCCCAATGCTGAACGTGGGATGTTGAAGTCAAGCTATTATTTTATTGGGACCTATTCCTCTCTTTAGCGCTGATAATATATGTTTTATATATCTGGGTGCTCCACTGTTAGGTGCATATATATTTACAATGGTTCTATCCTCTTGCTGAATTGACCCTTTTATCATCATATAATGATCTTCTTTGTCTCTTCTTATAGTCTTTGTCTTGAAATCTATTTTGTCTGATATATGTGTAGTGACTCCTGCTCTTTTTTGGTTTCCATTGGCATGGAATATATTTTTTCATCCATTTATTTTCAGTCTATGTGTGTTCTTATAGGTGAAGAGTGTTTCTTGTAGGAAACAGATCTTTGAGTCTTCTTTTTTAAATCCATTCAGACACTGTATGTCTTTTGGTTGGAGTGTTTAGTCCATTGACATTCAACGTTGTTATTGATAAGTAAGGACTTACTCATGCCACTTTGTTATTGGTTTTGTGGTTTTCTCTTCCTTCCTTCTTTTCTTTCTGTCTTCATTTTAGTGAAGGTGATTTTCCCTGGTGATATGATTTAGTTTCTTGCTTTTAATTTTTTGTATATTTATTGTATTTTATTTTTGGTTTGAGGTTACCATGAGGCTTGCAAATACTATCTTATAACCTATTATTTTAAGGTGATAACAACTTAACACTGTTTGCATAAACAAACAAGCAAGCAAGCAAAAAGAAAACTAATAAAGACTCGATGGCTTAAATTAATACTATGGCCTTTTAAGTTTTTGTTGCTACTATTTATATCTTATCCCTCAGCTTTTGTTTGTCTGGGAAAGTATTTATCCTTCATGTTTGGAGGTTAATTTTGCCAGATATACTATTCTAGAGTAAAATATATTTTTTTTGTCCTTCAGTACTTTAAATATGTCATGACACTCTCTTCTGGCCTGCAAGGTTTCCACCATAAAGTCTGCTGCTGGATGTATTGGAGCTCCATTGTATGTTATTTGTTTCTTTTCTCTTGCTGCTTTTAGGATCCTCTCTTTACCCTTAATCTTTGGAAGTCTGATTTTAAAATGCCTTGAGGTAGTCTTTGGGTTATATCTGCTTAGTGTTCAGTAACCTTCTTGTCTTTGGATACTGATATTTAACTCTAGGTTTCAGAAGTTCTCTGTTATTATTCATTTGAATAAACTTTCTACCCCTCCCCTATCTCTTTATCTTCTCTTTAAGGCCAATAATTCCTAGATTTGCCCTTTGAGGCTATTTTCTAGATCCTGTAGGCATGCTTTATTGTTTTTCATTCTTTTTTTGTCTCCTCTGACTGTGTATTTTCAAATAGTTTGTCTTCAGGCTCACTAATTCCTTCTGCTTGATCAATTCTTCTTTTAAAAGACTCTGATGCATTCTTCAGTACATCAATTGCATTTTTTCAGCTCCAGAATTTCTGATTGATTTTTAAAAATTATTTCAATTTCTTTGTTAAATTTATCTGATAGGATTATGAATTCCTTTGTTGTATTATCTTGAATTTCTTTTAGTGTCCTTAAAACAACTATTTTGAATTATCTGTCTGAAAGATTGCATATCTCTGCCTCTCCAGGATTGGTCCCTGGTGCCTTACTTAGTTTCTTTGGTGAGGTCATGTTTTCCTGGATAGTCTTGATGCTTATAGATGTTTGTCTGTGTCTGGGTATTGAAAAGTTAGGTATTATTTAGGTCTTTGCAGTTGGATTTATTTGTACCCATCTTCCTTGGAAAGCTTTCCAGATATTTGAAAGGACTTGGGTGTTGTGATCTAAGCTGTATCTGCCTTAGGAAGAACCTCAAGACCAGTAACACTGTGGTTTCTTGCAGATTAGCAGAGGTACTGCCTTTATGGTCTTGGGCAAGATCCTGAAGAATTCCCTGGATTACTAGACAGAGACTCTTGTTCTCTTCACTTACTTTCTACCAAACAAATCAATTCTCTCCCTCTGTTACAAGCCTCCTGGAGCTGGGAGTGGAGTGACAAAAACACGTCTATAGCTACCACCCTTAGGACTGCACTGGGTTTCTCCCAAAACCTGTTGCAACCACTCCCTGACTACTGCCTATGTTTGCTCAATGCCCTGAGGCTCTACAATCATCAAGTGGCAAAGCCAGCCAGGCTTATATCCTTCCCCAGGGCCTGGGCAAGTCCAGAGGTGCCAACTGGGGGCCAGGGACTAGAGTCAAAAACCTTAGATGTGTACCTGATGCTCCATTGTACTGCAGCTGAGCTGACTTTTAAACCATAAGACACAGTCCTTCCCACTCTTCCCTCTTCTTTTCAATGGCAGAGAAGCCTCACTTTGTGGCCACCACCACCTCAGGCCCATGAGGAGTACTACCAGACTATTGCTCATGTTCCCTTAGGGCTAAGGACTCTTCAGTCAGCTTATGGTGAATACTGCCTGATCTGAGACTCACCCTTCAGAGGAATGGGCTCCTGTATGGCCCAGGGCAGGTCCGGAAATGCTGTACCAGAGCCAAATCTTAGAATTGTGGACCCCAAGAGCCCTCTTTTTGCTCTACCCACCTCTGGCCAAGGTGCTACCTAAGGTGCAAGACAAAGTCCCTTAACTTTTTTCTCCACTTTTCTCAAGCAGAAAGGGTCTCACCCCACAGCCACCACAGCTGGAAATTTGCTGTGTCTCATCTGAAGCTAGCAAGTCTGAGTCTCATTCAAAGCCCTTGACACAGTACTTGGGTATTGCTGCTGGGTATTCAGGGGCCAAGGGCTCTTCAGTTAGCAGGTGATGAATTTTGCCATGACTGGGTCCTTCCATTCAAGGCAGTGGATAGCCTCGTGGCCCAGAGTGTGTCTAGAAATGTTGTCTGGGAGCTGGGGCCTGGAAAGAGGATTTCATGACTCTGACTGGTACCTTATCCTGATGTGGCTCAGCTGGTATCCAAGATGCAAGACAAAGTCCTCCCCACTCTTCCATCTCTCTTCCTCAAGTGGAAGGAAGAGGTCTCTTTTGAAGCCATGAGCTGTGCAGCCTGGCATTAGGGGAGGGTTGATGCCAGCACTCCCTTAGTTGCCCTGGCTGGTGTCTTAGTAGGTCATGTGGACCCCTAGTCCACTGTCTCTGGACCCAGTTCAGCACTAGAGCTCACCTAGGTATTACAGTCCTTATTGCCTAGACTGCCTTTCAAGTTTAGTTGGAGCCCTAGAGCACTTTAGCCTGTGGCGGTGAAGCTTATGGGAGCTAGTTCCAACTGCTGGGATTGGTGATTCCCCCCCTGGCTAGGGCTGATTTAAATGCCCCCTCCATGAGCAGGTGTCAGCTGAGTTTGGTCCAGTTTTGCTTTCTGCTGTAACAAGGGCAGCACTGAGTTCATTGCTGGCTCGCCTTCTCCCCAGGACACAGAAACACTGTCAGCACTACGCCACTGCTGCTTGGTGATGGGGAAGAGGTGGTGTCAGTGATTCAAGCCTGTTTTTCCTACCTCTTCAGTGCTTCTTTCAGCGCTATGAAGTAAAACCAGGTACTGTGAGTGTTCACCTGATTTTTGGTTCTTATGAAGGTGCTTGGCTGTGTATAGATAATTGTTACATTGGTGTCGTTGTGGGGAAGACAATCAGTGGAGACTTCTATTCTGCCATCTTGCTCCATTCCTCTCACCAGAATGCTATTTAATTTAAATTATACAGTATATAGCCTTTTGAGTTTGGCTTCTTTCACTAACAAATCTTATCCTGAATTTTACTCCATTTTAATTCTTCTTGACTTATGAAATCATACTTGTATTTAGAAACAAATCATTACAGAAGAAATATAAGAATAATTGGTAATTTGCTGGTGTACATTCTCAAGTACAATTTTAAAAATATTTCACTATATTTCTACCTAATTTTTTGATCCACTTTTTTCTTTTCTTTTTCTTTCTTTTTTTTTCTTTTTTTTTTTTTTTGAGATGGAGTCTGTCTCTGTTGCCTAGGCTCTGGAGTGCGGGGGTGCCATCTCACCTCACTGCAACCTCCACCTCCTGTCCTGGGTGTTCAAGTGATTCTCCTGCCTCAGCCTCCCGAGTAGCTGGGATTACAGGCGCCCGCCACCACATCCAGCCGGTTTTTGTATTTTAGTAGAGACAGAATTTCACCGTGTTGGCCAGGTGGGTCTCGAACTCCTGACCTCAGGTCATCCGCCCACCTGGGCCTCCCAAAGTACTGGGATTACAGGTGTGAGCCACTGTGCCTGGCCTTGATCCACTTTTTAAGTTAATTGTATAAATTTTCCAATTTTAATTTTCAAATCATAAAATCAATATGTGCTCATGTTGACAATTTAATTTGAAGAATTTTGAGGAAGTACATTCCTTAGTTTTACTCTCCAGACTTTGTGGCTACTGTCAATTTCTTGAGTATGTCTGAAGACATTTTATATGCATATGTAGGGGCATACTTTGGTGATATTGTGGGTTTGGTTCCAGGCTACTGCAGTAAAGTGAGTATCACAATAAAATGACTCACGCAAATTTTTTTCCAGTGAATATAAAAATTATGTTTATACTGCAGTAGCACTACATCTGAAAAAATACATTTACCTTAATTTAAAAAATATTTTATGGCCAAAAACTGCTAATAATTATCTGAGCCTTCAGCTAGTTGTAATCTCTGCTAGTGGAGGATCTTGTCTTGATGTTGATGGCTGCTGACTGGTCAGGCTGGTGATGTTGAAGGTTAGGTTGGTTGTGGCAATTTCACAAAATAAGACATCTTAAATTGAAGCTTGCCACATTGATTGACTCTTCCTTTCATGAAAAATTTCTCTATAGAATGTGATGCTATTTGATAACACTTTACTCAGAGTAGATCTTCTTTCAAAATTGAAGCCAATCCTTTCAAACCATGTTGCTGCTTTTTCAACTAAGTTAATGTAATATTCTAATTCCTTTGTTGTCATATCAACAATGTTTACAGCATCTTCACCAGGAGTAGATTCCATCTCAATAAACCACTTTCTTTGCTCATCCATAAGAAGTAACTCCTCATCCATTCAAGTTGCATCATGAGAATGCAGCAATTCAATCACACATTTAGGTTCCACTTCTAATTCTAGTTCTCTTGCTATTGTTTTGTTTTGTTTTTTTTTTACCATATCTGCAGTTACTTCCTCCCCTGAAGTCTTGAACCCCTCAAAGCATCCTTGAGGGTTGGAATCAACTTCCTCCAAACTTCTGTTACTGTTGATATTTTGACCTTTTCACACAGATGAATGTTCTTAATGACATCTAGAATGATGAATTCTTTCCAGAATGTTTGCAATTCATTTTACTCAGTTACATCAGATAAATCACTATCTGTGGCAGCTATAGCCTTTTGAAATGTATTTCTTAAATAATAAGATTTAAAAGTCAAAATTACTCCTTGATATATGGGCTACAGAATGGATGCTGTGTTAGCAGGCAGGAAAACAACATTAATATCCTTGTACATCTCCATTAAAACTCTTGGGTAACCAGGGGCATTGTCAATAAACAATAATATTTTGTAAGGAGTCTTTTTTTCTAAGCTGTAGGTCTCCACAGTAGGCTTAAAATATTCAGTCATGTGCAAAGATATATGCTGTCATCCAGCCTTTTTTGTCCATTTATAGAGCATAGGCAGAGTATATTTAGCATGATTCTTAAGGGTCATAGGATTTTCAAAATGGCAAATGAGCATTGGTTTCTACTTAAAATCACCAGCTGCTTTAGCCACTACCAAGAGAGTCAGTCTGACCTCTGAAGTTTTGAAGCCTGGCATTGACTTCTCCTCTTGAGCTATGAAACTTCTAGACACCATATTCTTCCAAAAGAAGGCTGTTTCATCTACACTGAAAATGTGTTGTTTAGTATAGCCACCTTCATCAATGATATTAGCTTGATCTTCTGAATAACTTACTGCAGCTTCTACATCAGAACTTGCTGCTTCACCTCACACTTTTATGTTACGGAGATAGCTACTTTCCTTAAACCTCATGAACTGATTTCTGCAGCTTCTCCAACTTTTCTTCTGCAGCTTTCCCACCTCTCTCAGCCTGCATAGAATTTAAGAGAGTTTAGGGCCTTGCTTTGGATTAGGTTTTGGCTTAAGGGAATGTTGTGATTGGTTTGATCTTCTGTATAAACCACGCAGACTTTCTCCAAATCAGCAGTAAGGGTATTTCAGAAAGGCCTTATCCATGTGTTCACTGGAGTAGCACTTTTAATTTCCTTCAAGAACTTTTCTTTTGCATTCACAACTTAGCTAATTGTTTGCCACCAGAGGCCTGGCTTTTGGCCTGTCTCAGCTTTCAATATGCCTTCCTCACTAAGCTTCATCATTTCTAGTTTTTTATTTCAAGCGAGAGACTTGTGATTCTTCCTTTCACTTGAGCCCTTAGAGGCCATTGCAGGGTTATTAACTGGGCTAATTTCAATGTCGTCTCAGGGAATAGAGAGGCCTAAGGAGGGAGAAAGAGAGAGACACACACACAGGGGAAATGGCCCGTGGGTGTGTGGCAGGCCAGGTCTTCATTAGCAACCAGAACAGTCAGTTTCCACTAATCCTTTACTATAATTCTGATGAATGTATAAGTTAAATATTAGGAACTAGGGAAACTGCTGCCTTAGTACAAGGGCTGAAATGTAAAAACAAACCCATCAAGACCCCACCTGGGCTTTCTCAGACCTTAAAGACTGATACAATGATGAAGGCATTTTTCTCTTTTTTGTTATTGTTTTTGTTTTTGAGATAGAGTTTAGCTCTTGCTGCTCAGGCTGGAGTGCAATGGCGTGATCTCAGCTCACTGCAAACTATGTCTCCTGGGTTCAAGCAATTCTCCTGTCTCAGCTTCCTGAGTAGCTTGGATCACAGGCATGCGTCACCACGCCCAGCTAATTTTGTATTTTTAGTAGAGACGGGGTTTCTCCATGTTGGTCAGGCTGGTCTCGAACTCCCGACCTCAGGTGACCAGGCCACCTTGGCATCCCAAATTGCTGGGATTACAGGCGTGAGCCTCCACTCCTGGCTGATGAAGGCATTCTTACACACATCTTGTACCAGGGCCCACTTAAGATTAAGTAATTTGTCCAGGGCTCTAAAGAAACTTTCCAGGCCCTAGAACATAGTTAAAGATTAGATTGAATGAAACACTCTTGCTGGTAGGTGCACACTCGCATGTAGACATATAACTTGAATGTATATAAGCACTGAAAAAAAACTTGTAACTCTCAGTTGATCTGATGAACTTCCCTGACCTTCTCCCTGTGGCTGCTTACAGAAATAAACTCTCTTATTTCCAGGTAATCTGCATCTCATTAATTGGACCATAAGACCAAGCAGCCACACCTCAGTTTTATCCGGGTACAAAATCTGGCAGCTCCACTGGGACAGAGCTGCCCTCAGCAGCTAGAGGCTTGTGACCTGACGGTCTTTAGGAGACTCCCAGCAGCTGCTAGGTACAGTTTGTCCTGAGGACGCTTCTGAGAACTTTCCCTGGGCAAAAGGACCACCCATCCCCTTGCTACTGGGGTAGAACAGGGGCTAGGACACTGAAGGGGTGAGTAAAACTGGATCATAAGCAGGGAGTCTATTGTCTTCCTTATCGGGGCTTGCAAAGCCATTCATTTTGGTACCCTTAAGGAGACAATAGGGCTAATTTGTACATCTACTTTGCATTTGTTTGAAATATATTTACATTTGGCTGTGAGAATCTGTTTTTGTGTGTCTGTTATCTGTTAAGTTTTGAGCACTCAAGATGGGAAACACTGTCTCTGTTCCTGCCCATCGCCCCCTAGGGAGAATTCTGGCAGATTGGAAACAATATGGTTATCCACCCATGACTAAAAAGAAATTAATCTTTTACTGTAACATAGCTTGGCCAATGTATGTTTTAGAGTCTGAAGAAAGGTGGCCAGTTTGTGGGACCTTGAACTTTCACACCATCTCTCAGTTAGAACTATTCTGCCAACGGTTGGGAAAATGGGGGGAAATGCCATATGTCCTGGCATCCATGTTACTGTATGATTAGGATGTTAAGAAAGAAGGGAATAAGTTAATGGTACAATACACTGCTAAGGTTTGTCCTGACTCCTAAGGGGAGGAAGAAAGGACTCAGAAACCCAACAGTTAATAAATGCTCTTAACCCCTATAGTAGCTACTGCTCCAGTGCTAAGGCAAGGAAAGGAAGAGTTACTGCCCCCAGAATATAAGGAAGCCGCAGAGTTAGTGTCTCCCTCTCGAACTAGGCAAGGTACTAATTTGGGGAGGTCACTGACCCTGGAGCAGGGCAATTTCCACTATGACAATACCCAGTAGGGGTTAATCAGCAAGGAGCTCTGGCTGGATATTATTGGGCCTACAATCCTTTTTCCACATCCAACTTGTTAAATTGGAAAAACATCCTTCATATAGACAGGATCCCCAGAAAATGACTGAATTATATACTACTATATTTGCTACTCATTGTAGCACATGGGCAGGTGTGTAAGCCCTCCTGAATATTATGCTCACTGCAGATGAGTGGCAGCTAGTTTTAGACAAAGCAAAAGAGGAAGTGCAACACCTTTATGATGAGGACCTAGATGATACTCCAGATTCTGATAGGGCAATCCTCTCTATGGACCCAAGTTGGTACCCTAATGAGGCCAATGCGGCTGGCATGGTTCACTTGGAACACTACAGGAGATACATATTAAAAGGCATGAAATCAGCTGGGCATGGTGGCTCATGCCTGTAACCCCAGCACTTTGGGAGGCCAAGGCGGGTGGATCACCTGAGGTCAGGAGTTCGAGATCAGCCTAACCAACATGGAGAAACCTTGTTTCTATTAAAAATACAAAATTAGCTGGGCGTGGTGGTGCATGCCTGTAATCCCAGCTATTCGGGAGGCTGAGGCAGGAGAATCACTTGAACCTGGAAGGCGGAGTTTGCAGTGAGCCGAGATCATGCCATTGCACTCCAGCCTGGGCAACAAGAGCAAAACTCCGTCTCAAACAAAAAAAAAAAGGCATGATATCTGGAATGCCTAAACCTAAGAGCTTAAACAATGTACAGCAGCTCCAATAAAAACCTAATGAGGAACCCTCTGAGTTCATGGAACATATTGTCAGGTGTTCAGAAAATATACAGACCCCTACAAGATCCTGAAAATGTCAATATGGTTAATATGACTTTCATAGGGCAAAGTACCCCTGATATCAGGAAAAAGTTCCAAAAGATAGAAGGGGCCTTTGGGACGAATGCCTCCCAATTGATTGATATTGCATTAAAGGTTTATAACAGCAGAGAAACCAGGGAAGTTAAAAACCTGTGACAGGCAACAATACTTCTAGCCACAGCAGGAGGAAATCCAAAAGGAAAGAGATTCCAAAAATGGAGAGGAAAAATAGAAAAGGATCAATGTGCTTGCTGCTGGGAAACAGGACATTGGGACAAGGTTGTCCAAAATTAAGCCAGAGTGAACCAAAATCACTGATGGGAGTTAAGCCTGGAAATGAATTTGAGGAAGATTGAAGGTGCCCAAGGCCCCCAACAGCTCCAACCCTATCTGATATTAAAATCTCCCCACAGGAGCCTGGGGTAAAATTGACAGTAAAGAAACAAAAAGTGGATTTCTTAGTCCACATTGGCACTCCTTATTCAGTGGTTAACACCCCAGTAACTGGACTTTCTAATACTTCTGTTAATGTGGTTGGGATAAGCAGAGAACTAAGATCGGAATGGTTCCTGTGTCCCCTCTCTTGTAAAGTGGGCAATGAATTAATACTCTTAAATTCCTTTATGTGCCAGAGTTCCCAGTCCCTTTACTTGGCAGAGACCTGCTATGTACCTGCTATGTAAGTCTGTAATCCCGAGAAACACCAGATGTGTCTCCCAAGTGCCTCTGGAACATGGGTTTCAGCTGCAGGCGCTCCTAACAGACTCAGAGGCTTCCAACTCTAAAACAGGGACTATTCCACAGGAAATCCTTGACAAGGTAAGCTCAGAGATTTGGGCTTCACATGGGCCCAGGAAGGCCATCAGTGTGGACCCAGTGAAAATTAAAATTAAGGAAGGAGCCTAGCCAGTCCAGAAGAAACAATACACTTTAAAAAGAGAAGCACTAGAAGGCATTCAACCAGTCTTTGTCCAGTTCTTGTAGTATGGCCTAATAGTACCCCATCATTCTCCTTACAACACTCCAATTTTGCTGGTGAAAAAGCCTCACTCACACAAATTTTAATTTGTACAAGATTTAAGGGCAATTAATGACATTGTAGAAGATGTACATCCCACTGTAGCTAACCCATGTACTGTGTTTATTTCTCTTCCTGGAGATCGTGAATGGTTTACAGTATTGGATTTAAAGGATGCTTTCTTTTGCATACCTGTACGCATAGAAAGTCAATTGCGGTGTGTCTTTGAATGGACAGATCCTGAAGCCGCAACTCAGTTTCAGTGTTATTGGATTGTGTTCCCACATGGGTTTAAAAACTCTCCAACTATATTCGGAGAAGTCTTGGCTCAAGACTCAAGAAGTTTACAATTGGAAAATGGGGTGTTGTTAGAATACATGGATGATTTACTAATATCTAGCCCCTGTGAATGGGGATGTCAAAATAATACCATTAAAACTCCAAATCACCTAGCAACCCATGGGTACAAGGTTTCAAGTAAAAAGGCTCAAATATGCAGAAAAACTGTGGGGTACTTAGGGTTTCTCTTGCAGAAGGGAACCAGAGCCTCGATGGTGGAAACATGAAATGCAATTGCCTCCATCACCACACCCTCTACTAGAAGACAGCTGAGAGGATTTCTGGGTATGGCAGGGTTTTGTTGCATTTGGATTCCTAACTATGGACTGCCAGCAAAGCCACTATATGAGCTGTTGAAAGGGGCTGACAATGATCCCTTCAACTGGGAAGTGAAACAAACACCAACATGCATTCAAACAACTGAATGTAAGTTAATTTCTGCACCAGTCTTGGGGCTTCCAAATCCTCACAAGCTCTTTCAACTGTACAATCATGAGAGACTGGGTCTGGCACTCAGGGTCCTCTCCCAAAAGTTAGGAGAAATATTACAGCCAGTAGCTTACTTTTCTAAGCAGCTGGTGACTGTGGCCAAAGGCTGCCCACCCCCTTGTTTAAGGGCAGTCTCTGCCACCAGCCTGCTGTTAAAGGAAGCTGAGAAGCTAACTTTGGGACAGCCTGTCACAGTCTATGTGCCTTGCCAAGTGCTGGTGCCACTGGAACAAAAGGGAGACTATTGGCTGACAGCAGCAAGTTAGGCAAATGCCAGGCCATTTTTAAATGACCCCACAGTGAAATTACAAACCACCAGAGCCCTGAACCCAGCTACTTTACTTCTTCCTACCAAAGAACCAAAACAACCTATGCATAATTGTTTATAAGTTATTGATCAAGTATTTTCCAGCCATCCTGATTTGAAGAATACAGCCACGCTGCATGTAGATTGGACATTTTTCATAGATGGGAGCAGCCTGGTAACCAATGGAAGAAAGAATGCTGTATATGCTATGGTGACCTCTTAAGAGGTAGCAGAGGCAAGGACTTTACGTGGGAACCTCTGCACAGAAGGCAGAGCAAATCACCCTTATAAGAGCCTGCAGTTGTCCCAAGGTAAAAACACCAACATCTATGCTGATTCTAACTCTAAATATGCATTCATGATAGTCCATGCTCATGGGGACATTTGGAAGGAGAGGGGATTACTGAAGGCTGTCAATACTGAAATTAAATATGCCACACAAGTACTGGAATTACTAGAAGCAATAAAGGCTCTACAGGTGGTTGCTGTAATGCATTGTCTTGGCCATCAACACAGCAATTTCAAAATAGCAAAGGGAATGCCTTTGCAGACCACACTGCCTGGCACTTAGCCAGCATTGAATTCCAGACACCTCTAATTCCTCAAATAGATTTAACAGGCTTTAGGCCCCAATATAGTCCTTGAATGAGAAAAGTGCAGAAAGCAAGGGAGTTGCTTTAAATAAGGAAGGCTTGAAAGTAAATAACAAGGGCCTAATTTGGATACCGGCTCAACTTGTCCATCCAATGTTAAAGTATATCCATGATAGCACACACTATGGGTGAGAGTGTTCATTAGCCTTCATTCAGTGGTATTAGAGAGGGAAAGGGCTAAAAGCTAATTTGGAAAATACAGTCCAGTGCTGTTATCTGTGTGCTAGAAATGAACTTAACAATCACAGTTGAGGACAACCCAGACATCAAAACAGAGGAAAATACCCACTGGAAAATTGGCAAATAGACTTTCCTCAAATGCCACCCTCCCGTGGAGGATACAAATACCTCTTAGTTCTAGTAGACACCTTCTCTGGCTGGGTAGAGGCTCACAGAATGAGCAACTGAAGTAATTAAAGTTTTCTTAAAGGAAATCATACCTCAGTATGGGCTTCTGGACATAATTCAAAGCGATAATGGGCCCTCATTCACATCTGACATAACTCAATAAGTAAATAAGGCACTTGGAATAAAATGGAAACTACATTCGGTGTGGAGACCTCAATCTTCCGGACAGATGGAAAGAATGAATCTAACACTGAAAACAATCATTGCCAAACTGTGCTGGGAAACCCAGTTAAAGGGAATTCAGGTACTCGGCATTGCACTGCTCCGGGTAAGGGTAACCCCCAAAGTGGGATTAAGTCTCGTCTCTACAAAATTATATTTGGGAGACCCTTTGCTGCTAATCCATCTCGGGTTACTGAGGCACCCCTTAACAGGGAGTTAACTATTAAAAACTGTGTTACTCACTTGGGACAAACTCTTAACCTTTTGCATAAATTTAACAGGAGCATTGTGAACTCTGAAGAACTGTGCCACACATTCCAGCCCGGTGATCAAGTGCTATTAAAAGAATGGAAAGAAACAGACCCTGCTTCCCAGCTGCAGGAGAAATACAAAGGGCCCTATGATGTGCTGCTAAGCACCAGTTCAGCACTGAAACTGGTGGACATCAAGCCATGGATCCACTACACACGATTGAAAAAGTTCCTGCAAGAAGAAACATCCACGACAGAGGACACCAAGGCCACCGAATGGGAGATGGAACCCCTGGAAGGCCTAAGATTTCTGTTCAACAAATGACAAGATTTTCCCTTATAATATTTTTCCTTTCTGCTCCTTTTGTTGTTAATGCCTCTACCTCTAACGTTTTCCTACAATGGGCACACAGTTATGCAGATGGCTTACAACAAGGAGACCCTTGCTGGGTCTGTGGTTCGTTACCCGTCACTAACACCATGGAGCTACCTTGGTGGGTCTCCCCGCTACAAGGGAAAGACTGGGTTTTTTTTCAAAGCTTTATAGGGGATCTTAAACAATGGACAGGGGCACAGATGACTGGGGTAACTAGAAAAAACATTTCAGAATGGCCTATAAATAAAACTTTAAATGAGCCAGGGCATGATAAACCATTCTCAGTAAATGAGACAAGGGATAAAGTAATAGCCTTTGCCATCCCCTTGTTGGATACCAAGGTGTTTGTCCAGACTTCCAGACCTCAGAACACTCAATATAGAAATGGGTTTCTCCAGATATGGGACGGGTTCATTTGGCTGACAGCCACTAAGGGACACTTAAGCCAGATAGCTCCCTTATGCTGGGAGCAAAGAAATCACTCCCTTGATAACTGGCCAAACACAACTCGTGTTATGGGATGGATTCCACCTGGACAGTGCCGACATACTATACTGTTACAACAGAGGGACCTATTTGCCACAGACTGGTCTCAGCAACCTGGCTTGAATTGGTATGCTCCCAACGGAACCCAGTGGCTCTGCAGCCCAAACTTATGGCCTTGGCTTCCCTCAGGTTGGTTAGGATGCTGCACTCTAGGTATTCCCTGGGCACAAGGACGCTGGGTAAAAACCATGGAAGTCTATCCTTATCTTCCACATGTGGTTAACCAAGGGACTAGGGCCATTGTTCACAGGAATGATCACCTACCCACAATCTTTATGCCCTCAGTAGGTTTAGGAACTGTAATACAGCACATAGAGGCTCTAGCCAATTTTACCCAACGGGCCCTAAATGACAGCCTCCAAAGTATTTCTCTCATGAATGCTGAAGTGTATTATATGCACGAGGACATCTTACAAAACCGAATGGCCCTAGATATTTTAACTGCGGCTGAAGGAGGAACCTGTGCCCTCATCAAAACTGAATGTTGTGTGTATATTCCCAATAACTCTAGAAACATTTCCTTGGCCTTAGAGGATACATGTCGGCAAATCCAAGTCATCTCCAGCTCTGCACTGTCACTCCATGACTGGATAGCATCTCAGTTTAGTGGAAGACCTTCCTGGTGGCAGAAAATCCTCATTGTCCTTGCCACCCTCTGGAGCGTAGGCATAGCACTGTGTTGTGGACTGTATTTTTGTCGCATGTTTTCCCAACACATTCCCCAAACTCATTCGATTATATTTCAACAGGAACTTCCCTTGAGCCCCCCAAGTCAGGAGCATTACCAGAGCCAAAGAGACATCTTCCACTCTAACGCCCCCTGACAACGACCCTATTCAGCAGGAAGTAGCCAGAGAGACTACGTAGCCCATTTCTCTTTAGTCTGCTATGTTATAGTTTACACTTTTGTACTAATCTTTAATGAATTAATCTTAAAAAAAGTAACTGACATGATAGGAATCATGCACAAATTGTGGGGACTGTGGCAGGCCAGGTCTCCGTTAGCAACCAGAACAGTCAGTTTCCACTAACCCTCTACTGTAATTCTGATGAATGTGTAAATTAAACATTAGTAGTTGGAGAAACTGGTGCCTTAATACAAGGGCTGAAATGTGAAGACAAACCCATTAAGACCCCACCTGGGTTTTCTCAGACCTTAAACCCTGATAAAATAATGAAGGCATTTTTACACACACCTTGTACAAGGGCCCACTTAAGATTAAGTAATCTTTCCAAGGTTCTAAAGAAACTTTCCAGACCCCAGACCCTAGTTAAAGATTAGATTGAGTGAAACACCCCTAATGGCAGGTGCACACCACATGTAGGCATATAGCTTGAATGTATATAAGGCCTGAAGAAAAACTTGTAATTTTGAGTGGTCTGGTGAACTTCCCTGACCTTCTCCCTGTGGCCGGTTACAGAAGTAAACCCTCTTCTTTACCAGTCTGTCCACATCTCATTAATTAGACCATGAGACCAAGCAGCCAGACCCGTTTTGTCCAGGTACAGGTGGAGCAGTTGGAACATACACATTTATCAATTAAGTTCACCATCCTGTATAGACATGATTCGTGGTGTCCCAAAACAATTATGATAGTAACATGAAAGATCACTGATTACAGATCATCATAATAGGTGTAACAATAATGAAAGCTTGGAATATTGCAGGAAGCACCAAAACATGACAGAGACAGGAAGTGAGCACATGCTGTTAGAAAAATGGTGCTGAATGCAGGTTGCCACAAACCTCCCTTTTTTTTTTTTAAATGCAGTGTCTGTGAAATGCAATATAGCAAAGTGCAATAAAAAAGGCATGCCTGCATATATCCTCTTCTTCATATGTAACAAGATAATATACAAACTTCACTGTCCCTTTTTTACTTACTGGCAGAGACTGCTGGTTATTACCAGTATCTATTCTCTACTTCTTCCTTCATAATAAAGCCTCAGACTTACAGCAGAGTATATGGCTGCCCAGAATAAAGAATATATTTCATAGTTTGTGTGGCAGGAACACTTGGTCCTGTGACTAAATTCTGGCCAATGAGATGTAAACACCAGTACAATGTGGCTGCTGGTACACGTTCTTTTCTTCTTCTTTTGCTGTCATCCTCATGCCTGGGATGCAGATATTATTTCTGAAGTTCTATTCCCTATCTTTGCCTATGAAGACAAGGGCCACATCACAGGGAAGATAGAGCACTGACCTAGGTGGGTCTCAGGCCCTCAAGAGCTTCATGGAGCAGAGCTGCTACACTAACTCCCTACATCCACAGTTATAAACAAGACAGAAATGACTCATCATCAAATAAAATCATGGAATCAAAACTTTTAAGTGTTGATCTTGTAATTTTTTTCATTTTGTTCTTTTTCATAAAGTGTGCAACATTGTGTTTGAGAGTGCCAGTTTCAAATCACATGTGTTTTCAAATGACATGAAGAATAGCTATAAAGACAGTTGGTTTATTATACTAAATTTGTAAATTTAGTACAAAGGAGAGAGTGTACTATTGAGAGGTGACAGCGTGCTGGCAGCCCTTACAGCCCTCGCTTGCTCTCGGTGCCTCCTCTGCCTGGGCTCCCACTTTGGCGGCATTTGAGAAGCCCTTCAGCCCACTGCTGCACTGTGGGAGCCCCTTTCTGGGCTGGCCAAGGCCGGAGCTGGCTCCCTCAGCTTGCAGGGAGGTGTGGAGTGAGAGGCAGGAGCAGGAACCGGGGCTGCGGGCGGCGCTTGCGGGCCAGCTGGAGTTCTGGGTGGGCGTGAGCTTGGCGGGCCCGCACTTGGAGCAGCCAGCCGGCCCTGCTGGCCCCGGGCAATAAGGGGCTTAGCACCAGGGCCAGCGGCTGCGGAGGGTGTAATGGGTCCCCCAGCAGTGCCAGCCCACCAGCACTGTGCTCGATTTCTCACTGGGCCTTAGCTGCCTTCCCATGGGACAGGGCTCAGGACCTGCAGCCTGCCATGCCTGAGCCTCCCACCCACTCCATGGGCTCCCGTGTGGCCCCAGTCTCCCTGATAAGTGCCGCCCCCTGCTCCACGGCACCCAGTCCCATCGACCACCCAAGGGCTGAGGAGTGCGGGCGCACGGCACGGGACTGGCAGGCACCTCCACCTGCAGCCCCAGTGCGGCATCCACTGGATGAAGCCAGCTGGGCTCCCGAGTCTGGTAGGGATGTGGAGAACCTTTATGTCTAGCTCAGGGATTGTAAATACACCAATCAGCACCCTGTGTCTACCTCAGGGTTTGTGAATGCACCAATCAACACTCTGTATCCAGCTACTCTGGTGGGGCCTTGGAGAACCTTTATGTCTAGCTCAGGGATTGTAAATACACCAATCAGCACTCTGTATCTAGCTCAAGGTTTATAAACACACCAATCGGCACCCTGTGTCTAGCTCAGGGTTTGTGAATGCACCAATCGACACTCTGTATCTAGCTGCTACTCTGGTGGGGCCTTGGGGAACCTTTGCGTCCACACTCTGTATCTAGCTAATCTGGTGGGAGGTGGAGAACCTTTGTATCTAGCTCAGGGATTGTAAATGCACCAATCAGCTCCCTGTCAAAACAGACCACTGGGCTCTACCAATCAGCAGGATGTGGGTGGGGCCAGATAAAAGAATAAAAGCAGGCTGCCTGAGTCAGCAGTGGCAACCCGCTCGGGTCCCCTTCTACACCGTGGAAGCTTTGTTGTTTCACTCTTTGCAATAAGTCTTGCTACTGCTCACTCTTTGAGTCCACACTGCTTTTATGAGCTGTAACACTCACCACGAAGGTCTGCAGCTTCACTCCTGAAGCCACAGAGACCACAAGCCCACCGGGAGGAACGAATAATTCCAGACGCGCTGCCTTAAGAGCTGTAACACTCACCGCGAAGGTCTGCAGCTTCACTCCTGAGCCAGCGAGACCACAAACCCACCAGAAGGAAGAAACTCCCAACACATCCGAACATCAGAAGGAACAAAACTCCAGACGCGCCACCTTAAGAGCTGTAACACTCACCGAGAGGGTCCGCGGCTTCATTCTTGAAGTTAGTGAGACCAAGAACCCACCAATTCCGGACACACTATTACTGGGACTGGAAGGTTCCCCCAAGACACAGCAACGGGTTTGTTGGCTGTCAGGTAGAGACCCATAGCTGGGCTTTTATGAGGGAAATACTCTTGGAGACCATCGGCTAACACCCCTCACCTCCAATTTACAAATGAAGACACCGTATCCCACAGAGTTTCAGGTAGCCTGCCTTAAACGGCAGAACCTGTTTTACGGTCTAGCTGCAGCTTCATTCCATGATTGGGTCAAATCATGTCTTCTTTAGCCTCAGTTTCTTTACCTGTGATAGGAGATACATGACAATCTTGCAGAGATGTTATAAGTATTAAATAGGCATTTTCATATCCCTACACAATCCCTAGCACAGAGGTGCTCAAAAATAGCCCTTTCCTCCCTTGACTGCCCTGCCCCAAGATTTTGTGGCACCCAAACTTCCACATGCCTCCTTCTTCAGCTGTTATGTCCTCCTAAATAGTCTCAAAGGATTGTTTGCTGAGGGATTTGGCTCTTCAACTTCTAGACACAGGATCAAATTCCTCCCATGTAAATCTGCAGCATTAATTCTTAAGTAAGATCTCCACAAATGTGATAAACTCATGATTAAGGACTAGCTTCAGCAACAACAGCGGTAAAGCTGATATCAGCAGGTGTTTGAAGCCCAGTGCTTGGCTGAGTGTTCTTCGTTAATCCCTGATTTCAAAGAAAGAAATTATCTTTGCCTATTTACTTTGCCTGAGTGGTTTGCTCAGGTCAGCAGAATCCTATTAATTATAGAATTGGACAAATATTAGCTCTCTCTAAAGCTTCTTGCTGTGCTGAAACTTTATGTCTTAGAGTGTTAGTTTAGATAGTTTCTGAATTGGATTGGAGGCATTATACAGGCTTAGGCTATATGGTAGTTTTATACGCTCTCTTAAACTCAATGTATTATGGTTTATTACCTCCATAAATTTTCCTAACATCAGCTTTTCCTTAACCATCTTCTTTGGCCATTTGCATCTTACTGATGACTACTTTCTTTGTTTCTAAATAGTGAGTCCGTTTAGGGTAGGCCTCAAATTGTGAGCTTTGTCCTCTGCAATACTTAAAACAAGTGCTTTACTTATAGTAGGTGCTGAATGAATAAGTGATTGGATAAAGAAACAAATTAACAACACATGGACACAGGGAGGGGAACAACACACACTGGGGCCTGTCAGGGGAGGGTGGGGGAAGGGAGGAGAGCATTAGGGAAAAGAGCTAATGCATGCTGGGCTTAATACCTAGGTGATGGGTGATTGGTGTAGCAAACCACCATGGCACACGTTTACCTATGTAACACACCCGCACATCCTGCACATGTACCCCAGAACTTAAAAAAATAAAATAAAATATAAGCACATAAATATTCAAAAAAGGAACACTGAAAATAAATATCCATTAAATCTTAAAAAAAACAAATGAACAAGCAAATAGGTTTTTCTCAGGGTTTTGTTTCATATATTAAATATATTCAGCCATGTCACAAAAGAAATTTGTGGATTTAAGAGATCATAATCCCATCATGAAAGACCTTTCTTTAAACTCTATTTTTAAGAACTGAGTTCAATATTAATTAAGAATAAGCTTAGCAGAGACTGAGAGGAAGCTTAAAATAACAGTGACTTGAACAAAAGTGTAATTCAGTATAATTTTTTTCTCATATTGAGGAAGCTCAGAGGTCTATCTCCAGGACTGGTATGGCCCCATGATGACAGGCACTCAGGCTTCTTTCACCTTCTAGTACTGCTAGCCTCAAAATGTGGCTTCTACTTCATGGTCTAAAGTGGTTGCTCAAACTCCTGCCATCATGTCAGAATTCTCACCTGATGGAAAAATGAAGAATACACTCTCTTCTTTAAAAATACTTCCTGGAAGTTGCTTCCACTATTTCTGCTTGCACTTCATTGGCCAGAACTCATTCACAAGGGAGTCCAGGAAATGTAATTTTTATCTTGGGCGCCGTGTGCCTGCCTAGAATCAGGGGTCCTATTGCCAAAGGAAGAAGGATAGAAGCAATATTGGGGGATGAAGAAGAGTCTCAGGCAGTTTTCCATTGCTGTTTGGATAAAGTATGAACTCATTGTTATGCTCCACAAGGCTCTCATCAGAGAGCCTTGTGTGTTTACTCACTGCTTGGTCTCTGGGCTCATCTCTCGTTTCTCATTTATATTGTTTTATCTCTGTTTTCCTACTTTCATTTTCTCTAAAGGGTGGGCTCTATCCCACCCCAATGCCTTTGCACAAGCTCTCACTGCTGAGATTTAAGAATCCTGGATTAAGCTCTCTGTCCACATAATATTTTTTCATAACATCTCATACTTTCTCTTTGTAGCACCTACCACAATTACAACTATAAATTATTTATGTAATGATTTACTTTATATCTATCTCTCTGATTAATCTATAAGTAGTATAAGTGCAGGGACTTTGTTTTGTTCATGCCTATATTTCCAGTGTCAAACATAGTATTTGGCACAAATTAGACACTTAATAACTCTTTGCTGGGTAAATGAGTGAACTTTCTAATAGAATTCTCTCATTTTACAAATGAGGTAATAGTTTAACCAGAGTATTCGAAGAATATGGATTCTAGCTTCCTGAATTAGTTACAATGAAGGTTTAAACTGATATTAAAAGTCTTACTAAAACATTCCAGTCTAATTATTTCCTGCCTTAGTAAGGACAATGCATCAAGTAATACTTACTCTTCCTTTGATGGTCAAAGGAAGGTTAACATGCCTGAGGGTCAGTATTATAACTATTGATCAGCACTGACCAAAACCACAAATGCGGAACAAGAAAGCAATCGTGTGGAACCTGTGTGACTCTGGGATTAGCCTAGAAATTTCTCTTAAACAGATCAATTCAACAAGAAGAGCTAACTATCCTAAATATATATGCACCCAATACAGGAGCACCCAGATTCATTAAGCAAGTCCTTAGAGACCTACAAAGAGACTTAGACTCCCACACAATAATAATGGGAGACTTTAACACCCCACTGTCAACATTAGAGAGATCCACGAGACAGAAAGTTAACAAGGATATCCAGGAATTGAACTCAGCTCTGCATCAAGTGGACCTAATAGACATCTACAGAACTCTCCACCCCAAATCAATAGAATATACATTCTTCTCAGCACCACATCGCACTTATTCCAAAATTGACCACATAGTTGGAAGTAAAGCACTCCTCAGCAAATGTAAAAGAACAGAAATTATAACAAACTGTCTCTCAGACCACAGTGCAATCAAACTAGAACGCAGGATTAAGAAATTCACTCAAGGCTGGGTGTGGTGGCTCACGCCTGTAATCCCAGCACTTTGGGAGGCCAAGGCGGGCAGATCATGAGGCCAGGAGATTGAGACCATCCTGGCTAACATGGTGAAACCCCGTCTCTACTAAAAACACAAAAAATTAGCCGGGTGTGGTGGTGGGCGCCTGTAGTCCCAGCTGCTCGGGAGGCTGAGGCAAGAGAATGGTGCGAACCTGGGACCAGAGCTTTCAGTGAGCTGAGATCCCGCCACTGCACCCCAGCCTGGGTGACAGAGCGAGACTCCATCTCAAAAAAAAAAAAAAAAAAGAAACTCACTCAAAACTGCTCAACTACATGAAAACCGAACAACCTGCTCCTGAATGACTACTGGGGACATAAAGAAATGAAGGCAGAAATAAAGATGTTCTTTGAAACCAATGAGAACAAAGACACAACATACCAGAATCTCTGGGACACATTTAAAGCAGTGTGTAGAGGGAAATTTATAGCACTAAATGCCCACAAGAGAAAGCAGGAAAGATCTAAAATTGTCACCCTAACACCACAATTAAAAGAACTAGAGAAGCAAGAGCAAACACATTCAAAAGCCAGCAGAAGGCAAGAAATAACTAAGATCAGAGCAGAATTGAAGGAGATAAAGTCACAAAAAACCCTTCAAAAAATCAGTGACTCGAGGAGCTGGTTTTTGAAAAGATCAACAAAATTGATAAACCGCTAGCAAGACTAATAAAGAAGAAAAGAGAGAAGAATCGAATAGACGCAATAAAAAATGATAAAGGGGATATCACCACCGATCCCACAGAAATGCAAACTACCGTCAGAAAATACTATAAACACCTCTATGCAAATAAACTAGAAAATCTAGAAGAAAAGGACAAATTCCTGGACACATACACCCTCCCAAGACTAAACCAGGAAGAAGTTGAATCCCTGAATAGACCAATAACAGGCTCTGAAATTGAGGCAATAATTAAGAGCCTACCAAGCAAAAAAATCCAGGACCAGACGGATGCACAGCCAAATTCTACCAGAGGTACAAAGAGGAGCTGATACCATTCCTTCTGAAACTATTCCAATCAATAGAAAAAAAGGGAATCCTCCCTAACTCATTTTAAGAGGCCACCATCTTCGTGATACCAAAGCCTGGCAGAGACACAACAAAAAAAGAGAATTTTAGACCAATATCCCTGATGAACATTGATGCAAAAATTCTCAATAAAATACTGGCAAACCAAATCCAGCAACACATCAAAAAGCTTATCCACCATGATCAAGTGGGCTTCATCCCTGGGATGCAAGACTGGTTCAACATACACAAATCGATAAATGTAATCCATCATATAAACAGAACCAAAGACAAAAACCACATGATTATCTCAATAGATGCAGTAAAGGCCTTCGACAAAATTCAACAGCCTTTCATGCTAAAAACTCTCAATAAATTAGGTATTGACGGGACGTATCTCAAAACAATAAGAGCTATTTATGACAAACCCACAGCCTATATCATGCTGAATGGGCAAAAACTGGAAGCATTCCCTTTGAAAATGGGCACAAGACAGGGATGCCCTCTCTCACCACTCCTATTCAACATAGTGTTGGAAGTTCTGGCCAGGGCAATCAGGCAGGAGAAAGAAATAAAGGGTATTCAATTAGGAAAAGAGGAAGTCAAATTGTCCCTGTTTGCAGATGACATGGTTATATATTTAGAAAACCCCATCGTCTCAGCCCAAAATCTCCTTAAGCTCATAAGCAACTTCAGCAAAGTCTCAGGATACAAAGTCAATTTGCAAAAATCACAAGCATTCCTATACACCAATAACAGACAAACAGAGAGCCAAATCATGAGTGAACTCTCATTCACAATTGCTTAAAAGAGAATAAAATACCTAGGAATTCAACTTACAAGGGATGTGAAGGACCACTTCAAGGAGAACTACAAACCACTGCTCAACAAAATAAAAGAGGACACAAACAAATGGAAGAACATTCCATGCTCATGGATAGGAAGAATCAGTATCGTGAAAATGGCCATACTGCCCAAGGTAATTTATAGATTCAATGCCATCCTCATCAAGCTACCAATGACTTTCTTCACAGAATTGGAAAAAACTACTTTAAACTTCATGTGGAACCAAAAAAGACTCCACATTGCCAAGACAATCCTAAGCCAAAAGAACAAACCTGGAGGCATCATGCTACCTGACTTCAAACTATACTACAAGGCTACAGTAACCAAAACAGCATGGTACTGGTACCAAAACAGAGATATAGACCAATGGAACAGAACAGAGCCCTCAGAAATAATACCACACATCTACAACCATCTGATCTTTGACAAACCTGACAAAAAACAAGAAATAGGGGAAGGATTCCCTATTTAATAAACGGTGCTGGGAAAACTGGCTAGCCATATGTAGAAAGCTGAAACTGAATCCCTTCCTTACGCCTTATACAAAAATTAATTCAAGATGGATTAAAGACTTAAATATCAGATCTAAAATCATAAAAACCCTGAAGAAAACCTAGGCAATACCATTCAGGACATAGGCATGGGCAAGGACTTCATGTCTAAAACACCAAAAGCAATGGCAACAAAAGCCAAAATTGGCAAATGGGATCTAATTAAACTAAAGAGCTTCTGCACAGCAAAAGGAACGACCATCAGAGTGAACAGGCAACCTACAGAATGAGAGAAAATTTTTGCAATCTACTCATCTGACAAAGGGCTAATATCCAGAATCTACAAAGAACTTAAATTTATGAGAAAAAATCAAACAACCCCATCAAAAAGTGGGTGAAGGATATGAACAGATACTTCTCAAAAGAAGACATTTATGCAGCCAACAGACACATGAAAAAATGCTCATCGCTGGCCATCAGAGAAATGCAAATCAAAACCACAATAAAATACCATCTCACACCAGTCAGAATGGTGATCATTAAAAAGTCAGGAAACAACAGGTGCTGGAGAGGATGTGGAGAAATAGGAACACTTTTACACTGTCAGTGGGACTGTAAACTAGTTCAACCATTGTGGAAGACAGTGTGGCAATTCCTCAAGGATCTAGAACTAGAAATACCATTTGACCAGCCATCCTGTTACTGGGTATATACCCAAAGGATTATAAATCATGCTGCTATAAAGACACATGCACACGTATGTTTATTGCGGCACTATTCACAATAGCAAAGACTTGGAACCAACCCAAATGTCCATCAATGATAGACTGGATTAAGAAAATGTGGCACATATACACCATGGAATACTATGCGGCCATAAAAAAGGATGAGTTCATGTCCTTCGTAGGCACATGGATGAAGCTAGAAACCATCATTCTGAGCAAACTATCGCAAGGGCAGAAAACCAAACACCACATGTTCTCACTTATATGTGGGAATTGAACAATGAGAACACTTGGACACAGGGTGGGGAACACCACACATCAGATCCTGTCGTGCAGTGGCGGGAGTGAGGAGGGTTAGCACTAGGAGATATACCTAATGTAAATGATGAGTTAATGGGTGCAGCACACCAACATGGCACATGTATACATATGTAACAAACCTGCATGTTGTGCACATGTACCCTAAAACTTAAAGTATAATTAAAAAAAAGAAAGTTCCCTTAAACAAATGTGCTCAACATTAGCTAGTTTTCTTTTCAATTGCCTCTTTCTTCTAAAAGTAGTGTGCTAAAAAATTAGAGGGATTGTGTTTCCCAGTTGACAGAGGATTAATTTTATGTAGGAATTGTCACACTTGTGTTTTGAAAGAAAAAAATAACTTCTTAAAAAGTGTCAGTTACACATTGGGGCTGTGCAATGACAATCATGTCTGGCTTCAACAATTCATTTTTTAAAAACAGCTGGGGGAAAACAGTGTTATTTCTTGTCCTGATATTTAAATATCAGCTGCTAGAATCAATAGGAAGGAGGGAGGCCAGGAAGAAGGAGGACAATCTTTGGAATACCCTGAATTCCAGTGATGACCCAGAATCTTATAGCATGTCATGCTTTGGGGATTTAAGTTGTCTGGAAAGCTGTGAGTCTCAGTTTTCCTGGGATATGGGACTTCGATGGATTTAGGAAACAGAATCTTTATATTTGTCAGACTTCTCAAACCACAATACTTTTTTGGCATTTGCCCAACATTTTAATTTAATAAGAATGTCTTGAATCTTTAAAAGTTTAGTATTTTTAATCTTTAAAAACATTATCTTTAACTAAAATATCTTTCCAAGTATTTGAAATAACATTTACATGATAATGTATTTCCTCCAGTTTGGAAGTTCCTTCCCTTTCCCCAGTGCCTCTCTGCCTTTGTCAAGGTTGGCACCTCTTGCCTTTGAAATATAGGAAAATTAACAAATCATGGAGCTAAAAGTAGGAGATGAAAGGGTATAGAGACAAAATATCTGACGGTGACAATCTTTAATTTCAACTGAAGCCAGTTCTATTCCCAAACCGTTCCCAAAATACTTTGTCTTCTGGAGAAATGTAGTCATCAAAGTCTAAACACAAACTGGGAGTAAAGGCTAAAATTTTATTCATTTAAAAATGCTACTTCACAGTGTATTTCAGCAACTAACACTTCAGATTAAATTGGTATATAGTTTAAAATATGCACCTATCTCTTCTTGTTAAAAAAATGCCTATGCACCTATTCTTAGTAGCTTTAAGGGAGGTTTGAATCAATGGGAACGACTAGGCTTTCTGGCAAGGCAGCTGTCATTCAATGAATCTTCTAGTTACTCGGTATTCAGTATGATGTGATCAACTAGAAATGAAATCAGTCAAGTAGGGCTTTGTATCTGGAGGCAAGGGACAGCAGTGAGGAGAAGTAGTTCCCAGGGGGATGATGATACGGACATGGAGGCAGGAGAGCAGGGTCCCTGGTGAGGGCTCCACCCTCATGCCTGGACCTGCGGCCCTAAATGAGAACAGGCATTCCTGTTTTTCACCCAAATGCTGCCTTTTGGCCTGCCACACTACCCTATCCTGTGTCCATATAAACCCCAAACCCCAGGTTCCACGAGCAGAAGGGTGGCAGAGTGGAAGAGCAGCAGAGCAGTACAGCAGAGAAGGAGAGAAGAGAGGAAGCATATGAACGTTGAGAGGAGTCTGGCTGTGGACAGTCAGAGAGATCAGCCGCAAGATGGCCAAACTCCAGGGGAAGATCATCTTCCCACTCCATCCCCTCTCCAGCTACCCATCCTGCTGAGAGTCACCTCTAACACTCAATAAAATCCTCGTATTCTCCATCCTTCAAGTCCATGTGGACTTGATTCTTCCTGGACACTGGACAAGAATTTGAGACATACTGGGTGCAGGAACCCAGAAAGGCCGTCACACTGAGCTGTTTAATACTTAAGCCATCCCCAGACAGCAGGACTAAAAGAGCATTGTAACACCCCTAGACACTGCCATGAGGCTGGAGCCCAAAAGCACTTGCCCTGGCTCCTGCACCTGCTCACCTGACTACTCCAATCCCGTAAGGGGTTTGAGCACATGATGGCAAATGTGTCACACACCTGTCACAAGTCCCATGAAGGGGTCCAGAAAACGCTCCTGTCTCAATGACAGGATGCAGGTAGTGTCTACCCTGCTTCTGCCCAGTGGGGACATCCATTTTCAGCTTAGATCCCAGTGAGGAAGTGACACTCCTGTCACAAAGATGGTAAACAGACTCTCCCTTTGCTCTGGTTAAGTGACAGATGCCACCCAAATGTAGGCAGAGTGCACAGAGAGGAAGAGAGAGAGCCTGGCACAGGGCAGCCATTCCTGAGAGAATAGGTAGAGAGCCAGCATTTTTGGTAGGCAGAGCTTATGGAGGTAATCAAAACCTTAACAATGCTACAATGAAGTCTCAATTCTGCTTTACACATAGAAATACAGAAGAAATCAGGGCCAGTACTGAGAGGGTGGAGAGGAACAGAGCATGGAGCATACAAAAGGAAACCAGCACATTGAAAAATAAAGAAGGGGTATCTCTTGTAGTGCCACTCAAGGTGTGGATTGGTGTGGGGCCACAGATTGCTAGTTACTAGTCTGCAATAAGAGAAATACAGAAATTTAGAGAAAGCATTTAGAAAACATTATAGGAATCTGACACTGTTGCAGAACCTAAGCATGGTCCCGAATTCTTATAATTTATCTTGTAGAGCTATCTGTTTGGGTTGAAGGTAAAAAGAAAATATAAGAGACATATATCTAATATTATTCAAGCCATACAGAAAGTCATGAGTCTGTTGAACAAGGTGCTTGGCAGAATGGGTATTTCAAAACAACTCGAACCATGTATTTCCTCTGCTCTCACACTGCAACAATCAACACAGAAGAGTTTTGTGACTAAATGTGGGGATTTTGGCCCACACATCAAGCAGCAGACAACAACTGGGTGTCCTCCAATTCAATTCCCACATAATCTACCTGGAGACAGTGTCAGATCCCACAGGGTTGTGGCTCATTCTTGCCCCTGCAAGATGGCTTCAAGTCGGGATTCCCATGACCCTCTCTCTGGGTTTGATTAATTTGCTTGAGCAGCTCACAGAACTCAGGGAAACATTTACTTACATTTACTGATTTATTATGAAGGATATTACAAAGAATACAAATGAAGAGACACGTAAGGTGTGGTACAGGTAAAGGAGTGCAGAGCTTTCATACCCTCCCAGGGTGTGCCACCCTCCAGGAGGAACCTCCAGATGTTCAGCTATCTGGAAGCTGCCTTCAATTCCTGTTTTCTTAGGTTTTTATGGAAGCCTCATGACGTCAACATTCCTTCTCCCAGGGTATGGGGCAGGACCCTTTCTGGAATGAGGGTCTTATGATTCACACTCAGAAAGATCAGGGAAGATTAGAGTCCTCACTAGGGGAAGGTGGAAAAAGGTCAGAAATATTCTGTTTCCTGAGGCCTAACATACCCAACATTATAACAAAAGACTATAACAAAGGTTATGGGAGTCATAAGCCAGGAACCCTGGATGAAAAAGTATATGTAAAACACCACAGTGGGTAGTTAGGAGTTAAAATAAGAGAAGGCATGACCCCAAGGGATAATAGTCAGGGTAGAAAAAGAGTGGACTCCTCCCACTGAACAGGATAGAAATCACTATCTGGCCCTTTACAGAAAATGTTTGCCCTGTTCTAGGCTGTTGTTTATCCTATTATTCCCCAATTTATCTCACGTTACACACAGTCACAATGTCCTCTCACATACAGTCTCTCTCCTTTAGACTTCACAGTGACCCATAAAAGTAGGCAGTTTTCCCCATTTTATAGATGAGGAAACCAAGGTATAGAAAGGTTAAATGAATTGCCCAAGATTATGCAACTGACTAAGAGGCAGAGATGAGACTCCAGTTCACATCTTCTGACTTCAAGTCTAGTGTTTTCCCACCTAGCCTCCACTCCTCAGGCTCCAACATGAAAGATATACACCTAAAATTACCCACTCCTTACAGAAAGCCATGCAGCTATTGAGGGATGTCCTTGCTTGAATGCATGGGTATTTAGAAGTTAAAGTAAGGACAGGCATGATGTCTTTCAGAGCATTGAAGAAACCTGGAAAGGTCTAATGGTGATAGAGAAACTGAGGCTCAGGTACTGGAAGACTTTTTTGACACTACAATGTCTCTGTTGCAACTACTGCATTCTGCCAATGTAGTGTCAAAAAAAATCTCCTATAATATGTAACAAATGCCTTAATCAAACTTTCGTTAACAAAACCAGGAAGTGGGCTGGTTTTGGTCCAAGCACCATAGTTGGTCAACCTCTGAACTAGAAGCCTAGAGACTTGAATTGTAATCCTAGCTCTGTTTTAATCTTGGTAGGTAACCTAGTCTAAGTTATTTCTAGTACCTGAGCCTCAGTTTCTCTATCACCGTTAGACCTTTCCAGGTCTCATCAATGCTCTAAAGACAGAAGAGTGAGGCAGAAGACAAGGAACCTTGCAAAAAGATTTTACTGAACAACATTTTGATTAAAAGCAAACATTATAGCAACACATAGGATAACAAGAAGAATTAATTGAGGTGTAAGTACATGGGTATGGATAGGATAAAGCTCAAAAACCTGCAAGGAATTGTGCAGCCTCCATAGTTCCCAAATGGATCAAACAGAGTGAAGGTGACACAGGATTGACTTCAACCTCTTTTGTTATCAGGAAATATCCCTCAGCCCAAAATCAGAGAGTGTCGTGAAACTCAGGGGCCTGAGCGTCTCTGTCTCCAAACCACATGAGCAGGGCTTAAGGCCTATGTGGAAGGGAACCTGTAGTGGAAGTTGTCAGTGTCCTGCTGGTAAGCCCTCAGTACTCACTTTGCCTGTAGGTGGATAGCTTCATGCCCCTAGCTCTCACAACTCTCCTTTTTTGGCCACAGGTACTTTTTTGCCTGCATGTGGGCAGATCAGACATGCTAGCAGTTGACCTTCTCATGAGGTTAACCCTCACCCAATGAGAGATGGGAGCTGGTGGATAAATACTCCAGCTCTCTTGCTTTTTGGACGAGCCAACTCTGAGATGTCTTCTACACTATTTCCCAGATATTCACACAAGGATTGAGTACAGTTTCCCAAGCAGTAAACTCATTAATGCATCTTTCATTGGCCCCTGTCTCTTGCCTGTCTTACTTTTTCCCTCCTTTACCAGCACTTCCTGAGATCAACTCTCCAATAGGTTACTTGCAGATGCCTGTGTTTTGGCTTCTGTTTCTTGGAGAATTAAAAAAAAAAAAAAGACAAAGCTCTTTAGGTATATTATCATTAAGAGATAACCAAAAGCTTTAAAAAATAGATTTCCTTCAGTTTCAGGACCATAAGAAAGTCACCTAAGTGCCAGAATAACAAGTCCATGCTTGTATGGTAGGCTTGCCAGCCTTCAAGATCCAAGAGGAATTGTCATCCATCCATCAATTATTTATTATCTATTCATCATTTATCCACTGAGCTAGCCAGCCAACCAGTTATTTTCTCTATCTACCTATTCATCAGACAAATATTGAGTTGCTGCTCTCTTTCAGATATTATGTTAATCACTGGGAACATGAAGATATTTGATCTTCACTCTTTGGAAGTTAAAAGTCAGTCCAATTGAACAAAGAATTAAAAGTTACACAACAAATGGATCAACCGAGATATAATGCACCATTTGGAGAGCGTAGAGCAAGAGTTGTGACTTTACGCTGGTTGTCTTTACCTTATTTTCCAATAATGTATAATTTGTTCCACAAACATTACCCAGGAATTGGAGTTACCTCTTCCCTCTGACTAAGTTCTTGGCTGAGGTGTCACCTGCTCCTCATATGGTCTCTCTTGTTTCTCACCTCCTCTCATTGTTATCAGGAACTTATTCCCTGAGCTCTAAACATCACACTGTAAAAATATATGAAATAGAATATATATTGGTATGAATGTCTTTAGAAAATATGGTCTGTCATATCCTTCTAGTGCTCCAGTGCCCAGGGGCTCTCATTCTATTCCCTGCTTCAAGGGAAGGCCCATGGCCTGCTATGTTAGTCCATTTTCTATTATGATAGCTGAATACCGCAGACTGGGTAATTTACAGAGAAAAGAAAGTTTTTTTCAGCTCATAGTTCTAGAGCTGCTAAGTTCAAGAGCGTGGCACTGGCATCTGGTGAGGGTCATCCCATGGCAGAAGGCTGGAAGGTAGAAGTTAGTGAATGAGACAGAGAGAGCAAATAGGGACTTAACTTACCCTTTTATGAGGAGCACATTCCTGTGATAACTAGCCCACCCTCCAATAATGATATTAGTCCACCTCTTAAAGGCTCTACCTCTTAGTACTCTTATAATGGGAATTACTTTTTTTTTTTTTTTTTTTTTTTTTTTTTTTTTTGAGACAGAGTCTCACTCTGTCACCCAGGCTGGAGTGCAGTGGCGCAATCTTGGCTCACTGCAAGCTCCACCTCCTGGGTTCATGCCATTCTCCAGCCTCAGCCTCCCAAGTAGCTGGGACTACAGGCACCTGCCACCACGCCCGGCTAATTTTTTGTGTTTTTTCAGTACAGACAGGGTTTCACCGTGTTAGCCAGGATGGTCTCGATCTCCTGACCTCATGATCTGCCCACCTCGGCCTCCCAAAGTGCTGGGATTATAGGCGTGAGCCACTGCGCCTGGCTGGGAATTAAATTTTAACATGAGTTTTGGTGGGAACATTCAGACCCTAGCATTCTATCCCTGGTGCTGTAAAACTCATGTCCTTCTCATATGCAAAATACATCCACTCCATCCCAACAGCCCCCACATTGTTAACTTGTTCCAGCATCAGCTCAAAAGTCCAAACTCCAGAGTCTCACCTAAATCAAATATAGGTGAGACTCTGACATAGTTTGGCTCTGTTTCCGCACCCAAATCTCATCTCAAATTGCAATCCCCATGTGTCAAGAGAGGAACCAGGGGGAGGTAATTGGATCACGGGGGTGATTTCCTCCATGCTGTTCTCAAGATAGTGAGTTCTTACCAAGAGCTGATGGTTTTAAAGTGTAGCACTTCCTCATTCTTGCACTCACTCCGTCTTGCAGCCTTGGGAAGTAGGTGTTTGCTTCCCCTTTGCCTTCCACCATGATTGTAAGTTTCTTGAGGCTTCCCCAGCCATGCAGAACTGTGAGTCAATTAAACATCTTTCCTTTATAAATCTTAGGTATTTATTTGTAGCAGTGTGAAACAGACTAATACAGACTCAAAGCATGATTTGTCCCAAGGTAAATTCCTCCAGCTATTGAGCCTGTGAAATCAAAACAATTTATCTACTTCCAAAATACAATGGTGGGACAGACATGGGATAGACCTTCCCATTCCAAAAGGAAGAAATAGGCAAAAAGAAAAGAGTAACAGGCCCTAAGTTAGTGTAAAACCCAAAAGGGCAGACATTAATTTTTAAAGCTGGAGAATATGATCACATGGGGCAAGAAAAAAAAAAAAAGGCTGGAGTCTTTGACTCCATGTCCTGCTTCCTGGGCACACTGGAGGGGTTGAAGTCTTGTGCCTGCAGCTATCCCAGGCTGGCATTGCATGCAAGTAGCTCTACAGTTCTGGGGTCTTTAGGGTTGCCTTAACCACATGCTTTCACTGAGTATTGCTCCACTAAGGGCTCTCTGTTGTGACTCTCCACTCCCACACTCGACTGTGGCAGGTGTCTGCCTAGGTTTTCACACATGGTTTGCAGCATCCTTTGCCATCCAGATAGAGGAAGCCATGCCTTCACAGCTGTTACATTCTGTACACTTGCAGAATTAGCACCACGTGAACAGTACCAAGGCTTACCATTTGTATCTTTCAGAGCAGTGGGTTGAGCAATATTTGAGCCCATCTGAGCCACAGCTGGGGCAGACAAGGGGTGCTACACCAGAGTGCAGGGAGCAGAGTAGCAAGGTGGCCCTGGACATTGAGCCTGCAGAGGGTACCCTGTTCCCATTCCCCAAAACCATTCTGCCTTACTAGAGCTTTGGGCCTGTGATGCAAAAAAAGGCAGCCTTGAAGATCTCTGAAATGCCTTCAGAGTCTTTCTCCCATTGTCTTGTTGAATAGCATCTGCCTTCCTTCTATCCATGCTAATCTCTTTAGCAAACAGTCATTTGGCCATACCCATGCATACTTTTCTGTTCCTTACATAGCCACGCTGTGAATTTTCCAAGTCTTTTCACTCTGCTTCCCTTTTAGTCATAAATTCTGTCTTTAAATTATTTCTCTCTTCTAGCATCTTACTTGAAGCAGTTAAAAGTAGCCAGGCAGCAGCAGCAGCCTAAATGCTTTGCAATTTAGACATTTCTTCTGCCATATATAATAGTTCATCACTCTTAAATTCCAAACCTTCCATAAAGCAATTTTAGGCTTGGATAAAGTTCAGCCAAGTTCTTTGCTACTTTACAACAAGAATGACCTTTGCTCTAATTTTTGATATCCTGTTCTTCAGTTCCATCTGAGACTTTGTCAAAGAGACTTTTACTGTCCCTATTTCTATCAACATTTTGGTCACGATCACTTAAGTCATCTCTAAGAAGATTCAGACTTTCCCTAGTCTTCTTCTGATCCCTCTTTATAATCGCTCTTAATGCTCCATTCACAGCAATGAAGGTTTTTCCAGCCTGCTTCCCCAAATTCTTACAGCCTCTGCCCATTACCTAGTTCCAAAGCTGCTTCCACATTTTTAGGTATTGTTATAGCAATGGCCCCACTTCTATGTATCATGCTGATACATGACTGAAGGTTCCTGAGGCCTCCCCAGCTATGTGAAACTGTGAGTCAATTAAACCTCTTTTCTCCATAAATTACCCAGTCTCAGGTAGCATCTTTATAGCAGTGTGAAAACAGGCTAATACAGCCTCCATGCCAGTCAAAGTCAAGGTGAATCTAGAATGGGGCTGAGTAAATAGCATGACCAACTGATATAGTTTGCCTGGAATGGTCCTGGATTTAGCCCTGAAAATCATGGGAAAACACGAGGATTAGTCATCCTGTCAGTGCGATAGCGTAGCACTCTGTTCTCTAGTTTCCTTTTTAATGCTGTAGTGGTTTAAGATGGCCACAAATTCTTTGATACTCCTCCATTGACAAGTGGGGTCCAGATTCCCTCCTCTTGAGTATGGGCAGCTCTATGAGTGTATAGAATACAGGGGAAGTGATACTGTGGCAGTATCTTGGCTCAGGCTTTAAGGCACTGTCATCGTCCGCTTGCCACGTCTTGGAATACTTTCATTTGGAGCCCTCAGCCACCATGTAAGAAGCCCAATTACTCTGAGACTGCAGTGCTGAAGTAGTCACACATGGGTACTCCTGTTCACAGTCCCAGCTGGGCACAGCCTTCCATCCAACACTGTGGCACCAGACATAGTGAAACTGTCTTGGATATTCCAGATCAGAATCACATGAATACCACTAGTGAGGTCACCAAGTGATCTCAGTTGAGGTCATATGAAATAAGAGAATTGCCCCACTGAGTCTTAGTCAAATTTTTGGCCACTAAATTATCTTATAAGGTATAATAAAATGGTTGTTTTTTTTTTTTAAGCCATCAGGTTTGGGAATGGTTTGTTATGCCATAGAAGATATCTGAGGCAAATGCTAAAACTGGCCTAAATAAACCATACGTATTTTTTCTACTTGCTATTATAAGCAATAGCCTGTCTTCAGATAATGTTCTGCATAAGATCTATGCCATCTTTGACTGACTTCAGCAAGCCTTTTCTGAATGGGCAAATAGTATAAGGGGAGATGAGATGCTGGCTTTGACTACCTACATCCATTCTTCCTGTGTCCTTAGCACACCACCTTGGCACACTTCCTTCCCTGTGAATTGGCTCATCTCTGTGCCATGTGCTTCAAGGTCTACTTCTTGGTGGGATGCACATCTTTCATTCGTCTTTGGCGGTTTTTTGGCAGTAACAAAGGGCACCCCTCAAGGCTGCAGTCTCCACCAGTGAAATCTCATACACCCTCACATTCATCTAGAGAAGAAACACTTGACTGCTCCTTTCCAATTTGGCCCCATGATTGGAAACATGATTGATGAATCTGTAGATTTCTGGAGAACAAGGGCTGTGTTTTAAATGTTCTTGGGTTCTGGTAGCTTCTCTTTGGATGAATGAATATATTCTCACTATTGTGGCAGTATCAGGCAGCTTTGCTTCTGCTACTTCCCTTGCCTGATCTTTTCACTTTTAGTGTCTTTTTGTTTCTAGGAAAGGTAGTGTTGGGGTTCAGAAAATGACTCCCCAAAGTATCTGCCTTGGCATGCTGAGTACTTCGAACTAAAGGAGATTGGAAGGCCTCAGAAGCAGAGTCTCTCTTTGACCTTCTTCTGCTCTCCTTGTCTCCTGCCCCTCTTTCTCCTCCAAAGCAAGTCATAGCGAGTCAAAACTTAGAAATGTCACTCTTTTTCTTCTCTCTTGTCCTTTGAGGACCCTGATTCCAGGGGGTCCTGCCCCATACCTGGGAGGAAGAAATGCTACAGAGAGAGATCAAGAAGAACATAAACAGACAGGTCTTGCTGGGTCCCCGCTGACCTGACAGTCTATTACCATTAGATAATATCCTTTTTATCCAATCACATTTTATATGATTGTCCATTCTTCATAAAAATCTAACCACAAAAACAGACAGTTTTCCATGTGTCTTTGGGTCTACATTTCTGAAGTCTCCTGTATCATGTACAATTTTGATAAAATAAATTTGCTACGTTTTTCTCTTATTAACCTGTTTTTTGTTACAGGAGTGTTGGCCATGATCCTTATAATGCATGAGGAAAGGTAGCACCCCTTTTCATCTTTACAGTAGGTCTCAAGAAAGAGCAGAGTCTACGGTTGTTAGCAGAGGATTTTAAAGTAAAAAGGGGTGAAAGGATTTTGCATCATTTTGAGACTCCTCAGTTCTCACTGAATAATTAGCTTCTGATTCTCTTCCTACTTAAACTTTTGAATGTTCATGGATTGTGGAAAAGGAGAAGGTGACACAAATGCTCATTTGTGATGCATAGAGGTGGCAGAAGGAAATGTCAGGGATCAGGCTCACAGAAGCAGCTGATGGGTGTCAGCTCTGTGGGAACATGCTACCTAAAGAATCTCAGAATGTTGGAGCTGTAAGGGACTGGTGGGGAAAAGAAGTATAAGAACATGGTGATATTGATGGTTGGTGGAATTAGGATAAGTACTCTACATCCCAGTCAAATGCCCTTGAACTATACCATCTTATAACAATGTGGCTTTCTCGGTCAGGATGGTGGTCCACATGCATTTGTCTTCCCATTCTCTCTCTGAATTCTATTGAAATTATGACACAGAAGTTCCAGAGGAAATAAGCCCCCAAGAGTGTGGAGCGTGGGAGTGAGTTATTAATGAATGTCTGGATGGCAGACAGTGAATGGGAGCACACTGACAGGTAAACAGATGGAGGAACCCACCACTGCCAGAATGAAGGCTGCAGCTCAGCCTGGAGCTCATCTCCCCCAGGGTCCCAGTAATATTGGAAGTGGAGAGTCACCAGGTAGAAAGAGCTAGTGTGGGAGGTGGGATGGTAAACTGTGGAGAAAGTGTAAATTGGAAGATTGCCTGTGGCAAAGCTATGCAAGTTTCCCTGCCCCCACGACTCACATGCATAAATGCTCCCCTCGCCCACCCATGGAGCTGCAGGAGAACTAGCAGCTAGGGGTTCATCTCCAGGACAAACGTGGGAGCACTGTCGGCTAAAGATATCACAAGAGCTCCTTGGGGAGAGAGCAGGAGCTTCCAAAGTGGGGGGCTGGTGTCTCACTGCAAAGCCCTTCTGATTCTCAGAGGGGGTTTTCATGATCTCATATCCTAAAGTGAAGCTGCCGTCAGATGACTATATGCTCTCACATTTACCGTGAAGCCTCTTAGAAAAGGACCGACACAACTGAGGAAGGAGTCACCAGCCATTTGCATTAGTCTGCATGAGCCTTTATATTTTAAGATGAATGGGTGACCAAAAACTCTTAGCCCTTTGCAAGCAACCATTTGCACAAGAAAGAGAAACAAAGAGGAAATGATAGAAAAACTGAGTATGGAGAAGTGAACATTGAAAAGCAATCCCTATTTCAGCCAGTGAGAATATTTACAAAAAGAGAAAGCAATCAGGAAGTGAGAGTTCTTGGATATTAAAAATGCTTGCTATACATCAAAATAAGTAATGATGGTAATGAAGTATAACTCACTGAATGAAATAAGAGTCCATGAGTCTGCACAGACTTTAAACAGATGGACAAGTAGAGAGATATAGAGAGAGACAGAGAGATAGAGAGTTATAGAGAGAAGGAAAAGAACTTCCTAACAGTGGAATGACAATGAATAACTATAGAATAAATGATGGAATTAGAAAATCCTTATTTTGCAAACACTGTAGTATTAATTCATTCAGGCAAGAATCATTTATGGATATTAAAACTCATGTGTAAAAGTGTGATAAGGAATAAGATTTTTATCACCCCACAAATTACTTACAAAATTACAAAAGGGAAATAGTAATTCAACAATGACAAAAGCTGGTAGTTACCACTTGAACTAAGTGATCAAAGTCAACATCACAATAATGAGTCAACATCATGTGCCTCTTGCTATGCTGTACAAGGAAAGATATAGTATCACTCTGTGATATTCCTGTTACAAATGCACAGTCTGAATCTAAGCACAAGGAAACATCAGACAAATCCATATTAAAGGACACTTTGCAAAATAAATGGCTTGTGTTTGCCCACAATTTCAACATCATGAAAGACAAAGAAAAGGTGAGAAACTGTACTAGATTAAAGAAGACTGAAGAGACAACCAAAACTAAATGTAAAGCATGATCCTGGATTTAAACCTAGACCAGAAAAAAAAACTATAAAAGATATTTTGAGATAATTGGAAAAATTTAAATAAATCTGCAGATTAAGCAATAGTGTATCAATTTAAGTTTTCTGTTGTCGAAAATTCACATTGGAGTATTTTAGTGGGAAAGCGATTCAATATTTGCAATTTATCCTCAAATGTTCAGAGTAAGAGAGAAATAAAGCAAATGTGACAAAATGTCAACAATTAACAAACCTGGGTAAAAGGTAAAAGGTAATTCTTTATACTATTCTGGCTACTTTTCTGTAATTTTAAAATGGTTTCCAAACAAAAACTTTTGCAATAATGTCAAAAGGCAAGTAAAAACTGAGAATAAATATTTGCAACATATATTACAGATAAAAGAGAATTCCTGTCCACCAATCTATGTACATGAATATACATAAAGAGCTCTTAAAAATGAAGGAAAAAGAAAGTAGAAATCTAACTAAAAAATAGATAAATGACATGTGCAGACAGTTCACAGAAAAAGGTTTACCAAAGGCCCTTACATTTAAAGAAATGCTCAACTTTACTCATCTTAAAAGAAATGTTAATTAACCGTACTGGTGTACCGTTTTATCTATTAGATTAGTGAAAGTTAAGAATTTTAACAACTGCCTGTTGTCAAAACTGCTGGGGTATCAGGCACCAAAATATATCATTCTGGGGACTGCAAAGTGGTGGGATCCCTATGGAGGGGAATTTGTCAGTATCTAATAAGACCACTGTTCCTACCCATTTAGCCTTTGATCCAACAATTCTGCTTTAGGCATTTATCCTGAGAATATATTTCTAAAAATATGAAACAACATTTTACAAGATTATTCATTATAGCACTAATTATAATACTAAAAATACTGGAAACAACCTAAATATCCGTTGTATTATTTTTCCAGGCTGCTGTAACAAAATACCACAGACTGGGTGGCTTGAACAGATGTTTATTTTCTCACAGTTCTGGAAGCTGGGAAGTCCAAATCAAGGTGTCAGGAGGATTGGTTCCTCCTGAGACCTCTCTCCCTGTCTTGCAGATGGCTTCCTTCTTGCTCTGTCCTCACATGGCCTTTCCTCTGGTGTCTCTTCCTCTTTTCATAAAGAAATCAATCTATTGGATTAGGACCTCACCCTTATGTCCTCATTTAACCTTAATTACCTCTGTAAAGGCCCTACCTCCAAATATAGTCACATTCTTGGGTAAACGGGACTAGGAGACTTCAATATATGAATTGGGGGAGGGACATAATTCAGTTCATAACACCCATCCACATGAAAGTGATTTGACTAGACCATGAGATAGTCACACAGTGCAATACCATGCAGCTATTAAAGAAAAAGATATGAGGAAATGCTCTTTGAATTGATATAGGACTATTCTTAGATGATTAAAAAAAAACCCAAGAGGCGAAATATTCTATATGTTATCTAAGAGAGAAGTGTGTGTGTGTGTGTGTGTGTGTGTATGTATATGTATATAGACATATATGTATGTATAGGTATATAGACATACACACACATATGCTGTACTGAGAATAAACTTATATGTCTATGTATATATGAGTACGGGGAATACTCAGAGGTTATATACATACAGTATGTGTGTATAATCTCTGAGTATTCCCAGAAGATTTTCTATTTGTAGCAATCAAATTGGGTTACTGACTGCTTATAGCAGCAGTCTTTTAACATGTAGTTCTTTCTAATTAATGAATCAATTAATTACTTTCTGTAGCTTAATTGAACTTAGAACTGTGAACTGTGAGTCTTAAAACTTAATTCTAATTAACCAAGATTTTATTGATCTAATGTTACTTCTAATTAGTTGTCATTGCCACATATACTAATATTTTTTAAAGGACTTGGGGATGTAACTTGAAAGACAGTATTTTTAGGACTTAGGAATGCCTTGGTTTGCAGGTAACAGAAAACTTCACACTTCACTAGAAGTTGCTTAAACAAATGGAGGTTTATTTTCCTCTGTAACAAATGTGTCATATATCAGCAGCCCAGGTGAATGCTAAATGTAGACAGACTATATCTTTCCACTCAGCCATTCTTAGCATGTGAGCTTGTTGCCTCATGATCACAAGATAGGTCTGCTGCAGTTCCAGGTATCATATCTGTATTTCACACACACACACACACACACACACACACACACACACACACGATGGAACAGTGACATCTTAACTCTGTCCCTTTTATCAGGAAAATCAGGAAAGCAAAAACATTCCTAGAATCCCCCAGTGAGCTTTATCTTACATCTCTTTGGCTAGAACTAGTCATGTGGCAACTTGTACCAGCAAAGAAGGAGTAACAGTGGAAACAATGTTGTCATGGCTGACATTAACCAATCAAGATTCACCACCTGTGGCTCAGCACATTGCACTCAACTTCTAGAGAAGGAAAAAGTGAGAGACTGTTCTTTTCTCAGTGCAAATCTATCTTTATTTATCTCTGCCTGTCACCTTATTTTTTTCTGTCTTTTTACTTTTTTAGCTAGCTAGTGAGCCACTTTTAATTCCTCTTACATCTGTCTTCCCAGTATGCATTTTTAGGGACCCTCTTTCCAGCCAGTCCTGCAATAACTCTGCCCTCCTCGCTCAAATCCACGTCTATGGCATATTCTTATTACATAGATAACCCTTTCTAGTTTCTGTAGCAACAGGGATAATTCAAACATAACCAATAAAACATCAAAATGATTTGTTGAAATCCCACAAGTTTTCATCGGACAAAACAGTGTTGTTGGAGCTGGCACTAAAATAGAAAGACTGATTGGTGATTGTTGTCTACATATGGATTCCCCAAGAAGCCCTGGGACCAGGAATTGAGTGCAAGTAGTTTATTTGGGAGATAATCACAGAGGGCACTGGTGTGAGGAAGTGGGACAGGAAAAGGAAGGCTTCAATGAAAGGTACAAGATGAAGCCAGTTATCACTGAGGACAGACCTAGAAGTCAGTATAGACCATGCCTCCAGGGTCATCCCACCTGAGGGCAGAAGGAAGTGTAGTATTTATCCTTCAACTCTTGTTGTTGGGCTGCGGCATGGGGATAGGCATTAATTCACTGGGACTTGTGTCTTCCTAAGTTTGGACAGAGTGGGCTCCAACCACACAAATAAGCCCCTAGGTGGCTGGAAGTCAGGCAGTTGTACACTACAATGGTAAGGCCAAGGCACAGAATATGCCTTGGAATTGTCCCACTGTGGAACAGGGAAGCTGGGTATTTGTTTGCCAACTCTAACCCTCATTGGTTAAGAAATGCTTCTGGGGTTGGTAAATCCCCAGCACTTCCAGGCTGCCCTGAGCATAGCTGAGCAAGACCCACACTTGTGCCACAGAAAGCTCTTCCTCAGGCATGGAAGCAGAAAGGCTCAGGCTTGAAGAGGGAAGCTGTCAGCATGCATAGAAAATTCACGTTGCAGCTTTAGGGAAACTTAAGTTGGACTGATGGGATATGAGACTGGTAGGATGTGGAGGGTTTGCTACCCACACCATCCTGTAATTAATTCCTCCCTTACAGGTAGTCATGTGACACTTTACAAATTCCTTCATGATAGCCCTGATTACTCCATACTTGTTTGTTTGTGTAGTATGTATTAAGCACATCATATGTTTCTGTTTTGCATTCAGTCCTCACAACAACTCAAGAGGCTGGTACTATAATTATCCTCATCTAATAATGAGAAAACTGAGTCACAGGGATTAACTAATTTTTTGTTTATGTGCTTATTTCTGCTTCCAGACCATGAGCACGTGAAAGGCATGGTCTTTGTGGTTTTTTTTTTGTTTGTATCCAACACACTGACTGGCATTTCAGGAGTTTGTATCCAACACACTGACTGGCATTTCAGGAGTACTTGATACATATTACTTGAGTCAGGTTATTCAGAAGACTCAAAGTCACAATGGAACATGGAAAGAAGTGCATGGCTTTAACCAATGCCATTTTTAGAACTGCTCTTCAATAATTAATCAATTTGGTGGCAAACAGGGTTTCTACTAACATTTCTAGAAGTGGGCATCAAAGATTTGTCAAGAAAATGAAGTTATTTTAATTGTTAATTTTCAAAAACAGAGAGGACAATATTTTAAAACTTTATCCTATTCTGTTTTATTAATCTTGAAATGTTTTATTTTATCTCATTTGTGGATTTATCTTGTGGCCAACGCTCAAAGCATTGCTAAAAGTGGACGTTGCTCAGTCAGAATAGGCTAATATGTGATGCTGTAACAAGCAACCCTAATATCTCAGTGGTTTCAAAGAACAAAGATTGACTTACACTCACACTCATGTCTGCTTTGTGTTAGCTAGGAGCTCTGATCTGTGTCATCTTAATTCTGGGACCCGGGTAGATGGAGCATCCACTGTCAGGAACATTGGCGGTTGCCAAGGCAGAAGGCAAGAACATTATGGAGGAGATCATTCTGGCAGTGAATTTCTCAACCTGGAGATGACAGACATCATTTCTGATTACAACTCACTTCCTAGAACTAATCACATGGCACCACTACACCATAAGGAAGACTAGAAGTGCAATCCTGCTGTATGTCCTGAAGGAGAGGAGTCTGGACATTGATAAACAGTACTAACAATTAACATAAGCACTCATTTTCATCATTATTTAGCCTGACACTGATTGGATAGTCTCCAGCACCTCTTCCCTGCTCTCCAACTTCCTCACAGCAACCACTATAATATTTCTCAAATATGTTATGTCATAAAAAATAAACAAAACCCCTTGATATACCTTCATTGCTACCAGGGTAAAATCTGCCTTGTCCTTGACAAGGCCCCCATGACCTGGCCCCTGCTGACTGTACTGCCCTGCTCACGTGTCTGTTTATTGTATATGCTGTTCATCCCACTAGAATGAGGTACAAGTCTTCCTCTTCCCTTCTTCCCCCCTCTGCTTTGCAGAGTGTCAGGAGATTAATTTTCAGCCTTGCCTAATGAGACAGTGGGTTGGATTGGCAGATCTTACTACAACTTTGTCTATAAAAGATACACTTGAAATTTTCTTAAATTCTAGGAAGTATAGGCATTTTTTCTTTTCTCCTTTCCTTCCTTTTTTCCTTTCTACAAATATTTATTTGAGTATCTACAAGGCCTCCTGATGGGTCGTGGGAATATAAAGTTCATCCAGACATGGTCCCTGCCCTCATCCAGCTTATGGTTTGGTGGGGGAGACATATTAATCACACTGCATAAGTTTGAATTAGATTCAGATACAAGTTGAAATAAACTAAAATGAAGATGAGTTACACAAGATAGAAGGTTACTTCTCTGTCATGTCACTGTAGGTAGACCAGTGTTGATACTGTGTCCCACAGTGTTAGTGACTCAGGTTCCTTCTGTCTTGTTGTTCCTTATCCCCAGCATGTGGCTTCCACTTCATGGTCCAAGATAATGGCTTAGTCTCCAGCCATCATGTATTCCAGCCAGAGGAAGGAGAAAGGTATAATGAAAGGCATGTCCTGGAAAATGAACACACCACTTCCACTTACAAATCTTTGGCTGTAGTTTAGTCACACCTCCACACTTAGCTGTAATAGGGGCTTTTAAGTCATGTGCCCTGTTAAAAACTGGGGCTTCTGTTACCAAGAAAGAAGGTGAAAGCAGGCAGAGGGACCAGGCTTGGTCTAGAAGATTAGTTTTAAAGAGAAACTTAAAAAGAATTGAGATCTGAAAAATAGGTAGGCTTTAACCAGGGGAAGAGTGACCAGGAAGAATAAACATCATGTGCGAAGGACCTGTGGCAAGAGGGAGCCGGCCTGTTGGAAGGACTAGAAACAAACAAGCAAACAAAATTCCATAGTATCTGAAGTACAGAGGAGGAAGGAATGTGAAGCAATGTGAAGGAATGTAAACGTCCCCTATGCAGTCAGGGGACAATGTTGCACAGCCTTGGAGGGCTTATTAGGGATTGTGATCTTCACTCTAAAAACAATGGTATGTCATTAAAGGTCTTTAGGAGGATAGTATGATCAAATTTACATTGTAACTTGTAGGAAACAAATTAGAGAGGACAAGAGTGGATGTTTAAAGACCAGAGACCTCCAGATGAGAGATGAATGTAACTTGATCTAAGATAATGCTAGGAAAGAAAATAAAAATGAGAGGAATCAAGAACTATTTTTAGAAGGCAAACTCAACAAGACTTAGGCATGAATTAGTGTGGGAAGGTAGTGAGGAAGAGAAGGAGGAAGGGATAAGAATGGAGCAAGAAATAAGAAATGAATTTAAGAATATTCTTTCTTAAATATGAAAATGAAAATTGGCATTCAGGCAATGCAAGGGGATCTCAGGATACTTGTGCAACATAGCACACATAAAGTACTATAATTTAAAATCACTTGAGACATGATGTTCATATAGGTCAATTATAAGTTGTCTCTCTTAAGATTTATTTTAAGAAGTACATCTAGTCTTCATGATTTACATTAAAATTATTTATTTAAAATTATGTTGTTGCTGTTAAGATTTATTTGAAGAAGTACATCCAGTCTTCATGATTTGCATTAAAATCCAAATCCATTTTGCTTTTGGTTTAATATTTGCTATCAGTTTCACATTGTAGGAATTTAAAAAAAATCCACTCTATTCTAGAGGCAGTACTGACCCTCCAAAACGTGTAATGTGGTCTCTACAGATTTTGAAGTGATGAAATCTCCATTTCCTCTGCAGCCCTCTCAAGTTCCTCTTAAAGAGGAAGTGAAAGTTAACTCCCAGTTCTTCCTGGGCACAGGAGGACAGCTGACTGGAAAGAATATATATAAATGGATTATATTCAAGAGTGCCTTAGATAAAGGAAATACCAGTCATTCATCCTACAAAATTTATTTGGCACTATCCTGTGTCAGGCCCTAGGCATAACTGGAATGGTCAGACTAGACAAACTGAGGCTGTCAGAAGGCATCAGGAAGAAAAAAATCATGATGCAAACTATCTGCTTTCCTTTGTCTTGAGATTAACCAGTAGTTTCCATAACTCGGTGTGCATCTGATTTTTTTGTTACAATTACAAAAATAATTAACTTTAATTTTTACACTTAGATGCAATGCTAAGGGACTGTTTGGACCACAATTTAGTCTCTGCTTTGAGTATATTGAAAATAGCCCAAAGTAGCTGTCAAGGCATAAACAACTCAGGAGGAAAGCATCGCTGTGGTTTTACTGAACAGATGGTCTGATGACGTCAGTGTCTCCAAATTACCTGCAGCCAAAGCAGATGGAAAAATTAACATCGAAGCCCAAGCTTGATGGCAGACAGGGAGTCACAGAGAACTTCAGGGGAGAAAGTCACATGGGATGATTTCTTTGCTTTGTTTTCAAGCTCTACGAGGAATCTTTTTCTCTTCCCAAATTCCTTGAATAAAATCACAAGAATTATTACAGTTGGTCCCACAAACAACCACCACGAAGACAGGGCTGGAGGACATGGCATTCAGTAATGCCTCTGCCACTAAAAAATAATATTGATTCTAAAAAGAGATTATTAATTGTGTAAAAGCGTTGTGTAGCTGAAAAGAAACATCTCAGCGCTACAATTGAATATGACAGTTCTTGGAAAATCATCATAATGGCTGCATATTTAGCTCTGGACACATTGTATTTTGAGAGATTTACATTCCATTTTTCTCCAAAAGGCTGCATTACAATTAACATTTTCACCTAGGACTGACTGCCCAGCACTTTATCTCTGTCGATCTTATTTCCTTGTTTAGCGTTGTGTTTTCACCTTTTCCTGCATGCCAGTGTCTGGGTCTTTATTTCCATTATGCAAAGTTGTCAGCTGCATAAAGTGATGCATTCCAGCCTTAACTATAGATCAGCCAATCTGTGCTGGATTATCTTGAGCTCAAGATCTAAAATCTGAGTCAGAATCATAGAGCTTTCTGTTTACAAATGAAGAAGTAGGTATTCAAGTTTCCATACTTGTCTGTGAGCACAGAGTGGGGAAGTGGCTGAAGGCAGAACAAGAACACAGGGGTCCACTTTCTAAGGCCTCGTGGCCTTTATAGCTCTACAAACCCCAAGTGTCCCTAACTCTTCTCTCTCAAGGGATACAGACTCTGATATAACTGGATTCTATGCTCCAAACTCAAAGGGAATGCAGTAGAAGCTGAAAAACGAATTTTTTGATGTATTTTTCTAGAACACTATTGTCTAATTTTCATGGCAGCCTAGCATGGTGCAAGGTTGTCTTGGTTTAAGTTCCAGGAAAAAATACCCAGCAAGAAGAATCTGAGTACAAGAAATTTTGGGGAGAGATGGTCCCAGGAAGCAAAGGAGGGGAAGAGAGGAAGCAAGACAAGGAAGGGGAAAAATAAGCCTCAGAGTCATCCCAACCAAGAGGCAAGGGAGATGGGGTATGTATCCTCCAACTCTCATCTGTCATTATATGAGAGCTGTTTCCAGGGGCATTAACTTCCTCTGCTTCTGAGACTAATGGCCTGCCTCACTGGGGTGAGAGAAAGCCCTCAAGTGGAGCGTGGCAGATGCTTGCAACAGAAGGCAGTGGAAAGATGTGGGGTGTGGGCAGAGCATGGGCAGCAGTTGCTATAGTCAGATATCGGCTCACATCTGTATCCATTGACTTGCTGGATGGTCTCAGACAAGGTACTTTCCTTCTCTAATTCTAAATTTTTTCATCTGTAAAATGGGGAGAACAGTACGATCATGTAATATTACGAGCAGTAAATGGAATGATAATCCAGGTAAAGTGCTTAGCACAATGCTTAACACAGAGGAGGCCCTTGATATGGGGCATTATTATCATTGTTTGTTTTCTTGCCTGCGTTAAGTGCCTGGGGAAAAAATGAAATTTAGAATCACATCAGGTGCTACAGCAGATAGAGCCCTTAGGTCGACCTCCAGATTTCACAGCAGAGGAAGCTTGAGGATGAGGGAAGTGGCTGTCTGTCCCATGAAAAAAATCTTCTATTAGAGTGTGGCAGAGCCAGACCTGTACACTAGAGCATCTGGTTCTATGTGCAGTGCTCTTTCCAGCACCCTGAACTGACTCCTTTAGAATTATTTGTAGAATATAGATCTAGGAGGAAGAGTGAATGATCATTGTGTTCTGGATGGCAAAAATGTTTTCCTCACAACTTGCAGTGGCAGTCTGTGTGGCTGTGTTGAGAAAGATTCTGATGACATGGTACATGAGGTAAATGTGTGTGATTGGATTACCAATGTCTGCCATTGATCTGGGAGCGCACTGGCTGGGTATACACTGATCCTGTTGGGGTTGAAGTTATTAAGAAAGTTGACTGCTGGACTTGAATTTAGCACTAAGGGAACAAGATAACCATTTTGTTTGTTCATTTTATTGCAATGATAATGCTTATTGATCATAGAAAAATTTTAAAGATATAAACAAGTATGATGGTTAATACCAAGTGTCAACTTGATTGGATTGAAGGATGCAAAGTATTAATCCTGGGTGTGTCTGTGAGGTTGTTGCGAAAGGGGAGATTAACATTTGAGTCAGTGGGCTGGGGAAGGCAGACCCACCCTTAATCTGGATGGGCACCATCTAATCAGCTGCCAGCAAAAAACAGGCAGGAAAACATGAAAAGGTTAGACCGGCCTAGCCTCTCAGCCTACGTCTTTCTCCTGTGCTGGATGCTTCCTGCCCTCGAACATCAGACTCCAAGTTCTTCTTTTTTTGGAACTCGGACTGACTCTTCTTGCTCCTCAGCCTGCAGATGGCCTATTGTGGGACCTTGTGATCATATGAGTTAATACTTAATAAACTCCATATATATTCCATTAATTCTGTCCCTCTAGAGAACCCTGATTAATACAATGAGAAAATAAAAATTACCTCTAAGGTGTAGCAAAGAGGATAATTGATCTCTGGGACTGATTCAGAGTAAGGAAGAAGGCTGAAAAACAGAAATTAGTAATTGAAGACCTTTATAAGGAGCCATTGGCTCCTCCACATCTGGATGCAGAGCAATATAGGCAGCCAGGCATTTAGTCAAAGGAGCAAGGAAAACAGAATGAAAGAAATTTTAAAAAGCTAAATCTCCTCAAATTGACCTCTAAATTCAATGATACCAAGCAAAACATCAACAGGATTTTTCATAGAACTAGAAGCTGACTCTAAAATGTGTCTGGAAGAGTGAGGGGACAGAGTGAAAGCATTTCTGAAGAAGACTGGGGAGAGGCTTACCTTATGGATAACCCAAGTTATTATGAAGCTACTGGAAGGAAGACAGTGCTGAACTGGCACAGCAGTAGAGAAAGTGACCAATGGAGCATAAGGCAGTGTTCCCAAACAGACCTATGTATACATGGAACTCTGATAGATGGTAGAGGCGGCTTGGCAGTTGGGAGAGGAGGGACTGTATGTTAAGTGGAGCTAAAAATGTGCTCATCCATATGGATAGAAGTGAAACTGGACTCCTACCTCACACCATACCCTGGAATTGCTCCAGACAAATGAAAGTCTTTAATAATCAAAGCAAAACTTTAAAATTATGAAGAGAAAGTATAGATCAATATTTTTGGACCTTGGGGGAAGGAAAGCATTTCTTATTTAAGACATGAAGAGTGCAGCTGTGAGAAAATCTCAGTCAGGCCAATGCAGAGCCCTAGAACAGAAGTGTCCCAAACCTGGTATCTTCACCATGCTCAATCATTGCCTGGGGCAGCCTGAAGACACTGTGGCCACCAAGAGGACACAAGTGATTTCCAGGGGTGTGGCAGATGAAGGCCATCAGCTAACAGTCATCATCCCAACAGGTTCTCTCTTGAGGGAAATGTGAGTGGCTCATCCCCATGGCTGCCACATGCCAGGATTGAGGAAATCTGGCTGTAGGATTGAGATAACCATAAGTAAAACAACTCCAAAGCCCTACATTTGGATTAATTACTTCAGGGACAAAAGATCATGACATGCGGGTTCTTGTTAGCTTCTTTTTTGGAAAATGGCTCTTTCTGAATCTGTCCCTAGATTTGAGTGTCTACCTTACATTGGACACAAGCTCTTTGTTCGCTGACTTATTGCATGATTCTCCAGCAGTCATTGGCTGTGTGACAACATTATTTTTACTTTATGCAACGACTGAAAGATTTGTGAAGTGAAAGTGGAAGATTGGGAAAGCACAGTCCAAGAAGGTGTGCATGAGGCGAGGTGAGGGAATTGTGGTGGATTATGTCATGGACACAAAGTATCCCATAGCGGTATGCATAGACCTTTGCAATGTGACTTTGCTGCTCCTCCATCCAAAGGTGGAGTCTATACTCTCTTCAAACTGAGCTGGCCCTGTGACTTGCTTTGACCAATAGAATGTGGTGGAAGTTATATTGTGCAGATTCTAGAGCCCAGACTTCAAGAGTTTGTGCAGCTTCTGCCTGTTCTCATTTGGAACCCTGCCCTGTGGCCACTATATGATGATGAAGGCCAGATGAAAGACCACACAGAGAGAGACGTCCAGAGCCTAGCTAACCTTCCATAGTGAGCCCAGGTAAGACCAGCAGAGAAACTACCCAGTCACAATTCACTATCATAAGAAATGACGGGTTCTTACTGTTTTGAGCCACTAAGTTTTGGAGTGGCTTCTTAACGACATAATAGACAACTGAAACAGACATAATCAAGGTCTTGAATGCACTCTTAATATAGAAAAGTAGGGTAATCATAAGAGGGTGGAGAGTTATTTATTTATCTTTCGAACATTCAGTGGGCATCCAGTATATACCAGGCACCTTTGTATGTATCTCATTTAGTCTTTCTAATAGCCTTATGAGATAGGTGCCACCACATAGATGTGGATATTGAGGCACAGAGGGATGAAATAACTTGCCCAAGGTCATGTGGCTGGAAAGTAGCAGGTCTGGGACCTGACTTTATGTCTTTCTGGTTCCAAAGTCCCTGCTCATGACCACATCTCTACACTGCCACTGGCACTTAAAATGAACCCAGTGAAGAATACTAAAAAATAAACAGAAATAGGGAAAGAACACTCAAGCTTTATAACTCCTGCTTTCTGTGTTTATTTCATAGCTAAAGATGAATTTCTTTGAGAAGGGAAGAATGATTTTTGAGATGATGACTTGCATTCGTATTCAGACTTCTGTTTCAGGAATTCCTTCTTTGAATTATTAATGTAAAAAAATGGATGTTCTAAGACTGACCAGGGTTGCAAGAAATAAAAGGACTGGAAAATTCAAACACACTTCTGAAAAATAAATGGACTTGCATTTATTAATAATTCCTATCAAGGCAGAATGCCTTCTAAAGCAATCATTGACATTCATTTATTCATTCATTCAACACAAATATGTGGAGTACTTACTAAGTGCCAAGCCTTGTGCTAAGCACTAGAGATAGGAAGGCAAACGTGATCTGTTTCTAGCACTCAATGGCTATGTAGTCTAGTTAGAACACAAAATTAAACAAAAGCCCAACACATAAATTTTCTTGTCATTTTCCCCAAATTTGACGGAAAAAAAATCAATGATCTAAGAAAAAAAAGTTACTTTGCATTGATTTTCTAATTAATGTGATAGAAGTGCAAAAATTCAGCCACCCTCACCAATCTCCTATAGAACCAAAGACTATATAGTTACATACCACATGTTTATTTCATTTCTGATAAATGCTAACTACTCTCCCAAATTTGTCATCTAGAACTTGGTAGGAATTTCTTTCTGCATGGAACCGTAAAGGAGATTCATGCTATAGATGACTATAGAAGAAAAGAACTCAGAAATTCCTGTAAGGCAATGAGCTTCATTCCATCTCTTCTTTTGTGCCTCTTGGATTGCACATTAACACTGTAGCTTAGAACTGTATCGATATTTGAAGACCAGCATTTTAAAAATGAGAACCATATTAGAAAATTGGCTCCAGAGTCGAGTTCTACAGTCATGGGCAGGGAATGTTCTGGCCTCTGCTGAGTGGGTTTGCATGTGTTCCTTATCTTCTTTGTGCCTTGCCTTCCTCCCTATAAAATTAAGGTCCGTGTGGATGAGCTAATATCCGGGATCTTCCCCAGAGTAAAACTTTACGGTTAAAGCACCCTTCTTTGCTATTGGCTGTTTTCTTTAGATACCTATGGCATCTTCTTAAGAAATCAGAGACAGAATTCATCAGGATAAGCTTTATTTCACTTTTCAATCTTTATCTTTACCTGTAATTTAAAAGTTTTTTAAAGCTGAATTTTCTGTATTGTTTTCCAGGATAAGGAATATGGTGTGTGTGTGTGTGTGTGTGTGTGTGTGTGTGTGTGTGTGTGTGTGTGTGTTGTGTTGTTATAGTTACCCTTTTAAGATACAGGAGAAGATGGCCACAGTTCACCACAATGAGACTGACACTTCTTAGGATTTGGGAATTTTGAGAAACTGCTGGCTTCAGTGTTAGCCATCTGCTGGACTTATATAATCCACCCAGCAATAAAACACTAGCTCTCCCATATGCTCCTCTCTGCCCCTGGGTGAAGGAGTAAACAAGGTGGGAGTTCACATATCTGTGTTCCAGCCCGGATTTGGCACCTGCTAGCTGTGTGACAAAGAGCAGCTTTCTTAATCTGAGCCTCAATTTCTTCATCTGTAAAATGAGCTACACTTATTTATGTTTACCTAGAATGTCTGCAATCTGTTTAGGTACATTTAACACTATCTTAAGAGTTTAGGTAAGTTTAGTTAAATATAGCACAGTTAATACCAAAATAATTTCAGCATGTAGTAGGTATATGTTCAACTGCACTTCAGTGGTTAAAAAAGAAGTTGTTTTCCAAACATGGTTGACCTAGTGCTTTGCCTGTGATATCCCTGAAGTTGCCTATCATGATCCATGCTGCCCCAGCTGAATGCCAGTCTTGTCTCCTTCAATATCACCACACTTTCATATTTGTAGCTTCAGGGACCACACCTTTGCCACACCCTATAATATAACTCTTCTATTATTACAATAGAGGAAGAGATGAGATGGTCTAGATGGCTTTTCTTTAGAAGTTCATCCTTCAAAAGCTGACCTTTATACAATTTTTAGGGTAATGAGTTGTGCTGATGGTATGAGACATGAAGAACATGTACTCTAAGGCAGAATCTCCCATCCTAGACACTACTGACATTTCAGGCTTACTAATTCTTTGTTATGAAGGGCTGTCCTGTGCGTTGTCAGATATTTGGCAGCATCAGTGGCCTCTTCCCATTACATGCCAGTAACACTCCCTACCCCAACTGTGACAAGAAAAACATTTCCAGATTTTGCCAAGTGTCCTCCGGAGGGCAGAATCACCCCTAATTGAGAACCTCTCCATTAAGGGCAATGCCTTTTTGATGTATAAACTTCCCCGTTATCAAAAGCAGACCTTGAGACCAGGAATTGGGTGCAAGTAGTTTATCTGGGAGATGATCTTAGGAAGCATTGTGAAGGAGTAGGGAAAGGAGTAGGAGAAGGGAAACCCAGTAATGGGTGAGCTTATGCGCAGGTTACTGCTGTGGGCATCAAGAGGTCAGTTTCACTGGGGACTCCTGGGACTATGCAGAACGCAACTAGGAATTGCCTCCCAGAGGAGCAGGGAAGACACGGTGTTTATTCTTCAATCCATGGGGCAGTATGCCCACCCCCTATCCTGATTCACCCCACCCCCAGACTTTTTCTTTTTGATTCAGATCCTTTTCAGTCTTATAACAGCAAAGCATGTTTTGTTTTTCTTTAAATGCCTGATTAATAAAAATATTCATTGTGAACAATTCTATTTTTTGGATTCTCAGATCCTCTAACTGTAGCTAGGCTAAAAAATATCCCAAATCTCCCCAGAACTAACATTCAAGGACTCTGTCTAGTGATTTAAGGCCAACCCTGAGAAATAAATAGAAAGAACATAGTCTGATGGCAAAGGTATAGGGGTGGGTGGAGCGGCACTCATCCTTTATCTTGCAAATTGAATACGAAAATAATTGCAAGGGAACAGGTAAGACTTCCCACATTGTCATTTTCCACTAAAGGCACTTTTGTAACGATGACTTCACTTCTGAATTGACATTGCATTGGCTCCTCTGACAGCCTTAAAGAGATACCATCAAGACTTTGTCACATAAATTGAACAATTTAGACAGAGCTTAGGCGACAATAAAATGAGCTTCAGCTGGAATGTGGTGGGGGCAAAGAGATGAATTTCTTATTCAGTCTGTACCAGTTCAACCTTCTTGCATCTCCTTTCCTCATAACCCATCTTAAACCTGTTATTGAACCATTTATCAGTTTGGAGCATAAAGAAGAAATTCAATTTTAGCAAAGAAAGCTAGAAATAGCTGCCAATCATCTCAGCAAATGGTAGACTGGTGAGTCTCCTTTTTTATTTATTTACTTTTTTTGTTTTTAAAATGAAAATTGTTTTCTTAACATTAAAATTGTCTAAGATAATACCTTGTGAATCATAAGAATGTGTTGTTTTCTGGCAATGAAAGCTTTGATAGACAACCACTGACTTGGCCATAGCTCCTGCTTTCCCCCTAAGGAGTTCGAAGCACTTTCAGTTACGCAATATCATCTTATTTCATTTTGTAAAACTAAGGCAAAAGAAGAGAGGGAGGATGAATACACATGAGTCTTAATTTGTCCAATTAAGGTGCAAAATATTAAATATTATGGTAAAAAAATAAAAAAGGTACAAAAAATAAGTGGGTTGGCCAATGTAGCCCAGAGAGTCTGAGTACTATGACAAGAGCCTCCTGAATCTTAGACTGCATTCATTCCATGGATGTGGCCCATGACCCTGGCAGGGTTTTCCCTTTAAGTAACCTGCGTGTCAGAAAACGTCTGCAGGATTCCGAACAGAAAGCTCTAACAAGCAGTTTGAAAAGTGCATCTCTAAGGCCAGATCCAAGGTCTTTGGCATGATTCTTATCCTGATCAGAACAAAGTGCAAAGATTTCACATCAGCTGAGACTTTTTAATATTAAGAAACAGAAACAATCATCCCCTTTCCTGCCAGGCATGGCAGTGCAAACACCAGCAAAGTTTACCTTTCTCGAAAACCCATGATCTGCTTTTCAAGGGGAAGATGAAAGCGCCAGGATTAGACAATGGTTCTGAAACACTGGCTGACTTTTGAATATTCATGACTATTCTGATGCAAATGAATATCTCAAATTGAGCTGTTTTTGCCGAGGTGCTGTTGGAAATGTATACGCTTATGAAATTGCTTTCCTAGTTCTGCATATCTCCAAGAATGGCTTCCTTTGCTTATTTATATTTCTCCTAGAAGGATTCCCAGGTGTCAGTCTTGGGCTGGAGTTTTAGCTGGCTTCTTTTCATCAAAAACTAGGACTACAGTTTAGCTTAACCCAATAGGAAAGCCTTACTTTTTTTATAGTAGCCCACATCTGATAGGCCCTCCTTGTTCTGCCAGCGGCCAGAGGCTTATCACACATCAAATTGTTTTTCCTTTGAGGTAACCTCAAACCAAAGCTCACTGTTCCCTGAAGAACAAAGAGAGAGTGAGAACGTTGAGCCAGTGCTTGGGAGTGCTCAGAGGGTCAGGAAGCCAGGAGGTCTGTTTGGATTTTGCTGACTCTGTGCACTAGAAGTGTCTCACCATGGTGGGCATTGGGTGTGGCAAGTGGCTTTGCCGGATCAAAAGACTTTGAAGAAGACACATAGACTTCATGGGCTGATGGAGACTTTAGAGACCTCCAAAGCACAGTGAGTGTTCCAGGTTTTCCTGGGAAGCTGTGGGACCTCCTTCCCTCTTCAGGCTGGATTCAGAAACAGTGATTGCTGGTCAGGCCCAGGACAAAAATGGGAGGCAGGAAGGGGTGGTCATTCCTAGAGGAGAAACATGGGTCATTGTGAAGTCAAGGACAGTTTCTGAAAGAAGAAGACAGTTGCTTAGCTCTGTCCAAGGCCAATAAAGGAAGCTGTTGGGACCCTCCTATGTCTCTCAGTAGGTGGGGTGAGCTTCTATGCCGCAGATACCTGCTGGGATATGGCAGGGAAGCCTTGTTCCAGGGCAGTCAGGTCCCACTAGAGGAGAGGATGCTCTCTTCCAGGTCTTTAATCTGCCTGGGTTCCTGGGACTGTCCCTAGGACACCTCCTGAAAGGCCATGCACGTGGCCTCTGACTCCATCCTTGTATAGTCATTGGAAGTTTACTTTCTTGCCTCCCAGTCTTCCTCTCTCCAACCCAGGCTTCACCCACAAATACTCCCTGTGCCCATGGAGAGGACTCTCCTCTCCACACCTGACTTATGGTTATCCAGTGAGTACTTATATGTTCCAGGCCCTGTGCAAGACTGGGGACACAAAGTGAATTCAACACAATCTTATTCTGTTCAGTGCTTCTTGGTCTATGGATCCAAACTTCTTTTCCACCCCCAATGTGTCTCTCTGTTCCATGATTATTCCCTTGCCATATCTTTGCCTGGGTGTTTTCTTTACCTAGAGTGCCCTCTCCTCTGAGCTCCAATTTTGCAAAGCCTACGCCCACTTCTGAGGCATGCAAGAGTTGTCTTTTCCATTCAGCCTCCTCTGGTTTTTTCCTTTTCTCTCAACTTCTGTGTCAGATCTGTTCTGTGTAATTTAGCACATAATTTTAAATGGCCTTAGTTTGTCTAGTGACTATTTTGAGTGTGTAAACTAGTCTGGTCTCCTTAACAAATACATAAATTCTTCAAAGGTTGCAGCCCTATTTTACAGTTATTCTGAATCTCTTCTCAACTTGCCATTCCCACTCCAGCACTCAGCTGAGTGCATGGTAAATGTCCAATAACTACTGTTGGTTATTGTCAGAGTGACTCTAATGAGGACAATGCACTGCTCCTGACAGTCCATCAGCAGGAATGGAGGTGGGTAGGTGGTGGGAGGGTGAGGAACCTGTCTGTAGCCCAAGTTTCTGGTCATATAGAGCAGCTCTGTCTCTGAAGTAGCCCCTGAATATAATACAAGCAATGATATCAGCAATTCTTAACTAAAAGGCAGAGAAACATTTATACAAAGAGTGGATCTCATTCATTTTCTTTCAGATCATGGGAAGTTTCTACTCCATAAAAAGTTCTAAGAGTCATCAAACATGACCTTCATGTGACCTTTGACAAATTACTTACCTTTCTGAGCTTCCTCATCTTTCATTATCTACAAAATGGGAATAACAGCACCTAACTGACAGTGTTGTTGAGGGGATTAAATTAGGTCATGCATGTAAACCATTTAGCCCAAGGTCTGGAAAAGAGTAGCCGCTAAATTATTAATTGCTATTATACTTGTTATCATTATTATTGTTGTCTTGTTAAACCAATATTTTCCAAAGTCTGATAAGGGGATTATTAAGTGGTAGATAAGATAGTTTTATCTGATGCATTGACTGACTTTAAAAAATTTTTAATTTATGCTAGGAAAAATATTTAATCACATTTGCAATTTCATGGGTATTATTTCTATTTAATTATTTACTGCTGCATAGCAAATAATCCTCAAACTTAGTGGCTTTAAACAATTATTTATTTATTTATTTAATTTGTGATCTGGGCTAGGCTCAGCCAGGTAGTTCTGCTATTCTTCACTCCCACAACTGGCCCCTGAGCATAGATGGCTGGAACAGTTGGGGCTAGCTGGGATTCTCTCCTTCAGTGCCATCTCTCCAGCAAGGCACCTGAAATTTTTTTACATGGTGGCTCAGGGGTCCAAGAGCAAGTGTTCCCAGAGGACAACTCCCATCATGCAAGTGCTTTTCAAGTCTCTGCTTGGTCTTACTGCAAATGTCCCATTGGCCAAAGCAAGTCACATGCTTAAGCTCAGAGTCAGCATCCAGGGATTGCACAAGGCTGTGAATAGTAGGTGATGTGGTTCATTGGGGACCACCAATGTAGCAGTTTATCACAGCCATAATTTACCCACAGTTGCACAGCTGTTAAGTATCCAGGCTGGAATTGAGCATTCTGCTTCAGAATCTGTGGTCTTAATCTGTGGTCTTAACCTGCAGCTGTCCTCAAGTAGTGTTTCAATGATCTATTCTCAAACTAGGGACTTAAAGCAGCACATATTATATTATGCTCATTGATTTTGTAGGCTATGAATTCAGATAGCTCACAGCAACGATGGCCCATCTGTACTTCACAGTGTCTAGAACCTCAGCTGGGATGGCTTAAATTTCTGAGAGCTGGCTAAGATGGTTCAACTGGAGTCATATGTGTGAAGTCTTGGTTCTCGCTGTCTGATGGGTTCCTCAGTTCTCCTCCATGTGACCTTCCCACATAAGGCCTAGCACCTGGGCTTTTTCACAGCATGGTGATCTTGAGTATTCAGATTTCTTACATAGTGGCTGGCTTCTCTTTAGAGAACAAGGTGAAAACTGTCAAGCCTCTTAAAGAGGCCATATTCTATTGGTCAAAAAATGTCACAAGGCCAACCCAGAATCACAGAAAGGAGAAATTGACTCTACCTCTTGATAAGAGAAGTAGCATGAATATTCACAGARGGAAGGAATTGATGGTGGCCATATTTGGAGACTTTCTACCACAGTATGCTTAAGGACTGAAATCCTTAATACTAATTTAAGGCTGTTTTTTAAATAGACCTTAGTTTTTAAGGAATTATCAGATTCACAGAAAATATTGAGAAAAAGGTACAAGGATTTCCCATATATTCTCTGTCCCCACACATGCATAGCCATTATCAGCATCCTGAACAAGTGGTACATTTGTTGCAGTTGATGAACCTACACTGACACATCATTATCATTCAATGACCAGAGTTTACATTAGTATTCACTGTTGGTGTGCATTTGTCTAAAACATTAGACAAATGTAGAATGACATGTATCCACCTTTACAGCATCATACAGAGTAGTTTTACGGCCCTAAAAATCCTCTGTGCTCCTCCTATTCATTCCTTTCTCCCTACTAACCCCTGGAAACCACTGATCTTTTTACTGTCTCCATAGTTTTGCATTCTCCAGATTGTCATGTAGTTGGAATCATAAAATATGCAACATTTTGTCTTCTTTCACTTAGTAATATGCATTTAAGTTTCCTCCCTGTCTTTTCATGGCCTGCTAGGTCATTTCTTTTTTAGCGCTGAATAATATTCCATTGTCTGGATACACAGTTTATCCATTCACCTACTGAAGGACATCTTGATTGCTTCTAAGTTTTGGCAATTGTGAATAAAGCTGCTATAAACATTTGTGTGCAGGTTTTTGTGCAGATATAAATTTCAACTTTTTTGGGTAAATATCCAAGAAGCGTGATTGCCGACTTGAATTTAAGGTTTTAAAGTTAGTCAAGCTGAAGAAAAAAATAAGTTAATAATATGAAACTGAGCCACTTGAAATTTTCTACAAAACTGTCTGAAATTTCTGGTTGTGTAGATCAGGTTCCAATATTGGTAAGTTTATATGGTTCAACCTGAAAGTACAGTGGTCCTAGGATACGGCAAAGATCTCAGTAGTGATATGCAAATAACTAAAGTTTGGGAAACATCTTCTAATTGAAGTATTTTACCTCCTAATGACTTTTATTCTCTCATGTGTCTTTGACTAAAACTTGGAAGATGCCTATTTGGACAATGTGTTTTGTTGGTGGTGATGGTGCTGGTGGGGGTGGTGGTTTGGAAAAGGGATGATGTAGACTACAACATATCAGGTGCCTATTGAATATACACATTCATCAAAATGTCCCTGGCTTAAGGGACCACAAACTTCCCTGGGTTTGCTACAAGCCAGACACCTGAGACAGCTGGCAGACTCTTTGAACTTCCTGGGGAAAATGTCTTTGATTCTTTTTGATTCCCAATTTTCTACGTCTTCAGACATGTCAACAGAAACTCCATCAGCTTGGTGAGACAGGAAAACCATTTTCTAGCATAAGTTCGTGCAGAAATTGGAAAATGAATCATTTGAACATTTGGTTATAAGGGGTGTGTATCTGAGGAGATTATTCTCCAAAATAGACTGCCCAACAGTTGAAGAGACTTCTTAGACTAGGCTCTGACGACGAATCAGAACTTCAGAGATTGTGAAGGTAGGATTTCGACACTTTACAGAATTTTATTCAGTAGTTAGTCTCTACTAGGTTAAAAACAATTTCCCTCATCACCATCCTAGTTGTTTTTCAGCTGGCAGCCCATTGTCATGGAAAGAAAGATTGTAACCAAATATGCTGTGGATCTTCAGTTAAAATATTCCAATATTGTTGGAAGGTTTGGAATTGGTAAAATAATTTTAGGGTTGCTTTCTTTCATCTCAACTCTTTCTGAGTGAAATTTGTAGGAGAAAATTTTTATTCAAAAATAGTATCCAGAATATTTAAATGTTCCAAATAAAGTCAGCACCAAGTCCACAGCCCTCTCCAAAATGAAAACAAAAACAAACCCCCAAAATACTCCAAACTGTTTTTTCCAATGGAATTTCCTGAAGAAATGCTTCAAAAGGTCTAGCTACCTCCAAGATGGCTTAAGTCACACTCTTCCCTTAAGCCTCAGTAATGTACTTGCCTCATGTTCTCAGTGGCTTCTCAAGTTATTTTGGCTACTCAGCTCTGACACTTAAATAAAAACTTGATGACAGAAGAGGTTTCATTATGTGTGTGAATGTATTTTCTTCAGCTCATCAGTGAACGGCAGACTAGAAGTCATTCAGAGGCCGGAACAGTAATGTCAAAGCTAATTCAGTCCCTCACAGGTCAAGGCTGTGACCATGGCTATAGCATTTGTCAGACAAACAAATGCATAGCACTTCTGTGAGCATCTTTCCTGCGCAGAAAATCACACCTTAAAATAAGTGGGCAYTGATTTCTCTTGCTCCCATCTGTGTTTATCTTAGTTCTTTCACTGGGGATAAAGCAGAGATGGTGTTGTTCCTGCCTGGCCAGTAACTCTTCCACACTTTTCTCTCCTACAGCATTTCAATAGCACATGTCAGGATCACACTTGTTATTACATGCCTATTACTCACCACTGATAGGTTGAATTTTATTTTTTATTTTTGTTTACTTATTTTTGAGATGGAGGCTCACTCTGTCACCCAGGCTGGAGTGCAGTGGCACGGTCTCAGCTCACTGCAATCTCTGCCTCCTGGGTTCAAATGATTTTCCTGCCTCAGCCTCCTGAGTAGCTGGGACTACAGGTGAGTGCCACCATGCCTGGCTAATTTTTGTATTTTTTAGTAGAGACAGGGTTTCTCCATGTTGGCCAGGCTGGTCTTGAACTCCTGGCCTCAAGTGATCCACCTGCCTCGGCCTCCCAAAGTGCTGGAATTACAGGCGTGAGCCGTCACACCCAGCTGATACGTTGAATTTTCATATGACATTATTTTTCTCTTATATGAACACCCCAAAATATTACAGTCTTTGTGTAAGGATTTTTATCTTTTCAGGAAGATAAACTGATTTTACAGTTAAATTCTGGAACCAGTTATTCTTAATTTTTCTCATTTTTGATGCAAATTATATAGAGATGATAGATTTTATTGTGATTGCCCTGGACTGTCAAAATGGTCTTAAATTTAACAATTCCTTCATCCAGAAGTTGTTTAAATATATATTTATTTAATAAACAAAGCAAGAATATGCAAAATAACAATAACGTTTCCTCAGGAATTACACATGACTAATTTTTTTCCAGTGAATGCCAACTAGAACTAAAATTGCCTAGTGAACAATGGTCTGCCTGTGTCATCATCTTAATTGCCAAATCTTGAAAACTTAGCAAAGAAAAATGATGCCTGTAATTTCTAATTATAAACATATAAGGTGGGGTGACCCTGAATGCTAAATTTCCAATTAAGACATGCAAATAAACAGTCGCATCATGTTTCACAATACCAGCCATCTGTTCCCAAAGCCTGTAGGTTCTCCCTCACTGTAAGAAACAGTTAAGTAAAAGAGAGGGTCAGATATCAGCTTTTATAGCCAGTATAGATTAGAAATCATACCATATATATTTTAATGAATATAATTTTATTACTTTAAGAATATTTTATTGTTTTTTAAAAATGATGGCCAAAAGATCCTCATTTAATATTTAGAAATGTATGAAGTAAAAAGTGAGGGAGTACCCTATAATTTCTCTATCCCCTTCCCTACTTCAGATGTAACCACTTTAGACTCTTCAGCAAATTTATTTTTCATCCTTTTGCTCACTTGAAAAGATGAGTTCTGCCTTCTTCCTTATTGATTTCCAAGAGCTCTTTATATGTAATATTTAACTACATGAGATTTGTAGGTGTGAGTGAGACTAAATGCTGTGAATAATAAACAAATCTTGTGTAAATAGGAATAGAATAAACTCTCTACTAAGCAAAATGTTTTGTGGAAGATGCTTTATGTGTTTTACTTTCATAGAGCAGTTTACCCTCATCGTTAGGGAATGCTCTTTCCAAAGACTGGACACAGTGATTACATTTTGTTATCATCTTGGCTTGGCTGTTTTGGGGATAATAAGGTTTAGAATTGGAATCTGTTTCCCAGCAGTTATTGCCTGCATGGTTATACTTTATAAAATGCATGCTCCCCCATCAAGGAGTTGGAGGATAAGTCCCATCTTTTATATGTGGGCTACATATAGGGACTGCCTTCCAAAGAGTACAGTATGGACAGGGAGATAATGTAAATTTTCGGTGGAGAAACATGTCCAACATGACCTCTGCCGTGTAATCAAGGTTAATATTAGTAGTGGTAAGTCATGCTCACAGTATACAGCCTAGATATGGTGTGATCAGAATGGCACTTTACTTCTGCGGTCTCTCTCTCCAAAACTGATAACCACAGTCTAACCATGAGAAAAGCACACTGGACAAACCCACACAGGGGGACATCGTGCAAAGTATCTGATTAGTACTCTTCAAAACTGTTAAAACAGGTCATCAAAAACAAGGAAAATCTGGGAAACTGTCACAGCCTAGAGGAGTCTAGGGAAACACGACTACTAAGTATATATAGTACAGTATCCTGGATGAGATTGCAGGGAAGAAATGGGGCATCGCTAAAGTTGAAGGAAATAAAAATAATGTGTGGAGTTTCATTAATAATAATGCATCATTATTGGCTTATTAGTTGTGACAAGTGTACCATAAAATATAAGATGCTAATAACAGAGGAATCTGGGTGTGGTAACTCTGTACTATCCTTGCAAATTTTCTTTAAATCTTAAACTATTCTAAAATAAGTGTGCTACAAAAATGAATGGCAAATATTTGAATTGACCCATTTCCCCAGTGAAGCTATAAACCTGATTTAGACTGGTTGTGACTACGACACCCTCCAAGGCTGACCCTGAACTTTATTAATTTAAATGCAGCAGCAACAAACAAAATCTAACTTTGGAATGATTTTTCTAGGGAGGCTGAGGTTAAGGTTAGCAGTCATTGTGGCTGTATGACCAGACCAGTGAAAATACCGAGACCATAAAGGGTGACTCCATTGAACCATTTCATTTTGCAGATGAAGAAATTGAGGCCCAGAAAGAGGAAGTCATTCACTGGGGTTTTGTGAACACTGAAGTTGAACCCATATTTTCTGCCTCCTAATTCAGGGTTCATTCTCCTCCCTCATGCTTCTTCCTGAACCCTTCTGCTCAACACAAAAGCTTGCTTTTGCTTTCCTCCTGTTTTGTCCAAAGATGGGGGTGCCACATATCCTAAACATCATATTTAAAAAAAGAGAGAAAAATGCATGAAATTTTGGATTAAGTTGAGATGGGTCTGAATACCAGCACTTTTTTGGTCTCTGAGTCTGTTTTCCTCACTTACAAAAACGACTTCAATAATCCCTGCCTCTCAGGATTCAGTGAGATTCTGTACATAAAACCTAGTACACAGCCTGGCCACCCAGGACCCTCATTAATTGATGGTTTCCATAAAAATACATATTTGTATACCAATGGCAGTGACAAGATGCCATGGGCCCTTAAATAGCACATATGAATTACATAATAACTATATTCATGGAAGCTTTTCCTAACCAGGGAAAGCCAGCTAACCATAAAGCCAGCTGCCTCTGCAGGCCTTCCTCTTCACCACAGTGTTCTCTGTTAAAGTCAAGCCTAGTGAGTGGGGAGATTTACATGGCAAATTAGTGCATGAGTTTCAAGAGATAGCCTCCTCCTGCATGGGGGCTAGGAGACAGCAGTTTGACTAAATGCATTATTATTATGATATATTTTTTAAATCACAGGCTGGAAGCAACACAATTTGATGCCTTGGAATGTTCAGCTTGGTCTCTAAATATTGCATTGATATTGAATTGTCTCTTTTCCTCACAGCTGATAAAAAACTGAGATTTGTGTTTCAGATGGCAATTAATAAGGATAATCTCCATTCTTCATTTTCATTTTAATGCAGAAAGCAGTGTGTGCATTCTATGACTGATCTTGTGGTCTGCCTTTGATGGCCAGTCCCAAACACTCTTACTTATCATAGAGGCAGGCAAAGAAATGTGGCAAGACAAACCATTATTGCATAGTTTGTCAAATTTTAAAATATTTTTAAAAAGTAATGGATTAGCAGCTTTCATTATGGAGTTCTTTAGGAGAACATTTCCAACATTGCAGAAAGGTCTTATGAGCTGTTCTAGACGATAATTTCCTCAGGCTCTTCTGTTCTGTAGATCCCTGAAAATCTTGTCTAAACTGAATATCTATTAGTCAGGATAGCCTAAGTTTTGCTGCAGTAACAACTTCCAAACCTTGGTGGCTTCAAACAACAAAGGTCTATTTCTCAGTCATATTACATGTCCAATGCAGGACCTAGGTTGAGAAAGAACCCACCATCTGGAAAATTGTCAATCACTCTGGCAGAGGTAAAGAAAGTTCTGTGGGTCTTGAACCACCAATTGGTGCCCCAGATCAGAAATGACATGTCATCTTCATTAACAACCCATTGGTCAGAACAAGTCATATAATCCCACCTAGCCACTAGGGGAACCAAGAATTTCAGAGAGAAAACCTGGATATCAGTGAGCTGGTCTGTTGACATCAGTTGACATGATCACTTACTCATTTTTGCTCATGAATTTACTCAGCAGATGTTTGAATATCTGCAGGTAAGCCCTGGGCACACAGAGATGAGCAAGCAGGCATGATTCTTGTTCTTAGGGAGCTTACTAATTATTTGCCAGTAAATGACCATTAAAAGAACAATGACAGTGACAAGACATAAGTATTCTGATAAGGAAAGGACAAGATGCTTTAACATCAGCAAAGCAAGCAGTTTTCATGGGTGTCAGTAAGATAACCGGAACTATGAGTATTTGTTTCAGTTAAAGAATCCAGAATCAGCACTAGGATAGGAAAGCAGGGGCTTCTGTTTATTCTTTCAATCTCTTCATGTGCAGATTTGCTCCATTCCTGAATGAAGCCCAAGAGAAGTGTTTAGCTAGCCCCTCCCTGCCAAGTGGTCATTTTGACTGCAAATGCCTTGGGCAGGTTCCTGGAGGTTGCATGGACACTTGCCTATGTGGGCACACTAGCCCATGCTCACAAGATTCTCCATGGCACCCAGGGCTGGTGTTCCTGACACAGAGGCCGAGCTGGGCAGCAGGTGTGCAGTCCCGTCTGGATTTTCACACTGGAGAAGCCAAGAGCCCAGCGTCACTTCAGTGAGTCTCCATGGCATTGTGGATGGAGGCAGCAGGGAGGTGCCACCAGGTCCTGCCTGGATGGCTCTTGCTCCCTTCCAAGTTCCCTGGTACTTTGCCCTTATCTTCTGACCTGCCCATCCACGGAAGAGGATATGTGGCTGAGTGTCACAGTTCAGCTCCTGTTATCTGGTTTAGGGGGTCTCTACAAAGTACAAATTCATTAAATCCCCATTTCCAATGATGTGATTCTTTTTCTTTATCCTTCCCCTTAAATTCATTCATTCATTTATTCATTCAAAATAGACATGCTGGGAGACAGCATGACAGTTACAAGCCTGGACTCTGAGGCTAGACTTCCTGAGTTTGCATCCCAGCTCTGCCACTTGTAGCGTGTGACCCTGAGCAAGTTATTTAACCCTTTTGTGCCTCATCTATAAAGTGGGAATAATAATTGTAACTACTTCAAATGCTTGTTGTGAGGATTGCATTTGTTAATAGAAGTAAAGTGCTTTGAAAGTTACCTGGCACATAGTAAGCACTCAAATTAGCTGTTATTATTATCCGTATTTCATTATTATTGTTCCTAAGTACCTGCCGAAGTGCTCAGCAGCACAGTTTTCTTTTAAAATTAGGGCTGGGGAAGATACAAAGTCAGAGAAGCAGCTGTGTAGCATGGTGGCTAAGGTACAAGCTTTGCAGTCAGCCAGACCTGGATTCAAGTCTGGGCTCTGTCATTTACTAACTGTGTGACTTTTTGTAAATTATGAAGCTAGCTCATCTGTAAAATGTGGATAATGATTCTCATGGTTTTCACAGGAATTGGCTGAGATGATGGATGTACCTCAACACTTAGCACCTATTGAACACTCAATACAGTCTGGCTGTAGAAGTAGCACTAGGGGGAGAAGAAGACAGTTAGTGGATGCTAGACAAGGAAACAAGCACATAATAGATGGTTGTTCTTGAGATGTGCAGGACAGTGAGGTGGAACCATGCAGGACAGAAGTATGGGCTCCAAAAAGGAAGCAGGGATTTCTGAGGGGGTGATCATAGAAGGTTTTTTTGTATGAGATATCATGGAAACTGGGCCTTGAAGGGTGGGTATGGATGGGTCAGGCAGGAAAGGAGGGAGGAAGCAATCCACATATAGGAAGAGGCAGGCCTTGAAGCCCAAGCTAATGTGATCTCATCTTATTGGGTAAACAATGGGGAGCCATTGAAGGATTTTGAGTTGGAGAGTGACCTGGTCACTAAGATCAAAGAAGGAAGTGGGGAAGTAACTTCACAGAGCAATGGGGCCAATTGACATGTATTCAAGTAGAGGAGATACAAATCATAACAGTGGCATTTAGAGCACTTACTGTGCGCCTGGCGCTGTCCTAAGCCTTTGATTGCATTAACTTACTAAATCTTCATAGCAATTCCGCTGAATGGGTATTCTTATTATTCCCAAGTTACAGATGATACAGAGTAGTTAAGTGACTTGCTTAAAATCACACAATGAGAAAGTCTGGGTCCAGGATTCAAACCTAGATAGCCTGGCCCTGAGCCTGTGCTCTGCTCCATGAGATGCCTGCAGTTTTGTGGGCACCAGAGAAGGACAGAGCGAAATGGAATATACAGATGATGGGAGATGTTGCTTCTCCAAGGAGGACTGATGGGAAGAGTGATTTAAAATTCATCTTGGGATATAGGAGAACCCTGGTTCTCTGAAACATTGAAGAGGAACTATGAGTAGAAGAAGGCAGTGTAGGATGAGGGCAGCTGAGGGACCTCCTGGGAAGTAGCTTAGATGTTCTAACTTGAGGAAGAGTTGAGAGGGAGGTGGCAGAAGGGTGGTGCTTATTGGGGGTTTATTTAAAAAAGGGAGCTTTTGAAATAGAGTCCCTGACCATATAACCTAACAAAAGGTTTGTTGTGCCAGGCTAGGCACTTTCTGGGAGGGCAGTGCAGCCAGAACTGAACTGGCTGCCCAATTCCAAGCTCTGTCATTTTCTAGCTGTGTGACTTTAGGCATGTCACTTAACTTCTCTGTGTCTCAGTTTCCTCGTTTGGAAAATGAAGCTACTTACCTCATAGGGTTGTTAAGAGGATTGGACCTGCTAGTTAACGGAGAGCAGTTAGGCCTTAGGATAGTTATCCCTATGCAAGTGGTAGCTACAATTATGGTTGTTGTTATTTTTTTTTACAATGCCAGAAATATTTTTAATAGTTTTACTGAAGTATAAGTGGTATGCAAAGAATTACAGATATGTAATGTGCAGAATTTGATGAGTTTAGACATATGCAAAAACCCGTGATACCATCACTGTGATCAAAATAATAGTCACATCCATCACCTCCCAAAGTTCCCTTGTGTCCTTTTGTTTTTGGGGTGTGTGTGTGTGTGTGTGTGTGTGTTAAGAACATTTAACATGAGATCTTCCCTCTTATCAAAATTTGAAGTGTCTAATACAGTATTGTAAATTATAGGCGCTATGCTGTGCAATAGATCCCTAGAACTTAATCATCGAGCAGAACTAAAATTTTACACCCATCGAACAACAACTCTCCACTTTCCCAGTCCCCAACCCCTGGAAACCACTATTGTATTCTATGCTTCTGTGAGTTTATTATAGATAGCTCATACAAGTGGAATCATTGGCAGAAATCCTGACAGCTCAGGGCAGAAAGGGAATAGTTGTAGCTGGTGGCCCAGGCCTCTCAGGGCGAGCCCCACAGCCTGGTGGCTGGAGTACAAGAGCTTCCATGATGTTTCAGGTTGCAGGTGTGCAATGACTACCTTTGGTCAATGAACTTTCTTCTTTTTCTGGTGACAAATTCCAGAATCACCGAGGAAGCCTTTTGATTCTAATTCCTATTGTGAGAACAGATGTGTTCAGTAGCGTGCTTACTAAATAAGATACCAAGCCGAGGGGAAACATGGAGGCTTATGAAAAAATGCCAGGTACACTAACAAAGGAACTTGGGTAATCTGTGCTTCAAACCACAGATGCTACCACCCCCTCATCAAGGTTTCAGTTGGTTTAAAAGCCTTCTCCTCAATTTCCTGTTTCAGGGCAGACCTTCTATCTTATTTGCCTTTACCATCTGCCGTCTCCCCACCCTCACTCCAGGGGCATTAGAGATTCTGATCACTAACAAAACTGAAGATGTTGGGACAGGTGACTTACAAGGCTTACAGACAGCAAGGCTTCTGTGAGAGAGGGAAGTCAAAAGGATTCCATTTTAATTTGAGAGCATACTATGTTACATCTGTAGGATGTGACACACTCAATTGATAACTACTCACTATATCAGCAATATTTTGAACTCAATCTGCCAGCATCTCAGATGAGATTAATTTCAGAGGTACTGTCTTTTGATGCTAGGGAGCCACATTGGCGGCCCCAGTTCACCTATTGACTTGGGTCATTGGAAATGGCAAGAGTTGGGGAGATGGAGAAGATGTGCCTCTCCAGTCTCCACTAGATACTCCCATGTAACACACCTCCACAGGCTTATTCCACTAGTTAAAGGTTATTTGGATTTACAAATACCTATGTGCCTTATGGAATTTTCACCATTTGTCTTTCATTACCCAGCTGAATCAGAGCCTCTAGGGGCCACCTGAATTTCCTGAAGCCAGGGGCAGAGGTGAGAGAAGAGGGCAGGGAAGATGGGGAGGTTTCCAGAAGCATTTGACCTTCTTTGCAAATTTGCCCAGGATCTTTTGGCCTTCCATGCTGAATGCCACCGAAAGACGACCACATAGAAAATGTCATAAAGAAGTTACAAAATGTATGCTTACGTGCAGAAGAGAGCATCTGAATTTCTTTGAAATTCATTCACTCAGAGGGCCATCATTTATTTAATAAGCATTTATATTCAATGCTCTCAGCTTTGTCTGCACATTGGAATCACCTGCCAAGATTTTAAAAACTCTGATGTCCAGGACATACCTCAGACCTGTTAAACCAGAATCTCTAGAAGTGGGACCCAAGCATCCATATTTTTGGAAAGCTCCCCCCAGGAGATTCCAAGGTGCAGCTGACATACATGGTGCTGAGTGCTTTTTTGCGTGTATTAATCCATTTAATTATCACAACAATCTTATAAGAGAGATGCTGACATTGTTCCCATTTTACAGGTGATGAGACAGAGGCACAGCAAAGTCTCTGCAAGAACACATGGCTGATAAATTTCAGAGTGTGGATTTGAACCCAGGCCATCTTGCTCCAGAGTTAATACTCTTAGCCAACAGGTTCATTTCCTGTCACTACATGAAAAACGCAAGTTCCTGGCAAAGCCTCTTACTGTAAAGTAGCCATGGAGCCGGGGATGGAGGCCCTGTATCTGTTTTCTGGGAAGCCGAGAAAAAGATCTTACCAAGCAATGCCACATTTATAATTAGTGGTTTTAAAAAATTTCTACCAGAAAGTGCAAACTTTCCCATTCCTCCCACAGACCGAGGGTAAAATTTCCAACTTTTCCTTTCCCATATCCACCCAAAAAAAGGTCAAGAGCTGGGATCCAGCCTGAATTAAGTGGAGTGTGGGTGTAGTTTGTCAGCTGGGTCTTCTGTTTGTGGTTAAGGTCCAGCCCATCAGGTTGAAGGCTTACTGACACATGTGTGGGAATGGGAGGTTCGTCATATGCTTGTCTTAAATTAGTCTGCTGCTTCATTAGATGGACTAAAAAGCTGAGGAAAGAGGATGGGGCTGCAAGGGGAATGGTATCTGGTCCCAGTTCCTCCCCCAAACCAGCCCTGGAACGTTAGTGAGTAACTTCACTTCCCTCTGCGCTTGGCCACCTCTTCGGTAAAATTAAGAGAGTTGGATTCCATTCAAAGTCACATCTCAGTTCAGCCAAGAGACATGCTTTTCTTGGCCCCACAGTGCTTTCAAATTTTTTGAATTAATTGTGAACATTAAACAATTGGAATCATTTACATAAAAATCTAGATTTCCAGCTTCTTTTGAAAAATTGGAAGAGATGTTCTTGCCACATTGGGTCCCATAGGACAACCATGGGCTGGAGTTGAGAGCCATCCACTCTCTTTAGATGGGACATACTCTCCCCAGGTTTCCATTCCTCACCTGGCCAATGTCATTGTTTACTTACCTGCCTGGCCGCTATAGACTATGGGGAAATCTGATCATAGTCCCTTCCAGAAGTCGAAATACCTTTATCCATGGGATCTTAAAACCTGTAAGGCAGGGGCGAAATCTTATAGACTCGGGCTTAGTCAAAATTTTCATGTAAAGATAAGGATGATCAAAGGAAAACTAATAAATGGTAATGTTCTCTCTTAGATACTTGCCTATGTTTTATCTTTAACCTCAAAACATAGAATTCATAATATTTGGCATACTTTCTGTGTATTTTTATATTCTGGCTCACTTTTGGAAGGCGTAGGCAGAGACAAAACAAAAGCCATAAAAGGTTACAAAGAAATTGCGTAGTCAAGAAGAGAAGACACCAGGATAATGTGTTCTCAGAAGGACAGTCTGAAATTACAGAGGAACTACCTGTTCTTCAAAACAAAATTATCTGAAATAAATTCCAAGAAAATATGCCAGGTGGGTGCTAAATCTGATGTTTTTATATAGTCCACATTTAATAAAATTATCTTCTTTGACAGGATGTGAAGTTTTTAGGGAGCTAGGCTATTTATTTAGAAACTTTCATTTGATCAAAAGTCACCAGAAATCACACATAAGTTTAATTTTGTTAACTCTTAAAGCTCTTCAGATAGGACCATAATAAAAATACAGCTGGATGCAAATAAATTAGTGTAATGCAGCCTGACCACTCACAACATTGTTTTATGCATTTTGTTTATTTTTATTGAATATTTGTGAAAACAAAAGTAATATATACATATATAAAATACAGTAGAAAGGTGAGAAATGAGCAGTAAATGTCTCTTCTCCTTTATCTTTTATTATTTATTGTGGTAAAATACATATAAAATTTACCATCTGGACCATTTTTAAGTGTACCATTCAGTAGAGTTAAGTATATTCACGTTGTCATGTTTTCTCTCTTAACCCCAATATTAACCCCAGTTATGTTTTTCTATATTATTTCAGAAAATTATATGCACATTTTTATTATTCATACAAATAAATTTCCTTACATCTTCCAAAGCTTTGACATCACCATAGACCAATCTTTCTTGTTCTTTGCAATGACTACAGAATACTCCATTTTTATAAATAGGCCATAATTTACTTAACCAATTCTTTATTAGTGGATACTTAGACCATCTTGAGATCTCGGCTGCTACTGAAAAGAAAAAAAAATCCTATAGTAAACATATTTGGTCCATACATCTTGACCTATGTACAAGTGTATCTTGTGGGTAAATTCTCAGCAGCCAATAAACTGAAACATTTGTTCGGTTGAAATTTTTCTATCTGAACGTGGATATAGTTCCATAATAACACTTTTTAGATTGGGTAGAATACTCATGATAAACTATAATGACATATGTGATAAATTTCAGTGGTAGCTTGGACCCTGGGATTAGATGACCTACTTCCAAATCTAGGCTTTCACAGACTAGCTGTGGGGCCTTGGAAAACTTGCTTATAACATCACTTGCTTCAACTTCCTCATCTGAAAAATGGGATTAATAATACTACCTGCCTCTAAGGGTTGATGGAAGAATTGCTGAATGAACAATACCTGGCACATAGTAAGCATTATATGCATTAGCTATTATTTTAGATCTCTTAATCATAAAATTTGAGCTTGATATTTTAGACATGATAGCTCATCAGATATTTTCAATTAAAAGTTTTCAAGATCCCAACATTTTATTCTATAATTCTATTCCCAAGGCATCTGTAAAATAGACAAAACCTCACAACATGCAAAAACTAAAAGGCCTTACCTGTACTCAATCAATTCTTGTTTTCTTCTGTTTCTTTAGGAGTACTTTGGATTTCTCTTTCTTTTTTCTTATATTTGGCATGGGAATTGCACTTAATTTTCCTGAACTTACTCTGGGTCAAATGAAAACCTGGGATGACTTTTTGTGAGAACAATTCTTTACCACACCCTAAATGTCTGAAAATCTCCCCCATACTTTGCAAAATAATTTTGACTTTGTTTAGTTACCTATAATGACTCATTTCTTTTCATAATGAGGATACAGCCAAAAGAATCCCTATGATGTCCTTCTCCTCAGTTTCCCTGACTTGGGTGGGTGAGAGAAGAAGGCTGCAGATTTACCAATAGCCCATCTGCTGGGTGGCCACTGGCTACCTGCCTGGATTCTGAAGGTCTTACTTTGTGTCACAGAGCCCAAACCACTCACTCTTTGTTCCAGACTAGTTCTTCCTTGCTTATTTTTAGCCTTACAGAAAGCCTCTCCCATCCCTCTCTATCGCTTTGATTAACGGCCTTTTGTTAGAGCGACAAGGATGATTCAGGTGAAACAACAGAAACACTGGCAAAGAAGAGGTTGGTTGGCAGGAAAGATGGTGGGATGGCATGTGGACAGGTCTTTGTGCAGATGGTTTCTGTCCAGTGTAGTGGCCGTAGCTGAGTGCTGTTGTGTGCACCTGTAATCTCAGCTACTTGGGAGACTGAGGTAGGAGGATCCCTTGAGCCCAGGAGTTCAAGGCCAGCCTGGGCAATATAGTGAGAGGTTGTCTCAAAAAAAAAAAAAAAAAAAAAATCCAAAGGCCTCTTAGCTCCTGCCATTACTTCGTGGCCACAAGGGGTCCCTCTGCCCTAGATTGTCAGGTGATGGCAAAACATACAATCTTGAAGGTCAAAGAAACAATAAGGGATCTTGTAGACTTCCATTTTAAAGCCTCAGATGCAAGCTGACTCGCTGTGAGTAATTACAGTTGGAAAGAAGTTTTGTTGCTGTCGTTTGTTGTTTGTTAGTAACAATGCCTTGAACTGATTTCTGAAAAAGTATATATCCTAGAGCAGTGGCCCTAATGCCCTGAACTGCTCTGACTGAGTCTGACCTCAACTCCAGGCAGAGCCGAGGGATTCATGCTGAAAGCTAACGAAGAACCTAAATATTTTTTGAGCACCAATTATGTTCCAGACTTTGTTCTAGAACCTGAGAAGGCAGTGAACAGAGTGGAGAAAGCACTAGTGTTCAGGGAGCTTACTTAGTGGTGAGAGCAGTTATAGATAGATAAATAGCCAATAGAATTGGTAATGGTAAAGACTAAGAAAAATAAAGTGGGATAAGAAAGGTGAAGAATGACAGCAGTAAGAAAATGAAGTAAAAGACATCATATTGTAAAGAAAGGTTTGAGATGACATAATTTTGTATGTAGAAGATTCTAAAGAATCCACTAAAACACCATTTGAACAAATAAGTGGTTTGACAACGTTGCAAGATACAAGATCAATATACAAAACTCAATATATTTTTATATACTTGCAATGAACAGTATGAAAAAAATAAGAAAATAATTGTATTTATAACAGCATCAAATAGAATAAAATACTTAGGAATAAATTTAACAAAAGAATTGCAAAATATGTACTCCAAAAACTGCATAATATTGTTGAAAGAAATTAACAAAGGGCTAGATAAATAAAAAGATATTCCATGTTCATGAATCAGAAGATTCATTGTTAAGATGGCAACACTCCTTAAACTGATCTACAGACTCAAACCCTATCAGAATCCCAGTTGGCTCCTTTGTCAAAATTTACAAGATAATCCTAAAATGTATATATGGAATTGAAAGGGACCCCCAAATAAATAAAATAATCTTGAAAAACAAGAACAAAGTTGGAAGACTCACACTTTCTGATTTGATTTGATTTGGAGATGGAGTCCCACTCTGTCGCCCAGGCTGGAGTGCAATGGTGCGATCACGGCTCACTGCAACCTCCGCCTCCTGGGATCAAGTGATTTTCCTGCCTTAACCTCCCAAGTAGCTGGGATTTGCATGCACCACCACACACAGTTAATTTTTGTATTTTTAGTAGAGACAGAGTTTCACCATGTTGGCCAGGTCTTGAACTCCTGACCTCAAGTGATCCACCCGCCTTGGCCTCCCAAAGTGCTGGGATTACAGGCGTGAGCTATCATGCCTGGCCTACACTTTCTGATTTTAAAAGTTACTATTAAGCAACAGTAATCAAGATAGTGTGATACTTGCATAGTATAAACTTACAGGTCACCTGGATAGCCATATGCAAGTGAATGGATTTGGATCTTTACCTCTCACTACGTATGAAAATTGACTCAAAATGGATCAAAGGCTTGTATGTGAGAGCCAAAATATAAAACTTTTAGAAGAAAACCCAGGGGTAAATCTTCTTGACCTTGAATTTGGCAATGGATTCCTTGATATAACATTAAAAGCACAAGCAACAAAAGAAAATATACTTAAAATGTTCTTCACTAAAGTGAAAAACTTGTGGGCCTTCAAGAACATCAAGAGAGTGAAAAGACATCCCTAAAGAAGGGAAGAAAATATTTACAAATCATATATCTGATAAGGAACTTAAATCTAGAATATGAAAAGAACTCTTGCAACTGACTAAGAAAAAGACAAATATTCCAATTTAAAATGAGCAACAGATTTGAATAGGCATTTCTTCAAGAAAGATGTACAAATAAACACATGAAAAGAGGTTCAGTATCATTAGCCATTGGGGAAATGCAAATTGAAATCACAATGATATGCCACTTCACTCCCACCAGGATATTTATAATTTAAAAGTCAGATAACAAGAGTTGACTAGGATGTGGAAAAACTGGAAAAAACGTTAAACAGACATTAGTAATCAGACATTACTAGTGTGAATACAAAATGATGAAGCCACTTCGGAAAACAGTTTGGCAGTTCTTCAAGTGTTTAAACCTAGTTACGTTTGGCACAGCAATTCTCCTAGGTATATACCCAAGAGAAATGAAAACATGTCCACACAAAAACTTGTACATAAATATTTACAGCAATATTATCCGTAATAGCCAAAAGAAGGAAACAACCCAAATGTCCATCAATTGATGAATAAACAAAATGTGGTGTATCCACACAATGGAATATTATTAATGCATGAAAAAAATGAAGTACTGATATATGCTACTGTGTGGATGAACCTTGAAAACATTATGCTAAGTGAAAGGAACCAGTCACAAAACGCCATATATTATATGATTTCATGTATATGAGATGTACAGAATAAGCAAATATATGGAGATATAGTGTAGATTAGTGGTAGCTTAGGCCTGAGCTTAAGGCTGGAGTGAATTTGAGAGTAATAGCTATAGGGGACAGGGTTTCTTTCTGAGGGGACAAAAATGTTCTATAATTGATTGTGGTGATGTGTGCACAACTGTGAATATACTAAGATACCATTGAACTGTGTGCTTTTAAAATGGGTGACTTTTATAGTAGATGAATTATATAAATATAAAGCTGTTATAAAAAGAGAGAGAGAGAAAAAAAAGGAAGAAAGAAAGAAAAAAGAGGGAGGGAGGGAGGGAGGGAGAAAGGGAGGAAACATGTCAGGATCAGAATTTGCAGGAAGTACCAGCAGCTTGAAAGAAGAAACAAAGGGGGTGACAAGGGTAGAGAAGAGGGGACTCTTTCAAAGGGGGAATATGCATCTTAAAGGCCTCTTTAATAGGGTGATGTGTATGTCAGTTGAGACTTTCAGGAAGGGAAGAAATGAACCATATGGATATCTGGAGAAAAAGAGTTCTGGGCAGAGCAAAGGCCCCTTGGCAAGCATGTGAGTGGTGCATTTGAAGAGCAGCATGGAGATGTAGGTGGCAGAGGCAGAATGAGTGAGCGAGGCAGGGAGCATGATGTCTAAGGAGCAGGCGGGGGCCGGATAATGTGGGGCTGGCAGAGCCCCATTGGGATGACTTCAGATTTTTACTGAGTAAAATGGAGAGTAATTGCAGGGGTTTGAGCAGATAACATGCCCCGATTTCCCATTTACAAAGACCAAAATATACTGCAGTGTGGCAAATAGGCTGTGAGGGATGGAGTGTGAGGGAAGTGGTAAAGCCAGGGAGGATGCCATTGGCACAGTTCAGGTGAGATGGCTTTCTGTCTCTATGCTGTGCTTTAGTTTCTCTCTTATAATTAAGGAGACAATAGAAATAGAAATTTAGTAGAAACAGAACCTACAGTCTGAAAATAGCACACACCACTTAAAAGCAAAATTTCCTGGAAAAGTGTGGACAAATGGCCATCATCCACAGTGCATAAAAATGTTTGCTTCCAATTTAACACTCTGCATGATGTTAATTAATGGCATAAGTACGTGTTTGATGTCTTTCTCCCACGTTAGGCTGAAAGCTTCACAATGGTCTGAACCATGTCCATTGTGTTCTGGAACATTGTGCTAAATCCCTGGTGTCTAGAACAGGGTCTGACACAAAATACATCCTCAAAAAAACCCAAAACAAAACTCATTGAATGAATCAATTAACGAGCCGTTGTCAATCATCTTGTCCCTAGTTATTTCAATGTGTGCTGAAGGCAGTAGGTGACCACCAAGCATCTGTGTCCTCCTCTATATTTCCCAGCCTTCCTTGCAGTTAGCTATGGCCATGTGACTGTTGCTGGCCAGCAAAAAGTGAACAGAAACAAGTACTAAGATGGTAGCTGGAGTGTATTCTGCATCATTCGATTCTCTTGTGAGATGGTCTTGCAGGCTACAGATTCTAGATGGCAGAGCCTACAAGATGGAGTAGGACAACCTGACCTATGTAAGATTTAACAAGAGTTAGAAACAAATGTTTTTTCAGTTTGGCCAATGAGATTTTTCTTTTGTGGCAGTAAATACTATTGCTTTAACATATTATGTTTTTTCCCCCCATTTTCCGAGTACAAGCCTTTGTAGTATACTCCAAACTGCTGGATTATTTTGGATAATGACAGTTGGAAATTGCCTGCTGCTTCTCAAGTTTAATTTTCCTTTCCACTGTCTCCTTCTTACAGGGCAAGACGTTAATGCTTTTCAAATATTCTCATCACATTTGAAATCACGACAGTAGCAGAGTGGCATATTTCATAATTTCTATAAGGCACTCAGTGTAGTTGGACCCAAGGCCCTGGTGATAATAATGGAAGCAACCTAGTCCAGTTCTAAAAAATAGGGCTGGACATCCTCTCATAATTTTTCCAACAATTGGAGGTGAAAGTGTGAAGTCTTCATTCAGCTGGGAAAGGGGTTGGCAGATGTTTGGAAGAGATGAGCATTGGCTGAGCTCCATTGTAAATGTTCTCGACTTGATTTGTTCACTTCATCTCTTTATTCTGCCCACTCAACTCCATTCTCAATTTCTTGTTACCCAGAAAGTAGTCTGTGGGATCTAGTTATTAGGATAACTAATGTTTTATGTTTTATTTTTAACACTAAGCCAGCAAATCCACTATTTTTACCTATTATATCTGGAATAAAAGAACACAATTATAAGTTCAATAAAAATAGTTTATTTTAGTAAGAGAAGGAACATGCAGACAGGATAGAATTCACCCCCAAGAGTATTTAGAGTTCTACGTCAATCTTTTCATCTACTATTTACCCTGTACTGACCCAAGTACCATATACAGCTTTTCAATAGTAATTGCAATTAACATTTGTTAAAACTTGCATACCTCCTCCTCTGCACAGAGCAATTCACTCAAATAGTTCCTAAGGGACAAGTGGTTCCTGGAATCAGCTGAAAGTGGAAGTAGTGCTGGTAGCCCCAGGACTACCCCAAGGCACAGAGAGGGTAACCCAGGCTGCAGTGGCACTCCATGCTGTGGCACTCCGCTGGCTGCTGGCTTTTTCATATCCCTGCAGGATACTCTGAACCATGGAAGGAGCCTATGCAAGTGAAGCATGCCCTGAAGCTTAAGCTTAAGCTTATTAGTTTCCAGGTAAATTCACCACTGCTGTCAACACATAAGGATCCGTTGATCCTATAAGGCAGGGACAAATTGTTCAACTGAAGAGTTTGATCCACAGGAACAAAGGATTTGTTCCTATAATCCTTCCATGGCCCAGACAGTTCGTATTATTACCAACATTTACAGGTCGGGAAACTAAGGATCATGGAGAGAGGTATCTTTTCCCAAAGCCCCACAGCCAGACAGTGGGTAGGAGTGCCAAGATTCCCACCAGCCTTGCCCTTTGCACACACTGAGGTTTGCAGCCACTAGTTCCATTGTTGGTCTTTCTGGCCAGGAGAGGACGTGAGAGAGCAGAGGAGAAGCTTTGACAACGGAGGTGATGGAGAACCTTGGAAGTTCCTCCTCATAGCCTTCCTCCTGCCCTGACTTCCCATCAGCTGAAGAGGGTCTCCCCTTCTCCACATGCATATTTGTTTGTGCTTTATGAATTTTTTCCTTCTGATGAGGTCCTTTGTGAAAAGTTTACTTCCTTTGCTCCTGTAAAATTGGTAAGGGTGACATGCCCCAACTGCAAACCCAACAATCACCCACACTCCTGGGGCTCCCCTGGGTCCTTCAGCCACTGTGATTTGGCCCAATGCCTCTCACCCCCTCACCCAGCAAAGGGTTTAGGCCCTGTACCCTACATCCTTGTCATGATCTTATTCACTCATTCATTCATTTATTCAAAAATATTTACTGGTTGTCAACTTTGTGCCTGACACTATAATAAGAATAGCTGGGAACACTGTGACACTTCTTCAGTGTGGAAATATTCCACCCTCCTCTGTGATCATCAGGTTTGTGTGCATGTGTTTGCTTATTTGTTTTAGAGACAGGGTGTCTCTATGTTGCCAGGCTGGAGTGCAGTGGCTATTCACAGGTGCAATCATAACACGCTACAGCTCCAAACTCCTGGGCTCAAGCAATCCTCCTGCATCAGCCTCCCAAGTAGCTGGACCTACAGATGCATACCACGTCACCAGCTCTGTGATGGTTAGTTATATGTGTTAACTTAGGCCCACTCCCCAGTTATTCAATCAAATACTAATCTAGGTGCCCCAACACAGGTATTTTATGGATGGTAGTTAAAGTCCAAAATCAGTTGACTGTAAGTAAGGAAATTTTCCTCAATAACCTGGGTGGCCTGATTCAATCAGTTGAAAAGCCTTAAGAGCAAAGCTGAGGTTTCTTTGAAGAAGAAAAAATTCTGCCTAAAACTGCAGCTCCAGCTCCTGCCCAAGAGTTCAGCCTGCCAGTCCTCCTGGACCTGCGGATTTTAGTCTTGCCTACCCAGCCCCCAGAATCACATAAAGCAGTTCTTTGCTATGAATGTCTTATTATATGTCTCCTATTGGTTCTGTTTCTCTGGGTAATCCCCACCAATACACCCTGCTTGACACCTATGAAGTTATCCATTTCGATCATACTCATTTTGTCAGTCTTTGGCTTGCAGAGAAAGATAAGAGAAATGTTAAAGTTGGAAAAGTAACTTGGTTGCCTTCAATGGTGATCTCACCTCAGTAAAATCTGAGGCAGGTCACCATTTTAGGTGACTTCAAAGTTTCTGGGATAGGGTGGAAAGTGGGACAGGAGCTCAGAATGGGAAAATCAGATGCCATGCCATTGCTGGTCCCGGTTTGATTGGCCACCAAGAGGCCACCAGGCCTCACACGGCTGTTCCAGGGAAGTCCACTCCCATCAACAAAGCAAAAGTATGTGACACAAAGTGTGGATTACTCCCTAAAAGGCCCCATCTTAGTTGCTTTTAAGTAACAAAGGTGTTTCTATTTAATACTTTAGTTGGTGCCTGGCTCATACATTGTTAACATCTTTGAGGAAAACAACTGAGGAATGGCATTGTCAAAATCTGTCATAGGCTCTAAAAACTCAGATTTCTATTTCGTGGTGTATAAAATTCGAGGAGCAGACTTCCCAAGTTTCTTTCCAATGCCAACATACTTATGTTTCTCTTTGATAAACCTGTCAGTTTTTATTACCAATTAGAATAGCCTACAAAGTAAAAAATGTTTGGCAATGGATTTGGGTGGGCAGTCCTCAGAGAACCTGAATTGTGGAAAATCAGCCTTATCAGGAGGTCTATCCCAGAGTGGGAGAGCCAGCTGCAGTCCCCTAGAAAGTTACAAGCCTACCTTCTGAGAGACACTTGCACAAGTACGGGAATTCTTCTGAAACGGAGAACTCTGCCAATTGCTGTTTATCACAGTTTCTCGGTTTGCTTTTCAAGTACCAGACTGTGAGAGAATTACCTTCATTGCTAAGACAATATTTGTTTCCTTAGCTTCTCAGTGAGTGAACAGTGACCCAAAACCTGGGGCCAATATGTGTAAGACTTTGGAGAAAAGAAAGATTTTGTGAGGGAAAGGGAAAAGGGGTCGTCTGAATTTGGATTGAGATTAGTTTGATTGGGTAATGGAAAACAACCAAAAAACAAACTAATTCTTTGTCAAATCCCACCACAGAGGCACATTTCAAAAAAAAAGACATCAATGCCCCTGAAATCAGGGAAAAGGCCACCACAGGAATTTCAAATTTCCATCACCACAAACATCCTCCAGCAGTCAGCACCAAAGCCAGATCACGTGACCTCCAATCCATCTGTAGACTGAAACGATAACTTGTTTCAGTTATTTCAAAAATTTCACAGACTTTATACGACTTGTTCCCAAATCTATATAGATGGTGTGATAAGGAACCAAATATAAATTATATTTAAAAGCCCTACTGATCCCTAGTAGCTTTCAGTCTTTTCATCACTCAAGTCACTGAAAGTCTAACTACTTGTACACCAAGAACCATTTTTGACTTTGAAAGAAGGTCCTCTGAGCACAAAGTGAAACTGCCTTTGCAAAAATTGTAACTGAGGAAATTATGACAGTGAAAGACATCAGACCTAACCAACTCCATCTTGCTTCTAACCTTTAAGCTGTCCTTGTTCATTCCTGGGCACAGGGCAAACTAAGCTTAGAAAGAAATTTAGTTGTTTATAGTTTAACTCTGAAACAAACTAAATAATAGCCCTTTGACTGGAACCAGTCTGCCTTTGTAGGACTAAGAGATTAGCTACAAGATTAAAAATTATGGTTTAGGGACAATGCAACCTCTGACTGCAAGAGTCTGAACCTCCCCAAATTGCTCCTGGGAATACCATCACTATTGTAAAAGTCAAGATTAGTGCCCGAGATATTTTGCAGACTCTGCACTTCATGCACCAGCTGATACCACCCAGACGCGTAATCTGGCTCAACCAGTTCTTTGATCTCACCCAGGAACAGAAGACAGCAAAAAATATTCACTTCAACCCCCTATGATTCCATCTCTAACCTGACCAGTCAGCACTCCCCACTTCCTGAGCTCCTGGCCGCCAAATTGTCCTTAAAAACTCCGATCCCCAAATGCTCCGAGAGACTGATTTGAGTAATAATAAAACTCCGGTCTCCTGCACAGTGGGCCATGCATGAATTACTCTTTCCCCATTGCAGTTTCCCTGTCTTGATAAATCGGCTTTCTCTAGGCAAGGTGAACCGTTCGGCAGTTAAGAAAAAGTTGGATCCATTGTATTATAGATGAGGAAGAAGAAGCTATGCACTACCAGGCTTGCCCTGCTGGCCCGTCCTTGGCTTCGTGGAGTCCCGCCAAGCCCACAGTTGCTGGTTCTGTCCACACACTCTCCCACCGCAGTTGTCAGACATGAAAGACATCCCCAGCTGTCTAGAGTGAGAGGGGACACAGAGAGGAGGCTGCAAGGCCTGCCTGTGTTTGTGCCTTAACCTTTAAAAGCAGGGCCCTGCAAAAGGACAAGGGCAGTTTAATTTAAATCTCTCTGGAGCTTAAACTCAGCTCTTTTCTTTTGTTTTTTTGATTCCACCTTGTTGCTCTTTCCTTTCTTGCTGGATTGTGTTTGCATTTTCTCCTGAATGTGTGGTTTCCATCTCGTCCAGCAGATCTAAGGTAATTTCAGTTTTGTTTCTAAAAATGTCATTGTCTGCTTCTTTCCCACCGTCTGTCTTTTGTCTTTGGACAATGTGAATATTTAGCTGCATAACACATAGAGATTCTCTTCCCAGTGCTTTATTTTAGGACTACCCAGATCTGATGTAGTCAATAAAACACTCATCTGTCAGTTTTTTAGCTCTAATATGATGTCTAATGAATACGTTAAGTGACATCACATGAAGCAGAACTGTGGGCTACTGCATTTTTTTTTTTTTTTGCCTGCATATTTTTTGGTACAGGAAAAGTAAGACACTAGATTTTGGATATGCTTTCCTATTTTCTTAAACAAACTCTAACAGTTGTTATCTGTCAAACCCAGGGGACTTCAAATGCTGATACTTGGTGTCTTCAATATGACTACATACATAATCTGGAAATAGTCTAGCCTTCATTTCGTAAAAGCACACATTGTTTTTTTGCTGCAGGCATCTCAATGTTGGAATAATGTCTTATTCTTAGACTTTATGTTTTTCCATTCTTAAGTAATCCTGAAACTAGCTCAATACATTGAGCTGGCTATGTTGTTTTTCAGATGGATTTCCTGAATTGCTAGCATCAAGTACTTTGCTCTCTTTTCATGACACCCCACTTCTATTTATAGCCAACAGATGATCAGAAGCCAGGGTCAAGGACAGTTGCTGTTTGGTCAAGCCCAGCTGTTGAACGCTGATTGGTAACTGGCAAGGTGTGGCAATTGCCATCTGGCCATGCCAGGGTCCTGATAGCACTGCCAGCATTTGTTTAATTCAGGCAAAGCAGCTAACTTCAGCTTGCTCTGCTGAAGCAAACCTGTTTTGGACATCTCAACTGGTAAAATTGGTTCCTGAGTTTAAATCCAACTTGAAAATTTAAAGCAGCACCATCTGAGTCATTGGGGTCTATCAAGACACACTTTATATCCCCCTTGGTTCAGATTCAGAGACAGAAGCATGTAGTCTCAATTCCTTTCTGACGAACAGCATTGAGTACTTCTGCAGAACATAAACTAGAAAACCAATTTCTGTAGCTCAGAAAGATGAGTATTTTTATGGCTCTCCATACTGGAAGGGAGAGATGCATTAAATCAATCATATGAATTAACATGGCATCGTGGAGCAGTATCCTCCAGAAATTAGATCAGCCCCTAAAAGAAATCAAGTCACTGTTAAATGGTGGAGTATACATTCTGTTAGTGAGTGACTTGACACTTGTGAGGGTTGAGGGACTGGTGGGAAAAATGCCTGCTCTCTTGGTTAAAACTTTACTGGGACTGGTATTCAGAACTCTTGGCAAGATTTATGCAGATCCTGCTTTGTACTTGCAAATTACTTTCACAATAATTTCAATCGTTATTAATCAGCAGGCATTGTGTGAATGACAGATGCTATATAATCTCTACAAAACAGTCCTCAGGATCTGGTATTCCACAGTCATTTTCCCCGTGCAAGGACCAACAAAGCCCAGCATCTTCGCCATCTTTCTGGGAGAGGTTGGAATGTTTTCCCTTTTTTACGAGAGGAAATTGAGTCACAGTAAGAATAAATGCCTCTCTGGGAGCCAGGATGACACTCGACCTCAGTTTCTCTCTTAGAATTAAAGGACCCCGGCAAGCGTTCACAAGGAAATGCATTTCCTTCCTGGAGACAGCAATTTTACTTTGAGGATAAAAATTAGTAAGATGCCTTCCTCATAAAAATCTTATTGAGGCTCTCAGAATATAAACTTTGGATATTCTCATGTTCAGAGACCCTGTTTTTAAGGGACCCTGTGTGGTTTGGTGGGCCAAGAGCATCCACTTTGGGGCCCACGCGGCCCAGTGTTGAATCCTAGCTCTGCTACTCAGTTTGTGACCAGATGCTAGCTGGGAGAGGTGGGTGTCCCTCTGAGTCCTGAGTTTCTGTTTGCATGGCCTGGGCTCAGATGCTCACTTAGGGCGGAGCACAGGTCAGATGGGCTGTGGGTTACAGCTGCAGCCTGGGCTCTGGTTATTCCCACCCCTTTCTTTCTCACCCATCCTGGATAGAATCTGTGGTTAAGAACCACTGTATGGATACATAGAGTGAATCTTTGTCAAATATAATATTTAGTAGTTGTATGATTAAATTTAAAGGCATCTCTGGCAAAATCCCAAATAGTCTTACTGATAGCCTTTCTAGTTGTGTGTAGGAAGTGAGTGTGTTTCTGACAGGTTTTGAGATGAGAAATACCACACACAAAAGAAAATCCAAACCATTAGGGTATTTGACTGATAAAATATCTTTTACTGTACGGATCATGAAGAGATAATTCAATACAGATGGTTAATGAAGATATTTTTACTTCATTGGTAATTTCAAGAAATACAAATTCAAAGAACAACAAAATCAAATTTTCACCTGCTACGTTTGTAGATTTAAAAAGAAGATTGACTACTGGTGAGGATGCAGAAAGATGGGCAATCCCGTTTGTGGTTGGCCAGAAATTTGATACAATTTTTATTATACATAGATAAATAACTTCCTAGTACCAAATTTTCTGCCAGTTATTAATACTGAGTGTTATTAACACTGGGAAGTTATTTGTCAATATATAACAAAAAGCCTTTAAAATGTTTATATCTTTCAACCGAGTCATCTATTTTAAAGAAATAATAATTTTGTAAAGGAAACAAAAAGTTATACTCAAAGATATCCTTGCAGTGCTACAATTTTTAATGGGGAGAATTGGAAACAAGCTCAGAACAATAAAAGGGTGGGTGGTTAAATATGCTACTTAGAATGAAATATGCTGGCATTAAAATGAGATTTTAGTAATAATCTATGGTCATAGCTACCATTTATGAAGAGTTTACTATATGCCAGGCCCCAAGCTAAGCACTTTGAAAATATATTATTTTATTTAAATCTTATTACAACAGATTAGTAACCTCCCAACTTCCAACAATTTTATCACCTCATTTAAACTCATTTGACAAATTAGAAAATGGGGGAAAAAAGTGTTAACATGAGCAAATTCTCTTGATATTCCTTTAAGCAAAAAAAAAAAAAAAAAGGAAGTATACAAAGTTGTATGCACAGTAGTCCCCTCTTATCTGCTTATCTGCATGGGATGCCTTCCAAGACCCCCCACCAGATGCCTGAAACCTCAAATAGTACTGAATCCTATATATTCTCTGTTTTTTCAAACTGATAACCAAAACAACTACTATGTGGTATACATCGTGGGTATTCTGGACAAAAGGATATTTCACATTTCAGGAGGACCTAGTGGGACAGCGTGGGAGTTCATCAAGCACCTTAGAATATTGCACGATTTTAAACTTATGAATTGTTTATTTCTGGAATTTTTCATTTACTATTTTCAGACTGCAGTTGACTGCAAATAACTAAAACGTTGGAAAGTGAAAGTGCAGGTGAGAAGGGACTGCCGTAGTTTCAGCTCAACTATAGAAGTACAATAAACCCACTCATAATCTTGTAAGTAGGAATAAAACTCCAAACTGCATAAAGTGCAGGTTTGTATTATTACCAAGTTCCTGAAGTATCAGTGGGGGCTGGAAGGTGGAGGACAGCTCCATCGCTAGTCATTCACATGCATTATTCTGGATACATGAAGTTTAGTGAGAAATTTACCGAGATGTTGAGTGATTTTTCTCTGTATTGTAGCATTATGGGTAATTTATGCTTTTCTGGCTTTTCCACATTTTCTACAATTAGCATGTAGACGTATTGCATTAAAAATGCTTTGAAAAGTTTAGAAAACTTAAAGCAATTTGTTTTACTAATTTTTTAAAATAAGAGGGCAATGACATCTCTATTCTTTACAGTCCTTTTAGATCTGACAGCTCAGTAATTTAGACAGGAGAGAGAAAAGACAAAGCCCAGTGGTCAGAGGGAAATGGGAGGTGTGTCCCCTCCCAGCTACAGTGAGGGGGCCACGTGACGCCTGTGGCAGCATCTGTGGTCACATATGTTACAAGTGAAAAAAATATCACAATGAGGTTGGTAAAGCCTTGGGCATTACCCAACCTCATGTAGCTACCAAAATGTTTATTAAAAAACTATTTACAAAAGAAAGAAAGACACTATTAAGGGGTAAAACCAGTTTTCTGTATTATCTAAGAATAGAGATGCTCCCCCAAGTTAGCATGAGAGGCTAATTAGGGAACAGCGCTCTTTGACAAGAAACAAGAAGCAGGCTGGTCTCCTTCTGCTGTTTGCAGGATCTTTGAAAACTGAACTGAAGTTAACTTTGAGGCCGGCCCAGCATTTGTTAAATCTGAGCTTCTGAAGCTGCCGCAGCTGCAAGGTGTGCTCCCAGCTCCTGCAGCAACCCAAGTAACCGGGGGAAGTGCCGGAGGTGGTGAGCAGAAGTAGGGAGAGGGGCGATCCCCCTGCAGGATGGGATGCCAGGCCCAGGGTTGGGCCTTACAGGAAGTGCCCAGCTTTTGTTGAGGTGGCTGTGCCAAGCAGCAGAGGGCCCGCCCTTGTTTGTTGGGGTTTTCCTACTGGGTTCCGTGATGAGGTGGCTTAAAAGCAGAAGACTCAGAGAACCCTAAACGCTGGCTCAGGCCTGAAGGCTGAAGTTAGGTGCATTTAGAGAAATCGTTCATGTATGCAGGGGGCAGCTGGAGCAGCTGAGAGAGAGAAATGTCAAGTATTAGGTTCCAGATGGGCTCCTAGCAACATAATGCTAATTTTCCAGAGTGCTTTCACCTTTCTTCAGAGCCACTCATTCGTTCCTTCAACTGATGTTTACTCAGTATTGTTATAGGCACTGGAGAAGCCAAGATAAATAAGACACCTTTGCTGCCCATCCAGGTAGGAGACAGAGAACCAACAAACACATTTCAGTGTGGTGAGTGCTGTGGTGGGCCCAAGACCAGGGCACTGTGGGCACTCCCTGGAGAAGAACCTCACCGAAGCCAGGGGTTCAAGGAAGTGATAATATCTGAGCTATGTCTTACTTTGGTGCGTCTCCGATTGTAACGGATGCAAAAAGCACTTGGGGATCGTGTTAAAATGCAGGTTCTGATTCAGCAGGGTTGGGTGGAGCCTGAGATTTTGCGTTTTTAACAAGCTCCCAAGTAATGCCAATGCTGCTGGTCCAAGGTCCACATTTCAAGTAGCAAAGTCCTAAATGATGTCTAAGAAGGAGTCAGCCAGGTGGAGAAGTGGGAAAGGATATTCCTAAGAGAAGGCACATTCCACGCACTCCACTTAGGGAGCAGGAAGGGTTGCCCCTTGAGGGAAGTTGGGGTTTTGCTGGGTAGGCTTGAAATTGCCCTGGGTTGGCCTCTTTATTCTATTAGGGGTTTAATTCATTTAAAGTTTGAATCATTCATTCAAGTCTTTAAGGCTCAGCCCTAAACCTGATATTCTAAGAAATATATTCCTAACACTCACCTGACGTGTGTCCTTAATGGTGCCTAATGGTCTTTTTTCCTTAGTGATCTTTCCCTCTCATGTAGATGATAAGATCCTCGGAGCAAACCCAGTGGTGATGATCAGCCAATGTGATTGAGTTCTTAGGGTCCTAGGCTATAGCTGTACAAGGGAACCCATTGCTTGTTCACACCATAGCTAGCACAGTGCCTGATACACATGAGAAGCTAGTGCTCATTACATACTGAGTTTAAAATGAATGGATGAATTAGTATAAATACCTCAGGTGGGGTTCAGTAAGAAAATAGTAGAGTGATTAAGAGTACAAGCAGTGGAGTTACAATGCCTGGGTGCAAATCCTGGCTCTGCAAGTGCTAGCTTCATTAACCTGGGCACATCCTATAACCCCTTTGTGCCTCAATTCCTCATCTGTAAAATGGGATTGATAGTAATAGCTGCCTCAAAGGATTGTTGAATGCAATAAATAGCATAATACATATTGATTGCTTCTAAGAATTATAAACATTCAATAATTGTTATCTCTTATTTTTGTTAAGGGCTGAGTTTGACATTAGCCAACCTGTCCACATATTAACTGGGATACCTTGGTGAGGACGGGAATGTTTGTCTGAGGTAGGGATTATGGGTGAACTGATGAATCTTTGCTATGCCTGCCCTTCATTAACACACATTATGGCCGGTAATTGTATTATTTTTCGTAAAATACTTATTTGAAGCTAAAATAGGAAATCACATACATAAAGATAAAAATAGAGGTCTTGGCAGGGTTCTTCAAATGGGACCCTCAAGTATGAGCTGGTTTCATGAGATCACCTGTAGTTATTAGGGAGTGCTGTGTGGGAGAATTTTATTCTGTCTCCCTGTGTAATCACCTGAGCTGGGCTTTTGGAATTCTAGATGAGGTAATAAAAATAGGAATGTTTGTCAACAGGCAGCCAGTAGATATACACCTAGCTGAAACTGTATGTCGTATGGGTGAGAAGGCCATGGAAACTTGTGACTTCGCAGCTCAATACTTTTGTGAATTATTTACAGTTTAGAGTGGCTATTGAAAAGCTCTGGGGCTGATACTGTCTTATCTTCTTTTCTTTTTTTATTCATAAATACTTAGACCTGCACTGTCCAGTACAATTGTCACTAGCCACATGTGGCTATTTAAATTAATGAAAATTAAATAAAATTAAAAATTCAGTTGCGCTAGACACAATTCAAGTGCCCAATGGCCACATGTGGCCAGGTGTCACTAAACTGGACAGCACAGGTAGAAATATAGGACATTCCATTGGACATTACTGACAGAGTGCAAGTTGTAGACTTTAAGAGTTGCAGATTATAATTGAGTTACCCAGAGATGGCAAAATCCCAGAACTCATGCAATAAGGATGTTGCAGAATCAAATACAAAAATTAGGAAATGTAAAGGGCAAGTTTGTGTTACCTTTAGACAATAAAGTTTGACTCTACAGAGTTTTGTTCAATAGCTATTAAATAACCAGGCACTCACTCTATGTAAACTAAACAAAGGGCTCTGGGGAAGAAAGCAGAGTCTGTCAGAGGCAATCACTGGCCCTAAACTGCTTGCTGGTGAGTTGGATAGATACTAAGTGCATAGAACATAGTCCAAGGAGGTATGTGAGGAAAAGCTGATGAAATACTGAGACTGGAGTGAGTTCAATACAGGAGGCGATGCCTGACTTTGACATGATAGGAGGTACAAGTGGGACTGAGTCAAGGAGACAGTAATGGGTACAGCATGCTGGGGAAACAGAGAATAGGTAACTCCAGATGAATTAAAAATATTAATAGAACTTGAATGCCAATCTAGACATCATCCTACACATGGTGGGAGCCACAGAAGGATTGGGAGCACAGGAGTGCCATCAAGCAGGTAGTATTTCGCCAAGGTGAGTCTGGCAGGGCTAAAGAACTGGACTGGAAGAACCAGCCATCTTTGCTGGGATACCAGCCCAGAGGTTGTAGAAAAAATCCAGGCAAGAGGTGAGAAACACCTGACCAAGGTCAATGGAAGGGGAAATGAAAAGGGAAGCAATAAAAAGGAAAATTCAAAAGGTTTTGACTGATGGGAAAGATAACTGGCAGAAATGTAGCCAAAATGGCTTACTTATTTTGGATGTTTGGGGTTCAAGAAATACCTGTTGGTTTGGAACTTGACAGGTCGCTCCTCAATGCAATTTCACTGAGTCCTGTTATACCTTCTTAGACTGTTATCTAATGTTGTTGTGTGCATTTGGTGTCTACCTAACTCCAGGGTAAGCAATTTGGGGCCGGTGATTATGTTTGCCAGGCTTTGCTTTCTGCCCCAGAGCGTGTAGTTTAGTGCCATGCATGGAAAAAGTGCCCAGTTATTGAACAGCTGTTCTACAATTAACTATAGTCAAGCCCTATTGTCTAAACTTATCTTTTAAATATACTGAGGTAAAGGGAAGGAATTACTCATTTTAAAATAAAAATTCTGATTAAATGTTCCATTATTTTGGTAAATAGAGATGAATGTGTACGAAATGTCAGTTTTCTGAAAAATGGGGGTAAAAATACCTACCTCATAGAGTGCTGAGGATTACACGAGATGCATGCCAAACTAGCACGTGGTGAGCCATCAGTAAATGTTGGTTGATTCTAATCTAATGAACTGACTTCTGCACGGGATCGAAAGATCCACATATAATTTCATAGCTATTATCTCCCTACTTACTCATCTGTTGGATGCCATAAAATGAGGGACGTTCTGGGGTTCTTCCAGATCACTCCAGGCAGAATTGTTAAACATCTTGTTTGCTCAGTGTTGCAGAAGGCAGGGAGGGGGCTCCAGAGATAACTGCTCACTCAGGTGTCTGGCTCTCCCCTCACTTCTTCCTGCTTTTGTTACTCTTTTGGAGTGGGACAGCTGTCAGTAGAGCACCACAGGATAAGAAACATAACAGTAATAAAGAAAACTTTCCAGGAAGAAAGTTTGCAGTGTTTGTATGTGATGTGGCTGGTTTTCATAAGCATCAGAAAAACAGGGTCATTGCCCTCAAGTTCAATGTCAACTTCTGCCAGAACCTACCCCAGGTTGGGCCATGGCACTGTGAGAAGGGCCACAGCTTCTTCCCTGGGTGCCTTCCAACTAATTCTCCCTTACCTTATATATTGAGGTCAGACAAAGCTATTTCATAGACTATCTTCAGCTTGTCGAGAACTCTCAGGGGCCCCCTTTTGCCTAAACAGGAGGTCTGTGCTCCACTGCTTTGTTTCTCTCCAAAAGCCTTATCCACCATGTAGACTCAACCTTACTTTCTCATTTTCCAAGTCCATCCCTATCTTCAATAAGGAAGAAGTGCACTATTTCATGTACCGAAAGATCCAATACCCACTTCCCTTCTGGCTTTGGCCACAGCCCTCACCCCGGATGACTTCTCTTTTGCTTTCCGCTTTGCTGCATTTCACTTATCCTTCTATAGAGTGAAGACCCACTTCTTTCAAGATGCCTTTTAAAATTATTCCAGCCGGTAAGCTTGTCACTTTTTTCTGGATTCCTACTGCACTTATTTACAGTGACAAAAATTTACTACTCTCTAATTGTCTCTTATTTCTTACTGCTGATTTTCCAACTAGACTGAAGTCAGGGTTTATGTCTCGCCCTTCAAATCACATTATCAAAATTGAAGGTGAGGGCTCTGTGGCATTTAAAAAAATCTTAATTCTCTTTCAGGGTTTTCAGAGCGACCTCTCAGAGACTTGGCCATGGGGCAGAGGCTTCATCTTTTCTCTCCTTCCCCCACCTATTCCCAATCTTGGCTTCTCTCAAGTCCTGATTTTAGATGCCTTACATATTAAGTAAACTTTTGTCTGAAGAAAGGCTTCCTTAGCTAAAGCTTAAGAACTACACAGTTCCCAGCCATTGGAAACTTGAGAGTTGGCTGACTAGTTATGGTGGTGAGGAGTATTCTAGATTGACCCATTCTGCTTCATGTGTATCTAAAAGCTGAATTACTTCAGGGAAGTAAAGTAGAGAATGGGGCTCAGCCCTTGGGAGATGTAGCCCCACACATAGAAAAAGTACTTTGTTGCTTGTAGTAAACTTGGAAAGCACAGAAAAGTATAAAGAAAATAAAAATAATCTCGAATCCTCCTACCCAAAAGGAACGCTTAATCTTGGTGTACTTTTTGGTTTTTCAGTCACACACATTCACATCAATATAATTTGTCCCAGTTGAGATTATCCCACGTATTGAATTTGGTGTCCTCCTTTTTTCACATACAATTATACCATGATCACTAAAATTCCTCTTACATGTATTTGTGATGGCTCATTGTTGCAGATTGGTTCCCCAGGAGACAGACTCTGAGATGCAGACTGGCAAGGAGGATGCTTATGAGGGACCACCCTTGAAATCAACATCTGCCAAAAGGAAGAGAAGAAGCAGGGTTAGACGGAGGGAGAGGCTGAGCTGTGATGTAGGCCTTACCCAACCCCATGGGGGAACTCTGGAATTGGGGTGGCCCTCTCAGCTGTCCTAGACTGGGGCAAAGGGGCCAGACCTTTATACCTCCTGATGGACTTCTCTTTGGTTTCAGGCTGCCCCAGAAGAACACATGCTCTTGGGTGAGGCAGTCTCCAAAGAGAGTTCACAGCTGATGTCCATTTGGGGCAGCAGTCCCATCATCTGGGAGAATAGTCCCTTCATTCCTGAAGTGGGATCAGAGCAGCATGTCACAGCCTCCACCACACTCATAACACTACCCATAACACTCATAACATAACACTCATAACATAACACTCAACGCTATGCACTGTAGTGCATAGTGTAGTTTACTGTGCTTTCAATAATGGCTGAAATTGAGGACTTACTTTACAGCAGCGTTGTGCTGGGTGATCTCACTTAGACCCCAGAACTGCCCAATGAGATGATTGCTAATGCTATCTCCTTTTACTGATGTGGAAATAAGACTAGACACTAAGTGGGTCCCACAGCTGATAAGTGCGGGAAGCCAGGACTTGAACCCTAAGCCCTAGCTCTATTTGTTTTAGTAAGTACCTAAAAGAATGTTTCTAGGTAAGAGTTTCAGTTTCTATGCAAAAACATTACTGCATATTAAATGAAAAGATGTATACTATACTGCATTTTCCTTTCATCTTCAGAACAGACTAGAAAGATGATTTTCAGAATGGTAAAAATAATCATTGCTAGTCCAAGGTGAATTAGAAAACTTAAATAACTACATGAGGGCATATTTTCAAAAGTTGTGAATAAATGACAATAGGAACTGCAAGGGTTTACTGATAACACCTTTGATTCAAACTGATATATTCAAAACACAAAGCAGCAACTGCATGTCGATGTGAAACCTCAAGCTCAACCTGCCCTTTTTTTTTCTACCTTGCATGTAAATTATTATTTCTACTACATGTGAGCAGGAAGGGTAATGCTAGGGCTTCTATGTGGCTGTCCAAGAGCCATTTATGCGCATCGCAATTAGTGTCATTTTTGAAAAGCTATTTCAATTAAGGGATGATAAAAATTACCATTTTATTCTTCATATTATTATAGAATTTAGGATTTGGGGGTTAAGTTTACTTTCCATTCTTATCTTCATACCACCATTTTATTAATTTTTTCAACAAGACTACCTAAATTTTTTATATTTTTTAAAGAAAATCTTCCAAAATAGAGGTTTTACCAATTTTTTGCATTGCTCTATTTGCCGTACTATAATCTACGCGTGCTCCTGATGAGTCAAGATCAATACTCTTTCAGGGTGATTGCATTTGTTTATTTATTTATCCCACTTATGCATCAGCACAAAAATTAAAATTCAGGGTCAGTTATTGCTGGGGAGTGTTCTCCGCAATGTAATTTGGTTGCTAGGAAACCTGTGGGCGGGCGTTAGCAAGAGGAAGAGAAAGCTCCTCCGCCAGCAATTCAATAGCAGTATTGGCTTTCATTTCAAACGTGCTAAATAATAGGGCCCTGCAATTTGCCTCCGTTAGCCCAAGTTGCTTACGTTTCTTCCTGAATGGAAAATTAATCTGGTTTAGTGCCGGGTAACATTTGCAACCATACTTCCTCTGCCAGGCATTAAAAAAAGAAGTTTCCCACTTTGGGAAATAAGAAAGTTCTGTGTCTTTCTTCATGTTTTATCATGTTTTTTTTTTTTTTTCCTTTCTTTTCCTTTTCTCTCTCTCTCTCTGTCAAGAAAATGCATCATGTTAACAGCCTTTAAGCCCAAGATCAAGCCAAGAGGTAGCAGAGCTCAGGAAAAAGAGATCAGGACAGCCCTTTATTTCTAGGGTGTAGGTAGGGTTGGGTATAAAGAGTTCTGCTAGGGTCTGAGGAGGAGATAAGAGAATTGACCTAGGCATAGAGAGTGCTTGGGGAACTTGGCAAGAGGTAAAAGGAAACCACATTTCTATGTCAGCTCAGGTCCAGCATATCCTCTACTTGACCCCTGTCCACACATAAAGCAGAACATAACATCTTGCATAGAGTAGGTGCTCAAGAAACATGTGTTGGCAACACACAAATCCTAATGTAATGAGCCTGGATACAGGAATTCTATCAGAACAGCTGCAGTCAGTCATAGCGTTGTTGGGGTGCGTGTTTTAGGCCTTATGTAATTTCCTGTCTCGGGATGAAAAAAAATGGACTAACAGCCAAGGCTGGCAAGCTGTTCCTGGCTGAATGTGAACCAGGCTCCAGTTCCACATCCCCAAAAACCCTCCTATGCTTTCCCCCTTTTGAGTAAATTAATTTTTATCTGCCTGCTCTGAGTTTGTAAGAGCTATTAAGAATGGGTCAGTGCTACCTTCAGAACAGATTTAACAGGATCCCTATGCCTTTGCAAGATTTCTAAAACCTGGTCCAGGCTAGGGATACCAAGACACTATCTTGAGGTTCTTTGGAAACGTGTCTTCTCTCCTTTCTTCCTTCCTGTTGCTGTAGGTAATTTTCTCAGGGCTGGATTGATCCAGCCTGCTGACTAGGCTTCCTCCTGGGATACTCCTCTTCCATTCTACCCACTGTGTCCTCACAACCTTCTTCGTCCATATGAGGTCGTTCGTAGAATCTTCTCCAATCGTTTGTCTTTTCTCTTGATACTACGTGCATCCACTGTTGTTTCACAGGATGATATCAGCTCTTTTCAAAACCACAGACAGCAGAACTCCCAGGTCAGTGTGCCTTAAAATGGAAGCCAAGCCATCTTGGTGGTCTTCAGAGATTTTCTCCAGGGGCTGGGAGCTCTCAAAGTTTGAGTCACTATGCCCTTGTAGTTTTTCACTTGAGCAGCTCACCCTCTATAGTGCTTGTATCATTGAATTTTTGAACTCAAGCTTGTGGTTTACACTGATCTTACAATGGGCAGTTAGAGGGGAGAGGCACAAATAGGAGAAAGAGAGAAGAAGAAATCAGAGTTAGATTTTTAGAAGTTAGGCATGCAAGGAAAGAGAACAAATGGAACCATCGGCAGAAGAATAAACAAGAACCAAGACGGAAGAAGCCAGTTAGGTTCCATAAGGACTTAGTGATCTTAGAGCAAAAACCATGCCTTCAGATGACTGAAGAGAAATAGATGGCAGAATAAGAGAATAAGGAATGTTGAGAAGAGGTGAAGGCCCAGAGCATAGGGATTTGGATAGGTCTTTTGGGGAGAGGGTAGTGCTTATTACAATTAGCAGGCATTGGCCCGGGTAAGACAGATCATAGGAAATGGAATTCCTCTTCCTCTCATCCTTTCTCCCACTTCTGACATTTTCCATTCTTTTTTCTTCTCTTTGGGGTATCTTACATTTCTTTTCTCTTCCCTGAATGAATCAATTAATCAATCTTCCTCCCTTCTCTCTTGCCTTAAAAGTGTTTTTGTGAACTGTAGGTCTTGACCTATTAACAGGTGATGAAATCAGTTTTGAAGCATTTTCAAAACATTGAAATAGAATACAATAGTAAGCTGGGTGCGGTGGCTCCCGCCTGTAATCCCAGCACTTTGGAAGGCTGAGGTGGGCGGATCACCTGAGGTCAGGAGTTCAAGACCAGCCTGGCCAACATGGTAAAACCCTGTCTCTATTAAAATACAAACATTAGCCGGGTGTGGTGGTGTGCACCTGTAATCCCAGTTACTCGGGAGGCTGAGGCAGGAGAATCACTTGAACCTAGGAGGTGGAAGTTGCAGTGAGTCGAGATGGCACCACTGCACTCCAGCCTGGGTGGCAGAATGAGACTCTGTCTCAAGAAAAAAAAAAAAAGAAAGAAATAGAAAAGAATATAAAGAATAAAAGACAATAAAATAGAAAATATTTGTGTGCAACTTAGGGTCAGGGCAAACTTGTTTCAGTTATGTGTGTGTAAAATTATTTCAATCAGTCAAGAAAAGTTTGAAGGCAACTAGGATATAATTTACAACTGAGGAAATTTCTTTATTATTTGGTATAATTAGTAATGTTTTTGATGAGAACTTTTAAGAGGGTCATGTTGATAAAGTTTTAATATTTCTTTCTCTCAACTTCTGTCCCAAACAAAAATATCTTGAATTTTTAAATTACTTTTCCCTGAATTTTTTTTCTTGTGTATTAGCACCCCTGGAAAGAAAATATGTTTTGTAGCTGAAAAACATCCTAATACTCAGAGTTTATACAGAATATGGACTTCAGTTAAACCCGTAGGCAATCTCCATTTTCTGGATACAAATTAACTGCAATGGGTGGGTTGTTGGCTCAGAGAAGGTGAGTTTTATTAACACTCTTGGATGCAGTTATGGCAGGCAACAGAATGTTGAGACATGCAATCAGTTAATTTTTTGTAAAATATGGCAGGCATGGCCTGGAACTAGGAGAGATAAGTGGAGAGTAACCAACCCTACCTTCAAGAAATTTTCCTCCTTGACCACAAGTTTATATTTTACTTCTGGTTTACTTGATATGTTCCTTTTCACTAAACATTTTAATAACATACACCTGTATAGTAATTTCGCCATCATTTTAAATTTTTTCTGTTTTGTAAATTGTAAAAGTTATATATATTTGTTGAATCAAAGTCAAACAATACAGACATGTAAAGGAAAAGCTCAAAAAAATCCTCTTCTCACTACATCACCACTCCCCCACCACACACACATACATAGCCCCCCGTTTCATGCCTCACTTCAATATCCTTTTGGCCTGTATCCCTCTAGATATAGACAAATGCTATGAACGTTTTAATGTGCACACAAGTCACCTGGGACCTCGTTAAATACAGCTTCTAACTCAGCAGTTCTGGGGTGAGCCCTGACACCCCACATTTCTAACAAGCTCTCAGGTGATGCTGATGCTACAGGTCCAGAGATCACGCTTTGAGTAATGAGGGGCTAGACTGTTGCACTGTCCTGTACAGTATCTAATCACCACATATGACTATTGAAATTTAAATTTCAGTTACTTAAAAAGGAGAGAAAGTATTCTTTTACAAGCTGCCTTTTCTTTTTTTCTTCTTAAGTCATATATATTACCTTCTAATCTCCCGAAAATGATTTTTAAATTTTATTTTTATTATATGTTTACATACAGTATTTAACAAAAATATTGAGATCACACATAATTTTTGGTGCATATCTAATGAAATATTTATACTGAGAGAAGGATGATTATCTGCTTATCATTTATTCAGCTATTCATTCATTCAATGAGAGTTGTTGAGTATCTACTATGATCATCTAGACAAAACACAGACCTTGATATCAAATTATTTTCAGTCATAAATTGAGAGCTTAAAATTTGTAGCCTATCTCCATATCAGTAAAACTGCCCGCAAACTATCTTTTACCCATAATTGGCTATCCTCTGTTTAAGAAACTGATACACACATAGAATAAGATCCCATAGTCTCACAAGGATGGACATGATTTAAACCCAAGTGATCTTAACTGGGTGAATTCCTGCACCCTGATTTGTGCCCAGGCCAAAAAAAGTTCACTCACTTTAATCAGTTGCTTTTATGGAAGGAATATTCTTGTTGCTTTTGACTTATAGAGTAATGCAGGTTTTCTTTTTAGAAAGCACTTACGAATTCTTTAAATTTGTTATTAATCAACTTATTGAGGCACAATTTACTTACAACAAAATGCGCAGATTAAAGGTATACCATAGGATGAGCTTTAATAAATGTATACCCTTGTGTATATTCTGCACTATCCTGATGTTGAATATTTCTGTCACACAGTATAGTTTCATTCTGCCTCTTTGCACTCAAGCACAACTTCCACTCCTACTCCCCCTCCCCACCACAGGCAACCGCTGTTCTGATTTCTGTCATTATAGTTAAGTTTTGCAGGTTTTAGAACTTTTCATAAATGGAATCATATTATAGTGTATACTCCTTTTTGTCATTCAGCATAATGGTTCTGAGAGTCATCGTGTTGTTGTGGTGTTGGTACTTTGCTCCTTTTTATTACTGAGTAGTATTTCATTACATGAAGGTACCACAATTTGTTTATTACTCAACTGTGGTGAACATTTGTGTTGCTTCCAGTGTGAGGCTATTCTGGATAAAACTGCTATATACATCCATGTATATTACTTTTAGTAGATATAAGTTTTATATCATCTAGAAGTAGCTGAGTCATACAGTAGATAAATATCTACCTTTAGAAGAAGTTACCAAATTACTTTCCAAAGTGGTTGTACCACTTTACATACCCACTGGTAATGTACCAGTGTTCATTTCTCCACACCCTCGTCAACAGTTGGTGGTGTCAGTCATTTTAATTTTTACCAATTCTAGTAAGTGTTAAATGGTTTCTCATTGTGGTTGCAATTTTCATTAATGTTGAGTGTCTTTTATTTTTGAACTCTTTAGCATTTGTATAACTTATTTTTGAAATGGCTGTTCCAGTCTTTTGCTCATTGGTTTGTTTCTTATTAATGGATTGTAAGAGTTCTTTTTATATTCTGGATACAAGGCCAGGGTGAGATATGTGTATTGCTAATGCTTTCCCTCAGCAACTGGTTTATCATTGCATTTTCTTAATGGTGACTTTTGAGAAGCAGAAGCTTCCTAATTTTGATGGAATATAATTATCTATTTTTTCTTTTATGGCTAAAACTTCTTACTTCTTAAGAAATCTTTGCCTACCCCAAATGGCAAAGATATTTTCTTAGAGTTCTTCTAGATGTTTTATAGTTTTAGCTTTTACATTTAGGACTATGATCCATTTTGAGTTAATCTTAGTGGATAGTGTGAGATAAGGGTTGAGATTCAGTTCCTTTCATATAGATATCTAGTTGTTCCAGCATCATTTGTTTAAAAGACTATCCTTATCCTTTTCCGTTGAATTATATTGGCACTTTTGTCAAAAATCAATTGATTGTATATGTGTGGCATGATAGGTTTAGTTAAGCACTGGTATATTTAAGCACTAGTATATTTTTACATTTTTTTCAATCTTAAAATCTTGAATGTATTCAGGCCTGGGGTGATGACTAGAACTGATCTAGATGAGAACAGTCAAGCAGTGTGCATTGCAGGACATTTCCTACCAAGCTCCTCATTTTCTGATGCTCCTCTATGCTTCCACAGGGAGACTGTACAATAGGCACATGCTCCCTGGGCCCAGTCGGACAGCGGCCTCTTAAAACTCCATAGTCCCATCCCCTCACCCATCACCTCAGCCTACCCCTCCTTCAAGTCCTGAGAGTACTAGAAGAGAGGACCTCTCATGCTTTGAGGCAGAACCTAGCACACCGGTGGCAGTAGTCAGGATGGAGCCTTCCTCATGGACCTGAAGACTTCTCTCTGAACCACCAACTGGCCCTTTCTGTTGGGCTTAAGGGGACCACAGGGTGTAGGAGACAGTTGGGGTACATTTAAATCCTGCTCTATAGTAAGCCCTACTTGATGAGGTTGTAAATCGTGGTTCATTGCTTCAGTTGCTTTATGTTTAAAGTACTCACTAATTTCATTCAGCAAGGAAGAATGATCTAAAGAAAGAACCTGAAACTTGGAGTTAGAGCCCAAGACTTGGATTGGAGTTCCAGTTCTTTTACTTGCCTAGTGTGTACTCATCATAAATAATAAGAGTGCTGTTAGTGACACACAGGATTGTTGTGAGCATCAAATAAGAGCACTCTGCAAATTGTGTATTCAAACGGTATTTTAAGCATCTTTCCTTCAGTAGCCCCAAAAGTTGCTATATTCAAATCTGAGTCATTACTTAAATAGGCTTTGTTGAAATAAAGTGCATAATGACTTTGAGTGGATCCACTCTCTTTAAAAACTCATCAGCAAACATTTGCTTCCTGAGTGATTCCTCTGTAACTTTGAAATACATGAGAAATGATTCTATAGAGGATAACTGCTGCAAGCCTAGGTCATAGTCAACTTGTCATTTGTTAAGGATTAATACTTTTGCTGAAAATGTATCAAAAATATTGGCAAGAGCATGGGCTGGACATAGAGTACTTTCTTTATGGCATATAAACAAAAACAAAACCTTTCCCCAAAAGGCTATATAATACCTTACTTCATGTATTATGAAATATGTATCATTATATTTTCCCCTGATATTAATTAATTTCAATAAATATTTTGTTGGTAAACATTTTTCCCTAACTATAATGGTGATGCACACTCATTTTAGAAAACTAGGAAACTATAGACATGTATAAAGTTGAAATTGAAAATTGCCTAGCATCTTCGCACTGAGAGATAACCATTATTAACATTTTAATGAGTATTTTTGTAGCCATTTGTACTCATATATATATGCATTTTTAGAAAATTCATAAAGTATTTTTGATATAGTTTTGCACATTGCTTTTTTCTCATTATAAGCAGATTTCAATGTTAATGAATATGTTCAGAAAAATAATTTTGAAAGCTGCCTAATATTTTATCTATACTTAGAATTTCTAAAAATTATTTAAATATTGTTTTTCCTAATTATTATTAAATTAAATTTATCAAAATTAAATTTTATCTACTTAAATTTGTAACTGTTGAATTTCAGTTGCTGAAAGAATTCTGTTTACTGTAAGAAAAATAAAATATGTCCACTCAAATACACACACTAATTTTAAAGGTAGATCATGCATTTTTAGCAGGGACAATATCAACTAAAAGGAATTAAAAAATTGGTTTTGAGTAAAAAGATCTTTCTTTTTTTCATGGATAAAGTATAGATATACTGTACATAGAGTATAAAAACAGATATGCAGTATATCAGTAGTATTAATATTTCATGGAGAAGAGAGATGATTAGAAAAAAAGTCTAAAAAGATTTCTTAGGAGGTGATAATGAAAGATAGATTAAGAAACACTGAGATAATCTTGTAGAATTAAAATCCTGCAGGGCAATGCAATTGCTTTAAACTTATGCTCATTTCAACGAAATAAGTTTCCTCTCTAACATACAGAATCTTCTGATGTTCTATCTGGTATCAGGTAGTCATTTCTTTTTGAGTACAGGATGCAGAGAAAAGAAAATATTCAAGTTAAATTAAGGTTGAAATTTCACATGTTGTAATTCCATTTAAATAATAGCACTACATTCTAACACTATTCATTGTCAAATGGAAAACTCATTTTCTTACTTTAAAAACCCAGAATCAATCATTTGTCTCTTAAAAGAAAGTATTGTGGTTATGTGCTTTGTATTTTAATTTGACAAACTTCAGTGGTTTTCCAAGAGTATCAACTGTAGTTTTATATGCAAATCTAATAATTGAAAAGACACAATCACCACAAGAACAAAAATGATAGCAAAATGCACTGACTTAGGTTGTCTTTTAATAACAGCTTTATTGAGACATAATTCACATCTATAAAATTCCCCCTTTTAGAATGAACTTTTCAGTGGTTTTTAGTATATTTACATAGTTGTATAATCATCAGCACTATCTAATTTCAGAACCTTTTCATAACCCTAAAAAGAAAGCCCACACCTATTAGCAGTCACTCCCCATTTCCCTTTCCCAACAGCCCTTGAAACCATTAATCTACTTCCTATCTCTATCAATGTTTCTATTCTGGACCATTCATAGATTTAGAAGCATACAATACATGACCCTTTGTAACTGGCTTCTTTCACTTAGCATAATGTTTTCAAAGTTCATCCATGTTGTAGTATCCATCAGTACTTCATCCTTTTTTATGCTCTGAATAATACTCCACTGTATGGTTATACTACGTTTTGTTTATCCATTCCTTAGTTGGACATCTGGGCTGTTTCTACTTTTTGGCTGTTATAAATAATGCTGCCATGAACATCTATGTATTAAGTTTTGTGTGGACATATGTTTTCAACTTTCCAGATACATACCTAGAAGTGAATTATCAGGTCATATGATAATTATGTTTATTTTGAGAAACTATGAAACTGTTTTCCAAAGCAGCTGTAACATCTTACAATCCCATCAGCAATGCATGAGGGTTCCAATTTCTTCACATCTTCATCATTTGTTATTGTCTTTTTAATTTTAATTATCCTTGTGGGGCTGAAGTAGTTTTAATTTGCATTTCCCCACTGAGCAATAATACTGAGTGTCTTTTGCCATTTCATATGTCTTCTTTGGAAAAATGTCTATTCAAATCCTTTTCCCATTTTTAAATTGGGTAATTTGTCTTTTTATTGTTGAGTTATAAGAGCTCTTTATATATTCTGGATACAAGTCCCTTATAAGATATATGATTTGGAAATATTTTCTCTTATTCCTTGGATTATCTTTTTACTTTTTTGATGATGTCCTTTGAAACACAAAAGTTTTAAATTTTGATAATGTCCAATTTATCTATATTTTCTATTGTCATTTATGCTTTTGGTGTTATACGTAAGGAAACATTATTTAATATCACAAAGATTTACTTCTGTTTTATTCCATTAGTTTTATAGTTTTGCTTTTACATGTAGATCTTCGATCCATTTTAGGTGAAATTTTGTATATGGCATAAATAATGTGAGAGTCCAACGTCACTGTTTTTCATGTGGATATCCAATTATCTCAGTGCCTTTTGCTGAATAACTTAGGTTTTGAATCAAGATATAATAATGATCGATTAACAGGTTAAGATCCTTGTCTGAAACAGCCTTTCTTTTTTTCAATTCTATCACCCTTTTTCATTCCTTTCCTTATGTGTAAAATGCCATTTATTGTACTAATATTTGGAAGTCCTATCTTTTACTGAAGATTATTATTACCAATGATGGGAAAGTGAAGCGCTGTGGCTGGTTATTTCCTCATCTACCGAATTCAGGGCTTGGACCTAGATTTTTCAGCTCACCGAGACCCTGGTTAATATGAATTTAGCATACATCGCATCCACATATTGTCACTTTAAAAATAATTAACATGTTATAAAATCCCATAGCATTAAAATTGCTATCAAGTAATATAATGTTTCTTCGAAAGGACTAAATTTAAACTTGGAAAAAAAATAGGATTCTGGTGATGGTGAGGGAGTATTTTTAAGGGAGAGATAGTGAACCCTATCAGGTGCAACAGAGAATAATCTCCAATAAAGGAGCTCTGCATTTAGCAGCAAGGACACCATTGGTGACCTTTGAGAGAAATCTCAATAATTGGTGGGTGAAATGGGTAATTTTATGTGTCAACCTGGCTAGACTGTAGTTCCCGGTAGTGCCCACCTAATCTAATTGTTGCTCTGAAGGTATTTTGTAAACGCACAATCAGTTGACTTTAAGTAAAGGAAAAATTTTTTGATAATCTGGGTGGTCCTCATCCAATCTTAAGAGCAAAGCTGAGGTTTCTCTGAAGAAGAAGAAATCCAGGCTGTTGGCCTGCCCTACAGATTTCAAGCTTGTCAGATTCCACAACTGCATAAGCCAATTCCTTGAAATCTCTCTCTTTGTATGCATATACATATATATGAATGTACATGCACACATAAATGCTATTATATAACATAATATACCTAATATATTATACAAACTTATAATTATGTATCATATATAATTATATATTATTATATATTCCATACATATATACACACTGATTTTATATATCTATAAAATATATCTGATTTTATATATTTATCTATAGATATGATATATCTATATCTATCTATCTATCTATCTATCTATCTATCTATCTATCTATCTATCTACCTATCATCGAGAGAGAGAGGAGAGAGAAATGTTTGCCAGGAAAATAAAGGGGAGACCAGAGGGCAGCTAGTAAAGCATTTTGGGTATTTGGGAGAGCGAAGGGGTTTCAACTAGTTGAATCTAACAAGCAAAGTATTGTATTCAGACACTCCACAATAGAACCCCTTGGTTGTATTTAATAAAGTTTTTTTTAAAAATAGAACTAACTTTTTTTACATTTATCTCCCAACTTTTTTGTAAATATGCACTGAGTAGTTTAACTTTATGATCTCATGGTATAATTTTAGGATCTGGACTCCCATTAAAAGTTTCTCTCTTTCACTGAGTGCCAACTACTTGGATTGCATGCTTAGTGGCAAGAAACGATCAATCAGGCTCCATAACATTTTCCTTATAAATTCCCCCTTTTTACATGTTGGCAGACATCATTTAAAAAGTCACAAAAGAATCATCAGGGGGAAAATCATAAAAACAGCAAGTAAAAATTGTAACTTCTATACTAGCCATGGAATCATGGCTATCATGGAATCATAATTAATCATGGAACAACATAATTAGAAGTTCATTGGATAAAGTCAAGGAAATATATGCTTTATAAAATGTAAGGAAGTACTGATAATGTCAGAGAAGTAAGGATTTTACTTTCTTATCTAAGTCCACAAGATGATACAGTCTTCTAATTACACATTACAAGCGTAAATTTACATTCTAAAGTGCATGCTGTAAGGGAAAAAAGAAAGGATTTGGCTTACTTTCGTGCAGAGCTGGATACAGTAGTCTACAAACAAGCTGGCATATGTTGACATAATTTGATTAAATACTGTCTAGCTATAATTTAAGCCCTGTTACACTCTATTGATTGCATCCTAGGGCTATGTTAGCTTTGAAAAACTTCAGCTTTGTCAATGAGCGTCAGGTTTACTGGGCTACTAAAAAAAGTGTAGTTAATGAATCAGTGAAACTGCCTTGAGTATGGTGATGGAGTTTTGTTCTGGAAGAACTCCATGAAGATATTATATAAGCATGAAATCTGAATTTTCTTGAGTCTAGTGACTTTCAATCTTTTTGATGTCTTAGATATTATTGTGTAATGCTTGGTTCTCAGCATGAGAGTACAGTATTTGTCAGGGAAGACTATGGTAATAATGTGTATATAGATCTTCAACTGATTCTAAAATTTGAAGAAAGCCTCCGTTAATTTGCTGGGATTATATGTTAACAGATATCATTCATAGTAATCTGGGGTCTTTACTTTTCTAGAAAATTTTACTTTTACATTAAATTTTACATTAAACATCATATAAATCACTGAGTGGTGTGTACTATCATTAGCTAAGAGGTTACTGGTTAGTTAGGTTATATCGTTAAGTGCATTCTTCTTAATAATTTTCAGTATTTATCCTTTGGGAGGACAGAAAAACAAACTGCATATGATAGAAGCCCTTTAGAAAGGCTGACTTGTGTTGTCATGGTTAGATAAAATGGATTTTAACAGACAAATCTGTTAAAGTAATAGATTACTGAAAAGTAATATATTAGTATCAAAGCTTTTCTATGAGTAGCTGTATAGAGACTTGCTGCTTGATATCTTTTAATCGTGACAGTTGCTATAAATAATATGAACTAAACCACAAATTACATTGAAATATAATTTGTTAATTTCTCATGAGAGAACGTGGAGATTATAAAGTTCTTGATAGAAAGGACTCTAATTTACTTTATTGTCACCGGTAGCATAGGATCTGGTATATAATAGGCATTAAACATTTTTTATGAATAAATTAATAGATCAATTAATTAATTGAGTCATTGACTGAGGAATATTTATTCTGATCCAGCATTGGCCCTAATAATTAGTTTTTAATAAGGTGATGGGTTGATATAAACTCTGACCTTCAACTATGAAACTGTATGCACTCTTAGCTCAGAGGCCAGATTAAAATTCAATCTGATGAAAACTAGAGACCTGTTACGAGGTAGTGAGAACTCATCTGTAGATATATTTGAGAGTTGACTGATTAAAGGGAATAAAAGTTCATAGCCTCATCCAGTCATCCTCCTATTGCAAAATAGAGGGGATTTAATGACTGTGTGTTCGGTGTTCTCTTGATGAAGATCAGATATCCATTGTTTGACAGACTGAATATTATGCTCATTTGGTCAACCCACTCTTTTCCTAATTTTGCAGGGGGTAGATATTATTATGAATGCATTCTGGCTTATTCTTAGTATATACTACTTTCATCAGTCTGCCAATATTCCTCTCTCCTCAATTCAAGCCCCAGAAATGGGCAGTTCACGGTCGGTTTTATTAGATTTTACAAGAGATGTTAAACACTTAGAGAGCAAGCTTTCCAGCTTTCCATTTGGCATCCTTATTTAGGCAAATTATTGTATGCAGTTGCCTAATTGTTAGTCACAGCAGGCCTAAAATTACAAAACTGCTTGAGATATGTTTGTCTAGAAGCTGTTCAATTTCAATTGTCAGCCTCCAACAGTAATGTTGGTAGAATAATCATGATGCGTTTCTAGTATACTAAAACTAATCTGTAGTAAAATTAATCTACTTATTTTATTTGGTCCTTTCACTCAACAAGTACAAATGGCACACATGCATGGCTAAGTCCAAAAGGAGATACAAAGTATGAGAAACAGTTCCTGCCTTTCAGGAATTAAATTCTAATTGGTCGATTTCTCTTATCTATTGAGAAGCTAGGGTAGCCCCATTAATGAGAGTTTATTTTGGCAAAGACTACCAAAAGAAGTATAATTTAAGTCTTAGAATATAATTTTAAAGGTAGAATCAAGAATGAAGATATTTGCTATTTTTGCTAATTTGCATTGTTATGGAGGTCCAAACCGATGTAATAAGATAAGAAAAAATATTATATAATACAATTAAAAAAAAAACAGAAATAAACCTATATCTTTGAATATGGATAGAAAACTATCTGAGAGAATAAACTAGGTGATTAAAAGTGGTTGTTTTAATAAGTGGGGCTGTGAAGTTAAAAGGAAGTTAGTTTTCTTTTACTTGTTCTCTCCCCCCACTTCAGTGAAGTCTGAATTTTATGTTCTACCACAAATATGTATAATTGATTGCATTTTTTTTTTTTTTGAGATGCAGTCTCACTCTATAGCCCAGGCTGGAGTGCAGTGGTGCGATCTCGGCTCACTGCAAGCTCTGCCTCCTGGGTTCACACCATTCTCCTGCCGCAGCCTCCCGAGTAGCTGGGACTACAGGCACCTGCCACCACGCCCGGCTGATTTTTTGTATTTTTAGTAGAGATGGGGTTTCACCATGTTAGCCAGGATGGTCTTGATCTCCTGACCTCATGATCTGCCCACCTCGGCCTCCCAAAGTGCTGGGATTACAGGCGTGAGCCACGGCACCTGGCCAACTGATTGCATTTTTGAGTTAAAAAAAAATCAAGGAATTAACAAAAGCATGAAATGGTAAGCCAGAAAGAGAAAGTAAGTGGGTCATAAAAACTGAAAACAGGTCAGAAGCAGATTTTTTTTTTTTTTGAGATGGAGTCTTGCTCTGTTGCCCAGGCTGGAGTGCAGTGGTGCGATCTTGGCTCACTGCAAGCTCTGCCTCCTGGGTTCACACCATTCTCCTGCCTCAGCCTTCCGAGTAGCTGGGACTACAGGTGCCCACCACCACACCCAGCTAATTTTTTTGTATTTTTTAGTAGAGACAGAGTTTCACTGTGTTAGCCAGGATGGTCTCGATCTCCTGACCTCGTGATCCACCTGCCTTAGCCTCCCAAAGTGCTGGGATTACAGGCATAAGCCACCGCGCCCAGCCAGAAGCAGATTTTAAGGGCTGGGGGATGGAGTCAAAGATTGGAGAGCTGGTCGGGTGAGAGCAGAAAATTATCAATAAAATGGAAAGACTGACTGGGGACCATTCATCTGTGACAAAACTATGACAATGAGCTTTTATGTGCATCATGAAGTGTGGTGTGCCCATGTGCTTAAATGGTCAGAATAGGGCTGAAAATGGGAATGTGCACAAAGTAATCTATTTCAAATACTTAAGCACAGAAAGGTACTATCTGATTTACATTTTCTTCTCACCTCTGTATTTAAAAATATTTTAAACTTATGGGAAATTTGAAAAAAAGGTACAGTGAACATCTATATACTCTTCATCTAATTGCACTAAATGCAGTTGCCTAATTGTTAGTCACAGCAGTTGTTAATATTTTGTGCCCTCTATGTCTGTTGATATACATTTTTCCTGAAAACATTTGAAAGTAGGTTGCAGACATCATGGCATTTCACCCCTAAATATTTTCTAATATATATAACACAGATAACTGTCAAATAGTAATAATAGCTATTGGTTTTAGACCTCTTAACGTGTGCCTGACCCTGTAATAAATACTTCGCATACATTAGCTAATTAATCCTTATAACAGTCCCTTGAGGAAGATCTGATTGACGTCCATTTTATTGATGAAGACCAAGATGAGAATCAAGCTGATCCCTGACTGACTCCAAAGTCCCTGCTTAAAAAAACAAGGCAGGATATAGTTGAGGCCTTAGTGAGTGAACTGACATTAAGTTTCCATTGAACTTCAGAGCACGGAGCAATCATGGCAGACCTCAGTAAAGCATTGTTACCGCTTCATCCTCAGATTCCACAGTGGTTTAGAAATGTTTTCCAGAAATGGATACCTTGAGCTGAACTGACAGAGACGGTTTTCTCTCCTTTACTAGGAACTTATGTCCTGAAATCACTGACATTTAGATATCCATTTTCCCTTTTCGTTTCCAGAAGTAAAATCAACTCTATGTAAACATTTACTTCTCATCAGCTTTTCCTTACGTATAACTGCCATTACATGCTCTCAAATCAAAGGGTATTACAATACATATTATATGAAATTTACGTTACTCTGATGACATTAACTATTTTCCTGGGGAAAGGTAATAGATCACTTTAAAACGTTTTCTTTGAATAGCTGTATAGAGACTTTTTAAATCATAGGAGCTGCCATAGCAGGTCTCTTTCTAATGTATATAGTAATGTTATGTGTGCAAATATATCATCTGGAATGCACAATATCGTAAGTGCGAAACTAAACATGGTTCATAACTCAATAAAACAAAAGTGAGGCTGTGCCAAAACAACTTTGCTCTTCACATTTCCCATTGCAGCAACATTTAAAGAAGGATTATTTCTGAAAATGTGCATGAGTCAGAAGTGGGGAATGAGTAATTCTGTGCTTTGGACTTTATTAATGTTTTACTGCTGAAGAGACATCATCCAGTTTTTTCAGTAAAGCGCTGAGTGACTGCTTCATCCTCAGATTCCTCTGGATTCTTTGAAAAAACCTGAAGATAATTTGAACAACTAAGTTACTGTTATCCTCTGAATTTAGCACTGAGTTTTCTTGATATGTTCTAATTAAGTGAACAATTATTTGATCTAATTTTTTTCTGGGCAGAGAAATGACTACTAGGGGCCGAGAGTTACAATAACCTTAGAATACAATAGGTCAACAATATTCTTTAGCAAGTAGGAAACAAGGTTAGGCTGACTCATTCAAAGTCAGAATATGCATAAAAATATATTAGTTTGTTGACATTTCAACTTTTTTGGTGGATTTTAAAAAATCCATCATCATGAAAAGGTCAAGGAAAACTATTCATGAGGCCCATGATAGGAACGAATTTTGTGTCTTATAATTTGTACATGCTAATGGGTTTTAAAAGTCTCTAAATCCATTCCTCTGTATATTATTTATCCTCATCCTCATATTTCCCCCATAAAATATAGCATTTTTGGCTCTTCTTATGAATGAGTCAAGGAATTTTTTCAAAGACCCACTTTGAGATTCCATATTTTAAGCCAGTAGGGCCATGCTATTTTAATTCCTAGTTAACCACTTATTACTGGGCATCAACTGTGGTTCCAGCATTGGAATTGGAAAAGAAAACAAATCATCTATTTTTTTCCCTTTTCACTCTTACAGCTTACAAATGGACTTCATTTTCCCATTTGACACAGCCAGGCTTTAGTACAGTGATCCTGGCTTGCAAACAGCAATGGCAAGAATGAACACAATCTTTTTAGGGAAACCTTACTTTTAAGGTGCTGAAACAGAACAAGGGTTTTCGTGTTAGAGTTAAGAGGCATATCCTAAATTGCATAGTGGGGACTAGATTTTAATCTATAACTTCATCATGCCATTTTGTTATTGGGAGGAGCTAAATAACACAAAGACCTATCCCTTTAGAGTTATGTTAAAAACAAAATGTTTTCCCTACAAATACATAGCCTGTGAAAGCTGAAGCGGGACAGGGCTGTCGTAGAACTGAAGGACCTATTCCTTCTGCTGTTGAGAGCACTATCAGCAGATGGCCCTCAGCCCTATTTAGAGTTGATCTTGGTTGGAAAGAGTCACCTCCCCCAGGTCAGGCTATCTTTCCAGGGCAAACCATATCTAATAATTGGCCAACGGAGGGGTATAAAACCTGGCACCATTGCCTGCTCCAACTTGGGACAACTCTGAAGGGCCATCCAGCTCCTGAACTCCCCAAGGAGAGCCCAACCTCTCCTTCTGCCCAATCCTGCTGGTTTTTCTTCCTTTTTACAGTTCTTTATCCAAGAACACTCCTAATAAACCTCCTACACATTAATCTCCATCTCAGAGTCAGTTTCCTGGGGAATCATTCTCAGAGAATGACTGTGTGAATGAGAATTCGTTCAATTTTTGACAGAATTTCGTAAAACACAAAATGAGGGATCTTTGGCTATCAACAGCTTTGATACATATTTCTTCATTCAACTTCTTCACAGTGGACATTTCCATTTTATTCGAGTTTGATGTGAATAAAACCCTTTTCATGATGTGGTACTGACAACCCCCCCACCTCCCCACCTCCAGTGTTCTTATGTTTTTCAAAATGCTGAATACTGTTTGATGTAAGATTCAAGGCTAAACTTTCAGAGTATGTGATGATTTGGGGCTTGATTTACTGCTCTTTGGCCTTGGTTTGTTTCCGTTTGATTTTGGAGGATCATTAATCTTCCAGGGAAAGCCTCCAGGGGTGGATGGTGCCCTGGCCGTTCATTGATGTAAGCAGAATTATTCAGATGCTCATGTGTCTTCCCCTCTTCTGACAATCTTTATCCTGTCTCCAAATGTGGCAATATTTAGAAGGAGAAAAATAACACTAGAGGGCAAAGGCATAATTGTTTGAGGTTTACCACAAGGATGTAACTGGGGCTACCGCTGGTTTGTTAGTGAGATGACAAAGGGCACTGAGCTCTGGCTCACTGGCAGCTGTTGATCCAAGGCTGGAGAGAGTCACTTCACAGTGCACTGGAATTGCTTATCATCCAGGGAATCCCTTACAGCCCATGGACCCACCAGTCTGCTGATATGCCGGCTCTAGAACCTTATAGGTGCCTCTGCCCTCTCCAGGTTTCTCCCCTGTGGATGCTCTTACACCTCGGCATGACCTCAGATCTGGAGTCACACTGGGAATCTGAACCAGATTAGTGGGACCCTATACACTAAGTTGTGGGGAACAGCATAGCACGATGGTGAAGTGGTCATGCACTAAAGCCTTGCTCCAGTCTTGGCTCTGCTCCTAATTGTGTGATCTTAGACAAGTTATGTAACCTCTCTGTGCCTCAATTTTCTCGTCTGCAAAATGAAGATGATAACAGTGTCTAATTTACAAGGTTGTTGTCAGGATTATGTAAGTTAATATATGTCTAGTACTTAGAAAAGCACGTAGTACATATTCAGCACTGAATGTGCTTTTTGAAATATAAGTAAAAATCTGTATAAGTGATAAAATAATGCAGCAAGAGGAACATTTGATGTGGAAATAGAATCATAGAACTAGCTCTATCAACAAGCCCAGAAGTCTCCACTGATAAATTCTGAACAGAAAATACAGACATAAAGTAGAATGTGGACCCCAGTAGTCTGAAGCTCCTCTAGTAATTGCATTTGTAACAAAATATAAATCAGAAAAATAATTCTAGAGGAATGGTGGATGCATGGAGTGTTCTAATGTTGGCAAAATGGCCAAATTTATGTAGTATTAAAGTTGGACTTTAAGAGCTAAGAAATATAATGACATCCAGAGAAAATACAGTTTTTCATAGCCACCAGAAACACAAATATAGAATGATTAATTTTGGTGTATCTCAAACTTGCTTAAATCAACATATCTTCTACTCTTGTTAATGGTGTGATTAAATGTCATGATGCAAACCACTTACCCATGAAGTAAACGAATCACAGCGGTAACAATGAGCTGGACAGTCATAAGAATTTGTTTAGTATACATACACCCATTATGTTTTCAGACAAAGGGAGGTAAATGAAGCACAAATTTTTCTTCTTAGCAAGGCATCATTTAAGCATAAACTAGAATATCCAAGATGTTCAGGCTTAGAAAACATAAGTATGGCGAGAAGTGTCAGATAATAATCATTTCCAAAAAACTAGTCTCAAGAAAAATGGACTTCTTGTTTTTATCTTCCCTTGCTTAGTGAAAGAGCTGCAGTTTAAATTATTTTAAAAATAGCAGGTGTGATGAATACTCCTCCCGAATGTGTTAATCTTTGAAGAGATGCAGGTGCTGGCTACTGGTAGAATTAAAAATATGCTCAGAATAGTTTTGACATCCGTATTTATAAAACAAATGGTGGAAGGGAGTTGGGTTTCTGATAAAAGCAGCTCTTTTGTGTTATAAGTTGCACATATATTAAATATTTGTTTACAGTCTTTGTTTTTCATGCATTCAAGTTTAAGTAAAACCAATACAAAAAAAAATAGATGAATGAACATATGAATTTAAGGTTAAAGTTAGTATTAAAATGTAAATAAAATGTGGACAGTGTTCTAAAAGGAATAACAACAAGCTTGGAGGCCCCTTATGGCCTTTGAAACCTTCAAATGCCCTAGACACTAATGGTGGGAACTCACCCATCATCATATTAACTATATTAACCACACTCCCAGTCAGTGATTATAACTTCACTTCTATTGAAAAGTAAGTGGGTTTCTAACAAATCTGCAATAAAAATTTTCATTGATTTTGTTTTTCCCTTTTTATATTTTTGAACCAATATTTTATTTATTTATTTATTTATTTATTTATTTATTTATTTGTTTAAGGTCTGAAACATTTTCTATAGTCTTTGCGGAACCCCCAGGGTTTGGACATTGCATCTGTGGTGTCTAAGGAATAAAACAGCCCAGTTATTAAGGTTTCTGGATCATAGTTTCCCCATCTGTGAAGGGAGTGTTTCTCAAACTGAAATATAAAGCAGCTGTTAGTGTGTAGACTCTCCATCGTGGGCTCTTGATGAGGGATTAGTGAAGGTGGGAATGAGTTGAGCTGGAATTATGGCTTCTGAGGAAGTGTAAGGTAGAGAATTTGACTTTGGTGAAGTCAGTGTCTCTAGGACTCCAGTTAGCCAATGTTTTCCTGAAAAAATTTCTAGGAGGTCAACTCACACCCCTTGATGAGTCTCCTTAGGTGCGACCCTAAAATTCTCTGTGGCTGCACTATCTGATATGCTAGCCACTAGCCACATGTGGCTAGTTAAATTTAATTAAAATTAAATAAAATAAATTCAGCTCCTCAGTTACAGTAGCTAGGCAGATTTCACAGGGTGATAAGCCACACCAACCAGTGTCTACAATATTAAAGAATGCAGATACAGATCATTTCCAACACTGCAGAAAGTTCTGTTGGACAACACTGTTCTACAGTCTTGGTGTCTGGTTTTCTTTCAGAGGAAACCACTTGCTCTTTTAATAGCTAAATAATTTTTTTTAAAAGCAACTTCATTGAGGTATAATTTATACAACCTAAAATTCACCCATTCTATGTGCATGAGTCAATTTTTAGCAAATTTACTAGGAATCTTCTTCTGAACCACAGAACACAGAAAATGATTGTGGTGACTGTTTTCTCAATTCTCCCAACATTGAGAAAAAAAAAATGTGATAGCTAACACAATCCTAGATCTCAAGGAAATAAGTTAATATTAATACATTACATACTAGGAATGGATGTCTTAGTGAATTCGGACTTAATTTCTCCTGGACTCCTAGGTGAGAAAGACAAAACACAATTTGGCAGCATTTAAAATTACATCAAATAGAGATGAGAGTAAGTACAGCTGAATTTTCCTAAGTGAAACCTGTGGTGCAATTGCACTGTATAACCAAAATTTGGTAACTGTTGTGGTCATGTTGCAATATAGCATAGCATTTCCTTTTCTTTCTTCATAAACAGAAGCATCTTTATAAAAAATGAGACTTTAAATCCATTCAAACATGGTTAATGTAAAACTACTTTGAAACATTTAATTTATGTAACAGTATTTGGCGTAATAGTACATTACTGTTAGTATGTACATACTGTAATAGTACAGGATACTATCACTTAATATATAGTATGTAACAGTATCCCACACTATACCATTATAGCAATATCAGTATTGCATTCTTTAAAATTCAGGTGTTTTCTTTGTCATCTTTTCTAATTTTAGGCTTTCCAAATGCCTGATTTCTGCTTATTTATTATATATTCCTTCATTTTTTCATCTGGGTTTTACATATTTTTTTTAGTCAATCTATTCTGAATTGATTTCGTTAACTTTTTTCATAGTTTTAATGAAAACTCTGTATTTTCTACTGGTATGTCATTAGTATAAAGAAATACCATTGAGGTTGGGTGTGGTGGCTCCCACTTGCAATCCAGCAATTTGGGAGGCCAAGGCAAGTGGATCACTTGAGACCAGGAGTTCAAGACTAGCCTGGGCAGCATAGCAAGACTCTATCTCTACAAAAATGTGTTTTTTTTTTTAAATTAGCCAGTCATGGTGGTATACACCTGTACTCCCAGCTACTTGGGAGGCTGAGGTGGGAGGATCGCTTGAGCCCAGGTGTTTGAAGCAGCAGTGAGCTATGATCACACCGCTGCACTCCAGCCTGGGCAACAGAGTGAGATCCTGTCACTAAAAATTAAAAAAAAAAATGGCATTGAATTTTGTGACTCTGTTAAACCGTCTGATTTTTTTCTGAATTCCTTAATACTTTTGTGGCTTGTTGTTTATTTCTAGTTTTTAGATATAGCTGCATTAACTTGCTAAAACATAATTTATAATAAAATTTTATTCATTGTATTTACATATCATTGTTTCCTTTTTAAGTACATTATGCTAGTATTTATAGTTGACTTTTACATTTAACGCATTTATGCTCTATTAAGGCAGTAATCCTTATTTATTTTGCTGTATTTATTTTGCTTATTTTTTGTGATTAATTTTATTAAATATTTTACTCTAATATACTTGGAGTAAATCCTGCTTTTTCCACACTGGACAATTTTTTAACCTATTACATTTCATTTGCTGAAATCTTGCTTAAGGTTTTGCACCTTTGTTTCATTAATGAGATTGCCTAGCCCTGACAAGCTTGAGGCTCAACAAATTTATTTTAGAAATATTGTTCCCTAAGGAAATATAACACCTTAAAAATGTTTTTGGAGAGCAATTTAAGCAGCATAAAACACTATTTATTCTTTAAAAGCTTAGAAAAATTCTCCAGTTACTGCATCAGGGTCATAATATCTAACCTTTCCTATCTATGTATCAGGAATTGATCATGTTTTTTAATTGCATATGTTTTCATTACATGTTTGTGAGAAATCATATGAACATGATTGCTCAACTAGCTATACACTTACAGCTAAGAACAATGCTCTTTAACACTTAATAAAATCTACGCTGTTTTAATTGTCTTTTCCCTGATTTCACGAACTTGTAATTTCTTTTTCATTGGGTCAATAGTTTATCAATTTTGTCCATTTTGTCAACATGCAAACTCTTGTTTTGTTGGCTTATTCCTACTGTTCCTCCTTTATATTTAAAATGTCTGTTGTATTTTTATATTCCTACTCTGTTTTGATTCATTACATTATTCCATTTTAGAATTATTTAATACAGAATTAATTAAAGATGTTTTTATTCTTTCTTATTAATGTATATCTAAGAGATAAATTTCCTTTTTAGTACATTTCTGCTAGCATCTCAGGCTATTTAAATTTGTTGTTACTATAGCTTTACATAAATTAATGTGAAATATTTAATTTTTATTTCCGTGTAGATTTGTTTCTGTGGAATTCCATTTTTCCTATTTAAGTATAATTATCCTGTTATGTTGTCATATGAGAATATGGTTTCATAGGTTTCATGCTATTGTTTTTTGCATTAGCTCTAGTGCATTTTTTCTCTCCCAGTATATGATTAATTTGTATAAGTAGAAAGAAGCTTTACAATCCCTTGCCCTATGATTCCATAGTTTCCATAAGTCTATTTTTCTACTTTATTCCTAATATTTGTCTGCTATAGTTTCTCTCTTATTTGAGCACAGATTCTGCCATTAAAGCTTTAGTACTGAGAGCTGTAATTATAATTCTATGAGTTTCTTTTTATACTTGGCCAGCTTCTCCTAGACATGCCTTGAACAAGGACTGGCTTCAAGGGTGACCCTTGTGGTCACACAGGGTCCTGCTCTCAGAACTCGGTTTAATGCTCTATTGTTACCTTCTTGAAATTCTTAATAATTTCTGAACAAGAGGCCCTGAATTTTCATTTTTCAAAGGGCTCCTGCAAACTACGTAGCTGGTATGTTCTGTGACTATGCTGAACTCATTTTTACCACAGGCTGATTGGGGAGGATTTGTTGGGTTTTCTAGATAAGTCATTGTATCATCTAAAACGCAATCCTCTTCTAGCCAGGCAGCTTTGAGAAAGTTCCCTGGTGAGCTCTTCACATTTCCTCATCCCCAGGGTGAAATCGCTGCTAAAAGTTCTCTTCTTGTGTCTCCTTCGCTTCATGTCAAGTGTTCCTTTGTTACAGTAGTCCCCCCTTATCTGAAGTTTTGCTTTCCTCAGTTTCAGTTATCCATGGTCAACTGCCATCCAAAAATATCAAACTGAAAATTTCAGAAAGAAACAATTCATAGGTTTTAAATTGCACAACATTCTGAATAGCTTGATTAAATCTCTCAACATCCCCCTCCATCCATCCCACCGGAGACATGAATCATCCCTTTGTCAAGCATATTCACACTGTATATGCTACCTTCCCATTAGTCACTTAGTAGCCTTCTCAGTTATAAGATAGAAAAAAAAATGTGTTATATATAGGTTTCAGTACTATCTGCAGCTAAGGCATCCACTGGGGACTTAGAACATATCCCCTGAAAATAAGGGAGTACTACTGTTCTTCCAGGGGAGCCTGAGGTCAGGTGTTAAGCCGATGAGACTCACCTCAGGCTCCACTAAGGCTTTTGCCTGGAGCAGCAGCAGGAACAAAAGTCAGCTCTGCCCCAACCTCTCTCCCACAGCCAAGAATCCTCATCCCCCTCAGCCTCGTAACACAGAGGACTGGGTTTGCTCCTGTGCACTGCATTTAAGGCTTACGACCTTTTCTCCCATACTCCTCTCTGCCTTAGCTTGTCTTCACTGTGGTTAGATCTTGGGCAAGTCACTTCACCTTTCTGTGCCTCCTTAGCCTGCCTATCTGTAAAATGGAGAAAATAAAATTAGCTGTTTATCAGAGTTTCTGTCAGGGCTAAGTGAGGTAAAGCATGAGAAGCTCTTGAAATCGTGCCTGGTGCATATTGAATGTTCACTGATTCTCCACTGTGGTACATGGTCAACCCTCAAGGCTTCCCCAAGATGGTGGTACTACTTGAACACTCTGATGTGTTTTTTTGTCTTTTTGTACAGTGACCTCAGGAAGGGAAGCAGAAAGCAAGGGATTCATGGAGTGGAATTCTCCAAGCCCAGGTGCCCCTAGCAAAGGAATAGCTAACCAGGACGACTGAACTGGGTCCCAATCTGCTGAAGATAATAGAGATGTAGAGGTGTTCACATAGCTACCATTCCTTTTGGGCTGCACTTTCCAGGAGGGTGTCCTGGCATTTTTTTCTCCTCAGTATTCCACAGTGGTAAAGTTAATGGACTTCGGAGCCATACTTGGCCCTGAGCAAGTGATATAACTTTAATTGTGCCTCAGTGCCTCATCTGTACAATGGGAATAAATATGTTCAACCTGCTCCTCTTTCTCTTCTCAGCACGGCATTCCTCCTTCCCTCTCGCTCACTGAGGGAGACAATCTGGCTCAGAAGAAGATGAGCGTTCTTTGTTATCACTGATAGACCCGATATCTGTTGCTTCACTTTTCTATCTTCAAACTGACCTTCTCTTTTTTAGTATAGCTGCTGCTGAAGGCTTAAATTATACTCACAGGAATCCCACCTCCAAATCCTGGAAAGAGAATCTTGATGAAATAAGTCTGTGAAACCTAAATCTCAAAGCAGGCCCACCCCAGAGTCCCTGTGTACTCCCTCTGAAGGGCCTGCGTTCAGGGATGTGAAGCTACATCTCTGATACTCTGCTTAGCTCATGATGCCCGCGTGTCCCATCCTGAGGGCTGGAATTACTGTAAATTGACTCACACAGGGAAACAAAATAAGTTTTTGTTATTTCGTCTCTGCTCCCTATTCCACACATGCCAGAAACAAGTAGGGCTCCCAAGCCAGCCACACAAGGAAAGCCCTAATTCTCCTGACACTTTCTTTAATTTTGATACTTATGAATAATCTTATTCCCAACCCATGAGACCTATTACTTGCCCACCTTTCTGGATTCAGAAATGGTTTTCCCCATTACAGTCTCTGGTTGCTGTGCTACCCTGGCTCTTTGTTGATGAGATTATGATTTAGGTTTTGTATTCTCGATGTTTTACGTTTCTTTCTCTTCAGAATTATCAGCTTGTATTTAAAAGTAAGACGTTTTTATAACATGCTGTGTGCTGAGGGGTGAGTGGGTATATAAACAATCCCCAAGTCAACATAATACATAGGAATCAGTTGCCAATAGCACTGCAAAGAGAATGTAGTTTGTATGTTCCAACAAATATCCATATTCTGTTATTGAACAGACATTTTATTATATTCAAAATGGAAATAAGGGGGTCACTGGCTGGGGTTCTGGAAAGTGGGTGCATGGACATTTTTATCATGAACTATTTATTGCACCCCAAACTCTTCTTTAATGGGACCAGGGAGAAGGGAATTACATTAAATATAGATGAGGCCGATACTTCCTCTGTATGCCAGAGATATCTTGTGGGTCTAATTGACCTTTGGGGAAATTATTTGTGAGCTCCAATTGCTCTCTTTCCAATCAGCATTCATATTGTCCGTTAAGGTTTGCAAATGTTGGTCTGCATCCACCCTGGCAGGCAGATCAGGAGGCAGGTCAGGAAACAGGTCACCATTTTTATCCCTGCGTGACCAAGAAGGAAAATGAAATGGCTAAGGTTTAAAGGATTTGTCTTATGCCAAGCAATGACCAACTGGCAAGGGTTCTGATCCATACTCTCAGCTAGAGTATCTTGGGTCTGGGGGCTAAGTTACACAGCCAGGCTGCTTCCTAATACCCAAAATTAGACAGAAGGTTTGAATTTCCCTACAAGTAAGAATGAGAACAGTAGACTGCTGGAATGAAATGTTTACTCACCACTGCAGAGAAGAGAGCTTATGAAAGACTTAAGATTTAAGCTGAGTGTTTAAAAGGAAAAGAGAGACAGAACAGAGATGGTTGAACTCATTTTTATGGCTGAAATGTCACTGTAGATTAACAAGGTCTTCTTAGAGGAACAGATGAATAAAATAACATAGAGATGGTTCAATGTACAAAGTATTTGTGGAAGCAATAATGCTGAGTTTGACACTGGAGAATATGACGATTAAAAAAAAAAAACCAAACACTATTTTGAATACAACATAGAGTTAAAACCCCAAGGAATCCATCATCAGAAATAGAGATTGAGGGAGATTTAAAATTTCTCCATGTACTCTAATAGCATTAATATTGTACTCTACCAGACACTTTAATTTCCCCTAACTGTTACAAACACAGCAAGTGTACAGCATCAAAGAAGTTACCATGTTAGGAAGAGGGTCATTTTATAATTCTTCAAGTGGAAAATCTACCCCAAGCAGAGAACATCCTGAGATCTTTGGCTCAATGATAAAAATAAACTAGTGAACCTAATTTAAAAGGCAGAAAAATGGACCAGCTAGATGAAACATGTGAACTCAAACTGCGGGAATATATGATTACAAAGGTATTCCATTTCAAAACAGTAAATAGGCAATTGAACCCCCCCGTGAGAAATACGTGTTTGGAAGAGGGCTGAAACATTTCATTACACCACACCAAATAGTAATTCCATGAAAATGAAGACAAAGAAAACTGAGAAAAAAATTCTAACATCTAATTTGACTTCAAAAAAGTTTTTAAAAATCTGTGATTAAATACCCAGAATCAGCAGGTCAAAGGGAGTCATTCATTATGACCTTTGCCTTCAGGCTGGAACTGCTCATACCATCCCTGTAGATAACTGTCTACCTTCTTAAGGTTCTTGTGAAAAGGAAATTCCAAGGCCTTGCTGGTAATGCATATCAGTGCCTAATGTCAGAGCAGGGACAATTTCCTTTCTGTGGCACCCAAAATCCCTGTGGCTACAGCTTATCCACTTCCTCTAGTTCTTGTCCTTGTCCCAGTTGAGTTCAAGATCCTCTATTTACATGGTCATATGATTTTAAAAGAACATTTAAGGCCTCTTCTTCATCGTGTCTTAACTAAAGTTTAATAGTGCAAGAAGCATTTGCATAGGGACTAGTGAGTAGAAGAGGAACTTGGATGTGTCTTCGCTTGGGCTGCCCATCTTCCCTGGAATGACCTTCTGACCCCTGTCCAGCAAGCCAGCTCCATCACTTCCTCCAAGGCCTAGGTTCTCTCAAGTCTCATTGCCCTCCCAACCCTTCTCTTAGGTGTTTCTCTGTCTCAGGGCAGACATCGAGCCAGATTATAAAACCACAATGTGGCTCACAACCTCTCCTCACTTGCCCAAGCCGCCCTCTAAGGTTTTTTGGAGTAGGGGATGGGAGGGAGCCCCCCCCGAAACTTGTCCTGCCACCTTCTGGGTAACAAGATTAATCTGTCTTTTCTCTCTCATGTGAATGCCATATGTCTCTGCCAAAAAGAACAGGGTGACATTTAGCTCATTTTTTGCTAATGAGCGTAAGTGGGAGCTGTCTAGGGAAGCTTCCTTTTTCCAGGTAATTTGTACATTTTAACAGCAACATTCTGGAGATTGTGTCCTCTCTTGTGTTGTGTATTGTTGATGGTTAGAATTTCCAACTAATTAAGAAAGGAGTCAGGCAGTGTGCCAAGCTGAAGGGGTGATGTTTTTGGTCTGGTAAGGTTTTGTTAATCTTACGTCTCAGAGATAGGTCACAATTTTTATTAACCATAGCAGGGCTGGGACTGCTCCCTTTATTATTTTTAACTACTTTAAAAATTGGAACTGTAATGCATACATAATGAAAAATAAGCCTCCATTTTCCTACCCCAAACTCCCAGTCACCTTCCCCCCACAGCATCAAATACAGTCCTTTTCACACAATACATATATAATTTATAAATGCTAGCAACATGATGAACTTATTTGTATTAGTTACTAAGGAAAAATAGGAAGAAAAGTTGGAAGGCACAGAATAAAACATATTCAGTCGAACCAAGGAAAGAGGCCTTATGAAATAATGAAATAAGAAAGGGTTTTATAAGCATATGAAGGGCAAAGATGGATTTTAAAACAGCCTTATTAATTAAAATCAACAAATGTATGGAAGATATATGATATGTCAGGTCCTGGGCTGGTGCAGACAGTTTGAGGATTAATCCTATGTAGTGTCAAACTCTGATGAGCTCATTTAGTATGGAGAAAAGATTTGTAAGTTATGCTCTGTTGATCTCAAGCTCATGTGGGGAAAAAGACTCATACATAAATAATTGCAATATATTATAATGAGGGCCATTGTCGAGGTATGTACTAAGTGCTTTAAGAGCCTAGAGGAGCAATTAATTTTCCGGAGTCAGAAACATCTTATCAAAGGAGGAAGCATTTGTGTTTTCTTGAAGAATGCCTCTAAGTTCTTCCAATGCAGAGAGGGAAACAGGAATTCTAAACCTAGCAAACACCATAAGCAAACACACTGAGGGTGAGACTGCATGGCCTTTTCAGGGAAGTAGATTGACATGACTAGCATTTATGGAACATATCTAGGTAGGAGACAATGCTAGAAAGGAAGATTGGGCCAGGTTATGATGGAACTTGTGCATCTCCCAAAGGGAATCAAATTTGTTTTAAAGTGAACTGTTGGAGACTTTGGGATTGAGTAGTGATCCTCCAGGACAATGCTTTGATGGTTTGAGAAATAGATTGAAGTTGGGAGGGAGTAGAGGCAGGCAGGGTTGGGAGGCTATTGCAGAAGTCCAATAGACAATAGTGCAATGAGACAGTAAAGCAGGCCATTCTGGTGGGAATGGGTTTGAAAGGTACTTCTCAGTTGATTTACAATGCCTCGACAGTTAACTGGAACAGGAGGCCTTGGGAGTGGAAGTTGATGCTGAGTTCTTCATTCAGTTAGTCTACAGCATGGATAGCAAAACAAAACAGATGTATAAAGGACAGATTCAAGGAATTAAAATGAAGGTATGTTGAGTTTAAGATTCCTGGGGCACAGTCAGGCCAAGAATCTCATCAGGGAAAGTGAGAGTTTCAACAATAAAAGGAGAGTTAGCAATACTAAATGTTCCACAAACGCCAAGACAGGTAAAGACTAAAAAGTAGCCATTGAGTTTGTTGATACAGGATTTTAACCATGATCTTTGGGAGGACAGTTTCCATAGAAGGGGATGGAAGCCAGTTACAATAGGCTGGTAACAAAAAGAACAATGAACATCAGAGAGAAAAGAATTTTTTTTTTTTTTTTTTTTTTTACACAGAAATTTCAGTGTGAGGAGCAAGGAGAGTGAGAAGGTGTAGCTTGAGAAGGAAAGAGAGTTGAGGAAAAATTTTTAGGAAGGGATGTCTAGAATGTATTTATATGTGGAAGAAAGCAAAATGCATAGAGAATGGACCAAGAGATGTGACAAAGCAAGGTAGAAGAACTGGAAGAACTGCCTCAGTGCTTCAAGGTTTACAAAGGAAAGAGAAGCTCCCTGAGGGGTTGGTCTACTCCGATTACCGCTTGCCTCTTTAACTCAGGGACTTACTTTCCCCTGGAATCTCACTCATGGCTGCCACAGCCATCACACTGGCTGTGGGGGTGAGAGAAGGAGTAGCTCTGTCTTTCAGAGGCCATCACTTTATCCATGATGGTACAGCTGAGAGGAGTTATTAATACTAACCCCTCTTTATTAACAACTTTGGGGAATTAGACCATAAAAAGCACATTTAAACACAAAGTCCCTATCCTCGGAGCCCACAGGCTCAGCCTCATGGGGTTTCTGATGAAGGCAACTTCTTCCCCTTCTGGCTCCTGGAGGCCCTAGTCTTCTCCTCACTCCCTTGGAGCACCCATGAAGACTCAAGGCACCAGACCCAAGAGAAAGTGGTCTAAGGCTGTCTTCCAAATCCCTGACTCCTTCCTGCCCTTGTATGATTGAAGTTGGGATTGGCCACTCACTCAGGGAAGACCCCATTCCAGCTTCTGCCAACTAGAGGGTAACAAAACACCTTGGTATCAAAAGATCAATCACATCACAGCAGAAGAGTCCAATAAGCATAGAAAATATACATAGATGGTTTCTGATTCAGGGTTACCCTTAGACAGCAGGGGTGGTAGGTGAAGTAACAATAAGTGGAATGGAAAAAAAGTTAAAGCAGTTTATTTTTTGGTGCATTTTGTGAAGTAGAATCCTAGGACAACTGCTGATATTGAGAACTAGTGGGTTAGTTGGGATTTGAAGAGTAACAGTTTGGAGAATAAAGATTTATGGCAATTAGCAAACGGTAAAATATTGCTCAATATACCAGAGGCTCTGCTGAAGACGGAAATCATACACATGTAACACAGCCTAGCTATATGATTTTTTTCCCACAGCAGAGTGGCACCTGGGGGCATGCACGGAGAAAGCCATAGTTAGATTTATGAAAAGCTGTATATTGTCAAGGTGGGCACAGCAGAAGGACAAGAATGTGAGGGATCTAGGATGCTAGTGAGAATGTGGTTTAATTGAAGGTCTTGGTCATGAGGCCCAGGCTAGGTCGGGGGAAAAAGGATAAAAAGGGTGCTGATAGACTAAGGGATTGGGAAGGGGTGGAGAAAGTACAGGTCTTGCTAAGACTGGCAGGTGGGTTTGGGGGAAGTAAGAGAATGGGACTGATGAAAGGGCAGAGTTTCTGGCTAGACAATGAGTCTCTGAGTTTCAGATTTCAGAGATGAAATATTCCTGGGGTTGGGATTTGGGAGTGGGTAGATGAAGGGAAATAGGTTGGTAGCAACCCATCACATATTGGGATGTGTAAAATGATGTGGTCATCAGATATTCTGACTTCTTAAAACTCATGAAAATAAACCTGTCAATAAAAAACAGATTGACAAGACCCAAAGAAATGCAGACTTTGGAAGGCATTTGCTAAACTTTGCTTATCATGCGGTTTGGAGGTGGGATAGGAAAAAAATAGGTCTCTCTGTAGACTTCATAAAAAACAATACGTGAAGACCTCAATTTGTGGATGTCCTTCCCTTAAGAGAATGAACTAACTAACTAAATAACAAGTTTTATGTTCCAGATTTTTGGCTTCTCTAGAAAAACAAGATGGTCTTGGCAGCACTGAGCCAAGATTCCCTCAAGGTAGCCAAAAGATTTCTCACCAGAGTACCTGAGTCTAACATTCTGTGTTGCCATACTACACCTGGCTGGGTGTCAGTTGCTATTTATCAGTATGCTCACACATCTTTTTTAGAGTTAAGAGGAAAGTGAAATATTTCTTGTATCAAGGCCCTATCAAAATTAGAAAGCCAGAAGTGAATCAGGAAGAGTATTACTCTGATATGCAAAGTATATCGTTGTTGGAAAAACAAGAATTATGATGCTATTATGAAACAAATCCCTCCAACTTCACTCATTACATTACCTACCTGGCCCCCAGACACATCTGAGTTTGCAATGACTCCTGTAATAAAATGGTGGTAGACATACAATCATATACATGAGACAGCATTTATAAAACCAGTGTAATAAGTAACAGTTATTACACTAATTGAGGGACTCATATTAGTCTATCATATTGTATCCTTTTGCTGATAGAATGATCTTATCAAATTCCCATTGATTAATAGATTCCCTCAAAGTGCTACCAATAGCCACTGAAAAAACTTAATGAACTCGCAAAGTAGCTCCTCAGTGGCTGAAAAGCATAGCTGTAATTCCCTGAGTGCCTAACTTCTTGGCAGCCATATACACTTGTGGAAGATGGATCCAAGGAAAATGGGTGAAGGATCTTTTGTGTCAGAAGAGAGGAAAATATGGAAATGAAAGCTTTTGGCAGGTCTAACTTGCCACATTACTGCTCAGGAAAAAAGGCAATCAATCGCTACATATTTCTTGTTGTTGAGGATCATGATAAAATAAATATAATTTAAGCTGTAGGAGCATAATAGATTAAAATCAACCCCTTGGATTGACTCAGGAAGCAAATGAGTTGCCAGTGTGGACTAGTACATTGATATAATCTACTATTTCCTTAAAGCATTTTGGTCATCTACTTTCTGCTCTAGTTAGCATTTATGTTAAGCATATGAACAGCAGTTGACTATGAAGGCTCAGAGGTTGAACTGCATCTTTGGAGAAATAGAGGAAATAACATGTGATTGAGGTTTGGGAAATGAAAATTGTCATAATACATTAAGGAAGAAAATAATCTGAAGGCCAAGTACTCACTGAATCAGAAAAAAAGTTGGAGAGTCCTAATATTGGAGCCTGTGAACTGGAAACTAGATATGAATTCATAACCTACGAGGGTATAAATGATGGCAAGAAGTCAGTAAACTGAGTCAGTGTTATTTTTGAGACTGAAGGAAGGTTCTTATGGAACAGGGAGTCTGAATAGTTCAAGTTCTGGGCATTAAATTGATGATGCAAATAGAAGACAGTTTGATGAAGAGTGACAATGATTAAAATCTGAGATGGATTGAAATACGAAGAAAATTTAAAAGAGATAAAGCCTTGTATTGCTGGCATGATAGAATGAGATTTTAAAGGTATCTACTTTAAATATGAGCAGGTTACTCACCAGAATCCAACCGTTTGCATACAGACAAAATAAATTGGCATAAGCATCATGGAGCTATTTAGAATGGGCATTTTATTAATGTCTTGCCTATCTTTTATTGCCCTGCTCTGAAATGTAATCTGAGGGAACCATTAGACAATATTCGCTGAGGAATGACTATGATATTTTGGCTCTTTTTCTAACTCCAACTACTACGAATTTCACAATGCCATGAAAACACTTCAGCAAGAATTTTGGCAAAATATTTACAATTTCTTCAATAATATTGCTTGTGGAATATGAGGAATGGACAGCAACCACTTAGTGACTGCAGAGAGACAAGCAGGAATGAGGAAAAACAATTACTTACTACGCTATTTGTGATGAAAAAATCTGAGTTTAGCTTATTATAAAAAGCCTGTTGGGAGCCAAGCATCGCACATGTCAGAGGAACATGCTGCTTCCCTTCACCATGTCTGAGATAGGGTACCTACAGTTGGGCTGTTTGTGGGATGAAGAAGTGCTTCTATAACATCAGCAGGCGTGTGACCAGTGGCTTGTGGGAGACAAGCACTTATGGGAATAAAAGGGAACCTGGCACAGGCCTTGGGCCTCTGGCATCATTAGTTACAGGTCTGCCAAGATGCTTTGGGAAACATTTTAATTTAAATGCCAAGTCTATTTCAACGAAGCTCCCTGGTATGACCTGTTGGGAGTCCAGAGTGAGATGGATAGGTGCTCACTTTGGAGGGCACTGGTGAATCAGCTGGTGCTTCTATAAAAAGCATACTGGGGGTTAAACATCACTAAGTCCCTACTCAGCCCAGGAAAATCACAGTGAGAGCCATGGGATCTATGGCTTTCATAGCATTTTACTAGTGACTCGTAAATGCAGGAAAGATTAGATACTAACACACAAAAGGCAGAGACACCTCTGGGTGTTTATTCAAAATATCAAACTTAGAGAACTTGAAGAATAAAGACCCCAGCATTCTTTTTTCCTCCCCCGAAGCATACTCACAGGCTACTATGACTATAAATTTAATAAAGCAGAGTTAAGAGCCTGATTTGAATTATTTCAATATTTTTCCTCCAAAACTATCACAAGACAGAAAAAATAAACATTTTGAAACACAACGAGAAAAAAGAAAGAAAAGAGCTGAGACTGAATAAAACACTAAGCATTGTCCTTCGATGTAAAAAACTATTTCTGTTAGTGTGTAGGCCCAGGTTGGAAAGAGATGTACAAAAACACGAATTCAGAGGATCGGAAGAATTAAAACGCCCCCAAGAATAACATGAAAGTATTTGATGTTGCTTCAGGGGCAAGGGCGAGTATGTATATGTACGTAAATCCATTTCCTCAGAGGCTCCTTGGCAGTCTGTTACAACACCACGCTAATGAAAGCCAGGTCTTTAAGTTCACCCCGCCTCTGGACTATTAGTTTCTCCTTTGCGCCCTGCGGGGACTGCATTCCTGGAAATGAAAGCACACGAGTTGGGGAAGGGCTGGGGTGCCAGAGAGGGTAGGAAGCTGGAGCCCACGGAGCCTGGGATGGAGAGGTGGGTGGGCCCAGGCCTGGGGCGTGGGGTGGCGGTGGAAGGTCTGGGGTCTCACCCTTCGGAGTTTTGAGTCTTGTCTGGCTCCAGGGAGGGAGATCCAGGGGAGATATTTACGAACGGAAGCCACACGATCAGCTTGGACTTTTAGGCCAGTCACTCCGCCTTAAGTGGGTGCGTGAGAACCAGAAGAGGGACTGGCTGTAGCGCTGCAAGTGAGATCCTGTCCCAAAAGATGAGCCTGACTTAGGCTGGGCCCCGCAGGCCGGCAGGGCCAGCCGGCATCCCTGGTAGGGGAATCGGGAAGGTCTCAATGATAAATCTGTGTGTGGAGACTCAGAGGGCACGAAATAGGCTCTGCTGATGTCCTCTGCCCCTCATAGCCTGCCAGCCACCCCAGCCTTCACCCCTGCCTCAGCATCCTTCCAACTAGTTGAATCAATCAGGAGCCCAAGGGAAAGGAATTGGTCCCAGTGTATGAAATGAGTCTGACCTACTGGGGAAGTCAGAGAGGAGTGTCCCGAACTGGGTGGGAAGGAAACGAGTTCCGTGCGCGGGGCTGGGGCAGGAGTGAGGCGCAGCGGCCGAGATCCTGAGCCCCGGGACCCTTGTTCCGGGCCCCGAGGCCTACTTGGTAGTTGCCCCTCGGGGTTCCGGGTGGGTGACTGACAGTTGCAGCAGCTCTGGGGAGGCGAAGGATAGGCAATGACTTGGGGCTCCCGTCCACTCGGCTTTGAGGTCCCCGCGGCCCGATGACCCGGCCTCGGTGACAGCAGCCGCGACGGCGGCAATCTCGACAGGGAGCTAGGCGGCTCATGGTGGGTCAGGGGGCGACCGAGGAGGGACCACGCGGCCTGTAGGGGGCAGCGCCGAGCTCGGGAGGAGACAGCAGCCGGCGGGTGGGGTGGGTCTGGGCTGCCCCCTCCGGGAGCTGCCCCGGGGCCGCACGGCGATTGTCATACCCGGCCGCCCCTGCCCGCCGTGGGCTTCCTCTCGGCGCCGCGGGCCTTAACGGGGCTCTGAGGGGACGTGACAGAGCTCGGCACGCGGCAGCCTCTGGGGAGTTAGGGTCCGGAGAGACCCACGCGTCGCCCCCCGCCCGCCCGGGGCCGGGAGATCCTCGGGAGCCGCCTCCGCGTGTCCAGAGAGTGTCGGGGCGGCCGCCACTTCCCCTCGCCCTTCGCCGGAGGTGGGCGCCTTTTCCTGCGTGGCGGGTGCTCCGACCCCAGTTGCTCTGAGCCCCGGGGAAGCGCGCCCCGAGCCCCTGACGTGGGCGCCCCGTTACCTCGGGGTGGGTGCCTGGGGCCCCTGAGGTGGGCGCGGGTTGCCCCGGGGTGGGCGCCCGGCCCGCGCGGGTTATTTTTGGCGCCCGCAGAGGCGCGTGTGTTGGGGCGTGTTTTCCTTCCCCAGGTGCCGAGAGCCGGGGCTCCGCCGGCGCCGGAGCTGACTCGTCTCTCTCTTCTTTCCCCTGCAGGAATCTTCCGATAATTCTGCCGCCGCGACTTTAACCGTGCGCAAGGCGAGAGCTCGAAACAAACATCACATCTAAATTAAAAAAAAAAAAAAGCGGAAGAAGCGGCCGAGGCGGCGGCGGGAGGAGAGGAGGAGGGGCCGCGCGCGGCGGCCCGAGGCGGCGGCGGGGACGCGGGGACGCGAGGACGCGGCTTTGTGCAGGCGGGTCGCGGGGCGCCCATGGCGGAGTGCGGCCGGGGGGGCGCCGCCGGCGGGGCCCTGCCCACCTCCCCGGGCCCGGCCCTCGGCGCCAAGGGCGCCCTGAAAGCCGGAGTGGGGGAAGGCGGTGGCGGGGGAGGTCGCCTCGGCCACGGGCGGGCGCGCTATGACAGCGGCGGGGTTTCCAACGGAGACTGCAGCCTCGGCGTGTCCGGGGACGAAGCCCGGGCTAGCCCTACCAGGGGACCCCGCGGCGTTGCGCTCGCCCCGACCCCCAGCGCGGTCGTCTGTACCCTCCCCCGGGAGAGCAAGCCGGGCGGCCTGCCCCGCCGGAGCAGCATCATCAAGGTAGGTGGGAGAAGGGCGCTCATCGCCCACCCTCAGCCGTCCTTGGATTCTATTTTCTCCCTGGGGGAGTGGTGGTGGAAGGAGGAAGCCCACTGCTAACAGGAACCACTGGAGCATGGGTGCTTGGGGTGGTTGAGCGGGGATTGGATGCAAATGGCATGTGGAAAGAATGGAGAGGTGATCCCTAATGTGCAGGGGGAGCTGTGCTCAGACATCCTCAGTTGAACTTGGGGCTGTCACCTCTTCCAGGATTGGTCTGGCATTAGGGCCTTGTACCTGCCGGGGTAGGGCATACTCTTATGTGTAGCCTAGTCTGGTTAACAGACTCCCTGTAAGATTTCTATTGTATCTTAAACACAGATAGGGATTATGTGAAATGTGAGAACATTTTCTTAAAAATCCCAGGCGGCGAACAGAGGGTGAACAGAGATTATTTAATAGGGTTCTTCTGATCCGTATACAGTTAGTTGGCTCTTACAAATGTTTACACTTCGAGGGTGCAAAATCTCCTAATATCCGGTCACTCAGTCACAAAGAAAAATAGAGTAGATTTCTGAACATAAATGCAGATTTCCGCTTTCTTAGGCTCAAAAGCTCAGAGATTACAGTTCCACACGATTTAATCTTTTTCCTTGCTGCAGTAGGCAGGCCTCGAGTACTGTGGAAGTTCTTTTGGGCAGTTTGCTTGGTTTTGCTTGCACAGTGTTAGCGGAAGAAAGCCAGCGATTGTTTTGAGCATTTTAAACTCAAGAAGTAATATTAGGAACTCCCGAGTTTGTGTTAGTTTCATTCTAATGTTACATTTTGGTTCGCAATGTAAAAATATTTTTCATGACATGAAGTGCAAAAAAAAATAGTTGATGAGCTAAGAAGAGCAGAGCCTTAGGCAAGACCAGCTCATTCGGCTCGCTCAAGTTTGGAGCAAATGAAAACATTGCTTTCTGAAAATCAAGGAGTTATCAGGACAGGGAGCAGCAAAGCAAATTGACAGGCTGCACCCACCCTTCCTGTGGCTGATAACTGGTGGGAGGGCAGAACGTGCCACAGTAAAGAGAGTTGGCAGTGGTGGTATCTGAAATTTTATTGGACCTACAGAAATCTTCCAAGTACTGTGAAAATGTCTGATGGTGTTATCAACTTATGCAGTAATCTAGTGAAATATACCATCTTGCTACTCTATGTAAGAGGCAATTGTGAAACTGCATTTCCCTTTGTCATCTGTTTGCGCAGTTTATGTCTGGGCAAGGACACAATTTGAAGGGTTTGGAGATGAAGTGTATTAACTACCTGCAGCACACACGTAGAGATAAACTAAGGAAAGTAAAGTGTCTTTTTGCTGCATACATAGCTTTTAGTGACTTACGTTTTCTTTTACTCTGTAGCTTATGTTTCCATGGAAGTTGCTTTCAACTGTGCATGATAATCAATCCTATTGACAGAGTTAGGTGACATTTCTGTTTTTATTTGTCATAAAATATTTGTGGTGATTTTGCATTGTGGTGTTAATAAAATTTGAGGTGAAAATTCCAAAGAAGATACCAGCCTACCTAATTTTAACCCCTTTCTTTTAATTGTTTTGAATACTTGTTTTTGCATTAAAAAATCAAACTTTATTAGTGTCCATAGTGAGATTCATAGTGTAACTTACTGAATTACAAAAACATTTGTTTTAATTTTACATTACTGGGCGATAAGCAAGAAGGATGATTTGTTAGTATTTCTGATATATGGAATTGGGAACTTGTCAATAGATACCATTTCTTAATTGAAGGCTCTAGAAGCACATGGGGGAAATGATTAATGTTCAAAAATCACTGATTTTAGAAATGATATTGATACTTATGTTGAATTCTGAAACTTTTAAGGATATTTTGTCATTTTTCTTCTTTGTAAAGAAAGCATTTGGCTTCTTGTTCACCAGTGTAACCCTAGATATAAAGTGCCAGGAATGTAGTAGCAGCTCAATAAATTGCTTATTGAATGAATGGAGAAAGTACATGTTTTCTCTGAGTTCTGTTAATTTATAAAACAATTGGTTTTGGATTTACCAGTCCCATATTTTGTTCATTGTATTGTACCTCCAAAGAAGGCTTGACATACTCCTTTTTCTTGCCTCTGTTTTCACTTTGCATTTTCTTAAAACTTTCGAAAATTATGGAAGTAGTGTTGAAAGTTGATCAATACTGGGTTATAGGAAAGAGAGGATGCTATATTTAAATAGGTAACTACTTGGTATATTTCCCTTTGAATTGGTGCCTTGAAGCATCAAGATTTTTGGAATGTATTGTGGTATTTTCTAAAGATAACTTCCAGCATCAGGACAATATCCTAATAGAAAACAAAGTCTTTAACATCAAATTTCATAAAGCAACAAATACTGCACAGATAGTTTTGTCATGTGAATGGCAGAAATTATGTTTCACTTTTGTTTAAAAAAAAAAAGAATAAAAAGCTAAAGCAGAAGCCCATGTGAAAAAGCAATAGTGACATCTTTCCTTGGTTTCCTTATTTTTTTTAATATAAGGGATGAATGCAGTCAGGTGGTCTCTGAGTAGAGGCAGGAGTAGATTAGTAAGCAAGGTGATAATTGGGGACTTGAGGGAATAGCAGGGAGTGAATGCTACCTGGGGAACTGAGGCCGGTATTTATGGGGTTGTATTAGTTGAAATGCTGGGCTTCTGAACTGTGCCTCTCTCCTAGCTTTCATCTTCATTACAGTCTTGACAGCCCTCTTTGTTGGAGATCCTTAAATCAGAGGGAGAATAATGGCCTAAATGTGCTATAAGGTGGGCAAAGAAAGGGGGACTATTGCTAAAGTGCAGGGCATATGCAGAAATACACTGTAGGCTGACCCGAATCTTATTCCTCATTTAAAATAATTTATTTGGTACTCCATCTGTTTTGTAAATGTGGTGTTGAGTAAGAAATTGTTGTAAAACAATATTTTCTGCCAAAATAGATGCACAGATCTATACTAAAAGAACTCTTTGGTTATGTTAACAGTGTTGATTAAAATTCAGAGTGAGCAGCTTTGTAGAACCTTTTACAAATACCTTGAGATGATAAATAAATCATGGAAATCATCACCAGACTTTTCTACTTTTCCTTAGCTTATTGAAAATAACGGTCGACTTTTGAGATTATTTACAAAGGCTCATTACTGGATTTTAGAGAAGAAGCCGTTATGTTTGTCATCTTAAGTAATCTAGTAAATGAAAACATCACTTTCATTTTCTCTTTCCATAATTCATTTCATCACTCTATTCAATATAATCTATGCTTTATTTTGAAACAGTTAATTTGGTTAATTGTTCAGATGGCATCCCTTATTTGCAAATAGCTCAATCTTTTAATTCAAGAGCCTGGTCTAAAAATATGAAGTAGCATTTTAGGCCTTAGATTTCTGTTTAAGTTTAGAAAGAAATGAAGTTAAAATGTCTATTGCTGTGGATGATTTAGTCAGAACTAGTTAAATACTTTGGTTGATACTTTAAAAAATGAGGTATGATTTACATACAGTAAAATTCACACTGGTTTGTGTCGAGTTCTGTGAACTTTGACCAATACATTCAGTCATTTAATCACCACCATCATGAAGATATAGGGCACTAACATCACCTCAAAAAACTCCCAGGTCTCTGTGATCTTTCGCTCCCCTCATCCCCAGACAATGGCAATCTTCGGTTCTTTTTTAATCAGTAGGAAATTCGGCCATTACCTTATCTTGGTATTTAGAAGTAATAACGGTAGCCAACACTTATTAAACACTCACTGCATGCAAAACACGTGAAAAGTGCTTACCGTAATTCTCTGACTTGGTCCTGTGCTAACCACAGAGACAGGAGGAAATCAGAGTTCAGAGAGGTTAACCCTGTGCCCCAGGTGCTGGAGCTACTTGTATCCCGCTTGGGTATATGGCTGCACTCCATTGCTTCCCCACATTACAGTGGCAGTTTGAATTTTTTGTGGTTAAGGCAGCATCAGTGGTTTCAGACATTGGATTTGATTGCCCTCTTTAAATGTAGGAGATATTGGAAGAAGGAAAAGAATCTCTGTTTCTGCTGGTGGAAGAAGTTGGCAGATAACATAGCCAGGAGGCTTTTAGTCACCCGTTGTGGCTGCTTGACCAGGGCTTGCAGCTTCACAGGGACCAATGATCTGACCTTGCCCAAGGTGGCAGCCCTTATTTTTCTTAGTATCATTATTGCCATTGTCATAGTGTCATGTGGTGTAGGAGAAACACTTTTACTGTCTTTATACTACTATGTTCACCTATGTCTTGACACTGAGCTCTCCAACATGGACAACAAGCAGCCTTTTCACATCTATTATACACATTTAAATGAAATAAAACTTTTATGTGTGTCTTGGCCCATGGTTTAAATAAACTAGGCTCCTTGCAGGCAGAAGTTGGACTGTATTTACCAGTTCTGCACAGGTAACAAACACTCAGTAACCATTTTTTAATTGGATCTTAAAAATAATATCTGCGTTTGACTTTAGACATTTTTTTTTGAATGGGGGAAACAAAGATACCGCATGCCCAGCAAACCTGTGGGCACATCATAAATAATTAAACAGACAGTAGCTGGATAACAAAGTGAATTTGTCTGGATAGATAGGAAACCTGGATCATTAAGGTCAGAAAAATCTAATGGCCAATCAGCAACTCCCCACTTTACTTTGTGCTAATACATTTTAGACCACACAAGTTAACTGTTGAAAGGCCAAAGCATGGTTGCTTGTTTTAGCCTGCTCAAAGAGCTTTTGTCACAATTCAGTTTAGGTTTTCAAAAGCAGAGTATATTAATTTTCATGCCCTAAAATCTACTTGCTCCCTTTTGCTTTCCTCCTCCTCCATTTTCCAGCCTCCCCCAAATGGTTGTATTTGATTTGCATTGTTTTTCATCAAATCCAAATAGGCAACTGACAGGAAATTGTTTATTTTATTAATTGCTGATATTGGCCACAAGTTATTTTCTTAGAATGTTCTATCCCAGAATCTGTTCACTTCCTTTTATAGTTCTTTGTGCTCTGCAAGGAGCCTAAACTAGAATGTTATTTACTTTATTTTTTTATGCTTAAGTTACCCAGGCTTCAATATTCAACAAAATAGGGCAACATTATTTACAGCCTAAATGCAGATATAAATGAAGTATGAACATTTATAGTTTTTCTTCAGACTTTATACTTATGTGTTCAAGAATAGATGCTTTCTTCCTTCTTAATACTAAGTTTTGGATGCCAGTTATTTACTTATCTACCAGACTTCTGGATTACTTTAACTTCTTTTCTGTTCTATATTGGTGGGATTCAAATACTTTTACCAGTGGACCACAGGATCTGCGACTGTTATGTTTGTAAGCTGCCTGCTGAGCTTTTTTCTACTGATAAGATTGGTAAATTGAGAGGGTTGTGCTTAGCATGAGTGTCGTTTGTGACTCAAACTGAAGTCAGAGCCGCTAGAGCCAGCCACTATTCTTTGTATCAGAGTAATTCCATAGCTTTAGGGTGCCCAAAGTATATAACTCATTGCATTGAGCTTCAGCAACAATTATGTGAATGGTCCAGCCTTCTGGCAGGACACTTGGCACCCACCCATTCCAGAATGGCAAACCAGGGCAGGTTGTTAGGCCCTCTTACCACTAGCACTTGGTCCCATGGCAGGGGTAATTAGGTGAACCATATTTTAGCTAGTAATCTCAGCTGGGCTGCATCCTGTGGTCGAGGGCTGCCCCCAGGCCACATGTTGCGTATCTGGATTATTCAGGAGGCAGAATTGTGGTGGGAACAATAGAAAGTCTGTAGTTAGGGGCTTGGATTAGATCCTGGCTTCCCTGGTTCCTTTCTTTATGGCCTTGGGCAAGATACTGAAGTCTGTATGTCCAGTTACTCCATCTCTAAAACAGGTAGAATAAAACCTCCTCTCATAGCATTGTTGTAAAGATTAAAGGAGATGATTGATGTGTGAGCAGTGTGTGGCACCTAATAAGCATTAGTGTGTTTTTCTGATTTTTAGTTGAGCAGACTCCTTTAGAGAGGTGAGCAGACTAACATGGCCATGCTCGTTTTGAAAGTTTTGTCTTTTGAAATATGCAGAATGTGCCTAGGGAAATTTCTCAGGCATGTTCCATAAATGCTTTCAATAATTGTTTTGGTGTCTTTCTAAATCTGATACCTCAGTACAACTGCACACACATGTAAATAGCCCCAACTATGGGATCAAAGGGTATTGAACATACAATTTCATTGTGCCAAGCACCCACATGTCTTGCTTTGCCCAGGACAATCCAGGTTTACATCTTTTGCTGTGACAAGATTATTAATAGTGCCTCCTTTAACTCTCAAAGGCATCTCAGCTTGGACGATAAATAATATGGTCATCTTACTTGTAATCTTCTTTTCACAAACTGCCTTACAACCTATGCTGGAGCCCCATGAGATTCCCCTCTGTGCCTAAACTTAGCCTTTATGGTGACACCTCTGTTTCCTCAGGTTTCCTTCTCTCTTAGTAATCTTTAAGGTTTTCCTCAGTTAACCACTTCCCAGTTAGAATGAATTATTTCTCTGTCTTCCAGCCACCACTCTCCCTGTATCTCCATACAGTCCTTCTGCCTCTTAGGCAACTACATCTTTTTCATCCTGAATTTATGAAAACACCTAGTTTAATGTCTTGTGAAAAGTATTTGTTTAAGTATGTATTTGTTGAATAAATGTGTGAATGGATAAATAAGGGGACAAGAATGAGTCTTAGGAGTTGGATGAAGATGTTATTTAGACTTAACTCCAACTGGTTTTGATTGGAATATAAAACTCAGTGGGATGTGTGCTTCAAAGAAGAAATTTATTCATGTACATAATTTTGAAAACAAAGGAAATACCTTCATTTAAAGATGGATCTAGGAATTTGGTTAATTCTATAACTGTTCTGGAAGATGTTAATATAAATGATTGCTCCCTTTTGTGCCCTGAAATAAGAATAGGCCTTTGAAATTTTCTTTTGATTTATATTCTGCTGTCAAAGTTTAAAAAGGATGGCAAGAGAACATTATTGTTTGCTAAGGGATTTAATCTGTTTTTTGGTATTTGGTTTCTTTAAGTGATATCTGTAGTTTTTGCTCAGTTGTTGTTTATTTTTGAGGAACTGAATTACTTAAACTCCTATTGTCATTAATATTTGCTAGTCACATGGTATTCATTGGAAGTGCTATAAAATTAATAATTAAAAATAAAATACATAAGGAATCTGGAGTACTGATAAGAGTTGTAGGAGTGCGATCTCTAATTCCTCAGCATGTTTTGTCATGTAATGGTAGAAATTCTGCCCTTTGTTGCAGTGCAAGGATTGGGTGAAGAAGAGATACTAGGAGATGCTTTGTATGCATCGTCTCATGCAAGTCTCACCAGAACCTGTAAGGAGACATTATCATTCCCCTTACAGACAAGGGAACCCATTCTACAAGGTTTGGGAATTTCCAAGCAAGGTTAGAGAGGCTGTAAGAGGCAAAGCCAGCATTCTGACCAGGTTTGACTGTCCATGTTTTGAACTGCTCCATCACCCTCTCCCACTCCATCCTCTGGATGACTTTGATTTTTTCTTTCTTCTCCTACTTGCCCAAGCCATTCTGACTTCTTGATCTTAGCAGTTTCTACCAGTACTAAAATAGACAACTAATTTTTAATGAGAAAAGTTTGGCTTTTTGTGGCTGAATCTTATGATGAAACCAATGTGTACCTAACCAACATGAAGCCATAACCATAGTCCTGCCCATCGTGCCTCAAGTTTCTGTCTGATCTGCAAACCAGGACCTTGTCCTTTTCCTCTCTGCTCTCCTTTGATGGATTAGAAATTCTTTTAGGGGGGTTAGTTTCCATTTTTATTTCTTTTTTAACAAAAAGTTGATTTATAGTTCTATGCATTTTTAGGGTCCTGGAAGGTAAAGCAGGTAACAACTAGTAATGGTTTGTTTTTTTAGGTGGGCTTCTTCTATTATTGTTTCGGAATTGTCAACTAATTATAGAATTTTAGAATACAATAATACAACACATTACTGTGTAGTCAATATTCAGTATATTTTTGGAGTGTGCTAAATGTACTGATTTGGATATTGCAGATATTAACATCCCAGAAACCAAGCAGCTGGGTTTAAAAGTGATTAATCATGGAGATTCATGAGATTTTCACAGCGGAAAGAGATCATGTAAAATTCTTTTGTAGTTAGAGATACACAAGGCCATACTGATTAGTACATTTAGCTCCTAGCTATGGTTGAATTCATTTATTTGCATATTAGCATAACAGAATTGGAAAAATTTGTTATGTAATACTGCAGTATGTGAGTATTAATAGAACAAGATGTGGTCTTCTAGATTAAAAAAATAGCTATTTTTTGTGAATTTGTTTTTTGCTATAGATAGCTGCATGTGTACACATGCTATACTTGTGTATGCATATACCCTGAAGACTGTTTATAAATCGTAAAGATTAAGAGCAAACCAAATAATGTAGTGCTAGGTTGACACAAATCCTGTGTCTCTCTCTCAGAGACTGATGGACTGATGGGTAGCAGGTGTATGCTCTTTAAATTGAAAATGCCCAGGAAGGGATAGGCTGTTCCCTATGAGCATTGCTGATGAAGCCTCTGTTGCTTTTGACCAATTAGTGTGGTCACAGAGGGTTAAGTGACCTCATTTGCAGCTACCATCAGAATTACAAGCCATATGACTCTCTCCATATGGTTTCCTGCTACCTTTTATTTTTTATTCTAAACTCTGATATTCTGTAGTCATAGTAAATGTATTTTTTCAAGTTATTTATATGATTTAATGTTTATTATTGAATAAAGGATATTGCTTAGATTTTTATTTCTATCAATCCATGCTAATATATTAAATGCCAATATAATTATTCAGATGTTTTCATATTGAAGCTAATAAAATTCCTATTGAAATACTGGTTTTGAGAATGTCTTCATCTGTGGAGTATTTGATGATTTGTTGAAAGAGATCTGTATGCTCTTCCAAAGCTTTCCCTGGTTTATGTATATTTCCAGAAATAATTTTCTATACATTAAAAATAATATTAGCAGTAGAATTACTATATCATAGGACAGACATGTGTACATTCAGCTTTAGTAGATACTATTAGGTGATTTTCCTAACTGGTCCAGCCAATTTACACACCTACCAGGTTATATGAATGCTAGGTGCTCTAAATGCACACATTTGGTATTATCAGTGTTTCTTTGTCTTTTTGCTTTTTGATTGTAACTATTGTGACGGTTATGTAATGGTACTTCACTGTGGCTTTTTGGCTGAATTTCTCTCATGGCTAATGATGTTGAACATCTTTTCATATGTTTCTTGGCCATTTGGATATTCTCTTTTGTGAAAATGCTTGTTCAAGTCTTTTGCCCATTTAAAAAGTCAGGTTGTTTTTATTTTWAAAAAAATGGTATGTAGGACTTAATTTACATTTTCTGAATATGTCTTTTGTGATATATATATATATTCAAGTTGTTTATATGGTTTAATGTTTATTATTGAAGAAAATAAAGGATATCGCTTAGATTTTTATTTCTATCAATCCGTGCTAATAGCTTATATTAAATGCCAATGTAATTATTCAGATGATATATATGTTTTGTGATATATCACAAAAGACATTTTCAACATATATAGATATGTTGAAACACGTATCTATATAGATATAGATATATGTTGAAACATGTATCTATATCGATATAGATATATGTTGAAACATGTATCTATATCGATATAGATATATGTTGAAAATGTCTTCTAGTATGTGACTTGCTTTTTCACTGTCTTAAAGGGTATATTTTAATGAAAATTCTTAATTTTAGAGAAGTTCAGTGTATCAGTATTTTTCTTTATGGTTATTATTTTTGAGTCCTGTTTCAGAAATGTTTACTTAGCCTAATTCTATGAAGATAGTCATTTATTTAACCACTGGAGTCTTATTGTTCTATTTTTCATGTTTAGATCTGGATTTCATTTTGTGTGTGTGGTGTGAGGTAGGGTTAAAGATTTTCTTTCCATATAAATATCCAATTAATTCAGCACCATTTATTTGAAAATAGAATCTCTTTCCCACTGCACTGCATTGGTCTTCGATCCTAGATCAAGTGGCCATTTATGTATGGGTCTGTTTTTGGAGTCTATTTTGTTACATACACATAAAGTCCTTATATACTTACCACACTGTCTTTCTGGCTAGGTATATACCTAACAGGAGTTACTCCATATGTATATTGAAAGACATTTCCAAGAGTCCTTAAAGCAGCATTAATTCTAACAGTCCCAAATTGAAAGCAACAACTCAAATGCCTATCTTATAAAATAGCGTATCATACAGTGGAATCCTATGAGGAAAAGGAAGAAAGAACAGAAACAGCAGATGACTGCCCTATGCACTGCTTGAGTCTCCCAAGCATAATGCTAAGGGAAATAAACCAGCCACAAAAGAATACATATTTTTGATTATAATTATATAAAGTTCAAAAGCAGCTAAACTAATTTGGAGTGGTAGAAGTTATAATAGTGGTTACACTTGGGGATAATAATTGAGGGAGGAAGCAAGGGTCCTACTGGGTGCCAGTGATGTTTGGTTTCTGCATCTGGTTGGTGATTCCAAATGTGGGTTTACTTTGTAAAAATCCATTAGGTTTTACACTTAGGATTTTTTTTCTGGAAGTCTATCATACTGCAACAAATTAAGTTTATTCAAACAATTAAATTGTGAACATTAATCAAACTCAGATACCAATTGGTTACTTCCTCCTGCACTATTTAGGGCCGTGCCTTTTACAGTTTTTTGCTGTCTGTGGATCAGCATGTGAAACATTTCTGCTGCTGTGGACACTTGTACGTGGTGAGACCTGCTAAAGCCCTGCACTAGTTGATGGCCTGGAGAGGGGGTGGGTGGAGAGAGGGGCAGCTTGCTGGAAGAGCCTGAGGACTGGATCTTCCTTGGAATATACTGAAAGCACAAAAGGAGCTGGGCCTGGGTGGAAAGTTGACACATTAGTGAAGAGTGTGTTGGTCACTGCAGTCATCTTACACTGCAGTCGTGATTGCTTGGAGTTTTTATGATTTGTTTAGTGTAGTTTTGAGCTTCAGGTGCACTCGAAAGTTTTAATATTTGAAAATGTGCTGCTCATAATAAAACTTTGAGAACCACTCGTTTGTGGAGCACCTGCTCTTCACATAACAGTTTTCTAGATAGAGCTTTTTGGTCTCAAAAGCAGTTAACAGAGCAAAACCAGTTATCCAGATATACGGACAAAATGGAGAGTTGTTTGATCACTGCTAAGTAATAGCATACCTAGGATCTCAGGTGGTCGGTCAACAGAGAGTTTTAGCTCTACTGAACACTTATTCTGCCTAATCTAAATATTCTTTTGGGTAGGAAAGGACGAAGGGGAAATAATCTTCAGATGGGTCATTTTAAGACACATTGGAATTACCTGGATTCTAAAACATACTAATGTGAAGACCCCACCTGGCTGCAATTGAATCAGAACCTCTGGGGGTTTCCTAAAGTGCCCTGGGAGATTTTAAAGTATAGCCAGGGTTAACAACAGCTGTGAAACCTTTCTTATATGTTGGGTTCTCGACTTCCCTGTGTAGCTCTGTTAGATATGAGAGAACAAACAGCTCCCGGAATCCTGCAGATGATAGTTGGTGAGCATGTGGCTGGTGGGGTGTAGGGGGCAGGATTAAACCTTAACTTGCCGCGGTGGAGTTTTTCTTTAAGGGAGTCGAGCTGCCCTTTTTTGGAGGGGATATAAAATGTCAATGAAGGGGAATAATTCCTTAGTAAAATTTGGAGAAATAGATTTTATATGTGAAAATGACAGTCTGCCCTATGTGTCTTTTTTTGATCTAGGTAAAGGTAAAAATTATGTCAATTAAAAAAAAAAAAGGCCCTGGGTTGGTTATTTGGAGCCTTAATCCCCCTTGATTAATCATTACTGTGCAGCTCCTAGTCCCTGTAGTTCCTGGCGAGTCCCTGGGCTCTTGTCCATCCCTCACAAGAGAAACTATATAGGTGTACCCATGGCATTCTGCAGCATGAAGGAGGAGCCTCCCTAGGAAAAATTGTCTTTAGAAAGAATTAGTTTGGCAGAGGCACTAGCACTATTTCTAGAGAGAGGTGATTGGATGTTTCACTTTGCTAAATGAGTGTAGTAAAAACGCTGTTTACTCACAGAAGATTATAAATCGGCACTTGCCAGACAGGTGTCTGTTTGTAAGGGTGATTTATGCGGGGAGGATGTGAACCATCTGGTGATGCTCCAGTGCTCCGCCCGAGGGTGGGCTGACATCTGGGTTGGCACGTCATGACCTTTGCGTGAATGTGTACTTTCTGAATGCTAGAGCATTTTCCTCTTGCCATGCTGACCTTCGCGGTAAAGAGGAATGAACATTGAACTCCTGAGGCATCTATAAAACATATTTTATTGGCTGCAAAGCAGTAACATGAAGATTTCAGTCGTTACTTGTTTGTAACCTTAGTTATGCAGTGTGTACTCATTTTCTCCTCAACTGGACTGCACAAATTATTAGAGGTTGTCATTCCCATTTATTTTTTTAGGTCATTTTTTTTTTCTCTTCCACATTGACAAGGATGAGTCTTCTAGCCAAGAAGCTTGTGCCCCTCACTTGTCTTGAGTAGGCACCAAGGAAGAGTAGTGACCTGAGGGGAAGGCCAAGTCCTTGGAGACCCCTGTTTAGAGGCCGGAGAGGCACCAACAGTTTGGCAGCAGCAAAGTTTTCTCAAGCTGTCCCTATCTTGATTGTGACACAATTGTTAACACATATACCTTTGACAGGCAGTTTTATTTACGTATTCTAAATGGGAGGTGTAGTAGAAATGAACTTTAATATTCTTTGGGGAGAGAAAATCTACAGCCTTTTTTTTTTGGAACATTCAGTACTCAGTAATATTTACCAAGTGAAGAATAAGAGAGGTTTCCTTTCCTACAGCATAATTAGCCAGATCTTACCCATCTTCATTGTTAGGAAAAAAAGTATTGTTGAAAAAGATTTTAAAATAGTTAAATAGCCCTTTTGTCCTAAGGAATAGCTGCCGGGTATGAATGCTACCCGGAGGGGTCTGGAAGCAAGAGAGTGAAATAGTGCGAGAGAAACAGGCACATAGCCACATAGCAAGCGTTCTACTGGGCTCCTTACTGGGAAGTTGGTGAGATGTGTGGCCTCTGTGGCAGTGGCCCTGACCTGTCCTCATCATTACTGGTTGCCAGACAGTAAAGTAAGACAAGGTGGAGGATGGCTTAGAAGATACCACCAAAATAACAGGGCTTGATAAAGCTGTCCCCAGATACAGTTTGGCAACTCTCAGGGCCGTCATTCCTGGGAACAACAGGGACCACGGGATCTATTAGTTATGTTCCAAAATGGCACTTAAAACCTTTCCACACCAGGTCACACATGGAAAATGATATAATTGTCTAGATAACATGAGGAGATTGCTTGGGGCCAGAGGCCCCAGCCAGCTGTGGCAGGGGTTGGAGGGTGGAGGGGGAGGGGGTTGCGGGGACCCACGCCTTGGCAGGCCATTTGGCAGTAATACTTGGCAGTAACCATTAGTGCTGTGCTGGGGCGTGTTTGTCAGGAGGTTGTGCTTCAAAAGGTGGTAGAGAGAAGAATGGAGGAACAAGGAAAGGTACAGTAAGCTGCAGAGTGCTGTGTATCTGTCACTATCGAGGGGATGCCCTTTGCACCATGATTCTCACTTTAGTGGTGAGTTGAATCTTGGCCTCAAGGCATGTCATGGAGCTGTGGCCACTGTGGAAACAACACCAGCAGACAGCTTAGCCTGTATATGGATGGAGCGTCTCAGCAGGGAGAGGAACAGTTGAGCATCTACCTTCACAAGAGGGCTGCTTTTCTACATAGAGAGGACTGTTAGTCCAGCCTTAGGCTTTTCTGCTGTATCTAAACAGAGCAGCCCATTGGGGTCATGTTTGAAAACAGCAACAACAGAGTATCAAGTAGGTACAGAGGCTGAATTCCCTGAATTTCTGTGCAGAAGTTCACACCAGAGACCTGGACACTAGTTGGGGAGCTGGCCTGTGGAGACCAAGAGCTGCAACTTGAGAGTCATGAGTTCTGATTCGGGTCTGCACCTCTGCTTGGTTGAAGTGTTAAATGTGTCCAGAAGACTGTGTTTTCTCCTCTTTTTTCTGTAAAAAGTGCGTGAAATCTTGTCTGCTTGATTTCTTGTATGTCTTTTCGGGACCAGGGCAAGTACTTTTCGCATGACTGACATGGTAAGTAAAACCTGTATGGATCTTGGGAAGAGCTCTTGGTCTGAATGATTCAGTTTTTGCTATTTTGCTGTTGATTTGATTATTTATGTGAGAAAGATCTGTGCTGTTCCTGAAAATTTGCTAATAAATCCATTAAAATATCCCCCCCGCCGCCCCCCGTCAAAACACCCTAACAAGAAACTATCCTATTTTAGAGGGCACGTTTACTTTTTCCCATCTCTTATTTGAAATGTTCTTTTCAACATTCCCTGCTTTGCTTTTTTGAATATCATGTTTTAGTTTTTTATTTTTATTTTGGTTCACTGTGGCTTTGGTTTAATTACCCTTTTAAATGGAAACATGTAACTGCAGGCCCAGTCCATCATTTGTATTAGTTTTCAGCACTCTGAACTTGGGTGGGTTGGGCACGATTGTTTTAGTTGCTACCTGGATAAGACTGTTGAGATCTTAATCTCAGAGTCTTGAAGAATTCTGTTACTGAGGTAGCAGTGACTGTTTACTAAAGAAAATAACCTTCATTTTTTCTTCTTGACAGAGGTAAAAATTCAGAGAAGAATTTAAGAAGTCAGGGCAATAAGATTAATTTAAACAGTTATTTCTGTGTGTTTAGTATTGTCACTAGACTTAAAAAGACAATAAAAATTTTAACTGATAAAATTACAAATCATCCTTGTTTTCCTCATAGAGCATATCAAATTCAGAAGAAAGAAGCTATAAACTTTATATCTAGCATGCATTTTGACTTTTAAGAAAATCAGTTAAACTCTGTATCTCACCGTATTCTCTCTACAGTATATTGAAATAAAGCTATATGTTGATTTGCTCATTTCATTAGGATTATTATCCTGATGTTTTAAAAGGTTTTTAAAGCTCCTGAAGCAAGATGTTATAAAAATGCAAAAAACTTCATAACCAAAAAAGTCTGGGAAAGTTAGTTTGTATGCTAATAACACCTCATATTTGCATAGCTCTTTCATCCCTGCAAGACCACCTTTAACATCAGCTTAGTGGGCTCTCACAATGCTCCCGTTCGGTGGACATCATCAGTGGCCTCCATTTTGCAGGTGAAAAAGTTGAGGCCCATGTAAAATACACGTGGTCACACTAGACTTTGGCAAGGTTGGGCTTTGGACTCAGATCTGCTGGTTACTCTCCATGCCACTTGGGTACCTTCTCACATTTTATACGTGTAAATTGGGAAGGTAGCAATTCATTTCTCTCTCACTTCAAAAATGGAAACTCAGTATCATCAAAAGATAATCTTGGAGTGGCACTGTTTGAGGTGGTGAATTGTTTGCTAGTTGAGAAACCAAAGAGTTGTTTTTCTTCTGTGAAAGGAACTGAAGTTTAACGCCTTGATTGTGTGTTGCTGGCCCACTGTTACTTAGAAAAATTAACTGCTCCACTGCTTATTTTGATAAGGCAGAGCAGCTGTTTGTCCTTGAAGTTTCAAAAAATTATATTTATGCACTAAATTTATTTGGCAAGTCAGACCTGTTTGTTCCAATAAAGCAACAGTATCTCCCCTGGCCATTCTGGAAGCCACCTGTTGCTTTCAAGAGTTACATGGAAGGGGCTGCTCCTGAGATATTAAAGACTCTTCAGAATGTGGGGGCCACATACTGGAGCCATGTGACCCAGTGGGGAGCTGGTGCTGATGAGGTCAAGGTCTCAGGCTGTCCTCCTTTGTGTAGGGAGCTTTGCAGAGAGCAGGACTCCACTCCATAGTCCAAGTCTGCATCCTCGACTTGGGCAGTGCCCACACAAATGGGCAACTGTTGGCAAGGGCATCTATGTATGTCCATCCTGTCACCACCCCCTCACCGTCCTTAGCATATAGTCTTACCACTTGTGTCTTAGAGAAACCCTTTAGCCTTTGTCTTGAGACCTGTACACTGGTCCTCCTCTGTTAATTAACAGGCAGGGAGCTGCCTCTCCTCCAGTTGTCCCTGTACTCTGGATCGCATCCTCTCCCTCCTGTGTCTTTAACTTCTCTGTCTGTGCCGTGTTTCCCCCATCAGCCTGTAAGCATTCTCACGTTCTAAAAAACAAGAAAGGTAGCAGTAGCCTCTCTCTAGCCTTCTCAGCTCTCTCTTCAGCTACCTCCTAAACTCTCTTCTCCCTGTTTTCAGCTGTATCTAAAGAGTGTCTGTGATCTCTTTCTGCATTTGCTTTCCTTCCATTCACCCCTCCACCCTGCCCCGCTTGTGAAGATCATCAGGGCTGTCTGTGCCACACAGTGAATAGGTCTCCTTCTCTCATTCCATGCCTCATTCTGGACAACTTGTTCCATAGCCATAGCTGCAGTTACCCATGGATTCACTGGTGACTCTCACATTGATGTTTCCAGCTCAGATTTGCCCTCTGAGCCCAGACACTGCTGTCTGCTCTGCATCCCCTCTAGCATGCCCCCAGCCATCTCACTACAATGTATTCACATCCAACCTTCCCTGTCTTATCCTGCCCCCTCCTCCTATCTGGTCCTTTTCTGAAGTTATTTAGTTTGGCAGATGACACCACTATCCATTCTCCTTTATGGCCATTGAATCGGACTGGATGAAAGAGAGAGTATTTTTTTTAAGGAGTTGGCAAGGTTAAGAAATTACAGCAAGGTCTTCTTTCATAAGAGAGTGCATTTACCTTTTTGAAGAGAAATGATCAGTTCTGATAGGGGCTGCTATTAAAATTAAACAATTGCGTGATTTCCATGCATTTACCTTTTTCTAAGAGAAATGATCAGTTCTGATACATGCTGCTATTAAAATTAAACAAGTGCATGATTTCTATAGCAAGAACATGGGCTGAACTGAATTAAAGTGATTTAACTCTTAAGTGTAACTTTCTCTCTAAAATGCTTTGGGGCCAGGCACGGTGGCTCATGCCTGTAATCCCAGCACTTTAGGATGCCAAGGCAGGTAGATCACTGAAGGTCAGGGGTTTGAGACCAGCCTGGCCAACATGGTGAAACCCTGTCTCTATTAGAAATACAAAAGTTAGCTGGGCATGGTGATGCGTGCCTGTAATCCCAGCTACTCAGGAGGCTGAGGCAGGAGAATCGCTTGAACCCAGGAGGCAGAGGTTATAGTGAGCTGAGATCATGCCACTGCACTCCAGCCTGGTAAACAGAGCTACACTCCATCTCAAAAAAAAAAAAAAAAAAATGCAGTGCGTGTGTGTGTGTGTGTGTGTGTGTGTGTGBGCGCATGTGCATGCTTTGGAAGGAATCATACAAGTATGTAGGTGTTAGTCTGCCTCTACCCTCAACCTTCATTAATCTTTGAGTCTCTTACCATCATTTGCCATGCACTGGTTCATTTGAAATACAAAGCAAATGTAATTGGGATCTGGCTCAGAAGCATTTGTTTTTCGTAGGAAAGGTCTTATAAGTTAGGAATTGGGCATATTTGCATGCCAGAGAGGGACGATTTTTAAGTATTTTGAAAAGGAGTATTCAGGTGAAGCAATTATTTTCTTTTAAGGTTTAATTTCAACTGTGATCATCTTTAGACTGGGATATCAGTTCTTATCCTGGTATCCATGATTAATAATTTTTTCCCATTGACTTTTCTTGTTATTTTGAAGTTTATTTGAAAAAAATTATTTTTTATGCCAAAGATGTTACTAAGGTATTTTGCTGCAGGCGAATATTGGGTAGGATGCATTGATACTATGCGTGGTCTGTAAGTTGCTATGGGGGTGACTTTCATGTTATGGAACTGATTTAGTTCCTGTTCGACAGGCACTGAAACAGGCCTGTCCTGCCATGTGGTCACAGATATCTGTCTCTTATATTGGAAAAATACTAAGAAAGCAAAGTACACTGGAGCTCCTGCCCTTAAATTTTACTTTCATTGCTCAATATGATAAGGCACAAAAGCCCCTGTGCTGGTTTTACAGCAAGGTTCTTGCCAGTGAAAGTGTGGAATCGGTAGGAGTTCTGATGTGCCCAGCAGTGGGTGCTCAGATGTATGACAGGACAGAGCCCCAACGGTTCAGCAAAGTCATGTGTTATATGGTCAAGTGGGAGAAGTCACACCTAACTGGAGAAACCCTGTGAAGCTTTATTTTTGGGAAATGATCAGGTTGGTTTTGTGGCTGAGTGTAGAAGGAAAGGTTTGAAGCAGTTTCTGGAACATGGTATCATACACACTCAAGGTTGCTGACATTTCTTCTAATATTCTTAAGCAGGTTTTGGCAGACAGGTCCCTTCAGCCTGCACCTGGGTGAGCCCACTGGCATTCTTCATTACAATCACATGTTAGTTTTCGTTGATTATGTGCATGTGGAGACTATCAAAAAAATTCAGCTTTTGTGATCTTTTTTCAGAAGTACAGTGGCAATGGATATCTTTGAACTCTAACATTGTGATGGTAAGAAAACTTTAGTCCTGTGAAGGAGGAGCACCTAGATGTTGGGTAGCTAATCTGGCTTTGCTGTTTTGGTGAAAAAAGTCCCATGTGTTGTGGGAACTTGGAGCTTTCTACATCCCTGCTTAGTTTTGTCAAGTCTGCTGGCCAGTAATCCTGAAAAACATTTGATGCGTTGACTGCCCGCACAGTTGTCAATTTGGCCAGAGTCAGAAACATGAATTTCACTCCTTAACCTTTTCAAGAGATCTTGACAAAAAAAAAAAGCAAACTTTGGAGTTCATTTTGTTAACACTTACGTTTACTGGTTTTCTAGAGAACCGGTTTGGGGTATGTGTGTGTGGCGGGGGTGTGGAGAGAATGCTTGTGTTTTAAAAAAGGGAAAACTGTTTTCACAGGGAGGAGTTTACTGGTGGGTTGGCTTATTTGGTGGCTCTCAGCCCTTTGAATGAGGCCTGTCTTTCAATTCAAGGCTTTGCCATCAACATGATGTGTATGCTGCTGAAAAAGTAGGAATGCTTTTACCCAGCTGCCATCCTGGAAGCACAGCCTGGAAGCAGACAACCAAGTGCATCTGCTGGCCAGTCAGGAATTGATATGGTTTGGCTGTGTCCCCACCCAAATTTCATCTTGAATTGTAGTTCCCGTAATCCCTACATGTCATGGGAGGGACCTGGTGGGAGGTAATTGAATCATGGGGGCGGTTACCTCCATGCTGTTCTCATGATAGTGAGTGAGTTCTCATGAGATCTGATGGTTTTATAAGGGGCTTTCCCTCACCTTAGCTCTGTACTTCTCCTTGCTGCTGCCATGTAAAGAAGAATGTGTTTGCTTCCCCTTCTGCCATGATTGTAAGTTTCCTGAGGCCTTCCCAGCCCTGCAGAACTGTGAGTCAATTAAACCTCTTTCTTTTATGAATTATCTAGTCTCAGGTATTTCTTCATAGCAGCGTGGGAAAAGACTAATACAGGAATGGTACAGCTCTGGCAGTCTTTTTGCAAGCAGAAGCCTGTATACTCCAGGAGAAACTAGAGAATGCTTTTGAGGATTATTTTTGTTGTGACAGTCCCATTAAAATGTGGACTGAATCCTCTCCTTCATGACACAGACAGCATCAGTGGTGCTGTCCTTGCCACAGAAGGCCCCAGGGTGTGTGGGCACAGCGAGTGATGCAAGTGATGTAACCAGAAGAGGTTTTGGGGGATTTTCACACTTCTTTACACATGCTATCCTAGCCTGGCAGAGTGGTCTGTGATTCCCCACTCAGTACTACCTCTCTGTCTTTTATCCTTAAAAGAAAAACTGGAAGTCAAAGCTGATTGGCTGTCAAACACCAGGCTCCAGTTTCAACCTCTGTATCAAACCAAAATAGCAGCCTTCTAATGGAAATTTTCTTTTAGTATAAAATGTACTTTCTTTTTTATCTGTGCAATTTACATTCATTTTAATTTTTTGGAAAGCAGCCAGTTGATTTTTGCATTTAAATGAGAGTGAGAAGTATAATTATTTACACAAATTTAAAATTTTCTATGTAAAGGAAATAAATTTCCAATGATGAAATTGTATACCAAAAAATTAATTGCAAAATTTTGTAGGCATGTGCATATGTTTCTGAGAGGTTTTCATCAAATTTTCAAAGGGATCTGAAATTAAACAAACAGCCAAACAACTGATTCAGAGCAAGCTTCTGCTGTTGCAGCAGCTCTAGCTCACTGTTTAGACCTCCTCAGAATAGCGACAGCATACAGGGAGCCTATTAGTTGTGTACCCCAATCTTTGGTGAGCCTGGAGGGAGGTAATTGAGAGGGAGGCAGGGGCCCTGAAAATGGAGTAGGTGTTGATGAGTGCCCATAACTCTCCAGGCCCAGCCAGGGCACCATTAACCATCTTCTGCTTTGGCAAGAATAATCCAGATCCACCTGGAGAGGCTTTTGGGCTAGGGAGGACTTTATATGCAGCAGGACTGCATTAATGACTTTCAGGCCCTTTTCCTTTGTAGGCTCCTTCCTCCATAAAAAAAAAAAATTGAAAATTATATTTTATGACTGTGTTGGTCAGATCTGTTAATATTATATATTAAAACGTTTTATCTGAGCTAAAGGTCCTTTTTTCCCTTCTGATTTTAAAAGAAATTAAAACATTTGTGTGAGCCCCTAAAAATATTGTGGGGCTGTAAGCATTGTGCCTGTTGTACCCAGTGAATAAGTTGGCCCTGAGGTGTGCAGATCATCTCTTGATTTTTTTTCTAAAATGTATAAGGAAGATGTGGAATATACAAGCGAATATGTTCTTTTTACTCTCAATCTATTATTTTTGAATAAAGTTGAGAGAAGGCATTAAGCATATTATTAATTTACATTTCAAAGAAACAATTTTGAATTCGTTAATGTGGAACTTATATTTTTGATATAGATTTCTTGTATTGTTAATTTTTGCAAAGATAATAATTTTCAAAATTTTAATCAAATTTCAGTTTTTAAAACTAAAATTTTACTGTATTAATATCAGTAATGAATATTCTACAGAGTTTGAAAAGATTTACTCTTCTGAGTGTATTTGCAATGAAAAATATTTTAAGCATTCTTTCCAGTTTATTTTGTGAATATATGTAATACTTTTTACATAATAAATTATTTTCTAAAATAAAGCTTCATAAATTAGTTTTATGTAATAACTTGTATGTCTTTTCCTGATTCTGAGAAGTTTTCTATGAATTCTTTGAGTAAAAATCTATTTTAAAAGATAACAGGCAATAATTTGTGACTAGGAAATTTCAGAGTGGCCAGGAAAAACATGCTAAAAATAGAAACTGTTTGTTTACTCTGTGCTCCACCCAGTCTAAAACACAGCCATGTGGTTGCAGACTTGGGGAAGGCCCTGTGGTAACTTGGAAGGTGTTTTTTCCCCGCTGAGTTGCAGAGTTTAAGAGATCATTCTTATAACTTCTGAATCCTGTTTCCTTTCTTTAGCAACTCAGATAAATTATTTTTGCAAGCTGTTATCTGAAAATGAGTTTGACCATGTTCGTTTAGTTTTTAGTGTCTTATCATCCTCCTTTCTACTTATATATTTAATTTAAGCCCTGTTTCATGAAAGGAAATTTTGAGATTGGAGGTTTTACTAATAACTTATACCTCAAAATTTGTCAGTTTATAGTTTAAACTTTCCGGTGTTTTTCATGATAGTCTAAAAAAATAGCCACTTATTTGTTCATTTTGTTACAAAAGGGGCTAGATTATGAATTTAGTTCTTGGGTAGGCTTATCACCTAGGAACAACACAACTTTATAGGACTGAATGTTAACCAGACAAGCCTGTGATTTGTGTGCACAGATAACAGAAACCATAACCACCAGAAAGGCAGCCCAGTGATACCAGTGTTGGGTCAGCCACACATTTTATTAGTCAGATGCTTGGAGCACCTACCACTATTCAGGACTCCTTGCCCAAATGCTGTTGCTTTGTTAACTCTGTGCTAAGGTGTTAGGGCATTATGATGCCCAGTTCCCCAGAGCACTCCATTAGGGGCTTAGGCTTTGGAGTAAGCTGGCTGGTGTGAGTCAGACTGGGGGGTCACCTATTGGCCTTAGTTTCCTTATCTCTAAAATGTATATAATGATGAGATTAGTTTCATTGGGTTTTTGAGAGAATTAATTGAAGTCATGCAAGTAAAGCACAGCTTTCAATAATTATTAGCAATTTTTTTTTTGGTATTAACGTACAGCATAACAAAAGTCTAGATTTACTTCAGGAGTTGTGCCCTTGAAGTAGAATTTGGTTGTTTGCTTTACCTGCCTTCATAATGACTGCACGAAAGAAATAAATATCAATTCATTTCATTGTATTCAATTTGTTTTATTTCAAAACAAGTTAAATGAATCTTTAATTTTTTTTTATTCCAATGATATGTATTCATGTCAATATTTTATTCCAGATGATGTTTAAGCAAATATAAGTGAAAATACTGTGTGGGCTGATTTGATACTGTTTGTCATTCCTATTGTATGTTTGACTCCCTACCTCCCTTTCGTGGGTTTTCTGTCTCTCTATTTAAACTTTTTATTATGGGAAATGGACACAAATAGAGAGAATAGTATGATAAACTCTTATATACCCATCTCCCACCTTCAGCAGTTATCAGCTCATGGCTAATATTGTTTCCTCTGCATTCCTATCCACTTATCCCCATCCTGTGTTATTTTAAAGCAAATTCCAGACACCGTATTATCCATAAACATATTTTTACCATCCACAATATTATTATATCTGTAAAATAATAATAATTCCTCAATATCATCAACTATCAACAGTGTTCCAATTATTTTTAAGAGGCATAGCTTTAAAAAAATTAGTTTGTTTAATTTAGGGTCCAGTTAAGATCCCATACGTTTCAATGGTTGACGTGTCTCTTTTTTCTTTTAATGTACCCTAGTCAGTTCCTCATTGTCTGTGGGCAGGAGGATATAACATCCCTGGATTAGCTGAGAGCTATTAGTAGCTAACACTAAGGGCAGTTGCAGGGATTTGGACAGGGCACCCACCACATCCACTGCTTGGGGGAGGTGGTGGATAATCTTCAGGCACAGGGAACAGCATAAGCCGGGACCCGTGAATGCACAGCACAGCATGTTTGGTGGAGTGACAAAGGTTGGCAGTCTGGGAGGTGGGCAGCTCAGGTTGGGGTGTTGGGGATTGAGGCTGTGTTCCAGGTGGTTTATTATACATTTTTGGTGCTGGGCTTAAAAATAGCTTGTTTATTCAGATGAAGATGAAATTAATAAAAGTGTGATATGAGTAGAGACTATTGGAAATATATAATGTATCAACATACATTTATTTTCTGAAGATGTGTAATTTGGAAAATTATGGTAGTATGTGAGAAGCATCGTGACATCTTAAGTTAACTAGATATCTGGAACAAAGTATGCTTCAGCCTTCTTTCTATTTTTTCCCGTATTATAAAAGTAGTGTTAGTATATGATGACATCCCAGAGGGCAGACCATGGTTATCAGTGTGTCTCAGGAGTAATATAGAAGAGCTTATGTTATCTGCCTGCTGCACATATGTAAAAGAAATATTTTGCTTATTCAAGAGAGCAGTGTTTTAATGTTTTTTCTAGTACATTTAAAATATTTGAAATTGTTATCCTTGTTTTGAGTTTCAGTTCTTGGTGTGGTAACTTAAAATGTACACTCTCAATATACAGGTTTTTGCTGTTACTTAATAGCAAGGACCTGTGTTCAAATTTTAGCTCTGCCACTTACTGTTTGTTGAGCAGATTGCATATCTTCTTGTAGCTTCCTCATCTAGGAAAAGGAAATAATAATAGTGTTCCTACAGAGGACTGCTGTGCTGATTAAATGAGAGTGAATCTATTACATTTAGCACAGGGTTTGGCACACCAAAGCACCCAATGGTTTTAGATATCGCTATTTTTACTATTAGTGTTTTCTTATTAAATATATTTCAGGATCATTGATTTAAGGTACACTAAGCAGATAATGACTAAGGTATCAAGAGGATTGGGAACAAGAATATTAACTTGTATGTGTCCTGGGATTGAAATTTGCACACTGCAACCCAGATATTCTTTTATTAATATATTCTGTAACTTCCTTTCTATTCTATAACTGATATAATATTTCTCTGGAGTCCTATTTCTGTTCAGCAAAAGCCAGAGAGATATCAAAAATAATTCTGTCTTTTTTGGTTTAAAACAACCTCCATTAGCTTAAACGCCATCTTTTTTGAATAATTCAGAAATTTAAAGATCGGGATGGTTTCTTCCTACGTTAAAGGCTCTTCCCTTCCCATTCCTAGGAAACAATATTGGTCTGACTGATTACCATTATTGTTATTTGGCTATGGCCCACTATGATCACATCACACACACAGATTCTGCCTTCTGTCACCTTACCAAGATGAACTCGCCTGGATCCTGCCCAAAGCTGATCTCTCCATCCACACAAAAGATCTCAATCCTTCTTCCCTCCTCAGCTAATTCATAAGCAGCTCTCCCCACCTCTCCTGTAGCACCAGTTTTCACTCTCTACTGGATTATTCCCATCAGCATCAAACATTCTGAGATTTCTTTCATATTTTCTTGTTGCAACTTCTCCTGCTGGCTACTGCACAATTTCTTTGCCCCCTTTGCAGCAAAAACAATTTGAAGAGTTGTCAGTGCTCACTGTCTTCAATTCCTTGCTCCTGTTTTTTTTTAAAGCTGCTCCCTTCAGGTCCTCACTGTCACTTTTCTCCAAAGCCACTCTTGTCAAGGTCACCAATACCCTCCAAGTTCCTAAATCCCTCAAGTCAGTTTGCAGTCCTCCCCTTACTTCACCCGTCAGTAGTGTTTGGCATGGCTGATCATTCCCCTTCTTGGCACACTTACTTCGCTTGGCTTCCAGGGCTCCCTACTCTCCCAGTTCTCCTCCTGTCTCACGCATCAGTCTTTTCAGTCCCCTTTTCTGTTTGCTTCTCTTCTGTTTGCTTGCAGCATTGGAGTGATCCCAGCCTTCTTTCTATCTGTTCACACTATCCTGATATTCTCATCCCGTCTTGTGGCTTTAAGTGTCATTTATATGCCAACCACTCCCAAATATACATCTCTACCCCGACTCTCTTCTATGATCCAAGCATATATGTCCTACTAGATTTTTCCACTATATCCTACTAGATCTTTCACTTTTCATATCTGAAACACAACCCCCCCTTTTCCCCACCCAGCCTGCTCCATCTGTAGCCTTCTTTCTTAGTTTGATAATATCCTTTCAGTTGCTCAGGCCTTGGAGTCATCCTTGACTCCTTTCTTATCTCATGTACTACATCAAGTCTATCAACAAACACTTTGGTTTTATCTTCGAGATATAACTAGTGATAGTGTGCTGTAAGTATTATTCCCAATGTAGAATTTGTAATGGGGCCAGGCACGGTGGCTCACCCTGTAATCCCAGCACTTTGGGAGGCGAAGGTGGGTGGATCACTTGAGGCCAGGAGTTCGAGACCAACCTGGCCAACATGGTGAAACCCCATCTCAACCCAAAATACAAAAATTAGCTGGGCGTGGTGGCATGTGCCTATAATCCCAGCTACTCCGGAGGCTGAGGCAGGAGAATCACTTGAACCCGGGGGGCGGAGGTTGTAGTGAGCCGAGATAGCGCCACTGTATTCCAGCCTGGGCCACAGAGCAAGACTCTGTCTCAAAAAAAAAAAAAAAAAAAAAGTAATGAGCACAGCTCTGATTTGAATACAGGTCTGTCAGGCTCCAAAGTTTTCTCCATAGTTTTGCATTAATATATTCTTAATTTTATATTTGCAAAGTTATTTTTATTTTAATATCATAGCTTAGTGGGAGAGTAGGGACACTATTTAAAACTAAGGAGCAGACAAAGAATACTCCAGAGTATCTTTAGAATTTACTTAGTTTGTCTCCCTAGTTCTAGGAAATCTGAATCTAACTCATATATTAGATTATATTTTCTTTGGAACAAACCCAGATCTTTAAGAAAGAGGAGTTCAGTGCCTCCTTTCCCAATTAGCTAATCATCTATAAGCTTCACTTTTGTCATACAAAGGTGCTGGACTCCCAGAGTTCATGCAGTCACAACTCAAATGGTGAAGAGGAAACCTGAACTGTCTCTAGTTATTTTTAGGTGTTCCTGATAATCAATTTTCATGCAAAATACAAATGATCATTTATTTGTCCCTTTGTTTTCATGAATACAGGCTGAGCATCTGTAATTCAAATATCCAAAATGTTCCAAAATCTGAAACTTTTTGGGTACCAACATGATACCACAAGTGGAAAATTCCATACCCTAACAGCACCTTTGCTTTCAGTGTACATAAACTTTGTTTCGTACACAAAATTATTAACAATATTGTATAAAATTACCTTCAGGCTATATGTATAAGATGTATATGAAACATAAATGAATTTCTTGTATAGACTTGGATTCTATCCCTAAGATGTCTCATTAGGTATATGCAAATATTCCAAAATCCCAAAAAAATCTGAAACGCTTCTGGTTCCAAGCATTCCAGAGAAGGGATACTTAATATGTAGTAGTATATGGATGCCTTGCCTCATAGTCACCCTCCCCAGTGGTTTAATGCAACCATTAAATTATTTTTGTTTTAAAATATTTGATCTGGGTTTGAATTTATGGAAATACTTCACGTCAGTTTTTTTTTTTAAATAGCCAAATAGTGTTTCAAAATTTTATCAAGATTGTGATTGGTCTTTAACCTTAGAAGCAAAACTGACATGGAAGGATGAAACAAGTAGGTAGAATGGTGAATTTTGGTATTCATGTGTTTGGACATCTGTGTCCTTATCAAAAGAAAGAATGTATATAGTTGGACAAAATTGAAGGTCCATGTGGTATATTTAGAAAATATTACTTGTTAGTGGTTTAACATGTGTATAGTGGTTTTACTTCAAGCACTTTCAAAGATTTGAGTTTGTTTCTGCCCTTGTAACACTTCAACAGTCATATTAGTTTGCTTTACCATTTTTCTTTGAAGGGAACTGAGACTGATTCAGTTGTGCAAGGTGATGAGCAACATTGCTCAAAAAGCCAGAAATAGATTTGTGGGCTTCTGACTGTGAGACCAGGTGCTCTCTCCACTGAATTATTCTGCTTTCTTTGACTGTTTTCTTTGCTTTAAAAAATATTAATGCACAATTCTGAATTGCTGTTGACTGTGAGATAAATTCATGTTAGATCTATAAATAATGCACTTTCCAACCAAACCAGCCAATGGAACAAAACGCTTTTTGAGACATTGGTGTTGGAAGATGGCCTCCTCCCACCAGCTGACTGTATTCTCATCATCCCCCACATCTGTCCCATTGTTTCTGATGCTGGTACCAGGCTCCTGTCTCCAACACATGCTTAGATAATTACAAGAATTAACCTCCCTTCCTTCTGTTCTTCTCCCTTTCCCCCAAATCCTTTTTCACAGTTTCCAGATTAGTTCTCCTACAGCACTACTTTGTGAAATTCTCTCAACATGTTCTATGATACCCTTTGCTCTGAGGCTGAAGCCCTAACCTTCCTCTTGGTTTCCAGGACCTCCCATGTATCATCAGTACTACTCTAGCATCTTCTTCTGCTTCTCACCAACCTCCGTCTTGGCCAGACTGGGCCTCGCAAACTGACATTACTTCACCTCTCTTGTAGTCTTGTAATCTGTACCCTATTCCAGAATTACTCTCCCTCTCCTTTTGGTTAGCAAGCCCAGCTTTCCTCTAGGGACTTTTCTTACCCATTCGCTGGAAATTTGGTTGTAGGTGTGCCCTGTATCTTTTATCTAGTAAGACTCTTCTGTGGGTTTACTAATTTTCATTTAGAAAGAGGATCACTACCTAATGATGTAAGGTGTGGTGTAAAATTTTTCTCAATTATATTTTCAGATTATTGCTGGGATTCTGTTATGATTAGTAAGCAAACGAATTAATATTTTAATGGTTGACTGCCTTCTGATATGTTTACCTCAAATTATATCATTTTAAATTATAGATTTAAATTTTAAGAAAAACAAATATTTACATTTAGTCAAAGATTTTGTGAAATGACCTTGTTTTGAGAAAGAGAAATGAAGTCCAATTACTGAATAGAATATGAATATATAAATATATTTATGTATGTGTATATATGTAAAAAATAGCTGTCATGTAGTCATTATTTTTGTGACAGTGTATTGCTAAAAAGATCTTCATAATAATTTTGAATAGAACACTGGGGGTGCTAGATTTAGAAATTAATGATTTTATGGAAGAAAGATCTGCCTGTAAATTTTGCTCCTATTATGAATAAAAGGGAGACCCTTATTTCAGATTATCGAAATACAGGGACTGTAGCATTAATGTAACACCCACTATAATGTGTTTCTTTTAAAAATGTTTTCTTCAACACCCTGTGATATATGACTTGCCAGATTCTCTGATCCTGGGGCCCTTTAGCAGCCATGCTATGTGTTGTCATAATGTTTTAAATTTGTGGCTCTAAAATGCAATTCAGTTGTGTTTAGCCAGTGTTGATCTTTTTCTTTCTTCTTAATTTGGGACTTTCAGTGTATGCCATTACTTATGAGAAGTGCTTTAGTTATGAGTTGTGGAGAGAGAAAGTAGTTGGAGAGAAAATTAAGGTAACTCTAACATAGATCTTAATATAGTCTATAAAGTTTTCATGAGGATAATACAGTGAGTTTTATATGTGGAGAAATATATAGAACAGTGAGTGGAGGAATTAGGGAGCAACATATTCAATTTAATTGTCTTAAACACTAATATGATCTAAGAGAAAGATCATAAGAAAGTTGTCAAGTTTTCTAAAAGAAAGAAAGTTTTCAAAAGATGTATTTCTCAAATTCATCTGTCATTAAAATTAGTATGTTGAATTGGATTCTCAGCTTATAAATTAAAATATAAGTGTTCTTACATGATAAACTGAATTTAAATTTCCAGGTTTTTTTTTTTCTCTTGGTGGTCCAATTTCATTGTATTAAAATATGTAGGTATCTATCTTTTTGCGTAGATTTGGTAAACTTTGGTTTTCATGAAGTTAAAATGAATGATTAAAAATTTGTATAGAATTTGTTAGCGTCTTCTTGTTACAGGATTTAGGGGGTATGTGTGATTTAAAGATTAATTCATAAAATATTTCTTTATTTATTTTATGTATTTTTTATTGTTTTTAGAGACAGGGTCTCACTCTGTCACCCAGGCTGGAGTGCAGTGGCATGAACATAGCAGCCTCAGCCTCCTAGACTCAAGTGACCCTCCCTCCTCAGCCTCCTGAGTTGCTGAGACATACAGTCAAATGCCACAATGTCCAGCTAATTTTTAAATTTTTCTGTAGACAAGAGATCTTGCAGTGTTGCCCAGGCTGGTCTTGAACACCTATCCTCAAGTGATCCTTCCACCTCAGCTACCCAAAGTGCTGGGATTATAGGCATGAGCCACTGCCTCTGGCCTAAAATATTTGTATAAATTGAAAGACAATACTTTTGAGTTTAAGGAAATGAAGATTTGATCTGCTTTAAAGCTGTCTTAGTAGACGGATGTTGGAACAAATCAATTAAAACATATCTTTTATAATGTGGTAAAACAAAATTAACATAAGCTGAGCAATGCATAACATTAGTGAACATTCTTCTCGCTATGAGGTTCATGCTTTTGATAAAGGTCTAGAAGTTGCTTCAGACGTCATTGAAATTTTTATATTTATTCTCACCTTGCCTATTTATTTATTTACCTTGCAGTCTTTTTTATTTTTAAGGTGAGAGATTCTGGGTACTAATATACACACATTCACTGTACACTGATATTTAGCCAAACCATGAAATAGAAAAAGCTGGCATATATTTACTGTTAGAATCTTTGAAATTTTTCAGTGTATATTTCCTGTTATAGTTATTCATGCTCCATAATTCATGGGTTTTCTTGGCACTGGCAACAGTTACTTCCCTGTGGTTTAGATATATTTTTTTGTAGTATAGGTAGGTTTCTTTGCTGCTCTCATATTTTTCCTTTTAATTTTATTATTTTTTTCCTCTTCTTATTCAGATAGTGTTTCATCTCTGTCATTAGGAAACTACTTCTCATTGATTTATTCTGTTTATGCAGTTTTTCCTTCCAAATTCATCAACTGAACTATGGGAAACTTTGTTTCTTAAAAGGTTATTTTGACATTATTTGGGTCAGGCCAGGTTTCACATAGGGAAAAGGACAATGCTTCTGCTTTGCCTTCCCATCCACCACTAACAGCTTTGTGAAAGGAGAGAGAAGTAGAAGGAAAGGATAGAGAGAGAAGGAGGGACGCCTCATTCAGCTTACATTTCAGAAGCAGGGAATGCAATAAATAACATGAAGAAAGTCCAGGCTCAACTCGCTCACACCTCAGGAGGTGATTCACGAGCATGTAACACAGCCTGCTAAGGTTTCCATTATTCATAATTAATTAAATCAAAGCATGCTTAGTAAGGGCCCATAATCTTAAAAAGCATTCTGTGTTTTCATCTGACTAAAAGTTTTTCCTTCGCTTGTTGCAGACGACAGCCGACTTTAATATTATAGCACCAGCACGGTACAGTTGACTCAGTAAACCTGCCACACTGTGGAACAGAGGTTTGGGGAAGAATGTGGAATGTGAAATATAAGACTATTCAGCCCCTTAAAACAATGACTATCCAAATATGTTGCTTTTGAGCTGGTAGTTTCTCACTTATTTTGTTTAAAAAAATATAACATCCTTTGTTGGGTTATAGGTTTCACTGAGGCAGATGGGTTTCTGTAGTGAATTAGTCCCTGCATCTACTGAGAGTATCCTCCCTCCAGCATTAAAGAAGGAAAATAAGAAAATGGCCCATAGCATAGAGGAATGGTCAGGTGGGAAGTAGCTTCTCCTTAAATTATTTCTGATGGAAAAAATATATTCTGGAGCTTGGCATTTGAGTTCAATATTGCCAAAACTCCAGGAATAACTTTCTGCCAAGAGCACCCAGTATGTCAAAGAAAATATTCTAAAAGAAGTAAATTAATACCATCCATGTAAAGAATCAGTGGCATTGTGGCATCAAATGAGTGTGCTTCATATAATGCTATGATCTTTTTAATTAAGAGGAAAAGTCCAAATAATTGATGATGAACATTTACAATTACTTTGATATCAATTACTTAAAGAGACCTAAACCATAAATATATTACAGAATTTTGAAAGATAAAAGATAAAGATAGTTAAAATCCTTGATTTTTCCTCTTTGGTATTCAAGGCTGTATGGTTACTTATATCTTTGGCTTCCTTCTCTCTTTTGTGATCGTACATTATCCATGTGTCATCCTGTACCTCAAAGGGTGGAGGAACAACTTATGTGTTCTTTATCTCCCCACCTCCCCTTGCCTGTGTTCTTTGTCGTACGAGCCCCTGGGAGACTCATAGTTTCCTCAGTAGGTTGCCTGGCAGTAACTGGAGAATGAGATAGCTATGCTATAAAAGGCTCTTCCTTCCCTGGCCCAGCCTTTTCCTGGTACTTAGCCCCTTTCTGTCCTTCACATCCGGATGTACATAGGACACGGTCCCATTTTGTTAAGGACACACATCCTCTGTGTAACAGTGTATTCCTCTTCCTTTCAATTAGAGTCATGTCTGAAGGATCTTTTTAGCTTTCTGGGCTATCTGGTTACCTAACCAATAAATTAGAATAATTAGTCCTATTACTAGGTTCAGCAGTAATGTAGAGTCTTAACAGCTTTTGTTTTAGGTCAAAACATGCTCATTTGGTTACCTACAAACTATATAACAAACCACCTCAAACTTAGTGGCATAGAACAGTGACCATTTTATTATGATCATGAATTCTGTGGGTTGACAGTTTGAACAGGACACATCAGAAATGTCTTGTCTCTGCTCTCTGATGTCTGGGGCTTCAACTAGCTGTGGGGATTCTGATGACTAGAAGCTGGAGGGTTCACTTCCAGGATGGCTTCCATACTCACATGTTGGGTACCTTTGCAGGGATAGCAGGACTGTTGGGCTCAGCTGAGAGTGTCAGCCAGAGTGTCTATGTGTAGCCTCTCCACTCATGATAGTTCCAGATAGTTGGATGTTCCCCAGAGTAAGCCTCCCAGGAGAACTAGATAAAAGCTGCATGGCCTCTTCTGACCTAAGCTTAGAAGTTACACTGAGTCACTTTGACTGCATTCTTTTAGTTACAAGTGATTCATAGACCAGCACTGATTCAGAGAGATGGAAATGAGACCCCACTCCTTGGTGGGGGAGTGGCAGGTGCACACTGAAGAGGATCATGTAGGATGCAATATTGTGGTGGTCATCTTGGGAACTTATGCAAAAGGGAAACTCAGTCATCTTGATGTTTTGATTCCATAATGCCAGACTTCTATTTTCTTATGTGAATCATTCAAATGTCTCATTATTTGAAAATTTGATATTATGTAGAAAAAATTTGGATGAGTACGTGAATATCCCCCTTTTTACCTATGTATATTACCATCTGACAGATAACTTTTGCATGACTGAATCAAAGGAGCACTGTTCAACACAGTCTTGGTTCATACCCTTAATCTGAGAAACTAAAGTAAGGCTGTAAGATTGTGCCAGGTTATTATAAGGAAGAACAGATTATCACTGTGAACTTTACAGTCAGCAAGGCATTTAAACCAGGAAGACAAAAGGAGAGAGATGTTAAAACAATAGATAGTTTTTGTGCTTTATATGAAAATCTCATTTTTTAAGTAGCTGGTTATTGAAAAATTATATATTTATGACAGAGAAGACTTTAACTATTAATCACAAAATTCAATTTGTGTCTCAGTGATAAAGCGATTTCCTCCTTTTCTCCTATTTATGATAGATTTTTATGTATGAAAATGCAATTAATTTCAAAGAATAATAGGTGAGTCTGGGAACCAAATAGGAAAATAGTCTCTTTATGCAATGTATGGAAAGTCCCCTAATGTTAATGGCTATACTGGCTCTAAATAGTATGCCACAGAGAGATGCATTTTGGGGTTTGAACAATAGCTTCATATTACCGTAATAGTTAAGGTGATGGGAAAGAATTATGTTCCACAGGATGTAGAATTACCATAACTTTATGTGTTGAAGGAAAAAGGCTAAGCCAGTATAATGACCTGGGCAAGGACTTGACTTTGCTGGGTCTCAGTTTCTTCATCTATAAAGGGCTGAAACCTCACCTAGTTATATAATTCTTTGATTTTGTTGCTCTTTGTGCTCACATAGCACTGGAATAAAGCAGTCAAAGTTAATGTTAAATATAGGAGTACAAAGGTCATTCAGCTAAGTTTCAGAAAGTTAATAAATCCTAATCACTTTACACTTGACAGCATGTATAAACTTGTATCCACTAATCCCAAAAGTTAAATAGAAGTACTTCAGGAAAACTCTGGATTAAATAAATTATTTAAAAATATATGGACATCATTCTTAAACTTAGAGCAGTTGTTAACCATAATACTTCGTTGTGAAATAGTTTAATTAAAATTTTTAGTTTTATTTGTTTGAACCAAAAAACTGAATTCACTCATTTGGAGCCAAAATTTAAATTACTAAATAATAATTTAATAGGAAATAGTACAGTTGAATTTCTGAAACTTGTTCTTCTGAGTTTAATAGTGCCTTTATATACTAGCTAGTTTGAAGTCTAGGCACTGCATTATTTTTGTACTATTTAGTTATAAGGTATTAGGAATTTGTCCATTTCGCCTACATTTTCAAATTTATTAGCATAATGTTCATCAAATTATCTCGCCTTTTTACAACCCACTGCATATGTAGTTTTGTTCCTCTTTTCCTTACTAGAATTGTTTGTCCTTTTTTACTGATCAGGTATGCCAGAGATTTATCAGTTTCATAATCTTTTTAAGCATTAATTTGTGGCTTTGTTGATTTTATGTATTGTTCTATTGTATCCCTTTTCGGTTTCATTAATTTCTGATGTTATCTTTATTATTTCCATTATCCTTATTTCTTTACTTTTTCTTTCTTTGGGTTTATTCTTTTTGCTATTTTTCTGACTTTTAAAGTTGTGTGCTTAGCTCTTTAATATTTAGCCTTCCACTAGCTTGTGAATTCTGCAGCCTATATAGTTGGCCTACAGAAAAAGTATACTCCTTATGACTGGCCTTTTTTGGAGTCTGGTTGAGGGGACACCTGTTTTCTTGGAGGTGCTTCCCTCAAAGTGAGGAAGAGTCACCTGAGGTATTGGCACATGCATAAGTGTTCTTCTTGGGAATCCTCATTGCAAAGATTCTGTGAACATGGACTTCTGAAATGGTATTTTCTGTAAGCTGTGGGGTCAGAATTAACAAAGCAATTGAAAATTCACTCAGGCAAATTATAGAATAATGAATATCCATATATATACCACATATATGGCATCTGTCTAAAACTTAATCACCAGAGTATAATCTTGTCAACCCCAATTTTATTTTCCTGACTGCCTCTGAGAGTAGAAATCAGTGAGGCAAATATCCTGTGTGTTTTTACACAAATTGAAATTATTTTTCCATAATATTTTGTTAATGGTACTGTTTGTGTTTGTAGTTGAGTTACTTTGACCTCTGAAGCATCTTCCACACTGTTGCATGTAAATGGAACAATAGGTACTTGAGTCACTTGATCATGGATTCCAGATTCTGGAACAGCCTCTTTAGAAGGCAACAGAGGATATTATTTACTGATTTGAGTGGCTTTAGAATATCATTTAACTTTTTAAAATTATATTTATTAGATATGATCTTAATCTTTATATATTTTTCTTTTATAGATGATATAATAAGGCATTATTAGTATTGTATAATTCTCAAGGGTATTCCACATAAATATTTAAAGTTAATTTATAAAAGTTAATTTTATTGCTTACTATGATTATATGATAAATTCTCACTTATTGAGAATCTGAACTGGAAAGGTCAACCAAAAATTTAAAAGCAGATATATAAATTAGGGCGAGAGATAACGAGAGCAAGTGCTTTGAGCCCTGTGAGTGGCTATTACACACTAGCATGGCTATTGATGAGGATGGAGAGGGCCTTTAGGGAGGGCATACTTAAAGAATGCAGGAGTGAAAATGCTTGTATGGTGTTTTAATTCATTTTAAAACTATATTTTCTTCTCATTTAACCATAGGCCACTCAGTTCCTCAAATACTGTGAATAAATAGGATTTTATTGGATTGATAACCACTGTATTACAACCACTACTACGTGAGAATACAAGAAAACAGTTTGAATACTAATTTCTCGCACCAAATCATAATCTATAAATGTGTTTTGGTAATTCCACATTTATAGCTTTCCTTTATTTTTGTCCTTTAAAGGAAGTTTGGTGTGGTAATGGCCATTAAAATTATTTCTCATTTCAATGAAAGTTTGAATTAGGAATTTTATGCAGATGAACAAAACAGATTAAGGCCATTTTTTGAAAAGGTGCTTAACATTTTGACTGAAAAGCATCTTTAAACATTACAAGTTTTATTTTATTTGTGGGCCTAGCTCATATGGTAAGTTTTCCTAAGGGCATGGAGCAAAGCTCTCAGCTTCTTAAGTGTGTTTATAGCAACAAATACATGCTACATGGTAGGGAGAGAGCTAGTCAGATATTTTAGTCATATATTTTTAAAATGGACTGTTCCAGAATAAGGTTGCCTTTGAAAAGAGTCTTTCAAATAATTAGTGTCAAGTAGATTATTTTAGTTTTAATTTAATCATCTGTTTCATCATATAAGAAAGCTTTCAATATCGTGACCAAGGGATTGGGGCGGTCTGATGTATTGGAAATGTGACTTACTTGCTCCAGACACTTTGAGAAAGTGTGAATTGGTGAATCTCACATCCATTCTTGGCAAGCTGATAGAGTATCTAGGAAAGGGTAAGATTATTGAACACATGAGCTGAGAATAATCTTTTGAGGAAAACAGTATCTGGATTTTCCTAAAAGGGGATCTTATTTCAACAGACCTTCAGCATTCTTCAAAAGCTAGGTGAGGATGTGAATGAGAAAAACAGGAGATGTACTGCTCCCTGTATATTGCAACAATGTGAAATAGAAGTATGGCAGACTTTGAGGGAACAAGATTCTAAATTCCCAGAATATCACTAATTTATTTTCATATACCAGTGCAGAATTTTTTTCTGAAGACAGGTGTAAATCATTTTAACATGATCTTTATAACCACCACCTTTCTATTAATCAGGCAATCATCAAGAAAGAATTTGATTGTGAAGGGTCCAGATTGAACTGTTCTTTAAGTAAGGACACAGGAAATATTAAGATAACTGTATGGAAAAATCTCATCCAAGAAACTGGAAGCTATGGGAAAAAGAAAATTAAAGATTCTTTGATTTTAGTAGGTTGGTTGAGTTATACATATTTTTAGCAGAGCAAAAAAAGAGAGAAAAAAGTTGCATGCAACTATTTAAAAAGAATGTGATACAACAAAAGCTATTTTTAATCTATGTCAGGGTAGGAGGAAAATTTATACTTTTTAATAGTTATGAACTTTTAAAATTCGTATGAAGCAGAATCTTTACTGCTAGAAGAATTTGGCTCTGCAGTTTTTGTTATGTTAAAACTTATTCAGGAAGAATTTCAGTATTCAGAATTCAGCACTCTGATTTAGAGTTTTAATAGGAATGCTAAGTCAAACCTATTTTAAGCATATTACCTCCCTCAAAGCTTTAAAACAATTCTGAAATTTTATAAAGGTCTAAAATTGGTAACTTTAAAGATTTAAAATCACTTCATGCTTTTCTAACTGGATGGAACTTTCTTTGATGCATTGTGTCTCAACTCTCATGAAAGATTACTTCCTTTCTCAAAAGAAATCATTCCTAAGATCTCGTAATTCCACCATATATAGCTATGGAGGAGGCCAAATTAGGGAAATATGTCTTCCTATGCATGTATGCATTTGTACTCTTCCTATGCATGTATGCATTTATACTCTTCCTATGCATGTATGCATTTTTAACAGAGGGCTTAGAAACAATATTAGGTGCTGTTGAAGATATCCTGTATGGGATATTTCTGTCAGTATTGTACCAAATATCATAATTGGGAATGAGCAAATGAAACTCTACCTGTGAATGGGCATAGAATACTTTCCTAGCCCATAGTAATAAAAATAAAAATATTATTAAGAAAAAATATATTAAGAAAAAAATAATGTTAGAGACAGCTAAATATACCACCTCAAAAGAGGGTAAAGTACAGGGTTTAATAAAAGACAACCCTTCCCTCACCCACCCTCCATCAAGGCATCCATTAATACCTTGGAGAAACAGAAAAGCTTCTGAAGGCAAAATAGTGCATATGAAACCTTGATTTCCCTATCAATACTTACTGTAAAGGTGAAAAAAAGGATTCATTTGAGAAAACAATAACCCCTCTATAATACATATTTAAAATATAGCAACCTCTTTCTAAGAATGAATTTAAAAGATCACTAAGTATAATAAAATATTTTTAAGTGTCAAAATAAGCTCGGCTCCCCCACAACCACCAACCAGCCATTAAAATGTGATTTGTGTTGGAATACCTGACCAGAGTGACTCAGACTCTACAACATCTAGGGTAGGGGTCTCAGTCTTTTGTCTCCTGTTGGAGGGATAAGGGAGAGCTCAGTCCATAACAGTGGCTGTTCACCACCCTGGTGATTTGAGAGTGGAGGTGGGGGCAGGCAGCTGGTTAGCTGGAGGGCAGGTATCACATCAGGTGATCTAGCAGTGAGGAGAGGGGAAGACGAGGGAGGTTGCAGCACAGCTGCAAAAGGAGCAAGAGAGCAATGACAGCAGAAGGCTGAAGACCAGTGAGAGTGGCCAGGGTTGCACAGGCAGAGGCTTGGATTTCTGCCTGCCATTTCCTCTTGCCCTCTTCAGGGTCTTTAGCACAGCGCCCACCTCTCAATGGACTTTTATTGATAAGGAATTCTATTCTTTCAGACTTTCACTCTTCTTGTGTCAGAAACACCTGGGGGCATGGGGCTTGGTTCATTTGACCTTCATACACTCACATAACCACTTCTGTTAGTACCACCCTTAATTAAACATTATTTTTCATTTGTCATCAGATTTGGGGAGTTTTCAGCCATTATTTCTTCAAATATTCTTTCTGTGCCTTCCTCTCCTTTCATTGTGGAACTCCTATTATGCATATATTGGCATAATTAATGGTGTCCTACCAGTTTCTTAGACTACTCATTTTCCTTCATTTCTTTTTCTTTCTGCTCCTCAGATTGGGTAATCTCAAGTGACCTATCTTCAAGTTTGCTGATTCCTTCTGCTGTTGAGCCCTTCTAGTGAAATTTTCTTTTAAGTTATTATACTTCTCAACTCCAGAATTTCTGTTTGGCTCCCTTTAAAAAGTCATTTTGATCTATTTGTTGATCTTCTCTGTTTGGTAAGACATCATTCTCATGATTTCCTTTAGTTCTTTGTGCACGATTCCCTTTAGCTCTTTGAGTGTATTTAACATGGTTGATTAAAAATCTTTGATTAGTACATCCAATGTGTGGGTTTCCTCAGGCAGTTTTTACTAGTTGCCTTTTTTCCTGTGTATGGGCAATACTTCATCCCTTTGCATACCATGTAGTTTTGTTGAAAACTGTAATTTTTAATATTATAATGTGGCAACTCTGGAAATGAGATTTCCCCCACTCCCCAGGGTTTGTTGCTGCTTATTGTAGTTGTTGTTTTTGATTTGGTTAGTGACATTTCTATACTAATTTTATAAAGTCTATATTCTTTATCATATATGTCCATTGAAGCTTCTGTTCCATTAGCTTAGCAGTCAGTTAGTGATTGACAGAAATTTCCTCAAACACCTGGGACAAAATACCAGAAACAACTCTAGTCTTTGTACTTGGCTTCTGTGTATATGTCGAAACATATTTTAATACTGAACCAGCAGTTTACAACTCTGTCTTAGCCTTCACTTCCTATTTGCACAGACCCTGGAGGTCAGCCAGAGGTGAGAGTTTAGGGGTATCTCAGGTCTTTCCTGAGCATGCACTCGGCCCTAGCAAGTTAACCTTTTCTATATCCTACAGTCACTCTCTGTTGGACTATACCAGTTAAAGGTCATTGGCAGAGAAAATGCAGAGTGATAGATTTCTCCTTTCACTCTATAAGGGCCACTGCCCTGTTTCCAGCAGCACCATGGAGGGTAGTTTACCAGCATTGTTCAGTATAAGTCAGTGATTGCAAATAACCACGATAGTCTTAAAGCAATGATTTTTACTAGGTATTAGAGTATACCTCTAGGTCAGGATTTTAGATTTTATTCAGCTTGATTCCATGTGTATGGAATTTAAATCTACAGAATACAAGTTTGTTTGTTTTTTTTTTGAGATGGAGTCTCGCTCTGTCACCCAGGCTGGAGTGCAGTGGCACAATCTCGGCTCACTGCAACCTCTGCCTCACGGGTTCACACCATTCTCCTGCCTCAGCCTCCCGTGTAGCTGGGACTACAGGTGCCTGCCATCATGCCCCGCTAATTTTTTGTATTTTTAGTAGAGACAGGGTTTCACCATGTTAGCCAGGATGGTCTCAATCTCCTGACCTCGTGATCCGCCCACCTCAGCCTCCCAAAGTGCTGGGATTACAGGCGTGAGCCACCGCGCCCGGCCAGGGTTTTTTTTTTTTTTAATGTAAAATGATTTAGGCCAGTATGGTTAACCAGCATGTACACTTAGAATTCCAAAATTCTGTTTGCACATATATTTATCTTAGCCAGTTCAAGTTATAAACATGAGCTCTATTGCTCATTTTCTTTATTGCTGCTATCTAATGTTTTTAATTTTTTGAGATGCAATTCTCATACCATACAATCTATTTTTTAAGGGCATACAATCCATTAGTTTTATTGTATTTATAGTTATGCAACCATTACCACTATCTAATTGCAGAACACTTTCATGTCTCTTTTCATACCTTGCCCAATCACAGTTACTCCCAGTCCCTGGCAACCACTAAATTACTGTCTCTCTGAATTTGCCTTCCCTAAACATTTTATATAAATGGAATCATACAATATATGGCCTTTTCCAACTGGCTTCTTTCACTTAGCATAATATTTTAAAGGTTCATCCATGTTGCAGCATGTATCAATACTTCATTCCTTTTTATGTCTGAAAAATATTCCATTGTATGGATATGCCACAGTTTATCCATTCATCAGTTAAAGAACATGTGAGTTATTTCTACCTTTTGGCTATTATGGACTATGCTGCTATGATCATTAGTATACAAGTTTTTGTGTGGATGTATATTTTAATTTCTCTTTGGGTATATATCTAGAAGTGGAATTGATGGGTTCTATGGTAACTCTATATTTAGTTTTTTGAAAAACTGTGAGATTGTTTTCTAAAGCAGCCCAATTTGCTTTTAGGTGACAAGTTCAAGTTCACAAAGAAAAGGAGTGGGCCATATTGACTTATACTTCTATAAATGAAATGTTTCAAATGCTGACAATTTGCAAGGAGAATGTCTGCATGAAAACAGTTAAAATTATTATTTTTTTTGATCAGCCTCACCAGAGCTTCTGAGTATTACTGCCATGCCCATCAGAATTAAGTCTTTTGCTGATTCTTCATGATAATTGACATTTCTATTTAATCAGCTTTAAGTTGCTCTCAAACAAACAAAAAAAGCCCATTATTCATAATCAAATGCTCCAGAATCAGACAGATGCAAGGGCTGGCTTTACTACTTCCTAGCAGTGTCACTTTGAGGAATAATGCCTTTTCTTGAAGAAAAACTTCATTTTCCTCCTCTGTAAAGTGGGATTAACAGTATCTACCTCTAGATGTTCCTGTATTAGAATGAGGTCATGTATGCAAAACAGTTGCCTGGCATTTCCTAAGTGCTAAATAAATGTTAACTATTGTTATTATTATTACTGTTATGTCATTATTTAAATGTAATTTTTTGAAAGATAAATAATGTCTTAAAATACTCTCTGAAACTACTTAGAGACAAAGCCTATTTTAATATAGTGATCAGATTTTTCATCTAGCAAACAAAATCATTTATAATCAAAACCTTTTTTTTTTTTGAGACAGAGTCTCCCTCTGTCTCCCACGCTGGAGTGCAGTGGTGCAATCTTGGCTCACTGCAGGCTCTGCCTCCTGGATTCACGCCATTCTCCTGCTTCAGCCTCCCGAGTAGCTGAGACTACAGGCACCCGCCACCATGGTTGGCTAATTTTTTGTATTTTTAGTAGAGACGGTTTCACTGTGTTAGCCAGGATGGTCTCGGTCTCCTGACCTTGTGATCCACCTGCCTTGGCCTCCCAAAGTGCTAGGATTACAGATGTAAGCCACCGCGCCCGGCCACATTTTTTTTTAAGGCTAAGGAAGAACGGGAAGTGGGTGGCTGAAAAAAATCAATTAAAAATATTTATTTGCTAGTTATTCATTTTGTCCTTGATATGTATTTAATTTAAAGCAATTTATTTTTCTTTTCTTTCTTCCCTGAAGCAAATGTAATTTGAACACAGACTAATTTTTTTTATAGCTAAAGTGAAATGTTAAACAAAATCGTCATCCCTTTTAGCACTACCTTTAAGTTATTCTTTACGGAAGAACTGGGTAAACCCTTCACAGAATGTTTGCAAAACACCTGATGCACAATATGGTGTAAACTGTCACATTTCTCTTTAATTTTTTAATAGTGACCAAAGTGAATATTTTTCCAGTGATTGCTCCATAATATTATGCTACAAATGTGTTGTAAATAAAAGATTGATAATAAAATACAAAAAAAAATGAAATAAACAATAGAAGACAAATATGACAATAGGCAAGAATGGTTAGCAAACATTCTGATCAAACCTTTTTTGTTAGTTTAAAAGGAATGCATCATTGCTTAGTCTTTGTTCTAAATGAGATGTCCCATTATCTGTATCTGGGGCATGAACAAGTTTTTATGGCTTGGTGGCATCAGAAGTTTAAGAGCTGGAAGGGACTTTGGTTGTAAAGGTTGGTCTAGCACAGGGTTTCTCAGCCTGGGCACCATTGACAATTTTGCATTGATAATTATTTGTTGTGGGGGCTGTTCTGTGCATTGTAGGATGTAGGCTCTACCCACTAGATGTCAGTAGTGCAGGGTTCCCCCTACCTGCCTGTTTCCCCCGCCCCCACCACACACAATGAGAACCACTGATCTGGGGTTTGCCAAAGTGTACACTCCATGGAGCACCACTCATGTTGGAGGGGCTGGGATACTCCAGGAAAATATTCTGTTGTCAAATAAGTTTGGGAAACCCTTATTTAGACAACAGCAAAAAATTGTCAGAGCTTTCAATGTGATATCTAAAGTGAATTGCCAAGAGGCGAACATGCAGCATGTTTCAGCTTATTTGACAGCAGCCCGTTTTTCAAAGGCAGCTTGCAGGATGGAACATACTCCCATTCCTGTGCTCCAACTCTCATTTTCCAGGTGAGGAAATTGAGGTCTAGGGAGGTTACATGACCAGCCAAAGGCTCTGCATTACCTAATTTCATAATTGCTGTGTGAGCATGTACTGCATGCTAGCTCCTATGTTAGGCACTGGGGAGGCAATGGTGATACACAGGATAGGCAGATGGACCCAGTAACTACAACACAATGTGGTTAGTGCTAGGAGGGAGGCCCTCCAAGAGGCTGAGAGAGCATCTCAGAATGGGCACTTCATTCACATTGAGTAGATGAGCTGAGTCCATGTTGTACATGTTTTAGCTGAGACATCTGTGGAGGTAGACCAGTTTGGGAGACCAGGCAGTAGAATGCCTACAGAGGCCGATTTTGCATTTCTGTGTATAATAATTGAGGCAAGGGACTGTATGAGAGTCCTCCAGGGATGAGAAGCTTAGGGTAGAACCTTGGGGAAATCCATGTTTAAGGGTGCACCGAGGAAGAGCAGCCCCAGATAGAGACCAAGAAGGACATAGGAGAAAGTACAGAGCCAGGCAAAGGGTGCAGTCTGATGCTGCAGAGAGGAAGCTGCAACCTGCAGGGTTGAGGGCCTGGGCTCTGGAGCTGAGCTAGAGTTTGAATCCTAACTGCCTAGCTTGCAGGTTGTGTGATATTTGTCACCTGTTGTATTACTTTGCAAAGGCTCAATTTATAAAAGCAGTATAATTGTAAAGCCTACTTCATCTACTTGTTGTGAAGCCTAGCTAAAGTATGAGAAGTATGGAGTACCATGCTTGGCATATAAGAAATGCTTAGTAAATATTCGGTGATGCTATCCTTATTATTATCAAATGACATGAGGACTCAGAAACATTCATGAATTTGCTTCTTGGAGGTTGTGGGTGACCTTGGCAAAAATCCATTTCAGCGGAGGGACAGATGGTTTGAGAGTGAGTGGGAAGTGAAACGTAGAGGCTGTGAGTTTAGAATTTTCTCAAGGTTAGTTGTGAATGGGATTGGGCAGGGGGGTGGTGGTGATTGCTGCACAAGAGACTTGGAATTTGAGTGCTGGCTTTGAACGTACACCACAGCCGCAGCATAGAGAAGAGTAATTCTGAGCGGTGAGGATACCTGCGCAGAAATGATGATGATGATACTAAGCACAGGAGTGAGAGACAACTAGGAAACCAAGGATCGTGGGAGAGAGGGGAGGAGGGAATGGGCTACAGGGAGGAGGAAAGAAACTGCTCTGCACTAGGACTTGTCTCAGAGCCTATAGAGGCTACCAGAGTTAAGATTTGTAGGTTCCTGAAAATGAGAGTTTAGTGGACCATTTTGACCTTCTCTCCATAATGACAACATATTTTTAAATCCTGAAAGGCAAGAAAAGAGGTTTCCCAAAAAGACTTCTGGGAAGGCGGGCAGGAATCAGAGCTTCCTGGTGAAGTTATCAGACACTCTGGGAGTTGGCTTGGAATGCATACTCAACTCACTTTGCAATCATTCTTAACTTTTAGAGAAAGCCTCCCAAATCTAACTTTATTGAACAGCAGCCATTGGCTCTCTTCCTGATTTCTCTGTGCACAGATAGAACTTCCAGCATCTCCTCCTTTTCTGCTGACCGTTGATGTGCTGTTTTTCTGACCAGGAATAGCAAACTTTCCTCTTTCCCAGTCTCCTGTACTGGGCAGGAGGATTTCTCACCATCTCCAAATCTTGGAGGCCTGGGGAAGTTGAGTCCTTCTGAAACTTGAAGAAAGGAGAATTCTCTCTGTATCCTGACATAGGAACTATTTGAGTATGAAGAAGGTGCTGCATGCATACATTCAAAGGAACTAGTGAATAGCTGGCATGCATTTTGATACTGTGCTAATTGGTAGCCCTGAGGTCTTTGGGCTTTGTTTATAGACTTCTCCCAAGACCCTCCAAGTAAGGCCTGCATGTTACTTCTCACAGGCTCTCAGAGAGTCTTGGGAAGACAGAGGCCTCTCTTTTAGACATGGAGAAGTATCGTGGGAGGTGAGTTGCCCAAGGACACACAAGACTCCTGTGACTTTCAAGTTAGAGTGGTATTGTGCAGCCAGAATTCGCCTGGCATGGCTTCTGTCTCAGAACCTAGAACAGTGCTCTTCTGCAGTAAAGATTCCTAGTTTATTCCCTTTTCTCTTAGTATAAAACATTTAATGTGGGTTAGAGTATGTTTTTTATTATTTCTCCATTTAACTTGAGAAAGCAACCTCATGGGTTCATATTTTTGTTTCCCTCATTTTAAAGACAGGCGAGATTTCACGAGTAGATGAAAGAACACCCAAATTTGAGGGAGCGTTCCAAGTTCATAAATACTTGTGGCTGAGAGAAAACAATGGCCCTCCCTCAAATACTGCAGGGAAGAACCAGTATTGGGAACAGCTGTGTTTGAAAGTCTCCTAATTGTTATTTATTCTATCTGTAGATCTATAGTCCAACCAATGTATGAATAGGACCTTTGCTGATTATATCTCTGTTTTGATCAGAACTGCTATAAATGAAAGAGTTGTAGTGTACTGTTTTCTTAAACTCCTAGGGTTTTACCACAAATCAGAGTTGTTTCTTGTGATACAGCCTTCTTCAGCCTCTGTTCGTCTCTAAGAAATTGAACCTAGAGTAGTAAACAAGTGATACTTCTGTAAACTCCCTAAGGGATGACTCCTCAGTTCTGTGAACCCCATCATCCCTCCTAATCTCAAGTCGCTTATTTTCTTATGCTTTGTGGAGCTCTCCTACAAGCACCTGAACTCCAGCATGTCCCAAATGTTATTCATGATTTTCTCCTTAAGTCTGCTGCTCCTGCATGAGTTCCTATGTCCATTAATGACATTCTTTATGACACAAGCAAGAAATCTTGGCACCATCTTTATCTCCCGTTTTGCTAACTCCCGTGTACATTTGACTACTCCATTTTCCAAGATGATATTCTAGGCATGTCAGTCTTCTATTTTTTCCTCTGTAAAGGCAGGTAGTAGGGTAGGATCCATATCTGTAACTCCAATGCCTTCTGCTTGGAAGATAATGCTTCCTGCTGGCCAGTTCCCATTCCTCAGCCCAAATACTACATCCTTGGCAAGCCATTCCTCTCTGAACCTCCTTCCCAGGAAGATGCATTCACTTCTTCCTCTGGATTGCCATTTATTTTTTTTTTTAACTCTAATGCTCATGAAACTTTGTGGTAAAATTTTATTTGAAGGTCTGGCTCTTCTGCTACATTCTGAGATCTTTGAGAGTAGGAACCCAGATTGTACTTAGATCCGTGTCTGGCACATATGTAAGCACAAAAGCTATTGACTATATTTAAGTGACTTGAATTAGAAAAAGATGTATGAAATAGAAGAGGAACAATTAAATGCTTATTTGTATTTGATCTCATTTTAGTCTTTTTCTCTTCCCATTTCATTCTCTCCTCTCCCTTAGAAAAAAAGCACGTAAATGTTCTGTTCCTATAAAAACAATTTAAATAGAGACTTTCTTTATCAGCAGACAGAATAACCTGGTTGCATTGTCAATGTTCTGTCTAAATGAAGTTTAACTAACAACTGTTGCCTTTAAGGGATAGAAAAGAAAACCTCACAAATATTATTTATAGAGAACATGCATTGGTCTTAGAGTCTGAGGGTCCAGGTTCCAGTTCGGTTGCTGCCATTTATTACGTGAATGACCCCAGGCAAGTCTCTTTTTTTAAGGTTCAGTTTTCTCCCTTGCAATGAGAATAACACCTCCCTGACAAGGTTATTTTAAGAACTTGATGAGATGTTGGATATGAAAGCATCTTGTATAGGTAAGACACTAAGTTCTGACATAGAATAAACTTATGATTGCATGTTTGTATCCCTGCAAAATTCATACATTGAGATACAATCCCCAGTGTGATGATTTGAGATAATTAGGTCATGAAGGAGGAGCCCTCATGAATGGGATTAGTGCCCTTATAAGAAGAGGCCAGAGAGCTAGCTCACTGTCTTTCTGCCATGTGAAGATATAAGGAAAAGGTGGCCATCTGCAGCCTGGAGAGGGCCCTCACCAGAACCCGACCACACTGGCACCCTGATCTCACACTTCCAGCCTTCAGAACTGTGAGAAACAAATTTATGTTGTTTTAAGCTACCAGTCTATGGTAATTCGTTATGGCTGCCAGAATTAGGATAGCTCTTAATTTTTAGTTGAATCTGAATTTATATGTATTTCTTAGGCCTGGATTTGAAAACCATTCTGCTATGTGGTTTAGGTAGTATCAGCTGTTAGCATACGCATTGTCTCAAGGACTAACTTTTCAATATCTATCTTTATTTCAGGTTAGTAACATCCTTTGTTTGGGAATAACATGCATATTATTTCATCTGATGTTTTCCTAAGACAATTAGATTGAATTTTTTTCTTCTCACTTAAGCATTTTGGAGTACCATTAGTCCTCTTCCATGTCTTAGATAATATTGAATTCAGGGTGTACTTTTAAAAATCTTGGTAGTTAAATTTAGCAGTTTTGTTTGGAGGTATTTATTTTCATCTTGGTAATAAGACAAGAAGTAAGATGTTTCATAATTACCATATTTTGTTTGGGATTTCTGCTGAATTTTCTCTCTCTCCATTGCAGTTCTCTTTTTGGAGAGGTCCTTCTCTCTACAGCCATATGCTGGTAGATAATGCACGGTAGCTGATCAGTGCTAGAAAATACAGGAGATCCAGAGCATATTACTCCCTTGAACGTATCTTTTAGCTGCAGGGAAAACAGATCTAAGGCATGAATTACAACTTATTAGTTGTAGATGGACTCTGTAGCCCAGTACTGATTAAGAAGAAACAGCCTCACTCTGTCTTGCCATGATGGCTGTTCCAAGTCAAAGGAAAAGGAGAAGTCTGTTGGAGAAGATTTTCTTTCTTTTTTCCTTCTTCTTCTTTTCTTTAGTTCATCCATTCATTTATTTTCTAATATTATGGGACACAAAAGCAGAATTTGTAGTTAGTACTCTTGGCTGTAGAAATTCGTAGTTTTGCTTTTCCTTTAAGGTTGATTCCAGCACCACTTTGTGAGAAGAAACTGTCATAGTTTCACATTGCCTCTAAGAAAATGAAACGTACCTAAGTATTATTGGACAGCCGGAGTATTTTACAGTGGTTGCTGCTCAGGAAATTTGAGTGAAGGACTGCAAAAGAGGAGCAAAGCAGACCCGAGAGAGAAGGCAGCAGTGCTCCCCTGTGACGTGCTCCATCACCGGGCAGGGAAGACACCGCTGCCACCTCTCCACAGCCTTGTTCAAGAGCACTGGAAATTGTAAGGTGTTTGTTTTGTTTCATTTTGGGAGTGGTGGAAGATTAGCCTTTGTGTTTCTCCTCTAAAGAGTTTTGTCTAAAACGCTTACGACTACTTAGTTAAACAAAAATCCAAAGTAAGCTATCATTGAAATATGAAATATACTAACAAAGCCAAACAGTAAAAGATTATACAGGGAAAGTCCTTTCTCCCCATTTTGACTTCACCCACTCAGTTTCCCTTCCCAGTGTCCTTCCAGAGAGATATTTGACTCATGAATCAGCACATATATTCATATGCCTGCTTTTTCATACACTGTAGCAGCATACTAGAATATTGTTCAGCATTTTTATTTCTTTTTTTTTTAACCTTACACTATTTCCTGATGTTTTCCAAGTAAATGTTTTATTTTTTTTCTTATGGTTGTGTAGTATACATCCATTGTGTAGATGGATGTGTAAAGTACACATCCATTGTATAGATGTGTAATTTATTTAGCCAGTTTCTTGAGGAATATTTAGGTGTGGTGGCTCATGTCTGTAATCCCAGCTCTCTTGGAGGCTGAGGGGGGCAGATCACCTGAGGTCAGGAGTTCGAGACCAGCTTGGCCAACATGGTGAAACCTGTCTCTACTAAAAATACAGAAATTAGCCGGGCATGATGGTGGGTGCCTGTAATCCCAGCTACTCAGGAGGCGGAGGCAGGAGAATCGCTTGAACCCAGGAGGCGGAGGTTGCAGTGAGCCCAGATTGCACCACTGCACTCCAGCCTGAACGACAGAGTGAGACTGTCTCAAAAACAAACGAACAAAAAAGTCTTGGTGTATGAATAAGGAAAGGAGCCCTAGATATTGGGCATGCAAAGGCTTTTGTGTTCTCTGAAAAGGTCATGCAATGATAGAAGTGACCCGAGACACCTGTAAACTGATGACCCACAGTTAAATCCACATAATGTGGCCAGTGCTGTGGTTTTGGGTAAGTGCAGGATGCTGTGGACAGTGGGTGCCTAAGAGCTACATTTCACTCAAGTGCTGGAGAAGCAGGAGAGATTGACCCTAAGGAAGTTCCTGCTAAGCTGAGCCCTGGAGAATGTGAGGAACATAGGTTAGGAAAGGGTAGAATAGTGTGAGGAACTGTGTTCTAGGAGAGGGAACACCAGCATGCCCAGAGATCATCATGGCCCGTTTGAGCTTCAGAAGTGTATCTGTTGGCAGTCTGGAGAGGAGACTGGCAAGGTAATCAGGCATTGGAATCACCGTAGCTCTCCATAAGTGTCAAGGAGGTTGGACATAAGGCTATGGGAGGCCAGTGAAGACCTTTATCAGGAGTGGGAGGTTATTTGATTTGTGTTTAAAAATCTCATCCTGCCTGCCAGGTGGAGAGTAAACCGGAAAGGGATGGGATGCTATGTAGGAAGCTGTTGCAGTAATCCAAGTGAAAGGTGATGGTGGCCTGAACTAGGAAATGGCAGTGCAACTAGGAAGAAGTAGACACAGAAGAGCTCTTCAGACAGTGGAATCAACAGGAGTTAGCAATTTTGAGACGTGGGCATGGAGGCAGAGACCCTCAGCCCTCTGGTTGTTCACTTTTAACAAAAAGATTATGTGCAATGCATTTAACATATTATTCTTGCATCTTTATGAAACCATCCTCATTATTTCTTTTGGACAAATCCTGGAAGTAGACTTGCTGAGTCAAAGGAAAGATCTTGAAATATTTCAATAATGTAGTCAAATTGCCTCCAGAAAGGCTAATACGCCAATTGTCCATTACCAATTAGGGCACTAGCTTCAGCCTCACTGAGTATTATCGCTTTGAATTGACACCAATCTGATAGGAAGAAAATACATACCTTTTCTTTATTTTAATTTGCATTTCTGTGAGTACTGGCAAAGTTGAAGTTTTTTTCATGCTTATCAACTAATTATATTTCCACAAATTACATATTCATATCTTTGCTTATTTTCCCCCTGAGGTGTTTATCTTTGTCTTTTTTATTTCTAAGAGCTCTATTACTCTTTAGTTGCTTAACCCTTTGTCTTTTCTATTTGTTGCAGGATTTCTCTCATTTATTTATGCTTTTGTTTATATTTTGTTGATCAGAAAGTTTTTTAATGTAATAAAATATTTTGTTCATGCTTTATGCCTGTAGTTCAGTGTGAAGAAAATTCTTCCTCAACCCCAGGTTGAGGTATAAATAGTGGGATTTTTATAAATATTCACATTTATTTTCATTTTTTACCTTCGGGTCTTTAATTCATCCGGAATTTTCGGATATGTGTTGTAGGAATCTATCTCTTTTTGATCGGAATAATAATTTTTTTTTCTGAACCAAAAATCGGGACAACCTAGTCTATGTAACAAATAATTTTTATGCATTTGTGTGGCAGAAGCAGTTTTAGAGAGTAATAATATTGGAATTTCTGGGACATTTGATGTTATATATGTTGATAGATTATAGAGAGATAAGATTTAAGGACTAATACTTATACCTGGGCAACATCAGGGAACCTGTGCCATTGCTAAAAAATAAAAAAAGAAAGAATGGCTCCCAACACCCATTCAGAATAGAATGTTTGAAATCCAGAGTGCATGAGAAAGTTCAGGATCCAGATTGTAAAATATTGCCAATGGTTTATGTAGTGCAACCTGCATTTCACTGATAGCTCATGTTATCCTTCCTATTTGAAACACTAGTTAACATCAAAATGACTTTTCAGGTCCGTGGTGGCTCTAATCTTTGTATGTTGGTAGGTTCCTTTCTAGGCAGAACATCCAAAGACAACCCATTCTCTTGAGGCCATCAGAACAAGATCAAAGGTTGTAGAGCCTTGACCACAGTATTAAAGCAAAGCCTCAAAATGACTTAAGGAATCTTAGGAAATAAAATGCCACAGTCCTGGACATTTATCATTTGGCAGCAAGCTAAACATTTCCTAAAACTTTTACAAGTAATTTAGGTACCTAATGGAAATTTTTTGTTTTTAAATTCTGGAGTTGCCTAAATTGTTTAGGAGAAATTTAGCTGGAATCTGGCGATAGGACTGTTTATATGTGCTTGGCTCAGGGTGGCTGTGTTGTCCACATTAGCATGACCATGGGCTCCTTATCGAAGCCCTGGTTCCCAGTAAGTGCTGTTTGCAAGAGTGAGGTGGAGTTTGGTGGCTTTCAGGCCACCCAGAGTGCCATGTGTATCTGTTTGATAAACTCTGTGGTTTGTCTGTTCTCTGTGTTTTTGCCAGATTGTTTAAAAAAAAAAGAAAGAAAGAAAAAGCAAACAAGCAGGCATCATATGTTAAAAGTTTATCTTTCTACATGAATTTTTGGAAAATCTAAGTGTAATTTTATTCCTGAAAGAACAAAAAGTTGTTTCCCTGGGGAGATAATTTTGGGGTGCATAGATATTTTTAAGGCTGTAGATATTAACTATGAAAATAATATATAACTTTGTCAATACTTTTTTTTCAGCAGGCTAAGCCATATTTTTTCAAAAAAACGAGGCTGGAATCAACTACTCTTGGCATATCAGAGATCAGGAAAAAATGGGTATTGGAAGCCATTCTTTTTTTTCTTCATGACAGCACAGGCTTTCTGATGTTGTCCAGGTGTACGTATTAACCCTTCAATCTTATCTTTATAGTCCAGGATTTTTCAGCCTCAGTACTATGAACATTTTGAACTGGATAATTTTTGGCGGGGTGAGCGGGGGCTCTCGTTTGTGTTATAGGATGTTTAGTAATATCCGTGGTTTCTACCCACTAGCTGATCTCTACCCACTAAATGCCAGTAACACCCCCATCAGCCATGACAATAAAAAAGTGTCCCCAGCATTGCCAAATGTCCCCTCAGGAGCAGATTATCCCTGGTTGAGAACCACTGGTATAGCCAATGCAGAGGAAGCAGGATTGGTCAGATCGGAGTTTGTATTTGACTTTTATATGGTCTATTTTCAAGTAATTTGTCTTCAGAGCAAGAATAGGCTACCGGGAGGAACCCTGTAACTAAACTTCATGAAAATATAATTAAATTTCATAGCATTCCAAGGCACTAACTAAATTTGTTATATTGAAATGAAATCAGTGAACTGAGACCTGAGGACAGGTTGAGAACCTGGGAGGTTATTTTCTAGAGAGACTGATCTCAGTTGAGTTCAGGCAAAGGGTAGGAATCATGGTATTTCTATGGTGAGTCAGTTATGGTTGTTAAATTTAGTTATTTGCTGTGCTAATAGCATAAATCAAAGAACAGGAAACTTCCTTCCTAAAATATCCGCCTGCCCTTCTAGGTTGTGCTGGCCGCATAAGATTTGCTGTTGCGGCTTTCTATGGATGGTTGACCAATTCAGATGAAGCACCCACCTGCTGTGGAAAATCTGGAAAATCAGCCAAAGTTTGTTTCAAAAACCTTACTTGACTACATATTTTAATGACTCCAAGTTATACACTTGACTAGAAATTAGTGGTGTGTGTTTTCCTCGCATATGGTTGAATTTCCCCCTCCCTGTTGCCGATTTTAAAAAGATGTTTCTTTTTTATGAACGCTGAGAGTATAAATCAAACAAAAGCCAAAGGAGCCACGTCATGTACTCAGTCTGTAGCAGCAAATGTTGTACTTGCATTAATTTTGGATAACAGGTTACAGTTTTAAATTGGATTTTTTTGTAATGCAACAGAAATTACCTTATGAAAAGTTGGTTTGAAAGGTGGCAATTCACGTGTAATTTGATGTTCCATATTAAAATATACATGTCTTACATAGTACTGCTTTCAAGCATGACTACCTGTATAATGCAATCGTGTTAAATCATTGTTACATGTATTTTTACTAATTACTGAACTGGAGTGAATTATAAATCTCTGCCAAAAACATTGACTTGCTTATACTGGGCAAGCAGTTAATCATGTTTGGTGGATCTGTTCTTTAAAATTTTTGATGATTTTATAAAGCTTTTGGATAATTAAATTAAGATGAACTACTTCCACAGTGTGTAAATACCTTGTAATGCAGTTTTAAAGGGCTATAAAATAATAATTAAAACTTAGAATTACCAGCTTCCAATGATCATTTCAATAATCATTGCTGACAGAGGAAGAAGTAGTATTATAGAAAACAAGAGTTCGGAAAGAAATACAAGAAGCCTCAGCCATCCTCATTTTCTTTCTGTCCATCCTTACCACGTTGTATCTGCGGTGGGAGTTGACTGGATGGTAGAAGGGGAAAGCCATAGGCTAAGGGAAGACAGTACACTTATGGAAGATTGTGTATTAACCATTTTCTTTCCCTAACAGATTTTGATTGTCCCTTATTTAAATACATTTCTATGTGAAACCAGGAAATAGTAATCTTTTTTGTTGCATGTATAGTGCAAAGGTAGCTTGAGAAGCAGTATGATAGGATGGACACCAGGATGTCATAGCTGGAAGCCTTCTTGGAAATGCAGGGAGCACAAAATGTCTTTTGAGCTTCTTTTCCCTGTACCTTTTCTCCTTTTGTTTATGCCCCACCCAGGCATGAGTTCTTTAAATCAAGGATTTCTATTCAGTTTACTGTTTTCATATTTGTACCTGAAACAGAGATAGCTAACACTGTTACTCCAAAACTAGAGCGAAAGAATTCAGAAATATGAAGAAAATTTATATAAGTGTTTGAGGGAGGATATTAGTTTCATTTCTGACTTTTATTCAACTTTAAAAACTTAACAGCTAGCTGTGTAGTTTCCTTGAATCATCTGATCTTGTCTCCATATAAATATAGAGATTCCTAGAAATATTACTGTGAATCCATGCTGTATGTTTTGGCTTCCTGAAAATCAACTAAGGCCCATCCATGCTGTGCAGATGTTGAAAGTACAATTCTCCCTGTAGATAGCAAAGGGTAAGCGGGTAATCACACACTCTTTCTTGTCATATTTTCTTTTAGGGTGAGAGTCTAGTAGCTGTTGGAATTTGGATTAGTAGTCCAAACTACTAGTGTTTAGTCTTCTAGAGTTTAATAGGTCTATTGATATAGAAACAAATATAAATCTTTAGTCTGTGCATTATTATCTTTAAATGCTTATTTTAGAAAAATCTGTTGGTTGAGTTTATTGGGACATGGAACTATGAAAGTCATGGGTATGAGCTCTGCTACTAGCACTTAGCTTTGCCAGATGGTATGATTATATAGACTGCCTTGAAAGAGGTGGTTTTCAAGGGAGCAGGTTTAAAGGGAGAATCTTTCATTCCACAGTTATTTGTGAATGTTGTGCTGGACAGACACCTGTAGACAAAGCAGACCACAAACACATAAATAAATGTGAAAACTATCAGATATGTGTGTGCAGTGTATTAAAATTGGGTGAAACAATAAAAAAGTAGTTATTTCTAGAATAAAATTTATAAAGATGGATTAAGCCTCAGTGGAACAAAAATGAGGATAGACTTATAGAGCCTCTGAATATACAAAAATCCAGGTCTCATTCTGTTTACACTGCACAAAATATTGGGGACAGCTTTTATTCGGGAGATCCTTTTCATGATTTCCACTCCGTGTTTTCCTACGAAGTAACATATTTAGAAAACCTCAGAAAAACGTTTGTTTCTAGGACAGCATAGAAGGGGAAGAAACAGTCTATTTTCCTTCCGGGCATTGGGGGAACAGAGGGAAGACCCAGGCACATGAGTGGTGGGTGGTACCTGAGGGCTTAGGGTCTAAAGAAGAAGAGTCATACTATTTTTAAAAATCCATATTTGAGACAGTGGCATTCAAAGCCCTAAATGAGTGGGGTTTGGAGGAGACCATGGAAAGTAAGAAAAGGACACATGAAATGACAGGAAGCCATGAGATGTCTGGATTACCATCTTGTGTGAAGTTCCTAGGCAGCACCCTCCCTCGTCCAGATGTCCCTCCCGGCGGGCCAGCACCTCCATTGAGTTCTGACTCGTGCCCTTTCCCATTGTCCTTCCTGCCTCTTCTTCAAAAAACTTTCACTAGAATGACTTTCCTTGCAGCCTCTGAACCTGTTCACTTCTCACATCCGAAACCAGCCCTTTCTTTCTCTTGTTTAGTTTCCCTCGTCCTTTTTAATCAAAAAAAGTTCAACTCTCTCTCTCCTTATGTCTCTTTTCCTGTGTTCCCACAACTGTGTAATCTTGCGTTTGCTTTTGCAAAGGCCACAACTAAGTTCCATGTTGTAAACTGAGCTATTTTAAAATAGACCTTGCAACAGTAGGTACTGGGGGCTAGAGGGTGGAAGAGGGGCGTGGGTTGAAAAACTACCTATCGGATACTGTGCTCACTACCTGGGTGACAGGCTCAATCGTGCACCAAACCTCAGCAACATGCAATTTACTCATGTCACAAAATATACTCCCTAAACCTAAAATAAGAGTTGGAAAAATTAAAATAAAATAAAATAAAATAAGTCTTGGCATCAGATAGGATAGAGGTTCAAATCTTGGCTCTGCTACAAACTGAGTGATATCAGGCAAGTTATTTAACCTGTCTAAACCTCATATTATAAGATATGATAATAGCTTCTTTTATTATAAAGATCAAATGTGATGAGTATGTGATATATCATAAATTGTCCAATGCATTTAGCGTGGTGCCAGCCCACAGGAAGTGCTTCATGAGGGATGGCTGCTGCTCCTACTTCTACTAAACAGTGCTGTTGCAGTTACTACTGCTGGACCTGCTGCTGCTTTTAATTTTGTAGGCCTGCAGTCCTCTTTATGCTACGAGCCCTTGGCTTCCACCTCTGTACTCTGTAGGCTTGCTTATTCTAACCCTGCCTGCAGCTTTCCTCTCCTTCTGACCTCTTTGGCCTTTTCCTACTACTAAGAGAAGGGGGCTCCCATGGATTCAGTCCTTTGTCCCCTGTTCTCACCACTTTGCCATCCATACTCACAGCTTTAACTCCCTGCTGTATGCTCATGACTGTCACATTTATCTCTATTGCCTGCTGACATCATTACTGGGATATCTCATGTCTCCTTCACTCATCACAAGTTAAAAACCCCCATCACCTCTCAATTCCACTGTTGCATTAGCCTCTTGACCATTCTTTTTTCTTCCATTTTTGGCTCTTTTTAAACTAAGTTGCCCCATAGCCAGAGTGATTTCTGGAAAAGGCCAATCAGATGATTCTCTTTTAAAAACCCTTCAGCCAAGCACCCAACTCCAGCCCCAGCCTCAGCAGCACCAGCTACAGAGTCTCTCCGTGACAGTCACGACGCCCCTGTCTACTTAGCACCCCATGCATCGCCTGTCACAGTATGTGCTGTGAAAATATCCATGCCAGTAAGACAAATGAGTATACTGCATGCTTTTTGCCTCGAAGCCTCATGATGTTGACTCTGCCTGGAATATCTTTCCTCCTCTCTGCTAAGCTCACTTTGATTCTTCTCAGCACAAACTTCATCTTCATAATCTTGGCTGGGCTGAGGGCCCCTCCTCTGTTCTTCCATAGCACCGCAACTATCTCTCACCCTGTAATTGTGACCCATTTTTTTTAAGTTAAATAAAACCGAACAGAATAGACTAGAAGAGAAAATGCTGTTTTGTATGTTTGTCTGTACTTGTATATAGGTGTGGTATAAGTTTTTTTCAAGGGCACAGTAAAAAAAAAAAGGCTTGGAAAACAGATTTGTGATGCTATACTGAGATTATCTGTTCATGTTACTCCATGAATTGTAAACTCCTTAAGAACCGGGACCATTCTTATCTTTTTAGCCCTAGTGTTAAGCAAAGCTTTAGTCAATAAAAACTTGTTAAATGGAATCTGCTAATTCTTGAAAAAGCAAAGGTGAGGAGAAACCGTGAAGTATGTGAATTCCTAGGATGAAATAAATGATTTGTGAAAAGTTACTTCTCTGAGTCTAAGTGAGTTAATAACTGTGGGCCCCCAGACTGAGCCTCCTTGTCCAGTGGACCAATAGAACCCTATGTAGGAAATCTGGAGTGAGAATCTGCTGAGGAGAGTGCCTTGTTCTCTTTTGTCAAATGTGTATGTGCAGATTCTGCAATTACATAGGCGAAAGTGAGCTCTTTTTTATTTGTTTAGGGAAACCGAGCTCCTACCACATTAGGCTAAGTGAATGGCTTTTCCTGCAACCAGGATGGTGGAGGAAGGAAAGAGTGGCAGGTGAAAGGTTTCCTATCAACTTCCCATTACCTTTTCCTGCTGGCAGGCTAGAAAACAAGCCCTGAAAGAGAAGGAGTGCGTCCTTCCCTCCCAGGTGCTCACTGATGGATTTTCAGCACCGAAGCACATGGCAGGAGATGCGGGATGCTCCTTTAAGGGGTCACCACATTTCTTCTGTCCTAGCAGGGAGCCAGACATGACTCTATCACGCTTGCCACTTTTCCATTCTTCTCATTGTCCTATTCTCTTTTTCAAATTTTTATTTGTTCTTAATACTTTTATTGCTTTCTCATGTTTTCACTGCTACTATGCCTTTTTCTTCCTCATTTCATCCCATTCCTCCCTTCCACCTCCTTAAAAGCAAAGAATAAAAGAAACAACTGTAAACAACACTTGTAAAAGAGAAATTAGTTATCAAATGACTTCCACTTAATTTGGGGACCTCCACTTAATACAGGAAACAAGTTTTAGTGTCATAGACCACGTATCTAAAAATGATAGTGTTCCTTAAGGGGGCATGCCTAACTTTTCTTTATCCCTGTAGGCATAGCATGGTGCTGTGCATAGAAAAATGAGCTCAATAATTGTTTGTTGTCCAGCTAGATTGAATTAATAAAGATTAAGTGTGATGCTACAACTACATTCTGTTTGACTTGCCCTGAAGCAGTTTCCTTGCTCTCTCTTTCATGTCCTTATCTGCCTCCTCCTTTTAAACATTATTATGAGTGCTTTATTTTATACTTCTGACACGTTGACATAAATGACAGTCTTGACAGATTTTATATTATTAAAAACACTACTGAATAATATCCTTGTGCTTCTTGAAGTCAGACACTTCATTTGTGAAAAGTTGATTCTCTGAGTCTAAATGAGTTATTAACTGTGAGAACAATTATCCTCTGTACTAGCTCTAAAACCCTTCCATTGACAAATGGCCTCCTGAGTGTTGCTTTAGGTATAGTCAAAGCCACCTAACAGGAATTACCCCAAGAAGACTTGAGTGCCAGCCTATCCTGAGAGCCCCAAGCTGGGAGGAGTTTGAGCAGCAAATTATGAAGGAAATAGTTTTCAAAGAACTTTCTCTATTGGCAATAACATTATTATTTTTCAGATTTTACAAACAATGCATATTTACTATAAAAATCAGACTGCAGAAAGGCTTATAAAAGAAAGTGAAAATTACCTACTTTCTTATGGTCTGTCCTTTTTAGTCTATAGTCATCTTTGTTTTTGCATGTATACATAACATATGTGTTTTTAAAAGATTGTTCTAAAATGTTATTATCTGCTTAAAAAATATAACAGATATCCATCCATGTAATCAGTGTAGCTCTGTATCATTGTTTTAAGGGTTGCATGGTGTTTTTTGTAAGGTTATTCCATAATCTTTAAGCTATGTTTAGGTTGTTTCTATTTTTTTAGCATTATAAAATAATTTTCTAATTAAGGTCTCTTCTAGGTAGCTTGATTTGTGCAAATAACTTAATCACCCTTTGGATCCTTGCTTACTTCTGTGAAAGGTGGAGTTGAGCTTGATGATCTCTTGGGTATTATGTTTAAGGTCACTTTTTATTACATATGGTTTCATGCCTTCAACTCATAGCTTTCCCTGGGAGAAGTGGAATAGGCAATGGTTAAGGGCATGACTGTTGTAATCACAGTGCAGGGATCCAAATTCTCTTTATTGCACTTACTAGCTGTGTGACCTTGGGAAAATTGTATAACCTTATTGAGCCTCAGCTGCCTGATCTGTATATGGAGATGATAATACTAACATTATAATGATGTTGTAAGGATTCAGTGAAGTGTAATGCACATAAAGTGCTTAGCATGATGCCTTACATACATACTAAACACTCAATACAGGTTAGTCAATCTTTTTATTATTAGGATTTCCACTTCTAACGTGCCAGAAGCCTACCCATTTTTCAATGGGGAGCCAGATGACTCTCCATCTTTCCAGGTGGTCAGGCCAAGAACATTGGAGTCATCGTTGACACCTGTTACTAGGCTGAACTGTGCCCCCTCAAAATTCATCTGTTGAAGTTTTAACCCTTAGTGCCTCAGACTGTAACTGTACTTAGAGATAGGGCCTTTAAAGAGGTAATTAACATTAAATGAGGTCATTGGGATGGGCTCTAATCTAATATGTGTCCTCATAAGGGAGATTAGCACAGGCACACAGAGATAAACAGACCATGTGAAGACACAGAGAGGAGATGGCCATTGGCAAGCCAAGGAGAGAGGCCTGGGAAGAAACCTGGAGCACCTTAATCTTGGACTTGCAGCACCAGAACTGTAAGAAAATAAAGTCATGTTTTTATTTTTTGAGGACTTTAGTTAATAAAAATGTATTGTACTCCGGGTTTTTTTTTTTTTTATTTGAGACAGAGTCTCCTTCTGTCGCCCAGGCTGGAGTGCAGTGGCGTGATCTTGGGTCACTGGAACCTCCACCTCCTGGGTTCAAGCAATTCTCCTACCTCAGCCTCCCGAGTAGCTGGGATTACAGTCGCCTGCCACCACACCCGGGTAATTTTTGTACTTTTAGTAGAGACGGGGTTTCACCATGTTGGCCAGGCTGGTCTCGAACTCCTGACCTCAGGTGATCCACCCACCTGGGCCTCCCAGAGTGCTGGGATTACAGGTGTGAGCCACTGTGCCCAGCCTATTCCAGATTTTTTTAAAGCACACATTGCTGTGTGCTTCCCAGTTCCCTCTGCCTGGAACACTCTTCCTGCAGATAGCTGTGGTGCTCAACCTCACGTATTTCAGATCTTTACTCAAAAATCATCTTCTCAGCAAGGCTTTACCCTATCACCTGTTTAAAATCACAGACACAAACACATACACACACACACACACACACACATACACACACATGCACACACAGCACTTGTCTTCTCTTTCTGGCTTTTCTCCGTAGTATTTATATTATATATCTTACATGCCATGTATTTTACTTGTATTTTGAAATATTGTGTTGGTTTTTTATTATAAGTGCCCTGAAGGGTGAAGTTTTTTTCTGCTTTGTTCCTTGTATATCCACAGCACCTAGAACATTGCCTGGTACATGTTCAGCACTCTATAAACATGTTTGGAATGAATGGATGTGTTTTTTGGCTTCCTTCCAGTCTCCTACTCTCAGTTTGTGCTCCTATAGCACCACCTCTCTTGTGACTTTTGATATATTCTGGATTTACTATAGTGTGTTGTCTGCCCCCACCCCAGACTGCAAAGTCCTTGATCAGAAACAATTCCTCATATTCCTTCTACTGTCCAGTGGCATACTCTATATAGGAAGTGCTCAATAAACAGTCTAATGAATATGTTAACATCAGCAGTCATCGGTCATATAGCCACTCTGTTTCCATTTCTTTCCCACACACAGCAAATTTGTAGACCCTGGGGTCATGGTTCCACTTTATGAATGAAGTAGAGACCTTTCTGACCCAAGCGCCATTTACCCATCGCTTCCTTTTATCTTCTGCAGGTTTATTCACATCCTCTCTACCTTTCCCTCTTTTCACTTTCTCTTAGAGTTATGTCATACGTTTCACTACTTTTCTCTTTTCCACCATCACATCGGATCCCTTTGTTAGCCAACAGATGCCTGTTACTAAAAAGAACAAGAACAGTGGCGGTCCATAAACATTAATCACCAGAGAAACAGTGTAAATTTGTGAGAGCAACAGGCTTTGAGTCTAAGTCAAGAATCTTCCAGACTGAGGTAGCCTTTGTGGAAATAGAAAGACTTAAATTGAATATTGGAAATGGGAAGGATTTGGATAGAAGAGAAGAAGGGGAAAGGTGGTTTAAATAGCGGGAAATGAGAAGCAAAAAGGAGGCAGCGGAGAGCGCACCTTGTTCACCAGCTTTCCCAGTGCTTCATTGGGCCTAGCGGACGCTTCGGAATTCCACAGAAGAGAGTTTCCAGTCTTCGTTCTCCTTCAGTTACTATTGTTTTTCTTCATATACTAGATGGAGTAGGAGGATCAAAATGAAAGCTTTAAAAAATATTTTTAATTGAATTTAAATTGTTTTCTGTTTGGTTTAACTACTAGTATTTCAACAGTAATTTTCCCTTATGTTTAAGTTGTCTGCCTACATTATTTCAGTTACATTGTGGATTAAATAGGCTTTTCTGGGTTGGTCTGAGATTATAAGGACTATTTATATTACAGTTTTTATGGGAGAATGAATTCAGGGTTGTAAACAACCGACCTATGTAGAAACTTTTGGAATGCAACTTAATGGTTGACTGTTTTCTTGTAACTGTTTTAAATTTTGTTTTGTTTTTTCATTTTGCTTTTCTAGTCTATAAATGGAATATGGTGTGTCTTCTTTCCTTTGATTCCATTGTTGCTCTGTGTAGCTAATTAGAAAGTTTATAGAAGTTATAAGTCCTGTCATAAGTCATTTTACTTCAAATTTCTTATAATATTTTAAAATTATTAATAGTTTCTTTCCACCTTTTAAAAAGATAATCAGGGAGAGCTTTTCTTTTATATTAGTTTTCCCATATAAGAGTAAATGAATGAATATAAAATTAAAGTTTCATTCTTTTTTTTTTTTTTTTTTTTGAGACAGAGTTTTGCTCTGTTGCCCAGGCTGGAGTGCAGTGGCACGGTCATGGCTCACTGCAGCCTCGACCCCCTGGGCTCAGGTGATCCTCCCACCTCAGCCTCCCAAGTAGCTTGGACCACAGGCACATGCCACCACAACTGGCTAATTTTATTTTTTTTTTTTTAGAGACAGGGTCTCACTCAGGCTGGCCTCAAACTCCTGGCTTCAAGCGATCCTCCTACCACAGCCTCCCAAAGTGCTGGGATTATAGGCGCGAGCCACCGCATCCAGCTAAAGTTTTATTCTTATGAGTCATCATTATTTTGTGTGGGAGTGCAACATAAACTGCTAAAAGAGCAGTAAATAAAGATTTTGTTAAACTCTTACAGTTGTGAGATTGGACAACAGGAGATTTGAACTCCTCAGGAGAAGCGATGGTGCAGTTGTTCCTAGAACCACACTCAGAAAATGGGGCTGGAGGAATAATGATTCCTACTGCGACTGTCAGAAAGAAAGGCCCATCTGCAAAGCCTTTGGGTTGACACTTCCTACCTGTTTGGTGTTTTGCACTTTTGGAGAGTATTTCATCACATCCATGGGGTGGAAGTGTTTTAGAAACGGAATATCCTCTGCCTGCTTTTCAACAGTTTTGTCTCCATTTATTTTAGTATTCCAAATAATTATAAAATTTACCCCAAGTCAGAAAAGAAACTACCTTTGCCACCAAAATGTTTATAATTACCTCAGTGACTGGCAATATTTTAATTCTCTACCCACACCACTTTCCAGAAAGCCCTTTCATTCTTTCTCTTGATAAATTCTAATAAAAAAATTAATTGCTGGTTGAGAGTATTTCTCCGGTTACAAAAACTCATTTCTTAAAATTTAGCATTTAAGAGAGGGTTAATTTGGAAGTTAATTATGGTTAATATTACATCAATAATTATTGTCTTTTCATTAGTTTTATAAAATAGCTCATTTGATTCATTAAGGATTATTTGGTAGGGATGAATAAAGAAAAACATGTTTTAATTGTCCTCCTTTCTAAATCATCCAGCAGATATTTACATTGAGTTGTTTTTCTTAAACAGCATTTGAATTATGCAGGAATGTTCATAGCAGCATAATTGTTAATATCTCAAAAGTAAAAGCAGCCCAAATATTCATCAACTTATTAATGGATAAATATAATGTGGTATATCCATACCATGGAATATTTGGCAATAAGAAGAAATGAAGTACTGATGCATGCTACACAGTGGTTAAACCTTGAAAACATTATGCTAAGTAAAAGAAGCCAGACACAAAAGGCCGTATATTTATAAATCCGTTTATATGAAATGTCTGCAATAGGGCAGATCTGTGTGGGGCAGAAGGTGGATTAGTGGTTGCCTAGGGCTGGGGTCGGGGGTTGGGGGGACAAGGGGAGTGACTGCTAATGGGTGTGGAGTTTATTTTTAGGGTGATAAAAATGTACTAAAATTGATTATGGTGATGATTGCAGAACTCTGTGAATATACTAAAAGTCATTGAATTGTACACTTTAAATAGATGTATTGTGTGGTGTGTGAATTATATCTCAATAAAACTATTGTTTTTAAAAAGCATTTCTTAGTATTCATTCACTACTTTCATTTAATGAAATGGAAGAGACTTTAGAGGTACAGAGCATGGTCAGTGACAGAGGTAAATACACAGTGAGTACTTGAATTTACTAATCTGAGGAAAGTTCTCAGCATCTCTTTGAAACTCTATTTAGATGGGAATGAATAGAGAACAGATTCCTTATTCCATTAATTTGAAAATATCATTGTACTTATCTACCAGAGAGAAAATCCCAGAGTTCAAATGTACTGAGAATTTTTATATAAAACCTGAATGAAATGTTTGAAAAAATCCAGTATGTTTAATGAAGGTACATAAACTATTTCTGCATTTGATTTAGAGATGACTTTGCTGTGCATTGTCTCGAGGTCAACTATAATATATCATAGTTTGCCATAAGCCATAAAAGGCAGTTCAGACAACGCAACTGTTGGGTGCATTTTGGACTGCTACATAGCATTTATTATATGCATGTATGACAAATAATATGTATATATCATAATTTTTTAACCATTCCCCTATTGATGGTCATTTAGATTTTTTCCTGATTTGGGCTATTATGAGTGGTTCAGCAGTAGAATCCTAGTACATGACTCCTTGTGAACATGTATGTGCAAAGCTCTTCTCTATAATAGAAAATGAAAGATAGAATTGCTGGGTAGAAGGTGTGTCCATTTCTACTTCGATACTGCCAGGTTATCCTCTCACAGGTGCCACTGCGCTCTCCCTCTGGCAGTTTCCCTACACACTTGCTAATGTTTGATATTGTCAAACTTTATCTGTGGTATAAAAAAATATTGTTTTGATTTGCAATTGCCTTTGCATGAGTATTCATGAGCTTGTTTAATGGCACTTTAATTTCCTCTTCTACAAATTATCCTTGATCCTATATCCATTTTTAAATATTTGTTTATCTTTTTCTTATTGATTAGTGGGCATTCTTCATGTATTTTGGATATTAGTCTTCTGTCTCATAGGAATTGTAAATGTTTCTTCCTCTGTGGCATGCCTTTTGACTTTGTTTATAGTATCTTTTATCAGGCAGAAGTTTTAAATTTAGATGTAGTCAAATTTATCTTTTCTTGTGCTCAGAATCCCCTCCATCCTCCTCCCACTTTGTTTAATTCTCTGCTGTTGCCGTCTTGAAAGTCGTGCATTTTCATTTCTCACTGGGGCACGCAAGTAATGTAGTCATTTCTGCTTATATGTTATTTTAGGCTTAGGTCTTTAATTATTCTGGAATATTTTGGGTGTGTGTGACTTGTGTGAAAAACAGGTATAATTATTTTGTATTTTTTGCAAATGGACAGCCAGTTATTTCAATACCATTTGTTTCATAGTTAATCCCTTTCCCATCATTTGGAATGCCACCTTTCTTATATTTTGAATTCCCTTGTATTCATTGGACTGTCTCTGGAATATGCATTTTGTTCTATTAATCTGGTCATCTATTCCTGTACCAGTATCATGATGTTTTAATTGCTGTATCTTCACAAGGTTTTTCGATATCTGGTAGGACAAGACCTTTGCTCTTCTTTTCTAAGATTACTTCAACTATCTTGTATTTGTTTGCTTTCCTTTTTTGGCATCAACCTCTCAATTCCTTGCAAATTCCATTTGGGATTTTGTTAGGGATTATATGAATTTTATAAATTAATTTTGGAGAAAATAACATCTTCATAGTATTGAGTCTTCCCATACAGGGACAAGATATGTCTCTTCTTTAATTACCTTATGTCCTTCACTAAAGTTTTATCTATTTTTTCTTAACAGGCTTGCATACCAAGCATTTTAAATTGTTATTTTGAATGGGATTTATTTCTAAGTTTTTTAAATTGGTGTATTTAAGAGCTAATAATTTCTGGTTTTGGTCTTGTATTTGATCTCCTTGCTGACATCCTTGTAGATCTACTGTTGATCTCTTAGCCTGTTGATTCTCTTAGCTCTTCATGTAGAGATTTTAAAATACTGACAGTGTTGTGTGTTTATTGCTAATATTTGTTTTATTTTGCTTTTTTTTTTTCGATGCTGCTTTAGCTAGAGTAAGTCTTATTCTTCTATTGGGAGGCTTCTACCATCTCATCATTAACTAAAAAGTTTACTATTGGCTTCTCGTAGATTCTCTTTTTCAGATTAAAGAAAACTTCTATTTCTAGCATGTTGGAGTCTTACCATGAATGTGTTTTGCATTTTATCAAATCCTTTTCTCTGCAATAATTAACACAATCATATGGTTTTTATCTTTTAATTTGTTAATGTAGTAATGACCTTCATAGATTTTTTTCTCTTCTAAAACCACCATTGTATTTCTGCTTGTTCTAGATATATTGATTAGCCAGGATTTTATTTAGGCCTTCTGAATCTTTGTTCATAAGTTTGGATGATCTATGGTTTTCTTTTTTTGTTTTGTCATTGTCTGGTTTGTGTATGAGGGCTATGATCAACCAGACAATACACATGACAGCCTCTCTTCCACCCCAAATAATGATTCTGTCTAAAATGTCAACAGTGCTGTTTGAGAAACCCTGTGCTAGACTCAAAATAAACTGAATGGCTTTCTGTTTTTTTTCCTGAGTAGTTTATGTAACATAGAATTTACCTATTCTTTCAGAATATGGTATAATTCACCTAAAATGACCTGAGCATTGTGCCGTTTTAAGAGGTAGATCTTTGAGCACCTTTTCTATTTTTGTTTGGATATCCATCTCAGTGGTTTTCTTTTTGAGTTAATTTTGGTAATTATATCTTCCTGGAAAATTGGTCATCTGTTTTATTTTTTAGTTCATTTATATTAAATTTTAACATACTATCTGAATTTTGAAAGTAATAATTCTATCCTTTTTCTTTTTGAAATTCATTTTGCCAAATATTTGACTGGCTTAGGTGTCTTTGAAATCACCAGGTTTTGGTTTTATTCATTAACTCTACTATTTTCTGTTTCTTGATTTCTCATTCATCTTTTTATTGCTATATTAATTTCTCTTTTCTATATGTTTATTTTCTTTCTCTTGTTTTTAACTTTTTGAATTGAAATTTTTGGCGACTTACTTTTTATTGTTCTCATTTTCTAAACCAGCATTTAAGGCTATAAATTTTCCTGAGTGCTACTTTTCCAGTAATACATAGGATTTAGTGTATAGTGCACACATATCATTCATTTTTAAACTGCTGGTGATTTTCATTTTCACTTTTTTACTTTGACCTAAAAGTTTCTGAAGTGTTTTTAAATTTCTGCATGTATAGAATTCTTTGAGTTGTTTAGATCTGTCAGGTAATTTGGCCTGTATGTTTTCTGTTTGGGAATGTTTTTGAGTGCTACTCTGTGGCCTAATACAAGATCTTTTTTTTGTGAATATACAAAAAATTAAAGCTTAGTAAATTATTATTCAGATTTTCTCATCATCTGATGAGACCCTGGTGCCTGCTATGGCCTGAGCGAGAAGCCATCTATGTAGATGGGGTTCTATGTAACAGATGATAGAAACCTGAGGACTTACAAATATATCATCCATTCATTTAAAGTAAAGAAACACTGCATGTTCTCACTCATAAGTGGGAGTTGAACAATGAGAACACATGGACACAGGGAGGGGAACATCACACACTGGGGCCTGTCGTGGGGTGGGAGACAAGGGGAGGGAGAGCATTAGGACAAATACCTAATGCATACATGGCTTAAAACCTAGATGACAGGTTGATAGGTGCAGCAAACCACCATGGCACATGGATACCTATGTAGCAAATGTATACCTATGTAGCAAACCTGCACGTTCTGCACATGTATCCCAGAACTTAAAGCAAAAAAAAAAAAAAAAAAAAAAAAAAAAAAAGAACCTGTTCTGTTCTAACTACTTTTAGGAACCTGTTTAACTCAAGGAAATAAAAATACAATCAAAGATGCTTTTATGCATTATTTGTAATAGTGAAAAATCAGAAGTAAATGTCTAGTGGTTAAATAAATGAATAAATATGTAGGCTTTAAAAAATCATATTTTAAAAAGAATATTTAAGATTATGGGGGAAATTATTCCTGGCATCTTTATTTAATAAAGCAGGATACAAATTTGTATATAGTATGATCACATGTTGAGAAAAACAATACATGTACATTAAGTATATGCATACAATAAAAGGTTATTTTTGAATTATTTCTTGAGTGATGATATAATTTAATTTTTTCTTTATATTTGTTTTTCTGAATGTTTACCATGATTATTTACCTTATAATAAAATATATGTAGTTGGAAGCATCTTTTGCGAAATAATTTCTTTTGTCTAGCTTGTATATAATGCAAAATTGCAACTTACCGAGGGCAGCTTAACAGGATGTGTTAAAATTTTGAGTATTTATATTCTTTGACCCAGAAAGTTCACTGCTATGAATTAATCAGAAGTTCCTATAAAAGTACAGAATGATTTTACTACCTTGTTTATAATACAGAAAAATTTAAAAAATGTAATTCTAATACTCAGTATAAACCTACTAAAATGAATTGCATTATATATAAAAAAGGAAACATTAAACAAGTCTTAAAAATAAATTGGAGCTTTATGGGTAATGACATGAAAAACTGACCAAGACATATTATGTGAATGAAGCAAGGTGCAAAACACTATGCATAGTATGATCCCATTTGTGTAAAAATGGGGTGGTTGTGCATACATCACATGTAATGCATTATAATTTTCTGGAGTAATACATAGGAAATAACAATACCTACCTGTGAGCAAAGGGCTGAATATGTGTGATTTCACTTCATGTATTTCTATCATTTTGAATTTGTACAGAAAACATGAATTACATTAAACAAATTTTAATAAAAATTAAATCTAAAAGGTAGAAGATTATATCACTGTAATACTGTTTATGTATTTCCTTTCTGTGTGTGGTAGTAGGCCCACCTGTGTAATAAGCATGTAAAATAGATAGGATCACTGCCCTTGAAGAGCTTGTTCTCTAAAAATCTCTTTTTCATGGATATAAGACATTAATGTTACTATTTTTGTGATGGTAAGATGATAATGTGCTAGAAGTCAAATGGTTGGAATTTAGTCATTTCTGACTTCAGTGAACTAATGCTGATTTCACTGAAATTCATTGTGTACAAGCTGGATAATCCCAAAGTGGGCGTTACCTGTCTGAGAAAGGAATTAGATGGGTTAAAATTAGTACCATTAGTCCAGACTTTAAAAACCTCCATAGTTTTTTTTTTAATCAAACATAATAGAACTTGTTTGCACCATTGTATCTTTTATAGTAGACATAGAAATACGTTTTAAGAGAATTTGTTATTTATGATGGGTCCCAAGTATCATATAAAGTTGAAAAGATCCAGTGTAAATATTTCAATTTTGAGTTGATTTGATGTAATGTAACTGATGAACTTTAAAATACCTGCTGTTTCACACAATATTAAGATATAATTTTTACTCAGTGACATATACATTTTTGTTTGTTTGTTTTTAATTTTATTATTATTATACTTTAAGTTTTAGGGTACATGTGCACAGTGTGCAGGTTTGTTACATGTGTATACATGTGCCATGTTGGTGTGCTGCACCCATTAACTCGCCATTTAACATTAGGTATATCTCCTAATGCTATCCCTCCCCGCTCCCCCCAGCCCACAACAGTCACTGGAGTGTGATGTTGCCCTTCCTGTGTCCATGTGTTCTCATTGTTCAATTCCCACCAATGAGTGAGCACATGCGGTGTTTGGTTTTTTGTCCTTGCGATAGTTTGCTGAGAATGATGGTTTCCAGTTTCATCCATGTCCCTGCAAAGGACATGCACTCATCATTTTTTATGGCTGCATAGTATTCCATGGTGTATATGTGCCACATTTTCTTAATCCAGTCTATCGTTGTTGGACATTTAGGTTGGTTCCAAGTCTTTGCTATTGTGAATAGTGCCGCAATAAACATACGTGTGCATGTGTCTTTATAGCAGCATGATTTATAATCCTTTGGGTATATACCCAGTAATGGGATGGCTGGGTCAAATGGTATTTCTAGTTCTAGATCCCTGAGGAATCCCCACACTGACTTCCACAATGGTTGAACTAGTTTACAGTCCCACCAACAGTGTAAAAGTGTTCCTATTTCTCCACATCCTCTCCAGCACCTGTTGTTTCCTGACTTTTTAATGATTGCCATTCTAACTGGTGTGAGATGGTATCTCATTGTGGTTTTAATTTGCATTTCTCTGATGGCCAGTGATGGTGAGCATTTTTTGGTGTGTTTTTTGGCTGCATAAATGTCTTCTTTTGAGAAGTGTCTGTTCAAGTCCTTTGCCCACTTTTTGATGGGGTTGTTTGTATTTTCTTGTAAATTTGTTTGAGTTCATTGTAGATTCTGGATATCAGCCCTTTGTCAGATGAGTAGGTTGTAAAAATGTTCTCCCATTCTGTAGGTTGCCTGTTCACTCTGATGGTAGTTTCTTTTGCTGTGCAGAAGCTCTTTAGTTTAATTAGATCCCATTTGTCAATTTTGGCTTTTGTTGCCATTGCTTTTGGTGTTTTAGACATGAAGTCCTTGCACATGACTACGTCCTGAATGGTAATGCCTAGGTTTTCTTCTAGGGTTTGTATGGTTTTAGGTCTAACATGTAAGTCTTTAATCCATCTTGAATTAATTTTTGTATAAGGTGTAAGGAAGGCATCCAGTTTCAGCTTTCTACATATGGCTAGCCAGTTTTCCCAGCACCATTTATTAAATAGGGAATCTTTCCTCCCATTTCTTGTTTTTCTCAGGTTTGTCAAAGATCAGATGGTTGTAGATGTGTGGTATTATTTCTGAGGGCTCTGTTCTGTTCCATTGATCTATATCTCTGTTTTGGTACCAGTACCATGCTGTTTTGGTTACTGTAGCCTTATAGTATAGTTTGAAGTCAGGTAGCGTGATGCCTCCAGCTTTGTTCTTTTGGCTTAGGATTGACTTGGCAATGCGGGCTCTTTTTTGGTTCCATATGAACTTTAAAGTAGTTTTTTCCAATTCTGTGAAGAAAGTCATTGGTAGCTTGATGGGGATGGCATTGAATCTATAAATTACCTTGGGCAGTATGGCCATTTTCACCATATTGGTTCTTCCTACCCATGAGCATGGAATGTTCTTCCATTTGTTTGTATCCTCTTTTATTTCGTTGAGCAGTGGTTTGTAGTTCTCCTTGAGGAGGTCCTTCCCATCCCTTGTAAGCTGGATTCCTAGGTATTTTATTCTCTTTGAAGCAATTGTGAATGGGAGTTCACTCATGATTTGGCTCTCTGTTTGTCTGTTATTGGTGTATAAGAATGCTTGTGATTTTTGCACATTGATTTTGTGTCCTGAGACTTTGCTGAAGTTGCTTATCAGCTTAAGGAGATTTTGGGCTGAGACAATGGGGTTTTCGAGATATACAATCATGTCATCTGCAAACAGGGACAATTTGACTTCCTCTTTTCCTAATTGAATACCCTTGATTTCCTTCTCCTGCCTAATTGCCCTGGCCAGAACTTCCAACACTATGTTGAATAGGAGTGGTGAGAGAGGGCATGCCTGTCTTGTGCCAGTTTTCAAAGGGAATGCTTCCAGTTTTTGCCCATTCAGTATGATATTGGCTGTGGGTTTGTCATAAATAGCTCTTATTATTTTGAGATACGTCCCATCAATACCTAATTTATTGAGAGTTTTTAGCATGAAGGGCTGTTGAATTTTGTCAAAGGCCTTTTCTGCATCTATTGAGATAATCATGTGGTTTTTGTTTTTGGTTCTGTTTATATGCTGGATTATGTTTATTGATTTGCATATGTTGAACCAGCCTTGCATCCCGGGGATGAAGCCCACTTGATCATGGTGGATAAGCTTTTTGATGTGCTGCTGGATTCGGTTTGCCAGTATTTTATTGAGGATTTTTGCATCAATGTTCATCAAGGATATTGGTCTAAAATTCTCTTTTTTTGTTGTGTCTCTGCCAGGCTTTGGTATCAGGATGATGCTGACCTCATAAAATGAGTTAGGCAGGATTCCCTCTTTTTCTATTGATTGGAATAGTTTCAGAAGGAATGGTACCAGCTCCTCCTTGTACCTCTGGTAGAATTCGGCTGTGAATCCATCTGGTCCTGGACTCTTTTTGGTTGGTAAGCTATTGATTATTGCCGCAATTTCAGAGCCTGTTATTGGTCTGTTCAGAGATTCAACTTCTTCCTGGTTTGGTCTTGGGAGGGTGTATGTGTCCAGGAATTTATCCATTTCTTCTAGATTTTCTAGTTTATTTGCGTAGAGGTGTTTGTAGTATTCTCTGATGGTAGTCTGTATTTCTGTGGGATCAGTGGTGATATCCCCTTTATCATTTTTTATTGCATCTATTTGATTCTTCTCTCTTTTCTTCTTTATTAGTCTTGCTAGCAGTCTATCAATTTTGTCCATCTTTTCAAAAAACCAGCTCCTGGATTCATTAATTTTTGAAGGGTTTTTTGTGTCTCTATTTCCTTCAGTTCTGCTCTGATTTTAGTTGTTTCTTGTCTTCTGCTAGCTTTTGCATGTGTTTGCTGTTGCTTTTCTAGTTCTTTTAATTGTGATGTTAGGGTGTCAATTTTGGATCTTTCCTGCTTTCTCTTGTGGGCATTTAGTGCTATAAATTTCCCTCTACACACTGCTTTGAATGTGTCCCAGAGATTCTGGTATGTTGTGTGTTTGTTCTCGTTGGTTTCAAAGAACATCTTTATTTCCGCCTTCATTTCGTTATGTACCCAGTAGTCACTCAGGAGCAGGTTGTTCAGTTTCCATGTAGTTGAGCGGTTTTGAGTGAGTTTCTTAATCCTAAGTTCTAGTTTGATTGCACTGTGGTCTGAGAGACAGTTTGTTATAATTTCTGTTCTTTTACATTTGCTGAGGAGTGCTTTACTTCCAAGTATGTGGTCAATTTTGGAATAGGTGTGGTGTGGTGCTGAAAAAAATGTATATTCTGTTGATTTGGGGTGGACAGTTCTGTAGATGTCTGTTAGGTCTGCTTGGTGCAGAGCTGAGTTCAATTCCTGGGTATCCTTGTTAACTTTCTGTCTCGTTGATCTGTCTAATGTTGACAGTGGGGTGTTAAAGTCTCCCATTATTATTGTGTGGGAGTCTCAGTCTGTTTGTAGGTCACTGAGGACTTGCTTTATGAATCTGGGTGCTCCTGTATTGGGGGCATATATATTTAGGATAGTTAGCTCTTCTTGTTGAATTGATCCCTTTACCATTATGTAATGGCCTTCTTTATCTCTTTTGATCTTTGTTGGTTTAAAGTCTGTTTTATCAGAGACTAGGATTGCAACCCCTGCCTTTTTTGTTTTCCATTTGCTTGGTAGGTCTTCCTCCATCCCTTTATTTTGAGCCTGTGTGTGTCTCTGCACGTGAGATGGGTTTCCTGAATACAGCACACTGATGGGTCTTGACTCTTTATCCAATTTGCCAGTCTGTGTCTTTTAATTGGAGCATGCAGTCCATTTACATTTAAAGTTAATATTGTTATATGTGGATTTGATCCTGTCATTATGATGTTAGCTGGTTATTGTGCTCGTTAGTTGATGCAGTTTCTTCCTAGCCTTGATGGTCTTTACATTTTGGCATCTTTTTGCAGAGGCTGGTACTGATAGTTCCTTTCCACATATACATTTTTTGAGCAGTACTGTTATCCTTTCTTTAATGTTTAGCTACGATAAAACTTTAAGTGAAAGCCAAGCTTAGAAAAGGATGAACAATGAACCATTAATTGTAGATAATTATGAAACTAGATTTTTAAAACAATGTTTGTAAAAATGTTGTATTGTTTCAGCTTATATACCCACCATTTGCATGTTTCCTCATTTTATTTCTGGTATCTGAAAATGCATTTGATGTACAGTAAATGTGGGTGGGTACAGCATTCAAAATAAGACTGTAATAAAAAAAGTGCAAGCAAAAAAATTCCATCTGCTATTTAACTTTGTAGATAGGTTAAAACCATTGTTTAGGATCATTGGCATGTAATTGAAATGAGTGACATTTTGGATGATGAAACAAATATTAGAAAGAAGAAAAAAACTAATGGACCAATTTAATGTGTCAAACTCTTATATATAAAAAATAAAGTCACTGTGGGTAACTGCAAACCTTCCACTTTTACTCCCTTTCAATTCATGCATTAGATTTTATCTGACTCTCTTTTCCACACCTGGAAGCTCTACATTGGTATTTGTTTTCTATAAGTATTTGTTTAATAAACTGTTGAGAATGCACATCTGTGTCAGGAGCAATGATGAAGGCTGGGTTTGCAGAACTGCCAGATCAGGCTGCTGGTTCCCTTTGGCTTTGCCCTCCATGGGGCTGGATCCTATGACTGTTGTAGACCTTTCCCCCTAACTCGAGTCCCTCTTTTGGGATTAGTTATCTTTGCACTCTGTTTTCCACTACCAAACCTCACCAACACCTCAGACCATCCTTGGATTTATATTATCCTTCCAGCTTCCCAACCAGTAGCAGAGCAAAGGATGCCCCAACTCTGCTCCAGTGCTAACCCCTTCACCTGTGTTTGACAGTGTCTCCCTTTTCCACTGCAGCTCCTGCTTCCACATTTATCCTCACCCTCAAAGATCTCTGGCTTGTTCCCTCTGAATTCTGCCATACACCCAGGCTTCCCTGTTGTAATATCATGTGCCTCTTGCCTCTTAGTCTCTTTTGCTCCCTTTTACTACAAAACATGTTGAACAGGTGGTCCACGCTCCTATCTCTGCGTCTCTCCAAACCAATTTTCATTTCCACCAATTTACTGAACAACTTTCTTTACTGTTACCCTTGATCTTTATTTTACGAAATTCAAAGGTCTCTTGTTCATTATTTCTTGCGTTGACCTTTCCACAGCAGTAATGTTGCTGACTCTGCCCTTTATGATAATTTTTATTCCTTGTGGCTTTTATCGCATTATCTGTCTCAATTCTCTTCCACCTTTCATAGTCTTCCTAGCCTTCCTTGCTGGTTGCTTTTCCTTCTCTCTGACTGCGTGCATCACCTTCCCTCAGGAAGAAAAGAGCATGGACCTTCCCTCCTGTCCATGCTCTTTTCTATCAATATGTTCCCCCTTGGAGAGTTCTCACAAGCAGCAGATATCACCTCTATGCTGATGGCTTCCTCATTGTGGTCCTATCCTTGAACACCTACTTGGTCGTCAATACCATATCCCATCTGTGTTTAGAACTTTTTCAACCAGATGTCCCACTACAGTGTCTCTTCCAGCTTGAGAACCTGTAATTCTTTAGGTGTAAGAAGGTCCACCGGGTGCTGTGGCTCATGCCTGTAATCCCAGCACTTTGGTAGGCCGAGGCAGGCGGATCACGAGGTCAGGGGATCAAGACCATCCTGGCTAACATAGTGAAACCCCGTCTCTGCTAAAAATACAAAAGATTAGCTGGGCGTGGTGGCAGGCACCTGTAGTCCCAGCTACTCAGGAGGCTGAGGCAGGAGAATGGCGTGAACCTGGGAGGCGGAGCTTGCAGTGAGCCGAGATTGCGCCACTGCACTCCAGCGTGGGCGACAGAGGAAGACTCCATCTCAAAAAAAAAAGTTCATCTTCTCCATAAAACTAGTTCATCAAAATTCCTTCCTTCAGCATATCACCACTATCATTCAGATCTCTGTAAAGAGGACAACCTTTATTAGTGATTTAGCTGAAAATCAAGAAGCCTCACATAAATCAGCCCACTCCATTGTCTTGTATGGAGTCACATGCTGATTTATGTCAGCTCCCCCAGCACAGTGCCGCCACACTGGTCCATCTTACCTCGCCTGGCCTTCTGCCTGTTAACTCCTTTCCCAGTCCCTCAGGGTCATCACTGCCTAGTGACAATTTCTAAACACTATAGGAAGCACTAATCATCTAGCTGTTCCTTATTTGCTTTGACATTTGCTTAGCTCCTGGACCTGACTCTCAGGGCCCTTGGGAGTTTGTCCCTCCCTCTGTCTCCCACCTACTCAGCACCACTTGACGTTTGGTAAGCTGCATTCTTTCTTTTGGTAATTTTAGTTACGTTAAGTCCTTCTTGTTTGTATTGCCTGCTTCACCCCATTCTTAGTCCTACCCACCTTTCAAGGACCACCAAAATATCTCTGAATCAACAACATCTGAAGTCAGTCCTGTAATTGAGTATTTTTCATTTATGTCTTGTATGTGGATAAATAAATGGTCCCATCACCTTCCCTCAGAAGCCTTTCCATATACTACCATTTCCTAAAAAATATTATAGGCTCCATTTTCCTAACTTACTTTAAGCTTAAGAGTGAGAATATATTTCATACCCTTCTCTGTCTCCTCTGGTGACCAATAATATACAAAGAATAATTTCAATAATGACTTCATGGTTATTAATTGTTATCAGTTTAAATACTTAGCAAGTTGAGAAAATATAAAGAAAATAAGATTTCAAACAATCCAATCATCTATATTCAGCAAAACACAAAAAGTTTCTGTTAGATATGACAGGGTCTAGTGTTTATGGAATTAAAGCAATGTTTTCTAAATGAAATATATGCTGTTGAGGTATATGTCCTCGTGTTTCAGTGGAGATGGAGACCCCACGCTTTCCTTAGGATAACCTTCTAACATTTAAAACATAAAACGATTTCATTGTATACTCGTGGTATTTAGTGTATACCACTAGCAAATGTTGAGACTGGGACTAGAAGTTGAAGTTCTTATATCAAATCCAAAGACCTTTCCACTGCACATTTCCATATATTCTATTCACTCATTTATTTATTTATTCAGCACATACTTAGTGAGCACCTACTGTGTGTCAGGCCATGCTAGGCAATGAGATAGAGCCTTCAAAGAGCTTAGTCTACCGATAGAGACTGACAAGTCAACATAAAGTTGAAATGCAGTGGGACATGAAGTGGAGGGAAACTTTATCTGAATGTTTTGTTTTCAGACAAGGGTTTAAGGAAGTTTAATCCTGAGGGAAAGTGCTAATGAGGGAGATGATAAAGATTCAGGTGAAGGGTAACTGGCAGAGTGGTGTCCCTTTGAAGACTGTGTGAAGGGAATGGGGTCCAGGGCACAGGTAGGGACATCAGCTTCCCACCAGACAGGAATAACATTTCCAACCAGAATGGGACGCAGAAAGCAGCACCAGAAGCAGAGGAAGCATTCTCATTTTGATGCCTTCTATTCTAGGTGAAGTAAGAGACAGGCTCATTGAATGAGAATGAGAGTTGTGGGATAGGGAGGAAGGTAGAGTATGTGAAACCCCCATGTAGGAATTAGAAGAATCTTGACCTTCCCAGGACCCAAGGGGGCAAAGGCGGTGAGGGGAAAGGGTCTGAGACAGCTCTAGTGGATACCCAACAGAGGAGCAACACCAGGTGGATAAGGGGTTTGTTTGGTAAGAGGTGAACCCTCTCATGTTCAGAGCACTGCAGGGTGCCCAGCATCTCAGCTCCTGCCGGGAGGAATCTGGGACTGATGAGCAAGCTGAATGGCAGTTGAAAGATCCAATATCCACAGGGATTATGGGGAAGCTCAGGGAGCATGGACGCCCAGGAGTAGGTCAGAATAGCACCAACTACAGGGATAAGTAGACATTTTCCTCTTATGGCAGTACATATGTAAGGAATAGACAGTTGAAAGAATAAAGAGAAAGGGATATTAGAGAACAGGTTATTTTAAAAAAGATTTATTTTGAAAGGGGATGATCAGTTGATTTAGTATGAAATGGAGAGCTGAGCTAGCAGAGATATACTGATAACTTCTGGTCAGTACAAGATGCCTCTCTCCTTGAGTGATGACCAACCTTTGCTGCTTAGCCTGCCCCACGACCCATCTGTTAGGTTCTCTGGATTCTCACTGCAATCAGGAGCCTCATCCAGGAGCTTTCTTTTTTTTTTTTCCCCAAGGACCTTTGATGTTTGATTCTTATGCTATTATAGTTCTCAATATTAATAATTCAGAGTCAATTGTTTTTAATAACCTAACTATAAATAATTAGTGAAGAGAATTAAAGGAATGGATATACTCATTGATATTTTCATAATCCTTATCCTGCCCTGTGGCATTGTCTGTTACTGATAAAACTTGATATTGTTAAAATTTTATATGATGAAATTCAAATCAGAGGGGAGCAAAAGGATTACAACTGCTTTGAAAAATAAAATGAAGAGCACAAAAAGGAATTACTAGGGCCTTTCTAAACCAAAAAGAAAAATTAACGAATAAAAGATTTGGAAAAAAATTCCTCAAAGTATTGAAATCTCCTTCTTATTCCTAAAGATAATTGGAGCTAGTAGTGAAAAGCAAAGAATACGTGTGTGTTTATACATACACATACATACATATGTACATACACACATATGAATACATAAACACACTTGCAAGTACTTGAACCAATATATCTTTTCAAACTTAAAAAAGGTAATGGGAAATTACAATCAAGATTAAATAAAAATAGCTTCTTTTGAATTAATAGTATATTGGGTAGATGTAGCTAAGATATTTTTTCAACCATGAAAAGCAGTAAGGAATAGTTTGGAAAATAATTGGTTGAGATTATTTTACATATTTATGTAAAGATTTTCATTATCACAAATTTTAAATACTATTAATTTGCAATATTAAAAAATTTTGATTATTTAGTGCTAATGAAAGGGTATAGTGACCTAATACATAGGTAATGCTAAAAGATTTCTACTTGTCTTCAGATTAATTACATGAATTTAAAATGGATCACACATCTACATATATATATACATACACACATATGTTAGTATTTTAAGCAATATATTTTAAACTTTGAAAAATGTAGCAAGCCATCATAATCATGAAGATGGAAAATTAGCTTGAGAAGCTATTGAAATATTTAATAGCTTATCATGAGAGAAAATGTATATTAGTAATTCATGAATTGTTAGCAATTCATGAATAGATATTATAAAATCAAATAATAAAATTGCATGTTCTGATCCTATGCCAGCAAATATACATACCTGAGCATAGCATTTATGACTTTAGATTAAAATTATGTTTATTAATCATTTTCTCATCCTTGTGACTGAATTCTTTGAAAGTAGAATAGAGAGCAATCTTATTTAACCCCCAGCATATACTCATAAAAGTACTCAAAAGGCCCTGTGATTATAATGCTTACACTTAGAATATCATCTCTCAGAATAACCTATGACCATACTTGAATTATTATCACCATTGTACAAATGAGTTAATTGAGGCTTGAGAAGGTTAAGCAATTTTTTTTTTTTTCTCAAGTCACCCTTCTCCTAAGTGGCTGGTCAGGAATTGGAACCTAAATGCTGGAACTCCAAAGCCCACACTGTTAACTACTGAGCACAGGCAGGAAATGTGTTGGTTTACTTTCTTATACCTGGCACTGTGCTCAGACATTGTAGTCAGTCAGTGAGAGTGTTTGAAATAAAGAATGTAAAAGTTATAATAATTAAAGTTACCCAGGATTAGCAAATTATTATTATTATTATTTTATTATACTTTAAGTTCTAGGGTACATGTGCACAACGTGCAGGTTTGTTACATATGTATGCATGTGCCATGTTGGTGTGCTGCACCCATTAACTCGTCATTTACATTAGGTATATCTCCTAATGCTATCCCTCTCCCCTCCCCCCTCCCCACGACAGGCCCCAGTGTCATGTTCCCCTTCCTGTGTCTAAGTGTTCTCATTGTTCAGTTGCCACCTGTGAGTGAGAACATGCGGTGTTTGGTTTTCTGTCCTTGCGATAGTTTCCTGAGAATGATGGTTTCCAGCTTCATCCATGTCCCTACAAAGTACATGAACTCATCCTTTTTAATGGCTGCATAGTATCCCATGGTGTATATGTGCCACATTTTCTTAATCCAGTCTATCATTGATGGGCATTTGGGTTGGTTCCAAGTCTTTGCTATTGTGAATAGTGCTGCAATAAAAATACGTGTGCATGTGTCTTTATAGCAGCATGATTATAATCCTTTGGGTATATACCCAGTAATGGGATGGCTGGGTCAAATGGTATTTCTAGTTCTAGATCCTTGAGGAATCCCCACACTGTCTTCCACAATGGTTGAACTAGTTTACAGTCCCACCAACAGTGTAAAAGTGTTCCTATTTCTCCACATCCTCTCCAGCACCTGTTGTTTCCTGACTTTTTAATGATTGCCATTCTAACTGGTGTGAGATGGTATCTCATTGTGGTTTTGATTTGCATTTCTCTGATGGCCAGTGATGATGAGCATTTTTTCATGTGTCTGTTGGCTGCATAAATGTCTTCTTTTGAGAAGTGTCTGTTCATGTCCTTTGCCCACTTTTTGATAGGGTTGTTTGTTTTTTTCTTGTAAATTTGTTTGAGTTCATTGTAGATGCTGGATATTAGCCCTTTGTCAGATAAGTAGATTGCAAAAATGTTCTCCCATTCTGTAGGTTGCCTGTTCACTCTGATGGTAGTTTCTTTTGCTGTGCAGAAGCTCTTTAGTTTAATTAGATCCCATTGGTCAATTTTGGCTTTTGTTGCCATTGCTTTTGGTGTTTTAGACATGAAGTCCTTGCCCATGCCTATGTCCTGAATGGTATTGCCCAGGTTTTCTTCTAGGATTTTTATGATTTTGGTCTAACATTTAAGTCTTTAATCCATCTTGAATTAATTTTTGTATAAGGTATAAGGAAGGGATCCAGTTTCAGCTTTCTCCATATGGCTAGCCAGTTTTCCCAGCACCGTTTATTAAATAGGGAATCCTTTCTCCCGTTTCTTGTTTTTGTCAGGTTTGTCAAAGATCAGATGGTTGTAGATGTGTGGTATTATTTCTGAGGGCTCTGTTCTGTTCCATTGGTCTATATGTCTGTTTTGGTACCAGTACCATGCTGTTTTGGTTACTGTAGCCTTGTAGTATAGTTTGAAGTCAGGTAGCGTGATGCCTCCAGCTTTGTTCTTTTGGCTTAGGATTCTCTTGGCAATGCGGGCTCTTTTTTGGTTCCATATGAACTTTAAAGTAGTTTTTTCCAATTCTGTGAAGAAAGTCATTGGTAGCTTGATGGGGATGGCATTGAATCTATAAATTACCTTGGGCAGTATGGCCATTTTCACGATATTGATTCTTCCTATCCATGAGCATGGAATGTTCTTCCATTTGTTTGTATCCTCTTTTATTTCGTTGAGCAGTGGTTTGTAGTTCTCCTTGAGGAGGTCCTTCCCATCCCTTGTAAGCTGGATTCCTAGGTATTTTATTCTCTTTGAAGCAATTGTGAATGGGAGTTCACTCATGATTTGGCTCTCTGTTTGTCTGTTATTGGTGTATAAGAATGCTTGTGATTTTTGCACATTGATTTTGTATCCTGAGACTTTGCTGAAGTTGCTTATCAGCTTAAGGAGATTTGGGGCTGAGACGATGGGATTTTCTAAATACACATGTCATCTGCAAACAGGGACAATTTGACTTCCTATTTTCCTAATTGAATACCCTTTATTTCTTTCTCCTGCCTAATTGCCCTGGCCAGAACTTCCAACACTATGTTGAATAGGAGTGGTGAGAGAGGGCATCCCTGTCTTGTGCCAGTTTTCAAAGGGAATGCTTCCAGTTTTTGCCCATTCAGTATGATATTGGCTGTGAGTTTGTCATAAATAGCTCTTATTATTTTGAGATACATCCCATCAATACTGAACTTATTGAGAGTTTTTAGCATGAAAGGCTGTTGAATTTTGTCAAAGGCCTTTTCTGCATCTATTGAGATAATCATGTGGTTTTTGTTTTTGGTTCTGTTTATATGCTGGATTATGTTTATTGATTTGCGTATGTTGAACCAGCCTTGCATCCCAGGGATGAAGCCCACTTGATCATGGTGGATAAGCTTTTTAATGTGTTGCTGGATTCGGTTTGCCAGTATTTTATTGAGGATTTTTGCATCAATGTTCATCAAGGATATTGGTCTAAAATTCTCTTTTTTTGTTGTGTCTCTGCCAGACTTTGGTATCAGGATGATGTTGGCCTCATAAAATGAGTTAGGGAGGATACCTTCTTTTTCTGTTGATTGTAGTCTCAGAAAGAATGGTACCAGCTCCTCCTTGTACCTCTGGTAGAATTCGGCCGTGAATCCTTCTGGTCCTGGACTTTTTTTTTGGTTAGTATGCTATTAATTATTGCCTCAATTTCAGAGCCTGTCATTGGTCTATTCAGAGATTTAACTTCTTCCTGGTTTAGTCTTGGGAGGGTGTATGTGTCCAGGAATTTATCCATTTCTTCTAGATTTTCTAGTTTGCAAATGATTTTTTTTACTTTTATTTTAAGTTCAGAGGTCACGGGAGTTTGATGTGCAAATTATTTCATTACTCAGGTAATAAGCATAGTACCTGTTAGGTAGTGTTTTGATCCTCACCCTCCTCCCACCCTCCACCCTGAATTAGGCCCTGGTGCCTGTTCTTCCCTTCTGTGTATCCCTCTGTACTCAATGTTTAGCTCCCACTTACAAGTGAGAACATGCAGTATTTGGTTTTCCTGCATTAGTTTGCTTAGGATAATGGCCTCTGGCTCCATTTATGTTGCTGCAAATGACATGATCTTGTTCTTTTTATGGCTGTGTAGTATTCCATGGTGTATATGTACCACATTTTCTTTACCCATTCTACTGTTGATGGGTATTTAGGTTTATTCTGCGTCTTTGCTATTGTGAGTAGTCCTGCAGTGAACAAACACATGCATGTGTCTCTATGGTAGAACAATTTGTATTCCTTTGGGTATGTATCCAATAATGGGATTGCTAGGGTGAATGTAATTCTGTTGAATTTCTTTGAGAAAACGCCAAACTGCTTTCCACAATGGTTGAACTAATTTACTTTTCCACTAGCAATGTATAAAGCATTCCCTTTTCTCTGTAACTTCAATAGCATCTGTTATTTTTTGGCTTTTTAATAGTCGCCATTCTGACTGGTATGAGATGGTATCTCATTGTGGTTTTGATTTGCATTTCTCTAATGATTATTGTTGAGCATTTCTTTCGTATGCTTGTTGGCCACCTATGTATGTCTTCTTTTGAAAAGTGTCTGTTGGTGTCCTTTGCCTACTTTTTAATGGGGTTTTTTTTGTTTGTTAATTTGCTTAAGTTCCTTATAGATTCTTGATACTAGACCTTTGTGGGATGCATAGTGTGCAAATATTTTCTCTCATTCTGTAAGTTGTGTGTTTATTCTTTTGATAGTTTCTTTTCCTGTGCAAAAGATCTTTAGTTTAATTAAGTCCCATTTGTCAATTTTATTTTTTGTTGCAATTGCTTTTGGTGTCTTCATCATGAAATTTTTGCCAAGACCTATGTCTCAAATAGCATTTCTTACGTTATCTTCCAGAATTTTTATAGTTTTAGGTTTTACATTTAAGTCTTTAGTCCATCTTGAGTTGATTTTTGCATATGGTATAAGGAAGGGATCCAGTTTCAATCTTCTGCATATGGCTAGCCAGTTATCCCAGAACCACTTATTGAATAGGGAGTCCTTTCCCTATTGCTTGTTTTTGTCTACTTTGTTGGAGATCAGATGGTTTTAGGTATGCAGCATTATTTCTGGGCTCCATCCCATTCCATTGATCCATGTGTCTCAAGACAGCCAGTACCATGCTGTTTTGGTTGCTGTAGCCTTCCAGTATAGTTTGAAGTTAGGTAATTTGGTGTCTCTAGCTTTATATTTTATTTGCTTAGGTTCAACAGTCACCTTGGCTATTCAGGATCTTTTTTGGTTCCATACCAATTTTAACATAGTTTTTTTCTAATTCTGAGAACATCATCATTGGTAGTTTGATAGGAATAGCATTGAATCTATAAATTCCTTTGGTCAGTAGGTCCATTTGAATGATATTGATTCTTCCTATCCATGAGCATGGAATGTTTTTCCATTTGTTTGTGTCATCTCTGATTTCTTTGAGCAGTGTTTTGGAATTCTCATTGTAGAGATCTTTCACCTCCCTGGTTAGCTGTATTTATAGATATTTTATTCTTTTTGTGGCTATTGTGAATAGGATTGTATTCTTGATTTGGCTCTTAGCTTGGTTGTTGTTGGTGTATATAAATGCTATTTATTTTTGTACGTTGATTTTGTATCCTGAAATTTTGCTCAAATTGTTTATCAGATCAAGGAGATTTGGGACAGAAACTATGGGGTGTTCCAGGTATAGAATCGTATGTCTGCAAACAGAGATAGTTTGACTTTCTCCCTTCCAGTTTGGATGCCTTTTATTTCTTTCTCTTGCCTGATTGCTCTGGCTAGGAGTGGTGGGAATGAGTGTCCTTGTCTTATTCCAGTTCTCAAGGAAGGAATGCTTCCAGCTTTTGCCCATTCAGTATGATGTTGGCCGTGGGTTTGTTATAGATGGCTGTTATTATTTTGAGGTATATTCTTTCAAAGCCTAGTTTATGGAGGGTTTTTAACACGAAGGATGTTGGATTTTATTGAAAGCCTTTTCTACATCTAATGAGATGTTCATGTGGTTTTTAAGTTCTGTTTATGTAATGAATTGCATTTACTGATTTGTGTATGTTGAACCAACCTTGCATCTCAGGGATAAAGCCTACTTGATCATGATGGATTAGCTTTTTGATGTGTTGCTGGATTAAGTTTGCTAGTATTTTGTTGAGAATTTTTGCATCTATGTTCATCAAGGATATTGGCCTGAAGTTTTCTTTTTTTGTTGTGTCTCTTCCAGGTTGTGGTATCAGGATGATGCTGGCCTCATAGAATGAGTTAGGAAGGAGTCACTCCTCCTCAGTTTTTTGTAATAGTTTCAGTAGAAATGATACCAGCTCTTCTTTTTGCATGTGGTAGAATTGAGCTGTGAATCTCTCTGGTCCTGGGCTTTTTCTAGTTCGTAGGCTTTTTATTACGAATTCAGTTTTGGAACTTCTTTGGTCTGTTCAGGGATTCAATTCCTTTCTGGTTCAATCTTGGGAGGTTGTATGTTTCCAGGAATTTATCCATTTCTTCTGAGTTTTCTAGTTTGTGTGCATAGAGGTTTTCATAGTAGTCTCTGAGGGGTTTTTTGTATTTCTGTGGGGTCAGTGATTATATCCCCTTTGTCATTTCTGATTGTATTTATTTGGGTCTTCTCTTTTTTCTTCTCTATTAGTCTAGCTAGCAGTCTATCCGTCTTATTTATTCCTACAAATAACCAACTCCTGGATTCATTGATCCTTTGTATGTTTTTCGTGTCTCATTTTCATCCAGTTCAGCTCTGATTTTGGTTCTTTTCTTCTGCTAGCTTTGGTATTGGTTTGCTCTTGTTTTTCTAGTTCCTCAAAGTGTGATGTTAGGTTGTTCATTTGAGATCCTTCTAACTTTTTAATGTGGGCGTTTATCTGTGTCCCAGAGATTCTGGTATGTTCTATCTTTGTTCTCATTACTTGCCAAGAATTTCTTGATTACTGCCTTAATTTCCTTGTTTACCCAAAAGCCATTCAGGAACAGTTGTTTAATTTCTATGTAATTGTATAGCTTTGAATGATTGTCTTGGCTTTGATTTATATATATATATATATATATTTTATTTTATTATTATTACACTTTAAGTTTTAGGGTACATGTGCACAATGTGCAGCTTAGTTACATATGTATACATGTGCCATGCTGGTATGCTGCACCCATTAACTCATCATTTAGCATTAGGTATATCGCCTAATGCTATCTCTCCCCCCTCCCCCCAGCCCACAACAGTCCCCAGAGTGTGATGTTCCCCTTCCTGTGTCCATGTGTTCTCATTGTTCAATTCCCACCAATAAGTGAGAACATGCGGTGTTTGGTTTTTTGTTCTTGTAATAGTTTACTGAGAATGATGATTTCCAATTTCATCCATGTCCCTACAAAGGACATGAACTCATCATTTTTTATGGCTGCATAGTATTCCATGGTGTATATGTGCCACATTTTCTTAATCCAGTCTATCATTGTTGGACATTTGGGTTGGTTCCAAGTCTTTGCTATTGTGAATAGTGCCGCAATAAACATACGTGTGCATGTGTCTTTATAGCAGCATGATTTATAGTCCTTTGGGTATATACCCAATAATGGGATGGCTGGGTCAAATGGTATTTCTAGTTCTAGATCCCTGAGGAATCGCCACACTGTCTTCCACAATGGTTGAACTAGTTTACAGTCCCACCAACAGTGTAAAAGTGTTCCTATTTCTCCACATCCTCTCCAGCACCTGTTGTTTCCTGACTTTTTAATGATTGCCATTCTAACTGGTGTGAGATGGTATCTCATTGTGGTTTTGATTTGCATTTCTCTGATGGCCAGTGATGGTGAGCATTTTTTCATGTGTCTTTTGGCTGCATAAATGTCTTCTTTTGAGAAGTGTCTGTTCATGTCCTTCGCCCACTTTTTGATGGGGTTGTTTGTTTTTTTCTTGTAAATTTGTTTGAGTTCATTGTAGATTCTGGATATTAGCCTTTTATCAGATAAGTAGGTTGCGAAAATTTTCTCCCATTCTGTAGGTTGCCTGTTCACTCTGATGGTAGTTTCTTTTGCTGTACAGAAGCTCTTTAGTTTAATTAGATCCCATTTGTCAATTTTGGCTTTTGTTGCCATTGCTTTTGGTGTTTTAGACATGAAGTCCTTGCCCATGCCTATGTCCTGAATGGTAATGCCTAGGTTTTCTTCTAGGGTTTTTATGGTTTTAGGTCTAATGTTTAAGTCTTTAATCCATCTTGAATTAATTTTTGTATAAGGTGTAAGGAAGGGATCCAGTTTCAGCTTTCTACATATGGCTAGCCAGTTTTCCCCGCACCATTTATTAAATAGGGAATCCTTTCCCCATTGCTTGTTTTTGTCAGGTTTGTCAAAGATCAGATATTTGTAGATATGCAGCGTTATTTCTGAGGGCTCTGTTCTGTTCCATTGATCTGTATCTCTGTTTTGGTACCAAGGTTACTGTAGCCTTGTAGTATAGTTTGAAGTCAGGTAGCGTGATGCCTCCAGCTTTGTTCTTTTGGCTTAGGATTGACTTGGCAATGCGGGCTCTTTTTTGGTTCCATATGAACTTTAAAGTAGTTTTTTCTAATTCTGTGAAGAAAGTCATTGGTAGCTTGAAGGGGATGGCACTGAATCTATAAATTACCTTGGGCGATATGGCCATTTTCACGATATTGATTCTTCCTACCCATGAGCATGGAATGTTCTTCCATTTGTTTGTATCCTCTTTTATTTCCTTGAGCAGTGGTTTGTAGTTCTCCTTGAAGAGGTCCTTCATGTCCCTTGTAAGCTGGATTCCTAGGTATTTTATTCTCTTTGAAGCAATTGTGAATGGGAGTTCACTCATGATTTGGCTCTCTGTTTGTCTGTTATTGGTGTATAAGAATGCTTGTGATTTTCGTACATTGATTCCAGCATATAAACAGAACCAAAGACAAAAACCACATGATTATCTCAATAGATGCAGAAAAGGCCTTTGACAAAATTCAACAGCCCTTCATGCTAAAAACTCTCAATAAATTAGGTATTGATGGGACGTATCTCAAAATAATAAGAGCTATCTATGACATACCCACAGCCAGTATCATACTGAATGGGCAAAAACTGGAAGCATTCCCTTTGAAAACTGGCACAAGACAGGGATGCCCCCTCTCACCACTCCTATTCAACATAGTGTTGGAAGTTCTGGCCAGGGCAATTAGGCAGGAGAAGGAAATAAAGGGTATTCAGTTAGGAAAAGAGGAAGTCAAATTGTCCCTGTTTGCAGATGACATGATTGTATATCTCGAAAACCCCATTGTCTCAGCCCAAAATCTCCTTAAGCTGATAAGCAACTTGATTTATATTTTTATTGTGCAGTGGTTTTGAGTGTGGTTGGTATGATTTTGGCTTTTCTGAATTTGCTGAAGTTTGTTTCATGGCTGATTTTTGTTGTGTGGTCAGTTTTAGAGTACGTGCCATGTGCAAATAAGAAGAATGTATATTCTGTTGTTTTGGGGTGGAGAGTTCTGTAGATGTCTGTTAAGTGTTAAGTTCAAGTTCCGAATATCTTTGTTAGTTCCCTGCCTTGATGATCTAACATTGTTGGTGGGGGTTGAAGTCTCAGTGTTGAAGTCTCCCACTATTATTGTGTGATTATCCAAGTCTTCATAGGTCTCTAAGAAATTGCTTTATGAATCTGGGCGCTCCTGTGTTGGGTGCATATATATTTAGGTCTCCTTGTTGAATTGTATCCTTTACCATTATGTATTGCCCTTCTTTGTCTTTTTTGATCATTATTGTTTTGAAATCTGTTTTGTCTGAAATTATAATAGTAACTCCTGTTTTTTTCTGTTTTCCATTTGCTTGGTAGATTTTTCTCCATCTGTTTACTTTGAGCCTATGGATGTCATTGCATATAAAATGGGTCTCTTAAAGACAGCATACAGTTGGTTCTTGCCTCTTTATCCTGCTTGCTACTCTGTGCCTTTTAATTGGGACACTTATCCCATTTACATCCAAGATTAATATTGATATGTGCAGATTTGATCCTGTCATCATGTTGTTAGCTGATTATTATGCAGACTCGGTTGCGTGATTGCTTTATAGTATCAATGGTCTATGTATTTAAGTGTGTTTTTGTGGTGACCAATAAGTCTTTCCTCTCCATCTTAAGCACTCCCTTAAGGACCTCTTGTAAGGCAGGTCAGGTGATAATAGATTTCCTTAACATTTGTCTGTCTGAAAATGATCTTATTTCTCCCTTGCTTATGAAGCTTAGTTTGGCTCTGCCACGAAATTATTGGTTGGAATTTCTTTTATTTAGGAATGCTGAATATAGGCCCACAATCTCTTCTGGCTTGTAGGGTTTCTGCTGACCTGCCTTTAACTTTTTTTTTTTTTTTTCATTTCTACCTTGGAGAATCTGATGACTGTGTCTTGGGGATGTCATCTTGTATAGTATTTCACAGGTATTCTCTGCATTTCCTGCATTTGAATTTTGGGCTCTCCAGTGAATGATCTCTTTAAACTACATAAATTGCTAGAAATCTCTGTATTCCTTAAATACTTTAAAATTATGCTTTAAGATAGTAAAGTGGAAAAAAATGAGTTTTAAAGAGTATTGCTCATGAAAACACTGAGAACCCTACAGTGTGATCAGGAAGAATCACCAGGGGAGTGAGAAGACTGCTAACTTAAATACCTCTGCTGCTGTTGTCAGTATTCTGTTGTGACCTTGGACCATTTACTTTCATATACTCATTCATTCAGCAAATTTTTATTTAGGTTTGTCAGTTTTCATTTAGGTCTATACTGGTAAATAGAAATAGTCATGATTTTGCTCTCAAGGAGCTTATAATCTAGTGGGAGGGACAGACATTCATTATATAATGAGAGAAATAGATATAAAATTACAATGATGGTAAGTATTACACAGAAGAGGTATATGGTATTGTGAGAACATATAGTAGGAGAGTTAGACCTTATTATGGAGATCCAGGTAGTGACAATTGTTCTGAAATCTGAAGACTGAGTAGGAGTTGAACTAAGCAAAGAGAAGAGAATAAGGAAAGGGCATTCTAGGCAACTAGAACAGAATAAGCAAAGGCTCAGTAGATGATGGGCCTTGGGAAGTATCAGGGAGAGTGGTGGGGAGAGTGAGGCAGGGCATGAGCCAGGACTTGGGAGGTAGGGGCCAGTCCTTGCAGGGACTTGTGGGCCATCTTAATGAGGGCTATCTCTATCATGAGAGGGGAGGGAAAACGTTAAAGAGTTTTAAGCAGGCAGGAATCAAAATCGGGTCTCACAGCTGCAGTGGAAAGTGGACTAGAGGGCAGGACTGGGTGACAGTAGCAAGCTAGGAGGCCATTGGATGACCTCAGAGACATAATGTGGTGGTGGAAAGGATAGAAGTGGATGGGTTTCAGCGGGGATTTAGGAGGTAGTGTCAATGGAAGGAACAGAAGGAAGAGTGGGTTGGTCAAAAATGTGCCTAGGCTTTAGAAAAATGGATAGTGGAACTCATGCTGAGATGGAGAACTCCACCAAAGACCAGCTATGTCTAGTTTGCTACATTCTGAAATTGAGGTGCCTTTGAGACTAACAAAAAGAAATGTCCAGGAGGCACCTTAACATACAAGTAAGATGCTCTTGAGAGCTCCAGACTTATGTTTCCCAAAGGGACATGATCTCTCCTGCCTGGGTCTTCACAGCACTTTGTATGTCTCTTGCTGCCACCATTAATGGTTTCTGTTTAGGATCATGATTATCTTTCTGTGCCATCTGTCATTTACCAAGTGAAGTCTAAGTCCAAAAGTGTTTTCTCAGTAGCACTAAGATTTAGTACCTTTGAAAATACAGTTATGTCTCACTTTACATAATAGATGAGTATTGGGTTGTCTTGAAATTGACCTTACAAAATTGAGTGTATGTAGAGGGGAAGGGCTTAAATCCATGGCCCAGACACTTGGAATTCCTCCGGAGTCTCCTGCTTCTGTTTAGTTTCGGTTCTGGTACTGGCCCTTTTTCCCAGTTACAGGCTTCTAAGGTGAGCTGGTCTGCTCAAGTAGAGGAAAGGGTGCTTACTTCAGGTCTGGCCTTTCTAGAAGAGGCAGTAAGGCATGGAGAATTCCAGTCTGGGCTCCAAGACTATTGCCTTCCTCTAAAATGTCTCAAAGAACCAAAAAAAGTTCTTCCCTTGAGCTTCAGATTACACTAAGGCAGAGATAGAAAGATGGACCCTTGACATACAGACTTGTCACGGGGTTTGTTTGGGGCCAGCTCCCCAGGGAAGTCTTGGTGACCTTTCCAAGTAATAAGGGAGAGTGAGTCTATGATTTGGTTCCTTATTCGCTTACTCATGGCATAGCTCAGTGAAGCCCAGAATCACTCAGATTTCAGGCCATTGCTCTTTTAGTTAGTAGGTTCAGCTGCTTTGAAATATCTAGTGTAGAGCATAATAGCAGCTTATTAGGCGCCTTTATTATAATAGTTTGGGACCCTTGTGAGGGATCAGAATTCCTAATTACAGAATCCAAAGGATGTAGCTTTCTTGACTGTTCAAACTGGCAGAAGGGTCTGAGAGGCCCAGATGGGATAAGACTTGTTGTTAGGGCTTCTAGGTCATGGTGATGCTCAGACACAGGCCCATACTGGAATTATACCATGGCGGTTCTTCCAAGTGGTTGGGACGTGGGGCGGCAGGAGTGTGTGTGTGAGGAGGTGTGCCCTTAGCTGAAAGGCTGGAAGACTAGTTGGACAGAAGTCCAGGATGATTGCATTGGGAAAAGGAAGTCGCTGGACTGAAATCCTCTGAGTGCATGGGGCATAATTCATCCTGAGTGCCATCATGACCTGCCTGAGACAACAGGACTCTTCTAGGCCCCATTTGCCAGCAGGGAGACTTCTGCCAATATCTGTGGAGGTGTAGCTCTCTTTGGCTCAGGTCTGGTGTGATGGGGCTGCTGGTGGTACTCTGTATTAGGTTGGCTGAAGCACAGTGCCTGCAGTGCCTTAATTCCCGTTTTAGAAAGAACTGGTAGGACAGGGAGGGAAGAGTTCAACCTTGCCCATCCAGGTGGTTGCTTCTGAGAAGAAGTGGGCAAGGAAACAAAATGGACATCTCAAACAGCTATTGAGAAAAGAGGGGATGGCTCTAAACGAAGCCACAGTGCAGATCACAATTGTATTAGTCAGAGTTCTACAGAAAAACAGAACCAATATGATATTTGTGCGTGTATATATGTGTGTGTGTCTGTGTATGTGTGTGTGGAGAGGGGTTGGGGAACATGGAAAAATTTTTAAGAAATTGGCTCATGCAGTTGTAGGGGCTGGCATCTCCAAAATCTGTAGGGAAAGTTGGCAACAGCCTAGAGATTCAGGTAAGAGTTGATGTTCAGTCTTAAATTCAAAGGCTGGAAACTCAGGAAGATTTTCTGTATTTCATCTGGAGGCAGAATTCTTTCTTCTTAGGAGAAACCTGTTTTTGCTCTTAAGGCCTTCAACTAATTTGATGAGGTCCCATCCACATTTATGGAGGCTAATCTGCTTTACTTAAAGTCAATTTATTTACTGTAAATATTAATCCCATCTAAAAGAATACCTTCACAGCAACACCTAGACTAATGTTTGACCAAAAAACTGCACAGCATAGCCTAGCCAAGGTGACACGTAAAATTAACCATCACAACAACGCCCATGGAACATTGTCATCTCTTAAAGGAAAAAGGGTCATTAGGTAATCATTTTACCCTTGAGAGAGTGGGGAGATGGAGGGAGGGACAGTGTTGTCCTTATTTGTGGGGCTTATTTATTTCAATCTTTAGCTACTTCTTGAACTTTGAGTCTTCCATTGGCCCACACTAGGGTGGCATTTGGGTGGCTGACCTGTCATAGATCACTCCCTTCTTAAAGGCTGCTATCATTTGTATTAGCCAGAGTCCCAAACTCCTGGTCCCTGGCTGGGGCCCATCTAAATACATGAAAACACCTTAAGGATAGAATCCACATCTGTTCATTTTGGTAGTCCATGTTGTCTAGTACCTTAGTACTGAGTCTTAAATATAATGGACATTATTCATTAAAAAAATCAAAGTCTTCCAAGTTCACACAAGGCATTGTGATAGGTGTTGGAGTAGCCATTGAATACGCACACACACACACACACAATACATATACGTATATATACACACATATATTTATTTATTGAGTGAATTATTTCACACCACTTTATGTTATGATTTGTATTTTCTTTTTCTCCTGAGTAGTGGGGAATGATTTCAAACTAGTATATCCTAGAACATAGTCCTGTAAGTACTTACTCCCTGGCTGGCATTCATAGTTCCTGTGATTTGCCTCAGGTTACTTTTCAGCCCTCATTGTTCCCCTCCCACAGCCTGAACTCAGACCACACCACACTAGCTTCCCTTCATAGTCACTCTGGAAGCATTTTCACTCTCATGACATTCCTTTTACTTGAAATGCCTTTTCTTGCCAGTTCCTTCCTCTTTTAATCCATTCAGATCTATTATTCCATGGAGGAGCTCAGGTCCCCCACTCTCTCTGAATTCTGAACATCACAGCCCTTTCAGAAACCTCTTTTACTTATGGTAGACCACTTAGGTATTTCTTATAGCCTCTATAAGGTTCTAGAAGACAAGGTGTGTGTCTCATTGCAGATTGTAGCCTTGCCCAGTATTTTGTACTGGTGTTAATGAAGTAATACTCATTGGAGCCTCCAGTAGTCCTTTTGTATTATGTTTGATACATGCTTAGTTTGCCCAGGCCACCATTACAAAATATCCTTGACTGGGTAGCTTATAAACAATGAAAATTTATTTCTCACAGTTCTCGAGGGTGGAAAGTCCAAGATCTAGGTGCCAATAGATTTAGCAGAGGTTAGGACTGCCCTCTGCTTCATAGATGGCACCTAATCTTGCTGCATCCTCACATGGTGGAAGGGACAAACAAAGTCCTTCATGCCTCTTTTATAAGGGCACTAATCCCATTTATTAGGGCTCTGCCCTCATGACCTAATCACCTCCTATAGGCCCCACCCCTTAATATTATCACATTGGGGATTAGGTTACAACATCTGAATTTTAGTGAGACATAGACATTCAGAACATAGCAATACGTAAGTTAGGAATCTGTTCAGCCAATACATATAATTTTGGGCTGATTACCCAGTTTCTGGACTGTCTTAAAGTTTGCTTTTCTTTGTGTATTTAAAATGTAGTAAAAGGACAGGAGAAGAAATAAATACCCTACCCTTTTTATTGTTGAGAGGTGGACAACTTACAAAAATTAATCGAAGATTTAAAACAAATGATGGCAAGACAGATTAAAAGATATTGTGACTTATGTATCTGTGGTCCTCAATTTCATCAACACTCACAAGCTGAGTAAGATGCTTTGCTCTGGAGGCTGGTAACAGCAATCCAAAACTTTATTTTTCTTATTACTCACAGTTCTGTTTCAGTTAGCTGCCACTTAGGAACTCCTTGTCTGGTGAGATGAGAGGAGAGAAAGAGAAAGGCATATAATGGGAAGTAGCAAAGGGGTGGACTGAAGCCTGCCTTCATTTCTTTTGCAGTTCAGTGGGTTTGGGTCAGACTAGATATCACCACTGAAAGGGAGATAACTGTTCTAACTGTGGAGAAGTTCTGTTGTCCACAGTGTTCTTGAGGATGTAACGATGTAAGGACATTCTTACAAGCTCATTAGTTTTCTTACCATAGAGGCACTGGCATGCTCAGTTGCCAGAGGACATCGTGTCAGTGCAACAAGCCCAGAATCCTGGCAACAATTTTATATGTTGGAACCTTATTGAAAATGACTTTTCACATTAGGAGGTTTCGTTGGCAGAGAATGAAGCAGACTTTGCCCTTTGCCAAAGCATAGGAAAACTTGTGCTTAATTTTCTTTTAGCCAGCCCTTGTTCTTCTTTTAGAATCTTTGGTGGATACGGAGATACTTGCCCAAAGAGAATAATTGTTAAGAAAAGGTAATTCTAAGGAATGATGCCTTCTTTTTGGAATATTTACTCATTCACAGCACCAGCAATTTGTTTTTATTACTGTTGTTGCCTTATTGACTTTTGGATGGTAAGCCGCTAGACCATTCTAAGCCCAAGTAGGGATCTCTAAATTTGATTAGTATTTCAAAATCACCTCATGATGTGACTTACGTATTATAGGCCACATGTATTTTGTGGTTAAAAGCCTCAATTAAATCTATGGCATGAACTGTCAGTTTCTTTTAATTCTCATGGCTATGTTCCCTTCATCCCCCAGGGTATTTTGCATATATGAACCCTATTTAAAATGTGGTTTAATTTGAACTACCACTTTGAAAAGTAAAGTTTATCAAATCACTTTCTTTTTTTTTTTTTTTAATCATTCTTGGGTGTTTCTCGCAGAGGGGGATTTGGCAGGGTCACAGGACAATAGTGGAGGGAAGGTCAGCAGATAAACAAGTGAACAAAGGTCTCTGGTTTTCCTAGGCAGAGGACCCTGTGGCCTTCCGCAGTGTTTGTGTCCCTGATTACTTGAGATTAGGGAGTGGTGATGACTCTTAACCAGCATGCTGCCTTCAAGCATCTGTCTAACAAAGCACATCTTGCACCGCCCTTAATCCATTCAACCCTGAGTGGATACAGCACATGTTTCAGAGAGCACAGGGTTGGGGGTAAGGTCACCGATCAACAGGATCCCAAGGCAGAAGAATTTTTCTTAGTACAGAACAAAATGAAAAGTCTCCCATGTCTACCTCTTTCTACACAGACACGGCAACCATCCGATTTCTCAATCTTTTCCCCACCTTTCCCCCCTTTCTATTCCACAAAACCGCCATTGTCATCATGGCCCGTTCTCAATGAGCTGTTGGGTACACCTCCCAGACGGGGTGGTGGCCGGGCAGAGGGGCTCCTCACTTCCCAGTAGGCACGGCCAGGCAGAGGCGACCCTCACCTCCCAGACAGGGCGGCTGGCCGGACGGGGGGCTGACCCCCCCAACCTCCCTCCTGGATGGGGCAGCTGGCCGGGCAGAGGGGCTCCTCACTTCCCAGTAGGGGCGGCCGGGCAGAGGTGCCCCTCACCTCCGGGACGGGGCGGCTGGCCAGGTAGGGGGCTGACCACCCCACCTCCCTCCCGGACGGGGCAGCTGGCCGGGTGGGGGGGCTGACCCCCTCACCTCCCTCCTGGACTGAGTGGCTGGCCGGGCAGAGGGGCTCCTCACTTCCCAGTAGGGGTGGCCGGGCAGAGGCACCCCTCACCTGCCGGATGGGGCGGCTGGCCGGGCGGGGGGCTGACCCCCCCCACCTCCCTCTTGGACGGGGCGGCTGGCCGGGCGGAGACGCTCCTCACTTCCCAGACGGGGTGGCTGCTGGGCGGAGGGGCTCCTCACTTCTCAGACAGGGCGGCTGCCGGCCGGAGGGGCTCCTCACTTCTCAGACGGGGCGGTTGCCAGGCAGAGGGTCTCCTCACTTCTCAGACGGGGCGGCCGGGCAGAGACGCTCCTCACATCCCGGACGGGGCGGCAGGGCAGAGGTGCTCCCCACATCTCAGACGATGGGCGGCCGGGCAGAGACGCTCCTCACTTCCCAGATGTGATGGCGGCCGGGAAGAGGCGCTCCTCACTTCCTAGATGGGATGGCAGCCGGGCAGAGACGCTCCTCACTTTCCAGACTGGGCAGCCAGGCAGAGGGGATCCTCACATCCCAGACGATGGGCGGCCAGGCGGAGACGCCCCTCGCTTCCCAGACGGGGTGGCGGCCGGGCAGAGGCTGCAATCTCGGCACTTTGGGAGGCCAAGGCAGGCTGCTGGGAGGTGGAGGTTGTAGCCAGCCAAGATCACGCCACTGCACTCCAGCCTGGGCACCATTGAGCACTGAGTGAACGAGACTCCGTCTGCAATCCCGGCACCTCGGGAGGCCGAGGCTGGCGGATCACTCACGGTTAGGAGCTGGAGACCAGCCCGGCCAACACAGCGAAACCTCGTCTCCACCAAAAAAATACGAAAACCAGTCAAGCGTGGTGGCGCGCGCCTGCAATCGCAGGCACTCGGCAAGCTGAGGCAAGAGAATCAGGCAGGGAGGTTGCAGTGAGCCGAGATGGCAGCAGTACCGTCCAGCTTCGGCTCGGCATCAGAGGGAGACCGTGGAAAGAGAGGGAGAGGGAGACTCGGGGGAGAGGGAGAGGGAGAGGCAAATCACTTTCAACCATGATTGTGATAATTTATATTTACTAGAAATATGCTCATTAATCAATAATATATTGATCAAGTAGCAAAAATGGAAGCAAGTACATTTTCCCCCAGGTTACTTTCCATTTTAATTTAAGTGAATTTTATATCAGTTAAGTTTTTTTGTTTCTCTTTTAAAATCACAACATACGTCAAAGGTTTATATTGATGGTCTAGAAAAAGAGTCAACAGTAATCTAATGACTAAAATTGCAAATCCATCTTCATTTTCACTGACTAGGAGAAATGTGTAATGTCAGTGTTAACGGGGCATCATATGGAGTTTAAAATAGTAATCAAGTTTTCTGTGAGTTTGGTTATTTGGTTCAATTGTAATTGTTCTATCTTTGTGTACATATCTATAGGGGTATCTTCTGAAAAATTCTTATTTCGTTTGCAGCATGGGCAAAAACTGTATTTGAAGATTAATTTAATTACTAACTTTCACATCTTAGGGTTCCCTTAGTACAAAAGTAGTTGTGGTCCACTTTATTTCACAGTGCTGTTTATACAAGAACCATGTGATGAATTGCATCTTGAATTTAGTTCCTGAAAGTCTGTGCAAGGACTGTTGCTTGTTTAATTTTGCTGGGTAGTAAAAGATGTGTAACCCTGTGTATTGCCATTTGTGACTTTTCTGTAACAAAAATTTAGTATCTGACTATTGCTGTTTATTCACCTCAGGAGTATGGTGATATCTTATCCCAAAGCTCCTTTTAGATGTTCTATTTCCTTCATCTTAAATTATCCTCTTTTATATTATGCTGTGACCATAGGCCTCTTCAGATTCTTTGTAAGTAGGCTGGGTACATATTTCTAAAAATACGTTTTCTGGTTAATAGTTTGATTTCTATGGAAGTGGTGCAAAGGAGGAATATCTGAAGCAGAGAATGCATTTGCTTTATATCCGAAAACCCAGAGTCCATTAGAAAAATGTATGGCACCTGGGAGACACTTTGTAAATATCTGTCCAGTTGAAGTGAATATACCACATAAATCTTTCTTCAAATTTTAAAATTAAGACCTGTCCTGTATTAGTGCCTCTTTGCTTCATATAGCCTCTGCCCTCTTTTTCATCGTATCAATTTTAAAGCAGGTTTTTAGGAACTGTTGTTTATGCCCCAGAGAATTCTGTGAGAGCTTCTGAGCCACAGTGTTCAAGTGACTTGCCATTTTTTTCTTTCCCTGTTTGGGGGGTGTATGTGTTTTCAGGTGGAGGAGATGGTATCTGTCATCATCAGTGCAGCACATTTATCAAATCCCGTTAATACAGCCCAAAGCCAAGACAGAAATGCACACTTCTGTGTAAAGTACTCTCCAAGATTTTTGAATTGAGAAGCAAGTGTCAGAAGTAAATAGAGCCTGGGATGGGGTGTTGCCTGGGCCTGCCTGATTTGATATAGTACGTAGTGTCTAGCGATTATGTCTCCTCTTTTTCCTCTTCCTTAAGAGCCCCTTAACACAGTGGGATATGACTTCCTTTTTAAACAGCATTGACCGCTCCTGCGTCATAGCCAAATTTTCTTCTCTTTCCTTTACTGAAAAGAGAAAAGCTGTTCTACAGCTACGTATTTTCTTATTTGAAAAATAAAGGAAAAAAAAAGCTATATTCTTAGTTGTTTCTAAAAATTAAATCCCTTCTTCCTTCTTTAATGGCAAAAATAAATTTACTTTAATTCATGAGTATATTTTTATTTCTGTATAACTGTGGCCTCACCCATATCTACATTTCTGTATTTTATGTAAATACTAATCTGTTATCTACCATTAGTGGGCTTTTGTTTTGAATTGTTTTTCCATGGCAATAGTATATTTTTGTCTTTAAGTTTTTATATTAATTTAAACATGATATAAAGTATATACTAAATAACATTTTGAAGAAAAAATCCCACTAGGTCTAATTTCTCCCACACTGCTAATTTCATTAGTGCGTATTACCTTGTACACATATTAAGCATAGTTGTTACTAAAGGATGTGTTTTGTTTTCTTTAGGGTTAGACTTGTCATGATTCAGCAGTCCCTAACTAATCCATTTTCCTTTGGATTTACAATGCCTAACCAAGTTTAAACGTCTATAATTTATGGCCATGGTTCAAAGCAGAGTAAGTGACTCTTGTGGGAATAAAGTCACCCATATGGGATATGAGCTTCAGTGTCTTTAGAACTCTGCTTGAACTTGGGCCGGGCATGGTGGCTCATGCTTGTAATCCCTACACTTTGGGAGGCCGAGGCGGGCGGATCACCTGAGGTCAGGAGTTCAAGGCCAGCCTGGCCAACATGGTGAAACCCCGTCTGTACCAAAAATACAAAAAATTAGTTGGGCGTGGTGGCCGGCACCTGTAATCCCAGCTACTCAGGAGGCTGAGGCAGGAGAATCACTTGAACCCGGGAAGCGGAGGTTGCAGTGAGTCGAGAAGAAAACTCTGTCTCAAAAAAACAAAAAAAGAACTCTGCTCTAACTCTAACCAAATGAGATGGTGAGAATTGTCCACTACTAAGTCAATTTATAATACTAATAATGACCAATTTAAAGTCAGAAGACTTTAATAGGGACAGAGAAATTCTCACTGTAAAGACCCTTTCTACTTTATCTAGAAAAGTATCCTGAAACATTTATAAGTTATCATTTGAGCACATTCTGATTGTTAATTAATGTGGAATATGCCTAATGCTTTCATTGCATTTTGCAGTCACATTTTCAAATGTAATGATTTTGTACGTCAAAGTGGGTCAGCAGCAAATTGTATTTTACTGTATATTATGAAGACAATCAAAATATGAAAGATATTTATTTTCAACCATTTAGGTAAATTGTTCTTTACACTCAAGACAGGAAATGGGATAATTCTATGGTTCTGCCAGAAGCTATGTTATTATGTCTTTTGGTTCATGAACGCGTGGAGGGTATTTCTTTACTAATATGCAAAGCTTAAATAACATAGCCCCAGTTGACAGGTGGTGTTACTTATTTTTAGTAGAAATGAGGAATAGCCTAAACAGAGCTAATTTGGTTTTTTAAATTCTGATATTTTTAGAGAAGAAATAAGGCTCTAACAATTCTAAGAATAAGAATAACTTGCCACTAGCTATTTTCACTGGTTCTTCCTTTCCACTTCATTTATTGATTCTGCTTAATAGACTTATAATTGGTTGTAAACTTCTGGAATTTCAGAGAAATAAGGTTTTATTAAGTAATAAATCATTTCTGTGTTTCTTTGATTAAAAGACTTTCAGTGTGGGCAGAATTGTTAGAGTTTGTTGTTTTTATATGGATCTTTTCAGGATTTATCTGTTTGTATTAATCTGCGTGGTTTCTAATCTCTGTAAATTAGAAAATGAGCTGATGATAAATCATAATTGACATGGAAAGTCAGAAAAAAGAGGATGTCACCAATAGCAAAAAAGGATTATGACTTAAGGGTTGTTATTTAAGAATCAGACCTGGCCAGGTGCGCTGGCTCACGCCTGTAATCCCAGCACTTTGGGAGGCCCAGGCAGGCAGATCACGAGGTCAGGAGATGGAGACCATCCTGGCTAACATGGTGAAACCCTGTCTCTACTAAAAATACAAAAAATTAGCCAGGTGTGGTGGCGGGCACCTGTAGTCCCAGCTACTCGGGACGCTGAGGCAGGATAATGATGTGAACCTGGAAGGCGGAGCTTGCAGTGAGCCAAGATCACACCACTGCACTCCAGCCTGGGCAACAGAGCGAGACTACGTCTTAAAAAAAAAAGTCCCTATTATCCCTAACACTAACAATTTCATGAATAAATAGATTACTTGAAAGAAGCTAAGATAACTGTTTTCATGAAGTATAAGCACAAGAAGTTTCATTCCCTGATTTCTGGGCATAGGATTGTTATCATTTTCAAAGAGAATTGTTTGTGGAATTCTTTACTTCTCTTCGTTCAAGTATGTAGTAGCTTGACCTGTATGTTTTAGTTATTTTAGGGCTCAAGAGGCCCTGGGAAGCATTCTCTGAATTTTAAGGCTGGGAATGGTAGCTCCACTCCGGGTGCCTATAGCTCCCTGGGCATACCTCTATATTAGCTTCTAATTACATTGTCTTGAAATTATTTATATCTTTCATCTCCACTACATGCTTTTCTAGTACTTCCATAGTACGTGGCCCACAACGCTTAATCATTTTTTATTGAATTGAAGTAAACTAAAGGCCAAAATAGAAAACATAAAATAGGCTGTCTTATCTCTGAAGTTAACAGTATACTTGATCAATGTGATATTCGATATTGCACACATAGAAACATCAAAGGGTAAAAGAGAGGGAAATTTTTAGCTTATTATTCTTATCTGGTATCATTTTTAGTTTATTTCCTTAGGGAGCTGAGAGGCCTGTATCTCTGTCTATGCTTAATTTGTGTACTCCCAATGCTTTTGTCTCCAAAAAGGGACTCTATGAGGAGGACATAGTGTTATTGCCTCTATATTACCTGTGCCCAGGCACTGCCAAGAGAAGTGAAAACTGTGCAGTTCCTAGGAGATCACCTTTCACTTTATATTAACTTATTCTTAGTAGAAGGCATAGGTGTACTATATTCACCTTTAGTAAGAGCACATGGGAATTAAGCATGGGATAGTGCACAGTTGTTTCCAGTGGCAGCTGCTGAGGGCTAGGCAAAAGAAACAGACTGGTCATCAACATTGAGGGAAATGGGACAGTTTTCAATATTCCCGGCAGCCCCTTGGAGATACCAGGAGGAAGAGAACAAAATAAAAAGCTAGTTAATGGAACCATGACATAAGAAGCCCATAAGTCTGAGCGGCTTTGGGCATGTTATTGGGAGTGGCTAGTGGAGCCAAGACATAGGGAACTCTAGTCTGGGTGGGAGACACCTTGTCCAACCAATATGAACAGGCACAAGGAGCTGTAGGGGGAAAGCAGCCAGCCATCAACCCAACTGAGGAAAAAAAATGACTAGAAATGATGTTGGACTACTTATAGCTTTGTCGTTGTGGACAACTTTCTTAGCCTCCCTGAGTATTGGGTTTCTTTGTAGAAGGTAGAAGATAGTATCAACATCTCAGAGGAGTTGGGTTCACACAAGGTAATGCATATGGTTCCCCTAGTGCTGGGCCTGGCACACCATAATTATTCACTATGTTAGTTCCTTCCGGACCCTACAGTTCTAGTGTGAACCACCCCAGAGATGAAAGGGCCGCATCCCTAGAGGTTCTTTTTTTCTTTCTTGAAAGACAAGATCTCACTCTGTCATCCAGGCTGGAATGCAGTGGCATGATATCGGCTCACTGCAACCCCCACCGCCTGAGTTCAAGCAATTCTCCTGCCTCAGCCTCCTGAGTAGCTGGGATTACAGATGCACACCACCACACCCAGCTAATTTTTTGTATTTTTAGTAGGGATGGGGTTTCACCGTGTTGGCCAGGCTGGTCTCTAACTCCTGACCTCAAGTGATCTGCCCACCTCAGCTTCCCAAAGTGCTGGGATTACAGGCATGAGCCATCTCACCTGGCCCCCTAGGGGTTCTTTAGCTCCTGCATTAGGGATGGTAGAACTGCTTTTAAAACTCTAATGGAGGAAAAGCAAATGAGAACCTAACAATTGACCAAAAAGAGAGACCTATTAGAGAAACGTAGGATGGGGATCAAGCTGACGATAGCCCGTCAAGTGTACCAGGAGTCCTTGTTACATACAGCTTCTAAATATTTGGTATACCTAATACATGTTTATGATTTACAGTTCATCTATCTCTTTGCTTTATAAATAGAGAAGCCATTTGATATAGAAAGCTATGTATTTTTAAGAGGAACTAGAGGAAGAAGTCTGACATTTATGGGGTCTGGGTGCCAGACCCCATAAATGTCAGACTTTTTTTTCCTGTACCTTCATTATTTTATTTGACTTTCACAGCAACCTTGTAGAATAAATTATTATCCTTGTGTAACGGAAGAGGAAATCGAGGCCAAGAGAGGACAACTGAGTAGCCTGAGGTCATCAGCTCCTAGCAGGCAGAGCCAGACGTGGACCCAGGTCTGTCAGGTGTTAATGACAGTGCTCTTTATTGGCCCACATTTGCTGAAATTCAGAAACGCTTCCTAGCAGGAGAGGTTTGAAGAGCAGGCACAGCAGCCCCTCTGCACTGTGAGTGCTTGGAAGGCCAGGGCTGAGTTCTGCTTGGTAACCCCAGAGCCCAGGAACATCTGGCATGTGGCAGTCTTTTCAGTAAATATTTACTGAATGAAAGTCACAAGTTAAGGTAGAAAACTATTTCAGACAGTGATAGATTGTCAGCAGTATGAAATTTATCATCTTTACAACATTGTTGAATTACTGAAAAATACGTGACATTTATTAATACAGGCTCTACTCAAGTGGCTCTCCAGCAGTTCAAAGATCTGTGTTTAGAATTGGACAATACATGAAAAACTGACACTAAATAAGATTCAAAATATGCCAGTAAGTTTTCTAATGACTAAAGAGACAAATGCTGCCTTTGGAGAAAAGTAAACTGATCACAAGCCTAAAAGTATATTTTAAAAAGTAATGTGATATAAATTTTGATTCACGTATTCTCTTCTTTTCTCTCAAAGTTTAAATGTTTGAAAGTTACCATTATGGAGATTATAAAAAGCACTATTTGTCTTTTACTAAATGTAAAGGACAGCACAAACAACTTTCAATAGATGGAAAATTAAAGTAAATGTAATAATTTAAAAAGTAAATATACTATGCCAGTTCTTGGCCAAATAAATGAAGCTATTAGCTGTGTGCTTTGTAAGGATTTTGATGGTAAAAATATAAATGAACGAGCAAGCTAAACATTGGTATTTCATTAGTAACCAGAGAACCATGGATTTGTCAAGCCTGGGATCCGATGGAAATTCTACTAGGCTAAAGAAACCAAGTTGTAGTCCAATGAAGATTTTTTGCTAAAAGTAAAAAGGTCGTGGAGTGTCTCCGCTCTGCACAACTGTATTGGAATTGGTTGAATAACTCAGTTCCTCCTTCCCCAGTAAACAGGGGCTTCAACACAAGAGCCAGATACATTTAAAAGCAAAAGACATCTTTTTCTTTTAATTTGGTCGGGGTATATTTAGAACCAACAGAAACCAGTTCTGTCATGGTGAAGGAAAGAGCGCTTTAAGCACCCTTTCATGTGAGTGCCTTTAGTGCTAGTTGACTTTTCCTTAGAAATTCATTTCACAGTCTTAGTGAAGATACACCAAGTATTTTGCAGTTTCATACAACTTTTGTTGAGATTGACCATTTCCTTTTCTTGAGGGAAATGGAATCCCTCTTGAGTTCTATGAAGCCATTGCTGACGGTGGCTGCGGTCTGGGTAGTCTTTTCAGTGGACAGTGGCATCGGTTGTCAAAAGGAACTTGACATTTATGATTACCACAGGTTGAAAGAAGCTACCATCTTTTTTTTGGCTGTGTCTGTACTGCAGTTCTATAAATGGTATAATGTTGTGGCCTTCAGGAACTACAAATTATTTTTAAGTGGTTATCCTGACTGAGCAAGCTGATTTGTATCAACTAGGTAGCTGAAAGTGAAATGTAATTTGCATCTATTAAGCCTTTAAACTTTCAAGCAAAATATGCTTTTCATAACATGGAGGAAAAAAAAGGTATTCATCATTTTCATAAATTAACCTGGTTGTAATATTAGTTTTTAATTCCATTTCAAGTTATATTTGTGTCCTAGCATACATTATAGCCTCTTAGATACTATCAGGCATATGAGGTCATTTAAATAGTATTTGATGATTTATTTGGTCAATTATTATAGAGATCTATAATAGATGTCTATAACAGAGCTGTTTTTGTTCTCTCTCTCTCACTTTTTTGAGAACAGTTGTAACATTGCTTTCTCTTTATGGCATTTGGGGTGATTTGAGGTGAGTGAACACTGGGATTTTTAGCAATTATGTTCATTTGTAATTTTTAAAGGTGTAAGACCTACAAAATGTTATTCTTCCAAAAAAATTTATATTGGCCTCATTTACATATATGAATGATAGTCCCTCTTTCCAGATACTCATTTCTGAGTTCAATGAATATTTGGTGAGTGCTTTCTTTGGGCAAAGCACCACATTAGAAAAGTCAGGGTGAATTTGGAATTAAAATATGACAAGTCCTTGCCCTTAAAAAGCTTATCATCTAGACCTGCACTGTCAGATACACTAGCTGCTAGCCCCGCTTTGATTATTGAGCACTAAAAAATGTGCGCAGTCCAAATTGAGATGTGCTGTAAATGTAAAATATGGTGGATTTCAAAGACTTGAAAAGAATCCAGGTATCTCCATAACTTTTATATTGACTACATGTGGAAATGATAGTATTTTGGATATTTTGAGTTAAATAAAATTATTGAAGTTTATTTTACCTGTTTCTTTTTAGATTTGTTAATGTGACTAGTAGAAAATTTTCAATTACATATGTGGCGCTCATACATTTTTGGACACCATTGATGTAGACATTGTCTCTGCTTCCTCCCAATACTGTCACTAAGGGAAAGTATTCATCTACCCAAAGATAATTAAGTGTCCACCCCATAAATACAAATGTTTATAACCACAAACAATAGCAATAGAAGCATAATGATTTCTTGTTAGCCCTTTAATTGGCCCATTATTATGTAAATATGTAGCTAGATAGCGTAGTTTTTTTTTCACTGTATGATAAAAAATAGTAGTAATGCTGAAACCAAGGTTTGTAGGTGCTCAGACAGGATAGGAATAATAAGAAAGGAAAGAGGGGAAAGGATGGCCATTCTCATCTAATAATGATTGCCTGAAGCATGTAAAGATGTCAAGGAAGCGTATCTGAGATTGTCACTCAACTGGGAATGATATAGGCAGAGGAGATAGCTCTGATCAAATCCTCACAAAATGCATTATATAGGAGAGAATGATGAGGATGACGATGACGATGATGGTGATGATGATAGCAGTAGTAATGTCAACCACATTAATTATACTTGACATTTATTGGGAGCATCAGAATCTTTAGTGGGCATTTCTACCTTATCTTGTTTAATAACAACAACCCTAGGATACAGTACTATTATTGTAGTCCCTGTTTTAGGGTTAGCTACACAGGAAGGGCTGGTGCAGAAGACAGACCAGAGCCTGACACCCAGTCTTTTTCACTTAGGTACTCTATAAAGGGCTGCCTGAGTTCATGCATTTTAACTCCCTTCTGCATTGGTGGTCAGAGGCCCTGCGGAAGCATTAGAGGCATCAGCCAACCAACTTTCCTTTTATGAGAGACCAAAGTGTTTGTAAGCTTGCAATGAGCTCTTAAAAGGCAGCTTTGTGTAGTTTTTACTATTTAGGTCCAAGAGATTAACTTGGAAGTTAATTTCAGTGAACTCCTTTTTGCCTTTCCAGTAATTCCAGTAAGTAAGACTCGAGGACTTGTAATGTAAAAATCTTAGTTAGGTCAGCCTCTACAGCGCTTTCATATTTATTATCTCCTTTGTGCCTTATCAAACCCTTTAAAGTAATTAAGAACAAGTAGTTATTTTCTTCATTTTATAAAATAGCAGCTGAGGTTTGGAGAGGTTTATTGACTTCCCAAGGCTGCACAGTTTGAGCATTGAGTCACTCGGGGTCCAACTGGAAAAAGAACATTTAAAATAGAGATAATTTAATATAAGGAATTATTACAGGTAGTGGAAGAACCAGGAGGCCAAATGAGATTGAGATTGGTGATGCCACCCAAAGGTTGTCAACAGCAGATAACTATCCCCACCCACAGGATAGAGAGACAGGGAGCAGGTGATGGGGCTTTGGGAACTCAGAGGGGATGCAGCGTTTGCTGGAGACACTCACCTTGCCCTGCAGAGAGAGGAGGAGGGAACCACCCATTCCCCGGCTTTGCCCTTCTTCTTACCCAGCCTTCAGTCTGCTGTCAGAGCCTCATGTGCATAACCCAGTGGGCATCCAGCTGAGTTGGGATCTGAAGAAGTCTTCCATGAGGGCTAGCCCTGTGGCTACCGAACAGAGCAGGGGAGGAGGAGGAGGAACTGACCTGCCTGGGTACTATTTAACCTCTGAAATGGGATGATAGGTCCTGCTTCACAGAGTTGAGGATTCATAATAGTAGCTCAGTAAAGGTTAGCTCACCTCCTTTCCATGGGCACAACTGCATTTAACGGCAGACAGTAGTTACCATGTGGCTTGAAAAGCTGAGGTATGTGGTGGTGAGAATTATTAGGATTCTGATCACCTCTCTGAGTGCTGTGAGCTACTGTGGATTTTTCTGGATCATGGGTTTTATTCTCCATACTTTATTCTCTTCATTCTTTTTGAAATGTTCTTTTTAATTCTTAAAGAAAAATTAATTGATAAAGAAAATCCATTATATCTTCTAACTCAAGGAACCTTCCAGTTTTGTCTGGAAGTATGGGGTAGTGGGTCACAAGATGAGACTGCCCCTGGAGAATGGATACAGGCCATGGAGAGGGTTGGTTTTCCCGTATTCCTGGTTGTATCTTATTTTTTATAGCCTGTGTTTTCAAGTTTTAGTCTTATTAAATTAATGCTTTCAAAGTAATGCTTTCAAAAGTACAACTAAATTACTTAAAAAATAAATTTATAATTGGAATAAAACATGGTTTAGCTAAAACTCCAGTTCTTTCCAGAGGACAAAATGTGATTTCTGTGTTGCCATTATAATTTTCAGTAAACCCAAGTGAATTTTACCATCATATTTAGATTGAGGGAGGAGGGGAGATGATTCAAATTACATTAAAAGATAATCTAATTTTTAGGTGCATTTCTTAAGTGCCATGAGCCACAGACTCAACTCAGCAGCCCTGCAAAGAATTTCTGAACTTGAAGAGTTGAATTTTCAGATGATGGAGGGATATTAGAGAGTCCAAGATTGTCAGTGGTGACATGTGATAGTAGTGATGTCATATGTGTGTAATATATTAGTGTTTTGACTTAAAATGAGAGATACAATACACATGCATATGAACAGGGCAGAGGGATTGGGTGGTGATCGGGGTGGAGTGGTGATGGCCCTGATTCAATCATCAGAAAAACTGACCAGTGATCTCTTAAGAAGGTCACCTGGAACAGCCCAGCCATCAGTGCCTTCACCCTTCCTGGCACCTCACCTCCTTTCTTCAGCTCTGAGAACTCACATTTAACTTCTAACATCCGCCTTCTACCACTGTGTTCCCTTTGTGAAGGGAACCACTAACTGCCCTCCACAGTGCTCACCACACCTCCGTTATCACATCCAGCAAATAACCCCCATTTGCATCTCTTCCCCATTTGTGGGCTATACAGGCATTGTGGTGAGATAGGTGAGAAGGCCAGAGTGTGGGAGAGGCAAGAGCTGAGATTGGAGAATCTGAATTACAGCATCCAAAGGTGTGTGGTGAGCACAGGCCAGTGCCTGCAGGGCTCCCCTTCCTGGTAGCCAAGCAAGAGCAGGATCCTGCATAGCGAAGCAGGTGGCCACATTGTCCTCCCCACAAGATCCATGCCCATCAGAAGGAAATTCCAGCCAAGGGCTGGGCAAGGACTCAGTTCTAGCCAGGCAGGCTAAGGATTGGATTAAGGATCCATGCCCATGAAGGGGCAGAGGGTAGGGAGAACTGTAGCCAGCCTCAGGAAATAAACAAAAAGCAGTCATAAGGATTCAGCCACCATGCCCAAAGATACACATGGCTGTTCATCTCCTGGGTTCAAGGCAGCAAGACTAAGCCAGACTTCACAAGCAGGTAGAAGTGGGTTCCTGGCCTGGGTAGCATGGACTCCCAGACTGGACAAGGTGAAGCCTACAGGTTGAAAGGTGAGGAGACCTTTGGTGAAGCCTACGAGTTGAAAGTGTCCAGACAGACTAGAACTGGCAACCTGCCTGACTGCCAGTCAGGATGAGAATACCCCTGTAGCTGAGATTATACTTTGATTGTACCTGCATTTCCAGTGCCTGGGACTTAGAACTTAACACATTATTAATAAGGTCACTTTCAGGTAGGATGATCATATGTTTCAGTTTGCCCAGGGCAGTCCCTGTTGATGTGGCATGTTTATTGATACCCACATTCACTCTTTTTAACTGTCCCACTTTAGATGTCATTCTACCTTGGGTAATATAGTTCACCAGTTGCTGGTGGTTCCAGCCATTCCTGTGGTTTGCAGGTGCTGGGGACCTCATGTGTTCCCTCCTGTCAGAACCTTCTGTTGGGACACCATTTCATTCCCAGTGCTCTCTCTCCAAAGGTCTCCTCTCTAAGTAGCTTGAACTTTAGTGAGTCAGTATAGAGTTGCGTAATGGACTGAAGGGTCAGCTTCAAAACTCTGGAATTAAAGCCTTGTTAGAATTGGTAATTGGTATGGCAGCCTGACTCTTGGAATAAGGATAGCATCCTGCTTTTTAATAAGGGGATTTGGTAATTAGCTTGCAGGTAGAATTTGTCCATGTTTTTATTTCTGGATAACTTTAATGAAATAAAATACAGTATAATTAGATGTGGCATTTTAAGCTTGCATTATAATACTTTTATGTAAAATCTAAGCATGACTTATAAATGCCTATATTTTATTCTCACATCAGCATCCATATTAATGCAAGGCCCTTCCAGTTCCAACTCTCAAAACTACTACGCAGTGTGTACTTTGTAGGATTGCCTGAGCTTCTTGGTTTTATAGTCTATATAAAATGGTATAGAGACCCTCTTAATCATATGTTCTGTGGCATATTATTTAAAACATGAGCTAGGTTCAGGAAGCTGTATTTAGAATGAATTTGGTGCCTGTGTGAAATTAATTGTACATTTACCCCTGGTAATTTTCTCTCAGTAGATGGGACTTAACAGCAGTGAGGCCTGGTAATGGTGACACAAGATTCATTGAAGCAGTTAAATTGCTTTAGTCACTGGCAGCATATGCCACTTAAAATACATTAATGATGAGATTTTGCTGGTTTTTAAAACTGCTTTTTATTTTAGTTTGATAAGCTAATTAATTTGGAAGGGACTTATGGTTTTAGAAAGGTATACAGTGATTCAGGAAAATGGCAGAACTGGACCTTCTGCAGTCCAAATTCACATTACTCTATTTTGCAAATGCTTTAGATTAATCACTTGAGTCTTCTGGATTCGGGCCATGCAGATATTGACGTTTTTATTGATTTCTTAACCCAAGCATGGCTTTTAATTAAAAAAAAATGGAGCTTACTATGGGTATGACATAAAGTGGATGTATATTGTTGCTCTCTGCCAAGTAGATACAAAGACTGTGAGCATGTCTGTGCCACTTCAGCAGATGTTTGTGTTAGGAAATCTTTCATTTGCATATAACACCTCTAAGTAGAAAAGCAGTGGATTTGAGATTTGCTGGAATTTTTAAATTACTCATTAATTTTGCAAAGTGGATTTACAGCAATGCATATTATAACATTTTGAGATAATTGTAATTATTTTAAAACTGTTTTTAAAATATATAGATTTCTACTTGGTGTTTGAAATGGTGATCCTACAAGTGGTGCTCTTTGAGTTCATTCATTCATTCATTCGGGGGCTCAAGAGACTTGATATTTAGCTTCTGACATCCCCCTTCTACCACCGTGTTCCCTTTGTGAAAGGAACCACTACCTGCTCTCCACAGTGCTCACCACAGCTCCGTTATTACATCCAGCAAATAATCCCCATTTGCATCTCTTCCCCATTTGTGGGCTATACAGGCATCGTGATGAGATAGGTGAGAAGGCCAGAGTATGGAAGAGGCAAGAGCTGAGATTGGAGAATCTGAATTAGAGTGTCCAAAGGTGTGTGGTGAGCACAGGCCAGTGCCTGCAGGGCTCCCCTTCTTGGAAGCCAAGCAACAGCAGGATCCTGCACAGCTAAGCAGGTGGTCACATTGTCCTCCCCACAAGATCCATGCCCATCAGAAGGAAATTCCAGCCAAGGGCTGGGCAAGGACTTAGTTCTTGGGAACTTGATCCCCTGCATGAATTTTTCCAGCCAGAGGCTATTTAAACATCATATGTCCTTTAGTGTAGTTTATTTAGGGTGTTAAGGCAGAAACAAAATAAATGCCTACATGTATAAGCTGGTGATTCTTAGTGTGGTAAAACAAAAGAGACTTCTTCCGTTTGTTGACCTTTTAAAACAGGTGGTGAGTTGTATTTGCACACAAAGGGGAAATGCAGATGATTATCAGTTTTGTACAAATTTGTATTTGTTCTGTCTGCAGCCCAGGAACGTGCACTCTCAGGCCGCAGGGCCTTCTCTAAGGAGGTGCTGGCTCCCCTCACAACAGAGGCAGGCTAGCTTTTTTCTGATCCTTCCCCCAGGCTTGTGAGCTTCTTCCAACATTGCAGTCTCTTTACTACCCCAAATCCATGTAATTGTTGTTCACTCTGATTGGCTTTCTCTTCTCCACATAATATATTAAAATCTAATATTTGAAGTTTTGTATTTTAAACCATTTTGATTTTAGCACTTTAGCTGTAGACTTTGGATTACATTACTAAAATTGGGCTTATTTTTTTTCCATTGACAAGTATAATCTGCTCTTTTTTGTGATGTATTAGACAACTCTATGTGTAATGTGGCCGTAGGCTCCGTGGAGGATTCAATAAGCCAAAAATAAATTTTTTCAGCCTGAATTCTGCTTCTTAAAAGTGTATACTCTGGTTGGGAAGGTTTACAGATTTTACAAACATGTGTTGTCTCTATGGTACTGACTTTAAGCACAAAAGGATTTAAGAGAAGAGAGGTTAGCCACACTCAAGTAAAGTAAACCCTTTCACCGAAGGCCTAGGGTTTCAGCCAGACCTCTAGGATGGGGCCACATTTGGAGATGAAAGGTTAGGACAGAGAATAATATGGGCAGGGAAATCAGCACTGGCCCCAGAAGTGGCTGAGGAACATAGATATCCTACTCTGGGAAGCTGCAATCTAACCTGGAACAATTAGGTGAGCACACCTACTGAGTTGTTTTGAGGAATAGAAAGAAGCAAAACACTGAGTCCCAGGCTTAGCACATGGAGAGCACTCAAGAACTGGCAGAAGTAGCCATTGTTGCAGGAATGGTTATAGTGAGAGGAGTGGGCTGCGACTCAGGGCATCAGGAGACTTAGGCCTTCCCGTAGGCGAGACTGACACCACATCCTGCCCTGGACTCAGGGCCTTCCTACCCAGGAAGGAAGAGAGTAGACCACCCTCTTCCCTTCCAGCCTCCAGCTGGACACCTGTAGGCAAGTTACCTTATCTCTCTGGAACTGAAGATCTTGATAATACTCGTGTTATAGGATTGTTGAATACATAGTAACTGTGTAATTAATAAATTTGAGCTATATATGATTCCAAATTCCTAGGCCAGAAGATTCAGACAGTGGGACCATAAGGGAAATGGGCCAGTGACATAAGGAAGCTGGTCAGGAAGCCAGGGTGAATTTGGTTTTACAGGAATTTGAGGAAAGAGCTGAAAAAGAGATATGGTAGAGACCCAATTTATAAGTCAGAACACAGAGGATGCTGTTATCAAAAAAAAAAAAGTTTTGTTAACAGATTTATCTCCATGTGGCCGTTTGGTAGGCAGTGAACATTTTGTTACAGAAATACTCATTTGAACATTGACTGGTATTGCTATAGAATTGTAATTATTTGATTTTTAAATAAATATTATAGATAAAACAGCCAAAGTTGAAAAATCTTAAAATTTAATTATTTACCTATCTGTCCTTGTACTATCAACTTTGTCTTCATACTATTTTACATCCAAAAGACCTCTTGTACTGAGATGTTTCGAAAAATTCTTTTGAAGATGCTTGATATAAAAGTTATATGATCTGTCACCCCTCAATTGAAGAAACAAAAAAATGACTTATGCTTCTTTTAAAAACACATATACCTTACATAAACAGTTATTTTGATAAGTTAAAGAATTAGCTTATTTTGTCTTTCTTTTAGTTCCAAGGCCATCATTGGCTTTATTAAGATGACCAGTTCATTGAAAAGATTTTCTATTCTGACTATCAAAATTGGTCCGGCCAGAGGCTATAGAAGATAAGGCCCATTCCCTTTAAAAGTTTACCTTCTACTTGAGGAGATAAGACTGACCCACATAAAACAATTAGATAACTGAATAAGACTGTAATTAATTATGCTAAATTACAGGGTAGACACTATAAATACCGTAAGAGTTTAGAGAAGAGAGAACACTGAGGGCTGAACTAGGGTGGCTCATGAATGGTTTGGAACTTATGAGTGTTTTGTAGAAAGCTGAGTTTCCCTTTTATGTAATTCATTATTTAGTTTCTTTTCTTATTTTTCCAATCTAATTGTCCCCCTCCACATACACATTAATTTCTTTTCTTTTTTTTTTTTTTTTGAGATGGAGTCTCACTCTGTTGTCCAGGCTGGAGTGCAGTGATGCAGTGGCGCAATCTCAGCTCACTGCAACCTCCACCTCCGGGGTTCAAGCAATTCCCCTGCCTCAGCCTCCCAAGTAGCTGGGATTACAGGCGCCTGCCACCAGACCTGGCTAATTTTTTGTATTTTTAGTAGAGATGGGGTTTCACAGTATTAGCCAGGATGGTCTTGATCTCCTGACCTCATGATCCACCTGCCTCGGCCTCCCAAAGTGCTGGGATTACAGGCATGAGCCACTGTGTCCAGCCACACACATTAATTTCATATGCAGATAAACCATTTGGTTAAAAAAGGCCCCAGGAAGAAGTTATTTTCCTACAAGACAAGATAGGAAATAATAAACAAAGTGATCACATAATAAATTGTCAGTGGGGCAATTCTCCTTAATTTTAAAATAATTATGGAATTATTAAAATTTCTGACTTGAAGAGTTACTATTCTTTGTTTGCTCTGGTGGATGTGATGTGTCCCAGGGCAATAGCTTTGCCCCTGCATGCTGATGGATCTCTAAGAAACTTTCCTTCTCACTCCTGCATCAACCCCTGGATTGCATTTTTTCCCTCAACCCCAAGCAGTGCCAGAGTTAAAGATTAAAAAATGAGGAAAATAATTTTTTTTTCAAAGTTATCCTGAAATAGTGAAGAACCAGCACAGTGTAGGGGAAAGAAAATTAATGATTGAGAAGTTACTCTTAGAATTGATCATATTTTTCGCATTATGTGATTCAACTTGCATACCTTTTAAAATTCAATGCAATTTACTAGACAGTTATTACCAATTAAAGTTATATAACTACATCTTTAAATAGCTCTGTAGTATAGGAAGTCAGCAGGCTCTGTAATGTGCTGAATATGAAACTACATATCCACAGTTGAGAAACACAGTTTTCACACCAAATTTTGCCAGCCACTTAAGTACCATTATAATAGATCATAAATTAAAATGTATTAACATCATTATTTTCACTAGAATCTAAAGGATCACTAGTGTAATTTATAGGAGCTCGGTGCTTACCGTTAAGTTTTTCACTACTGGAGAAAACTGTGAATTTTATTGCAGTTTGCACTGGACACAGATGTAGACTGTGGCTTTATATATTTACTTTCAGGAAACATTTTGGTAGTAGTGAAAATGCTTTGCCAAAAGAGTGTTGTTGTGAAAGCAGTATTGTATGTCATTATGGTCCTATGATTTCACAATTAGAGATACCCTTGTTTTAAAGGCAGATGTAACCCATTACATATTTGAATTATTTGGAACCTTTAACCTGACTTTGAAAGCTTCCTGTTACAGAAATTGGAAATTTGTTTTCTTCACATGTAGCTGTTTTGGGTGCTGTAGGTTTATCCACATTGCAAATAACAGGAGAGTGTGAAATGGAATCATCTGAATAATTCCAGTCACAAAGTGCTTTGAGTGAGGTCATTTGATCATTTTTTAGATAAAAATATTCTGGAGATTATGGGGATCATTGCTTCAAATTTGTACTCTTATGTGAATACTTATACAAGACTTAAATGATCATTTTAATTAAATTGATGGGCTTTAAAATTAACACAAGACTTTGAGAAATGGTTTTTTTTCCCTATGGGTGTGGGGATGCAGCCTTCTGAAGCTTTTTGAGAGGGCAGCTGGCTATCTTTGACAGTTTCCTAGTATATCTTGGGCATCACATACGTTTGGTTGTGCATCAGTTAAACAAGACTCAGAGAGGGTGACGTTCATTCTGTTTCTTCTGTGATAGGATTATCTTTCAACAAATCCTAAGTGTTTAGAGTATTGCAGTGACACATTTATGATGGTATTTGTCTTTGTTATTCTTCCATGAAGAAATAATTTCAGACTGAAATGTATTTATTGAACAGGATCTAATGTACAGTGTACCAAATTCCAGGCAGTGTTTAGAGCAGTTTTCAAATATGAACTCATCTTATCATTGTAACAACCCTGTGAGGTAGGTACCATAAATAACATTTGGGGAATAGGTATTATTTTGATGGCTATTTTACAGGTGAGGAAACCGAGGCACAGAGGACATGCAGTGCTAGCTCACATCTTGTGGCGCATAGTATTTCTGTGGGTGATTCCTAAACTAGAAAGTTGATAAACTATTGAATTATTTTGTTCTACTCTGGTATAAAGAAAACCATTTCACAGCTATCAATAAAAGTTTTTTGTGTGCTTGATTTTGCTGTTTTTATTAATAAAATTGTGTTACTTATATCTATAAATTATGTAGTTTTCATTTCTTCCCTGTTTCCCAGATTGTCATTTCTCTTTTGGATAGCCTTAAAATTTCCTTCACAACTCTGTAAAACATTTATTCTCTGCCTTTACTCTGGCATTTAAGGTTGACATTTTCTCTTAGGAAGTGATAATCTTCCTCTTTGTCTTCTAAAGTTTATGTTAATAAGGCCATGATTCTAAACTTCTTAGAGGAAGGGAGGTGAGTTTGCAGATCCCTTTGAGAATCTAATCACAGTCTTGTAGAGCCTCTGAAACTCCCCTGTGACCTTTCAAAGACTAACATCTAAGTTAGAGATGCCTTTGTCTTTGAAAGCACAGGTGAATTTAGGGACTACAGTCCTTTAAAAGAGAATAACTTTTCCCATAAAACTGTCCATTATATGTAGTACATTTGCAGGCTGGTGGCCAAGTAAACAACTTGTAGATATAAGTGGATCACCTGTAATCCATCTGAACTAGAATTATCTTGTATTTTTTTCAATTGATACATTATTATTATATATATTTGTGGGAGTACATGTGATATTTTGATACATGCATACAATGTAAAATGATCAAATCAGGGTAATTAGGACATCAGTCATGTCAAACATTTATAATTTCTTTGTGTTGAGAATATTCCAAATCTCCTCTTTTGAAATATACAATAAAGTATTAATGACTATAGTCAACCTACTGTGCTGTCAAACTCTAGAACTTATTTCTTCTGTCATTTTATACCCATTAACCATCTTCTCTTTATTCCCCCTCCTTCCTGCCCTTCCCAAGCCTCTGATAACCACCATTCTACTCTCTACCTCCATGAGTTTAAGTTTTTTAGCTCTCACCTATGAGTACATGTGACATTCGTCTTTCTGTGTCTGATTTATTTAATGATGTCCTCCAGTTCCATCCATGTTGCTGCAAATGACAGTATTTTGTTCTTTTTATGGGTGAATAATATTCCATTATGTATACTTACCATATTTTAAAAACCTATCCATCCATTAATGGACTCTTAGATTGAGTCCATATTTTGGCTATTGTGAATAGCACTGTGATAAACATGGATGTGCCGGTATTTCTTCAATGCACTGATTTCCTTTCTTTTGGATATATATCCAGCAGAGGGATTACTGGATTATATGGTAGTTCTATTTTTAGCTTTTTTGAGAAACTTTCATACTGTTTTCCAAAATGGCTATACTAATTTACATTTCCACTAACAGTATACCTTTCTTCACATCTACACCAGCTTTTTTTTTCTCTTTTTGATAATAGCCAATTTAACAGGGATGCGATGATATCCTCATTGTGGTTTTGATAAGCATTTCCCTGATGATTAGTGATGCTGAGCGTTTTTTCATATACTTGTTGGCCATTTGTATGTATTTTTTGAAAATGTCTATTTAGATAATTTGCCCATTTTTAATTGCTTTTTTTTGCTGCTGTTATTAATGCCTCATTGGACAGTTTGCACATATTTTCTCCCATTCTGTAGACTCTCTCTTTTCACTCTGTTGATTGTTTCTTTTGCTGTTTTTACAAATGTAATCCCATTTATTTATTTTTGTTTTTGTGACTTGTGCTTTTGAAATCTTATCCTAAAAAACATCTTGCCCAGCTGAATTGTTTCCCCAGTGTTTTCTTCTAGTAGTTTCATAGTTTCAGGTCTTACATTTAAGTCTTTAATCCATTTTGATTTGATTTTTGTATATGGTAAGAGATAGGGATCTAGTTTTATTCTTTGCATATGGATATCTGGTTTTCCTAGCACTGTTTATTGAAGAGACTGTCCTTTCCTTAATGTATGTTCTTGGTGCCTTTGTTGAAAATTAGTTGGCTGTAAATGCATTGATTTATTTCTGGGTTCTCTGTTCTGTTCCATTGGTCTATGTGTCTGTTTTGATGCCCGTACCATGCTGTTTTGGTTACTATAGCTTTGTAGTATATTTTGTAGTCAGGTAGTATGATGATGCCTCCAGCTTTGTTCTTTTTACTCAGTATTGCTTTGGCTATTTGGGGTCTTTTGGGGTTCCATATGAATGTTAGGATTTTTTTTTTTACTTCTGTGCAGAATGTCATTGATAAGTATTGCATTAAATTGATAGATCATTTTGGGTAGTATGGACATCTTAACAATATTAATTCTTGTAATGCATGAACACGGGATGGCTTTCCATTGTTTTGGTGTATCTTCTTCAGTTTCATTAGTGCTCTATCATTTTCATTGTAGAGATATTTCACTTCTTTGGTTACATTTATTCCTATTTATTTTTATAACTATCATAAATGTGATTGCTTTCTTGATTTCACTATTGGCATATAGTAATGATACTAATTTTGATTTCACTGTTGACATACAGTAATGATACTATTAGTAAAGATACTAATTTTTTATCTTGCAACTTTGCTGAATTTGTTTATCAGTTCTAAGAGTTTGTTGATGGAGTCTTTAGATTTTTTTAAATATAAGATCATGTCATCTACAAACAAGGACAGTTTGACTTATTTCTTTCCAATTTGGATCCCCTTTCTCTCTTTCTGTTGCCTAATTACTCTGGCTAGGACTACAAATACTATGTTGAATAAAAGTGGTAAAAAATGGACATCCTTGTCCTGTTCCAGATCTTAGAGGAAAGACTTTGAATTTTTCCCCATCATCTGAACTAGAATTCTTATTGATCTTTTTCTGTATGTGACTTTCTTTTTTCTTTGGCTGCCTCAAAGCTTTCTCTTTAATTGGTTTTCAGCAGTGTAACTATGACATATCCAGGTGTGTGTGTGTGTTTGATCCTGCTTGAGCTTCTTATTCTTGAGCTGCTTAACTTGGAAAATTCTAGGACATTATCTCTTCAAATATTTTGTTGCCCTATTATCTCTCCTGTTTTTCCTACAGGGACTTTGTTTTCACGTATGTTAGATAACAGCTCTTAGATGCTCTGTTTTGTTTTTCTAAAAAAAATATGTATATACTCTTCTGTTTCCTTGTATTTTCATTTGGATAATTTCTATTGACCTATCTGCAAGTTTACAGATTCTTTTCTTGACTGTATTTAGTCTGCTTATTACCCTATCAAGGAATTCATCATCTCTGATGTGGGTTTTTTTTTTAACAGTATTTCCTTTGGACCATATTTTATAATTCCCATCTTTCTGTGGAAATATACCATCTGATCATGCATATTGTCCACTTTTTCCACTAGATCTTTTAACATATTAATCATAGTTGTTTTAATCTTCCCATTTAATAGTTTCAGCATCTTCTGAGTCACTTCTAGAGTCTGGCTCTGTTGATTGCTTTATCTCTTGACAATGTTTTTTTGTTGTTTTTGTTTTGTTTTTCTTTTTACTTTTTTGGTATGACCTGCAATTTTTATTGGATACAAAAATCATGGTTAATAGAGACTGAAGTAAATGATGTGCTCAGAAATGGGCATATCTCTTCTTCCAGGTCATTAGTGTTGGGAAGATTGAGTCAGTAATTGAGCCAGGTTTGGGATTTGTGTTGCCATTGTTACCTTCAATGTACCACTGGCTTCAAATTTCTCCACTGGTGGGCTACTGTTACCTTGTGTTTTGTGTGAAGGAAGCAGGTAGCATACTAGAGGGTTTACTCAGAGTTCCTGCTCTGCCCTCAGCTCTCACCTGTGAATGCCTGTGTCAGAAAGGGGTCTCTTCCCATGTTCTTGTCCCTCCTGTAATGGTAGACTGCTTGCATTTTGGTGCTAGGCTTCTGGTAGGGTCAGGGAGAAGTTTTGGTCCTGCTGATCCAGTTTCAGTCTTAGGCAGCCCTATGCACCTGGGCCTCAGGAATGGGCCTTCTCACCTGTCCTAACCTGCCCTGCTCCCTGTGGCAGCCAAACTCTGCCTGTATCTGTTTAGAATTTGGGCAGGTGATAGTTTTCTGCCACTCTACTGGTCATAGCAGAGCTGTGCTTTTGTTGATGCAAGCTCCTGATTACAAGAGGTTCTGCTACCCCCTGGGGCAATGGATCTTTGCCTGGTTCCAGAGGTGGATGGGTTCTGCTTCTACCCTTTTCCCAGTGGCCCTGTTCTACCCCCAGTTTTTCTCAGGAGCACCCATGGAGAAGATTTACAAATGAGTGCAAACTCTTCCTGTGTCTGGCACTCCCGGTTACCCTAGATGGATACACTGGGTCACACTTGGCTTTTAAGAATTCCTTAAAATTTTATCTGATTTCCTCTTACCTGCTTCCATGGTGGCCACATCTTCTTCCCACGCTCTACCAAACCCAGAACAGTTTCTTGTGTCCTATTTCTCCTTGGAGGGGCGTGTCACTCTTTGAAATTCCGTTCCCTTGGTTTCTGTGTGACCGTGGCTCTCTGATGCATACAAGAACAGTTATGATTTTATAGATTATTGGGCTTTTTCTTGTTAGGGTAGAAGTGATATTCTGTTTTGGCTTTCTGTGTTGTAAACCGCCATCTAAACTTTACTTGCCCCCACTTCATGACTTTTTAAGTCACCCATAGGCTCCTAAGATCTGAGCCCTCATAGACTCTGCAAAGCTAGGGCAGGGGTGAGCTTTTGGAATACAGAATACTGTAGAGGACATGACAGAAGAGGAGCGCCCATGGAGGAGAGGCATCCACAGGCCAAGGAGTTTCTGTTACTTGCAATAAAGGGCCTTTCCACATGAGCAAGAAGCAGCATTTAACTGTACCTAGCTTTCCTTTATATTATTTTATTCTTTTTCATTTCATTTTATTTTATAAAATGACCTTCAGAGTGACTGTCTTGCTCCAAATTCCCCCTTTTCTTCTTTTTTCTCATCTTAAAGAGCACATCAAAGTTTTAAAGATGTGTGAAAAACTTTGCAGGGTAGCCCTTATGTGCCTGGCATGACTTATTCTTTCAATTCAGAGTTATTGTTATTGAGCTGAAGAAAGGTCAGGCCTTGCTGTGCTCATTTAATGGACTTCAAGTTCTTTCTTGGGTTTTTTTGTTTAGTTTTGTATTGTTGTGTAAAAGAGAAATTTTTCTAACCCCCAGTTTCTCAACTCTAATTCTAAATCCCCCTTGATAAACATGGTGATCCCCTACCTTTCTTTAATGTTATTTATATTTCAGATTAAATAACTTGATTCAAGCAAACCAGAGAGATAAATGGCTGCTTTGTTTTCATACTACACCCTCTCCCCATTCTGAGCCACCCCATGCCCACACCCTAGCCCCACACCAGAATGACTGCTTAGACTTGGTGACTGTTTTGCCAGGGTATTGAATCTGGATATTGAAACATCATTTTCTCATGATGTTTTTTGAGGAATAATCAAACAGAAAATGGGAACAAATGAGGCTTGAAAGACAGGAGTCTTTCAAGTGGAAGTCTTTCAAGTCTTTCAAATGGAATAGGAAACAGGAGGTAATTTTCTTCCAGCAGGGCATTAACTATCTGTGTGCCCTTAGACAAGACTGCAGCTCCACAACTTGGTTTCTTGTTCCTCTTCTCCAGAGCGAGCTAAATCGATTGAATCAGTGCCAGACACTTTGTTGCCAGCCGATGAAATGAGGTTCACCTATTCCTTATCCCGTTTCAGGATGAGAATTTATGAAATTACCCATGCCCATTTATGAAATTGCCACTACCTAAGTATCCCAGATGGTAATTTTAGTGGCCTCCTATTTTTAGTGACAGCCTTCTATTAAATAAAGTAGGCAGTTATGTTAGAAAGATGTATGTTTTTCCATAGGACTCAATATGGCTATTTATGTTTTTAATGCTAAATATGAGTCGTATAAACATTTCTATTTTTCCTGAATTTGCTGTGGTGCAGAATGTTTCCCTAGTCTCTTTCTAGTTCATTGCTTTATCTAAAATCATTCCCGGTATGAAATTGTTATTCTGTTGGCTAATGTACAAATGAACCTTTGTTTCTTTCTAGTTCTAAATTTTAAGATTGTCAAGAAATGCAAAATTTCAGGGTTGATATGGAGGTAGGTTCTTTGGAAGCCGGTTTTCTTGCAGTCCGGACATTGTTTGTGTATTCTTTCTCTTGAGGTTACTAAGTTCTAATAGAGTAGCAGAATTGCACCAAGTTTCCCTTCTGTTGTATTCACCACTCAGAAGCTTTGGGTGATGAGTACTCCTTCACAGTATAACAGCCAATTCTGAGAAATAGTTTATACTATTTTTTAAAAGTATTTTGAGGCACAAGTGTCTCAGCAGAAACCTGCATTTTTTCCTCTGGTTTTAGATGGTTAATGCATGTGAGTATTATGCATTTAATGTTCTTCCAGTTAAAAAGGTATATGTATAGCACATGTAGGTTGAATAATCTTCATTATTTAGTTTAAACTAACTTGCATTACAAGGCAGCATAAACAATAGATCCCAGCTCTCTGCTTCTGACCAGCTACTTAGCTTAGGCAAGTATTTGATCACTGCCAGGCTGAACAATGAAAGACAAGTTGAAATGAGTAAGAGTGGGATAAGGATTCCAGGAATTAGGCAATTTGGGGCTCAGTCTCCTGCCATTGAACACCAGTTCTCCTTCCCTCCCACACAAGTGCTTCTGTCCTCCCCTTCCTTTTCTGCTGACTGTGGAAGACCATTTCGCCAGCTTCTCCTGTATTCACATCCACTTGTTGCTCCCAGCCAGAGATTCTGGTCCACCCATTAAGGAGTGCAAGCTCACATCTGTTCTCTTCCTTATTGGTCTCTAAACAAGCATACTCCTCTATTGGTGTTTTCTGATCACTTTATCTGCTAGTGAGGAAGGAGAAGCAGATTCAGGCCTTGGTGTGCTATGGAGACAGTTCTAGGCAACAGCAGATGGAGGGAGAGGAAGAGACAGGAAGTCTCTGCTAAGGGGTGTCCTTGATGTCATTATATCTGCCCGTGGTTGGGTGGTCATCATGTTCATGTGTCTGCAATTGATAACCAGAAGTCTCCATTCAAAGCCTGGGCTGGTTTGTGAAAAGCATGGCAATGTTCTTAAAGCCACAGTGTGGTGTTTAAGCTGCTGCCTGTTCCACATACATGGGTATGTGAGCATGTGTGTATGTTATTAACTTACTTTGCTATTAGGCCTTTTCCCTCTTAATAAAAAAGAAACCTGTTTATCTGAAATGTATCATTTATAACAAATTAGAAAGTGTAACAGAATATTAATCAGCCTGTAAAAATGAAAGAATAAAAGATTACAATGTTGGGAAAATACTATATATTTCTTAATGGATCAGTGGATAAACCACATCCATATATTTTTGTAATTGTTCTACTAGTGTCATCTTTGAGACACGATATATAAAGATTATAAAATTCCCTAACTGAGTCAGTATGTTGTCTTTATCAAAGGTAAATGCGTCTTTTAAAAACTAAAGACATCGGTCAGGCGTGGTGGCTCACACCTGTAATCCTAGCACTTTGGGAGGCTGACGCAGACGGATCACGAGGTCAGGAGATCGAGACCATCCTGGCTAACATGGTGAAACCCCGTCTCTACTGGGAAAAAAAAACTAAAGACGTCATTCTGAAAAATAGAAAATTATACATTTGTTTCATGTCCTTATGCATGGCTGATTACAAAACTAATTTCATGCTAACTCACTCAAATTGATGTAATACAATCTATGCTTTAGGGATTTGAAATGGCTTTAATATAATGTATCTTACAGATACAATTACCACAGTTTTTATGTATTTTGCACTTTATTGTTCTGAGGATATAATTGTAAAGAAATATTCTACCTTGTGGCTTTTATGTTTTGTCTTGGCACCCAGATCACAAAAGCTTCTATGGTTCATTTTGAAACTTTGAGGAAAATGATACCCATATGATTTAAAGTTTAAGTTTAATTACCTTCTGCAAATTGCTTTTGGAAGTATAGGTAGTTAGAAAGTAAAAGTGGTTTTAAATTTCAGAGATAGAGTATAGCATAATAGCTTTTTAAAATACAGATATTTTCTATCCAGAGCAGGAAAATTAGAATTGCCTTTGGATAATATTCAACAATGTTCTTTTCTTTGTCATGAAAGTGATATAATTCCAACTCCCATCCCTATTTCTTATTTATAAATACAATGAATACTGAAAATTTGTCATAGATTTTATACACATACTGAAAGGCAGTATCATCTTTTAGGTTTAAAATTGTGAAAGATCTTTTGAGGTAATTTGAGCACTCTTTTCAAATAATAAAGGTCTCCATACAAGGAAGGACTTAAATACACACACAGATGTGGATGTCAGCCCCTTAAGATGAGAACATGTTACCTTAAGCAGGAAAGTTGAACAGTGCCTTACTGGTGATGCTAACTTCTTTAGAAATAAGTGCTGCCTGAAGTTTTAAACTTAGTCCTTTTAATAATCTATTAATATTAAGGTACAAGGTGACATTGTTCTGAGCATTGGGGCATAGTAATAGGTTTTAATAAATCCAACTCTACGATTTTAGGAGCTCCAACAGCTATAATCTAGCCCTTCATCTCAGACTTACATGTCTATCTGATGTATACTGATGACTGATCTAGTATGAGACTTTGGAGAGAGGAATTTCTGCTGGAATTCCCATTTAACAGTTACTTAATTGGTTTCTACTTAGCTGTTTCTCATCATTTGGTGCAAATAGTTTCCAGAAATAGTCTAGACGTCTTAGCCCAAGTAGTCAGGAAATGGTTTTTAAACTTTAGTGTACATCCTCCGTCACATGGAGTGCTACCTTGATGTAAATTCCTGGGCACCAGCCCCAGGGAGCTGGTTCCATGGGCCTAGCAATCTGCATTGTAACCAGGTAACCCAGATGATTCTGAGGCAGGTGGTCTGGTGACAAGCCTTTGAGAAGTATTGGTGTAGGAGGCGTACGTAGAAACAGGGCCTGTTTCATGGTGTATGACCTGTACAGTTGCACAGGCTTCACACTGACTCAGAAGAGCCCTGGGCTTCACTTAGCTCCTCTGTCACCTTGAAATTCTTAATAATTTTTAATCAGGGAATCCTGCATTTTCACTTTTCTCTGGGCTCTGAAAATTGTTTCTTTCTTTCTATTTTTTGAGACAGGATCTTGTTCTGTTGTCCACATTGGAGTGCTGTGGCAAGATCATAGCTCATTGCAGCCTCAATCTCCTGGGCTCAAGCAATCTTCCCATCTCAGCCCCCTGAATAGCTAGGACTACAGGCATGAGCCACCATATCTGGCTAATTAATTTTTTTTTTTTTTGAGACGGATTCTCACTCTGTTGCCCAGGCTGGAGTGCAGTGACACAATCTCAGCTCACTGCAACCTTTGCCTCACGGATTCAAACGATTCTCCTGCCTCAGCCTCCCGAGTAGGTGGGATTACAGGCACCCGCCACCATGCCCGGCTAATTTTTGTATTTTTAGTAGAGACAGGGTTTCAGCACGTTGGCCAGGCTGGTCTCAAACTTCTGACCTTGGGTGATCTGCCCCTTCTTGGCCTCCCAAAGTGCTGGGATTACAGGCATGAGCCACCATGCCCGGCCAAAAAAAATTTTTTTTTGTAGAGATGGGATCTCACTGTATTACCCAGGTTGGTCTCAAACTCCTCACCTCAAGCAATCCTCCTGCCTTAGCCTCCCAAAGTGCTGAGTTTATAGGTGTGAACCTCCGTCCCTGGCCTGAAATTGTTCTTCTTGATAAATATGAATTGCAATTATTCAATAATGATTTCATACCTGTTGGTATTAGGCTGTCAACTGCAAGGCCAATTCTGAGCTTTAGAGATGAATGAGTATCATTCATCACAGGAATCTAGAATAGGAAATCTTAATAGTATGATTTTTTTCTAGGAAATTAAATTTCTATTCATAATCTTGAACATAGAAACCTATATTTATGTTATTCTAATATACGGTCTTTTTTTCCTCTCAGGATGGTACAAAACAGAAGAGGGAACGGAAAAAGACAGTCTCATTCAGCAGCATGCCAACAGAGAAGAAGATCAGCAGTGCAAGTGATTGTATTAATTCAATGGTTGAGGGTTCAGAACTCAAAAAGGTTCGCTCCAACTCTAGAATTTATCATAGGTACTTTTTACTGGATGCTGACATGCAGAGCCTAAGGTGGGAGCCATCTAAGAAGGATTCTGAGAAAGCCAAGATTGACATTAAATCCATCAAGGAAGTGAGAACAGGAAAAAACACAGACATATTCCGCAGCAATGGCATTTCTGACCAGATATCTGAAGATTGTGCGTTTTCCGTCATATATGGAGAGAATTATGAGTCACTGGATTTGGTTGCCAACTCCGCAGATGTTGCAAACATCTGGGTTACAGGACTGCGGTACCTAATTTCTTATGGAAAACATACACTTGATATGTTAGAAAGTAGCCAAGATAACATGAGGACTTCTTGGGTTTCACAAATGTTTAGTGAAATTGATGTAGATAACCTTGGACATATAACTCTGTGTAATGCTGTGCAATGTATCAGAAACCTCAATCCTGGTTTAAAAACGAGCAAAATTGAGCTTAAGTTCAAAGAATTGCATAAATCAAAGGACAAAGCTGGTACCGAGGTCACAAAGGAAGAATTTATTGAGGTTTTTCATGAGCTTTGTACTAGACCTGAAATTTATTTCCTTTTAGTTCAGTTTTCAAGCAATAAAGAATTCCTTGATACCAAGGACCTTATGATGTTTCTTGAGGCAGAACAGGGTGTGGCACATATAAATGAGGAAATAAGCCTTGAAATTATTCACAAATATGAACCATCCAAAGAGGGTCAGGAAAAGGGCTGGCTCTCCATAGACGGGTTCACTAATTACCTTATGTCACCTGACTGTTATATATTCGATCCAGAACATAAGAAGGTCTGTCAGGATATGAAGCAACCTCTGTCTCATTACTTTATAAACTCATCTCATAATACATACTTAATAGAGGATCAGTTCCGAGGTCCCTCCGACATCACAGGATATATTCGAGCTCTTAAAATGGGTTGCCGGAGTGTTGAATTAGATGTATGGGATGGGCCGGACAATGAACCTGTAATTTACACAGGCCACACCATGACCTCTCAGATAGTTTTCCGCAGTGTCATTGATATTATTAACAAGTATGCATTCTTTGCTTCAGAGTATCCTCTTATCTTGTGTTTAGAAAACCACTGTTCCATTAAACAACAGAAGGTAATGGTTCAGCACATGAAGAAACTTTTAGGAGACAAGCTCTATACAACATCACCCAATGTTGAGGAATCTTATCTACCATCCCCAGATGTCCTGAAAGGGAAAATACTAATTAAAGCAAAGAAGCTGTCCTCAAATTGCTCTGGGGTAGAAGGAGATGTTACTGACGAAGATGAAGGAGCAGAAATGTCTCAGAGGATGGGAAAAGAGAACATGGAGCAACCCAATAATGTGCCTGTGAAGCGATTTCAGCTTTGTAAAGAACTGTCTGAACTGGTCAGCATCTGCAAATCAGTTCAGTTCAAAGAATTTCAGGTGTCGTTTCAGGTTCAGAAGTACTGGGAAGTCTGTTCCTTTAATGAAGTGCTTGCCAGCAAGTACGCCAATGAAAATCCAGGGGACTTTGTAAATTACAACAAACGTTTTCTTGCTAGGGTTTTTCCCAGTCCAATGAGAATTGATTCCAGTAACATGAATCCTCAAGATTTTTGGAAATGTGGTTGCCAAATTGTAGCCATGAACTTTCAGACACCAGGACTGATGATGGACCTGAATATTGGCTGGTTTAGGCAGAACGGAAACTGTGGCTATGTCCTCCGGCCAGCCATCATGAGGGAGGAGGTCTCCTTCTTCAGCGCCAATACAAAAGACTCTGTCCCAGGGGTCTCACCTCAACTTCTTCACATTAAAATCATCAGTGGGCAGAACTTTCCCAAGCCCAAAGGATCAGGTGCCAAAGGTGATGTGGTAGATCCTTATGTCTATGTTGAAATCCATGGAATCCCTGCTGATTGTGCAGAACAAAGGACAAAAACAGTGCACCAGAATGGAGACGCTCCCATTTTTGATGAAAGCTTTGAATTTCAAATCAACCTGCCTGAACTGGCCATGGTGCGCTTTGTAGTGCTGGATGATGACTACATTGGGGATGAATTCATCGGCCAGTACACAATTCCCTTTGAATGTTTACAGACGGGCTACCGCCATGTCCCCCTGCAGTCCTTAACTGGAGAGGTCCTTGCACATGCTTCTTTATTTGTCCACGTGGCTATTACTAACCGAAGAGGAGGAGGAAAGCCTCATAAAAGGGGCCTTTCTGTGAGAAAAGGGAAGAAATCCAGGGAATATGCATCTTTGAGAACACTGTGGATTAAAACCGTGGATGAGGTATTCAAGAATGCCCAGCCCCCTATACGGGATGCCACAGATCTGAGAGAAAACATGCAGGTGCGTGCTTGTGTTTAATCATTTACTCAATGGTTTTCCTACTTTGTACATGTCCATAGTTTATAAATATATTGGTTTTTTAATAATAGTATATTTAAGTAGTTTTTAAATTCTGATTAGTTCTTAGAATGTTTGCCACTAGTCTGTTTTTTATCATTTAACTTCCTAAAGGTACAGTTGATGTTGAAAATATTGATTACATATTGGGATAAGTGAGTCTCGTTGCTGTGTTACACACCTTCATCCCAGTCCCTGTTAATGACTGCTGAACAGTTCCTTGTTTTTTTCTAATAGTATACATGGGAATCTCTGGGATTTCTGAATATTCCTTACCTGGAACACAAATTGATGATCTATCAAAATAAAAAGGATATAGGTCAAAGTAAAATGGATGTGATCCAGTCCTTTCTTACGAAGCTGTAATGCTGAGGAGATGGGAAACCTTTAAATGAGCCATAAATATATGTGTATGCATAGTGAGCCTCCTTTTGATTTGAGAGGATAGCTAATTCTGTAAGTAAAAGAGATGTCTGTATTTATTAGAAGTTTAAGATAATAATTACCTCTGAAATATATAATGGCTAAAAGCAGTCAGTTAGGAATTACATATTTAATTAAGGATCGCCCACACATCTAGCCATACGCTAGGACCCCTGAGTGACACAGAGCTAGACAGCAAGGGCCTGCCTCATGCAGACAGCAGCCCTAACCTGTCATAGTGTGTGAGAAGTGGTGTGTGTGTGATAAGTGCTCCATGTCTGTTTATTTTGTATTTTAAAAATTATATTTTAAAATGACCAATGAGAATGATGCCAACAAATAAAATCTGACTGAGAAAATTCAACGTTTTTTCCCTATCAACTAATTCTATGTGTACTTCGTGAATAAAAGACCTTCCCACAATAAGGAAATTTGTTTTCTTTCTCTTAAAGTAAAAGCATAACAGACATATGAAGGGCTTTTCCCTGTTTTTGAGGGTGAAAGTGGTTTGGTAAACCCTCAGCTCTGAGCAAGCGCATTGTCCACTGCCCAGTGGCTGCTGTGGTGTGTGTGACACAGAATTCCTTTGAGGATTTGTCAGAGCTCAAGCATTGTCTTTTCCAAAGCCTCATCTGCACTGAACCTGACAAAGCAGTCGGTAGTGATACTGAATGAGCACCTGCCATGCACAAGCAATCTAGGCCATGAAGATGCAGTGGTGAACAAACAGATTGACTGCCTGCCTTTAAGGGGCTTGCATGCTAGTTGGGGGCAGGCAGTGGGAAGGGGAAACAGACAGGAGGCAGGCAGATAAACAAATAGAACAACTGCAGGTATGAGTAAGTGGTGTAATAAGAGTGACTGGGGAACTGCACTTTAAATATCACAGTCATGATTGATTTCTGTAACTGTCAATATCAAAGTGATTTGAGCCAATGATCTATAGTTTGATGTCCATATTTAAAGCAATATTAATAAAAATGAAATGTTTAAATTTAAAACTAAAGTGTTCATTCCCAAGAACCTGCATTATTTGAGAGCAGAAGGCACAGGCCTGCAGGGCCTAGGTCCACCCCCTCTGCCCGCATGCCCGGCCTAGACCAGGACCCAAGTGTGCCTGAAATAGCCCACCTGACTCTTATTATGATTATAATTGGCCTGTTATTACTCACGGTGACTCAAAGCATGGGCCTTAACATCAGCAGCTTTCAGGTAAAATCTTGACTCCTTCACTTACTAGCTGTGTGACGCTAGACAAACAGAGAAGGATTATAGCTAAGGCTCAGTCTTCTCATCCATAACATGGCTTGCTGTGTGGATTAAATGGAAGTAATGTGTAATAAATATGCCTAGTATGGCTTAGCACTTAGTAAGTGTTCATAGAAGGCCAGCTCATGGCATTTTATAGTGTTGAAGGTTTTTCTTTAATGGGTATTTAAATGGCATATCTCTGGTGATTAGAAAAAAGAGAGAGAGAGGCATTGGGATCAGCAGTGACACTAATAGGGGAAGGTCACAGGTAACCAAGGTCCCTGCTGGGCAGACTCAACAGAGAACAGTAGCATCCTCAAAGGTTCTTTAGATTTTGAGCCAGCAGGCATAAATAGATGAGAGATTCAGGTTTCTACCTTGCAAATATTTCTTTCCCTTTTGTATGGCTGGCATATTTGATACTTATTTTAAATCTGATTTGATTTTTTTTTCTCCTAAATCTTTACCCTCTTTGAATGCAGAAGCTATTCGCTCTGTTTGCTCATAGTTGCATATCCGCATCAGCACTACTATGAACTTTGGGCTGAAAAGAAGCCTTGCCCTTCAGAAGAATTTGACTTATTTGCATTTTCAGTACTTTTGATAAATTGGTGTTACAAATGTCCATAACAGCATTTACTTTGGATGACAGCCATTTTTCCCAGGATAAAACAATCATTAGCCAATTCTGTTATAACACTGTTAATAACTTTTGTACCAGGTGGTTCAAGCATAATCAGATATATCAAATATAATATCCATGAGAAAGTAAAACCCCCAGTTAATTACAAATGCTCCTTTCATTCCATTTAACAGAATGCGGTGGTGTCATTCAAGGAGCTGTGTGGCCTCTCCTCTGTGGCCAATCTCATGCAGTGCATGTTGGCGGTGTCTCCCCGCTTTCTGGGGCCCGATAACACACCCCTAGTGGTCCTAAATCTCAGCGAGCAGTACCCCACAATGGAGCTGCAGGGAATTGTGCCGGAGGTTCTGAAGAAGATCGTAACAACTTATGACATGGTGAGTTGTCCTTTGTCCGTTTACATAGCCTGGGTGAGAGAGATATCCTAAGACAACACAGCAGACATACTTTGGAGCTTTTGCTGAAGTGCACTTTCCTATTTCATGCTTCATTCACCTATGCTGGAGAAGTAATTCCCCTGACCTTGCTGTATTTGAAAGAGATTAGTGTTTTGTTGTTTTTGAAAGCAGAATTCAGAGACACTCACCTCAGTTGGATTAAACATTAGTTAGCTTCTCAGCTATATCTGAATTGATTTTTAAAGGATGCACTATTTTCCACACAGATGTAGGAACGAGTTTTTAAAAATCTTCTCCTGCAGCCAGTCATTGATTATTTGTTTTCATTTTATTTTCATTTTTTCAACTGGTAAAGGCAAGAAATTTAACTTAAAAATGTAATGCCATGAGGGACAGGTGCCTGTATCACATGACTCTGCACTAGGCTATGGTTTCCCTTCTTACAGGAGCTGCTCTGTGATACTTGTATTTGTAATGAGCTTAACACTAATGGGGTATCCTCAGGACACCTAGAATATTACATTTTTCTACTTAAGATTTACCTTGCATTTTCTTAATCACATCCTGCTCTTACTGTAATTTTTTTATTTATCATAACTCTAAGAGAGAATTTATTGGGTGAAGGACACCCATTTCAAGTGTATGATGTAGTTGAAGCTGTCATTGACTCTTCAACCTATCAGGGTTAAGGGTTGGTGTTGGACACTCCCCTCCCAGATGGGCCAGTCTGTCTTCAGTACTATTTAGAGTACTTGGGGGTGAGTACCTCATCTGCTACCTCCTCCACTCCAAAAGCACAAGCTAAGACCACGAAACTCTAGGTTTCTTCTGATGTAGCTTGCTGTGCTCAAGGACAAAACAGGATCGGCATCATAAACCTAAACAGAAATATTTTTGACTGTTTCATAAGTTGTCTGAAAGCTGTAATTTAGAGGGATTTATGCAATTCAAGGGAAAGAAAAAAGACGTTGGGCCAGCACTTCTCAATTGTGACTACTTCGTAGGTTTCTTAGGATGTTAGTAAATATCACATAGGGGAAGGGTTTCATAGGATGTTAGTAAATATCACATGGGGGGAAAGTTCCTTGACTAAATAATTTTGGGAAATACTAGTTTGAACAAAAGTAATCAGATATCTTTACTGCAGGATTTCTTAGAACCTTTTATTTGCTATCACCATGAGTTCCAAGATAGTGATAGAGTATTTCCAGTTTCACAAATTGACTTGACCATTGGAATACTATTTCTAAAAACAAAGATTCTAGAGAATATATTTTGGAAAATCCTTCTTCAGTCTTTGGATGAATAAGTCTAGAAGTACAAGTCAGAAGAATGCAGTGTTTTAAACAGCTTATGAGTTCATTACCTTAAAAAAAGTGATATTTGTGCATTTTGTAGATTCCTATGAAGTAGTCACACATTGTAGTGGGGGCTGTTTCCTTCTTAGCATTCATGGTAACCTTAAGAGACACCAGGAACTGAATATTGGACACTGCAAGCAAACTACATAGAGTGGCACCCTCCTGCAGAGAGGAGGGAGGCCAGGGTCAGGTGTCTGATGAGCCTCAGGTGCTGAGTGCCACTGTGCTGAGTGCCAAAGGGGTCCACAAAGACTCATATGAACAGCCCCATCCTCGGGGAGCCATCAAGTCCACCAGGAGAGAAAGTGAGGCTGGGGACCAACATCAACACAGGAAGCATGCTGAGATTCCTTTGGTGGGGAAATAGAAGAAGGGGTAAAAATGGAAAAGTCTGAAGATCTTTTACATGCTATGAACCAGACTGCCTAAATAGTTCTTGACTTAAGTTTTATGAGATGAAGCCAAAAAAGTATCTGATATTTATAAACGCTTTTTAAGCATAAGCCACAAATAAAATCACATACCTGTTTCATTGACCAAAATCTAATATGATTTACCCCCTAAGACATTTGCTTGATTTCTATGACAGTCATACAGTGACATTTCTTCATGGCGAGCTTTTTAACAGGGACTTCTTGAGGGTGGGGTGGTAGTACCCCGTGGAGGTGATAACAGCATAACAGGGCAGGCCAAGTTCAGGGGCTGATTTCTGCTCTATCAAGAGTGTGTGATCATAGCTGGTTTCTCATGGTCTATGTTAAAAATCCTCATGGCCACCAGCAACCTTTATGGCACTCATAGCAATATTCGGCTCAGGAATGGCTCATTGCTCCTTGGTTCCCTGCCTCTTCCTCTTGGATTGGTAGATGCTAGCTCTTAATATGTAACTCTTATTTGCGTCTAACTGTATCATTATGTTGTTATAGATTTGGCAAGACAGAATATGCTAGCTTGCTTAAAATTTTTAAATTATAAAATTACTCTTTTATAATGTATAATTGAAATAGCTGTGCAGCCTTATACTGCCTAATTTATCGATATGTTCTGTTAATTCCATCTGATAAAATAAGCTAATAAAATATTTAAAATTAAATTTAAATTATGGCTGCAGCAATATTATAACTCTTGTAATATTTTGCAGTTCTTTTTAGTGACTTAATGGTTTCTTACCTTGTGACAATTTATTAAAGCTAGCCAGAATAGATTAAATATTGATGGGAAATGTACTAAAGGTCTCGGACAGCCCGTAACTCTAAATATAGCTCTTTATTTTTGTAATGTTATGTTGAGCTTGCCCCAAAATTAACCTTAGAAATAAGATCTTATTTCATTCTGTTGACTTCCCATGTATAATGTATGGAGGCGAATGAGAAGTAAAGGCAAGTTGAGAAACTCCTCCAGAACTCCTGTGTCATGGCCAGTCTACATGCCTAAAGTGTGTCTTCCTGTGAGGACAGTGCCATGGTACCTCCTAAAATGTACAGATGTGTATTTATGCTATCAAGATTGTGATTACTTTTCAATATCTAGACTGTATTAATAAAATAGTATTTCAGAAGTGTGCTAGTTTCTTTGTGAAAACGGAGAATGCAGATCGTTGTCCTAATGGCTGCCGTGATTACTACCAACAAACAGGCCTTGAAAACTGCCAGAATTGTGCTTTTACAGGACTTGTGGTGCTCTCGTGGCTCCTGTGGTGGGGTGAGCCTGGGACCTAGCTCAAGAAGACAGGTATCAGAGCCATTCAGGAGTGGAGAAGAAGAGAAATTCACACACCTCCTTAGACTAGGCAGATTAAGGGAGTTTTAGTAGGAACTGGACTGGGATGGAAAGTGGGAATGACCCTATTAGCAGTGCTGGAGTCAGAGACATGAGTGTGGGATAGAAGGCACCTGCTGAACTTGTGCCTGGAGGCCTGGGGCACACAGATGACCCTTCTTCCTCCCAATGGTGAGCAAGGGCCCTAGAGTCCTCTCCTGCTAGAACCTAGAGCACAAAAGCTGCACATAGCAACCCTAGGTAGGGAAATTGTAGCAGGGCTGGAAGGGGGCCTCATGCAAATGGAGGCTTACAGGGCATTTAAATGAGGCGTCTTTGTCCCCTTAAGCTCAGTGTCCTTAAGTACTTCATCCCATGATTTTGGGGCTCAACCTGTGAGGGCTCATCTTCCTCCAGTCAGCTTGTCCTCTCTGCCTCTCTTAATGGAAGTGACCCTTGAGTCCCTTTTTTCATACCTATCTACTTTTTTTCAACAGATGGGGCCTGGGCTCCATTATTAAGCCATGTGGTTGGGCTTTTGCCCACAACCCCTTATTTATTGCATTGGACAGCATACATGATTATATCATACATCATGACCATAAAGTCAGAGGGTCAAACTTTTGAACCAAATAATTGATTTGCTTTAAAGATGTCACGTTTGGTTGTTTTGAAGTGGCATATAATAGAAATTTAATTGGTTTATTTCAATAAAACAGATACAAAATAAGTTACTGTATTTTTGGTGATGAATTCAACACCCATTTATAAGCTCTTAGCACGTGCACTGCTCACTCATCAACAGCAAGTATTTATTGAGTGCCTACTGTGTACCAGTGACTATTGTAGGCAACATGAGGTAATATAAAGATGAAAAAGACTTTTTTTTTCCTTTGAGGAGCTTATAATTTAGTTGAAGAGATGCTGCAGTATGTTTATAGATAACTGATAAGATGATAGACAATAGATAGTAAATAGATATTTTAAAATATATAAATGAATTATTTGAATCTTCAAAGGAGAGAATGGTTAGTTTCAGGTTCAGAGATTAGGAAGACTTCAGTGAAACATCGGCCTTGAACTAGACCTGTAAGAATGAGTTGGAATTCAACTGGTAAAGAGGAGGCTATTGCAAGATGAGTTCGTAGGGTGAAACATGCTCACAGGTGAAATATGCTCAAGCACATATTCTGGGAAATCCAGGCTTGGACTGTAACAAATAGTAGGGAGTCCTTGCACATTTTTGAGCAAAGGGCTATGCTCAGAATTAGGCATTATGGACTCTGGGAGGCTTGGAGTGAAATAGAACTCAGAGACCACCTATTGAGCACCTTTATTTTGCACGTGAGAAAATGGAAACCCTGTAGCACAACAAATTAATGGCAGAACCGGGGTTGGCACCCAAGTGGTATCTCTGTCCAATTTTTTTCTGCAATCCAGATCAGAAAAATTAACTGTATAGAATGTGTAGATGAATGATCAATGTAGCAATAAAGCCCAAGTAACTGTAATAATAATAATATACAGTTATTCATGTGGGGCTCTTGAAGTCACAGGCACCTTATTTTTTGTTCTTGTGCCCCATAAAGATAGAAAATTCTTCATTTTGCATTTTCACATATATTAAAAGGCAGATTTAATGCACTTAAAATAAAGAAAACTGTAATCAGTAGATCAAATCCCACTCAAAGAAATGCAATCATAAATGTCTGAACACATTGTTTATAATTTCAGAAAACAAAAGTTTATTTTACTTAAAATATATATAAATGAGCTTGAATACACCCACTATTGACAATCAAGATCAAGATTGAGCTTGTTCGCTCATGTAATTAAGGGCTGGTAAGAGAAAATAAGGAATATGTAACCTGAGTTTAAGAGATTCTAGGGAATATCTGGATACTCTTCATAGTACACAGTGTTTTTAAGAATGGATTTGCACTGGCATTTCGGTGCATCTCCTCTCCCCCATCAATGTAAGTGATCTAATTCATCATCTTTTTAAACTGAAGTGACTTTTACTATTCTTTTTATGTTGAGAGTGATAATTCCATTCTCTAGCTATCTTTATTAGATGCAGATTTACCACCTGTTTTAAACTTGAATGTTTAAAATTGTTATGAGACCTGTACTAACATATAGAGACCAAGGAGTCAACATTCTTCCTCTATAGAGAGAAAACATTGAAAATTTAAATATTTTGTGACGTATTACATAAAAAGTAAGTTCTTTTCTAAAGTTTTTTGTTAATTTTGCTGCAGTTTTTCTGTCATGGACTATGCTTTAGTCATTGTAATTAAATTGAAGTTGTAGAGAGGAAAAAGGAGAGAAGAGGAAAAAAATAAAGAAAATGAAGCCCATCTCTCTCTTACAGGCAGTACGGTGGTTCACATACACAGCAAATGGGCAGCCCCACCTGTTCAGAGATTATACGTGAATTCATTCTTGTCATTGCAGTTCCATTCTCTGTACTTTCCCTTTGAAATTAATTTTTTCAGTCATTTTTTTTTGCAACTTCACAAAAGTCTTGATTTTAATTGCCTTCAGGTTTAATTAAGAAAGCATACTCTGAGGAATCCATTTCCCCAGTAGAAAATAGTACTTTTTAAAGGGAAGAACAAGATGCTTTGTCTGGGAGGATATTATTTGCTCTCTCTGAGTGTTTTTATTTAAGTTGCTGAGTAGTCTCTTCTAACACATGACTTTAAATATTTCTTAAATAAAACAAGGTTATTTAAATAAAATATGTGAAATGAAGGTTTTTTTCCTTACACAGAAATGTTGGCAGTTGACATGCAGCATCATGAACATTCTGGGTTAAGTTGTTGGTATGGTGTCATATACTTTTTCTTGTTACTTCTTAATTCAGTGAAGAGATAAATCACACTTCATAATTAATGGAGTCTGCTGGTTTGGACCAAGCCAGAGATGATCTGTAATAAGGTTACTATTGATCCCCATCTCCTTTGTGGCTTCTTTTATCACTCTCCTGCCTCAGTCATTAAAAGCTTCTTTTAATTAGAGTTGTCGACACTACCAACTTTTATAACTGTAGAAAAAAGACCAGATGGAATATTGTGCTTTGGGATAAGAATAAGCTAAAAATGAATGAAAGAAGGAAGGGAGGGTGGAAGGGAGTTTTGGGAAAGGTAGATGCATCCTACAGAGTGATGATTTGAAACCCAAAGGCTGTTGTTTAATCTGATGACTGGAGAGGTCCAGCCAATGTTTCCAAAATCAGTTTCTCTGAAATCATCAAAACCATTGATGAGCCATTTTGTAATGGTTCAAGTTACCAAGCCAGTGGAAGTGAAAATAAATGTTTAAACGATACAGTGTGCTGGTAACATCACATGTATTATCAGATGAGAAGTACCAGGCCACCACACAGTGATCGGGAGCTGGGAGATTGAGAAACCTTTGGGAGATTGTGCTTCAAGCATGTAAGTGGTGGTAATTGTAAGATTTTCCTTCTGATCCAGTTTTCTAGCTTAACATGTCTCCACAGAAACCACTGAGGAACACATATTCTTAAAGTATTCTTACACACACACACACACACACACACACACACACACACCCCAGATACTAAGCAAGGAACAGTTGAGGAAAGAGTAGCACTTTAGGGGATGGCAGTCTGCTTGAAAGAGACTTAATCACATAGCATCACAGAGCAGCTTTTATCCATTAAGTTGGATATCCATCTCTAAACTCTCTGGGAGGATGACTTTAATAGATTTCAACATGTTGTCAGATGATGTCCTCAGACAAGAAATGATAAATGCTATTAAGCAAGCTACTATGTCATCTGACATACTAACAGTCTGATTTAAAATTGCAAAGTAAGCAAGGAAACAAGAGCTGGGGTGCCATCCAGCCCTATTGGTGAATGAGAAATGGGACCCGGCTGTTAGCATCACTTCAGTTCCTGGGTAGATTTCATTTGAGCCATCACCACCTAGAGAACTGTTAGGGGGCAGTGGTTTAGGGCCATGTATTTGATAGGGTCTCCATGGTTTTACTTTTCTGTTTAGAGCATTTTTATTGTTTTTTAAAGGGGCAAAGGCAGATTGCTAATTTTTCAAACACTTTAGTTCCCTGAATCTGGTAGAAAATATGAATATATCTGAAACCCAAAGCTCAAGAAAAGTTAGGGAACTTCTTTGTAAACCTATGCTTTACGCAAAAGAATACTACTACATTTTTTATAAAACTAAGATATTCGAAGTACTGTAGTCTTTTTTCTTCCTATGCAAAAGTAGAGGAGTTACTTCCTATGTTCCCATCAAATTCCACATCGAATATTGGATTTTGCTCCTGTATAATTTCTTCAAGGCTTATTTTTGATACTTTTTCGATAGTTTCTCTGTGTTTCTGCAGTGGCTGAAGGTGCCTCCTAAGTTCTTTGCTAAGTTCTTCTCTCTGTCAAGGACCCTTACAGGAAATTTAAAAAAAAGAAAGAAAGAAAGAAAAGGATTTTATGTATCTTTAAAATTCTGTTAGTGCTCTGGAGATAATATACACAGTTCTTTTGGTCAACTGGCAGTTTCCAAAGCTGCGAGGAAGCACTTAGCTTCCTTATCCCCATTTATTCAGTAAACTTTTTGTCATTACTAGACTTTGAATAAATAAACTTTAATTGAGTGGAGGAGGCAATGCTGGCTGACTTCTCATTTCTGTGGCCCTAATTCTAGTTGAGCCTTTAATCACCTTATGCTGTATGGCAGAGTTTGAGTTCAAGCTTCATACTCATCCCAGGTGAAAAAGAAAATGTAACTTTCTTACCTCTCTTATGAGGGAGGTAGATGTCCCTGGATTTTAATTCTGTTGGTAAACTTCATCTATTGCATTCATTACGTTATTCGTTTTGGACTGTAAATGCTAAGCTCTTTAGGTAAAATGCTCAGTCTCTCTGACTTTCTCTCTTTCCCCCTCTTCCTTCACAAAGTGGCCAGTGGTTGCTTGGAGAGGGTGTGGTTGCAAACCCTTCTTTTTGTGTTCTTGGCAAAGAATGTCTAAACATCTAAAGCCACCATCCTCTCCTCCACTTTCTATTCACCTCGAGGTGGGTACATAGTGGGGGGATTTCCCAGCTCCAACATGAGTCACTCAATACTGCAAGAGGCGTTATTTCCTCCTCTCTGTTCTCTCGTCAAGAAAGCTGCAAGAGCCAGCTCCTTTCCTCCTGCCTCAGAGCTGCAATTCCCTTGGCTCAACCTTTGTATTTGGAAGGAAGTCTCCTCCACCTTAGGGGATAACACTCTGTGATCTACGGGTTGTTTCCCCATGATATGGTTTGGCTGTGTCCCCACCCAAATCTCAACTTGAATTGTATCTCCCAGAATTCCCCCGTGTTGTGGGAGGGACCCAGGGGGAGGTAGTTGAATCATGGGGGCCAGTCTTTCCTGTGCTATTCTTGTGATAGTGAATAAGTCTCATGAAACCTGATGGGTTTATCAGGGATTTCCACTTTGCTTCTTTCTTATTCTCTCTTGCCACCACCATGTAAGAAATGCCTTTCACCTTCTGCCATGATTGTGAGACCTCCCCAGCCATGTGGAACTGTAAGTCATATTAATCCTCCTTTTATTCCCAGTCTCGGGTATGTCTTTATCAGCAGCATGAAAACAGACTAATACACTCGATATGTTGAAATAATTTAGAACATAGTTTGATAAATCCTGATTTTCAAGTCTATCATTTTGGTGGGAACCTGAGCAAAAATCTAATTTGACCTTTAAAACTGACAAATGTCTCTGTGTTCATAAGATAGTTGCTCCTCATCCAAGCTCTGAAACTTGTCCTTTGAATAGGTGGAAAGCTCCAGGGAAAACATGATTCATTAACTATGGCAGCATCTGTGAAAAGAAATAACTTATTGACACCATCCCCATCACACTTGTGAGACTGTTGAAGCCACCCAGCCTGCAGCCTTTCCCTCTCTGCTGCAGTTCATCCTCTGGTTTGCCTTAAAGACATTCTTCCTGAAATATCTCCCAGAGAAAGGCCTAGGTATTTCTGGGAGGGTCCAAGAGGTAGAGTTAGAAGTATGATGTGATAACTTTAAGAACTAAGCCAGCTGGAAGGATTATATTGTGATCATCAAGAACAGTGGAGCCAAATTGCTCTGTTACCTTGACTATTTTTGTTAGGTGAATAACATTTTTTCGTAGAGCATCCTGGAAAAGTGGCATCCCTTTGGTGTGTTGAGATTGATGAAGAATTTGAGTTAAGCCTAATAATTGCCAAGAGAGAGAAAAAGGAGGGTGAAGTGTGAGAGGAATATCTTTAAGAACATACACTTCATGTCTATTTTCTTCTAGCAATTGAATCTTTCCAGCATCAAGATTTTTTATTTACTGTTGAAACGTGCATCAAACACTACTGGCAATAGTATAAAGCCCTTTTTAAAAAAAGTTTTTATAGCATCTAGGATCTGTGCAGTATCTTAAATTGTGTAATTATTTTTGTAGTATGCACAGAATAGTATTGTCTCTACATTCAGTTTTGTGGATTGTGATTGTCCTCTTTGTGGAAATTCAAACAGAAAAGCAATGATCAAAGAAACAAAGAGCTTAATTGGCTTTCCATGTGTGGTAATTTGTATGTCTTTATGCAGTTTGTGAGTTCCAAATCTTTTCAGATTGACGAAAATGAAGACTAGCTGACCTAGAACATGTGACTCATAGCTCATTAATGCATTCAGCCTCCTTCTCCCTTTGAGCTGGGAGCCTCCTGCTCCCTATTACTTGGGACCCAGAGGAGACCCATGTTGCTCCTTGATCCTTCAATCTGTGCTGTGGGCACAGAGGCGGCTGTGCCAGCTTGTGCTGGCTACTTTGAAAGAAAAACAGATGTGTTCATCTTCATCCATATGTTTATGGAGACTAGTGATAGAAACCTGGGCGCTTCATGAGTGTGGGCCCCGTTTGAAACCCCAAGTACTCCTTGAGCCACACCCTATTGGAGGGCACGGGATATACACCTTTACTGTTGAATTTAATTAGTTGTCCTAATGGTGGCAACTTCTGACCAGGTAGGATGATGTGAAGCCTGTCGTGGTTGTTCACTGCACCTGTGAATGAAGATGGAACATATTCAGGTTAGAGTTTAGAAAGTGTGTAAAGTTGCAGTGATAATATAATTTTATTGTTTAGAATCCTTATGTTCTTGATATCCTTCCTTGGCTCTATAAATGCAAGATCCATTCTTCAGGAATTAATTCAATCTATTGCCACCCATTCTTATGTAGTTTAGAGAGGTATATACTTTTTTATGGAGAAATTTGTCAGTGTTACATGTCCAGTGGAGTTGAGTTGGGAAGACTGAAGTTATATCAGTCACTTCAATCAAATTGTTAGTGGTGAGACATGGGTTTGTTTGTAAGTGCCATGATGAGCTGCTCTATATTTGTGGACATGAGCTTTTGGGATGTACAATCACATTTTATAAGAAAAAATGGAATAATTTGGATGGAATATACTTTATAAAATGAAGCTATTGAAATAACCAGTTTATATGAGAAATCAGATATTTCAGAATTGTTTTGTAAATGTGATTGTTGACACCTACTTGGGCCACCTTCTGGCAGTAAGGTGTGCTAATTTCTGACCCTTTTTTCTGTCTGTTATGTCCCTGGTCATGAGCTGGAAAAAAATTCTAAGGTGTTTCTTCACAACCTTCTGAATAATGAGGTAATGATTTTTCTCCACAGCTGATGTATTTCTATAAATAAAGTTTGACATTTCATAAGCTTTGAAGCTCATATTTTGTTGTTACGTTACATTTGACCTCATGTTCATAAGAGATACAATTCAGCATTGCCTCTCATTTTCACATGAGTGGGAAGACTCACCGTCACCCTCACCAAACCTCTCAGAGCAGCGCACGTGTCTGGAGGGTGAGTCCCTTCTGCACAGTAACTGCTCTGTCAGTGGGGACTGTGGGAACTGTCACTCGTTAGTTTATTTAACAGCTCCTGTTTTTCATTCTCTTCACTTCTATTCCCCCAGATTGCTGTGAAATAATTAATGCCACTCACCCCACCAAAATAACCACTTTTAATACCAGTAAGCTGATTTTACTACCAGACGAATTTATCAGGAATAAAAATAGCATTTAATAATGGTTTTAAGCCTTTTCTAACTTAATTAGGGCATTTAAAATTCTGAGCCATAAGAAAATTACTCTCACACAGTGGGTAGACAACATGATGTGTTAAGAGTCAAGTTTAACTCTACAAGCTTAATTACCAATTAGCTGAAAACTAACATGTTAAGGAGTTTAAAACATTTGTTTCCCTACCACATTAGTATTAGTCAGATGTTTAGGGCTAAATGTTAGGGATTTTTATATGGAGATTTTATGTGAGATTATTCATCTACCTACAGAAATATTTAATTCAGATATTTTCTTTGAAATCAATGTTGATCATTCTAGTTTTCTTTGTAGTTATATTCTGACACTGGACAGACATCAGATGGGGCCATACCATCATTTATGTAATTCTGCGGCATGAAATAACTTTAGCTTTTAAATCACTTATCTGGGACAGATTACTCATGCTGTAATCCCAGCACTTTGGGAGGCCGAGGCAGACTTAATCTAGGAGTTTGAGACCAGCCTGGCCGACATGGTGAAACCCCATCTCTACTAAAATTCACAAATTAGCCAGGCATGATGGTGCATGCCTTTAGTCCCAGCTGCTCAGGAGGCTGAGGTGGGAGGATCACTTGAACCCAGGAGGCAGAGGTTGCAGTGAGCTGAGATCACACCACTACACTCCAGTCTGGGTGACAGACTGAGACCCTGTCTCAAAAAATAAATAAATAAATAGATCGTTTATCTTGTATTAGAAAAAAAAACAAAACAAAATAAATTCTATCTTTGTGAATAGAAACAGCTATTTCATTATTTAGCTAAATATAACTGGGATGGTACGAATTTTAAGCTGTTTTCCTAAAACTAAGCCCTGTCTTTATTGTTAAACGTTAGAATTCTCCATAGCCAAAATTTTTTGTCCAACATATATCGTAATATGTGTTTATTCTTTTAAAATACCAACTACACTTGATTTTTCATGTTCTTTCCTAAAAAGTGCATGTCGCATATCAAACTATATTATCTCAAGTACTTTGAGTCCAGTTTTACCAAGTGATGCATCATGTAACATTTTAGAGGAGGAGCTGAGAAACACATGTTTCTGTATAGTCTGAAAGCTGAGAATGGTTTTTACATTTTTAATTTATTGGAAAAATAAAAAATAATATCTTGTGATATGAAAGTCATATGAACTTCAAATTTTGCTCTCCATAAATGAAGTGTTTTTGGAGAACAACCACCTCCATTAAATACTATCAATGACTGCTTTCTCACTACAGTGGCAAAGTTGAGTAGGGTAGTTGCGACAGAAACTAAGCCTAAGCCTAGCAGCCTACAATGTTTACTGTCTGGCTCTGTACAGAACAAATTTGCCAACACTTCCAAAAGTGGATTGGGTAAAAGTCCTTAGGGTATTTTGATACAGTGATTTTCAAAGTCACCTTTGCCAACCTAAATTATGACTTTCTCTTTCTTTCTTTTCTCTTTTTCCTTTCTTTCTTTTCTTCCTTCCTTTCCTTTAAAATGTACTCACTGCATTTTGAGTTTTGATACATAAGAATGGGATTCTAATCGTTAACCTGGAGGAAGGAGGAGACTGTTATCGTTGCCTGAGCACTCCTCTGCTGGAAAAAGCAATGAGCCTGAATATGGTTCTACTAATTGTTACGGTCAGAAACCTAAAGAAACAAGAGGTGGAAACTAAAAGAGGAAAAAGCCAGTGGAAATTAACGTTTGCTCTGATTTTAATAGCGCCCGTGAGGCAAGCATGCTACGTCAGTGGGAAGTGGTGACAATCCACCTGAGCTGTGTGCTATAACTCAATAACATTTGTAACTAATTTAACCTCACATATATTTAGTGTTTATGTATAACCATGGTTGTGCTGCTTGGTAATGAGGCATTAAAAATGAGCCAGTCCAAGAATTGAGTTTAAATAGTACTCCTTCTCTCAGCCAAATCAAGCATTTCTTGCTGAGGGGCTGAAGGGCTGGGTGGAGAGAAGGGAATTGGGTAGAGTTAGTGAGCAGCTCTGCATCGTCTCTGAAAACCCCTCATTTCCTCTCACCCTTTCCTAAGGCGAGGAGGAGGACTTTCTCTCAAACTGTAAAATCCAGGCTGTGCTAACCACACTCAGTTTAAAGGAAGGGATTATAAAAGTGCTTGAGGTGGAGACTAATCCCATGAAACCCTCTCCCACCTGAGGAATGGGAAAGATGCTCTGAAGCCTCTGGATTCCCACACCTTACTGTTGTTTATGCTATTCACCTCCTTCTTATACTCGTCACAACTTATAATTATACATTCATTAGCTTGATCCTTTTTTTTTTCTTTTTTTTTTTGAGACAGGGTTTCACTCCTGTCACCCAGGCTGGATTGCAGTGACGAACTGTTGACTCACTGCAGCCTCTGCCTCCTGGGCTCAAACAATTCTCCTGCCTCAGCCTCCTGAGTAGTTGGGACTACAGGCACGCACCAGCATGCCCGGCTCATTTTGTTGTTTTGTTTTTTTGCAGAGGTGGGGTTTTGCCATGTTGCTCAGGCTGGTCTTGAACTTCTGAGCTCAAACAATCCACTCACCTCAGCCTCCCAAAGTGCTGGGAATTCCTTTTTTAAAAGTACCTCTCTTCCTCTCCCTGAAATCTGAGCTCCAGGATAACAGGGCCCATGTGTCCTATGCAACATTGCGTTCTCAGCACCGACAGCAGAACCTGGCACACAGCAGGTACTCAAAATCCATTTTTGGTGAATGAATGAAAATAACCTTGATCTCCAGGACACAGATATCAGGTGCCCTTCTTACCCTACATGTCTTTCCCATATGTCCCTGTATTCCCCGAACTTGATTTTTATTTCCATGCACACAAAATGCCTCGGGGAAGGGGGCGCAGAGGGTAGAGTGGCTGCTCTTCCAGTCTTAGGTCTGTATGGAAGCACTTATGTTCTAAGGCAGTGAGGGCTGGCTTTGCTGGTCCAAGAAGAGGAGGATGCCTGAGGTGCTTGGACAACTCCAGATGCTTGTAGGGAGAGAGGGACCAGAGGCAGGAGAGACTGGTCCTGAGAAGGAAGATCTCAGCATCCCAGCTCCTGGATCTTTCACCTCTTGTTCAGACCCTAGATGTCTCCCCAGCTTTTATCAGAGGATCCTTTATCCTATCTGCAATTCCCTCCTTAAAGATTCGTATGCCCTTAAAAAAAAGAAAGAAAGAAAGAAAAAAAAAAACAACTGTATAGAAGAGCTTAGTGCAGAAGAGAGGAGGAGGAAAATGTGAGGGCCCCTAGTTATTCACCTGGCTATGATAGGAGAGAAACCTGGTTCAGTTAAGCTGCCTGAGGTGGGAACATCCCTCATATGTGTACAGTGTTTTATGATTTTTTTCCCAAGCATGCTCATAAATCAATTGTTACATGAGCTAATAGTCAGAGGCTGTGGTGTACAATGATGTTAGCACATGGACTGGGGTCACACCAGAAAAGGGAAGCCTTGGGTAGGGATAGGGTCCGTTTGAGCTGAGCAGAGAAATTCTTGAAAGCCAGAGAGCCACTTTCCCCCAACTGCTACAGGCCCCCACTCTCCAACACCTACTGACCCTGGTGAGTGAGCCAAAACACATCTCCCAGGGAAGAAAGCCTTGGCTCCCCTTCCCCTCAACCACACACAGCATCCACCAGCTCTAGCTCCACCTTGGGAAATCCTTGTCTTCATCCTTATCTCACCTGCCACCATGAGCTGGCTCCCAGGGCAACAGAAGATATTCCCTGGCATGTTTTGCAAAGGACACATCTTAATAAGAACAGTGGTATATTCACAGACCACCCAGGTATGTATGCATGGAGTGTGAACACCTATGCACAAGACTGCACCCTAGGAAGCAGATGAGCCCCTGCTAATGAGCTAGCTCCTGCACTAGTGCTTGCTTGTGTGACTGGGGGCAAGGCTGTTTCTCTCATTTTTTTAAGAAATGGGGTCTCGCTATGTTACCCAGGCTGGTCTTGAACTCCTGGCCTTAAGCGATCCTCCAACCTCAACCTCCTAAAGTGCTGGGATTACAGGTGTGAGCCACTGTGCCCAGCCCAAACCTATTTTTTAAACTCTACAATGGGCATTAGATCACAACCTCAAAGGATTATAAGACTATGTACCTGTAAATAGCCTAGAACATAATAAATACTCAATAAATCATTGTCATTATGATTGTCATTATTAGTTTTCAAAGGCTGGTTGCATATAGCTCCTGAAGCTTGAAGACCTTTGTGTGAGTTTATTTTAACATCACTCCATATTCCAGAGCAGCATTTGTCATGCCCCACTTTGTTATTTATACAGAGCATGATTACTCCATTTCATAAAGTCAGGTTTAAAGTTCAAAATGAAAAGCAAAAGGTAAGTTCTCCCATCATCTTGCTAAGCAAGTTGTCTCTCTGCTCTGAAAGGGGAAGATACCAGAACATGTGAGTTATGTGGTCAACATCAGGAAGAACGCCACACCTGGGTTTATACAGTAAATACTCTAGTAGCTGCTCAGATGCATTCTTCCAGCTCTGTTATTCCTGGAGAACTGTGGACACTCTGCTGTGTTTAAAAAAAGTATTGCTTTTCATTACAGAGAAGTCTTCAATTGCTTTCCTCTTTCAACGAACGTCTATACTTAGTTATCACAGACTTGAGAGAAACTAATGATACTTTACAGTAAGACTATGATTAAATTACCTTCTGTTAATTAGGAGTTTCTAAATCACCTTCATCCCCTTGGAGAAAAGACTTGATGTAAATAGGCAGTAATAAAAGTGGTACTATGTTTAATTCAAATTGTATCCTTTTAAATTTAATTAATTTAGTAATAGTTTTAAATGAGCATGTCAGAACTAAAGGGTCCTTAGTGACTTGAAAGAGTTAACGTAGCATCCAGAAGTTCCTAATGTACTCTTCAGAAGTAGCTTGCTCACTGAATAATTGGGTTTAACCAGCTCAAGTTCCCCTGTCCTCCCACGGGAATGATTCAGAGCAGGTTTTGAACCATTCTCATCAGTTTTTTGGAGACACTACCCTCCATTCAGGATGTAGCGTCTGAACTCACTATCTTTAATGTTTCCAAGACCAAGGGAGAGACAGTGAGGCCATAGGCCCTCTTTCCAGGCACTTACTAGAGAGTAAGCCAGCAAAGTGGCTGTGGACTACATCCTCACTGGACTGCACCTGGCTGCTCACAGTACCTGTTGAAAGTTCCTTCTAAGTTGCTAAATCCCTTCACCTACCCACATCCCTTCCTCCTTTCATGTCTGCAGAGAATACTTGAGCACAAGGCACACATAAATTTCATGCTGTCTGGGATGGGATAAGGATGTCGTGTAAACATATCATTAATGTAGCTTAGAAAAGCTGAAAAGTGGCTGGGAGAGGATGGGGTTTGTGTATGTGTACATCCTTGAGGTGACCATGGTGCAAAGCAATTTATCATGTGCTGTAAAGTAGATTGTTTAATGTGAGACTATTGTATAAGGTTTCCCACAGTAATCATGTACAAAATGATGTATAGCATACCAAGTTCTCCCCTAACAAGACTTCTGGTCATGTAAGGTTGATAATAAACTAGAGAAGTAAAAGGATTATTATCATTTAAATGCATGTGCATGCTCTTCATATAGAAAAGCATAGCATAATAAATTACCACATAAACTGGCAGAAATTATTATATAGCTTTTCTGGATAGTTTTATAATTGCAGCAGAGTTCCTTTGCAGGGTAGTTTAGGTTCTGTTTTGTTGCTCAATTTTCACCTTTTTTTTTTTTTTTTTTTTGCTTTTCCTATGAATATCAAATTGTTCAGGACCAGAAACTACAAGATCAAATTCAAAACTCCTTCCATTTTTTGAAATTCTGTTTATTTCGTGAAATAAGATTAAATAACTTATATTTCTTAACTTAAAGTTTTGGTTAAAAACTAAAATTTGAGGTTTAGAAATTTTAAATATTTTCCAAAAATTTAGAGTAGGATAAGTATTTAACGTATATTCATTGACTTCATAACCAATCTTTTGGTACAACTGGAACCCCTCCAGCGACCTTTTCAAACTATTGCCTCTGGTCTATTTAAATGTATTGGGGACCACATGGAGACTTCTGGAAATGCTAAATCTCAATCTAGAAATAGTAGTGAATGCCTTTTAAATCTAAGTTTGGTTGTGACTTTATGGCTCACTCACTTGTCTGCATAAAAATAAAAATTTCTTACCTGGTTTAAAAGCACAGTTTTTGGTGACATAAACCACCCTAGTGCATTCATTGTTTTGATTCCCCTAAGCTCTGCCTCTGTGATTTTGTCGATTTTTTTTCTTTTAATCCTGTAGATGTGCTTTTTTATTTTTTGCCCACTATCCTCTTTGTGCTGTTTTTCCTTATCTTTGCTCCTTTTTCCTCTCCTCCCAGCCTAACAAATGTGTATTACTAAGGACTTCTAGTGGCTAATGTGGGAAGTGCCTCTCAGAAATACCCACAACTGTAAACAGTAGGTCCATGCAGTGCGCATTGGACACACAGCACCTGTGGAAAGTAGGAACCAAAGGCAATAAACTGGTTCTTTTGACTACATGATACTATTTATTTCATGAATGTTATGCTGTATCCAAATGGTTATTGAGTGAATGCAGGAGACACCCATATTACACTTGTATATGATAAGCATATGCCTGTATCTTATGTTTGTATGGTGATTACATTCAGAAACTGCACTTAAAGTTTAACCTGTGAAATATGGCCCGCTTCTAAGTGTGTGAATATGATTATATATTAATTTAGGCTGAGAAGTGATAGAGACATTGATTGTGTTAGAGGAGGCTTTTTATAATTTGAAAATTCAACTAGCTACCTACAGATAAGATGGGATGTTATTTTATAGGATTTTATCTGAAATGTAGTACATAAGAGGTTCAGACCGTATCAGGGTTTAGATAAAAGTTATGTAACAGGAAAGACACATTGATCCCTTAGGTACTACCCTAGCTCTGAAGTGAGCTTTATGAAAAGTTAGAGTATATTGGAAAAAGTTGAGAATAGCTAGCTTCCTACATGTGGACCCTGGGTCACTCTTAATTCATAATTCATTCCAGATTTATATAGCATTTGGCATCTGTTCTCTGGCAAGAAATGATCATTAAAATAGTTGAATACAGTGTTCAGGCAGACTTATATGACGCCAAAACCATGCTTTGAACGTGGCAGAAACTGAGAATTTAACTTAGACTTCAAATAAAATTCCATAGAAGAATTTTGTAAACAAATTTTTTGGAAATATTTTGAAGTATTCTCCCTTCTATAGTAAGTTCTACTACAAATACTTGTTTTGAAAATTCAAACTTGCTTGAATGCAGTTTATATGTTAGGTAACAATTTGAGCATACCAAAAATTTTGCATTTGCGTGTGCACAAGTTTGTGTGAACTGAAATTACACACACACCCCTCAAACATCCACCATATTCTTCAATTCACAAAATGTGTTATGAGCTACACCCTCTACATCTTGTGTTACAATTTTCCGTTAGATTTCAGATCACCCTCCTTCCACCACTTCACAGTGACTCACAAGCTGCAACTCCTCCAACACCCACTTCCACCAGCAACCTTCAGGTCTTTTTCAAGGTTAAGTGCCATGTTTATTGTAGTATTTTTTCATTCTTTAACCATTTAACATATGCAGAACTGTGATATTGTTTTTATTTGATGTCTTTTTTTATGTGTCACTGCAAAATTTTTTAGTGTTGTGCCCCTAACCCACTTTCCTTATAAGCCCTGTGGTTTTTATTGCACAATTTTGTATAGTGAGGTGAGTTTTAGGATTGCAGAACTGTCATACTGCAGTTACAGCCGATCCTTGAATAATGTCATTTTGTTCAGCATCATTTCATTATAACACTGAAGAGGAAAAAATAATTGATTCCCAGCTGGGGCCACTTGTATGGAGTTTGCAGGTTCTCCCCACATCTGTGTAGGTTTCCTCCAGGTACACCAGGTACACCAGTTTCCTCCCACATAGCAAAGATGTGAGCTTCAGATGAGTTGGACAATCTTCAGGGTTTCAGTGTGAGTGAGTGTGGATGTGTGTGTGAGTGTGCCCTGCGATGGGATGGCATCCTGTCCAGGGTGGGTTCCCCCTTTTACCCTGACCTGCTGGGATAGGCTCTGGCCACCTTTGATAAGTGGATTGGAATAAGTGGGTTGGAAAATGAATAAATAAATGAATGAATGAATATAAGTTATTGGGAAATAAAAAAAATTATCAGGTATTTGACATTCATCCAAATGCACGGCAATATTTGTTAACTGTTTTTGAGCTGTGTGGTAGTAGGAGGTTCCTCTGAAAATTTTCATTTTGCAAACATTTGTTGATTTAATACACCACCACTATGACTACTGTCACGAATTCACCACAAATTGAGTAAATAATGATCTTACTTGTTTTCATTAATCTTTCTTAAATGTATGTATAGTTCACATTTATTTCAGCATTTAAAATTAGAAGTGTTTTGATCTTTATTGAGAAGTTTGATGACGTTTTTGTGACCAGAAATACGCTGTGGAAACTTAACCCTTGTTTATATCAGTTAGCCTAGGGTAAAATTGGTTTCATTGTACCTTGTTCACTGAAAGTCGCAGTTTCCAAGAAGCTGTCCATGTTAAGAGAAGACTTACTGTATATTCTCCACAGTTACTCAAGATCACCAAATGACCAGATCCGCAGCTTCCAATACTGTGGACTCACTCTCCCAGCACCTCTCTCTGTACACGCCTGTAAATGTTTAGCATCCTTGTTCTTTTCCTGCCCTCGGACCACTCTTGCACCTGTCATACTAGTTATTATTCTCTCTGCTTATTCCAGTGATTCTGGAGCATCATGCAACATTCATTCATCTTTAAAATTTCTCCCTCAGAAATGTAGACATTCTTTCATCTCAGCCACTACCTCTGTGGAGAAAATTTTCAATTATCCAGTGCCAGAAGCAAGCTGTCACATAATTTCCGGTTGTACTCGAGGTTCTTAGACTTCCCTATTGTAACCACCAGTTCAATTCAACTAAGCTGGAAGTTCACATCCTAAATACGTTAACATACTTAAAGGAACCGTAAAGCACTCTATAACTGTGGGGTGTGTAACATGTTTACTTGTAAACTGTAAAGCACTCTGTAACTGTGGGGTGTGTAACATGTTTAGTTGTAAACCGTAAAGCACTCTATAATTGTAAGGTGTGTTACAATTTTTCTTATCCTGACCAGTTTTCTCTCTTATCTTGGCTCTTCCTTCTGTGCCCACAGCAAATCAGCCTTGGAGTCCTCCTCCATGTAATGTGTTCATGTCATCCTTTCTTTCCCAGCCCCTCTGCTGCCTCTCATGTCTCTCATATAGCAGTGGCCCCCACCTGCTTCCTGTTCCCACTTTTGTGCCATCTCCCATTTCTTCCTTCACACTGATGCTTGTTCATGGTTCTGAAATTTTACTTTGTTCATAACACCTCTGCTTAAAATTGTCAAGGGTTTGTGATTAAATTCAAACTCTGCAGTGTAGAAGTTTATATCTTATCCAATCTGGCCCTCACTCCTCTTCTATCCATGTTTCCTTACATTCTCTAATACGAGTTGAGGTGCCTAGAAAGCTTAACAATATTTTACATGATTTCAAGTCCTGGCCTTCCACATCATGCCTGCAGCGGGGTCCTGTGTGTGGCAGCACCCAAATATGCTCCTCTGTATGTTTGTTAACAGTTGAGTAGTGCTTTTTATCAAGCGCATGTCAAGTTCTTTCTACAACTTTCTTTTATATAGGGTTTTTTCCCCCCTATAATTTGCGTAGTGGAAGATGTGGTAGTGGAAATGAAGTTTCATAAGAAACCTAGGACAAGTTACTCTGGAAACGGTTTGTTATTTAGAAAGTGTTTTCATAGTGACCTTGCTGGAAGGGAGGACGACCACAGCTCTTAATGATATGGCAGACCTCGGCCCCTGGATAGGCACCAGCTCTCTGTCCTCCCCACAGTGGACTGCAGCCACAATGCTCTCCCCATGTGAGATGGAAAGGGGAGCTGGGTTTAATTGTAGCGCACAGCTGGCCAAAGACCTCTACAGCAATAATCTTTCAGTATTTCAGTGTAAATTTGTGACTTATATTATGTTCAAGTATTTAAAAGTACGTTGTATTTTCCAACAATAACTTTATAAATGGTGCCTCTTCCATTAGTTCAACTTTGTAACATTTTTCTGTACTTGGAAGCTTTAGTAAAGGAAAAACTTACCTCTGGATTTCAGTTGAGAAGTCTCAAATCCCGATGTTTTAGAATCAAACTAAAATTCTTCACCCGCACAGTAATAATTATTTTAAAGTGTTAAAAAGAGAGATTATATTGTTAACTCAGAGAGGTGTTTCTCTCAAGAGTGCAGAAAAAAGCACCAAAGCTTACAAATTCCCAAGGGCATCTTGATCTTACTTTCTGTCCCATTCATGGCATTAGTGAACTAACTGGCTTTGCAGGGCCAAACAGCACAAGGCTGACCACCCACCAGGGACGTTGAGCTTTAAGAGGCTGTTTTAGTCCATTTTGTGTTGTTGAAACAGAATATCACAGCCTGTGCAATTTATAAAAACTGAAATTTATTTTCTCACAGTTCTGGAGGCTGAGAAGTCCAAAATCAAGGCTCAGTATCTGGTGAAGGTCTTCTGAGTGGCTCCTCACGTGGTGGGAGACAGAAGGGCATGCTAGCTGAATGCTGTGTGAAACCTCTTTTATAAGGACCTTAATCCCATTGACTAGGAAGGAGCCATCATGGCTTCATCACCTTTTAAAGGCCCTGCCTGTTAATATGATCACATTGACAATACTTGAATTTTGAAGGGGACACATTTAAACCATAACAGAGGCTGCCATTCAGAAAATTCTGACTAGATGGGAAAAAATTACTTTGGATTGAATTAGTTCCTATTTTCTGAAAACCTTATCCATGATCACATTTACTGTTCTGTATTCATCCCTGGAGTCCAGAGAAGCAAGTCCTGCTTTGGTCCAGTCCTCCCAAGGTCATCCTGAGCCTGGTGGTGCCTGAAGCCACATCTTGCCACCTGGGCGTTTACTGGTCCACTGAGGCCTATCATGGATCTCCAAGGTGGTCATGGCAGTTTGGGGGGCATTCAGTGGTTAGGGCCAGGTGTATACTGCACCATTTTTGTAAGTCCATTGGCATGTTTGAGAATGATAATCTTTTCATTTTTTGAGTTTGGAAAGATACTTCCCTGTTATGTGTCAAGTAATCATAGAATCCATGTGAAAGAACAAAGTTTTTTTACTGTCTAGCCTTTTTCTTTTATAGCAACTTAAGGACTTCTCAGACTTTGTAACTTCATTAGAAACAGCTACAACAGAAGATGCAGTAGCCACATCTGTGTTGAGCAGGACAGGCAAAGAAAGCAGTTTAGAGGTTGGGATTTTCTATCTGAAACTGAGATTCAAAACAAGATAAAGGGGAAAAAAATCTAGAATTCAGATGTTATTACTAAAATTTCTTTCACCCAAGTATATAAAATTATTGACAAACTACTTTTATAATTATTAGCAAAATCTGTGTTCTTAAGATGAAGGGCAATTCAGTGAATTGTCTGAAATCAGACATAGGGTCCTTATATAAAACCACAGACTTGCTTATTCTGAAAATGGAATTTTCCTAGTTGATAAGCAAGTTTCAAAACAGAATATGAAGGAGCAGTCTATAGAAATCTAGTAATATATAATATATTTATGTAATAATAACCCTTCTCATAGCTGTATCTATAAACAGAGAAGTTTACTTTACACTAACATGGGAGTTACTTTCAAAACATAGCACTCCGATAAAAGGCATATCTGGTTTCTTTCCAGCTTAATAAAATATAAATTTTAATTTTTACTTTGCCTTTAGTTAAAATTTCCTGCTTTTCATCTGCTCAAATTCTACATTAAAATCTTATATTAGAGGTGATCAAATTTATGAAATAGATTTCTAGGCTATGTTACATCCATAGATTTTCCAAACACTTTAGTTCCAGAAATGTAGGAGGTACTGGTAACAGGCCAGTGATATAAAATCCATTAGCAACAACTATATAAAATCATCTTGCCCTAGAAAAAACAATATAAGCATCCATGTGGCGAGTTACTCAGGCTGGCAGCAGGGTGTCTGATTGCTGTGCCAAGACTTACACCTGTGTGTTTATAGGGGCTTGATGAAATTCATGCATTTGCATTAATGCAAATAATGCTTATATAATTAACCATTCTACTTGGCCTTGCATTCTAGTGACGTATCAGTGTAATATACACAGAGAAAACAAGATAAAGTAGTTTTTTCCTTTGGCTCATGCATCGATATTACTACCTGCACATCTGTTTTTGTCTAATCTGAGATGCTTATTCTAGTAGTTTCACATTAAATATAAATTATTTATTATTTATAATAATGAATTGTAAAATAGAGCCAAGTAATTTATTGCTGTCATTTTAAAATGTTTTCTCAAAGTGCTTTATAGAAACATTGTTCTAAAAAACAACTTTGGGTCAATGTTAGTAGCTGAGATGATATTACTATTGTAATTGTGTGTAGCACCTTTTAGGAGTTACAAAATTTCCTCTGCTTTTGTGCTTTCTTCGGATTGAAACGGCCTTTCCTCTTCACTTGTGCAGTTGCCACTCATGTGTCAAGACCTATAATGGTTTTGTGGGAAAAGCAGAGGCTTCAAGACCAAACAGAATACCAGTTTCATGACTTACTAATTACAGTTATTTTGCCTATAATACCAGATTACCTTGAAAGGTTGCTTATGTTTCAGGTAGGTCTTCAGTGTTCACATGTGTAAAACTAACCTCATAATTACTCACCTCACATGGATAATGTGATCAGTAAATAAAATAGAAAGCACCAAGTACATACTGATGCAGAGATGTTGAATCACTTTCATCTTGATGCATTCAACCAACACTTGTACTATTTATAATCACAGCTTGTTATAAAGTAGCAGATCCAGACAGAAAGTGGCCCCTGCTAGATCAGCTGGTGGCCCCATGTTGCCTCTGCTGCATCCTCAGTGCCATGTGCACTACATTCAATCATAATTGATGGCAGAATGAAAGGGAAACATCAGCCTGCTGAGTAGGGGCCTGAAGGCCCATCGCCTAACCTGTCCTCTAAGCCTGCTGGACTCTTCACCTGGTGTTGCTATAGGAGCCCACAGTCCTGAGAGCTTCCTTAAGAGTACCTAGAGGAGCTCTTAGACTCAAGGAGAATTTATGCAATAGTGCAAAAGTTGAAGATTAATATATGCCTGTTAAGAACAAGAACTATGAACTGTTAACCATACATTAATTTAATTATAAATATGTACCCCAAAATGATAAAAAGATACTTCCTTCTGAAGCAAGTAGTACAAATATTTTATAACAGGTGTGACAACATGAATCATCTCTGCTGAGGTCTGGATAAGTTTTCTGCCTGCCTTGTCTAAGCTTTGCTCATTGTTTACTATGGGCCTACCTTCTCCTAGGCTGGTTCCTTCTGGAATTCCCCTCTAATACAGTCTGCAAATGCCTCCTGCTGTTTACTTGCAAACCTAGGAGGAATGGCTTCTCACTATTGTGTTCTCCACCCTGAAGTATTAGTCATCTTCATATTTTATATACTACTCATGAATCGGGGGACGATATTCACTGTCATTATCAGCAGAGGAACTTCCTGTATTGAAATCTAAGCCACAAGTGGATCCTTCTGTGGCTGTCAACATGGATACCATTACACTACAAGTGCTTCACCATTAAATATCCTGCCAAAGGGCTGTAGCTTCAGAATATTGAATTTTATCACATCCAATAGCTCACAGGTTACAATAGCAATCCCACCTTTTTAGTTATTCTTTGTGCATCTGTTTTATTTCTGTACCATAGTCCCAGTGCAGCAATTGTTCTTTTTTTTATATATATACTTTAAGTTCTAGGGTACATGTGCTTCATTCTCAGCCCTTAGCTCAGGGTCTCACACATAGAGGGCCTCAGTAAACGATTGTCCCAAGAATAAACAAATGATCCTCCAAGTGTTACAGAGTTTAGGAGGCAGATGAGCTTCTATATCTGGACTCTTGAGATGGATGTGCATTTATTCAGCCTTAACGTATATTTTATAGCTGGAAGGTGCATAATTATTTATCCTTTGGTGATACTTAAACTGGAAGATGATTCTAAGAATAATAATGCAACTTGTTTCTCTGAGCTTCATCACACCCAGCTTTTCAAGTGGAACTAAAATTAGTAATGAGTATTGGAAACATTGCCAGTGAACATATGAAAGGAGGGCATTCAGCTAATTTGGGGCTACCAGAAAATGCTCTGCCAGGCCTCCTGGATAAATGGGGAGTCAGCCGTGACAGCTGCCGCTTGCAAGTGTCTTCATTGTGCCAGTCGCTCCTCACACATCCTTTCATTTAATCCTCACATTATGAGGTGTAATGTCTTTAATAAGCTTATTTTATGGGTAGGAAATTAGGGTTATGAGGTTAAATATCTTGTCCTAGATGACAAAGCTAATGAGTAATAGAACCAGGATTAGAACCCATGTAAATCTTTGCTGTTTCTGCCGCTACACCACTCCCAAGATGAGTTTCTCATCTGCATGTGTGAGCCTCTGCTTAATGCTGCTGTTTTGTTCTCCTCCACTCCTGCTTTTGCTCCTGTCCTCATTTGTTTAATGACTGGGTTCATTTCCTTGATCATATTTTTTTTTCCTTCTCCTATTTGAATGATGGGGGCACAGTTGGCCAGTTCTTTGATACTGAGCTGTAACAATCACCATCCTTGCTTGAAGAAGTCCTTGCTTCTTTGTATCTCTCATTTGGCTTGACATCAAAGCTGAAAAAGGTTACTGATGACGGTATGGACCTTTTCAATATGCAAATTATGTAATGGTACAAACGACTTTATATCAGTATAATAAAGTTCTTAACGATTCATTTTTATTGCTGCCTGTTCAATACGTCAAGCTGTAAAATAGAATATTTTAATTTATGGGAATGACTCAGATCTTGAAGAATGAATGTGAAAATACTGAATTCCAAAGTGCAAACTCTGCCATAGGCTGTGGACTTCTTGAGGACAGGGGTTGTATCCTGTAGGTCAGGTATCCCTGGTTTCCACACAGGGGCTGCCTGCAGTAGACCCCAGCGATGATTAAAGATACATTATGAAGGCGTAAATAAATGCCTGCCTTGGCCTTTAAACTTTTGATGTTTACCATTTTTTTAGAACTGTGCAAGTTGATAAATACTATCTGACTAAGCTTAAGAAGCTAGTACACTTTTTAAGAGACATGTTGGTTATATTTTAAATAAGTGTAACTTACCAAAAATATGGTGGTTTTTGAATTATGCAAATAATCCAACCTGCATATATTTAGTTACTATAAGATAATTACTATGGCAATTAGTGATAAATGCTATAAAGAAAAATAAGGCAGGCCAGGTGCGGTGGCTTATGCCTGTAATGCCAGCACTTGGGAGGCCGAGGTGGGAAGATCACTTGAGCCTAGGAGTGTAAGACCAGCCTGGGCAACATAGCAAGATCCCATCTCTACAGAAAATTTTAAAAATTAGCCAAGCATGGTGGCACACACCTGTAGTCCCAGCTACCTGGGAGATGGAGGCTGGAGGATTACTTGTGCCTAGGAGTTGGAGAGTGCACTGAGCTATGATTGCACCACTGCACTCCAGCCTGGCTGACAGAACAGACCGTGTCTCTTAAAAAAATAAAAAGAAAAAAAATGAGGCAGAAATGAAAGGAATGGTTGGGTGTTTATTACTTAAAATATGATGGTCATGTAAAATAGATGAGTAATATTATAATGCAAAATATTTGGATATTTAAATACAAATATGTAAAATTTATACTAAGGTAGATATCATAATTGTACCCATTTGAGCCATGAGACTTGTTTCTGGCTATCCCATTTCCTTTTCATAGTGATTTTAGAGCCAACAAGATTACTTCAGAGGGATCTTTTCCTAGCTTTTTGGTGAGTAAAATAATGGATCAGCTGTTCACTGATTCTTTCCCTTCTTCAAGCTTGGGCTCTTAAAACAAGCACATGCAATTTGGAACAAGAATTCAAATTTGAACATTTTAAAAACCATTAATAGGAACATAAAAATACTAGTTTTAGAGGTACTATTAGTGATGAATGGTATCAAATAAATAAATGCTATTTTTTAATTCTCATTGTATGTTTTAAACTGAATTTCAGATGAAGACATTTTGGCTGAAATGAGTGAAGTGTGTAGGTGTTGAAGTTTTCTATAAGATGAAGTTGAAAATTTTGTTAAAATGGATAACCAAATTTTAAAACTCAGATCAGATTTGCACGCATATTTGTAGCTTTTCACGCTGAAATGAACTCAGTTCAGTATATTAGCTCAGGGTTCAAGTGCAGTGTTGTACTAGCCTCACTGCACTTGGAAAGTAATACTATTCACATCTTGTTTTAACCATTATGTGGGGATGTGTGATGTTATCATTTTCACATGCACATTTGAAGTTGAGTAGTGGAAAGTCAGATAAAAAAGCGTTTAATATCATCACATCAGCCTGTTTTAGGAGAAGAGCCTTGTGCATGAATGCAGGAGGGGATCTAGTTGTCAGGTGTAATCTCATGTCTGGATGTTCCCTTTGCAGATGATTCAGTCCCTCAAGGCGTTGATTGAAAATGCAGATGCTGTATATGAAAAGATCGTACATTGTCAGAAGGCAGGTAAGTGAAAGTTTGTTTCCTCTCTTTAAATGAAATTAATAGCATCATATACTTTGCCCCAAAACTATTTCATTTTTTGGATGCTATATCAAGAAAATCAAATAAGAAAATTATTTTTCTATGGCTAAAGAAAATACCAATTCAGTGGTTCTCAGCCTTGGGTAACAAACTCACCTGAGGGGACCATTCAAAATACATTAACATTGGTCTGAGGTATGGGGCTGGGAATTAATAACTATTTTAAATTCCCAGGTGTTTCTAATGTACAGCCAAAATTGAGAAACTCTGCACTAATCTCTTCTTCAGTGTTAACTGTGTTGCCAAAGCTCCTGCTGGTCACCCGTGACTCTGGTACACAGTAGGATAGGTAAGGCTTGAGTAGAGGGAGAATGGCTTCTTGTAAAGGAGATGGATTCCAGTTACAACCTCCTGACACTTTTTAGTACACTGGCATTTTCGCGTGCTGATAAATTCATTAATTTAACATCCAAATGTTATACCAGACTATAAAATTCTTCTTATATAAACAATCATCCCATTAATTTTAGCTGTGGTAAAACCAAAAAATTCAGTATTCTGCATTGTAATAAAAATACACAAAATGGAGTTCTTTTAATTTTCTGATTTTTTGAGTGTTGATTTGGGAGATTCTATTATGGAGAATATTTTCAAGTCATAAAAAAAAAAAATTGTCCTGACTTTCTAAGGTTTTTTTCGTTGCTGTTCTTTAAAACCAAGAAACTATATTGCCTACCCTGAAAAAAAAAATCCCTTATCTCAGAAATGAACTTGTTTAAAATAGATTGAAGATAAGGATATGTGTGACATTTTTTTTCTAATATCTATTGAAAGAGTATTCATATTAGTGACTAATCAACAAACTCCACAATCCCCATCTTGTTTTACTCATCTTGTCAGCAAATATTGTTAGCAAAGTGGTCTTTCTACTTCTAGTCCTTTGCAGGCTAACTCTCCCTACAATCTACATTTAATTATTCAAACACAATTTTTATCTACAACACAATCTACAAATTATTAACACAATCTGCAAATTATTGAACAGGAGATATGGAAGTAAACACAGTAAATATATTGAATACTTACCGTGTGTTACTCAGGAGTCTCAAGTTGGTGTGTGAGGCACTGGGGAGACATTGGTGTTTGTGTAGAACAGGAGAGGGACTGAGCTTTCAGGTACTGACCATAATAGCTGTGTGCAGAGAATGTCCATGGGCAGACCTGATGGGAGGCAGTTGGCAATAGATAAGGAAGGTGCTTCTGGAGAGTGAGGGAGGAAGGGAAGGGATGGTGAGCCATCTACCCTCTGCTTTGGGCTGCCTGTCCCCATTCCCTGTGTTTCTACTTAATCAGATTTGCACACATCACTCATCTGCTGAGACTTCTTTCTCTGCCCTCTCTGCCAATCTGTACTTTCTTCTTTTTCAATTATCTCAACAGTCTTCTGGGAGACCTTTCAAGATTCCAGGATTTATGTTACCTAAAGCATTCTATTCAGCCCTTTAAACCTTTAATTTGCTTCAGTTGGTAGGGCTTCTTCAGTTATTGTGTATTTTATTAATGCATTCCATCTTGTAAACAGGATAATAACCTCCTAAAGCACTAAGATTATATATCAAGCTGCTCTCTGTATCTTACCCATGACATCTGTTCTAACATTCTGCACAGAGTAGTTGCCCAAATATTAACTAAATATGATTTTATTTTAATTATTTGATTCCATTCAATGCATGTATTGCTATGAAAATTGTGGACTTTGTGGAATTTGAAAAAAACTGTTTATCAGAAAAAAAACTATTCAACAATTTGAGTTATTGTCAATTCACTGGTTTATGAGATTTGATAATTTTCAGTATAATGTGGCTTTCTGTTTATGTTTGATTTCAGTAAGGGATACATGTGCTTGTACTTAAAAAGCTGAAGAATCTTATCTATTAGGGATTTTGATTAGGATGGGGGGAGAATAACCACTGTGTAATGGTTCAAGTTGCTCTGGGTTTAAAGATCTTTAGAAGCGTGTAAAGATTATCTTTTGGTTTCACAGTTACTGATGAACGCCTACACAGCCCTTCTGTTATCCCAAGTACTTATTTTAGAGTCCCTTGATCTTTTGTTTCTCATGTTTACAATTATGGTAAGGACATATAGTCATTAGTCATATGAAGAATTGCTAATTTGTTTTGGGCTCAAAGACAGTTGCATAAGATCTTACTTTTGATAAGTAATTGTTATTCTGCTTGCCAACAGATATAGGTCACCAAAGTGCTGCAAGAGAGGATTATTTTAGATGTATTTCGAATTTTAAAGCACAAACATATATTTTTATTAGTTAAAACCTTGTTTAAATAACTGAGTGGAAATAAAGAGTCAGACATCCACCCCCAAACACATGTTAAAAAATGTCCCCAGTTCAGAAGGGTTCAGGCTCTTGGCTGTGTAATCTATTTTTTACATAGGAACATGCTATGCTGATGTTAGTACTGGGAAGAGGAAGCGTGGCAGGAGAGGAATGCTGAGAAGTGAAGACCTCCAACCAAGGTAGGCTAGGAACCTATGCATCCCAGCAGTGGAGGACCCAAAGGGACCATGGAAAGAGCAGTGGAAACAACTCGGAGATGCGCAGTTGGAGGCAGCCTGCCTGCATAGTCCTCTCTGTTAAGAAGAGAATGCAGTGACACAGAGAGTTGGGGTAAAAGAGAAATTTTAATAATAAAACCATGTTGCTAGGAGTATATAAACGACCCAGTGAAGAGGAAGACATTAATAGATGAGACAGAGATTCAGGATGAAGGATGTGAGGTCAGGAATGAAGTACAGTCATGAAACACTTGACCTCAGAAAGGGAGAAAGGCTCCTCGTCTGAGATAATACAGAAAGCCGTGACATTTAGAAAAATTCTGAAAAAGAGAGGAGTGTTTTCCATTGACGAGGTAAACAGGGAAGTAGTGTCATAGGAGAACACCAACTTTGGGGGTGAGGAAGTGAAAGCGGGGATTCAAGACAGGGGCAAGAGTATGGGGACTTTGCTCAGAGTCAGAGATCAGCAGTGCCAGTCAAAGGGACTGATTAAATATCAGATCCTGCAGGGGTGATATGGGATGCGTGAGTCTGGGCCGCCATGGGAGTGAGAAGTGATGTGGCCATGCAAGAATGGGTCTCTATAATTCATAAGCCCAGGCGAACACATGCATACATGTTCTCAAGTAGGAGATTGGTAAGGAACACCAGCAGGAGAGCTGAACAGGAGTCTGCAGAGGGAGAAACATCATAAAAGTTCATTTGTTAGAAATGTATAAAAGTTGGGAAAAGATTTGTCAAATTCTTTCAGGGCCAAAGTCTTTTCCACTTTCTAATATCAGGGCCAAAGTCTTTTCCGCTTTCTAATATCTATGTTTTTGTCTCTTTAAATGCCAAAACTGCAGCCCATTTTTGGATTATAATTTCCTTTCTAGTCACTGAATTGGTATGCTTAATAAAGGATAGGAAGACGATCAAGAAGGAAACCCAAATGCTTTCCCTCAGTGAGCTAGGTGTTTCTATCAGGTAATTTTAAATGGAAAATAAATTGTTCTCTGGAGGAGGAAAAAAACAAATCAATGACATCCTGTTAAAGATGGTGAATTAACAAATGCTTTTAATCTCTACTCTAAAACCTCATTAAAATGACAGTAGAGGGTTTTTCTTTAAGCCACAAATCCATAAGGACAAAGAAATCGGGAGCAACAAAATTCTAGAAACTGAGTAACAGCTGAACAAGTGATAATTGGCTTAGCTGCCCACTCAGGAACCTCAATCTGAAGCTGGTCTTGGGGGGCCTGACACAGCCTGACTCACAGGCCAACCACCAGCTCAGATCTAACCTGGTGACCAGGTACCTCTGGGAACTGGGTTAAAGCTAGTTATAAAAGACAGGAACTGTGTAGAAGCTGGATTAATTAACGCTTAGATCTCTGTGTCCTGACAGTGGGGAGGTTAAAAATAGCAAAATTCTCATTCTCCATATGGGGAATTTAATAGGTGATGCTTGAAAAACAGTTCTAAGTAAACAATATAAGCATGTTACTTGGAAATATGAACATAAATACTAAGGAAGGGAAACAATCAGCTAAAGGCATTGAATGTGACTGCTTCTGGGGAGGGAGAATTGTGGACAATTATTTGGTTCTTTACGTACATGCATAATTCTAGCAAAAATAAAAACTAAATTCGAAGAAAAAAGAAGGAAGGAATCAAGGGGCAAAAGCTGCCACAGGAACTGAGGATGTTCCCAAAGATGTGATCCCACACCCACAAGGCCTGGGAGAGTGTTAGGTTGCAGAGGCGCAAAGAGCCCGCATAGGACACCTGCTGGCTTCCCTGCTTTCATGGGCATGCCTCAGGCAGAGGTGATGCCTGCATGCCTGGGAGGATGAGAGCAGGAGAATCTGTTCTGTGCACTTTCAGAATGACTGTTAGGAGGGAGGATCAAACTAAATGAAAGATGACCCAGCCCTCTCCACACCTCTTTAAATGGAAGGTTCTTTGCTAAAAGCTCCAGCGTATTTTCATGCATGGCCAGGGTTGCATCTTCACTGAGTAAAGTGGGATCAAAGAAAATAACTTTCCAAATAATAAAAGCTTTAATTACCCTTCATTTTAATCAATTTAATGGGAAATTTTCAGTGGATCTTATCCATCCCTGCTTTCTTAAATTTGATTTGCCAAAAATAATTTGAACATTTGTTTTAAAGACCCAGGGTCATCTTGAGATGCTGCAGTTTAATGCAGTGATTTCTTGGAGGCTTTAAGTTTGGAGGCCCCTTAACCTGCACACACAGCAGCCTGCCTGCTGTGACTGTTCAGATCTGGACATGGTGTTAATAGTTAAATTCCATCTCCTTTCATTAAACTCTCACTTCCTACTGCTTTGTACTGTATTTCCAACTGTCTGTTTGTATACTGCTCTTTTTTTCTCTTACATTTGCTGCTTCCAGTCTGCTGAGCAGTTGATGTCTCCCCTGTGACCAAGCGATTTATCTTACATAAAAGAGGATGAGGCCCCGACACACTCCTGCATGGGGAAAACCAGCAGAATGTCAGGCCAGACCTACATGACCTGGATTTAATTGCTCAGAGACTTTTTTTTTTTTTTCAAACTCCTCAGATCTCAGTGTGCTCCTAGGAGCTGAGGTTATCAGATAAGTAAGCCATCACCACCTGTCACTTGGTTCATGCACATCATCTTGCCCAACATAGTAAAGAAAATCATCTGCGAGATTCATTCTGAAAGCACTTAACAAGTGTTCTGTTTGAAAATACAGTTGACCCTTGGACAACACAAGTTTGAACAGCATGGGTCCACATATATGTGAGTTTTTTCAATAAATATACTGAAACATTTTTTGGAGGTTGGCAACAATTTGAAAAAAGACAGATGAACCATGTAGCATGGAAATATCAAAAAATTTAAGAAAAAGGCCACAAATGCATAAAATATATGTAGGTACTAGTCTATTTTATCATTTACTGCCATAAAATATGCACAAATCTGTTATAAAAGGTTAAAATTTATCAAAACTTATGCACACACTTAAAGCCCATACATGACGTCTTTCACAGTTAAGAAAAATGTAAACAATGTAAGATGCACTATTAACTCATAACTGCTAAAATTAACTCCAAAACATACTTTGCTACTGTAATAATTTCATAGCCACCTCCTGTTGCTGTTGTGCTGAGCTCAAGTGTTGGGAGTATCTGCTTAAAACGCTGTGTGATGCTAATCATCTCTGACTGAGCAGTTTATCATTCCAGTAAGTTGCATTCACAGTAAAAAGTGATCTCTCACAGTTACGGCATATTATTCATCATGTTTAGTGCAATACCATAAACCTTAAGTAACACCATGGGACCTATATGAAGTGCCACTGGTGATACTGTAAGTGCTCCCAAGAAGCAGAGAAGAGTCATGACATTACAAGAAAGAGTTGAATTGCTTAGTATATACCATAGATTGAGGTCTGCAGTTGACTGCTATTTCAGGATAAAGAAATCCAGCATAAGGACTGTTCTAAAAAAAAAGAAAAGAAAATTCATGAAGCTATTTTTGCAGCCATACCAGCAGGTACGAAAACCTTGCACTTCTTGTGCAAAGTTTTTTTTTATCTCACATTGAAAATACAGCTTTTAGGTGGGTACAGGATTGCTATACAAAAGGCACACCTATAGACTAATATGATTTAAAAAAAAGTGAAGTCATTATATGACAATTTAAAGTAAAGGATCCAAAGCTAGAGAATTTAATGCCAGCAAAGGATGGTTTGATAATTTTAGAAAGAGGTTTGGCTTAAAAAATGTCAAGGTAATAGGCGAAGCAGCTTCTGTCAACCAGCAGGCAGCAGACAAGTTCCCAGATGCCATTAAGAAAATCATTGAGTCAAATTATCCTTGTTTGCAGATAATATGATCTTATGTTTGGAAAAGCCTAAAGACTCCACCAAAAATCTGTTAGAACTGATAAACAAATGCAGTAAAGCTGTAGGATACAAAATCAGCATGCAAAAATCAGTAGCATTTCTATATGCCAACAGTGAACAATTTGAAAAGGAAATTTAAAAAGTAATCCCACTTAAAATAGCCCCAAATAAAATTAAATACCTAGGAATTAACTTAAAGAAGTGAAACATCTCTATTAATGAAAACTATAAAACACTAATGAAAGAAATTAAAGAGGGCACACATAAAAAAATGGAAAGATATTTCATGTTCATGGATTGGAAGAATCAATATTGTTAAAATGTCCATACTACCCAAAGCAATATACAGATTCAATACAATCGCTATCAAAATTCCAGTGACATTCTTCATGGAAATTGAAAAAAAAAATCCTAACATTTATATGGAACCCCTAAAGACCCAGAATATTCAAAGCTATCTGGAGCAAAAAGAACAATACTGGAGGAATCATATTACCTGCCTTCAAATAATACTGCAGAATTATAGTAATCAAAATCGCATGATAATGGTATAAAAGCAGACACATAGACCAATGGAACAGAATAGAGAACCCAGAAAGAAATCCACACACCTACAATGAACTCATTTTGACAAGGGTGTCAAGATTATACAGTGGGGAAAACACAGTGTCTTCAGTAAATCGTGCAGGGAAAACGGGATATCCATATGCAGAAGAATGAAACTGGACCCCTATCTCTCTCCTTATACAGAAATCAAATCAAAATTTAAATCTGTGACATCAAACTGTGAAACTACTGCAAGAAAACATTGGGGAAACTTTCCAGGCATTGGATTAGGCAACGATTTCTTGAGTAATACCCTACAAGCACAGGCAACCAAAGCAAAAATGAACAAATGGGATCACATCAAGTTAAAAGGCTTCCACACAGTAAAGGAAACAAACAACAAAATGGAGAAATAACACACTGAATGGGACAAGGAATTAATAACCCGAGTATATAAGGAGCTCAAACAACTCTGTAGGAAAAAAAGTCTAATAATCCAATTTTAAAATGGGCAAAATGTTTAATAGGAATTTCTCAAAAGAAGACATACAAATGAAAAACAGGCATATGAAAAGGTGCTCAATATCATTGATCCTCAGACAAATGCAAATCAAAACTAAATGAGATATCATCTCACTGCAGTTAAAATGGCTTTTATCCAAAAGTCAGTCAATAACAAATTCTGGCGAGGCTGTGGAGAAAAGGGAACCCTCATACATTGTTGGTGGGAATGTAAATTAGTACAACCATTATGGAGAGCAGTTTGAAGGTTCCTCAAAAAAACTAAAAATAGAGCTACCATATGATCGAGCAATCCCACTGCTGCATGTATACCCAAAAGAAAGGAAATCAGTATATCAAAGAGATACCTGCACTCCCATGTTTTTTGCAGCATTGTTCACACTAGCCAAGATGTGGAAGCAACCTAAGCATCTACCAACAGTTGAATGGATATTGTGTGTGATACTTATACACAATGGAGTGCTATTCAGCCATGGAAAAGAATGAGATCCTATCATTTGCAACATGGATGGAACTGGAAGTCATTATGTTAAGTGGAATAAGCCAAGCACAGAAAGACAAACATCACATGTTCCCAATTATTTTTGGAATCTAAAAATCAAAACAATTGAACTTAATGGAGATAGAGAATGGAAAGATGGTTACCCGAGGCTGGGAAAGGCAATGGGAGGTCAGGGCGGGGGAGGTGGGGATGGTTAATGCGTACCAAAAAATAAAAGTTAGGAAGAACGAGTAAGACCTAGTATTTGATAGCGCAACAGGGGTGCTGTAGTCATTAATAATTTTATTGTACATTTTAAAACAATGAAGAGTATTATAGGATTGTTTGTAACACAAATGATAAATGCTTATTAAGTGGATAGATATTCCATTTTCCATTATTATGCATTACATGCCTGTATCAAAACATGTCACGTACCCCATAAGTATATATACCTGCTATGCACCTATAAAAATTTAAAATAAAAATAAAATTTAAAAAAACCATTGAGGAGAAAGGATATCTGCCTGAACAGGTGTTTAATGAAGCTGAAAGTACCCTGTTCTGGGGGGAAAAAAAAGTCACAGTGGAGAATTGTTAGTAAGGAAGAGAAGCAAACAGCAGGATTTAGGGCAGGAAAGGATAGGCTAACTCTACTGTTTTGTGCAGATGCAGTCAGGTTTATGGTCAGGACTGCCCCCATCTATAAAGCTGCTAATGCCCAAGCCTTAAAGGGGAAAGATAAACACCAGCTGCCAGTCTTTTGGTTGTACAACATGGAGGCCTGAACAACAAGAGCTTCTTCTATATTAGTTTCATGATGCTTTGTTCCTGAAGTCAGGAAGTACCTTGCCAGTAAGGGAATGCCTTTTAATTTTCTTTTGATATTGGACAATGCCCTTGGTCACCCAGAACCCCATGAGTTCAACACTGAAAGCCATGAAATGGTCTCTTTTCCCCCAAGCACAATGTCTCCAAGTCAGCATGTAGATTAAAGGGTCATAAGTACCTTTAAGGCTCATTACAGAGGATGCTATATGGAAAGGATTATTAATGCTGTGGAAGAGAACCCCCAATAGAGAGGACATCATACATGTTTAGAAGGATTCAAAATCCTGTTGAAGATACCATTGTTGCTACAGAAAAATCCATGAAAGTCATCGAGTCCAAAACAATAAATTCCTGCTGGAGAAAACCGTCCAGATGTTCACACGATTTATAACAGAGCTGCTGAAAGAAATCATGAAATAGATTGTGAATATGGCAAAAAAAAAAAAAAAAATTGGGGGGGGGTGAAGGTCTCAGGTTATGGATTTTGGAGAAAATCAAGAGCTCATGGACACCACACCAGAGGAATTAACAGAAGATAACTTGACGGAGATGAGTGCTTCCAAACCAGTGCCAGACAATGAAGAATATGTAGAAGAAGCAGTGCCCCCAAACAAATTGATATCAGACAATCTGGAAGAAGGGTTCCTATTATTCAAGACTGCTTATGACTTCTTTTATGACAAAGATCCTCCTGATGATACTGGCACTGAAACTAAAGCAAAAAGTGGAAGAAGTACTGGTACTGTATGGAAGCATTTTTAGAGAAGTGAAAAAGCAAAAAAGACAGAAATTGCAATGCATTGCTGTAAAGTTACACTGAGTGTGCCTGCCTCCCCTGCCTTTCCTTCTGCCTCCTCCACCTCTTCTGCCTCTGCCACCTCTGAGACAGCAAGACCAACCCCTTCTCTCCTTCCTTCTCCTTAGCCTACTCTGCTAGAAGATGATGAGGATGAAGACCTTTGTGATGATCCACTTCCACGTGATAAATAGTAAATACATTTTCTCTTCCTCGTGATTTTCTTAATGTTTTCTTTTCTTTATCTTACCTTATTGTAAGAATATAGTACATAATACATATCATATACAAAATATGTGTTAATCAACTGTTTATGTTACCAGTAAAGCATCCATCAGGTCCAAAGTAGGCTATTATTAGTAAACTTTTTGGGGAGTCAAAAGTTACATGCAGATTTTTGACTGCATGCAGAGTCAATGCCCCTAACACCCCTGTTGTTGAAGGGTCAATTATATTTGCAAATGGAAACCTGAGAGCCTTATAACTTTTTGTTTTGTATTAGTCTGTTCTCGTACTGCTATAAAGAAATAACTGAGACTGGGTAATTTAGAAAGAAATGGGCTCATGCTTAATTGGCTCATGGTTCCACAGGCTGTACAGGAAGCATGATGCTGGCATCTTCTCAGCTTCTGTGTAGGTCTCAGGAAACTTACAATCATGGCAGAAGGTGAAGGAGAAGCAGGCCCATCTTACATGGCTGGAGCAGGAGGGTTGGAGGAGGTGATGCGCTCTTTTAAACAACCAGATCTCATGAGAACTCAAAAGGGGGGATGGTGTTGAACCATTCATGAGAACTCTGCCCCATGATTCAGTCACCTCCCACCAGGCCCCACCTCTAGCACTGGGGGTTATGTTTCAACATTAGATTTGGGTGGAGACACAGATTCAAACCATTTATTCTGCCCTGGCCCCTCCCAGATCTCATGTCCTTCTCACATTTCAAAATACAATCATCCCTTCCCAATAATCCCCCAAAGTCTTAACTCATTCCAGCATTAACTCAAAAGTCCAAAGTTTGATCTGAACAAGGCAAGTCCCTTCCACCTATAAGCCTGTAAAATCAGAACAAGTTACTTACTTCCAAGTTACAATGGGGATATAGGGATTGAGTAAATAATCCCGTTTCGAAAGGGAGAAATCAGCCAAAAGAAAGGGACTACAGGGAGCAGTGTCCAGGGGCTGTACAGAGCAGCTGGGCCCTGGACCTGGTCCATGAAACCATTCTTCCTGCCTAGGCCTCAGGTCTGTGATAGGAGGGGCTGTCAGGAAGGTCTCTGAAATACTTTTCAGGCCTTTTCCCCATTGTCCTGACTATTAGTATTTGCCTTTTAGTTATAAAATTTCTGCAGCCTGCTTGAATTCCTCCTCTGAAAATGGGCTTTTCTTTTCTACCACATGGCCAGGCTGCAAATTTTTCCAACTTTTATGCTCTGTTTCCCTGTTAAATATAAATTCCAGTTTCAGGTCATTTCTCTTCCTGTGCATATGAGCATAGGTTGTTAGAAGCAGCCAGGCTACATCTTGAACACTTTGCTGCTTAGGAATTTCTTCTGCCAGATATCCTAAATCATCACTCTCAAGTTCAAGGTTCCACAGATCCCTAGAGCAGGGATACAGTGCAGCCAGGCTCTTTGCTAAAGCATAGCAAAAGTGACCTCTACTCCAGTTCCCAATAAGTTCCTCATTTCCATCTGAGACCTCCTGAGCCTGGACTTCATTGTCCATGTCACTATCAGTATTTTGGTCACAACAATTTAACAAGTCTCTAGGAAGTTCCAAACTTTCCCTCATCTTCCTGTCTTTTTCTGAGCTCTCCAAACTGTTCCAACTTTTGCCCATTACCAGTTCCAAAGCTGCTTTCACATCTTCAAGCAATGCCCTGCTTCTCAGTATCAGTTTCTGTTTTATGAGGCTTCAGGAAACTTACAGTCATGGTGGAAGGCAAAGCAGGAGCAGTCATCTTCACATGGCCCAAGCAGGAGAAAGAGAGTGGGGAGGTGCCATACATTTTTAAACAACCAGATCTCTTGAGAACTTACTATATACTACCAAGGGGGGATGGTGCTAAACCATTTATGAGAATGCTACCCCCATGATCCAATTACCTCCCACCAGGACCCACCTCCAGCACTGGGGATTATATTTCAACATGAGATTTGGATGGAGACACAGATCCAAATCGTATCAGTTCTCATTTATGTCAGAATGTTTCTCAGCTCTGTTTTACAGAAGTGAAAGGTTCTTTCCTGGGAATTGAGAGACCCATGTTCTGGTGCCCTCTGTACCATGTCCCTGCTGTGTGACTTTAGTTTAGTCACTTGACCCTCTCTGCCTCATTTTCCTTCTTCTAAGTGGCAGTGGATTATGTGATTCCCTGATGGCCCTATGCCTTCTAAATTACAGTGAACTAAGATCAGTTACATAAACAGCAATTTGGGAATGGCTGGATTACAGTTACTGAAAAAGATTAAAAGATTAAACAAGTCATCCCATACAATGTTACAGGACACATAAATTGTAGCCCATCATCATTACTTTCAAGGAGGAAAGTTAACACTTTGAAGATGAGACACAGGAAACCTGCATCAGACTCCCAGGCCCCATTTGAAATCCACAGCATCTTTTCTCTTAAAGACTGGATATTGAACCACCACATCTTCTTTTAGGCATTTACTAATTAATTAACTAATAATTAGTGAAGTCAAGGGAAGAAGAGAAGTAGCAAGGTCCTCAGTGGCCTCTTTCTCATTTTAATTCCCTCACTAAGGACCTTCATCACTGATAAGGGATGGCAGAGGAAATGACCACAAAGACAACAACTAGGCCAACTCATTCAGAGCAAAAACTTCAAAATAAGCAACTGGTCTCTAGAAACCGCTGTCTCACCACACCTCAACCGTCCCTGTAACCTTCACCCTAATTCTGCTCTAAGATTCCCACATCATATATTCACAGAGTCATGCAAAGAAAAGAAGGATTCCCACATCAACTTTCACACGAATGTTATTTTTCATACGTGTGATCAGAATCCCCTGGGAATGCTTGTTGAAAATGCAGTCTCTTTACATCATTCCCAAAATATTGACCATCTGGGAGTGAGACTCAGGAATTTGCATTGTGGTGAGCACATTCAGGTTTTGAGAACTTCTCTTTTGAGGGTAGAGCAGAGCAGGCCCTCTTCTGAGTTCATGCTCTTTCCCTAAGCCTCTCTCCTCTGTCTCTCACAGGGAGAGTGTGAGTGACTGCTCAGACTCAGGCATGCACCAGCTGTGTGATTGAATGACAGCAAAATTATCTTTCTAGAGCAGCATAGAACATAGCTTTCACCAGTGACATTTCCCCAGTGCCACAAATGAAGGGGAGGGAAGTTTTGGGGACACTTGCCCTTCCCGGGGTACCTGTTCTGTGATTAAATCCCAACACTGTGCTCTCTTGTCACATCTTCCTCCCTCCTTCCTTCGTAAACCCATGGAGTCTCTGAAAGCATCCCCTTGTATTTAAATAGCAACTCTCAGGGTCATCTCAGCAGATGTTCTGCTGAAGAGGGGTCACGAGTAACTCTCAGGCTGTTTTTAACTCTGGCACTTGCATAAATAAACCATTTGGTTATGAGAATTCCCATTATAATTTCTTATTAAAGCTGAGAAGAACTACAATTCAAGTAAAGTCCACAGACAAAATGAATCACCTTTCTCATACAAATACCAGAAGGTTATATATATACACACATGTATGTGTGTATATTAGGTATCCTTAGGTTTAATATAAAGTGATTTGGCCCAGATTATCTCTAAGGCTTTTCCAGCTCTCAAATTCTATGGTCTACAAATCCTATAGTATATTATAAATATATAAGGGATTGTAAAAGGGAATATACAAATAATTGAATAAAAGTGAACAAATGCATTCTAAGAATGTTTTAACAGTATTTGGAGATAAACTTTCTTATAATAATAAGGAATATAAAGCAACTTCAATTAACCCATGTTCTTTTAGTATAGGTCACTGTATTCTCATTATAGGTCAGTGCTGTGTCAATAACATATTAACATATTAAAGAAAAAACACAGTCATGCATTTGTGGAATTTGTTTCATGACAAGTTATTATACTAATTACTTATTGGAGATGCAAAAAAAGGATAATAATGTCTATACCATCATGGAAAGTTACAGTAAAACACAACCAAGTGAGTGGTATAGATAACAGGTATAAATGAAATTTGAAGAAAGGAGCAGTCTCAGAGGCTTTTGTTGTTAGGAAAGGAGGTGGAGCTTGAACTAGGGGCTTGAGGGAATGCAGGATTTGTATAAGTTAAGCAGAAGGAACAGGGCATTTTAGATGGGCCAAAGCTTAGCAGACTTTATCATCAAGGTGTACTTTCAGTGCACATGAAATATATTGTCCTGGGTGAAGGGAAATATTTGCTTCAGGAAACAGTAAAAATTAGGTTGGAAATACAGGCTGGGCCCAATTATGGAAGCCTTTTAACTCAAGTCTAAAACATTTGGGATTGATTTTTTTTAAGCCAACATTTACTAAAGCCTAATTCATGCAACACTAGTCATGTTCCTCGGGCAAAGGACTTCATCATCAAATTTTTATAATGCAACTTATCCCCTTTGGAGATTCTCAGTACACATTAGCATGCTAAATATCCTTCATTTTTAACTCAGCATTTCTCAAACTTATTTGGTGATAAAGCCCTTGTCTCAAGTTCTATCTGTCAGTGTCTTAAAGACTTCGGGAAACTGTTACAAGCAGTGAGGTCACTAGATAGTTTAGGACTCACTCGGGGACTCAGTGATTGGTTCTGTCTCCTCTGCCCTCCGTGTTCATATATTACTCCCAGAAAAAGAATGTGAATGCCTGAAGTATTAGTTTAGGAAGAAGTTGGTTGTGAAGGTCTGTTTCAGGTTTGACACATATGAGATCACAGTAGGATGCTCAAATGGAAATAGCTAGTAAGTTGTCAAAACAATTATAGTGAAGCTTCAGATAGAGATGAGGCCTACAGATAGAATTGGCTGTCATCCAAATAGAAGGGCCGCTTGAGTGGATGAGTTCTCTGTAATAATTGTTTCCTTGTAACACCCCATATAATTTACTTATGCCCATCACTTGTTGTCTGTGTTTCTCCTACTAGAGTGGAAACTCCTTGAGGGCAAGGGACCTTTGTTTGTTCATAACGTTTCCCAAATGCCAAGAACAGTGTTTGGTACAAAGCCAGCACTCAATAAATATCTGTTGAGCTGAATTGAATACAGAATGCCGCATATTTATTTGTTCAACAAACGAGCTCTTACTCTCCGTCTGACCAGGAGCTGGAGATTCCACAGAAAAACGGGATATGGACCCTCCCCTAAGAGGGCTCCAGGTCAAGTATTGGAGACAGGCATCTAAGCCACTCATAAGTGTAAGTGCAGCCTAGGTTGTAAGTGCAGGAGTGAGTGCGCACTGCCGTAGAGCCCTGATCACACAGAGGAGGAGTGGGGAGGTCTGTCTGTGGGGATAGTTGAACCAGACTTTAGGGCAGGAGTTAAGTCAAGAAGGTGGTTTGTCTAAGAGCCAAGGCAAGTGGACACAGACAGAAGAGTGTATGCAGGGCAATACAGCCCCGGCCAGCAGCAGCAGTGAGCAACATGGAATATCACATGGGAAAAACAGGAACAGCAAATGAGGTGGAGATGCAGGCCAGGAACTAATATAATCCCAGAAGCTTTAACATAATATTAAGCAAACAAATTTGGTGTTAGACTGCATGTAAAAGAATTTCGTATGGCAAAAACAAACATTCTGAAGGTTGTGCTAACTACTTATTGATGGATTGAATGTGGCATAGGAGGAGAGAAAGAGATGGTTTTTGGCTTCATCTTGGAAGGATGGAGCTGCTATTTACCAAGATGCTGAAGACTGGGGCAGGCCTGGTCTTGAAAGGGAAGATCAGGGGTTTGTTTTTGGACAAGTTAAGTTTGATACGCCTAGTTCACCTCCAAGTCTAAAGTTTGGAGGAGAGATCAATACTGGAATTATTAAATTTGGGAGCTATCATTGCAAAGGTGATCTTTCAAGCTGGGAGACTGAGCTCATATAAGAGATGACCATAGACATAGAAGAGGGATCGCTGGCCCCTAATGTTTATATGTCAGCAAGATGCAGAAGAACAAACAGAAGGTTAAGGTATGGCAGCCAGAGAGGTGGGAGGAGAACACTGATCTTCTGGAAGTCTAGTGAATGAGGTATTTCAAGGAGATACCATTTTTCAGATGTTTGTATTAAAGACCCCAGAATTCCATCACATATAAATGACAATGGATTGGTAAGGATATCGGGGAAGCTGATAACTCAGATTTGGGGGAGGGAGGGCATGTAAATTGGGTCCATATATAGGGAAGCCCGTATGGCAGTAAATTTCAGAATTTCAAATTCTATATACTTCCAACCAATAATTCCATTGTTTCAGAGATTATTCTATAAATATGATCAAATACTTAGGGAAAGTCATATGTGCAAAGGTTTTTGTTGTAATATTGAGGACAACTTAAATGCTTACCAGGAGGGCCCTGGGACATACATTATGATACATCCTTATAATGGAACATTATGCCACTGTATAAAGAATAAAGAATTCAAAAATCAACTGTGACAGCACGTGCCTGTAGTCCAAGCTACTAGGGAGGCTGAGGCATGAGAATCACTCAAACCTGGGAGGCAGAGGTTGCAGTGAGCCGAGATTGCACCACTGCACTCCAGCCTAGGTGACAGAGCGAGAATCTGTCTCAAAAAAAAAAAAAAAAAGAATAAAGAGGTATGTATGTGTGTATGTGTGTGTGTATATATATATGTGTGTGTGTGTATATATATGTGTATATGTATTTCTGTATATATGAGTGTATATGTGTGTATATATACACACATATACATATATATACTTGCCTCCAGACATATATATACATATATAAGAAAGATCTTACATGCATATATAGATATATAGATATAGATAGTTGTAAAAGCAAGAGAAACCATGTGTGTTATTTGCTAACATTTGCTTTAAAGAGGCAGGGAGAATATGCCGTTTGTGCTGTGTGTGCATCTCTCTGGAAGGATACCTAAGAAGGAATAACAGTGGTTGCCTGAGAAGGGGAGGGAAACAAGGAGGCTGGGAGATGGGGAAAGGAAAGACAGTTCCCTGTATTTCAGTTTATACTTTTAAAATTGTGGAACCATATGACTACATTATCTGTTGAAAATTAAAATCGGAAGAGGTGTCAAAAAGAAGGAGAAACATGGACAGGCTGCAGTCTGCAGTCACGAGGGCCTTGTATGTTATGGTAATCATGCCAAACTGTGGGAGAGCAGGAAAGTATCGATGTGAAAGTGGCGATCCAAACAAAAATGTTCTGGGTCTAACAGAACTCCTCTGTGCATGACTGTGGTGAAGAAGACCTCTTTATTTCTCGGTGAAATGAAGTGAGGAGGGTCTTGCTAAGCGCATTATTCTTCGTATTATCCCACCCAGGTGAGTCACGTGGTTGTGTGTTTAGAATGGTGGCATGGTAATTAGATTCCACAAAGGGCTGAAAGTTATGCAACTTCATCTCACCTAGATCTACCCAGATGGAAAGTGCTGGCAGAAGAAGAAAACCTCCCTCATATAATTCATTCACAAATTGTACTGCTGTGGATTTGGCATTGCAAGGATCTTGTCATCCATCTGGGTTTCAGGCATATATTTAAGAAACCTGGTTTATCTTTTCCATCTCATGTGGAATGGGATTTAACAGTTCAAAATCCATCTTAAAATAATTTGGCTTTTGTTAATGCCCAGATTGTTTGGGATGAAGGCCAAGAAAAGGAGGCTACCAACTGGAACTATCTGAAAAGCAATTAGGCATTTCCACATCTCCACAAGGATTAGGATGTAAACACCCACAGGTAGGCCGCACACCCAAACTTCAGACCTCCGGAGTTTTGAGGCAGAGCATATAGTTTACAAAGGCTGTACATTTAAACAGGTACTATATATAAATTATACATATTCTTATAAAATTATCAGCTATCCATATTTTGTTCTCTAAGTAGTGTGATATCATACCATAAGTCATGTACAGACCATGTTATGTTAAGGTACTTTTAATACTGTTGATATAGCTACCTCTTGAATGAGGTCCCAAACGCACCTGTGTTATATGGTATTCCATCTTTCAGGAAATATATCACTACACCTAATTTGGGGAATTGGAAATAAATTAAAAATATAAATATATATTTTGTCACCATTTAAAAGATTTTAGCTTTTGCTTTTAATTTGTTTTTTAATCTATACACAAAAATTTTTATACTGGTTGTGTTTGTGAGAAAAGAGCTTTTTGGGACAGCAAAGTAAATTTTCAGTTGAAAAACTAATCTTTAAGTGTATCCATTTAAGATCAATATGTCTCCTTATGAAGAATTTTTAAAACTATATTTGCTTCTAAAATTTTAGCCATGTGCTACATGCTATATTTTATTTTCATATCATTTAGATTGGTAGAGAAAATCCCAACCAGAATGTTTGAAAGGTCGTCTGCTTTACGTTTGGCAAGAATAAATGGCATTCATTTCATCGAAAAAGGAGATGATGCCATGTTTCTGACTTGGCCCTCACTTCCTTTCAAAGCAAAAGCCTCTTTTTGATATCTTTTTATTGTATATATCCTATTTTTATTTTTAGGGCTGTTTGGTTTTCATCTAAGTTTGTTATCTCTGATGGGAAGCAGAAAACTTGATAGAAGTGGAAATTTCTCTTCACTATATCCCAGTATAGTTGTATGCAGTTGTACTAAATGTTCTGAGTTAATTTAATTATGCCATCTTGAAATTTTTGCACCCATTTATTAATTTTTATAAAACCTGACATTTTATCAACATTATAATTCATTTTTTGTCATTAAGCTTTTAAGCCCTTCAGGAAAAAACTATTTAAAATATTTAAATTATAAAGTATTTTGAAATAATAATTGGAAAATTATGTGTAATCAACACCTACACATATAAAAAATCCTAGCTGTTTAGATTTTAGAGATAACATGAAAGAAGCAATAAATTTCTAAAATATGTTTCTTTATATAAAAATTCAATAATGTAATTTTGTATGGCCATACCAATTTTTAAAATTTAACATTATAGCTATAAAGCAAAAGTTACATGATTTGGGCAGTCCTCACCATGAACTGATGGCTTCATTCTGTTCTTTGTTCACACAGCCTATATCTTCCATTCCCTTTCGACCAGAACTGAATTAAACTCTCATTGACATCACCTAAGGATTTTCCATGTGTCCTTTCTCTGCTGCTTGATGACCTACTATTTATACCCTTAGTTCTCAAGTTCATTATCACAAAGAAATTGCGGCAGGTTTCCTCATGGTTAACATTCCAGAAGAAAAATAACCCACTGCTTTTCCCTAGGAACAGAAACTTGGGGTCATGGAGTCAAAGGAACCTAATGGTTGGTTCTTTGGAACAGAGCAACTGAGGCTCAAAGACAATCATTTTGTTGAAAGAGCAGCCACACCAGGCCAGCCAGGTCTTTTGCTGATCTCTGAACATAATCTCTGATCAGGTCATTTGCTGATCTCTGAACATAATTTACCCCTAAGCATTAATTGGTATTCCTGCATGTTTTATTGGATTCATGTAATATGCTCACAGCCTTCAAACTTTGATGTCTTTAAACACACTGTATATTCTGACTGCGAAATATATAGCACATAGCAATTGTGTCACACTTCCAAAGGACTGTTTACCTACTTAGTTTTGGTTTTCAAATGAAGTTTTTTCCATTTCTTTGGCTAGAATTAACTGTTACCTCTTGTCTTACTTGGGTGGCAACATGGTTGTAGAATCAAGGAATCCTAGTTCCTCCCCCTCTGTCTTTAATAGCTGCCCCAAAGTGTTACGTTTCACCTTTAAAGAAAAGATGGATGAAGCCATACTTTATTTGAGACTTTTATAGTGCCATTTAGTTTAAATTAGACTGGTATATGGGACATTGGCTAATAGAAAAAATACAATTATTTTGTTAAACAATTAACTTCAAGATAATGTGAACAACTATACTTGGCTCTAAAATATACAAATTTAGGATACAAATGTGTTGGTATAGTGTTTGGAAGATATTGGAAACATGCAGGGAATGGAACTTGTTTTTGAAAGAAAAAAAATCCCAGTTCTTATTCCCTCATTATTATTGGCCTGGTTTCTATTTCTGAACCTGAAGATTGTTTTCACAGTGGGAATTCTTGTCACTATCCCTAAGCAGCGGCGGCAGCAGCAACCTTGACACCGTCCTGAATCTGCCTTCCTGTTTATTCTCCCCAGTGTCTGCCTGGTGGCTTTCCATAGGTCCAGCAGGCAATGCTCTGGCCACATAAGCTAAGAGCCACACTCTGTAAGAATATTAGGACTCTTTTGGCTTAAATCCACAATTTAAAAATTTCTAAATATGACCTTCTAAATATGCAGATGATCATCACAAGAGAAACTTTCTCAGGATCAATAAAATTCCAATTATTTTTATTAAATATGTAGGTTTTTCTTACCTATAATTCATCAACAAAAAACACTTGTGTCTCTTTCTCTTCCTTCCTCCCTCCCTCCCTCCCTGCCTTCCTCCCTTCCTCCCTTCCTCCCTTCCTCCCTTCATTCCTTTCTTCTTCTTCATTCCCTCCTTCCTTCTTTTTTTTTAGGATAGACAGTCTTACAGTTCTTAGATTTTCTGATATACCCCTCTAATAATGACCCTCTAATGCCTACTGAACATGGACTTCGCATCTCTCAGTCCCATCTCCCCATCTTCCTAATCGGATTTTCTTCAAAATGATCCCAAGTCCTCTTGCATGCAAATCTGAAAATGTCTGTGGCTGGGCCCACCACAGACCTCCTAAATCAGAACCTCCAGGGAGACACAGGAGCCTGCACTTTAAACACACACCTCCAGTGATTCTGTTACTCGTTGAGGTTTGAGATGCACTATCTAGTCTCCACGTGACTTCTCTGTGCTGCCTGTCCCCACCATTCTCTGACAAGTTCCCCCAGACCCTCCTCACATGCTCTTTAAATTATCTGGATTACTGTAACAGTCTCCACTTTTGCCTGTTCAACTGCAGTCACAGGTTCACACAGCTGCTTGCCCACCCACAGCTCTTCCCAACACTGGGTCATGCTCCTTTCGCATCCCCATAGTGGGAGTCTCACATCTCTTCTCTTCCTGTAATTAAAGTGCAAGGAGTTTTAAAACAAAACCAACTTGACTTCTTGAGGGAGTGGAGAGGGAGTGTGACTTAGTCTTAAGCTTTTTACTTCTTACCTGATTTTCGCCAGCTACTTTAAAATTCACTCTATCTAGTCTTTAGACAGAATAGTATGACTTACAGAAGGAGAAGAGATGCTACTCTTCAGCTTTTTAGTAAGAGAAGGACTTTTTCGTTGGGCTAATGTTTCTTTGCTGAAAATAATTTGAAAAATGAGGTGGTTACTTAACTTCTCACCCAGAAAAGTTCTTTATACACCACTGTTGTTGTAAAGAACTGTGAAGACCTCCTGTGACATGCTAGGAGTAGATTTCCTAGTAATTTAGTTCCAAGAGAACAATGCAATTTGCATCTTAGATATCTTAATGGATTTATTTTGTTTTATATAGACAGACTGATCCAGTTCAAATGTATAATCTCATTCTCTCTCTCTCTCTTGCTTCCCTTATAACTGGTACCTATGCAATAGCCCTTACAATGTTCTGCCCACAGAATAATTATTTTACACATATGATTATATCAGACAAACCAAGATTAAAATCCTTCTTCACCACTTCCTTAGGAAAGTGCTGTAGCCTCTGTCTGCATTTCTTATATAGCGTATGTGAAGTGCCTGGTAAGTTGCCTTGTGATTCCCTTGGTTGCGTATCTTTCGTCCTTGCCCTGGCGCTCGCATGTCACAGGGAGACAGTGAAAAGTCAAGGTGAGAACCCTTTTCTTAAAAAAATACAATCAATATATGCTTCAAATTAGTTGATTAGCAAAATCCACTGTGGTGGATTTTGTCATTTCTGTTGGATCAGTCATTTCTAAGTTAATAACACAGAAATGTTTAAATGACCAGCCTGACCAACATGGTGAAACCCCATCTGTACTAAAAATACAAAAATTAGCCACGTGTGGTGGCACGTGCCTGTAATCCCAGCTACTTGGGAGGCTGAGGCAGGAGAATTGCTTGAACCCAGGAGGCAGAGGTTGCAGTGAGCCGAGATCACACCACTGCACCCTCACCTGGGCAGCAGAGTGAGACTCTGTCTCAAAAAAAAAAAAAAAAAAAGACATGTTTAAAAGAAACAGATGTGTTATGCAGCAAATCAAATAATTAAATAAATGACAATGGGATTGATAGTCTCAGTCACTTTTTTGGATTCTGAGTTTTTTATTTTTAACTTAGTATTTCCAGTGTTCAATTTGTCACCTTTTTGCCTGTTTTTAAAAAGAGCTTCACTAATAAAACATTTTGCATGTCCCTGTGAACTTTTATTGGGCTAGAGGTATTTTAAGAGGAGTAAGATAAGGGGGAGTGGTCTTGTCTCATTTTTTTAATAGACTTGTAAAATATGAGCTTTTTAGATAGCAGCCATGTATGCAGCTACACTTGTTTCTTTAAATGTTTCCCCATTTCTTCCTTATCTATATCATTTTTTATCCTTTCAACTCTGTTGCATCTTCAAGTCCCCAATCCTTCTCAAGGCAGCCTGTTCTGTAACAGCCTCTGGCCCTAGACTCATACTTTCTGAAGTTTCTGAAAGCTGTTTTCTTAAGACCTAGAGTAGCTGTTTGTCTAAGCTCAGCATTCCCTTCTTCTGCTGTTCCATACTTACATTATGTGAGTTGGAATTAAGCCCAGTATACCAGTTCCTGTCATTGCCTCATTACCTTACAGGTGATCAAGTGTTCAGCAAGGCACCATAAACAGTCTGCCCCTAGCAGAATGAGGCTTCCATGCGGATACCTTGATGTTAGAAAAATCCCCCACTATTATTGTTCCACCTTGTGCCAGTTTTGAAATGCCATAAAAAATCATTGCGAAGAGCCCACATCCAGTCAAGCAGTTGTAATATGTGGTCCTGCGTTAGTTAACATCACTTGCATTTTTCCTCCCAGTTTCTTTTCCTGTTCATCTTGCAGTCCATGGAGTCATATTTCTTGTTTGTAGAGAGCTACCCCCTCCCTCCCACTCTTGTGTCTCTTCCCTTTCCTACAATTCCAGTCATGGATTCCATTCTGCAAGCCTCAGTGATACTTATGAGAATATGGTACCTCCTGACTGCCAGAAACATAATGAGTATTAATTATTCCTGTTTGGAAATCCAGAACTCTTGCTGAAGTCCAGTATTAAAACTTAGAAAAGCCAAGCACATCAGTCTTATCATTAGGAACCCAACGGGTGGATCTGAGTCATGCAGCACACTCCAGGGAGTCTCCCGGATGTGAAGAGTGGGGAAAGTGTGTGTGTGGCATTGGGGTGGAAGGGGCTTATTCGGTTAACCAAGTTGGGATGTTCTCAGGTACCATCATCAGTAAAAGAAAAGTTGGAGAAAAGGGGAGTGGTCCATGCGTTAGTTCCCTGGAGAGTGGAATGAATCTTACTAGTTACTGTTCTTTCCCAAAACCAGTGAGGTTCCCATACCTTATTAGCATAACAGGAAGTAGGACCATGGCTCCTGGTTAGGTAGGAAAAAGAAACACAGAAGTAAAAAGCCTAAATTGGCCATTTATTGTGTTTATCATATGTGTGTCAGCTTTTGCTTGATATTTAAAGACACTAAGGAATAAAGTTGTTGTCAATCACCATGTAAAGAGTTGCTTCGAAATGGTGTTGCATAGAAAGGGAATTAGAAGTTGGAATGCCCAACTGAAGAGTAAAAGTGTGCAAAAGAATGTACAAAATGTCTTGTAAAATTTACAACAGTTCTAAATTATATGTAATAGCAAAAGTTTTTAAACAATGCAACGTCCTTCAGTAGGGGACTGGTTAAATAAATGCTAGTTCATCTACACATTGGAGTCTCTGTAGCTGTCACAGAAAAGAGTGAGGAAGAGCTCTATACACTGACATGGAGTGAACTCCACTATGCAATTGTGTGAGAAAAAGAAAGAAAACAACCAACATGCAGGACACTGTACATAGTATGCTACTTTCATGTAAGAAAGGAAGATTATTAATAATATGTACACATTTGATTATATTTGCAAAGAGAAACAATACAATAAAAAACTAATAACATATAAGGGGAAGAAGGATCAAGGTAGAGAAGACCATAAAGGAGGCAAGACTTATCTGAATTCACCTTGATATGTAGTTTAATTTTGGAATTATGTAACGTTTTGATATAATCCATAAAACAAATTACATCCAAAAAAAGCACTTCCCTCCACCACATACATGTAAAATGAGAAAAAAGAAACACATGACCTAATTGTACATTGTGAGTAGCATAACCACAGAGAGAAAAGAATTATTCCAGCTGACCCTAGAACATCATATTTTTCACTGAACATTCTCAATTACATATACTCTTAAGGACAAAAAAATGCTAAGAATGTTTAAATTGGATTCAGCGGTCTTACTATTAGAGTTATATTGGTGTGATTAGGAATTAAGATTTTCCACCTAATGGAAAAAAAAGCATAAAATTTTTAAATTTATGTGAAAACCCTGTAAACTAAATTTGAATTAGAGGATCTACAGATCTTGCAGAAATTGTTTTGAACAGCAGTAGGGATTATTTATTTATTATATAAATTCTGGTGTAGAATAAATGCAGAGTTAGAGTTCAGGGTCTTTCTCCACTCCCATCCTTGTACTGTGGGCTTGGTCTCTGACCTCAGATTGACCCTTTCTGTGACAGAAAATACATTACTTTGCGTTCTTTCTATCCCTCGTCTCCACTGTGTCCTCAGTGGAGCTTAAATCTGCCTTCTGAGAGTCCAAGTCCAGATGCTGGTCCCAGCCCTTCTTTCTGCTCCCTTGGCAGCTTCCCATCTCTGAAGCTTGCTGAGCTTCCCTTCTCTAAAATAAGAATAACAATGATCATAGGTGCCCTGTTTCCCTTCAGAACAATGAGGAACAATTGCTGACTTCGAAGATGCCTTCTGCCTTGTTGCTGCCATAATTTTTCAGTGTTTTGTCCCCATTATTACATTCTTAAATGGACACATTTATGAAATTCCACTGGAGGTTGGAATCATTTTAGCTGTACCTAGAAAAAGAAATATTTCCAGTTCATTACCACAGATTGGATGGGAGTTAATATACTTTGTCTTTTTTATTTCTTTCAGCCATGGAATTCCATGAACACTTGCACAGCATAGGCACCAAGGAAGGTTTGAAGGAAAGAAAACTACAAAAAGCAGTGGAGAGCTTTACCTGGAATATTACCATCTTAAAGGTATCTATAGAGTTGTTTCTGATGCTGGTGATTTTGCAGCCTCTTTCAGCATGCTTCCCTCTCTTAGTATAACATTTCCTGCATTGTACATGGTCAGCCACTGAGATTGTAGAATGGATGCAGAAATCACATGAAGAACTCTGCCCTTCTAGAGTCTGTAGGCACAACAGTTTGACATTGTAGATCAGTTGAAGAACAGGGGAACTTCTATGATTGGCACATTGTAAGTCCTGATAGACAAAGGACTTTTGTCATTTTATCCTTGAGACATTTTAAAGTTCATAAATGCCAGTTGCTATATGTAAAATAGAAAATATTGATTACAGAGGAATGATTGGGAATTTAAAGATTCTAGTTACTCAAATTTCATTTAACACTTTAAAGTGTAATTATGGCTATAATGTTCATATGATCCCAGAAATAAATAGAAAAGAATTGTATGGAGCATAATCAAAGGAAATACATAAAAGAATTGCTATTGAAAGAAATATTTCTTGAAGGGAAATGCTATCTGCTATCTCTATGCATATCTATTTTGGCATAACAGTTGTTAAAAATTAACTTTTTATTTTTTATTATAAAAATAATATATTTTCATTGTCAAAAATGTCAAAAGAGCAATAATCAAAGGTAAACACAATCCCATCATCGAGAGACAATTACTGTTGGCCTTTTGCTGTGCATTCTCTCAGGCTGATTTTCTATTTTATATGTAATGTGACATAATTTTTAAAATAATGCTGTGTATGTACCTCGAAACTTTTTTGAGCTTTACCTCAATAGTTCTTCTCAGTGTTACTCACAGAGCATAAATAATAATAACACAGAGGTTATTTCATTCCAGGTCTTGGACAATTAATAAATGTAAAATTACTCTCTGGTGTTTGCCTTCCAAACTTTATGCTCAGCTGAATTTGTAGGGAAGAAAGGAAGGCTTCCCTTTCACCCGCTGAAGCTGCCTTGAAAACGACCTGACAATTGACAGATTAGCAGGCATAAAAAGGCCTACATATTATATTTATTTAAGGTGCAGAAGCATGGGGAATGGCAGGAGGATGATTACCTAACAACCCAGTGTGGTCTTGATGCATACAAACCCTTCTTCATAGTGGAGGGACATGGGGGAAATGTGGCCATTTTTGAGGGGTAGTAAATGAATTTTAGGGGAAATGAATGGGCCCAGTGCTCAGAAATGGGATAGTAAATGATTCTCTTTGGGAACTGAATGGTCTGAGAAGGAAAACTAGTTTGGGAGGAAGTTCTTCTGTGCTGTAGTTGTGGTGTTTAATTTTCAGTCTCTTCTTCTGTAAATTTTAGTCTTCTCTGGTTAATGAAATTTCAGAGAGGAGATCAGAGGCATTTGTGCTTCTCTTTGGTGGGTCCAGTTTCTAGTTAGATCAGGGTACTTGAACAGCCTCATCTTTGGGAGAGAGAGGACTGAGAGATATGTGGTGGGGGTGGTCAGAGAAACCGTGAGCCTGCTTCTTTAGTTCAGCATGTCAAAGTGTCATCTTTTGGGGTATTGTTTTCTGAGCCCCAACAGATTCAAGACCATAAAGACATTATCACAGCTGCCTTTTTAAATTTCCTCATTCCCCCTGAAGTTAAAAGCTCCATCCTTGGAGCTGACAATAATTTTCAGATTTGATGTAATAAAAGGTATCTTCCAAAGCTAGTCGCCATTTGCATTTTTCTCACGTTAAACGTCTACTTATTTTTATAATTAAGATCATTTTCTTGACTTCTTCAGACATTTCCCTTTTCACATATGTACTTTTCTTATATACCTATTTTGCTTATACTTTAACCCTGATTGTTTGCAGATCAGTAAACAGCAAACATAAGAATTTACAACGAAAAAGGATTTGGCTTTACAATTTGCTGACTCACTCCTGGTCAGAGGTGGGGGGTACACTATAAATTTCCTGTAAACTCAAGAAAATATATCACAGCAGATTAAGCCCTGTGGTAGGAACAAATGCTCACTTTGCTTTAATTTTATTAGAGGCAAATATAGACATAGGGACCAAACTTTGGCTTGTCAAGTACCCTTCCTACTCATGTGTGGTCCGGGAACCAGCAACCTGGGCCTCAGAGGGGAACTTGTTAGAAATTCAGAATCTCAAGTCCCACCCTAGTCCTGCTGATTCAGAACCTGCATTTTTACAAGATCCCCAGGTGATTCTTAGGCACATTAAAGTTTGAGAAGCACTGGGCTGAGAGCCACCAAAAATGGGAGCCTGATGCACATATTAATGAAAAACAGCTGACATAAAGCAGTGTGCCATATTTTAGAAGTAATTGGACCAAATAGATACACTGAAGAAACCTACTTTCTTTTGAATTGTGTCCAGGAGAGAGAATTAACACCTCAGACTTATGTTCATATGGAAGTAAATGTATAGGATGGGGTAATAGGTCTTTTTTTAATTTCCAGGATAATATTTGCTACAGATGGTGTTTAAGGATGGTAGAATGTAAGTGAGGCATGAGGAAGAATTGGAAAGATCTGTGTGTCATTTCTGTAGAATGGGGTTTTTTTTTCATTCCTGTATGTCACTGGTTTAAACTTTCTTTAGAATGAGTGCTGACAGGGAATCTTGAACGTGAATTTAGGTCTAAGTTGAGCTACCAGTATTTTCCTGGCGGGAGGGCATGGGATCTGTCGAGTTCCTCCCATTACTTTTTGTTTGCAGTGAGCTAGGAGAGGTGGCAGCGCTCCAGGCAGATGGCCAGCAGTAAACACACAGCAGGAGGCTCCCAGTAGCACAAATGCTTAGGGAGGGTTTCAGATGACCCCGGAAATGCAGAGAAGAGGAAATGAAGGAGGAAGCCAGGAAGACTGCTGAAGGAGCTCTGAAACAGTCCAAGGCTTGAGAATTACCTGGGATGCTTAAACATGCCCTCTCCTAAGCCTCATCCCAGACTTCCCAGACCAGAATCTCCAGGCTTGGAACCCAGGAATCTGCTTATTTAACAAGTTTCTTGGGGGATTCTGAGGCACACACAAAAAAACCTTATTATTGTTGTCCTAGAATCAAAAGCTTTCCTGATGCATCACCATAGTCATTTGAACCATAAGGAGGTAGGGTGGCCAGCCATCCTAGAAGCAAGACATTCAGTGCTAAAACCAGGACAATCTGGGCAAACTGGGACCATTGATCACCCTGAGAGGAGTTCCTGCCACTAAAAGTGTCGTTTCATTGAAGGATGTCTGTCCCAGTTTTTATGAATCTTTACTTGCCTAGTTTAGTTTTTTTTTATTTTGAAGGTTCTTTTAAAATTCAGAAATGAACAAAGAAGAAATAAAGTCATCTATAACTGCCACACCCAGAATTATCTACTATTAACATCTTGGCATACTTACTTCCAGTCATTTTTTTTCTTGAATAAAAAAGCATTCATTTGTTGTTATAAATCTATCTTTTTTAAAATAGAAAAATGTTTTTAAGTGACCCAAGATTCTCCCTCTGAGAAATAACCATTATTAGACGTAGGTGACTTTATTCCAGGAACCTTTCTATATGAATATGTCTGGATGGATCAGTATATATTTTAATGATTCTAAGTCATACTTTTTTTCACACTTTCGGTATGTTTGAAATTAGCATATATCTTATAGTCCATGGCATCTTTGCATTATATCCTGGTTAAATTGGCAATGATTTTTATTTCTTAGTGCTACATAAAATACTGGCACATCTCACAAGCACTAATGTCTCAGATATTATAAAATAAGTTATGTCAGCAGACATAATTCTTTTTTTTTTTTCTTTTTTGAGATGGAGTCTCACTCTGTCACCCAGGCTGGAGTCCAGTGGCACAATCTCGGCTCACTGCAACCTCTGCCTCCTGGGTTCAAGTGATTCTCCTGCCTCAGCCTCCCAAATAGCTGGGACTATATGCATGTGCCACCATGCCCAGCTAATTTTTGTATGTTTAGTAGAGACAGGGTTTCACTATCTTGGCCAGGCTAGTTTCGAACTCCTGACCTCAGGTAATCTGCCCACCTCAGCCTTCCAAAGTGCTGGGATTACAGGTGTGAGCCATCACGCCTGACTGATAGAATTCTAATATAATTGTTCTTTAAAAATTTTTAAGTACTAAATTTCATTTTATTTAACCATAAAGATGCTAAATGAATTGGTGAGCAATTTCTACCATAACAAAGATTTATTTCCATTTCCCAAAAGATCCCTTTGAGGTTAAGAAAAGGGATTATGAGAAATGTTAATAGAAGTCATTTTGCTGGGTATTTTTAAAGCTACATGTTTTAGTTATAAGTATTGTTGGTTGTCCTGCTATGAAAGATGACAATATGGGCCGGGCATGGTAGCTCACACCTGTAATCCCAGCACTTTGGGAGGCCGAGCTGCATGGATCACCTGAGGTCAGGAGTTCAAGACCAGCCTGGCCAACATGACGAAACCCCGTCTCTACTGAAAATACAAAAATTAGTTGGGCATGGTGGCGGGTGCTTGTAATCCCAGCTACTTGGGAGGCTGAGGCAGGAGAATCGCTTGAACCCAGGAGGCGGAGGTTGCAGTGAGCCAAGATCATGCCACTGCACTCCAGCCTGGGTGACAGAGCGAGACTGTCTCAAAGAAAAAAAAAAAAAAAAAGACAATATGAGCATTCTCTAATATTACTAGATAGATCATATTGTTATTTTTTTATTGTCCATGTTAAAAGTATTCATATTTGGTCTTGAAACTATAATTGCCATGTCACTTGAAGTTCAGTATTTAAATTGGTTCACTGTCACCATCAGTCTGGGAAGTCACCCATGCTTTCCTGCAACCTACAGGAATAGCAGGGAAAAGAGATAAAGCCAGCGGGTGTCTTTGCCAGGCTTCTTAAGATATTGGACCCAGCCTTCTCTTCTCAGAGTTTGTAAAATGTCCTGTTCTAGGGTTTCTGCTGCAAACTAGGGAGAGGGTGTAATCCATTCCCACAGGCCTCCCATTGCTTCTTTGATTTAGAAGCCAACTTTGAAACCTCCCTCCATTAGATAGTCAGCATCATTTTTTGTGTGTCAACTTTGAGACATAATGTTTGTAAAATAAAATTCACCAATTTTGAGCACAAAATCCTATGAGTTTTGACAAGTGTATGTACAGGCGTACCTTGGAGACTGCTTGATCAGTTCCAGACCATGGCAATAAAGCAAATATCACAATAAAGTGAGTCACATGATTTTTTTGGTTTCCCAGTATATATAAAAGTTATATTTACACTATAATGTAGTCTATTAAGTGTGCAGTAGCTTTTATGTCTAAAAATCAATGTACATAGCTTAATTTAAAAATGCTTTATTGCTAAAAAATGCTAATAATCATCTAAGCCCTCAGTTAGTTGTAATCCTTTTGCTGGTGGAGGGTCTCACCTCCATGTTAATGGGTGATGACTGATGAGGGTGGTGGTTGCTGAAGGCTGGGGTGGCTTGTGGCAATTTCTTAAAATAAGACAGTGGAGCTTGCTACACTGATGGACTCTTTGTTTCACCACAGATTTCTCTGTAGCGTGCAATGCTGTTCAGTAGCATTTTACCCACAGTAGAACTTCTTTGAAAATCAGTCTTCTCAAACCCCGCCATTCCTTTATCAATTAAGTGTATGTAATATTCTAACTCCTTTGCTGTAATTACAGCAATGTTCACAGCATCTTCACCAGGAGGAGATTCCATCTCAAGAAACCACTTTCTTTGCTCATTCATAAGAAGCAACTCCTCATGCATTACAGTTTTATGATGAGATTGCAGCAATTTAGTCACCTCTTCAGGCTCTATTTCTAATTCTAGTTCTCTAGTTATTTTCATTCCATCTGCATTTACTTTCCCCACTGTCGTCATGAACCCATCCAAGTCAACCATGAGGGCTGGGATCAACTTCCTCCAAAATCAGCTTCTTCCAGACTCCTGTTAATGTTGACATTCTGACCTCTCCCATGAATCATGAATGTTATTAATGGCGTCTTAGAATGGTGAATCCTTTCCAGAAGGTCTTCAATTTACTTTACCCCGATTCATCAGAGGAATCACTATCTATGGCAGCTATAGCCTTATGAAATGTATTTCTTAAATAATAAAACTTGAAAGTCAAAATTACTCTTTGATCCATGGGCTGCAGAATGGATATTGTATTAGCAGGCATGAAAGCAATATTAATCTCCTTGTGCATCCCTATCAGAGTGCTTGGATGACCAGGTACATTGTTGATATGCAGTAATATTGTGAAAGGAATCTTTTTTACTGAGCAGTAGGTCCCAGCTGTGGGCTTAAAATATTCAGGAAACCATGCTGTAAACACGTATGTTCTCATCTAGGCTTTATTGATCCATTTATAGAGCACGGGCAGAGTAAATTTAGCATAATACTTAAGGGCCCTAGGATTTTCAGAATGGCCAATTAGCATCGGCTGCTACTTACAGCCACCAGCTGCATTATTCCCTAACAAGAATATCAAACTGTCCTTTGAACCCTTGAAGCCAAGCATTGACTTCTCCTTTTGAGCCATGAAAGCCCTAGATGGCATCTTCTTTCAATAGAAGGCTGTTTCATCTACATTGAAAATCTGTTGTTTAGTATAGCCACCTTCATCAATGATCTTGGCTAAATCTTCTGGGTAACTCACTGCACCTTCTACATCAGCACTTGCTGCTTCGCATTGCACTTTGATGTGGTGGAGATGGCTTATTTCCTTAAACCTATGACCCAACCACTGCTAGCCTCCAGCTTGTCTTCTGCAACTTTCTTACCTCTCTTAGACTTCATAGAATTGAAGAGAGTTAGGGCCTTGCTCTGGATTAGGCTTTGGCTTAAGAGAACATTGTGGCTGGTTTGATCTCCTATTGAGACCACTCAAACTTTCTCCATATCAGCAATAAGGCAGTTTTGCTTTCTTATCATTCATGAGTTCAGTAGAATAGCACTTTAAATTTCCTTCACAAACTTTTCCTTTGCATTAACAACTTGGATAAATGTTTGGTGCAAGAGACCTAGCTTTTGGCTCATGTTGGCTTTTGACTTGAACTTGGCCTTCCTCAGTAAGCTTCATTATTTCTAGTTTTTTATTTCAAGTGCAACTCTTCTTTTCACTTGAACACTTGGAGGCCTTTGTAAGGTTATTTTTTGGCCTAATTTTCATATTGTTATGTCTCAGGAACTTTGCATGTCATTAGGGAGGCCTGAAGAGACAGAGATGGAGAGTGACCAGTGGAACAGTCAGAACACACACAACATTTACCAATTAAGTTTGCTGTCTTATAAGGAAGGGCACACTTTATGGTGCCCCAAAATAATTAGTAACATCAAAGACCACCAATCACAAATCACAATAACTAATATAATAATAGTGAAAAAGTTTGAAATATTGCAAGAATTACCAAAGAGTGACACAGAAACACAAAGTGAACACATGCTGTTGGAAAAATGACACTGTAGACTTGCTTGACGCAAGGTTGCCACAAACCTTCAATGTGTAAAAAAAAAAAAAAAAAAATGCAGTATCTGTGAAGTGTGATAAAATAAAGTATGTCTGGAGTCATGCAACCCCCAGCACAATGATGGTAGGGCATTGTTGTCACCCTGCTCCCCCAAATTGCATTGTGCCCCTTTGTAGTAAAATCCTTTATGTTGGCAACCACTTATCTCATTTCTATCTCTATAGTTTGACCTGTGCCAGAATGTCATATAAATGGAATTACATGGCATACAGTCTTTTCTGCCTGGCTTATTTCATGTAGCATTGTGCTTTTGAGTCATACAAGTTAATGTAGGTTTCAGTACTCCATTCCTTTTTATTGCTAAATAGTATTCTGTTTTATGGATATAACACATTTTGTTTATACCTGCACCAATTTATGGACATTTGTGTTGTTTCCAATTTTTAGCTATTACAAATAAACCTGCAATGAACATTCACATATCAGTCTTTGTATGGACATGCTTTTATTCTTCTTGGGTAAATATGAGTGGGATTGCTGGGTCACATGGCAAATGTGTGTGAGACTGATAAGAAACTGCCACAGTGCTTTAAAAACAACTGATGTTCCATTTTGCCTTTCCCCAGCAGTGTTGCAAGGGTTTTAGTTGCACCACATCCTTGTCAACACTTGGAATTATCAGTTTTGTCATTCCAGTAAGTGGATGGGGGTTGAGCATCTTTGTGTGTACGTGAGTTTTAAAAAATATCTGACTGACTCTAATGTGGTTTTCTTTATGTTTCTTCTGCTTGGGGTTGGTTGAGATTTTTAGATATGTGAATTTGTAGTTTTTAACAAATTTGGAAACTTTTTGGTGATTATTTCCTGAAATTTGTTTCTGTCTTACCCTTTCTACCATCTCCTTCTGTAACTCCAATTATATGTATAAATATACTGCTTGATATTATCCCACAATCACAGATGCTTATTCATTAGTTTTTAAGTACTTTCTGTGGTTTAAAAAAAAATTTTTTTGAGACAGGATCTCACTCTTGCCCAGGCTGGAGTGCAGTGGCGTGAACACTACTCATTGCAGCCTCAACCTTCTGGGCCGAAATGATCCTCTCATCTCAGCCTCCTGAGTAGCTGGGACCACAGGCACGTGCTACCATGCCTGGATAATTTGTACGTTTTTTGTAGAGACTAGGTTTTGCCATGTTCCCCAGGTTGGTTTCAAACTCCTGGCCTCAAACAATCCTCCCACTTCAGCCTCCCAAGGTGTAAGAATTACCGCACTCAGCCGTTTCCTTTTTGTTTTCTTTTTTAATTCTTGATATTTTTATTGCCATGTCCTTGAGCAATATTGCTATATTTTCAAGCAACACTTCTGTTTTCTGTAATATCTAATCTGCCATTAATCCTATTCAGTTTTTTAATTTCAAATTTGTCATGTTTCTGTTCATGCTAGTCATATCCTCTACCTTCTTGAAGACATGTCATATATTCACAATAGCCGTTTTCCAGCCTCTTCCTCTCCACTCTTGGCCCCTCATGTTCTAGCCACTGTCGGCTCCCTGAACTCCACACTCTGTCTTCTCACCCCAGTGGGACTGCTGGGCTCTGTTTGAGTTCCCCTTTCCTGCACTGCATCTGGAAACTGCAAGCAGTAAGCTGGACACGGTTGTTTGTATTTCTTCTCTCAGGATCACTGTGTTGTACTATCTGAAAATCATTGTTTTCTGCATTCTGTCTGGTTTTCTAATTGTATGCCAGCCACACTTCCAACTTTTCCTGTGTCATTTCTTTCTTCCCACCCTCTGCCCCATCTGCTACTCCATGAAACAGAATGCTCACTCCGTTTGCATCTCTCTGGTTTGGTTGTGTTTGAGATAGAACTTTCAGGACTTTTATGACTTGCCAACATGACTTCTGTGAGTTTTAGTTCATAGAATGATTATACCCTTTTTTTAGTTTTGCTGCTGTTTGTGGCTTTTTGCTTGGCTTTGTTTTTGCTCATTTCATCAGGAATGTAGAATGGAAATTCTGTAATGCATTTTCAATCCACCAGCTTAATCAAGACTTCCTCTACCTTTATTTTCCAGTTACCAAAATATTCACTGTACTGGTGGTAATTTTCACTGTGTCAATTGATTGCCATTCCTAAAATGGTAGAATCTCATACTAGAAGAGTCCTGTTTTCATTGGTCTGTTTTGGTTACCAAGAGTAGAAACTCACTCTGGCCAGCTCACAGAGGAGTCGCCACAGATGCTGGCTCACACAAGGGATCATGAGAGGGACAGGGACCTCAGGGAACTTGGAGACCGGAAACTGCAGTCCAGCCTCATGACAATAGCAAGCTGTTCGGAAACCTGGCAGCCCCCGAGGTAGCTGCTCCTCTCTGTGGAACAGGGGTCTTTCTGCTTATCTTTCTGCCTCTTCTCCATTCTGCTTCCTCTGCTGGCTGGCTCGTTCTGTTCACTCAGAGTTTCTACTGCTTTATAACTTGTTCTGGCCTTGGTCTGTTCTTTACCATATCCTCTAAGCATTTATTTCAAGTACTCAATCTATTTGTATTTCCTGCCTCAGCCTAGCCTTTTAGCTGCAGACCAGTGGTCCCGATAAACCTCCTCTTGTATTAAGTGTCCTTGGATCAGGTTCTCCCCCTGCTTTAATCCACTTTGTCCAGGAAGGTATTGTCAGCACAAAATATGGCTCCCTTTAGTGGCTGTTTCGGTTATCTATTGCTGTATAACAAACCACTGCAAAACTAGTGGCTTGAAACAATGACTTCTCATTTCTCGTGATTCTTGGGTTAGCTGGGCTCAGCCAGATGGTTTTGCTGCTCCATGTGATATTAGCTGGGATCACTTAAGAGATTTGTTCTGCTGGGAACTCAGCTTGGCCTGGAACATCGAAGAAGGTACTCACATGGCTGGATCTCATCTGGGGTGGCTGGGATGGCTGGGCTTTTTTTTTTTATAGCATCTATATCGTATCTTGGACTTGAATTAAGCTTGTTACAACCGAAGATGTTTTCCAGATGAATGGCTGCCAGGCTAGCTCTCCTGACCTGTGCCCCTCTACCATCAGAAACAAGGCTATCAATAAACCCTAAAAGTAATTAGAGATTCATTCTCTTTAGGAACCTAAAACTTCTGCCAAAACATAAATCAATAAACCAGATGGTTTTTGCACCTGGTAGACATTTGTCTTGATTTTCTTCATTTTTACCTGAGGTACAGTGCTTATCTTGAAGACTTAAAGACTGGCATTTGTTTCCTTTTTGAAATTACCATGATGGTTGATGTATGACTCCTTTTATTGAGGCTCATATCTTTTAGTTATTTTTATTTATTATAGGTAGTATAGTATGTTGTCTCTTTTCCTGAAAAGCTATAATTGACTGAAAGCCATTTCTCTATTTAGTGTGTGAAAATTTCTCAGAATGGCTCAGAAAATCAAACTATAGTAGCGTTTGTCATTAGGCAGGCTGTTCTTTCTGGTCCATTTGAAATACAGTAAAACCTCAAACATTGGGACCCCACTCATGTGGAGTTTGTGATTACTCAGCTAATGTTTGACTGTGTAAATGGTGTGCTTGAAAGATTAATAGCGCGAAGGAGGTGCTTACGTGCATGCTATTTTCCCTGGTGTTTCCAAGGGCTCTCACGCCCATGGCCCAGCCCCACTTGCCTCTCAGTGTCCCCTCGCTCTCTGCATCCTCTCTCTACACAGCTGGGCCACCCTCCCCTCCCCTCTGGCCCTGGTCCCTGCCTGGAACCCTCTCCTGACACCCCACCTTCTGTGCTTAGGTCATGGCTCACCTCCACTGTCTGGAGACTCCAAAGGCTGCTCCTGAATGCTAACCCTACCTCTGCCACCAGAGTGGCCAGCTCTGTGCCAGACGAGGCCACTGTCCTACTGCATGGTGGAATTTAGCCCTTCCCATGGCCAGGTCTGTAGCAGAGGGAGATGTAGTCAGTCAGAACCTAGAAAGCTTTGTAGCATAGAAATCATGCTGCTAAATGGTTGGGCTCCAGAGGTGCCATATGTTGGAGTCACGGTCACTCCTCTGTGGCAGGCAGCATCAGCCCCTGGGCCTGCCGCCGTCCTTTCCTGCCCTGAGTTTCCCCAATTCAGACACCGCCTCCTCCGTGGTGCTGCCGAGGAGCCCCCAACCCTCCGTCTTTGGTGAAGGAAAAGTAAAATTGTTTCTAAGGATGAAGGCATTCATTCTGAATTTAAAAAATTGAATCATATTTAAAATTATTAACTTTTGTACAAACCTCTGAGCACAACCATGGGAAAATTGGAGACTAACTGTGAATGTGATGACAGCCCAAATATAGGCAAAAAGTGTGGCAGGCAAAGGGAGCCACATGGAAAGTCAGATCCATGCAGCCCACTATCCCTTCATCATCAAGACACTGCCTCGAACCACAGAAACATCTCTTTGGATCCAGCAAAAACCAAGGGCAGGAGCTGTGCTTAGAGGGCTCTCCTTTCCGCTCCTGCACAGAACCCTTCATCCCCCTCTGGCAGCTTCTTTGCACCCTTTGGGGTGGAGGTCAGGGTGGAGGGAAGGCGGTCTTCCTGCTGTGGGGAGACAAGCTGATTTGCAGCTCATGTTCCATGCCCATCAAACGTGTGAGTGCACATACAGGAAGCCAAAAGGACAGAAAACATCACGCACTCTTAAAATGAGCCTAACGTCCTGTACAAAAGCCTGTGTCCTGTTGCTGTAGGTTTAGGTGACTGATGATTAGGGAGTCTTTTTTCAACCGTAAGGTTTACTGAGACTTCAGTGGGAAGTGGACCTGACCAAGCTAGGAGGCCTTCCTTAATTCTGATGAATGTGCCACGATCTCAGCCAGCCTCAAAAGAACTCTTGAAAGGGGAACTATCAATGTATAATAATGAGAGGCGATTTAGAATCCGTAGCCAAGACTCCTACAATCCATTCATTCTTCTTTTTTTTTCCAGACGGAGTCTTTCTCTGTCCCCCAGGCTGGAGTGCAGTGGTGTGATCTTGGCTCACTGCAACCTCCACCTCCCGGGTTCAAGTGATTCTCCTGCCTCAGCCTCCCGAGTAGCTGGGATTACAGTCGCCCGCCACCATGCCTGGCTAATTTTTGTATTTTTAGTAGAGACAGGATTTCACCATGTTGGCCAGGCTGGTCTTGAACTCCTGACCTCAGGTGATCCGCCCACCTCGGCCTCCCAAAGTGCTGGGATTACAGGTGTGAGCCACCACACCCGTTTCATTCTTTTGTTCACTCATTCCTCATTCAACAAACACACAGTGGAAATCCATATTTCTGTTTCTGCTTTTAATCACAGGAAGAGTGAATTGTCTACACAGTTGTTGATGTGCTGGATACATGAAAAATGTAGTGTGTGTTTCAACCTGCTTGCTTTAAAATATTGCATGCAGTCTGTGGGGTTCAACTCTCTATAGTTGTGGCCTCACAGTTTAGTTTATCCAACAGGAAAATAAAACAAACATACCAGAGAGAAAGGTGTGTGTGTTTCAGTGTGATTTGCTGTTCAGACTCTACCCGTAATCTCTCTAAACTCAGTGTCCTTTTTATGAAACGAGAATGGTAATAGCACTTCCCTTGCATCCCCTCTTTGTGGAGCAGGTGGTATCAGTGAAGGTATCTAAATTCTGCTGTGTTCCTCTCTGCATTCCCAAATAGATAAGAAAGACAGGAAGGAGGAGTATTTTTGTGCCTCAGACTCCCATAATGGTATGAGTACCCTCCTCCTTCTCCTCCCTCACACTGCATGTGATTTGGAAGAAAAGTGTCTGCTGGCCCCCAGGGAATGGAAGGTGCTAATCTTTGCTGTCTTCAACATCCAAGCATGTGGCCATTACACAGGTGGCAGAGGGCAGGGGAAGTCTTAGCTGCCGCACTGGATCCCTCACCTCAGAAGTAAGACAACTGTTTTTCTCTAATAGATAGTTGGACAAAAGGACTTTGAAAAAATTAGCCAGATGTAGAATCCCTGTTGTTTTGCCCCTACGTCTGAATAAAAGCAATGACTTGTGATTGTTAAATGGCTCCTAAAATGTAGCACTAACAGATGTGTCTTGAAATATTTTTAATATATTAAAAACTAGAACATCTTTTGTGGTCATACAGAAAGTATGGTGATTAGCCGAGGGTTGAGCACAGCTGGGGTGCGGTTCTGGCATTTGGAGCTGCCATCATTCTTTTCCTGGCTGCTCTGGCCTCTGATCCAATCCCAGGTAAGCCACAGGCTCAGCCAGAAAAAGCACAGTCACGCCAGACTCGCAGCAAGAGCTGCTGGGATCCAGCCACTGCCCTTAGTTACATCTTTTAAAGATTACTTTCTGGGCCTAAGTAAGAACCTTAAATATTTTGACCTAAGGTTGTTATAACTCTTTCAAGATGAAAACAAAATAGAATAAGTTAAAAAAATTCAAACCAGAATGTGCGAAATCAAATGACATTTGAGTTGTTCAACTGAAAACATTGCAAAGCCAGCTTTGTGGAAGGAGTCTTCAAAACCAGACACCCTGTGTCAGTGGGTGGCAGTGTTTTAAGTAACCTTTGCTCTTTTCAAGTCTTTTGAAGCAATGAAATATGAACACTGCTACAACAAACACCCCCACCTCTTTCAGAGTTTTTTTTTTTTTTTTTTTTTGAGACAGAGTTTTGTTCTTGTTGCCCCGGCTGGAGTGCAATGGTGTGGTCTCAGCTCACTGCAACCTTTGCCTCCTGGGTTCAAGCAATTCTTGTGCCTCAGCCTCCCAAGTAGCTGGGTTTACAGGCACCCGCCACCATGCCAGCTAATTTTTTTTTTTTGTATTTTTAGTAGAGACGAGGTTTCACCGTGTACTCCTGACCTGAGGTGATCCGCCCGCCTCGGCCTCCCAAAGTGCTGGGATTACAGGCATGAGCCACCGCGCCTGGCCAGAATTGTTCTTCACTCATGCTACATGCCTTACCTCCAAGACATCTTAAACATGTAGTCTTAGACACATAGAACAAAATGAAAGTGATGTGGACAAAGTTCAGCAGCTCCTCAAGCCCAGATTTATTGCCTTTGGGAGTCCTTTGTGTCTCGCCTTGGTAATGTCCAAAGGCCTATTCTGTTTAAGATACCATGATTACTTCTCTGAAGTTGAGAAACATAAGATTCAACCAGATGAAGAATTCTGTTATTACCACATTAATTATCATATGCCATCTGGGGATTTTTGTTTTTAAATACCCTGTCATCATGTGGTAGATCTATATATGCTGACACGGAAAGATCACTAAGACATAACTTTTCGTGAAGAAAAAAGGAAACCAAAGAACAATATAGATTGCTTGATTGTATTTACATTAAAAGTAAAATAAAATACCTATTTGTAATATATATATAATGCCAAGAAAAAGACAAAACTCATTGTTTAGGGGGCAGCTGTGAGATTAAAGGGGAGACTTTCACATTTTACTTTAATTACAATACTTTAATTGCATTCAACAGATGGTTATGGAGCCCTTACTCTGTACCTGGCACTGTTCTAGGCTCTGAGGATACAGCAGTGATCAGAAGACAAAAATTCCTGCCCTCGTGAAGTTTACATTTAGTGGAAGAGACAGACAATAAACCAAGCAGTAGAGTATGGCAATAGGTGTTATGGAAAAAGCAAGGCAGGGAAGCAGTAAGGAGAATTATGGACAGGAAGTGGGAGTTCTAATTAGACAAGATGGGGCTGTCAGGGAAGGCGCTGCTGTGAAGAGGGCATCAGAGTCAAGATGGCATCAAGGGGAGGGGAAGGAGCTAGCTACGTGCATTTCTGGGGCAAGGGCATTCCCTGCAGAGGGAACAATGAGTGCATAGACATTGAGGTTGGACTAGAGAGGACCTGATGGGTTTGAGGAACATTTAGGAGCGTAGCATATCAGAGGCTGAGTGAACAATACAGGGTGGGTAGGTGAGTGAAGGAAGTCAGATGAGGCTGTGGGCAAGGACTTTGACTCTCACTCTAAGTTATTTGGGGAGCTGCTGAAGGGTTTTGAACAGAGGGAAAGGGATGTCCTGTGTTTTAATTTGAGCTCTCTGGCTGTCACGTTGAACATGGAGAAAGAAGACCAGTCAGAATAAACTCCAAGAAAGATTATGGTGGCTTAAACCACAATGTTGGCAGTGAAGATGGTAAAAAGTGGTGAGAAACTTTATATATATGTTTTGAAGATTGTGACACTAGGACCTACTGACAGATGGGATGATAGATGGAAGAAAAAGGGAAGAATGAATAATGACACCAGGGTCCTTGGTCCAGGTCACTGCAAGAATGGAGTTGCTTTGACTGAAGAGTAGCTGGTAGTAGGAGTAGTAGCAGGATATCAGAAACTCAACTGGACATGTGATGTCCAAAAGAATGATGCCTAGATAGGCATTTTGGTAGGTACTAATTTTTATTAATAAAAATAAGAGCATACATCAATGACATTAAAAACAGAAAATACATAGAGAAAAATCAGTAAAACCAAAAGCTAGTCCTTTGAAAACCTTATTAAAATCAGTAAGTCTTTAGTCAAGCTAACTAAGAAAGAGATGATACAAATTACTAATGTCAGAAATGAAATAAAGGATATCACCACAGATTTTATGGACACTAAAAGGATAATGAAGGAATATTATGAACAATTCTATGCCCACAAACTTGAAAACCTAGATGAAATAGGCCAATTCCTTGAAAGGTACCATCTGCCAAAACTCATATGAGAAGAAATATACAATCTGAATAATTCTATATCTATTAAGGAAATCAAATCAATAATTAATAAGCCTCCAAAACAAAAAGCACCAGCACAGATAGGTTCACTGGTTTCTGCTAAACATTTAAGAAAGAAATGATACCAATTCTCTACAATATCTTCCAGAAAATAGAAGCAGAGTGAATACTTCCTAACTCATTCTACCAACCCAGTTTTACCTTAATACCAAACCAAAGACATTACAAGAAAAGAAAACAATAGACCAGTATCTCTCATCAACACAGATGCAAAAATCCTTAACAAAATATTAACAATTAAAATCCAAAAATGAATAAAAAGAATTATTCACCATGATCAAATGGGATTTATACTGGGTATACAAGGTTGATTTAACTTTTGAAAATCAACTAATGTCATTCATCATATCAACAGGCTAAAGAAGACAAAGCTCGTGGTTGTATCAGTAGATGCAAAAAAAGTTTGACAAAATTCAACTCCCATTCATGACAAAAATTCTCAGTGAACTAGGAATAGAGAGGACCTTACTCAACTTGATAAGGAACATCTACAAAAATCATACTGCTTACATCATATTTAAAGGTGAGAAACTGAAAGCATTCCCGATAAGATTAGGGACAAAGCAAAGATGTTCTCTGACACCACTGCTTTCAACATTGACCTGGAAGTCCAGTCCTAGCTAATGAAGAAAGACAAGAAAATAAAATAAAAGGTATATATCTTGAGAAGGAAGAAATAAAACTGTCTCTGTTCACAGATGATATAATCATCTATGTAGAAAATCCAAAAGAATTGACAAAAAAATCTCCTCGAACAATATAATGAGCAATTATGGCAGGGTTGCAGGAAACAAGGTTAGTATACAAAAATCAATTGATTTCTTTTTTTAAGAAAAAAAAAATTTTGAGACAGGGTCTCACTCTGTCACCCAGGCTGGAGTGTACTGGCATGATCATGGCTCACTGCAGCCTTGACTTCCCTGGGCTCAGGTGATCCTCCCACCTCAGCCTCACAAGTAGCTGGTACTTCAGGTGCACACCAACATACCCAGCTAATTTTTGTATTTTTATATAGAGATGGGGTTTCGCCAGGTTGCCCAGGCCAGTATTGAACTCCTGAGGCTCAAGCCTTAGCCTCCCAAAGTGCTGGGATTACAGGCATGAGCCACCACACCCAGCCAATTTATTTCTTTTTTTTTTTAAGGCGGAGTCTCACTTTGTGAGACAGAGTGTCGCTCTTGTTGCCCAGGCTGGAGTGCAGTGGTGTGATCTCGGCTCACTGCAAGCTCCACCTCCTGGGTTCACGCCATTCTCTGCCTCAGCCTCCCAAGTAGCTGGGACTACAGGCGCCCGCCACCACGCCCGGCTAATTTTTTGTATTTTTAGTAGAGACGGGGTTTCACCATGTTAGCCAGGATGGTCTCGATCTCCTGACCTCATGATCCGCCCGCCTCGGCCTCCCAAAGTGCTGGGATTACAGGCGTGAGCCACCATGCCCGGCCCAATTTATTTCTTATATACCAGCAAAGAACAAGTGGAATTCGAAATTAAAAACACATGACCATTTACATTAGAACCCCCAGAAATAAAATATTCAGGTATAAATCTAACAACATATATATGACTTATATGAGGAAAACTATAAAACTCTGGTGAAAGGTATCAAAGAATTAAGTAAATGGAGAGATATTCCATATTCATGGATGGGAAGACTTAATATTGTCAAGATATCAGTTCTTCCCAACTTGATATATAGATTCAACATAATCTCAAACTTCCAGCAAGCATAAAAATAGATAAATAAATAAATCCACCAAGTTATTTTGTGGAAATTGACAAACCGATTCCAAAGTTTAAAGAGAGAAACAAAAGACCCAGAATAGCCAACACAATATTAAAGGAGAAGAATAAAATCAGAGGACAGACTTTATCTGACTTTAAAACTTACTGCAAAGCTACAGGAAATAAAACAGTGTGAAAAGAATAGACAAATAGATCAGCAGAACAGGATAGAAGAGCCCAGAAATAGACCCACACAAAGCAGTTACTCAATCTTTGGCAAAGAGGCAAAGGCAATACAGTGGAATAGAGACTTCATCTTTTCAACAATTCATGCTGGAAAAACTGGACATCCACATGAAAAATTCAGTCTAGGCACAAATCTTACACCCTTCACAAGAATTAACTCAAAATAGATCATAGACCTAAAGATAAAACACAAAGCTATAGAATTCCTAGAAGATAACACAGGATAAAATCTAGGCGACCTTGGATATGGCAGTGCTTTTTCAGATACACCACCATAGACAATCCATTAAAGGAAGAATGGGTAAGTTGGACTTCCTTAAAATTTAAAACTTCTGCTCTATAAAGACAATGTCAAGAGAATGAGAAGAGAAGCCACAGTCTGGGAGAAAATACTTGCAAAGGACACACCTGATAAAGTACTGTTTTCCAAAATATGCAAAGAACTCTTAAAACTCAACAGTAAGGAAACAACCTGATTAAAAACTGGGCAAAAGTCTGAGCAGTCAAAGAGCTCTTAAAAAATGCAAAGAACCCTTAAAACTCAACAGTAAGGAAACAACCTGATTAAAAACTGGGCAAAAGTCTGAACAGTCACCTCGCCAAAGAAGATATACAAATGGAAAGTATATTAGCATCACATGTCACTAGGAAATTATATATTAAAACAACAATGAGATACCAATACACATCTATTACAGTAGCCAAAATACAAAACTAACATCACCAAATGCTGGCGAGGATGTGAAACAACAGGAACTTTCATTTATGCTGGTGGAAATGCAAAATGGTGCAGACAATTTGGAAGAAACTGTCAAACTATCTGTAGTTCTTACAGAACTAAACATACTCTTACCATATGATCCAGCGATCATACCCCTTGGAATGTACCTAAATGAATTGGAAACTTATGTCAACACAAAAATCTGCATACAGATGCTTATAGCAGAGTTATTTTTAATTGCCAAAATTTGGAAGCAACATAGATGTCCTGAAGTAAATGAATGGATAAATAAACTGCAGTGCATCCAGACAATGGAATATTATTCAGCACTAAAAAGATATGAGCTATCAAGCCATGAGACGACATGGAGGAAATTTAAATGCATATTACTAAGCGAAAGAAGCCAATCCAAAAAGGCTACACACTGTGTTTCCAACTAGACGACATTGTTGAAAAGGCAGAACTGTGGAGACAATAAAAAGATCAATGGTTGCCAGGGGTTGGGAGTGGGGAAGGATGACTAGCAAAGCACAGAGGAATTTTAGGGTGGTGGAACTATTCTGCATGATCGTGTAAGGGTAGATAGATGTTGTTATACATTTTTCAAAACCCATGGAATACACAAAACCAAGGGTGAGCCCTAATTTAGGCAATAGACTTGAGGGGATGTGGCAACATAGGTTCATTGATTGTAACAAGTATACCACTGTGGTGCGGGATGTGGCTACTAGAGAAGGTTTGCGTAGGGAGGGAGCGTAAGGGAACTCTCTGTGGTTTCTGCTCTGTTTTGCTGTGAACCTAAAACTGTCCTAAAAATTAAAGTTTATTAATTTTAAAAAATAATATTTGGAGTTTTAAAACACAAAGACTAGTTAGTCTATTAAAACTGTGAATGTGTGTAGCAATTCTGCTTGTGAAGGGAAATACACTATTTAACATGAAATTATACTCCTGACACAATATGCTATATATACAAAGACCTCATAACTAGTAAATTTTCAACATGTGAGTTCAGTGACTAGTAAGAATGAATAAAAATGAAGCTCCTTTAGTTAATCTACGCAAGGGAACATCTATTTATAGTTACTAATTAAAGGACTCTGTAAAGCAGGAAAACCATGCATGGTAAGTGGTAGGCAGCAAACTGTTCTGTGGATTTGGGCCTCATGACGGTTTAAAATTGCCTTGCAATTTGATCTCACCAGTGGCTGACATTTGACTATAGTCCATTTGCCAGCCAAGGTAAGTCCCTACCCATTGCTCTCTGCAGCTGGCCCCAAGCTCCTGCTGGACAGGAATGCCTTAAAGGGGACCCACACTGGGAGGCAGTTCAGAAAGAGGGAAAGGCGGAGGAGGTGTAAGTAGGACAAAGAAAAGTCAAACTACAGAGGAATCATAAAGAAAATAATAGAATAAATTGAGAACCCAAGGGGATGGGAAAAAATAGCAAGCAAGGAGAGTGAGAAAGAAGAAAAGGTAATAGTGTAAGTAGAAAAAACTGTTAGTGGAAGGCAGGTTAAATTTGGAAGGAAAAATAGAACAAAAAAGCAAAGTAGGAGTGTTGGAATTTACAGCAATAGAGCACCACATCATCTCTTCTGCTCGATAATTTTGGAATTGTTGGCTGATGCATTAGCCCAGTGGTTTTCAACTGGGGGTAGCTCACCCTCCCACTCAAGAGACAGTTAGCAATGTCTGCAAACATTAGGGTATGCTAGGGGTGCTGCTAAATATCTGAAAATACACAAGACAGCTCCCCACCTCCAAAGAATTCTCTGGTCCAAAATGTCAAGAGCAAAGAGGGTGACAAACTTCATTGGCCCATTGTCAGCACCGATTCCAGACTCCCAGTGACTGTGCTTCAATTCGCCCACTGTTTTCTGACCTATATCATGTTATACTGCATATAGATCAAGTTGATGGTCAGACCTCAGAAAAGAAATTAAAATTTGGCTGAGAAAGTATATCCAAAGTAGAAAATCCTTTGCTTCACTCTTTCTTTCAGCAAATGCTCAGTGAGGACCTGCTGCGTGCCCACGGCTGCCAGCACTTACCAAAGGCTGTGTGGGCTTCAGAGATGGAGAACAGATTAGTGGTTGCCAGGGTTTAGGGATGGTGGAGAGGAGGGGTGGGTGTGACTTCCTGGTGGTGCTGGTGCAGTGCTGTGCCTTGGTTGCCACGGTGGTTACGTGAACCCACACATGTGATGAAGTCACACAGAAGCATAGGCACACTTTGTACCCCCATCAGTGTCTTGGTTTTGATATTGTGCTATAGTTATGTGAGACATAACCATTGGGGGAAATTTGGGAAAGGGTATACAAGACCTCTCTGTACTATATTTGTATCCTTCTGTGAGTTTATACTTATTTCAAAATAAAAAGTTTTTTTTTTAATCAAACCTTAAAAGGGAAAAAACAAGATTGGCCAAACAACTAATGAAAGATGTAATTTTAACCAGGATAGACAGGAATAGTTCATGCACACAGAACCCCATGCAGATCTATAAATAGAAAGGGCCAGAAAGGCAGCATACTCTTGGAGTGTGGTGTTGAAACTGGGAAAACAAACTCACTTTTTATTAAAATTGACCTATTCAGATGCAGTGCCAATAAGAAATAATTATGCCTTCTTGTGGAATCAGAATACTTCTATTTCAGTGAAAGATAGATATTGTTGAAGTATAACACTAAGTTATGTCATATCTAATACTGTTTAATTGCATGTTTTGTTATAGGGACAAGCAGATCTTTTGAAATATGCTAAGAATGAGACATTGGAGAACCTGAAACAAATCCATTTTGCTGCTGTTTCATGTGGACTGAATAAACCAGGCACCGAAAATGCTGATGTCCAGAAGCCACGCCGGAGCTTGGAAGTCATACCCGAAAAAGCAAACGATGAAACTGGAGAATGAGGAAACTTACAATAAACCATTATGGAGTTTATAACTCTAGGACCAATTGTAGTCAGATGGGACATTTGCTTTGCACTCACTAATGAGAATAATATTCGGGATTTTAAAGCACAACTGGAATAGCTAATTACAGTCTATTAAAACTGTGAATGTATGTAGCAATCCTGCGTGTGAAGGCAAATAAACTCTTTAACAGGCAATTATATTGCTGGCCAAAATATGCTATATTTGTATACAAAGACATTCTAACTCAGTTCCAGTATGAAGAAAGATTATTCACTCTAGCTCCACTGAGAAACATTTTCCTAAGTGAAAACAATTTCTTAAGATGGAAATGGATTGGATTGTCAAATTATTATTTATTGGAGAAAAAAACCTGATCTACACATTTTTACTTATATGGGGTTGCCAGAGTCTCTGGGTTCTAGATGATTTTGGTGGCATGCTTGCTGAGCCATAATTACTAAAGAGAATGTAAGTGGACGGGTTCCCTGAATCCCCGGGGTCCTTGGAGAGCCATCGAGGAGAATGTGCAATTGGACTGAAGCTCCCTGGCTGAAGATACATGCCGAGTCAGCACATGGGTAGAGATGATGTAAAAGCAGCCAATCTGGAAACAATACATTGTAAATAGTTTTTCATTGTATGAAGTAGTGTTCACATTAAAAAGATGTTTTATGATATTTCTCCAATAGCAGTACATGTGTTTAATGAAGCCTTAACTTTTAAGATTTCTAGCTCAAAATATTCTACTCTTAAGTGTAGCCACTTACTTGAACAGCTTTGTCAAAAATAAGTTGCTTGTCGGGGCTGACCTTATTTTGCTTTTGGTAAGGTTTCAACAGCTTTAAGCAACAGCAGCTGACTGTAAAGTGAACCGAGATACCCACAGCTGCCCTCTTGATGCTTCTGAATTAGGTCTGTAGTAATGTGCACCTCAGAATCTGGCAAAGAGTAAGTCAAAAGTAGTTAGAGGGGCAGGAGAAGGTGTAGCTTTCCTCCAGTTCTACTGGCAACAAATTCCTTCAATTTATGTTTGTCTGAGAAAGTCTCTGTTTCTCCTTCACTTTTGAAAGATAATTTTCTGCCAGCTGAGTTTTTAATCCAAGCTTTTATTTTGCAAATCAGTGAGACTTCGTGCTTTCAAGATACTGAACACTGCAGCCTAATTACTGCTTCTCCCAAACCAAAACTGCTTTCAAATTTTGGAAGGGTAAATATTTACTCTAAATCTTCAACAATCCCTTCTTTTCTATTCATTGACTCAGGTATGTGAGCCAGATAAGTATATGTAATCTTCAGCTGAGTATCTTATTAGTGATTTCCTCACAGTTCAAGAGATGCTCAGGCGCTGTTGTTCATTTGTTTCTGTCCAGTCTCCTCAATATCCTCTTAAAAAAACAATTCTTTGCTCAGTTCTTGTCATTTGCATTCTAATAGTGTGCTTAAGTTAAGGTACGCCATCTCCACTGCCCTTCTCTGGATATAATTCGTTGGAAAATAAGCCTGTTCCTTGGATAATGTTGCTGTTCCCTGCACACCCAACTAACCACCAGCCAGTAGCTTAGGCCCTTAGCTCAGAAATGAACTCTACACGGGGTAAAAATGAATAGAAAATAGAGAACTAAAAGTAAACTTACAGAATGAGAAATGAAATAATGTATAACTTAGATTGTTAAAAATACTTAAACTTAGCTGGAAGTAAATAGCAATATTCAATTTAAAGTGAAAAATCCAGAAATCATGAAAAATTTCTATCTTTTAAAGTATAATGAAATTGAAAAAAATTCTACATTTCTAGTAATGACAGGCATTATCTAATATGTGATTTGAATAACTGATAGTAAGACACATGTAATTTATTGTAGTTTATACAGGCTTAGAGTCAACAATTTTATAATTGAAGGAGTCTGAGAGATCATTCAGTCCTACACTTTCTTTTTCAGATGCCAAAGTTGCAGATGAAAATAAAAAATGCATTGCCTGGTGTCAAAAAGTCTGTTAGAGGTAGTGTTGGTGCTGAACCCAGCCCGGGGTTTGCTCCACCTTTCCATGATAAAATGTCAACCTTCTTTTGACCCATCTCATCAGAGGAATAAGCCAAGTGATGGGAATAGCAGGCATGCCTGTCGGGAGTTGTTCCCAAAGCCTCAGCGTTTCTCCTGTTTATCTAGATCTTCCCCCAGTAAATGCACCATCCTCCCTCGAGGATGATGACTCGTATCAGCAGAGCACAAATTCACAGCCAATTGAGCTATTCTATTCTTTTTTTCCCATTCATATGGAAACAGAAAACATTCATTAAACTGGTAAGGGCCAAGGTTATGATTTATGGACCTTTATAAACAGCTTTTTCTTATAAAGGACTGACTGATCCACTCTGGATTGAATCTGTGGAGGCCTTATTATAACCCCCGCAGATCAAATAAAAGTGAGATCCCTGCTCCTGGGTTGCATAAGTTGTAGTGACAGCAGGGGTAACATGCTTGCTTCCTCCCATTATCTGCATTCCATAAATGGGTGGGGGGGCACCCATTTAAGTTACTCATTGTAAATACCAATAATTCCTTGTGAATTTGACTAATGCATACATAGGGCACACTATAGACACACACACAAACTGCATTATTCCCAATTAGGAGGAATATATACAATCAGAGGTAGCATGAAAACAACTGGTAAGTCTCTGCTGAGGACACAGGAAAATTCAGATTTGGACAAAAATGCACAGAAATCATGGAAAACACCTGGTCAATTCAGTAGGAAATGAAACGTCACACTGCAATCAAGCCCAGTGTCACATTTCCAGCAGTTATGTTGATGTCAGTCCCACAGAGTAAATCCTGAGGCCTCTAGGAACACACTAAGTACATTCTGCTTCCTCTTTCCACATACATATTCAGTGTATCCTCTCAGCTACTTAAAATCTTGCAGGCATTGGTCTATTTTCTGTCTTTAGCAGGCATGGCTTCTAAACAATGGGAAAGAAGCCATCTAAACACAAATGCTTACCATCTCCGGGCAGGTGTGACCCAGGGACCAGGGCATGGAGCAGAGTTCTTAGGGTGGTGGGCAGCCCCTAGGGAGGCTGCTCTTCCTCACCCACATGGAGTTGGGCTGTGAAGCACTGAATGGGGAAAGCCATCCAGCTTGCAAATGTTTCCACATGTGGTCTTTGCCATGCGGCCTCATTTAGTATGTTGAGGTACTTTGAATGTGTTGAATCTTCAATCAAGCGTTTTAAAAAGTTATAAATGCAAATTTAGTGCAGTTACAGCATAGTTCTGATTTACCCATCCAATGAGGAAGAATGCTGAAGCTGGATATATCTGTCTTCAGGTTCAGTGGTTGCTCATGTCTCGGCCAATATTTGCTGTGAACAGACCTAACATTTGCTGTCAGTTGTAAGAATTTTCTATTTCTAATATTTGACAGTGGGACTCTTTGTTGGGGCTGTGAGCCAAGGACTGTGTCCAAGACACTTTGCACATATCATTTCATCTTCTCAACCGGCAAAGTACTTGTCTGATGTTACAGATGAAGAAATGAAGACTTTAGACAGGTTAGTTAACGTAACTAAGGCCATGGAGTGCTCAAGTCAGGATTTAAACTCAGCTTTGCCTGCTCCAAAGCCTATATTCCCAACCATTCTTCTGAATTCCAGATATATATATATATATATATAACCTCTAAACTACAAGATGGGTACTATCTTGTAAAGTATAATGAGGCAGTTGGCATTTTCCTCTTCTTTTTTTTTTTGAAACAGAATCTCGCTCAGTTGCATAGGCTAGAGTGCAGTGGTGCAATCTCGGCTCACTGCAACTCTTGCCTCAGGTTCAAGTGATTCTCCTGCCTCAGCCTCCCGAGTAGCCAGAACTACAGGTGTGCGCCACCACTCCCTGCTGATTTTTGTATTTTTAGTAGAGACGGGGTTTCACCATGTTGGCCAGGCTGGTCTCGAACTCCTGAACTCAAGTGATCCCAATCCTTGGCCTCCCAAAGTGCTGGGATTACAGGCGTGAGCCACCGCGCCCAGCTTTATTCTTCTTAAATGCGATACATGAACTCTCTAGAAGCCACTGAGACTCTGATTTTATTTAGCACATTTGAGACACCAGGGATTCACTCTGGATGAAAACAGGCATGGTCCCAGCCCCCATGGAACTCACAGTGTAATTGGGAAGAGAGATACATTTATTCAAATAATTCCAAAGGTATAGGTGCAATTAAAACTATGGGAAGTGCTATGAAGAGGCCCCACTGAGAGGCTGCCTGGGTTCCATCCCATCACTTCCTAGCTGAGTGCTGAGGGAAGGTGTGCTTAACCTACCTTACCTCTGTAATTGTGGAAGTATTTTGTTTAGTGCTGTCTTATGAGTTGTTTGTAAAGCACTTAGACCAGCACCCAGCTCGCAGTGGACTTGTTGTAATGTTGCCATTCGTTATTGATAGGTGGGACCATGAGGGTGTTTAACGGGGCCTCACCACTCTTGAGAAGATGGAGAGAGTATTTACTGCTCTGTAACCCAACCCCTAAAACCTGAAACAGTCATTTGTTCTCATGTCTGGGGCTTTTGTGTGTTGACTGGGCTCACCTCAGTTTTCTTACTTAGGGTCTCTTGTGCAGGCGCTGGCAGATGTTAGCAGGGGCTTTAGTTATGTGACTGGGCTGAACTGCCGGCTGGCTCACTAGCTGGCACAGCCACTGCAGGGAGCTCAGCTGGGGCTGTGGACCAGAGCATCGGCATAGGTCTCTCCATGTGGCTTGGAGCCCTCACTGCAGGACACTGCATTCCGAGAGGGATTGTCCCAAGGGCAAGCATTCCAAAGACACACATGGAAGCAGCTTTTCTTCCTGAGGCTCCTGGAGGCCTATCCTCAGAAGCCTCGGCATGTCCCTGTTGCTACATCCTATTGTTTAGGCAAGTCGCTAGGTCCTGCCCAGGTCCAAGAGGGTGAACTCGACCAGAGGGTGGCAAGGTCACATTGTGGAAGATGATATGGGATAGGAGATGTTAAGACTATTTTTGGAAAATACAGTCTACTGTGGAAGCTTCCCTGAGAAAGCGGTATTTGAGTTGAGACCTGAAGGCAAAGATGCTCTCCCTACTTGCCCCACCCCAAAGAAAAGGGTCAGCAGCAGGGGATAGAGGAGTGGAAAGCAATTCAGGCAATTTAGACCAAGAGCCCAGCATTCTGCAAAGGCTGGTGGCAGGAGGGAGTGCAGCCTTGCTTGAGGACCTGAAAGGACAGTGAGACTGGGGTGCAGAGAAGGAAAAGGAGAGGGTGTCGAGGGAGTTGCAAGGGCACGGGGACCTCTCAGGGAGGGCTTGGCAGTCCTTGTTAGGGAGTTTGTTCTTGTTTTCCTAAAAGATTAGTGCCAACCATTTAGTTGTATTATATTTAACCCACTTTGCATTCGTTTTACTTAATTACAAAAGAAGTACATGCTCATTGTTACCAAAAAAAGTCAAATGCTGACAAATGTAAATTTAAAAAGTGCATGTGCCCCCTCACACTGCCCTTCTCCCACTCCCCATGGGAAACAGCATGGCCAATGCCTCCTTACATGGCAATGTTCAGATGCCACCAACAAATGCCCTCCTCCTCTCCCTGAGAAGTTCTGACTTTTACTGTCAAGGAAACGCTTAGCTCTTTTTAAGGATCAGAGAAATCAAAGCATTGAGTACATAAGTGAAGGCAATGAGCAATTCAGTTTTATCAACTAGAATATTTATGTATTTATTCAAAGCCACAGATGTTAGATGTTAGGTAGAAAGTAGGGATCAACAGTTTAACAACTTATGTTTAGATGTAACTATTCAAATGTATAAGAACAAGTGTCTCCCCTCTAAAAATATTTTTAAAATCTCACACAAGACTCTAAACCAAAAACCATTGTAAAAAATCCTTTGGAAATGGATCATTGTAGCCATTGAGATGACAGGTCAAGGTGAGCATTCTGAACATATAACAAAATATAAGATAGGTGATAAATATTCAAAGCATGAAGGAGGTATAATATGAAGAGTAAAGTCCTCCCCTCATCTCCCCAAGCCTCAGTGCTAAGAACTTATCATGTGTAATTTCTGGTTTTGATTCTTCTGACAATTATCTCACAAACTCTGGACCAGTGCTGTAAAATAGAACTTTCTATGATGATAGAAACATCTAAATCTGTGCTGTCTAATATGATAGGCATGAGCTACATGTTGCTATAAATTTAAATTTTAATTAATAAAAATGTAATACAATAAAATATGTAGTTTCACAGCTGCACTTGCCGTATTTCAGTAAGTCAGTAGCCCCATGTGGCTAGTGGCTACCATAATGGACAGTGCAGTGATTGACAATATGTTTATACCTCTGCTTTCTGCTTTATCAACTTTAAAAAGACATGCTGACATCACACGAAGGGAGATGAAAAATGTGGCTCATTTCACTACCTCTTCTCTTTGCTCTCCTTCCATTCCCAATCCCTATTAAGAACATTTTCATTTTAGTTCTACTGGATTACCTTAATAACTTTTAATAATATAATTAAAATTGCTTATTGATGCATCAATTGTTGACTTTCATACTTTGATCCACCACATGTTAAATCAGAAAATTCATGTTCTCTATTGTTTCCCTCCAAAACTTCTGCACTTTTATTTTTTTATTTTTATTTTTTAATTATACTTTAAGTTTTAGGGTACATGTGCACATTGTGCAGGTTAGTTACATATGTATACATGTGCCATGCTGGTGCACTGCACCCACTAACTCGTCATCTAGCATTAGGTATATCTCCCAATGCTATCCCTCCCCCCTCCCCCCACCCCACAACAGTCCCCAGCGTGATATTCCCCTTCCTGTGTCCATGTGTTCTCATTGTTCAATTCCCACCTATGAGTGAGAATATGTGGTGTTTGGTTTTTTGTTCTTGTGATAGTTTACTGAGAATGATGTTTTCCAATTTCATCCATGTCCCTACAACGGACATGAACTCATCATTTTTTATGGCTGCATCGTATTCCATGGTGTATATGTGCCACATTTTCTTAATCCAGTCTATCATTGTTGGACGTTTGGGTTGGTTCCAAGTCTTTGCTATTGTGAATAGTGCCGCAATAAACATACGTGTGCATGTGTCTTTATAGCAGCATGATTTATAGTCCTTTGGGTATATACCCAGTAATGGGATGGCTGGGTCAAATGGTATTTCCAGTTCTAGATCCCTGAGGAATCGCCACACTGACTTCCACAATGGTTGAACTAGTTTACAGTCCCACCAACAGTGTAAAAGTGTTCCTATTTCTCCACATCCTCTCCAGCACCTGTTGTTTCCTGACTTTTTAATGATTGCCATTCTAACTGGTGTGAGATGGTATCTCATTGTGGTTTTGATTTGCATTTCTCTGATGGCCAGTGATGATGAGCATTTTTTCATGTGTTTTTTGGCTGCATAAATGTCTTCTTTTGAGAAGTGTCTGTTCATGTCCTTTGCCCACTTTTTGATGGGGTTCTTTGTTTTTTTCTTGTAAATTTATTTGAGTTCATTGTAGATTCTGGATATTAGCCCTTTGTCAGATGAGTAGGTTGCAAAAATTTTCTCCCATTTTGTAGGTTGCCTGTTCACTCTGATGGTAGTTTCTTTTGCTGTGCAGAAGCTCTTTATTTTATTTAGATCTCATTTGTCAATTTTGGCTTTTGTTGCCATTGCTTTTGGTGTTTTAGACATGAAGTCCTTGCCCATGCCTATGTCCTGAATGGTAATGCCTAGGTTTCCTTCTAGGGTTTTTATGGTTTTAGGTCTAACGTTTAAGTCTTTAATCCATCTTGAATTGATTTTTGTATAAGGTGTAAGGAAGGGATCCAGTTTCAGCTTTCTACATATGGCTAGCCAGTTTTCCCAGCACCATTTATTAAATAGGGAATCCTTTCCCCATTGCTTGTTTTTGTCAGGTTTGTCAAAGATCAGATAGTTGTAGATATGCGGCGTTATTTCTGAGGGCTCCGTTCTGTTCCATTGATCTATATCTCTGTTTTGGTACCAGTACCATGCTGTTTTGGTTACTGTAGCCTTGTGGTATAGTTTGAAGTCAGGTAGTGTAATGCCTCCAGCTTTGTTCTTTTGGCTTAGGATTGACTTGGCGATGCGGGCTCTTTTTTGGTTCCATATGAACTTTAAAGTAGTTTTTTCCAATTCTGTGAAGAAAGTCATTGGTAGCTTGATGGGGATGGCATTGAATCTGTAAATTACCTTGGGCAGTATGGCCATTTTCACGATATTGATTCTTCCTACCCATGAGCATGGAATGTTCTTCCGTTTGTTTGTATCCTCTTTTATTTCCTTGAGCAGTGGTTTGTAGTTCTCCTTGAAGAGGTCCTTCACATCCCTTGTAAGTTAGATTCCTAGGTATTTTATTCTCTTTGAAGCAATTGTGAATGGGAGTTCACTCATGATTTGGCTCTCTGTTTGTCTGTTGTTGGTGTATAAGAATGCTTGTGATTTTTGTACATTGATTTTGTATCCTGAGACTTTGCTGAAGTTGCTTATCAGCTTAAGGAGATTTTGGGCTGAGACAATGGGGTTTTCTAGATATACAATCATGTCATCTGCAAACAGGGACAATTTGACTTCCTCTTTTCCTAATTGAATACACTTTATTTCCTTCTCCTGCCTAATTGCCCTGGCCAGAACTTCCAACACTATGTTGAATAAGAGTGGTGAGAGAGGGCATCCCTGTCTTGTGCCAGTTTTCAAAGGGAATGCTTCCAGTTTTTGCCCATTCAGTATGATATTGGCTGTGGGTTTGTCCTAGATAGCTCTTATAATTTTGAAATACGTCCCATCAATACCTAATTTATTGAGAGCTTTTAGCATGAAGAGTTGTTGAATTTTGTCAAAGGCTTTTTCTGCATCTATTGAGATAATCATGTGGTTTTTGTCTTTGGCTCTGTTTATATGCTGGATTACATTTATTGATTTGCGTATATTGAACCAGCCTTGCATCCCAGGGATGAAGCCCACTTGATCATGGTGGATAAGCTTTTTGATGTGCTGCTGGATTCGGTTTGCCAGTATTTTATTGAGGATTTTTGCATCAATGTTCATCGAGGATATTGGTCTAAAATTCTCTTTTTTTGTTGTGTCTCTGCCTGGCTTTGGTATCAGAATGATGCTGGCCTCATAAAATGAGTTAGGGAGGATTCCCTCTTTTTCTATTGATTGGAATAGTTTCAGAAGGAATGGTACCAGTTCCTCATTGTACCTCTGGTAGAATTCAGCTGTGAATCCATCTGGTCCTCGACTCTTTTTGGTTGGTAAGCTATTGATTATTGCCACAATTTCAGATCCTGTTATTGGTCTATTCAGAGATTCAACTTCTTCCTGGTTTAGTCTTGGGAGAGTGTATGTGTCGAGGAATTTATCCATTTCTTCTAGATTTTCTAGTTTATTTGTGTAGAGGTGTTTGTAGTATTCTCTGATGGTAGTTTGTATTTCTGTGGGATCGATGGTGATATCCCCTTTATCATTTTTTATTGCGTCTATTTGATTCTTCTCTCTTTTTTTCTTTATTAGTCTTGCTAGTGGTCTATCAATTTTGTTGATCCTTTCAAAAAACCAGCTCCTGGATTCATTAATTTTTTGAAGGGTTTTTTGTGTCTCTATTTCCTTTGGTTCTGCTCTGATCTTAGTTATTTCTTGCCTTCTGCTAGCTTTTGAATGTGTTTGCTCTTGCTTTTCTAGTTCTTTTAATTGTGATGTTAGGGTGTCAATTTTGGATCTTTCCTGCTTTCTCTTGTGGGCATTTAGTGCTATAAATTTGCCTCTACACACTGCTTTGAATGTGTCCCAGAGATTCTGGTATGTTGTGTCTTTGTTCTCATTGGTTTCAAAGAACATCTTTATTTCTGCCTTCATTTCGTTATGTACCCAGTAGTCATTCAGGAGCAGGTTGTTCAGTTTCCATGCAGTTGAGCGGTTTTGAGTGAGATTCTTCATCCTGAGTTCTAGTTTGATTGCACTGTGGTCTGAGAGATAGTTTGTTATAATTTCTGTTCTTTTACATTTGCTGAGGAGAGCTTTACTTCCAAGTATGTGGTCAATTTTGGAAAAGGTGTGGTGTGGCGCTGAAAAAAATGTATATTCTGTTGATTTGGGGTGGAGAGTTCTGTAGATGTCTATTAGGTCCGCTTGGTGCAGAGCTGAGTTCAATTCCTGGGTAACTTCTGCACTTTTAACTCCCAACCACCTGCTACTCTACTTGCCACATCAGCAGTCTCTAGATAGCATTAATATTCTCTTCTGTGACTATAAACTCTCCGTGCTTCTGTAAGATTGGTTCTAAAATTGGAAAGTAATAACCAGCCTTTATAATATTATAATTGCATAAGAATTAATTTATTACACAAATAGTGTGGCCAAACCTGCAAAAAAGGAGACATTTGTGATCCTATGCCACCAAACTTGTGCCATTCAAAAGTGAATATGTTAACTTCCACCTTCAGCCAAGGTAGAGAACAGATTTTCCACATAAAACAACCCAAAGCAGAAAATATATATATGAAACAATAGTTGTCATAACCCCGGACCCTTAGCATAGAAAGACAGTGATGACTTAGAAAAGGGAAACAAATGGGATGAGCTCTATGATTGCTCCAGCTTGTAACTTTGAGTTTCCAGGCCATGATGCAAGAAGGAGAAAGCCAGGCAGAGCCTAGAAGACCCCCTGAATTGAAGCAATGGAGGTGAGATACCTGGGAGACCAAGGTGGCTAGAGTTTTCAGGACAGAGCAACCAAGAGGAGAGAGCCACACAAAGAGCAGGCATCTGTAGAGTGCCCCTCTGGCATCCAGCAGAGTACTGGTCACCACACCTGTGAGAACACTACCTGAGGCAAAGCACAGAACCACTCAAAATAACTGGAGCAACAACCAACCTTTTAACAATTATCAACCCTCATGGAAGTCATTTTATACATTTTCATAATCATTCTCCCCCATGAAATTTTTATGCCACAGATATTAATGTATATGTGATACATTATGTATATGATATATATATGATACAAATATTATGTATAACTTTGCTTTATGCATACACAGTTAAATTTTTTCCCTAAAAACTAAATTTTGTCCCTTTGGGAGCAATATTGCCATCTTTGAAAATGTATGGATTAGAGAGAACAGTACACAGTACATAGGGCTAGGATAGTGTCAATCAGAGATCCTCATACTTCAGAAGGGTCTTGTCTCAAGTAGGTAATAATTGGCCCCAAAATATACACTGCTCTGGTCCCACCTAAAACATTTTAAAGCAAGACCTGAAAAGATCAAACTGTTTTCAAGTAACTGAACTGCTTGCCTGATCAGGACCCAAAATGGTAAAATTCACAAATGTTTCCAAAAGAGAATTACTAAGCATGCAAAGAAGCAGAAAAATATCACCTATAATGAGGAGAAAATTAAAACCAAGCCAAAACTGGCATAGATGTCAGAATTAGTAGACAGGAGTATTAAACCCTTACTATAGCTGTATTTCTTATGTTCAAAAAGTTAAGTAGTGACATGGATAATATTTCTTAAAAGGCCCAAATCAAACCTCTAGGGATAAAAATTTCAATATGTGAGATAAAAAATACAATGGATGGGATTAATGGTGGAGTAGATTTTGCAAAAGAAAAGATTAAACCTGAAGACATAGCAGTAATACAAAGTATCCAAAATAAAGCACAGACATAAAAGAAAACATAAAACAAAAAATGAACAACCATCACCAAAAGGAAGACAAGAAGGAAGGAAAGAAGGAAGAGAAGACCAGAAAACAAATAACACAATGGCAGGCATAAATTGCTACTTATCAATAATTACATTTAATGCAAAATGTACTAAACTTTCCAATCAAAAGACATAGAGTGGCTGAATGGATGAAAAAATAAGACACAATGATCTGTTGCCTACCAGAAACATGCTTCACCTATAAAAATACATACAGACTGAAAATAAAGAGATGGAAAATGATATTTCATGCCAATGAAAACCAAAAAAAAGAGCAGGAGAAGCTATACTTACATCAAAAAAGTAGATTTCACGACAAAAACTGTAAGACGAGGAAAAGAAGGTCATTATACAATGACAAAAGGGTCACTTCAACAAAAGGATATAGATAGTGTAAATATATACACACCCAACACTGGAGCAGCAAGCTGTATAAAGCAAATATTATTAGAGCTAAAGACAGAGATAGACCCCAATATGATAGCTGGAGACTTTAACACCCCATTGTCAGCATTGGCCAGATCTCCCAGACAAAAAATCAACAAAGAAACATCAGACTTACTCTATACGATAGAACAAATGGACCTAATAGATATTTACAGAACATTTCATCAAATAGCTGCAAAATTTTTCTCCCCAGACCATGGATCATTCTCAAGGATAGACCATATGTTGGGTCACAAAACAAATTTAAAATATTCAAAAACATTTAAAGAATATCAAGCATTCTTCTCTGACTACAAGGGACTAAAACTACAAATCAATAGCAAGAGGAATTTTGGAAACTACACAAACATATGGAAATTAAATAATAGGCTCCTGAATGACCAGTGGGTCAATTAAGAAATTAAGAAGGAAATTGAAAAATTTCTTAAAACAAATGATAATGGAAACACAACATACCAAAACCTATGGGATACAGTAAAAGTAATACTAAAAGGGAAAGTTATAGCTGTAAATGCCTACATCAAAAAGGAAGAAAAACTTCAAATAAATGACCTAATGATTCATCTTAAAGAACTAGAAAAGCAAGGGCAAACCAAATCCAGAATTAGAAGAAAAAAAGAGGTTTTAGTAAGAGCAGAAATAAATGAAATTGAAATAAAGAAAAAAACACAAAAGATCAATGAAACAAAAAGCTGGCTTTTGAAAAGATAACAAAATTGCCAACCTTTAGCCAGACTAAGAAAAAAGAAAGCAGGCCAAAATAAATAAAATCAAAGATGAAAAAGGAGACATTGCAACTGCTACTACAGAACCTCAAAGGGTCATTAGTGGCTACAATGAACAACTATATGCCCATAAATTGGAAAATCTAGAAGAAATGGATACATTCCTAGACACGTACAACCTACCAAGATTTAACCAAGAAGAAATCCAAAACCTGAACAGAACAATAACAAGTAACAAGGTTGAAGCTATAATAAAAAGTGTCCTACTAAAAAAAGTCTGGGACACGGTGACTTCACTTTTGAATTCTACCAAACATTTAAAGAAGAATTAATACCAACCCTACTCAAACTATTCCGAAAAATAGAAGAGGAGGGAATACTTCAAAACACATTCTATAAGGCCAGTATTAACCTGATACTAAAACCAGACAAAGAGAGTTCAAAAAAAGAAAACTACAGGCCAATATCTGTGATAAATATTGATGCAATAATTCTCAACAAAATACTAGCAAACCAAATTCAGCAACACATTAGAAAGATCATTCATCATAACCAAGTGGAATTTATCCATGTGTACAGGAATGGCTCAACATATGCAAATTAATCAATGTGATACAGCCTATCAACCGAATGAAGGACAAAAACCAAATGATCATTTCAGCTGATGCTGAAAAAGCATTTGATAAAGCTTAATATTCCATCATGATAAAAAAAAAATCCCTCAAAAAACTGGGTATAGAAGGAATATCCCTGAACATAATAAAAGCCATATATTACAGAGCCATGTATTACAGTATGGCACTATCTGTTAGTGCCAAAAAATGGAAAAGTATTCCTTATTCATGGATTGGAAGAATCAATATTGTTAAAATTTCCATATGGCCCAGAGCAATCTATAGATATGATGCAATCCCTATCAAAATACTACTGACATTCTTCACAGAAATTGAAAAAGAAAATTGTAACACTTATATGAAACCACAAAAGACCACCCAGAATAGCTAAAGCTATTCTGAGCAAAAAGAACAAAACTGGAGGAATCACATTACCTGACTTCAAATTATACTATGGAGTTATAGTAACCAAAGCAGCATGGTACTGGCATAAAAGCAGACACATAGACGAACAGAACAGAATACAGAACACAGAAACAAATCCACACACCTACAGTGAACTCATTTTCGACAAAGGTGGTAAAAAAAACATACACTGGGGAAAACACTGTCTCTTTAATAAATGGTGCTGGAAAAACTGGATATCCACATGCAGAAGAATAAAACTAGATCCTTATCTCTTGCCATATACAAAAATAAAATCAAAATGGATTAAAGACTTAAATCTAAGGCCTCAAACTATGAAACTACTACAAGAAAACATTAGGGAAACTCTTCAGGATATTGGTCTGGGCAAAAATTTCTTGAGTAATACCCACTAGCACAGGCAACCAAAGCAAAAATAGACAAATGGGATCACATCAAGTTAAAAAGCTTCTGCACAGCAAACAATCAACAAAATAAAGAGAAAACCCACAGAATGGGAGAAAATGTTTGCAAACTATCCACCTGACAAGGGACTAATAACCAGAATATATAAGCAGCTTAAACAGGTCTGTAGAAAAAAATCTAATAATCTAATTTTAAAATGGGCAAAAGATTTGAATAGACATTTCTCAAAAGAAGACATACAAATGGCAAACAGGTATATGATAAATTTCTCAGCATCATTGATCATCAGAGAAATGCAAATCAAAACTACAATTAGATACCATCTCACCCCAGTTAAAGGTGTGAGGATAAAGGACTTCATCCAATATCAGGCAATAACAAATGTTGACAAGGATGTGGAGAAAAAGGAACCCTCATACACTGTTGGTGGGAATGTAAATTAGTACAACCACTCTGGAGAACAGTTTGGAGGTCCCTCAAAGAACTAAAAGCTGAGCTACCATATGATCCAGCAATTCTACTGCTAAGTATATACCCAAAAGAAAGGAAATCAGTATAACAAAGAGATTTCTGCACTCCCATGTTTATTGCAGCACTGTTCACAAAAGCCAAGATTTGGAAGCAACCTAACTGTCCATCAACAGATGTATGGATAAAGAAAATGTGGTACTTATACACAACGGTATACTATTCAGCCACAAAAAAAATGAAACTCTGTCATCTGCAATAACATGGGTGGAACTGGAGGTCATTATGTTAAGTGAAACAAGCAAGGCACAGAAAGACAAACATCACATGTTCTCACTTATTTGTGGGATATAAAAAAATCAAAATAATTGAACTCTTGGACATAGAGTGTAGAAAGATGGTTACCAGAGGCTGGGAAGGGTAGTGAGTGGGTGTTGGGGAAGGTGGGGATGGTTAATAGTACCAAAACTAGACAAAAGGAATAACATCTAGTATTTGATAGCACAGCAGGGGACAATAATAATAATTTAAATGTACATTTCAAAGTAACTAAAAGAGTATAATTAGATTGTTTGTAACACAAAGGATAAATGCTTGAGGGGATGGATACCCTATTTTTCATGATATGATTATTATGCATTGCATACCTGTACTAAAATATCTCATGTACTCCATAAATTTCACCTACTAGGTGCCCACAAAAATTTAAAATAATTTTTTTTAATGAACAGAGTATCAGTGAGCTGTGGGACAACTTCAAGTGGCCTCATGTAAATATAATTGGAGTATCTGAAGGACAGGAGTGAGCAGGACAGAAAAAAAAAGTTGAAAAAATAATATCCAAACATTTTTCACATTTGGTGTGCATTGTAAACCCACAGATTCAGGAAGCTCAACAAACCCCAGGAATAAGATGCATGAAGAAAACTACACCATGGCACATACCATAGTTAAATTGTTTAAAACCCACAGTGATAAAGAAAAAAATTGTACAGAAAGCTAGAGAAAAAAAGACATTTTATATAGAAGAGCAAAAATAAGGATGGTAGCAGTTTGTCTTCAGAAACAATGTAAGTGAGAAGGTAGTGAAGCAATATCTTCAATGTACTGACTCTAAGAAAAAAATTCTTCCTAGATTTCTATACCAGCAAAAAATGTCTTTTAAGAGTAGAAAAAAATTATTTTGTATGTACAGAAGCTGAAGCAATTCATTACCAACAGACTCACATTAAAAGAACAGTTTTTTAAAGTTCTTAGGAAGTAGAAAATGAAACCAGATAGAAATATTGATCTGCTCACACAAAAAAGAAGAGTACTTGAAATGGTAACTACATATATATTAAATAAATGCATTTTAATTTTTTTCTTATTGTTTAAATCTCTTTAAAAGATAAGTGACAATGTGGGCTTTATATGCATACATAGTATGACAACAATTGTACGAAGTCCTAGAGGGGAGAAATGAAAGTATATTATTGCAGGGTTTTTATGCTATGTATGAAATGGTATAATTGCACTTAATGTAGGCTACTATATGTTAATGATGTAGACTATAAGCCCTGGGAAACTACTAAAATAACAAAATAAAGAGTTATAGCTAATAAGCCAACAAAGAAGTAAAATAGAATAAAAAAGTACTTAAAGCAGAAAAAGAGGGCAAAAAAGGAGCAAAGAGTACATGGGACAAATAGAAAAATAGAAAACAACTGGCATTATTAAATACAAAAACTTCATAAATTTGATTTTAAAATAAACTTCTGCCCTTCAAATGACACTATTAAGACAAAACTCAAGCCACAGACTGGGAGAAAGTATTTGCAACACTATATTTGATAAAGGACTTGTTTCCAGAATATTTAAAGAACTCCTACAACTCAACAGTCAGAAAGCAAACCGATATGATAAAAATCATAGATAAACAACAATTGACATAAAATATAACAATAGCCAAAAAGCACTTGAAAAGATACTCAACTGTGTAAGTCATTAGGGAAATGGAAATTAAAACCACAACATATGTCACTCCACACTCACTAATATGGATAAAATTTTAAAGACTGATGATATGGTTTGGCTGTGTCCCCACCCAAATCTCATCTTGAATTTCCACGTGTTGTGGGAGGGACCTGGCGGGAGGTAATTGAATCATGGGGGCAGGTCTTTCCCATGCTGTTCTCATGATAGCAAATAAGTCTCACAAGATCTGATGGTTTTATAAGGTGGAATTTTCCTGCACAAGCTCTCTGCCCGCTGCCATCCATGTAAGACGTGATTTGTTCCTCCTTGCCTTTGCCATGATTGCAAGGCCTCGTCAGCCACTTGGAACTGTGAGTCTGTTAAACTTCTTTCCTTTGTAAATTGCCCAGTCTCCAGTATGTCTTTATCAGCAGTGTGAAAATGGACTAATAAAACTGACAATACTAAATGTTGGTGAAAATATAATTCTTATACATCACTGTTGGAAAGAAAATGGTACAACCACTTGGAAAATAGTTGGACATTCTTAAATATTGTTAAACATACACCTGACCTATGAACTAACAATTATAATTCCAACTTATATCTACTGTAAGACTCACACAAGAATATTTATAGTAGCTTTATTCATATTCATACTATTCAAAAACCTTAAACTACCCAAATGACCATCAATATGAAAATGGAAAAACGAATTGCGCTATATTCAGGAAATAGATGTATGTTCAACTATAAGAATAAGGTGGTACCTGCAACAAACATGAGTGACTCTATAAAACCTCTTGCTGAGTGAATAACTCCGGACACTACAGACTACATACTGCATAGTTCCATTAGTTCTAGAATAGGCAAAACTAAGAGATAGTAATAGAAATCATGTGAGTGGTTTCCTAGAGTGGGGTGGGTTGTAGTGGGAGTTGACCCCAAAGGGAACTTTCCTGAGTGATTTACATGTAATATAGGTGTAATAAGTCAAAATCATGATTGGTGTAGTATACCTGGTTGCAACTAGTATACAACTAGTACAAATAGTACAACTAGTGTACCTAGTTATAGTTACAACGTACATGACATCTGTCAAAACTCATTAAATTGTACATTTGATATCTTTACATTTTATTGTATGTAAATTATACCTTAATAAAGCTGATTTTATATCTTAAAAAGAAAAATATACCAGAAAAATTAGGAGAAAAACAATTGGAAGTAGGAGTGGAGTGGGGAATATACTATATTATTATTACTATTATTTCATGCTTTTCCCTTATCAGTAAAATTTTCCTTGTTTCTTAATCATATAATGTGTTACAACTTATTATTATTATTATTTGAGACAGAGTGTCTCTCTGTCACCCAGGCTGGAGCGCAGTGGTGTGATCTCTGCTCACTGCAACCTCTGCCTCCCAGGTTCACGATTCTTGTGCCTCAGACTCTGGAACAGCTGAAATTACAGGCAGCCACCACCATGCCCAGCTAATTTTTGTACTTCTTGTAGAGACAAGGTTTTGCCATGTTGCCCAGGCTGGTCTCGAACACGTGAGCTCAAGAAATCCACCCACCTCGGTGTCCCAAAGTGCTGGGATTTCAGGCGTGAGCCACCACACCTAGCCTACAGCTTATTTTCTTTTGAAGATGTTTTCTTCTCGGAACCTTCTGATTTCTTGTTTTAATTTGGACAAATTACTTGTTAGGCATGCTGCACAGGTTTAATTCTGGGATTCACTTTTAGTTATTTCCATGCTGACTTAATTTGAGTATATATTGCTCTTTCTTGCATTCTATTTTCTTCTTTCTTTTTTTTTTCTGAGTATACTTGTGAGTCATTCTTTCATAAAGTGTCTATAGAAGGCAGATTTTCTGAGTCTTTCCACATTCAAAACTTATTTACTGTTCTCATATATGATTGAAAGTTTGGCTGGGTATCTAATTCTAGGCTCAAAACCATTTACTCTGGGAACCTTGAAGTATCACTACCTTTTTTTTTCTAGAACTAATATTGCTTATAAGAAAACAGGTAAGTTTCTGATCTTGTTCCTTTGTAAGCTGTTTCATTTTCCTGGGAACTTTTTAGATTTATTCTTGCTTTTTTGCTGTTCTAAAATGTTGTGATGATACATATAAGTTTATTCATTCATTCAACAAATAGTTATTATAGATATTGATTGCTAGGAACCCTAGAGGCTGGGAATGAAGCAATAAGATTCCTGTTCTTATGGAGGTTACATTCTAATGGGGGAAATAGACAATAAAATATGAACAAATAAGCAGATGAGAAACCTTCAGATATCGGTAAGTACCAAGAAAATACAACAGGAGAATGGAATAGGTCATAGTAAACTGGTGCAGGATGAGAGGGTGCTTTGGATGAGGTGATTAGGGGTGGGGACCCTCTCTAAAGTGACACTGAAGCAGAGCTCTGAATAACGAGAAGGAGCCATGTAGCAATCTGGGAAGGAGCACTAGTAGAAAGGGAACATGACCCCAAAGGACCAAGGCAGGAACGGACTGGATGTCTGGAAACAGAAAATCCCTGGGTGACTGGATAATTTGTCATCAATTCTTGAAAGGGGTAGGAGATGAGGTCTGAGAGCCAAAAAGGAGATAGACCCTGCAGAACCTGCAAGGAACTCGGATCTTATTCTGGATAAACTAGGGGGGAATATGATCTGATTTCCACTTTAAAGATCACTCTCACTGTTGTATGGAAAATGGGATTATAAAGGGTCTAGAGGAGGAACAGGAAGATCTGTTAGGAAGCTATTGCTGTCAACCAGGCAAGCAATGATGGTGGTTTGGAATAGAGTGTGGCCGTAGAGATGGGGAGATGTTATCAGATGTGGATCTTAATTGGATGCAGGAGGAAAGGAAATGAAATCAAGGATGGCTCCTTGGTTTTCACCTGAGCAACTAGGTGAACAGCATGCCATTCAATGAAAGCAGCAAGACCTGGGGGAAAGCAGGTTTGGAGAAAAACATTAAAAGTGTTAGGACCTATCTAAATTGATGTGCCAGATAGACTGATGGAGCCAGTGTATATGTCAAATGGTCTAGGCAGCGAGACGTCAGGGACACAGGTTTGAGAGTCTTCAGTGTGTCAGTGATATTTAATGTCCTGCTTGATCACTGATAGGCCCTTTTATTATGAAATCTTGTGTGTCAACTCTGGAAATATTTTTCTACTGTTTATTTAATTATAATCTCTCTATTCTGCCTATTCTTTCTCTCCAGAATTCCTATTACAGCCAGCCTTTTGTATCTATGGAATCCACATTTGTAGGTTCTACTAACAGCGGATAGAAAATATTTTTGTAAAAAAGATGTACCTCTAATTAATGGTGTCCAGCAAAAAAAAAATTTAAAAATAAAAATAAATAAAAAATAAATGAACAAAGGATGGTTGTGTCTGCACTGAAAGCATACAGACCTTTTTTTCTTGTCATTATTTCCTAAACAATAGAGTATAACAACTATTTACATAGCTTTTACATTGTATTAGGTATTATAAGTAATCTAGTGATTAAAGGATACTAGAAGATGTGCATAGATTGTATGCAAATATGACACCATTTTATATACAGAACTTGAGCATTCATGGATTTTTGATGTCTGCGGGGGTCCTGGAACCAATCCCCAACAGACACCAGGGGACGATTGTAGATGGATGTTAAACCTCCTAGATCAATCCACAGGGTCCCTTAACTGTCCTTCATTTTATTCATCTCTTGTGCTTTTGCTCCATGTCTTAGGAGACTTTCTTGATGCTTTCTTGTTCAGTTCTTAGATTGATTCATATGATGCTGGCTTTAATATTTCCTGTTTTTAAGACCTTTTTTCTGGTGATTACTTCTTTTTATGGGAACTATTCCTGTTTTGTGACTGTAATTAGGACCCATTTAGATCCTTCTAAATTTTTTTCTCTCCATTATTACCTCTGTGGACAGTTGTTCTGTGTGTTTGTCTTGGTCCTCCTCTCTTTTACGCTAATATTTTTCATAGTGTGTCAGGACGTCCATAGAACTCTGTTCCTTTTTATGAATGCAGAACTGCTTGCTCGATGCTCATGGCTGGGAAGGTTTTCGTGCAAGTGTGTTGTCCTCTGGGTCTTTCCCCTGAATTGGGGAACTGGTGTAGAGGATAGAATTTGTCTACTCTCAGGCCTCATCATAGGGGCACAAGCAGGAAATGGCAGTCAAGCTGACATCTCGAGTGCTTTTAAATTTAGTGGAGTATGAATTCTTCTGAGAAATCACATCATTATTATTTAAATAAGGAATAATGAGTAACAGTTACCCCTCCCTGAAAACTCATGCCCAGGTAAATATCACTAGCTGATAAAGTCCTTCACAAGGCATTGACCCATCAGTGATGTCTGCCATGGGTGTGGGAGGGAAGGCTCATAGCCAGAGGCTTTCACACATCCTTCCTTCTTCAGCCCACACACCTGTCCAAGTCACAGTTCACACCCAGCCTGGAGGAGGCGGATTGGGCTGGGGCCTATATGACAGTCATTTCAACCAGTGGTAACTCATAGCTAAATTTATGTAAACTTACCTTACGTCTGCTGCTGGAATGCTGACAAGAGGGCGGCCCTGAGAGAGAATTAGTTTGAGCATGAAGTAGCCACATGCATTATCCTTAAAATGCATGTGTATGGTTAACTGAGTGATTATATTCCAAGGTTGATGCAAGTTATTTGGGGAATATCTATACCTCTGTTACCTCCACAGGCATGGTTCGTCAGAGTTCACTGCATGTAACCCTATTTTAATCGCGGATAAGACAGACAAATATATTGGCCCTGCAAAGAAAACCAAACAGGATGTTATCGTTAGTAACTTGGAAGGACAGATTTAAATATTTTAAGACTTTAGTAAAAGGGGACATGTATCAACAGATTTTACATCCACAAGGATAAATTACAGCTATAAACACAGGAAGGACAAACAGTCCAAACACAAGATGGGCCAGGGCTGATTCACCCAGGGTTAGCAGAGCACCCACTGCAGAAGACGTCAGTGCATCACAATCGTCATGAGTCAGTGAGGCTAAATGTCAATCAGAACTATTCAAAGAGAAGTGTAATGGGGGATAAATGATGATTATCATCATTGGGAAAGGGAAATGGGCAAGAGTTGTACACAGAAATGCTTCCAGGAGCCAGGCTGGTGATGTAAATGTGTGAAACTGATGAGAGTACAATCAGGAGCGGTGAGGACTGTGGCCAACTGAAGAATAAATGTCACTCTGAAGACATTCTCATTAAGATTACACACACACACACACACACACACACACACACACACACACACACACTGGCCAGGCAGAAAGAAAGAAATATCTCAGAGCCCACAGTATCTTTGGCATTGTGAGCGATGAGCAGCCCCTAGCTCCATAACTGTTGCATTAATGATTGTGGCAGTTGTCCACTATTGGGGTACTTGTGAACCGTAATATCACTTAGAGTTACCACACCACTGTTGTGTTGCGGGGCTGTGTTTTTACTTTCTCACAAAGGAGAAAGGGGCAGTCCTTAAAATTTCTGTTCATGGAGAAACATACCCGATCATATAAATATATTGAATGTAAATATATTCTACCAAGTGATTGCAGAAGAAAACATTGAGAATGCTCTTCTGTGGATGTGAGTCTTCATCTCTGTTTACTGTGGAGATTCTTTCACCTAAAGCATAAGAGGAAACTGAGGAAGAGCCCACCCAAAGTAAGCAGACGGGAAGGAGCTTTGGACACAGCTCCTTGGGCTGTGTTAGCCAAGTGAAAATAACTAATAGGTTAGCAGCTGAGTAATGTCAGGCTTCATGTCAATGATGAAGCTGCTCTCTGTTCTCCTCAAAAACAGGGAACATGGTGGTTCAGAGCCAGAAACTTCCTGACCCCAGGAAAGCTGCATGACAATGGGTTATCAAGAGACAGTGGAAGCCTCATGTCCATGCAAGCTGAAATCAAGGTAGACAGTGACTTCCTGGGACAACCGTGAAAGCAGCCTGTTTTCAGGGAAGAGTATAATATAATAACCTTCCATCTCCTCTTAGAATTCATACATATATATATATATATATATATATATATATATATATAAAATCAAAAATCCATTTTCTGAATTTTAATTGTGTAGCCTATATTATATAGGTTATAATACATTATATATAGCATTATATACAATATAGGTTACATAATGGAAAATTCAGAAAATGGACTTTTGACAATTGTGGAAACTAGTTAAGATATGGAAAACGCTCCTAATAACTGGAGCTTAGTAGAAGTAGAATTTGGAGCGCCTTCTTTTCTTTTCCAGCAAGGGAAAGTCATATAGATTGATTCAGAGAAAGAGAAAGGGATAAAAATTTGCCTTCAATATAAAGAGCATGGGTCTCCATTTAATTGGCAGGGACATATAGGAGAAGGAAAAGAATTTCCCTGGTTGAAGTACAGGTCTTTTTCCTCTTTTCTTCCCACATCTGCTGTTGGATCATGCATTTTCTATATCTCAGAAATTTTGAAAATCAATATGGATGATAATTAAGTGAAAAAGACAAATCCAAGTCATATTCACAGATTTAGGTGGTCTTGATGAGGCTTGAGCCTTGGAATTTTGCAGTCTCTGTAGGAATATATCAGGAGTTAAAATGTGTCTCCTTTGGGTTTAGGTAAATGAAATGGTTGGCATAATAGCATTTCAGACCTAGCAATGTCCATTGGGTTGATCTAATTCAGTATTTGTTTTAAATATTTAAAATGCAGAAACTGAGGCAAGAGAGGTTAAGGTAAGAAAAAGTTGTGCTTAAGGCAGAGAACTAGCCAGGATTTAAGTGTAAAACCAGACTCCAGGACTTCTGATTCCAATTTCAGTACTCTTGCAACTCTCTTCTTACCATTTTATTTAATGTTAGAGATTATGCCTAATAGTAATTGTATGTCCTATGAAAATGATGCCATAGTATGTATAGGTTGGCAATCTGAAATGTACTGGTCAAAGGAATATCACATGTCAGGTGAAGGCTTACATATTTTTCATTCTGGTTGTTCTGAACCCAGCAGCTGAGCAGCAGGGGTAGAGATGGTGTATTGTGTGGTGTATTAGTCTGTTCTCATGCTACTATAAAGGACTGTCCAAGACTGGGTAATTTATAAAGGAAATAAGTTTAATTGACTCACAGTTCTGCATGGCTGGGGAGGCCTCAGGAAACTTACAATCATGGCAAAAGGGGAAGCAAACATGTCCTTCTTCACACGGTGGCAGCAAGGAGAAGTGCTGAGCAAAAGGGGGAAAGCCACATATAAAACCATCAGATCTCATGAGAACTAACTTGCTTTCACAAAAACAGCAGGGAGGTAACTGCCCCCATTATCTCCACCTGGTCCCTCCCACAAAATGTGAGAATTATGGGAATTGCAATTCAAGATGAGATTTGGGTGGAGACACAGCCAAACCATATCATTCTGCCCAGGCCCCTCCAAAATATCAAATGTAAATATGACACAGGGCTCAGATTCGGCATTTACAAGCTCCCAGAGCTGCCTGTTGCCTGCTTGAGATCCACACTTTGAATAACAAGAGTCTAGATAATATTCTGTTCTACTAAAAGAGTTACAAAAATGAATTCTACCAATAATCTATACAAAGCATTTAGATTTGTCTCATCATTTTCACAGGAAAAATGGAAAATTTCAGAAAAATTGAGTGGATTTGTAAGTGCAAGTATGTGACATTTATAATCATTTACTATTGATTTAAGATAATTTTTTGTGATATATCATACACACCATAATTTATAATAAATCAGGATTGGATGCTCATTTGTACCCTAGATCTTTCCTGGTCAGAAAAATCTTAGCATTGGCTCACAGGAGTAAGAGAAGACTCCTCTCATTGTACCCATACCTGCAGCCAGAGAAGGTTTCCCCTTTTTGAGAGGGGCCCTCAGGCAGATCAGACTGACCACACAGAAGGGTTGGCTGGAGCCACCAACCGCAGGACCCCTTGGGTCCCAGAGAGGTGACTTGGGTTACCATGGGTGTAAGGGCATAGCTCCAGGAACCCACCCTTCTTTCACTGTAATCCTCCTAACACATTAGGGTTCTGCGTCTAACAAAGTTTGTACTCCTAGGAATTCACCAAAGAAAAATGAAAACATATGCCTATACAAAGATTTGTACATGACAACCTTATTCATAGTAGCTCCAAACTGGAAACAACCCAAATCCAAAAGTCCACCAAGAGGTGAAAGGGTATACAAATTGCGATGTATTTAAACAGTGGGTGTTATGGACTGTATGTTTGTGTGTTGAGATCCTAAACCCCAAGATGATGGTATTAGGAGGTGGGGCCTTTGGTAGATGATTAGGTCAGGAGGGTGGCGCCTTCATGAATAGGATTAGTGCCCTTATGAAAGTCTCCCCAGAGGGCTCTCTTGCCTCTTTCCGCCATGTGAGGACACACTAGGAGTCAGCAGTTTGCAACCTGGAAGAGAGCTCTCCCCAGAACCTGACCATGCTGGCACCGTGATCTCAGGCTTCCAGCCTCCAAAACTGTGAGAGAGAAATATCTTGTTTATAAGTCACTGAGTCTATGGCACTGTTATAGCAGCCTGAGCTGACTGGAACAATGGGCTTCTACTCAGCAGTGAAAAAGAGCAAGCTACTGATGCACGCAGCACCGTGAGTCATCTCAACCAGTGTTGAGCAAAAGAGGACTGATTGGATGGGGACACAGAATGTGTGGGAATTATGGAAATGTGCCATACCTTGAGTAGGGTGGTCATTACATAGGTGTACACACTTATCAAAGCCTTGAACTGTCTACTTAAAATGAATTAAACCTCAGGAATTTTTTGGTTTTTGTTTTTTGAGACTCGCTCTGTCACCCAGGCTGCTCTGTCACCCAGGCTGGAGTGCAGTGGCACAATCACGGCTCACTGCAGCCTCAACCTCCTGGGCTCAACCAATTCTCCTGCCTCAGCTTCTTGAGTAACTGGGACTATGGATATGCACCACTATGTCCAGCTAATTTTATTTATTTATTATTTTATTTTATTTATTTATTTGTTTTGAGACAGAGTCTTACTATGTCACCCAGGCTGGAGTGTAGTGGCCCAATCTCGGTTCACTATAACCTCCGCCTCCAGGGTTCAAGCAATTTCCTGCCTCAGCCTCCCCAGTAGCTGGGATTACAGGCAAGTGCCACTACGCGGGCTATGATCCGCCCGCCTCGGCCTCCCAAAGTGCTGGGATTACAGGCATAAGCCAGCACTTCCGGCCTAATTTTTAAATTATTATTTATACAGACAAGGTCTCACTATGTTGCCCAGGCTAGAAAACCTGTTTTTAAAGCACATATAAAGGAAGTTTGGGAACCGTGGCTTTCAGATTAAGAAATTTAGGCCTAAAGAAGTCAAGTGACTTCCCCGGAGTGATAGATAAGGATTAAGCCCCATTCCTGCCAACACTCTGTGTAACTGTCCTCACAGCACCTCCTTCCTTAAAGCCAGCACCCCATGGTTTCTTTTCATCATTACCCTTTTCTTTCTGAAAAACAGATGCTCTCCTTGTGGTGGGTCCTGCCCCTCACCGCCAAGTGTGAATTTGGACCTCAGTCCAGAAGAAACGGGTTTTGTATCCTGGAAACAAGACCAGGGCTCTGCCAGGAAAGGTTCTTCGCTGCCACAGGCCCTAGGTAATTTAGCTTATCTGAATTGCGTAACTGAGCAGGGCTGAGCACTATAATCACACAACAGACCTTTGTAGATGGACCCAGTATATCCAGCCCAGCAAGGCCCTCATACACAGCCGCCTCCCTGAGGGTCTCTGGTCCAGAGTTTTTGTCTTTGTCAGCTAAGCAGTTCTTTAGAGCTCTATCACTTTTGATATTTTTTTGACCTAAATGTGATGCATCACATAGGAAATATATGTCAGCAAAAAAGTCCCATAAATAAATTATGCCTCACATATGTATGCTTTTGACAGGATTTTTGTTCTTTCTAATCAGCAAACAAATGAAGGCATTATACCATCTGCATTCATTCTACACTTAATTTATCAAGCACTTGTATGTGCCAGGCGCTGTTCTACATGCTGGGGAAAGAGAACTCCAGCTAACTCCATTAAGGTGTCACAGGCAACAAACAAACAGACCTGTAAATGAAATTACACAAGTTGTAATATGAGTTTTACAGAGACAAGTGGAGTTCCAGCAAAGAACAGCAGGAGGGATTCTACCTCAGATACTTATGTTAAGGCCACTCTGAAAACATGACACTGAAAAGGTGGGATTCACTTATATGAAGAGGGTGGAAATAGCATTCCAGGCAGAGAGAGGAGCATGTGCAGAGGCTCTAAGGCAGGAAGCAGCTCAGTTAGGTGGAGACTGGGAAGAGATAGGCAAAGGGAAGAGTGGCACTAGATGAACCTGGAGAAATGGGCAGGAATGGATAATTTGGAACCCTGTAAACCAGTCAGGGTGCTGACCCAATCATCCATGGCGAGGGGCTATGACAGTCTAAGCGACAAAGGTAGCAAGAGACATGGCGAGACAAGGGTGATCCAAGCTATGTTGGATGCACCATCAAGTAAGATGGTACATCTTAGTCCCACCCTTCAGGCCACCTGATCATCTTCTACTTGATGCAACATCCAGCTGTGGATTGGTGCACCTTCGTCTCTCAACAAGCTATCACTACGTTGGGGATAAAGACTTTCCAAGCAACCAGATGGGTAGGATGAGGAAAAGAACGAACCTGAGATAACATCTGAGATTCTGGCTTGAGAAATGAAGCAGGGAAGTTTAGGGAAACAGCACATTCCAGGGAGATCAAGAGTTCTTGTTTGGACACGCTGAGGTTGAGACCCTATTAACCATCTACATGGAGATGTCAAGTAGGCAGTTCGATATATGAGTTTGGAGCTTAGAGGAGCAGTCAAGACTGGCAAGACACATTTGGGGGGTCATTAGCACACAGGCATGGAATTTACAACCAAGGGAGCTGATGAGAATGTCTGGCTGGGGAGAGGGTGTTGATGAAGTAGGGACCCAGGACAGCAATTAGAGCTGACAAGCAGCTTGTTCTAAATTCTCACCGTTGGCTTCATTGTGTTCTTTCTTATGGTATTGTGTGACATTGCTGTGAGTAAGGTTTCACACATACCTTTAAACAGCGTGGGAGAGAGTCATATGAAGAACCATATGCAACATGTTGGCGGCTGGCAGGAGATGGGAAAGAACAGAGGGGCTCACATCAATGGATCATTGCTGACACCACTTGTATTTTCAGCCACTGTCCTCATCACTGTTGCTGTATGAGAGGAAATGAGGTGGAGCAAGATGTGTAGATCAATAAATCACCAGAAAATAGCGTGCAGTGTATGTCTCCTCCAGAATAAGGCCCAAACACCTCCGCAGGCAGCATCCCCACAAGTGCTCGCCCTACCCGGCCTCCCACCACACGCTCTCGCACCCCTCCCTCCACAGCACTGGCAGAGATACTGATCCACCTTCTGGCATGTCCCTCTCCCTGCCTGTCTCCCACCCTTCAGGCCACCTTGCTACCCTCTACTTGTCTTTTATGTTTCTGTGACAGATTCTCGCTCTGTCACCCAGGCTGGAGTGCAGTGGTGCAATCTCAGCTCACTGCAACCTCCATCTCCCAGGTTCAAGCAATTCTCCTGCCTCACCCTCCTGAGTAGCTGGGACTCCAGGTGTGCACCACCACGCCGGACTAATTTTTGTATTTTTAGTAGAGACAGGGTTTCACCATATTGGCCAGGCTGGTCTTGAACTCTTGACCTCAAGTGATCTGCCCACCTTGGCCTCCCAAAGTGCTGGGATTACGGGCATGAGCCACCGCACCCAGACTACTTACCCTTTCTTTATAACCCTCCTGTGTACCCACCTCAGAGTGAGGTTATGAGGATTAGAACTGTGCCTGGAATGTGGTAAGAGCTGAGGAACACTACCTCTAGTTAGCCTTATCATCATCTCTATTATGGTTATTATTACTTTTGTTCTCTGTAGCCTTGCTATCAAGGATCAAGCCTAGCCATCCAAGTAGCTCTCGCTCCAACTGTCTGAGGGAGGCAGATGTGGTATTCTCAGTGCCTAACAACTGGCACACTGCAGTGTGGACAATACAGTAACGTGGGTGGCCCCAGCCTCAGGGGGCTTCTGGGTGGCACGTGTCTGCCAGCCAGGGTGCGAGCACCAGGACAAGGTGCCTCTCCCTCCCGCCAGGTGGAGGCCTGCTTTGGCCAGAGGGGTAGGCTGGGGCATAGAAGCTGTGGTAGCCTGGCAGGGCTTAGTGGATACCCAGGGAAGTCCCAGGCAGGGCCTGGGGGGTAGGAAGAGGGGAGAGAGTACAGGGGGAGTTCCCATCAGTGGCTATTTTCCGAATCTTATGAAACCTCTTCAACATTCCAGGACAGGTGTGGTTGCCTCAGCACGTGTCTGCTGACCAAGAGTGGGGATGAATGAACAAAATCAAGAGTAGAAAGCCCCCCTCCCACCACCCCATCCCCACCTCCACTGTCCACCTGCCAGCCTCAGATCTGGGTTGTTGATGCTCTTTATCTGAAATAAACCAGAAGCTTGGAAGGGTGGAGGGCTGGGCCAGGGCTTGTCAGGGATTCACACTCGCAAGCCTGTTCCTCCCTGTCTATCAGGACGCACGGAAGCCACTGTGGGGCCCTAGATCCCCCAGAATCCCAGCACCAGATGCTGACTCAGGGCCTGCCTGGCTGTGGGACCAAGTCTGTGTCACAGCATCTGAATTCAGCCTTTGAGGCCTCCTAGGCACCCATGTACTCCTTGGGATGTAACTAACAGAAGAATGCAGAAACAAGTTGTGATGCAGCCACACAATGGCCTACCTTAGAACAATGATGATAAACCTAACACCACGACTCACAAAAGAGGTGTCTTGCAGGTATAATTTTAGAGAAAGAAGCCAAACCAAAAAGACTCCTTTTATTCAATACAAGGAATATGTCTCCTCCTCCCCCTCCTCCACCTTCTCCTCTTCTTCCTCCTTCTCCTCCTCTTTCTCCTTATCCCCTTTCTCCTTCTCCTCCTCCTCTTTTTTTCCTCCTCTTTCTCCTCCTCCTTCTTCTCCTCTTCTTCCTTTTCTCCTTCCTCCTCTTCTCCTCCTCCTTCTCCTCCTCCTCCTCCTTCTCTTTCTTCTTCTTTTTCTTCTTCCCATCGCCTTCTCCTTCTCTGTCTTTTCATTCTTCCTCTTGTTCTTCTGTTCCTCCTCTTGCTCCTCCTCCTCCTTCCTCTTCTTTTAATTCTCTTCCTGGCCAGCCCTGCATAGCATGAGGACACTCCTGAATTCTGTTCAGAACATCTGGGGGCCCTGCTTTAATTCAGCTTGTTATTGATGCAAAGCCCCAGATCAAAGTCATAAACATGGACCTAATAGGGACATATCCCTGCTTAAAGTGGCAATCCATTGTGCCTGGAATCAACTTGAAACTCTCTGCCATGACTTAAAACAAAAGCAACCTATGGGCCAAATCCTGCTTGTCGTCTGTTTTGTCAATAAAGTTTTGTTGGAACACAGCCATGCCCAATCTTTGCATGTTGTCTATGGCTGCTATCAGCTACAAGGGCAGAATTGAGTGGTTGTGACTGAGACCCATAAAGGGCCATAATGCCTACAACCTTTACAGAAAACATTTGCAATCCCCGATTAGAAGTCCCATGCAATCTGGCCCATGCCCACCTGTCTAGCCACATTCCACGCTGAGTCCCCGGAGGCCTGTGCACTTGGTCTTTCTCCTTCATCTCACAAGGTTGGCTCCTTCTCATCAGACCAGTCTCAGCCCTAAGGCCTGAGGTCTCCCTGGCCTCCTCACTCTCTAGCTCATGGACCTGCTCCATTTTTTCCAAAGATTATTTGTTTACTTGTGTACTGTCTCCCCTAGTGAGAATGTCAACACCATCATGGCTGGGACCCAGTTGATCTTGTTCACTGGTGCATACCCACAGCACCCGTGCCGTGACCCAGTTTAAGTGTTCAGTAAATACTGTTTGTTGAACAAATGAATGAAGTGATGAACATTTTCTAAAAGACAACACTTACATTGAGGACCTGGTGTGACATGTGACAGGGTACATCGTCTGTGATTTTTTTTTTGTTTTTTTGAGACAAAGTCTCACTTTGTCACCCAGGCTGGAGTGCAGGGCGTGATCTGGGCTCACTGCAGCCTCTGTCTCCCGGGTTCAAGCGATTCCTGTGCCTCAGCCTCCCCAGTAGCTGGGATTAAAGGCTTGTGCCACCATGCCTGGCTAATTTTTGTATTTTTAGTAGAGACGAGGTCTCACCATGTTGGCCAGGCTGGTCTTGAACTCCTGACCTCAGGTGATCTGCCCACCTAGGCCTCCCAAAGTGCTGGGATTATAGGCATGAGGCACCGTGCCCGGCCCTGTGATGTTCTTACCATCATCAGTGATCACCTACTCTGCAATTTGATTCCCTTCGGCAGCCTGTGCAGTGGGGAACATCATGCCCATTTTACAGATGAGAAAACTGAAGCCCAGAATGGCGAATCCGCAGTTAGTAAGTGACACCGAGATCAGACCTGTCTGAATTCAGTACCCAGACTTTCCCCAGGTGCCCTGCTCTCAAACTCAGCCAAGATGGCTTTGACTTTTGCTAATATTTGGAAGACACTGTCCTCCCAGAAACTTCTCTCTGTAGGATGAAAGAAGGATGCAGAACCCAGCTGGCAGATAACGTTTTAGAATTTGAGGCCAGACTGCACATATGTTATTGATCTGCTACCCTCATTCATTTTTTAAAAATCCAAATAAAAATGAAGCCCAGCAGTCAATCTGAATTAATTAGCTTTTCTGGCAGCTGCCATCTGAGAATTAGGAATTATCCTGAGCCAGTAAATTCTAACTGATTCTTTTTTTGTGGTGTCAGATTGGATTAAAGGAAATGTTGAGGGTAAAATTAAATACTACGCTTTTCTTATTGCTTCAGTTGCCCAAAGATAAACGCTTTTCATGATGATAAATATACTATAAATTCTCATAACAATAACCGAAATTCAAATAAATAGGCTGTATAACCCCATGCGACTGTAATTTTCCTTTTATAGTCAGCTTGTTTACTGTTTATTGAAGAGAATGTCTGGTCCTTGCCTTTGAGGGATTTTAAATGCAGCGTTAGTCCAGATTTTTTAAGGAAAGCCCCAAGCCAAGCACCTGTCTGTATCTTTGATTGTTTTCTCTTTATTAAGAGACTACAAGGCCACAAAGTCCTTGATCCATATGATTGGGATGGGCACAGGGGTGAAATGCAAGGGAACAAGAAACATGTCAGCTAGAAGTCAGGAACCCTGGGCTCTGGCCCTGCACTTTGACGTTAACCAAGTCAATTCATCTGTTCATCTGATTTTCATCTCTTAAATGAGGGGATTTGTAACTGCCCTACATACATCAGAAAGTGTTTGACCCATACCTGAGATATCAGGGGTGACTAATTTAAGAAGGACAGAACTTGCTTCTTAGGTTGACTCTTGGCATCACAATAGATGAGTAACTTTGCCCAGTGACTGAAGGCCACCGGTGACACCAGATTCACAAATTAAAGTGACAGTAATGAGAAGAAACACCAGGCATTGGCAGCCATAAGTTAAATTATTCATAAGTCACCTGCATTAAGTGAAAGATAAAGTTTAACCAGCAATCACATGTCTAGATATGTAACAGCGTGCTAAGTTGGAAGTTTAATATATATAATAACTGAATTTCCAAAATGAGAAAGTTCAAATTAGGTGACACAGAATGAATTAAACTTCTCAAAAATCACTGAAAAGATCTGAAGTGATTGAAAGAGTTAGAAGGGAGAGAGGGTTTATGAAGAAATATTTTTGGGGAGAGCCGCTGCAGAGTTGGGAGTCTCACCCCACTTTCTCCCAAGCAGGTGAGATTAAAAGCCTCAAGCCAAGGGAGCAAAGATGTATCAGTTAGCTACTGCTGCATAACAAATCACTCCAAAAACCAGGGGCTTTAAATAACAAGAGTTTATTTAGCTCACTGGCTGGGGGCTAGCTGATCTAGGATGATCTCACTTATGCATGTGGAGTTGACTGCTAGGCCAGCAAATCAGTTCTGCTGATCTTGTCTGGGCTCGCTCATGTGTCTGAGATGAATCCACTGACCCAGTTTTGCTCCACGTTGTCTCTCATCCCCCAGCAGGCTAGCCTGGGTTTGTTCATACACAGTGGCAGAGGTCCAAGGAAGTGAGCAGAAGCATACAAGGACTCTTCAGGTCTAAGCTGGAAAAGGTACATCATTATTTCCACTGCTCTCTATTGGCCAAAACAAGTCGTTAGATCAGCCCAGATTCAAGAAAGATTTTAACCCACCTCCAATGGGAGGATCATCAAAGACACATTGAAAAGGGGTGTGGCTACAGGAAGAATGGAGAATTGTGGCCAATTTTACAAGAGAGTCTTCAGGGAGTTTGAAATGGCGCAATTATGGGGGTCATTAGATTTAATTTCTTACATGTGACGAGGAAATTTAAGGTGAGAGACTACAGCTTCCAAACTGAGTCATGGGGCAGAGAAAGGGAGGGAATCGAAGGCTGAGTTTGAGAAACAGCAGCGTTGCCACCAGGCATATGTTTTTCATGAGCTAGAAGTGGGCCACCTAAGAGAGAGGACAGCTGGGGAGGGGCAAATGGACTCCACCTAGAGGTCTGTGCTGCAGGATCCACTCAAGATCCAGGAGTGGGGAAGGGAGTAGGGTCTGGAGAAGGATTTCCCTTCCCTTCTGGAGCCATAGTTAGGACCCAACAGAAGAGCTCTATAAATCCATGACTTTACTCATCAAAGAGTTAGCTCTAAAGGCTTGACAGACTCCCAGAGTATGAAAAACCATCTTATGACAGTATCAAACCAGTAAGAGCTCTTTTTCTTTCTTGAGACAGTGTCTTACTCTGTCACCCAGGCTGGAATGCAGGGGCATGATCACGGCTCACCGCAGCCTCAACCTTCTGGGCTCAAATGGTGTTCCCACCTCAGCCTCCTAAGTAGCTAGGACCACTGGCTTGAGCCAACATGCCCAGTTAGTTTTTGTATTTTTTTTAGAGATAGGGTTTCGCCATGTTGCCCAGGATGGTCTCCAACTCCCGGGCTCAAGCGATCCTCCCGCATAGGCATCCCGAAGTGCTGGCATTGCAGGCATGAGCCACTGTGCCCAGCCAAGAACTTTCTATATCCCTTGTCCTGTATCCCTGTCAGAAAAGGCCAGGGCCACTTCCTTAGCAAGTCAAGAGGAAAGATGAGGAAGAAGGAGTGGTGACCATGTCCCCTCCCAAGTTCACCTGGAGCTGTGCTACTCCACCTGGGGCTGAGAGAGGGAGGAGACTTAATTCTAAATCTAAATTCTAAAGTTTGGAGTTTGGCTGAATGTGGTGGCTCACAGCACTTTGGGAGGCTGAGGCGGATCACTTGAGGCCAGTCCAAAACCAATCTCAGCAACATAGTGAGACCTCACCTCTACAGCAAAATTTAAAAATTAGCTTGGCATGGTGGCATGCTCCTGTACTCCCAGCTACTGTGAAGGCTGAGGTGGGAGCATCACTTGAACCCAGGAGTTCAAGATTAGGTGAGCCGTGATTGTGCCCCAGCACACCAGCCTGGGTGACAGAGTGAGACCTTGTCTCAAAATAAATAAAGTTTAGAGTTTTGACTATTCCATGATTCTAGACAACCTAACTAGCAAATTAAGCCTATTTGTATAAATAAGACTGTCTAGTACCTAAGTATGAGCAGGAAAGTCACACCAGAGTTTTTATCCCAGGCAGGGTTAAAGCTTCTACCACAGTGAATACATTTTAAAGAGATGGGGAGAAAAAAGATAAAGTTGGACTTGTATCGTAGCCTATTACCAATGTGTTCACAGTATCAGTTACAGGTATTCATATATTATGCTTCTCTGCTGTGGCAGAAATTATTGTAGAGTGCTTGGTAGCACTGTATACAGTGGAATGTGCACTATACATATTTCCTGTTACTAATATTTCTGCTTGTTTAGTGTAAACTTCAGTCTCTCCAACTCTGCTCTTTCAGAATAGTGACTTCCAAATTTTCTATAGAATAATAAAATATCAGAAAAATATATTTAGCATCACTACTAATCAAGGAGCGGTAAGTAAAAACAAAATACCATTTTTCATCTATGAAATAGGCAAAGGTTAAAAAACAACAATGCTCAGAGTTAGAGCAAGTGCTATGGAAGGAAAGTGCCATATACTCCAGAAGGGAATGTGAGTTAACACTATATTTTGGAAAAGCAAGTTACAATATGCATCAGGAACCTTGAAAATGTTTCTGACTCTTTGATGTAGCCATCCCACATGTAAAATGCATTCCAGGAAATTATCAGAGAGATATGCAAAGGTGTATGTGTAGCAGAAACCTGGAAACAACTTCAATACCTATCAATAAGAGTGACTGATTAAATAATTACTTCATGTGCTAGAATAATTTACAGCTGTTAAAAATATGTCATAGCAAATTATCGCATTAGATGGAAAAATACAATGCTTTTAAAGCAAGAAGCTATAGTGCATTTACAAACATGAAAGAAAATCTATGAAAATGTTAACAATGTTTATCTCTGGGTAATAGAAATAATGGCAACTTTTTTTTCCTTTTCATTTAATTTTCTAAATTGTCCACAAAGAATATATACTGCATTTGTTAACAGGAAAAGGCATTGTGTCTGTGAGCCTCATCCACATTGTCGGGCAGATACCTGGAATTGGAATTGCTGGGTGTATGTACGTTAAGCTTCAGCAGATACTGCTAGTTTCCAAAAAAATATACAGTAAATATGGCGTATTTTTCTTAATTACTGTTTTTTTAGAAGTTTAACACAAAATTTACACTCCCACCAGCAGGGTATGTGGATGGCTATTGCTCCACACCCATGTCAGCACTTGGTATTATCGTGTTGTTCATTTCATTTTCATTTCATTTCCATTCTGGTGGGTACATGGAAGTGGAGGTGTCACATAGCAGCACCAAGCAAACCTGGGCAAGAAGGGCTCCCCTGCTCTGTGCCTCACACTCACTCCAGAGAGCCTCACATTTCTTCCTAACACTGCCAAGGCCTCAGGAAACCATTTCTCCATATTTCTGGCCCTCTGTCCTCAACAAAATGTAACTCTGGCCAATTATCATGAAGGTGTGTGGGTTGTGCCACAGCCAACATCAGAGGCTGGCACTGCTTTGAGAGCTGACAAGGACTAGAGTGGAGGAAGCACTTAGCAAGGGAAAACACAAATTAATTAACTTGTTAAATCCACTCTCTCCTGTGGCATGGATGCAATAGATTCTTGCATATTGGAGTTCCATTTCCCAATCATAGCAAGCACCATTTTCTTGCTTTTCTTCATGTTCTAATTCATGGTTCTGGAGGTAGTCACGAATCACAGCTGAAGAACACTTAGTCATGTTAGCCAACCAATGACCTTTTTCAATTTGCATCTATGCAAGTCCACACCAGGGCTTTGCAATCTTCACATTATTGACGTTTGGGGCCAGATAAATCTTGCATGTGTCTGTCCTGTGTATTGTAGAATGTTTAGCAGAATCCCTGGCTTCTATGCACTTAGATGTCAACAGGACCACCATCCTTAATGTGACAATCAAAAATGTCTCCAAATGTTGCCAAATGTTTCTTGTGGGACAAACTTGCCCCCAGTTGAGAATGACTGATCTAGACATTAAAAAACATGATCTGGGATACTGGTCCTTCCCAGAAACAACTAGGTGGACACTGAATGCTGAAACTGTAGACATTTAATTTATAAAAAATTTAATAAGATTTAATTATTTAAAAAAATTAAAATTTCTTGACTTTAATTAAATAATTCTTATTTAGAATTTTGATAGTCAATACTTACAATTTTTAGCTTGACTTTTAATTTTAATACTTTTAAAACTTTTGAGAGAAATAAATTTTTGAAAACATACCAAAAAGTTATTTTTTTATTTTTACATTTGTTTTCATTTAAATTTTTGATAAAAATAATAAAATTGCATATATCTTGAAGATATATTTTAATCCTTTCGATTATTATTAATTAAATTAAAATTATGTGAAAGTATTGATTACAACATAGCAATTTTGCTAAAATGAGGCAAGAAGAATAACTTATGGAATAAGTACATATCACTTATTATTATTTATTTACTATTCACCCAAATACCACAGGCCCATTAACAGAACACACGGATGTGCAAATATTAATTCAATTCAGTCTTCTTTGATAATTTAACGACTTTGTCATATAAAAACTGTAGCTTTATGTTTGCAATGTTGTCATTATTAAGGTATATTTGTTAAAGCAAGAGGATAAAACTTTTAAATCAGTTTTTCTAGGTTGATGGATAGCATTTAAATACTTAGCTGTAATATTTAGCATTAGATTTAATTAAAATCTAATTTTAAAATCTAATCTAAAAATCTAATACTAAACAGATTAATAAATTAGATTTCAGATTTTGCATTAGAATAGTGTGTGGCCTACAATTCTCACTCCCACCCCAAGCCACATGATGGCTGATGGCGGGGACAGGCTCTTCTTGTGGTCTTAATTTGCATCTTTCTGATTACAAGTGAATTTGAACGTCTTTTTTGTTTACTGGTCACTTGGATTTCCTCTCTTGTGGCATGGCGGATGAAGACATTCACATATTTTCCCATTATGTTTTCTGCCCTTTTAAAATGGATTTGTTGACTTTATGTATTCTGAATATGAGCCCTGATATGGTTTGGCTCTGAGTCCCCACCCAAATCTCAAATTGAACTGTACTCCCATAATTCCCACGTGTTGTGGGAGGACCCAGTGGGAGGTAATTGAATCATGGGGACGGTTTCCCCCATACTGTTCTCGTGGTAGTGAGTAAGTCTCATGAGATCTGATGGTTCTATCAGGGGTTTCCGCTTTTGCATCTTCCTCATTTTCTCTTGCTACCACCATGTAAGAAGTGCCTTTCCCCTGCTGCCATGATTCTGAGGCCTCCCCAGACATGTGGAACTGTAAGTCCAATTGAACCTCTTTTTCTTCCCCGTCTCAGGTATGTCTTTATCAGCAGTGTGAAAACAGACTAATACAGTTAATTGTACCAGTAGAGTGGGGCATTGCTGAAAAGATACCTGAAAATGTGGAAGCGACTTTGGAACTGGGTAACAGGCAGAGATTGGAACAGTTTGGAGGGCCCAGAAGAAGACAGAAAAATGTGGGAAATTGGGGAACTTCTAGAGACTTGTTGAATGGCTTTGCCCAAAATGCTGATAGTGATATGGACAATAAGGCCCAGGCTGAGGTGGTCTCAGATGGCGATGCGGAACTTGTTGGGAACTGGAGTAAAGATGACTCTTGTTTTGTTTTGGCAAAGAGACTGGTGGCATTTTGCCCCTGCCCTAGAGATTTGTGGAACTTTGAACTTGAGAGAGATGATTCAGGATATCTGGTGGAAGAAATTTCTAAGAAGCAAAGCATTCAAGATGTGACTTGGGTGTTGTTAAAGGCATTCAGTTTTATAAGGGAAGCAGAGAATAAAAGTGTGAAAAATGTGCAGCCTGACAATGTGATAGAAAAGAAAAACCTATTTTCTGAGGAGAAGTTCAAGCTGGGCTATAAAAATTTGTATATGTAATAAGGAGCCAAATGTTAATCCACAAGACAATGGGGGAAATGTCTCCAGGGCATGTCAGAGGTCTTCACCGCAGCCCCTCCAATCACAGGCATGGAGGCCTAGGAGAATATGGTTTCGTGGGCTGGGCCCAGTGTCGGCGTGCTGTGTGCAGTCTAGGGACTTGGTGTCCTGCATCCCAGCCACTCCAGCTATGACTAAAAGGGGCCAAGGTACACCTCAGGCTATTGCTTCAGAGGGTGGAAGCCTCAAGCCTTGGCAGCTTCCATGTGGTGTGGAGCCTGTGAGTGCACAGAAGTCAAGAATTGAGGTTTGGGAACTTCCACCTAGCTTTCAGAAGAGGTGTGGAAACGCCTGGATGCCCAGGCAAAAGTTTGCTGCAGGGTCGGGGCCCTCACGGAGAACCTCTGCTAGGGCAGTGCAGAAGGGAATTGTGTTGTTGGAGTTCCCACACAGAGTCCCTACTGGGACACTGCCTAGTGGAGCTGTGAGAAGAGGGCCACTGTCCTCCAGAGCCCAGAATGGTAGATCCACTGACAGCCTGCACCATGAGCCTGCAAAAGACATCAGGGCCAGTCCATGAAGGCATCCAGGAGTGGGGCTATACCCTGAAAAGCCACAGGGGCAGAGCTGCCCAAGACCATAGGAACCCACCTCTTGCATCAGCGTAACCTGAATGTGAGACCTGGAGTCAAAGGGGATCACTTTGCAACTTTAAAATTTGACTGCACCCTTGGATTTTGGACTTGCATGGGCCCTGTAAACCCTTTGTTTTGACCAATTTCTTGCATTTGGAATGACTGTATTTACCCAATACCTGTATCCCCATTGTATCTAGCAAGTAACTAGCTTGCTTTGGATTTTTCAGGCTCATAGGCAGAAGGGACTTGCCTTGTCTCAAATGAGACTTTGGACTGTGGACTTTTGGGTTAAGGCTGAAATGAGTTAAGACTTTGGGGGATAGTTGGGAAGGCATGATTGGTTTTGAAATGTGAGAACATGAGATTTGGAGGGGCCGGGGCAGAATGATATGGTTTGGTTCTGTGTCCCCACTCAAATCTCATCTTGAATTGTACTCCCATAATTCCCACCTGTTGTGGGATGGACCCAGTGGGAGATAATTGAATCATGGGGGCGATTCCCCCATACTGTTCTTGTGGTAGTGAGTAAGTCTCATGAGGTCTGATGGTTTTATCAGGCGTTTCTGCTTTTGCATCCCTCTCATTTTCTCTTGCCACTGCGGTGTAAGAAGTGCCTTTTGCTTCCTGCCATGATTCTGGCCTCCCCAAGCCACTTGGGTATGTCTTCATCAGCAGTATGAAAATGGACTAATACAAGCCCTTTCTTGATTTATGACTCACACACACACCCCACCCCACTCTGTGACCTGAATTTTCTTCTCTTTACAGTGTCTTTTGAAGAACCAATGCTCTCAATTTTAATGTAGTCCTGTGTATTAATCCTTCCCTTCATTTTTAGTGTTTTTTTTGGGGGTTCTGCCTAAGAAATATTTTCCTCACTTCAAGGTCAGAAAGATATTCTCCTGTGTTATCTTTTATAAGTTTCATTGCTTTCCTTTCTCTCATGATTCTGTGATCCACCTGGAATAGATTTTGGGGTACAGTGTGCAGTAAGGCATAGAGCTTCATTTTTTTACATAAAGCAACCCAAAATAATTTACAGATAAATTGTTAGAATCAATAGGGGAATACGGTGAAGTTGCCAAGAGCAATATACAAAGGAACATATTTGTATGTTCCAACATTAGAAAAAATTTTTTATAGATACCATTAATAATATCAAAAACATCAAATATCTAGGAGTAAATCTAATGAAAGTTAAGAAGGACTCTTACATAGAAAACTATGTAACATGACTGAGAGAAATGAAAGAAGCCTACATAGATGGGAGGGGGGGGGCTGTACCACAGTTATGGAGGCTGACTGAGGGTCTCCTTGCTTCTTCCTTCCAAACCGCCTCTCCACTGTGGTACAGATTTCATTTCCCAGAGACCTCAGCTGGGGCTGTTCCCCTTCCCTGGTCTTCCCTCTCTAAGATTCCCCTCCAATCTACCCTGTTTTCTTTTCTATTCCCTTCAGCCCTTCCCATTGTGAGATAGTAATGTTGGTCAAAAGGAGTGCTGGTCACCAAGGCTACTTTGGAAAAGGGTCATAAGTGCTTTTAGGAAGCAGGGGGTGTGCAGGACCAACGAAGCAGTCAGGGGTAAGACAACAGGAAATAAATAGCAGAGCTGATGGTAAACTCCTCAAGAGCATATGCCTACTCTAAATTTGAAAAAAAAAAATTTAAAAAGCCATTTTGATCAAACAAATATTTGTAGACTAGACTGAGCCCACAAGCTACTGGGTCTTAAAAATCTCTCCAGGTGAGTCTAATGAGCTAATGCTGAGAACCACACAAGACCAGTAGAAGGGCTGTGTATCAGTCAGGGTCCCCAAAGAAATAGAACCAATAAGGTGCATGTGTGTGCACACGTGTGTGTGTGCCTACACAGGCATGTATGTAAAATAAGGAACTGATTTTACATGATTATGGAGGCTGCCAAGCCCCAAGATCTGCAGAGCAAGTCAGCAAGCCAGAGTCCCAGGACAGCTGATGGTGTAGTTCCAGTCCAAATGCCAGCAGGTTCAAAAACACAGAAGAGCCAAGGTTTCTATTTGAGTCCAGTCAAGAAAAAACTGAAGTCCCGGTTTAAAGGCAGCCAGGCAAGGGGGATTGTCTCTTCCACGGGAGAAGGGTCAGCTTGTTTCTTCTGTGCAGGCCTTCAACTGATCAGATGAGGCTCACCCACATTAGTGAGGGCAGTCTGCTTGACTCAGTTTACTGATTTAAATGCTCATCTCATCCAAAAACACCCTCGCAAAAACATCCAAAATAATGTTTGACCAAATGTCTGGGCACCCTGTGGCCCAGCCAAGTTGACACATAAAATTAACTACCACAAGCTGTTCTTAACCAGCCTTACCCATCAGACTCTCCTTAAGAACATTCTCAAAATGGAGTTTCTGTTCCAACACTGGAGTATCTGACCGGTCAGGAATGGGGTGGGGCCTACAGAAGTGTGTTTTGCTTTCAAGTTAAAGGCTCAGCATAAACTGGGATGGGAAGCAGGAGTCAAATCTATATTTATAAATGGGCTGATGTCTGCACAGCACTTCCTAAAGCTGAGGAGCAGAAGCCAGGGGACTCTCCACTAACAGCTTACCCCTGGAATGAACTGGGAATGGGAAACCCAAAGACAGATGATCGTAGCCACAGTTTACAGAACTGAGGACAGAACAGAGTTGGGAAGTGGGCCACAGAGTGACTGCTTCTGGGAGGGCAGAACTGTGGGCCAAGAAGGTGGACCCTAACCAGACAGGACATGGCCATGCTTGGGATGGGGAAGGCCCAAGACAGAAAAACAGAAAAGGAAGGAGATGAGCTAATTCAAGACACAGGGACACTGATAGCAAAGTAGGAGGCTTCAAATGAGAGACTGCCAGGCCCTGAAGAGACTGACTTTTTAACTAGCCAATGGGGCTGGTTTATGAGGAGAGATAGGAGCCAGTTAAGGCTTATTTGGGCACCTCATTGTTTGGTTTGACTTTCGTTTGTTTAGACCAGAGGCAGCTCACATGTTGGTGAGCCCACTGGCTATTTCTCATTGCTGTGTCCTGACCTGGGACTCTTAGAAACCCCTTTGATGAAGCATTGCTCCTACAGGTGCCTGGGCACCCAGGGGCTCCTGCTGAGAAGATGCCCTCCGCTTCCTGCTGACACTGACGCTTCCAGAAGTGAGTTAGTTCTACCCCATTTTCCTCTGCAGAAAACTCTCACTGACTTCTCAGCCCCTCGGCAGCTTTTCCCAGATAGGTGTTGTCTTAGTCAACTCACCCTGCCAGGACAAATTACCACAGACTGCGGCTTAAACAACAGAGATTTACTTCTCACAGTTCTGCAGGCTGGGAATTCCAACAGCAAGGTGCTGGAAGGGTAAGTTTCATTTCCAGGCATCTTCTCTTGGCTTGCAGCTGGCCACCCTCTTGTGTGCAGTGGAGAGAGAGATCTCGATCTCCTCCTCTTCTTGTAAGACACTAATTCCACCATGAGAGCCCACCCTCATGACCTTACGTAACCTAATTACCCCACTGCTGTGGTCTGCTTGTGTCCCACAACGTTTGCATGTTGAAACTTGATCACATATGTGATAGTTCTAAGAGGCAGGGCCTTCAGGACGTGATGAAGTTACGAGAGTGAAGCCCTCACAGGGGATTAGGCCCCTGATAGAAACACTGGAGGCAGTGAGTTCATCCCATTCCATCTCTTCTGCCACATGAGGACACAGTGTTCATCCCTTCCTGAGGATGCAGCAACAAAGTGTCACCTTAGAAGCAGAGAGCAGCCCTTACCAGGTGTTGAACTGGCCGGCACTTTGATCTTGGGCTTCCCAGCCTCCAGACTGTGAGAAATACATTTCTATTCTGTATCAATTATCCAATCAGGGCCAGGCACGGTGGCTCATGCCTGTAATTCCAGCACTTTGGGAGGCCAGGCGGGTGGGTCACTTGAGGTCAGGAATACAAGACCAGCCTGGCCATCATGGTGAAACCCTGTCTCTACTGAAAATACAAAAATTAAAATTAGCCCAGCATGGTGGTGGGTGCCTGTAATCCCAGTACTCAGGAGGCTGAGACAGGAGAATCACTTGAACTCAGGAGGCTGAGGTTGAAGTGAGCGGAGATCATGCCACTGCACTCCAGCCTGGGCGACAAAGCAAGACTCTGTCTCAAAAAAAAAAAAAAAAAAAAAAAATTACCCAACCAGGTATTTCATCATAAGAATGCAAGTGGACTGAGATGCTCCTAAGGGACTCATCTCCAAATACCGTCACCTTGGAGATTAGGGCTTCAGCTATGAATTTTGAGTGGACACAACTCAGTCCATAGCTGGCATCCTACTGGCTTCAGGATTTTTGCCACCTTTCCTCTCTCCAAACCATTACTAATGTACTTTTAAATTTTAAGTGGGTCACCTTAGCTCACCTTTTAACTCAACTTTATTTTAAAGGAAGATTTAATCACTGTAATACAGAGAAAACCCCAGCTCATTTGTGTGTATAGTTGGGAAAGGCAAAATTTATTCTACCACCTTCTCTGAGAGGATTGGATCCCAAGAATCAGAGTAATTAATACTAGCTACAATAACAGTAAGTACAAAATCTGAGTGGCTTCAGGCTCTAAAGCAGGGGTCAGCAAACTGCAGCCCACACGCCAGATCCGGCCCGTTGCCTGGTTTTTGTGAAGGATCTTTCTCTGGGGCATAGCCACACCCACTCATTTATGTGCTGTTTCTGGCTGCTTTTGCGCTGACAGCAGAGTTCACTGGTTGGAAGACCAATGACCGCCAAGTGACTGCGGACCGCCAAGCCTCAAGTGTTAACTCTTGGGTCCTTTTCAGGAAAAGCTTGCTGAGCATGCTCAAAGGTTTACTTCTCACTCCTGTCACAGTCCTGTTGCGTTCAGTAGACAGCTTTTCACGACATGTGAAGAGACTTGTGCTGGGACTTGGATTGCATCTGCCCAGGAGCAGATCCTGAGTGACCCCAGGAAGCCCCATTAGGAGAGTGGGAAAGTGAAACAGGGAAAAGAAGCAGATGGAGGAAGTGTTCATGAGCTGTCATCGCTGTGGGCACTTGGAGCTCCTTCCTGCTGGGGACCTGGGCCGCTGTGTAGGACACATGTCAGAGTCATCCCACTCGAGGGCAGTGGGAGTGGGGGTATTTATTCACCACTGGCTGAGGGGCTTGCACTCCCCAGCACTCTGGCCCATGCCACAGGCAGCTGGAGCCCGACCCTGCTGCCGATGAAAGCTCCCAGGCTGGAGGTTACGTTTCTTGGAGTAAGAAGCGGTGAGTCCAGGAAAGGGATCCCAAAGGCACACCAGCGGGCACCCACAGGGCATGCTGCCTGGTGCCATGGACCCTCAGGGCCTCCGTGGAGTACTCCCCTTCCTCCTCTCCATTTGTCAGCTGAAAAGCCAAGAGCAAGAGAACAGCCTTCACGCCCAGGGCCAGAAGGGGCTCACTTTCCTCCACTCCCTTTCCATCCATGGCAACCGTCACCTGCAAGGGGGCCAGGGAATGCAGTCAGCTTGCCCAGGAAGAGGAAGTAGACTCATGAACTTCTAGCCAGTCTCTGCCTTCGTAACTTTCACTTAAAATTTAGTTTCAAGAAGCTATGTGGGTGATCCCCAAAGCCTGTATTTCTGGATTTGTCAAGTAACTTAGCGGTAGAAAAGCATTCCTTACTTGGCGGCCATATCACACCTTCCAAATGCCCCTGCACAGGCTTTGAGATATTTTCAACTCATGCTCTATACAAGTGCAGATGGTTTAAAGATGCCTGGTTATGGCTGAGGGAGGTAGAGAACTCACTTACAGGAATCTGGCTTCCCTGGCTCTGGCACACTCCTGGACGAGGTCCTTGGCACCTAACTCTCCAGGCATTTCAAACCCAGGAGGTCTTTAGGCCTGCCTTTGTGGTAATACCGAGACAAGAGGACATCAATGGGGTGTCTGCTTTGTGCCAGGCACATTGCTACATCATCTTGAGGTATCCATAACACTACAAACAGGCTCAGGGATGAAAAGTATCAACTAGTGGTTATCATGTGCGTATACATTAACTCATTTACTCCTCAGTCAAAATTCTTAGGCTCCTTGTCCTTCAGTTTTCTCATGTGTAAGATGGAGGTGAGAATACCTGTCACTAATATCCATTCTTCCTGTCCTCCTTTGTATTATAATAGCCCATCCACTACCATCACCAATTTTTAGCTGCATACATAATTGTCTGGGATAATGCAAACATTTCCCAGGCTTCCTTGAGATATGTGACTAAGTTCTAGACAATGAGATATAAATAGAAATGTCATACGCAACTTCTAAGGAGTGTTCCAAAGGAGCAAGCCTGAATTTCTTCAACTATTCCTTCTTCCTACTGGCTAAAATATGGATGTGATGGCTGGTTCTTGGGCAGCCATCTTGTACTATGAGGAAGACAATAGATATTGAGAAAGGATGAGGAAAAGGACACAATCAAACCACATACCAGCCTATGGCTCTCCCCTTTGGATATCATTCGCCTGTCAGGGAAATTGATCACTATCTAATTTAAGCCTCTGATGCTTGATCAGCCACATTGGTATGATCTGGGAATTTGTTAGAAATGCAGAATATTGACCCCCACCCCAGACCTGCTGAATCAGAATCTGCATTTTAACAAGATCTGCAAGTGACTTGTGTACAAAATAAAATCTGAGAGGCACTGGTTCCAGCAGCTACTGTTATCTGAGAGAGGCCTGTCACTTAACAGCTGAACTCAGTCCTAACTAATGTCCCACTGCACAACACTGCTGGGAGGATTAAATGAGTCATGAAGTCAAAGCACCTAGCACAAGGCTCTGCCCAGCATGGGGAGTGAGAGTTCATGGGTTAAATTGCCTTGGGGGTGGGTTCTGTGATGGAGCACAGATTTATGGCAACATTGCCATCTGCCCTGTGGGCTCAAAGACATCCCCTAACTGTGTGAAACTTTGGAGACAGAGCAGAAGGGGTGCAGTATTTGTTGAATACCAACTTGAGAGGTTTTGTAGAAGCCATTAATTAGGGACCAGGGGAGGGAGAGGTCCTGGGATGTGCCTTCCAGAGCCTGCTGCACAGCTTTGACCCCAAATGGTGTAGACCTAGGGAGCAGGAGGGGAGGGAGGTCTTAGATCATTGAGCACGGGTGGCATGTGAGGGACACAAAGCACCCTCTTCATAATGCCTGCGAGCATGAGAACAGCCACATACTGGTCTCTCATTCCCGCACCCAGGCTGTGGAGGGAGAAACCTTCTGGCTGAGGAATGGCTCTGCTGCTGTACTTATCCCAATTTTCCAGCTGGCCAGGCTTTATCTCTCCTGTGATGTGATTGATGGAGCTCTCCGCAGGGCCTCCCATTATGGTCTGAAGGACACGGTGGCCTAGTTTTCGTGCAGGGATGCAGGGAGGCCAGTCATGCGGGACTGTGGCCCACTGTGTGGGGTATTTTGGAGACAGATGGGACTTTTCTGACCAGGAGGTCATGGGGTGGTTCTGAGGCAAGGGCTCCTGTAAAAATGCCTGTGCTCAGCTGAAGCAGAAGGTTCCTAGAATGGAAGGAGCAAGAACTGACGTGGGCTCCACGTCCGTCGCATGCTGTGGCAGGCCTGCCCTGCTCCTGCCCTACTCTGTGCTGTCCACCAATTGTCTGGTGGCTGGAGCATGCCACACCCTGACAGCCCAGGAGGGCTTGGTGGGTATCCCTGCCAGGAGAGTCCACTTGAGTGGCTACAACAGTGCTGTGCTCTGTGTGTGTGTGAGGCTGTGTGTTTGTCTATTTCTCTGTGTCTCCACCATCTCTATTTTCCCCAATACCTGGAAGCAGAATCACAGCATGTTGAGAGGTCTCTGGGACTACATTGCCCCGGTTGTTGGAATCCTGGCTCTAGCTGTTGGACCATGGACAAATTACTTTGCTGTGTCACAGATTTTCTATTTGTGATGGAGATCATTGGATTGTTGTGAGAATTAAATGAGTTGACCCATATAGAGTCCTCACAGTAAGCCCTCAGTCAATGGTAGGTGATGCCTTCCCTCCCCAACCCAAGGTCCTACATACTACTGCCCAGCAGCCTGAGAGCGAAGGGCCTGCACCTGTCAGGAGTCTGGGAGGATATGCTGGGGAAGGTTGATGGGGCAGAGGTGAGGACAAGCCCAAAGGAGGTACTTCCTCACCTCTCTCCCCTTCCTCCTCGGTAACTCACTAGATGATCCTGCCCTCCTGCAAAGTGACATCTCAAGTCACAGCCACCTGGCAAAGCCTTCCCTTTAGCTGTCACAGCAAAACAGAAAAGGCCAGGGTTGAGTGAGAAGACCTGGCACCAACACTCACTGTACAATCTTAGGAAAATGACTCATCCCCCTTGAGCCTTAGTTTCCCCAGGTGTAAAGTGGAGATGACATCGTCTTTGCCCTCCACACGCCCCTAGGGCTGGCTAGAACTCGGAGACAACTCTGCCTCCTCCAGTCTGTGTTCTCCCTCCCATTCATGGGACTCTTCAGATGCCACCTGTGTGCTGAGGCATTTACGTTAGTCAGGTTAGGTCAGGCTTGCCACAGTAACAAATTATCCTTGAAATCAGAGCTGGCTTCTTTCTTGCTAACACAGACTCTAGTGAGGGTCTGGGGACTCCCAGGGCAGCCTCCTGCCCCATGGTGACTCAGCAATCCAGGTGCTTGAATCCAGGCTGCCTCCTTCTCAACCCAGGGCTTTAGTCACCACAGCTGGGAAGGAGAGAGCGGGAGGGCTGCACGCTGACCCATAGATGCTTTATCCAGGAGTCCCAGGCAGCACTTCTGCTCACAGCCCATTGGCTAGAACCTTCCCGTGGCTTTGCCTTTCTGCAGGGAGGCAGGGCAACGTGGAGAGCATACCGTTACCCAGTAAGCAGCAAACATCTTGCCAAAGAATCTCTTTCCATCTTAACCTCTGCCTTTGTGTTCTCAGTGTCATGGGCCACTGAAAAACCTGCAGAGGAGCTCCAGGCAAAAATGGCACCATCCTGGGGCCACGTCCAGCTCAGGGGAAGAGTTGGCTGTGTCAGTACAAGTCGGACCTCTTCAAGTGTGGGAGAATTTAATCACAAATCCAAAGGTCCCACCAGGCCAGTGACCAAGTTCAGAGCCCAGGCCCACAAGCCCTAGACTTTGAAACAGAGTAGGGAGGGGCCAGCCATCCAGAGGACAGACCTGCTGCCTGTAGTCGCCAGGTTTGGAGTAAGTCCCCAAGAGTCCCTCTTTTGTGAAATCCCCTTAATTCTATCCAGTTACAAACAAAAGGAGATTCTGTTTCTCCAGAGCTACCAATCCCTTAAGTGGCTTTCCCTGTTACTTGGGTTCTTATTAAGGTTACTTGGGACTGAGTCACCCGTCCTTGAGTGACAGTTCAACTTGAAGGCAATGTCTTGCAGAGCTGCTGCCCCAGGTGCCATCACCAAGTGCCCTGCTTGTAGTAATCTCTTTTTAAATGACTATTTTCTGCTTAAGCCCATCGTTGCCATGTAGGTGACTCTGACATTTTAGCTAAATGTCTTCTTGGGAGACGTCATCCTCTCTTTTAAAGCAGTAATTCTTTCAGAGGGATTTTACCCAGGGGCAGAGATGGTGAGGTGAGGGGGACTGCAGAGGCTTGGGCTGGAGCCTTTCCCAGGCAAGCAGTGCCAGCAGCCCAAGCCATTCCCTGGCCCTGAGGGGGCCCCTTGTGCCTGAGGAGGAGAAGACAGAGCAGGGGACCAAGATCCATTCTTTCCTCTCCTAAGAGTCCTAGACACTCAGGGGACTTGTCTTGTCGGGGTTCCCCGGAAGCAGACTCTGAGACAAGGACTCAAATACAAGTAGCTAATCTAGAAGGTGATGCCCAAAAACTCTACCAGGTGTGGGGAGACAGGGAAGGGCAGGGCACTGTTTTCAAGCCCATCCGGGCTGCCAGCACCTGGAGTTTCTTCCTCCTCCCTGGGGAGCTCCTGGAGGTGGAGTAAAACCCTCTCATCAGTTACCCCAGCCAAGAGATGTGGTGGTAAGGATTTATCCACACTTCTCTCCTGCTTCTCCTCTCCTGTCAACTGGCTCTGTGCATTTTGGGCAGGGAGAAGCACTCCTGGGCAGCGGGTCCCAGTGTTTGCGGCACAGTCTTCTGAGTGCAGAGGTGGATGTCCATGAGCTCTGAGCCAAATTTGATCCATCAACAGATTCCACGGCCCTGGCCACGTGGTGGGTTCCTGTGCAGCCAAGTGACCTGAAGAGGGTCACTGGGTAAGGCTGAAAATGCAGCTAGTTTGGGTGCGTAGGGGACAGCCCACTTGTGGACTGACTTGCTGAGCTGGAGGGGCTGCTTTTCAATGAAGTCACATTGTTATGCAGCGATTTTGTCTTTGAATATTTCTTCCTGGGCAGAGGGCACAACAACTGTGGTATATTTTTTCAGGGCTGCAGGTGCAGGTGTTTGCATGGTTGGGCAGCAAACCAAAAGGAAGTCTCCCCTGGCCAAGGAGTTGGAAACAGACATGCAACCACATCGTTACGGACTGTGTGGTGCTGCCATGACCTGCAACATGGGTGCCCGTCCACCCAGCCCACGGCAGCACAGCCCACCTTGGCCTGTGTCTGTGACACAGCAGAAAACACTTAATCCCAGGCTCGGGGCAGCACTTGGTGCTGCTGGTGGACCTGCTCTTGCACAGCGAACCAGCCTTTGTTCCAACCCTGAAATCATTCTGCTGTCTCCTGGTCTGGACCTTCTGTGGCTCCAGGTTTCTTTATGCCGATTGTATTTGGAAGCATCCCTTTTCCTGGCCTCTTCGGGGTGACAGCTGTGTTGAGACAGACAGACACACACCACACACACACACACACACACACACACACACACACACACACACACACACACAGCACAGCCATTCCCCGATCAGGCAATGATGCACCGCGCATCCCTTTCCCTGTTTGCACTGCCTTTGCTGTGGAGCCCGGGGTCCTCTGTTGGGCCCTGAGAGGTGGACAAGGGGTCTTGGCGTTTCCCTGGAGACTCACCACGTGGTGGTGGGCAGCATTTGGTTGGCTCCTCACAGGGCCTCTGCTGCGCTGCAGAAGGTGAGGATGCTGGGGGCCCTGGTGTGGCCTTATTCTGGGGCATGCTTCTGGGGTGCAGTAGGGTGGGTGGGGCTTGCATTCCTGGCCATGACTCTAAAGCCTTTAACTTAATTTCTCAAAGCCCCTTCGGAGAAAGCCTTCTGGGGTTGGGATGTGGGGCTGGGTGAAAAGGGTCTTAGACTCATGAAGAGCTGTGTGCGTTTGATCTTTCCAGCAGTTCAAGAAGTTTGCCAGACATGAAAGGCTGGACGAGCCTGGTGATTAGATCCCTGTTCAGCCGCCAATGAGAGACTTTTGTTTTGTTTTGTTTTTTGTTTCAGATTTTGTCTTCCCCCACCGCCACCCCACTTTTTAGCTCTGTTTCTTTCTCTCTCGTCTCTGTGCGTCCGCATGTCTCTCTTTGTATGTCTCTGTATCTCTGTGTGTCTCTACTTATCTCTTTGTCTCTGTCTTTAAATGTCTCTGTCTCAGTATCTCTAAGGCTTTGTCTCTATTTCTCTCCTCCTCTCTCTGATGCTATCTCTCTGTGTCTATCACTGTCTCTCTCTGTCTCTCCCTTTCTGTCTCCCTCTCTAGCGCTCTGTTTCCTCTGTCTCTGCCTCTTTCTGGCCCAGTCCAGAGCCCTTGGCATGAGGACACGGGTGAGTCAGGGCTGGCTGCAATTGGACACCTCAGGGATACCAGCCAGTCCTGGTCCCTCTAAAGGGGAGCGATATGTGTACTTTCGGGGTGGTAGGGGGTGCGGGTAGTAATCTGGCGGTACATTCTGTCCCGGCCCCTTATAGGGAATTTACTCTCAGTTGGACCCACCTCCACCCTTACCCCCACCAGAGGGCTGTTCCTGGCAAAGCAGAGCAGCTTCACCATCAGGCACAGGACATGCCAGTTTCGAGAGACGTTTAGGATTTATGTGCAACCAATGAATAAGGCAAGTATTACATGGGACATTTGACTAGTTTATCTTGATCACTAAATGTCTAGGTGGTCACAAGACAACCTGACAGACGTTACTGGGAGAACTTGATATTTGGAGGTCACTTATATTTGAGCAAGGGTAGCATTCATGTTCACCTGCGCATTTGAGGGGCATGGGGACTGGTGTGCCCAGAGCCTGGAGGGCCCCCACGTGGCAGCCAAGGGAGGCTGAGGAGCCAGGTCAGTTTCCACAGCACTGGCTCCTCCTGGTCAGGGCAGACCTCTGCTGTCATAGCCTGAGCACCAAGGTGTGGCCCAGGAGAGGATCCATGGCTCTCTTGCCATCTGGCCCTGCTCCTAGGTGCTCACAAAAGTAATGACAGCAGAGGGGATGGGGCACATCCTGGGCACAGCGTGGGGGCTGATCCTCCCAGCCCAAGGCTCAGCAACCACAAAGGGCTGGGTCAGAACAAGCATGCGGTGTGTCGTCGGGTGTGAGGTGGAGGAAATGGCCATCTGTGGCCTGTGGAACTCAGATGGGCAAAGAGAACCCATGAAAGGCACCTGAGTGGTGGGTGACATGAGCAAATAATGTCTCTGTAGAAAGGCAAACCCGGCAGCTCTGCACTGGGTGCATAGAATTAGAGGCATGACAGGCCCTGGAAAAGAGACTGATCTATGAAATGCAGCCTCCAAGCGCAGATCTGATCTGAGAGGATCCGCAACTCCATGACCCTGCAGCTTGGTAGTGTGTGCACCTGTGTGTGTGTGCATGTGCATGTGTGTGCATGCGTGTGTATGCATGTTTGTGTGTGTGCATGCATGTGTTTGTGTGTGTGCATGCATGTGCGCATGTGTGTTCTGACTTGTGTCTTCCACTAAACTTCCATCTTTGACCACTCCCCTTCCCTCCCTGCTCCTTCCTGCAAATCCACTCCTGGGAGACCCTGAAGAAAGGGTGGGCAAATAACATGGAGCTAAATCTTTCAAAGCTGGGGGAGGGAATGGGGTCAGAAGACTGGTGCCAATCAACCTTCTTTCCCCCACCCATGAAAGTGACCAATTAAGAGATTCAGCAAATCCCACAGGTGCTTGTTCATGCATCAGCCGTGTTCACAACAGCCCATAAACTCCTCAATTGTTCAGACCAGCTATGGTACATCCACACACCGGCATGCCACTAGTGATGAAAAGGAGCTGTTTTCATAGCAGTTGAGGACCCTGCGGGACTCTATTCCTGAGCAGTTCTGCAACCGGCTAAAGGCTCCTGGCAATAGAACACACATCAGTGGTTGCCTTGGGGGAGGCCAGGACTTGGGGGGACCTGAGAGAGTTTTCTGGGATGATGGAATATTCTGTATCTTGACGGTGTGGTGTTTACACAGGTGACAACATCTGTCAGAAATCAATGGGTTGAGCCTTTAATATCTACCTTATTGTATGTAAATTCTAATTCAAGAAAATAAAATAGGCTGCCAATTCAGAAAAAGAAAGAAAAAAGAGGGAGCAGGAGGCATAGGATGTGGCCTGACTTCTCGAGGGTCCCTTGGGGTAAATACAGACACCCACCAGACCCACATCAGGCCTAGCGAACGCGGAGCCGCTGCCTGAAGGGGTGGGCTCCTTACCTTGAGCCCCTGCGTGCCTCACTGGCTCACCCCGTCCAGCCCTGCTGTGGGCTCCACGGACAGAGCTTCCCAGGCGTTAAGAGAGGCATGCATCCCGATTTTCATGTGCAATCTCTGTTTTTTAATATTGGCTGCAAACACCTAAATTTCAAAACATGAAGTGGTCCTCAAAGACCACATCAGGCCCTCTTGCCACTTTACCCCCTTATCCTTAAAAGTTTTGTCCTCGAGAGTGTTTCAGATGGCCTCAGAGCTGCTGGAGGTTCCCTTGTGTTTTGAGCACACCACAAATTCCTGATGTTCTTTGATTCAACTGACCAAGTGAGCAGGCTGGGGCCAGGTCAGGAAGAGGCCATCTTGGGCCAAGCTGAGAGGAATGGGTGCAGTGGGGGTAGGAAGGGGTCCTGTGGGAGAGAATCCAAGAAGGAACGTCCTCCCTGAGATGAAATGTTTACTGGTGTGATTCTTGTGCCGCAGGTTGGGAGAAGGGACCAAGGCTCAGGTTCGACTGGATGCCAGTCTCCCAGTGGGTCACCCTGGGTTTGGATCTGTGTCCCCGCTCAAATCTCATGTCCAGTTGTAATCGCCAGTGTTGGAGGTGGGGCCTGGTGGGAGGTGATTGGATCATGGGGGTGGATCCTTCATGAACGGGTTTGCCCCATCCCCTGTGGTGCTGTTCTCCTGATAGAGTTCTCAGGAGACCTTGTTGAGTGTGTAGCACCTCCTCCTTCTCTCTGTCTGCTGATCCCACCATGGGAAGAAGTGCCTGCTTCCCCTTCGCCTTTCACCATGATTGTAAGTTTCCTGAGGCCTCCCCAGAAGTCGAGCAAATGCCAGCATCATGTTTCCTGTACAGCCTGTGGAACTGTGAGCCAATTAAACCTCTTTTCTTTATAAATTACCCATACTCAGGCCAGGCACAGTGGCTTGTGCTAGTAATCCCAGCACTTTGGGAGGCTGAGGTGGGTGGGTCACTTGAGCCCAGGAGTTTGAGACCGATCTGGCCAAGATGGTGAAACCCCATCTCTACTAAAAATACAAAAATTAGCTAGGCATGGTGGCATGTGCCTGTAATCCCAGCTACTGGGAAGGCTGAGGCATGAGAATTACTTGAACTGGGGAGGCAGACGTTGCAGTGAGCCAAGATCACACCACTGCATTCCAGCCTGAGTGACAGAGTGAGACTCTGTCTTGAAAACAATAAAAAATAAATTAAAAATTACCCATACTCAGGTGTTTCTTTACAGCAGTGTGAGAACAGACTAATCCATACCCCATGAGGAAAGCTGGGGTGTGTGAGGAAAGCTGGCCCCATTTTGGTGCTGTCTGCAGAGACGTGGCCTCCTGCCTTTCTCTCCGGGATACCCCAACGTCTTTCCACAGCCTCAGGGCCCAGGGTCCCCATCTACCTGAGCCAGGGCTACAGGTCTCCCTTCTTCCCTCCTCAGCCCCTGGGACTCCACTCCCAGCTGCATCAGGAGCTCACAGTGATGACTCCCTCCCACAGGCTTTTGTCTTTAAAATGAATATCACAGCAGCTGTAGGGACTAAAGGAGGCGATGTCTGCAAAAGCAGTGATGGTTGTCAGCAGTGGAGTCTTCTGGAATCTCTAAGCCATCTGGGGATGGAAATGTCACTGTGGGTGGGAGAGAGGAGGGGCTTTCCCCGTGGCCTGGGCGCTGCCAGAGTCTTTCACATTGCCATGGTCCCAGGGTCTCTGATGGGTAAGCACGGTGGCGAGAGTGCAGGTTCTGGAGAGGAGAGAGAGCCAGCCTGGGTTCAGATCCCATCTCTGGGAACTTACGCACTATGAGACCCTACGGAAATTATTTAATCCCTCTGAGCCTCAACTTTCTCTTCTCTAAAATGGGAAAACAACAGTACCTGCCTCATAGGGCTGTTGTGAGGATTAAATGAGTTAATACATGAAAAACACTCACAGCCCTAGCCAATAAATGCTTGCAAAATAGGCCTTTCCTGGCTGGGAAAACAACTTAAGGCAAATTATAGATGGATGTTGATGAAAGACTCTCTTTCCTGTAAGTAAAAAGGTTGAGACTCATTCTCAATTTGAGTCACCACAGGGTAATTATGTGGAGGTGAAACAGTGTGGGCCGTGTCCTCCAAGAGAATGCAGGTTGCAAATCCCAGCCTAACTATACACCATCCTTGGCCAATGAGGGTGCGTTTCTAGCTCTTCACTCCCTCCCTAGTCGTAGGATCGGAGTTTGCGGTTGCCGCTCTGTGGGCTGGTGTGCCTCCCGCTCCACCCCTGTCTCTGGGCTCAACCATAGGACTTGCTTTGGCCAACAGGAGTTAACAGATGTGATGCATGCAGAGGCCTGGGATGTGTGCACAGATGGGATCGATCTCTTGCACAGCTGCCCTCACCATGAGAAGAATGTGTCCCGCATTCCCTTGCTGCTGGCCCCGGTATGATGACCCTATACAGAGCCCTTACATCAACCATCTTTGTTATTTCCCACCACAGTCCTAGGAGAGGGTCTTGTCATCCTATTGCAGATGAAGAAACTGAGGCCCCACTGGGGTCACAGGACTTTTACCCTGATCACACCAGTGGTTGGTGGCGAGACCAGAAGCCTGTGTCCCTCTGACCTCACCACCTTTGGTCTGAGCCGAGCTTCTCCCACAGCAGGACTCTCTTACAAACCCATATCCCCTCCAGTAGGCAGGAGAGGTTCCTGGTCAGCATTAAGAAACAGCACATGGGGTGCCACATTTTCCTGCTCAGGTAGACTGAGGAACTGAGCCAGACTCACAAAGAAGACATTTGCCCCCTGAATCTAGTTAAGTGGTTTCTGTCTGGAGTGCAGTGAGCAGCTCCTGATTGCCAAGGGGAGGTTTAAAGTTGCCACCTGAAGGAAGATAATTTCATCAGAAAAGGCTGCAGCCTTTATAGATGATGCCCCGGGAGCCCTCGAATCTCTAGAGAGGACTGATGGTTGCTTGTTTGCTGGCGGATACGGAGAGAGGGAGGTGCGAATAGGAAAATGGAGCCGGGGTGGTCTCCAGAGGCCCGGAGTCAAATTCCTTACCAGCCAGCCAGCTTGTCCCAAGTGCCTAGGAGCCGACCAAGTCACAGCCTCTGGGATTGACAATGGCCGGGAATGGCGGATGTGATTCAGATAGGAGTAGGGACAGTGGGGAAGCTGAGGCAGAAGGTGGCTGAGAACTGGCCCCATACATACCGTCGTCGAGGAGGGTAGAAGGGTTGCAACGGCCTCGAGGGAAAAGTTCTCGCGTGAAAGTTGTTTTTCACATAAACATTCCCTAAGACCCGCATGTGCCACAAGCCTTCATCCTATTCCCCTCTCTTTATGACCCTAGCAGGAGGAACTGCAACTCCTATTTTACTGATGGAGAAACAGGGGCTCAGTGAGATGAAGGCCTTGAGCAAGGTCACCCCACTGAGAATCGTGTCTGGGCACGTGTGACTTCAGAGCCATGCTCTTTGGGTAAAAAGTTTGACCCCAAGCAGTGTGATATGGTTAGGCTTTGTGTCCCCACCCACATCTCATCTTGAATTGTAATCCCCATAATCCCCACGTGCCAAGGGAGAGACCAGGTGGAGGTAATTGAATCATGGGGGTGGTTTCCTCCAGGCTGTTCTCGTGACAGTGAGTTCTCACGAGATCTGATGGTTTCATAAGGGGCTCTTCCCCCTTCACTCAGCACTTCTTCCTGATGCCTTGTGAGGAAGGAGCCTTGCTTCCCATTCACCTTCTGCCATGATTGTAAGTTTCCTGAGGCCTCCCCAGTCTTGCTGAACTGTGGCTCAATTAAACCTCTTCCTTTATAAATTACTCAGTCTCAGGCAGTTCTTTATAGAAGTATGAAAACAGACTAATACACTGCGTCTACCCTGTGTATAGGCATGGAACATAGGTAGGCCTGGTATGCCTTTGGTTGGAATGTGTTCATTAAAAGGAATCATTAATACAATGATACCTAATTTACTTGGCCTCAGAGTATGTGGTATTCTTCAAGTCAATTTGCTAGAGCTTACTACTTGAAGCATTTTGATTTCTGTAACTCTCAATAGTTTGGGGTGAAATCACTCTTGACAATCAGTTGTTGCCTTGCTGAGAAGCATACTAATCATAATTCAGTCTTCTCTAGAGAACTCTGGTAACCACTATGAACAAAGGTGGCTCTGCTGCAGTAAAAGAGGTGCCCCTTGAGCCACTGAAGTGAATTGGATTATTCACCCTACACTGAATGGGCCCGAGTTTCTAGCATTATAGGGCTGTTTTTAAGTCTCACCTCCACTGTCATATTATCAGTTGTAACGTCAGCTGCTGTCTAAGGCCATCTCCACCCCATGTGAATGGCTGTGGACAAGGAGACGCTATGGCCAAACCTTTTAAGTGTGTGTTAAATATATGTAAATAACAGAGCAATGGCTGATGGGCCTCCTGCAGTGACTTGGTGACATTTACACACCTGTCATTGCTACTCAAGTTCTTCTCTGCTTTCTTCCCGACTCTCAGTGGTGTTATAGGCATTTGCGTTGCCCCACCTATTACATCCAGATAAGTAACGACTCACACATGAGGTTGGAGCAATATAAGGAAAATCTGTTTGCTGAGAGTGGGCATAAAAAATAGATTCCGGGCTGGGCGTGGTGGCTTATGCCTGTAATCCCAGCACTTTGGGAGCCTGAGGCGGGTGGATCATTTGAAGTCAGGAGTTCGAGACCAGCCTGGCCAACATGGGGAAACCCCATCTCTACTAAAAATACAAAAAAAATTAGCCGGGTGTGGTGTTGTGCCCTTGTAATCCCAACTACTCAGGAGGCGGAGGCAGGAGACTTGCTTGAACCCGGGAGGCGGAGGTTGTAGTGAGCTGAGATTATGCCACTACACTCCAGCCTGGGCGACAGAGCGAGAAACTGTCTCAAAAAAAAATAGTAATAGATTCCGTGCATCAAAGGCCATGTAAAAATCTGCACACAGATGTTCTTAGCAGCTTTATTGGTAACAGCTAAAAACTACAAACAACCCAAATGTTCTTCAGTGGGGTGAGCATCGACTGCGGTGCCTCCATATAGTAGAATGCTGTGAAGCCATGAAAGGGAAAGAATTTTGATACACACAACTTGGATGGATCTCAAGAGCATTAGATGAAGTGAAAAAAGCCAATCCTTAAAGTTTCCATGCTGCATAATTCCACTTGTATAACATTCTCAAAGCGACAAAATAACAGTGATGGAGAACCGTTCACTGGTTACCAGGGGCTAGGCATGCAGGGAGGCTGTGACTATAAGGAGGGAACATGAGGGAGTTTCTTTGTGGTGATGGAACTTTCTGTATCTTGATTGTGGTGGTGGCTATACAAATCTATACGTGGGATAAAATTTCATAGAACACCAGAAAAAAAACAAAGAGTGCATGTAAAAATCAGCACAATCTCAGTAAGGCCTTCAGTTTGGTTAACAGTAACTAGTAATGCAGCAATTTCCTGGTCTTGAAAATGGTACTATGGCTAAGTAAGATGTTATCATTGGCGGAGGCTGGGTGAAGGGTACAAGATAATTCTCTGTACACTATCTTTGCAACTTCTATGTGCATGTAAAATTATTTCAAATTAAAAAGTTGAATCATTTTTTAAAGCCTAAGACAGCCAATAGAAATAATTTTGGGATTATCTGGTGTTCTGAATTATATCTACCATGGTTCCCTTCCAATTGTGAGTCTTCCATTTATGCGTAATGTTACAATATAATTATATATCTTTGTGGCCTATAAAATAATTTTTCCCAGTTCTCTTTTCATTATTATAATGCTAATTAGTATTCATCATGGCTCTGTCTGAACTCTTTTATTTACCTGAACCAATGACCCAGATTCGAAGCAGCTGTGAGAGGAGAGGAGCTGGGTAGGGAGGTGACAGGCAGGAATGGCGACACTAGACTGTCAGCTCCATAAGGACGTATCTGGGTTTTCTTTCTTTCTTTCTTTCTTTCTCTCTCTATCTCTCTCTCTCTCTCTCCTTCCTTCCTTCCTTCCTTCCTTCCTTCCTTCCTTCCTTCCTTCTTTCTTTCTTTCTTTCTTTCTTTCTTTCTTTCTTTCTTTCTTTTCTTTCTTTCTTTCTTTCTTTCTTTCTTTCTTTCTTTTTCTTTCTTTCTTTCTTTCTTTTCTTTCTTTTTTTTAAACTGCTGCTTCTCCAGTGCCTAGAACAGGGTCTGAAATGCTCAATAAATATTTATTGAGTGCGTGTATGTGGACCCAGGGGTGTGTGTCCATATGACCAGTGTACACTAAGCCATAGGACGTACCCGTGCCGCCTCCTTGGCTATCACTAACTATAAATACTTGGAGACAGACTACAGTTTTATGGCCTTTCTGCATGGGGATGGGACACACCAGCGTCTATCGGGCACTCACCACTAGCCAGGCTGTACACTCATCCACTTCTCACTCGTGTCCAGAGAGGCACGAGTGATTGTCCTGAGAGGCACGAGATTGCCTAATGCATCCCCAATTGCAGGTAAGAGGACGGAGGTTCAGAGACGTTGTGCAAGTTGCTTAAGGGCACGTAGCTTGTGTAAGGCAGAGGTCCTTCTTGCACCCAGATCCACTGGCTGCCCAAGCCTGCATTCCTCCCATTGCACGTCTTTTCCATGCAGACTCCTTGCTCTGGGTTTGTAATAGGGACAGCTGTATAAATTGTGATGCATGGGCCAAAATTAGTTGGAGTTTATTTTTTGAGATGGGATCTCTGTCACCCAGGCTGGAGTGCAGTGGTGCAATCATGACTCACTGCAGCCTCAACCTCCCTGAGTTCAAGTGATCCTTCCACCTCAGCCTCCTGAGTAGCTGGGACTACACGCACTTGCCACCACACCTAGCTAATTTTTAAATTTTTTATAGAGATGGCATCTCACTATGTTGCCAGGCTGGTCTTGAACTCCTGGGCTCAAGCGATCCTCCTATCCCAAAGTGCTGGGATTATAGGCCTGAGCCACTGCACCTGGCCTAGTTGGATATTTGAAATTAGATTTATGCAGGAGTGTCTGGGTTATTATTGAGGTCTGATTCATCTCTTCAAAGAAAGGGGTCAGTGTCCCCAATGTCACTTTGGGCCATACATCATGAACGGAGTCACAAGTTATGGGGCTATTTCCCAGGTGTTTCTGAGAGAAGAGTACCAGGCCCAGAAGTGTTTTGCAGACCTGTCAGGGATCAGAGGACATCAGCAACAAGAATGCGGCCGAGTGGACCTTTCCGGGGGAGGCAAGGTGGGAGAGGAAGGGAGACCCGGGGACATAGAGGATCTTTCACAGCAGGTGCCAAGACTCTAGGTCCTCCTCCTACATTCTGGTGAATGATCATTGCCACCTGGCTGGAATTTGTGCAAAATTGGCTGCATTCTGGGAAAAGCACTTGTCAAATCCTCCCAGAAAAGAGCCTGGAGCCAACATGTCCCTCAGAAACTGTCCTTCTGCTGCCCCCCACCCCCCAACCCCAAATGCCTTCTGCCCCTGGACACCTGAGCAGTTCTTATGTCTTTGCATAGATTAGGAGGATATTCCAATTTATTCTGCATTAAAAGCCACTTTTCTTACATGCTTCTTCCTCTGAGTGACAGCTATGGCTTCAAGCAGTTCTCTTTTTAGCTAAAAAAGCTTATCAACTATGTGGCCACTGAACTCCATACACTCTTCAGAGTTGGTTAGTATTATGGACACTTCTTTAAGGAATCATCTGAATCTTTAAGCTGTAGGAATTGACCCATTAGTGGATCATGAGATTAATTTAGTGGGTCACATCCAGCACTTATGAAAGTAAAATAGAATCAAATAAAATAGGGGAGGAGGTATCAGAATGAGAAAGGTATTGCATGCGGTATGAGGATGTTTGTTTCACGAGCCTTCTGTTTCAGGGTGTGTATGGTGTGTGTATTCAGGGGTTAGGGTATGGGGGTAGAGGCAGCTGACTGGCTAGCAAAGCTGTACTCCTCTCCATAGTATCAGTGTGTCCCTAGGAAGGGGCTGCCCTTGTGTCTAGGTGGGCCGCTGGGTGACTTGCTTTCCCAGTGGAATGTGATTAAAAGTGACACTTTACTTCTTAGTCAAAGTGTCTCTGACATTGGTGGGAAAGTCCTAAAGGATGGAGCCTCAATGTGGCTGGGTCCCTGAATCACTGCATGGAGGAGAGTCACACACAAACCAGGAAGCCTCACTTTGATACTTATGTCTGTGAGAAATGGACTTCTCTTGTTTTAAGCAACTGACATTTTGGAACCTGTGTGTTATATAGCAGCAGACACAATCCTATTTAATATATCATGGAATATATTTTTAAGCCAGTCAAATTTCATCATAAAATGTATTTATTACTGTGGGGTCTGGTCAAAAAAGTTTGAAAAAAGTGCCTGCTCGGCTGGGCGTGGTGGCTCATGCCTATAATCCCAGCGCTTTGGGAGGCCAAGGTGGGTGGATCATGAGGTCAGGAGTTCAAGACCAGCCTGGCCAAGATGGTGAAACCCCATCTCTACTGAAAATACAGAAAAATTAGCCGGGTGTGGTGGTGGGCACCTGTAATCTCAGCTACTCGGGAAGCTGAGGTGGGAGAATTGCTTGAAACCCAGGAGGTGGAGGTTGCAGTGAGTTGAGATCGTGCCACTGCACTCCAGCCTGGGCAACAGAGCGAGAATCGTCTCAAAAAAAAAAAAAAAAAAAAAAAAGCCAGCTCTACCCCAGCCTCCTTATTTTTCAGATGGAGTGTCAGAGAGAGTGGGGCCTACCCACTGTCTCCTGGACGAGCTGGGACCAAACCCAGCCTACGCAGGAGGGGTCATAACATGAGGCCTGTATCTGCTTTGTTCCCATGGAATCCGGTAAAGTGGATCCCCAGTTCGACTCCAGCAGGCCCATCTCTCACCTGTCTGCCACGTCCACACTGCCACCAGGGACAGAGCTAACATCTGGCTCTGCTTCATGAGGCCTCCAGCCCCAGAGCAGCTCAGGGACAGGAAGGATGAACTCTGCCTGGCCTTGCTGAGCTAGTTCTCGGGGCTCCCACTGCAAGCTCTGTGGTTAACGCCTCTGCTGACAGCGGACAGGACAGACTTTCTCTGAAAGTCTGAGTTTCTCTGAATCTCTGAGGTGCAGGATTCTCAGAAACCCAGCGGCAGCCTTGCCACGCACCACCGCTGCGACACTGGGTGAGTCACACACATGCCCAGGAACATGCCTCCATATCTTGTGACAGGGTGAGTTTGGTCCCTGGTGCTGGTGCTGCACGGTAGATGGAAGCACAGCGGCTGCTGCGATCATGCAGAGCTTGTCACCTCCAGGAGTTAGAAGCCACCCAAATCCTGCCATTCAGGTGCTGGGGGAGGGAAAGTCCTGAGGGGCAGAGCTTCTGGGCTGTCTGCACACATGTGGCCACATCAGCCCAAGGCTTTGCCTTCCCCATCACCGGCCCCCATGGGGAGACTGGGAGGAGTTAATGCAGGTGACAGCCAGACCCAGGGCCTGGAGTTTGACAGGCTTAATACCCTTGCAACACCCCTGCGAGGTGGCCAAGCTAGGCATTTGCCCCAGCCCCACCCCCCAATATTAACGACGGGGAAATGGAGGCTCCTGGAGCTTGCTTGTCTTGCTCATAGTCCCCTCTTGATTGGCTGACAGCGGGATAGATGGACCCCTGGCACCTTGAGGGAGGAGTCAGGCAGGCAGGGCTCACGGCACTGGTGTCTGATGGACACTAACATCTCTGAATGAACTGGGGTTGGTTGACACTGGCTTCTATCTTTCCCCAACCTGTAAGCAGCCTGGGATTTGATCAGAGTTGATTATGACTCTTTCCCCAGGGGTGATGTTTGTGGGAGGGGCAACGTTTATGGGAATGAAAGCAAAGAATGACAAAGAGGTTTAGGAAAAACCTGGGACTGGCTGGTCCTCAAGATCTGGGGAGGAGGTGGTTTCTGCGCTCTCCCCCACCCCACCGTTCTGGGCTCCCAGAGTCATCTACTCATCTCCTCCTCCTCTACATATTCATATTCACCCCTCACACTCCAGTGGCCCAAGCTCAGTCCCTTCAAGGGAGGCTGGTCTAGTTGTGTCCCTCCCCAGGGGGAAAGGGAACTGGGGCTTCCTGAAGGGTCTCTGCCACATCCTTCCCATCTGAAATTATCTCATTCATTCACTGGGCATTGCCTTTCTCTCCCACTGGACTGCAAGCTCCCTGAGGACAGGCATCTTATCCATCTTGTTCACTGCATGTCTCCAGCCCCCAGCACAGTGTTTGGCACATGGTAGGCTCATAAATATGGGTAAATAAATAGCTAAGGCTCAGAGTCCCTCTTTTCAAGATAAGAAATGCAGAATCTGGACTTGGACATGAATATATTCAGCAGAATGCAGGGAGGTGTAGGACAAAGGCCTGGAGAACGTGTACAGTCCTAAGATGGGAGAGTTTACAAGAGATGGATCCTGCTAGTCAGAGTTATCAGGAAATAGCCACTGCTGCATAACGACCTTCCCCAAAACTCAGTAGCTTAAAACAATCATTTAGTTTGCTCACAATTTTGTACTTTGGGAAGGGTTTGGTGGGTATACCTTGTCTCTGCTCTGCACAGTGTCATTGAGGCCAAAGGATCCACTTCCGAGATGGTATTGTAAGCTGTTATTGACTGTTGGCTGCTCTCCACATTGCTGCTTGGGCTTCCTTGCAGCATGGTGGCCAGGTTCCAAGTGTGAATGTACCAAGAGACAAGAAGTAGTCCCATCTGATGCCGCATCATGTCCTCCATAGTCTACTGGTTGAGAAGTCACAGAGCCAAGATTCAAGGGCCTCTTCATGGGACCGGTGTCAAAGAGTTTTGGGGTGTGCTTAAAAAACATATCTAAGGTTTCCTGGGGGAGAGGAGTGAGCAGCTACACATACTGCAGGGTTTGGATGGGGCCTGTAAGCTCCCCAGAATGGCTGGAGTGCCTTAGTCTACCACCGGATGACTGAGGTCTCACTCCTGCTACCCTGCAGAAGCCTGCAATGAGCATGGCAGATTATAGTCTCCAAAAGTGGCCGCAGCACTTCCAGTCCCACATGTGCTTCTGGAACATTACCCTCCCCATCAATAAGTGCTATCGATTTTCACTCCCCTTGAATCTGCGTGGGCTTGTGACTACCTTGATGAATAGAATGTGGCAGAATTGATGCTGTGTGCCTTCTGAGGCCAGTCATAAAAGGTGAAATGGCTTCCACCTACCTGCCTTCCCCTCAGACACTCGTTCTTGGATCCCAGCCACCATGCTGCAAAAAAGCACAGGCTGCATGTAGGTGCTCTGGCTGACAGCCCAAGCTAAGGTCCCAGCATCAACCACTGGACATCACAAAGACCAGCCTTCGAGTCTTCCAAAGACCCAGATGTGACAGGGGTACCAGTGACAAATCATCCCCACTGTGCCCTACCTGAATCCCTGCCCCACACAACCCACAAACATAATAAATTGTTGCTGTGTGACACAAAGCGGAATATAACAACGGGACTTCAGGAGCAGTTCAATGTGCAGGATTCTGGTGGAGCCTCACCAAAGAGCAGGTTGGCCACTGAAGCTGGCATTCACCCCTGTAACCTGGAGGGCAGGGAGAGGTGTTGTGGGCAGAGGAAAGGGCAGGTGTGCAGCCTTGGGCAGGAGGGACGCCAGTGGGGCTGCGGTGGTCAAGGAACCACCTGTCATCCTGAGGGCTCGGAGGGACTCTTGGTGGTATCTGCTTCCAGGTGAGGGGGTGACGAGGTGAGCTGGAGTCGAAGGAACAAGGCCACTGGCCAGACCTGAAAGTGGGAATGAGGCCTTCTCTGTGGTGGGATAAGGCAGGGTCTGACCAAGCTGTGGGATGGTCCAAGGGCCAGGAAGCTGTGCATGGACCACTGGGCCCTGGCATTGACAGCTGGGTAGCTCAGGACCAGGGGCAGAGCTGAGGGCAGGAGGTAGGGATGTTGAGGGCCAAGCATGTTGTCAGAAAGGCAGTGAATGACGATCTCTTTACAACATGGCCTTTGTTGGTTGTCCTGCCCTTCACAGCACACTGTGGGGGACTGGGGGTGACATCTGCTGCAGCCCCATGACCCTTTCAGTTATACTTACACCTTGTTAAATATCCCTTAACTTTTCTGGGTCTGACACATGGGAGGGGCTCCTGCTGCCAGGCAGCTGCTGGAGCTACATCCCAGATGATGGGTCGGTGGCATGCCCTCGGGACCCTTCCGGGGCTCCCCAGCTGGCACAGCCTATGCAGTCTCTGTTAGCTATCACTGAATGGCTGGGCAGCATCAAGTCCTTCCTGAGGGGCCATCCCCATTACTGCAAGTGCCCGTGGGAAAATGCAACTGCCTGGCTGCTGTAAGTCCACCCCTCAGCTCGGTTTCTACCATTTGCTGAGCAGGAAGTGGGAGTGCTCCACCGCTCACCGCAGAGGGCTGGACGGCAGGCTCACGCTGGGCCCCGCTCACCCCACTCACCTCTGTGGTCTCCTGGCACCCCTCCCAGGCTGCATAGAGGATTTCTTCTGGGCTACCTTAGTATTTAATTTTGTCGTTGTTGTTGTTGTTTGTTCCTAATATAGAAACATGTCTCTTCCAGCCACTCCCGGCAATCTGAGGGGCATTTTGTGTGTCCCCAGCACCTGTACAGCCTCACACTTTGAAGGTGTCCAATCACATCTGCTGGAGGAACAAGTGGCCCAATGTTGCATGGATCCTCTGGGTCGGTGTCATCTCTCTGGGTCGGTGTCATCTGTCCCCTCTCACCAACAGGTACGCTGCTCAGAGCACAGAAGTTACTGGTGACATACACATGTCCTTAAAAGGCTAAGAATGCTGGCTGTGGCAGAGGCAAACTACTAAATGAAATGGCGCGTCAGTAGCTCCTCCAGCAGGGCCTGATTAGCCGTGGGTAATGTTCACTTGTGAGAGGGGGCAACTCGGCAGGCCTGGGAGCAAGAACTCACACAGAGGGCCTGCCCTGGCCCTCGAAGAACCATAGACGCCGGGGCAGCAGCCTCTCAGCACCACCCTCATCTGTGAGGACTCTGGGCCCACCTAACAACCTGCACTCTCTTCCCACTCACCCCTGGCCTTGGTAGGGGGTGAGCCAGGGACAACCCTTCTGCCTGGAGAAGGGGCTCAGGAAGAAGGGTGTCTAGGGTGTCTTAGCTTGAATTCCCCCAAGAAGCTGACCCTGAGAAAAGATTCAAGAGCAACTGGAGCTTAACCCTGCAGGGAAGCCACCAGCACTCACATCAGGGTGCCTCCACCCAGGAGCTAGGGGCCTGGGTTGTTATGCACTGACTCCTCAGCCTTTGACTGAGAGCTGCTCCCAGGAGATGTCATTCCCTCACACTTGCTAGCAACTTTCTAGGGCCAGGAGCTCAGCCTCAGGTGGAGAGGTGCAGGGAGGGCAGGAGGAGGTTTCAGAAGCACTGAAGCAGTCACGCCCAAGGGACATGGGTGAGACTCCTGGAGGCCAGAGGGGGATGCCAGTGCATGTGTGGCTGTCACTGGTCTGAGGAAGCTGGGGTCACCCTCACTAGCAAGATCCATTTGAGGAGTGTACCAGGCCCTCCAACCTTTTGATGGTAGAACCTGTGGGGAGGGGCTGTGCCCCACAAGAGGAAAAGCTACTTGCTAGCTGGGTTGGGGACAGAGGCCCAGGCTAGAGATGGGCCCAGGTGCAAATTCTAAGCTGCCATTGGCATGATGGCTCTGCCTAAGCTATAGAGATCCCCCTCCCCATCCCTCCTAGTTTGTCACTTAAGACTATACTCACCTTTCCCCCAACCTCACCTGTGGCCTTTTCACCAATCCCACATTGGATTGGTGGAAGTGCAGCTACCAGGGCAAACCTGGCGCTGATGGATAGCAAGCCACTGGGGCTGCCCCCAAAATGGTCTCTTGGACCAGTGGGCTGAGCAGGGCTGCCTCAGGGTGCGACCCGGGCCTCCCAGCAGCCTCTGAGGTCCTGGCTGTCAATGGTCGGGGTAGGACTACATGACCTCCAGGGGCTCTTCCAGAATTAAGCATCGTCTTTGAAACTGTCGGGCATTTCATGGTATGTCAGGCTCTGTGCTAAGTCCTTTCAATTGTTATCCTCTTCAATCCCCACCACACCCTATGAACTAGGTGACTACTCTCTTCAGTTTGCAGATAAGGAAACTGAGGCCCCAGAAGTTAAGAAACTAGCCCAAGTTAGAGAGGAAGGGAATGTCAGAGTTGGGTGTGAGCCCTGGGCGAGGCCTAGGACCTGCCCAGTGGTGATGTGAGGCTGGACCACAGTGCTGGGGCTGGACCAACCTCTGCGTCCGGGCTGGGACATGGTTCCATCGTCCACGCCCCACCTGGCTATGCACTCCGAGGGACTCCTCTGGGCCGGGCCTGGTCAGCACCTTGTGCCCCAACGCGTGGCCTGGAATAAGTCAAGCTATAGTCTCAGTTTGACATTAGTCTTTTATTATAACCATATTGAATGGGGTCGCTTTGCCAAAAGGAGAAATCATTTCTTAAATCAGTATGAGTTATAGCATAAAGATGGATGAGAAAAAAGCGATAGGGCATACATGGCGTCACTGAATATTCCATCAATCAAATGAATTGTGCCACTGTGAGAAAAACTACTATGACAGCTTTTACATCAAAGTGGTCTCAAGCCTGTTTATACGAACTTTATATATCTTTTTAACAGTATAAAAAGAGAGCTTTAGTAAGTAACACTGAGAAAGCAGTCTGGCCTTTGAGAAGGAAGCCTGGCTTGCCAGGTGCCATCCTCAATGTATCCGGCCTCTTCTCTCTGCTCCACAGCCTCCCCAGTGCCCCTCCTCCAGACACACAGGGCAGGGGCCAGGGGCCAGGTGTGTGTCCGCAGGAAAGGAGGGATGGAATTGGTTGGAGCCGCCACAGAACGGCCACTCTATGTGGGGACCTAAGTCCTCCGTACACACTCCTGTTCTATAATGAACCCTTGGAGCAGTTCCTTAAAAAAATAAAATAAAAACAAAAATAATGTGCATCAACTCTGACTCACAGGTTATTCTTAGGAGGCCAGCATGACTGCCACAGAGTTTGATATTTGTTCAGCATCTCTGACAAAGTAGAGGAGGCATTCCTGTTGAGAGCGGGCAACTAACCCCCAACTCCCTGAAGCAGCTTCCTTAGCAACCCCAGGGCTGACAGCACAAGAGTCAACTGGTCATCTGCAGGCAAGGCAAATCACAGGGAGGTCCTGGTTTATTTTTAGAGTCACATTCTTTCTGCAGTGATATTATTTCTTTCCGGATTGCAGTTACCTCTGAACATTAGCAGGAGGTCAGCTTTGGAAGAGTAATCCAGTGTAACTAAATGTTTAATGTGTTATCTGACCCTGTGGCATACACTCAAGGTAAGGCAAAGTAATTAGACTTGCTAGTCTGTAACTCTCACACGTAATGTACAAAGCTAAATTTTAACTCAAATTCCAATCTGATCAAAGAGGAATGCATGAAACACATAGGGACACATATAAAAACAGGAGATGATGATGATGGGAATTAATCTAAGCTTCATGTATACAAAATGTATTTAACTGCTAATAATCAAAACGTAAGAAGGGTTCCACTGATTACATTTGTTAACAAAACACAATATATTCAGGATTTAAAAAATGTACAATTAAACATAAGTATCTGATAATATAATAAAAAGGAGCACATATTCTTTAATAGCACTGTAACTAATAAAATTGCAAATAATACTCAACTATGAAGAATTTAAAAAAACACTTAAAAAACATAAGGCAGTAATACAATTGTCTGAGTATGAGCCTGTGGGAATTTGAGGCTGGTACTACCCATGACCCACTGTCCTTGTATGTCTCTCTCCTCCAAGGAGGTGGTGAGCTTGCTGGGGGCCACAGAAGCACAGGATGGAGAGGACCGAGAGGACCTGCCTCTAGTGTGCAGCAGGGCTGGGAGTTTTCAGTGACTATTAAACACCCAGCCAACTGCAGGGAGCCAGCGGAGAGCCTTATTGGCATGGTGGGTGCCTAGTGACTCTTGCAGGGCGAGTGACCCTCAGCTATCATGACTCTAGCTCTAGGGCAAAGGAAATACTAGAGGTCAGCAGGTGACACTGGCCCTGCTGCCCAGGGATGGCCAGGTCTGTGGTCCTTTCCAGTCTGTCCCAGAGCCCTGGTGGGAACAGCTCTACACCTCTTACCTTAGAACTGAAAACACTGACACCTTCCCAAGGTGAGAAAGTGACCAATGGCAACCCTGCACAGTTGCAAGGTCACTCGCTGTATGGGGGCCCCGCGGCTTTTACAAAGTGTTGTCATAGGGATATGTGCTTGGCAGCAGCTTACTCAGAGGTGCTGAGAGGAACACTCAGAGCCAGAAGCCAGGGAGCTACTGTGTGCATCTGCCAGGCAATTGCCCAGTGGTTGAAGGTCAGACAACCTGCTGTCTGGCAAAACCAGTTATTATTCACCTTACATGCTGATGTGGTAAGAGGAGAGTTCCCTGCTAGAGTTTAAGAGCAAATTGCAGAACCAATTAGAACCCTCTCTACAGTAGCTGACTTGAGAGTGAGTCACCATTTTCTTGGAGGGCAGGTGGGAAATCATGTCATTATCACATTTGTCTATAGAGATATATAAGGTTAGCAGTGGGAGGGACGTAAACAGTGTCTGTTCCTCTATACTGAGCTTTCATTTGTTACCATGAAGGCCTCCACTGCCCGGCTGCCTCGCCATCCTCTGAGGACAGGCTCAAAGAGCTAGTCATCCCTGGCATGGCTGCTCTCCCTGATGGAGGCGAGACAGGCACTGTGTCCCTCTGCCATCCTCACCCACTCCTGTTAGAATTCCTGCGCAGGCAAAGGAGAGGAAAAGCATCCTTTCCAGGGATCTTCTTTAAGGAGAGAAACAGCTCATGTGATGCTCTGTGCCCATCATGGTTTCCTAAGGTGCTGACTGACAAGGGGGAGAGTCTCTAATCTGTGCTCAGCCCAGGAAGGCACTGGCATGTCAGACCCGGTCCCGGCAGTGGGGCCCAGGATACGGGGTTCACAGCTGAGCACAGGCCCTGCAGTACCTACACTTGACTTCCAAGAAGGGAAGGGGTTGTGTAGAAATCCTGCATCCTCTTGGCATGTGGAATGTTCTCTAGGTATCCTTATTCCCCACAGAAGGGACTCTAGGTCCAATTCTCTGTCTTATGACTGCTACCTTAAGGCCAATGAGGGATTCTGACTTTGGGTGGGAATGAACTTGGGTTTTTCCCTTTATTCCTCAGTTGACAGGTATATACAGCTCTGAAACCAGAGAAACCTGACTAGAAAACTGACTGTCTGAAAGATGTTTATCCCATAAAGTCAAGGTCGCATTTTCCATTTGAAGGATAGTAATATTCTTATATCTTTTGAAATCAGTGCAGCTAAAACTGGCTTACAGTAATCTTGTTTTCTGGCTATGAAAGATTCTAAAAGGTGAAATATAATTGTTTAAGGAGAGATATTGATGGCCAAAGTTGATATGGCCTAAGGATTGGAGATGCATTCTTTAATACATCAAAAAAATCTAACACTATATCACACCTAAATATTATTCCTAAGCTTAGATCCTGTTTGCAGAGATCCTTATAACTTTGAGAGGTCAGTAATGAGGTTTTTTCTTTTTTTTTTTCCCCCAGCCCTGGAATCCACTAGTTCTGGTTCATTCTATTGCATTTAGCTCTGCGATATGGCTTCCCAATGCAGGAATAAAGTAGGCTGAGACAGATTTCCACAGAGGAAGCTTTCTTGGTATAAACCAATTTTCCCATGTCTGATGCTTTGAGGGATAGAAGATACGAAAATAACTATTTCTGCTCCTTCTAAGTATAACTGATGGAGGTGCCACACATTCTTAGCTGGGGAGAAGGGGACAGAGGAAAAGTGATTCTAAATTGTGATTCGGTCTTTTCTAACTGTGAGTGTGATACTGGGTACGTAACTCAGCTCTAACTCAGAGCAAGAGTCGGGTGGGGATTAGGTAAGGGCCCAGAAAGCCCTGTCTGCATGTGGCAAACCTAAGCCTCTGTGCTTTGTGGCCATATATGCTTCTCTCTAAGGGGTTTCAAAGGGCTGGACCAATGCAAAATGCATGCCGGGAAGGAAGCAGTGGTTTAAGAAGGTTCTCCACTGGATGAGCCTCAGTCTGGCCTTGGGGCCACTGAAGGGTGGCTAGATCCCTGTGGGGCAGGACTGGGCACTGTGGTCAGATGTCCAGGGGACTCACAATGGTGAAGCCAGAGTCCTTGCTGCTGTCGTCATCAGGACTGGAGCTGGGGTTGCTGGAGGAAGCTGAGGCTGGGCCCATCAGTGGATCTGAGAACACCAGTGGGGAGCAGACTGGGGCCTGGCTTTTCCCAGAGGTGCTTCTGAGGGTGCGAAGAGGCTGGGCCTGGCCGGAGAAGGAGCCCCTGGCACTGCTCCCATCATCATCTTTGGAAATCAGGATGAAGTCATCGGAATTCCCTCTATCAGTGCACCCTGGCGTTTCTGAAGAGGCCTGTGAAGTACAGTCAGAAGTACAGGTGGATGAAAGAAGAAACTGGCAAAGAACTGAGTGGAAGGCCCTGTGAACTGGGGGACTCGTGGTGGAAAGCTAGGCCACCTCACCCTACATTCGACCTTGAAAGACGCAGTGTTTGGCCTGCTGCCCTGAAGCCCACACGTTTACCAGTGGTGCAGTGCCAGCAGCATCTTGTGAGCCCCTCTGAAGCCAAATGCTGGCTTCCCTGGGGGAACAAAGTAAAGCTCCTGTTTGACAAGCTTCAGACAGAGGCAGTGTCTGTGCTGCCAGGGAGAGCCCAGGCTCAGGAGATGGCCAATAGGTTGCAGGCAGAATCCCTACCAGCGTCATGTGGGACCCTGCCATGCAAATCACCCATCCTCCTTGAACTTTAACTTTCATCTGTGAAACAGGGATAAAGACAGTGTCTTCCTCCTAATGTGTTGTCATGATATAGTGAGATGATATGTGCAGCTGCTGGCTCCCTAATGTGAGCTGCCAGATCTGGAGTGATTCTATTACTGGCTAGAAGGATAGCTTTCAGAAGGCCTAATGTATTTCATCTCATGTAGATCTCATTGCTAGCTCATCTTGGGTATGCACACAGGGGTCTCCTGGAGCAATGGTGGTAACCGGTAGGTTCTACAAATGTGAAAACCAAGAACGGCAATTGCAAAGTATAATGGCAAAAAGTATAGAGATAGAATTGGTTTACTCAAAAATTATTTTCTTTCTAAGCAATTATGAGTGGCTTTTTATTTTTTAACTTACTTAATAAAGTTAACATTCACGAACACAGGTAAAGGTTTTCGGTTAGCAAAGCCAAAGTTCGACCAAGGACATCCAGTGCCAGCCTGGCAGAAAGAACACCTCACCCAGTGGTGCTGTAAGGTGATGTAGTGCCCACAGCTGCCTCCCTCACCCTGTCTGCCTACCCTCCCCACAGCATGGGTGGAGTCTCGTGCTGGGGTCTCAAGTCTAATGAGATATATGGAGACCGCTGACTGGAAGTGTCTCCTGAGTCCTTGGGCCTCCAGACTGGCATGGCCTAGGCCATCTGTGCACTGTGTGCAGAGCCAAGAAGGGGAATGAGTAACAGCTCTCAGGGAAATCTGGCCTTGAGCCCTGTCTGATAGGCCCCTCTCTAAATCTCATGTCCTCCTCAGTGATGTAGGGGGCAAGTGGCTAAATAATGGCTCAGGAACCTTCCATCTCTGATGATTCACCAACCTTTAGGATATTCAGTCAGAGAACATAAACGTAATTGGCCTTTAGGATCACAGAGCTGCAACAGGCCTTGAGGTTCTTCATCTCAGGTTCTAAAGCTGTTGTTAACATTCTATTAACACATTAACTCCTACACAAGCAAAGAAAAACATAGCACACGGTAGTCTGATAGCAGGGGATGTGATCACAAATGGCACCAGAGCTGTTTGGTAGAGAAGGACTGTCTTTTTTCTGAGTTGGAGGAAAAGAACTCAAATCTCTTCCCCATGACTGTCCCTATATAAGGTGCACCTGGTCAGAGCCATGCTGCCTTTGGGGAGTGCATTGAAAGCTGCTGGGGAATCAACAGAGGCCCTCAGGTTTGACTTCTTCCAGAATTGTAGACACTTTGTTCATAGGACAGTTGTCCTGCACTGTAAACTGTGAAAATCTTGACCTCTCACCACAACACAGGGCTGGAATGCTACTTGGTGGAGCTTATCCTAGGTTGAAAATAAAAGAGCATGTTTAGCAGGGCCTAGTTTTTAGAGTGGTGCCTCTACTTCAGAGATACTGAGATCACTTATTCTCCTTTAGCTTACAGTGAAGACGTCAGTGAGATTCTGAAGTGGAGAAATACTTTTCAAACCCCTGACTAAATAAAAGTAGTTTCTACCATTACTGTAGTTATCTGGCATGCTTCCCCCAATTCCCAGATGAAGGTCACAGACTGCCGTAGACAAAGCAAGTTAGAGCTGACAGGGCCTTAGCAGCCATTTTCTTTTATTGACCCCCCCCCCTTCCTTGCCCCTTTGCATTACAGATCAAGAAAACGAGCCCAAATAGGAGACCTGGTAGCTTGGCCAATGTCACAAGGCACAACAAAAGACCCCACTCTTCTGGACTCCCACCTAGAATTTTTTTCAAGAGGCAGAGTTGACTTCTTTATGGATTTCCCTAGCAGCCTTAACTGCTATCTGGTGCCATTTATAACATTTACAGAAGTTTTGTAAATCCCTAGGTCAATCCTCTCTTTTTACCCAATACAGGTAAGTCTTACACAATTAGAAAAGTTTTCAACCTGTCAGTCCTGCCTAAAACTAGCCATGATCATCACAACACATATCCCTCTTACCCGCTTCCTGCCACCTTCCCAGACCTACCTCATTTCATAGCTTGAGTTTAGGATGGTTGTAGAAGCAGGTGAGCCCAACTATAGACCAGCAGTGTTCAACAGACATTTTCCATGATGATGGAAACGTTCTCTGTCTGTGCTACTCAATACAGCAGCCCCTAGCCACAGGTGGATACCAAACACTTGAAAAGTGGCTAGTGTGACTGAGGAACTGAATTTTTAATTCTATTGAATTTTAGTGCATTTAATTTTAAATAGATAGATACGTGGCTAGTGGCTGTAATAGTAGACAATATGCGGATTAAAACAGGGGACCCAAGTACCAAAAGGGCAAGTGATGCGTTGGCTGACTAATAATGGATCCAGGGTCCCACAAAGTCCTGCCTTCTACTGCAGCTGATTTGAGTTAGTTCATCAAATACTTCCCAAAGGAATGTGTGAGGATAGATGCTGAGAAGGGAGGGACAGCGTGTGGCTCTTCTCACTCTATAGAATACAATTTCACAAGACTGCTGTTTTCAGAGCTGGAGGTAAGATTTGTAAACCAAACAGAAAGAACACTATGAGCCATGTCACATCAACCTCACAGTGAGGAGCAGGGCATGTGAATTCCCACAAAGGAAGAACACTTTCACAGTTGCTTTTGAGGAAGGGCATCGGCAGGAGGACCATGAGCCATGTGTCACTAGGCAGGGGAGCCTGGCCCTTCTGCACTATCTTTTAGACATTATTTACTGATTAACCAAGAAAGCACCGAAAACCCATCCCTAAGTTAGGAATGTGCCATGGCACAACCCATCACAAACCCAACATGTGGTGCTTACATCTCCAATGTGTCAAGAACCTGCCTAACACTGCTCCCCTAGGCCCTGGCCCTCCATAACTGGGAGCTCATGAGAGCAGGGGATATATCCCATAGCCTTGGACACCCAGTTCCTGGCACAGCAGGCTGTGGAAGCCTTCGGAACTTCCACTTGGCTCTCTTGGCGCATGTTCCTGGGGGTAGCCTGTCCACGGCCCTCTGTACCTCCTCCCACAAGGAGTGAGGAGGAAAACTTAGCCAGCTCCAAGCACTGATGAGTTAGCTCCTGCAGGAAGAAGGTGGGTACCTGGCAGCTATCTCATGCCTGGTAGACCCCCTGGGCCCTTATCAGCCTAGCCCAGATCCTTGGGCTTTGCAGTGGAAGGCCCCATGCACTTGGCTTCTTTCTGACTTGCTTGCTTGAATTCAGGAATTCTCTCAAGAAATCTCAAGATTTCCCTGAAGGAGAGAGGAAAGCACTGCTTCTCTGTTTCTCTCTTCTTCAGTAAAACTCTTTTCAGGAGTACTAGCTTTGTATAAACTGCTAACAGCTATGGGGAAGGGCCATGGCAGAGAAGAGGTAGAGAAGAGAAGCCATTTTATTTTCACTTGTGGGGTCTTCAGCCCCAGGAAGGGCTGACTGTGTCTCAGAAGCACACGCAGAGGTGCAGTATCTCTTGGATACTGCACGTGATGAGGCCGTGCCAGAACAAGGGTGCAGTTTCATTCACTGCAGACACATCTCATGGCTAGCTTATCTTGGGTATGCACAGTGGGGTCCACCGGGGCAGCAGTGGTCATTGGTAGGTTCTTATAAATACAGAAACCAGGGATGACAACTGCAAAGTATAATCATTAAGTTCTAAATTTAACAAATTCATTAGTGATTTTAAAATATCTTTTTTTCTGTAGTAAACTGACACACTCAACTAAAAAATTATGCTAAAGTTTTAAATAAAATTGTCAATTAGAAATGCATTGTGGTTGGGCCTACGCTCAGTAATATTTGAATAAATAAATGATTGAAAAATAAAACATCTGTGCAAGGAAGGAGAATTTGTGAAGAAACGAATGAAATTAAACTGGCAGTATCACTGTTGCATTCATGTGGCTACAAATGCAGAGTCAAAGCACTCCATGAACATTTCATATGGCTTCAAGAGGAAGTTAACCATGGAGTCTCTCTTCTGGAAGAGCACCCTTAAAACTGAAAAACATTCCCACTCAAATGTCATTTTGCTGTTTTAAAATCACACAAAAAATAATTTACAAGTGTCTGAATGCTGGTTTTTGAGAAAGTGACTTAGATAATATTTTGCTAATGTTCATTTTCCAAGATGAAACTTTGTAAGCTGATTTTAAAAATATTATTAATAATTTAAAATACAGGTGGGAAATGAACAATCTTTTCGTCTTATCGGATAATGGACAGCAGGGCAACATGGTGGGACTGAAGCTTACTGGGTTGGGGCAGGGCTTCTGAAAACATAATGCCTGGCAGGCTAAGTGCCTCTGGCTTCGGAGCCTGTATGTGTCCTCTGGCCTTCATTTTCTCACTGGTCAAATGAGCAGACAGGACTAGGCACATAAGGAAGCTGTAGGAAGATCCTTTCTAGCTAGGAAATTCTGTGGTTTTGTGTTAAAATAAATTATATACAATGTTGACATCTGAGAGTAGGGGTCAGCAAACTATGGCCAAATCCAGCCTGTGGCCTGTTTTTGCATGGCCCCCAAGCTGAGAATGGTTTATATATTTTTAAAGGGTTGTGATAAAAACAAAAAGAAGATACAAAGAAAAAAAAAAGCAGTATGTGACACAGATGACCATATGTTGCCTGCAAATCCTGAAATACTTACGCTGTAGCCCTCTATGGACCCCTGCCACAGATGGCAGACATTAATGAGAAGTCCCTCCCCATGAAGGCAAGAAAGTAATTTTGGCAAAAAAGGTTCTAGCGAAGTGAAATCCACTCGAGACAGCATTAGGAAAGCCTAGACAGTACTTCCTAAAGGGGAAAAGAGGCATCAGCTGGAGGCAACTGACTGATAACTAAGACAGAGATCCAGCTTTCCCATCGCACAGAATGGGCATGGCAGGAGGCTCAGGCAGCACTGCTGCACACGGGTTTGTAGGGCACGCACCGCACGGCTCTAGGAGACACTTGTCTTACCAGTATCATTGTGAATGGCACCCCCTGCAGCACAGAGTGCACAGCCTGCACAGCTGTACACAGCACCTCCGCAGTTGAACTTCATACATGGTAATTTGAAGTAACTTTGGTAGGGTGTATTCTTAACTTTGAGGAACTTATGTGAATGTGCTCCCTTTGAGTTAATGTAACATGTTCCTCAGAGTTTCTGTACCTGTTTAATGGCCCCTGACATTTGAACGCTCTGGCCTTGGCCTCGGCCCTGGCCCTGGCCGCTGGAGCAGTAGTGGTTGTCCGCAATGGTGATCTGTTCGTTCTCTTCGGCCTCTAGCTGGCTCTGGTTAAAACGCAGGGAACCTTTTAGAATGTCTTTGATCTATTTTCAAAGAAGAAGAAAATAAATGAAAAAAATGGATGAGTTTGTTTTCAGATGCTAGCTAAATCTCTCAGACATTTGAACTAGCCTTGTCATCAATCATTTTTTATAGTATGAATATTAATATTTTACTATAAGAAACAAATAATGAGAAAAAAATCTAATTTTATCACAGCTGCTGGCTTAGCAGTGAGCAAGAAAAACGTCAGGACATTTAATAGCCAGGTTCTCACAGGGTCACATATGGGAGTCACATACTTAACACTATCTTAAAACAGGAAGCACAATTTGCCTGTACACCCACCCCCACTGCACACCTTGGTCACTAAAGTGGCTCCACCTGAGCTGGACTGTTCACAGCATAGGTAGGCATTTGGAAACAGCATACTCTTTTTCACTGACATTTATGTCTCATTTAGATCTTCAAGGCTTGGGTCAATGTGGTCCTTGAGGGTCTGAGGCCTGCTGTAGGTACTAATTATGACTTGTGCCCCAAAAATATTCATGAATTCATGGATGAATGACTGAACATGATGCTGGTCTACCCACACTAGCTTTGGGTAAGGAACAAACAGAATGGGTTTGGTAAGAGGAAGGAGTGGTGTGGGAAATGGAAAACCAGCGTGGGTCGCAAGCTAGTCAGATATAATTGTTAGAAGCAGCGGGGGCACAAAGAGGTGGTGATGCAGAAGGGGCTCTGTCTGGGAGGAAATGAGGGTTAGGGGGATGCTGGCTCTAACATCATGGTGCTCCATGCCCTGGGGGGCCCTCCCCGCGGCAGGCGGGACACAAAGAAATAGTGTCAGAGCAATGCACATACCTGTTTTAATCCTGCCAGGGAAACCAGAATTTGATCTTCTTTTTCCAAATTTTCTTGTAATATCACATCTTGAATATTTACTGAAAATAGAAGAATGACATTTTATAACCAATGCTCTGAGCATAACCTACCTGCTGCCACATCATAACTTCAGACGGGCTTGGGAAGTTTTCTGCCAAATCTCACAGCAACTACTCCCACAAAAGATGCTCTGCAAACTGCGGATGGGGAAGCTGCAGGGTTGAGTGGAGAGGGCAGCACTGGGCCTGGTACACACAGCCTCCCCTCCAACATTCCATGAATGTACTCTCATCATGACAGATGTGTCTTCACTTCCAACAAGAGATCTGGGTACCTCTTGCTGACATGATGTGGCTGACAGCCTGGGCCATTCATCTAATCTCTAGGAGGAAGCTTTTCAGCCTGGGCTTCCTGTATAGCCTCATGGGTCAATGATGTTACCTTACCTCTCTCTAAAGACCGATTCCTTCCAGGTGACTGAAATTAATAAAGAAACTGTCTTTAAGGATTCATAACAGTAAAACATGTTGCCATTTCAACATAATAGTAAAAATGAGAGTCCAAACTCATGGCACTACAGATTGTCATTAGATGACAATGTCTATGGAGTCTCCTCTAGGAGACTTAGCCGCCACATGAGAAGTCTTTCCTCCAGGCCTGATCTGAGGGACCCACCAAGCCAGCTTCTGACCATCAGGCGCAGCATCACACTAAGTTGCTTGCCTGTTGGTATGTTAAACACTCAGTGGTCCTTAGCTTTCCCTGCTTTCATGTGCCTGCAGGATGCACACAGCTCTATCAGGAACTGTGGCGTTCTGAGGCAGGATTCTCGCAAGGGGCCGGGGTTGGGAGGAAAGCCTAGTCTCCCGGGGAAGTACAAGAGGATGTGCTGGTGGAGGAAGGGAGGAGGGCACAATTAAAACACATTTTAAAAAACATGCTGATAGATACACCGATTTGAGAATCACTACAGTGAGTATGTTCACCCTCCATTAACATCTGCTTTCTTATTCTTGGTGGCGTAAAAAAATGCCCACTTACAATGTCTTCCATGCTACATTCTTAGTCACTCACTTAAGACTGTTCCAGTTGCTACGGGACTCCTAGATTCCATGCTTGGCCCCGTACAGCTACTAGGGCTAATATACCACTCCTCACTTGCTCAATGCCCCGCATCGGCAGAGGCAGAACCAGTGCGCTGTGCCCTTGGCCTGGAGGCTCTTGCTCCAAATCTATGCACAGGCTTCTCTTTATTGTTCAACTTTCTGCTCCAGTGTTGTTTCCTCAGAGCAGCCTTCCTGCCCACCCAGACTAAAGAAGCCCCCAAATGACTCTCCAGTCTCTACCATACCATCATTTCACTGTATTTATAAGCACTTATCATTGTTTGATGCATGTATTTGCTGGTTTATTCACTGTCAATCTCCCCCTAACAGGATATAAACTCCAAGGTGTTCTTGCTCAGAGCTTTATTTCTAGCCCTCAGAATAATGCCTGGTGCATTACAGGTACACAATAAGTATTTACTGACTGATGGAATGAATTAATAAATGAACATGAAAAAACACACTTGGAGCTTGCATATCAAAACACTACTATTCTAAATATTTCCAAAAAGTATTTCCAGTAAGGGGCAGGGCAATGACTGATACCATCAACATGTTTCCAGCCTGACAATTTATTAGAATCTTCAATAAGAATAAATTCATAAACCAGGGTGATAAGTCTTCTTACATACTGTAGCAGAAAAGCAACAGCGTTTATTTATTGAGAAAACTTGACTGTAGTTTTGGCTATTAGAATGGCCTGCTCCAAAACAAGAAAGCAAGTTGAATGGGAATGGAATGACAGATATAATTAGAGAGCAAATGTTTTTCGTTTCCTTAAAAGCCTGTAACAATTTCTTCTCTCTCAATAAAAAAAACAAAAAACAAAATAGAATTCATTCAACAAGACATTAACAGTAAGCAACTGCAGAAAATTCACAAGAACCAGTTCTGTAGGTCTTTTAGAGCAGCAGTCCCCAACCTTTTTGGTACCAGAGACTGGTTTCATGGAAGACAATTTTTCCACAAACGGTGGGGGAAATGGTTTCGCGATGAAACTGTTCTACCTCAGATTATCAGGCACTGGAGTCTCACACAAGGAGCGCACAACCTTGATCCCTCGCATGCACAGTTCACAATAGGGTTTGCGATCCTACCAGAATCCAATGCTGCCTCTGATCTGACAGGAGGTGGAGCTCAGGTGGTAACGCTGGCTCACGTGCCCCTCACCTCCTGCTGTGCAGCCCGGTTCCTAACAGGCCACGGGCCAGTACTGGTGCATGACCCAGGAGTGGGAACCCCTGTTTTAGAGGATTGAGAAAGATGACCTTGTTTACAAGACTGCTATGGCTTTTCAGGTTGAGCTGTGAGAGGCAGCATGGCACACAGCACCGGATGCTTGGACAGGGAAATGGATTTTGCCTCTGCTGAGCTGAGAGGTGGGCTCAGGTTTCCCAGCTCCCACTGGGTAGGTGGGGGCAGCAAGGGAACTGCTCCCAGGCCCCCAAAGGAAGCTCAGCAAGTGGAGTCAGGAGCATCAGGACATTTGGAGGAAGAACAGGGGGCTTTTTGGGTTCAAGGAACTAAAGAAAGTCCCCCTGGAGGTCATATCCATAGGGCAGAGGCCAGCACAAAGGGGGAATCTGCAGAAACCGATGTAAGCTCTTTTGCTCTCCTAACTAGACCTTTGTCTCCTGCTTGCCTCTTTGATAGTCTGCTGTGGAACACATCCTAAAACGAAAAGATGTGGCCACATTGCCTGGCTTCTGCCCCCAAGGTAATGGCGGGGCCCATGGCCAGGAGGAACAAGGACCAACGGCCTTTAGGTCACAGTCTATGGGCACACAGGGCAGTCAGTGGCTCTAGTGGAAAATGAAACCCAGAAATGTACAGGAACACAAAGCTCTCTTTAGAGGCAAGGACCTAGAAGGCACTCAGAAACTCTTCCTCAAACACCAAAGAGAGATGTGAGCCCATCCCAGAACCCTGGCATCATCTTGGCAGGGAGAAGAGACAGAGTAGAGAAACTAAGTGTGGGCATTTGCTCAGAAAAAAATGGTTAGTCTATAAGAGACTGAATTGCCTTTAACTGGCAAGTTCAAGCCCTTTGATTATCATTGGTGGAGATGAAGTTTTAGAGCACAATTTCGGCACACGTGAGTTTAGGGACATAGACTTATCATCCCAATACAGTGTCTATACAAGATCTTCCCAAATCATTTTGGCCACATTGCCCGAAAAACCTGTGAACCAGGAAGTCCTAGTCATGCCCTGTTTTGCTGTGAGCCTCTCACAAATCCATCTGTTCAAGAGTGGAAGTGGTGGTGCTTGCAGGGGTAAGTTGAGAAGGAGTGGTGGTGAAGACAAAAGCTGTGACAGGGATCACAGTTTAAGGAGGCACCTAGAGCACGCCATGGAGCCACTGTCCCTGTTTAGACTGTCTACCTATGGGCTTCTTTCAGTTGTGAAAAAAAAAAGTAACCTCTTGATTTGTCTACTTTTTGGAGGGGGATGGAGTTTATGTTATTAGCAGCTGTATTCATTTTCTAGAGCTGCTGTAACAGAGTACTACAAACTGGGTGGCCTAAAACAACAGAAATGTATTTTCTGTCAGTTCTGGAGGCTAAGTCTGAAATCAAGCTGTTGGCAGGGCTATGCTTCCTCCAAAGGTTCTAGAGAATTCCTCCTTGACTCTGCTTAGCTTCTGGTGGTTGTCAACAATCCTTGGCATTCCTTGGCTTGTAGATGCATCGCTCCAGTCTTCGCATCCATTATCACACGGCATTCTCCCTGTATGTCTGTTATCGAAATTCCCCTCTTCTTATAAGGACACCAGCCACTAGATTAGGGTAAGCCCTAATCTAGTATGATCTTATCTTCACTGAACTACATCTATAAAGACCCCATTTCCAAATAAGGTCACGTTCACAGGTTCCAGGTGTCTCACCATAAGTTTGGATGAGACAATATTGGACCTAGTACAGCAGCCAGACTGCCTAATTGTTATACAGGATGAAAAGCATCCAGTTCCTTCAATAAAAGACAATGCAACCTACTAATCTTGTCCTGCATGCAGAATACAATGCTCTGGCCTGATGTGCAACACAGCTACAGAAAGCAGTGCAGAGTGGGTGCACCCAAGAAGAGGGAAGAACTCAGAGCTGTAGTATCACCACCAGCATACCCTCATCTAGCAATTCTTTCGTCTTAATTTATGGACTGAGTCAAGGACCACCTTCTAGGATCTGATGAAAACCATGACTGCCTCCCCTGAAAACCCATGTACATATGAACTGTTCACTTAATTTCAGGGATAAACCTTTTTTTAATCAACTAAGCTGACTAGGCTCACTTTAAGAAATCTAGGGTAAATCCAAATTAAAACAAAAGGGCACCTTCAGAGGCTGTTAGATGTTTTGAGTACAAGAATATACATTTTACTAAGAGTACTGACCATGTAAATCATTTCCCTAACAGTTCCCCTATATAAGGTGGCATTTACAAACATTCTACTTACATATAACCTCCTAGTAACAAATCTACTGTTTTAAGTAAGTTACATCTGCATGTAAAAGTAGACAAACGTAATGATGTCTTTCCATGGCTTAAGATAAAATGTTTACATTTCCAACGTAATACACAATTCTCCTCATAGCCAAAGGCAGAATAAATTTTGCCATAAAGGCTCTTTCTCTTTGTTTCTGTGTAAAAGGAAGATTACACTCTTTATAATCTCCTCACATTTAAGTATTACATATTATAAATGTTGGAGCACTGAAACTAAAGGGGAAACTGTCACATAACTAACCACTTCTGTGGAAATTACACACAAAAATCTCATTCACCTAACAATCCCATGGTGATGCCACTATTTTTAATGAAATGTAGTGCCACAAAAATAGATCTCGAACTCTCAGGGTAATGAAAATGGTAAACAAACCACTTTTTCAATTTCTTAAAAACTTGATTTTTTTCAATGCTAGAATACAAGTGTTTTCAATTAAATGTTTTAAATGGCTGGTGCAAAAGGTAACATAAGCCTTATTTGGTGGTGGTGAGGGTGTTAGTGAGTAGAAAGGGGACAAAAGCAGAACATCTGGCTTTAACAGAGGTGGAACTGGGCAAGGCATTTAACCTTCTTATGCCTGAGGGGTAATAACAGCACCCTCCTCATAGGATGGCTGTGAAGAAACAGGGAGACAGCACAGATCAAGTGCTGAGCACCACACCTAAGCCCACTATGGAAGCTCCGCACCCAGTCGTTTCATTTGTACGTGCCATGTTACCTCAGTGACTATCTCAGCAACCCTTCTAGATGAGAACTGTCAACATATTACAGAAAAAGAAGCCAAGCCCAGAAATGCCAGGTCTGTTATTTGAGGTCTCATGACTTGAAGGTGGTGGAACTGGGATTAGATTTCAGATCTTTCAGACTCCTGAGCTTCATGATTATTTGTATGGCACTGATGAAGGCACCAGAGATATGCAGAGGCACAGGATGGGATATTGGCACTGACTTGATTGCCTTGAGATGTACTGCCTTTTATTCCATGGTGGAACTGATCGAAGTGAGGTCAGCCAGAAACAGGCAGTTACCTATACGCACAACAGATTGTACAATCATTTCTATCAGAGAGCATTTTGGAGCACTGGCAATGGTACCAAAGGGCTTGGGTTTTGATGACCCTGAGATATGATCTTCTGTATGTCACTAAACCCATCAGTGAGATGGGGGTAATACCCATCTCAGAAGGTTGCTGAGAGGATTAGATGAGATAATCAAAGCTTTCTATTTCTGCATACTGTCTTGCAATTACTATTATTGCCTACTATGTTTCCTCCTCCCTTGGTACCTTAAATATTCAGATATCTGGATTCTGTTTTTTGAGGCTTTCTCATCTCTGATAGGAATTTAGATACCCTGATCTTTAACAATCTCATATAAGGGACTGTAGTAGACTCTAAAGAGGAACTATGCATGCTGTTATAAAATAGAGAGGTGGGATTAAGGGAGGCAGGCCCAGTGTGACAGTGGCTTAAGAGGTGGCCATTAGTCAGAGAGAGGGGCAGACCTGTCATTTGTCACTACTGGCTTTTGTTGAACATTGACAAAGGGATGTCTGTGCACAGGGTGTGTGCCATAGTTGTCCAAACCCTAGGAGAAGACATCAAATTCATCATGCAACCTCCAGTACATGGTGTGTATCTCTGTGTGTCCTTGCAAATCCATTCCCCCTTCTAGAAGTCCCTCCCATCTTCCCTATAATGACATGTCCTGCCTTTTCTTCAAAGTCCACCTCAAACTTACCACGTCTAAGCATCAGCTTCCCATTAGCAGTCTTCCCTCCAGTAGCACCTAGTTGTTGGGTCCCTCTTGCTTTATCTCTCACTCTTGGACAATAATTCAATGATGAGGCTCAGAGACTGAATGTTTCCTGAAACTGCACTGTTCTACCTGGCACCAAAGGTGCCAGGTTCTAAATATGGTGCTCAAGGTGTTTGGGTTCTAAATATGGTGCTCTATTCAAAGTATTCTTATCACTTTGAAACCCCACTGCTCCTTGCTAATGTTTCTGAAATCACTAGTACTCTGGGGGAGACCCTGGTTTTCTTCAAGTGAAGCTATGTATCACTTTAGGTATTCCTGAAGAGGTCTGTTCTCTCCTGCTCTCTCTCCCTACCTTGAAATTTTACTTAACTTTTACATATACATTGAACTCAATTTCAGATTACCACTCCACACCTCACCATTCCCCTAGAACCTGTTTTGTCTTTGTTGTTGTTGTTGTTGTTTTTGAGACAGAGTCTTGCTCTGTTGCCCAGGCTGGAGTGCAGTGGCACAATCTCGACTCGCTGCAACCTCCGCCTCCTGGATTCAAGCAATTCTCCTGTCTCAGCTTCCTGAGTAGCTGGGATTATAGGCGTGTGCTACCATGCCTGGCTAATTTTTGTATTTTTAGTAGAGACAGGGTTTCACCATGTTGGTCAGGCTGGTCTCGAACTCCTGACCTTGTGATCCGCCCGCCTCGGCCTCCTAAAGTGCTGGGATTACAGACATGAGCCACCATGCCCAGCCAGAACTGTTTTTACATGAGAGAGCAGGTAACTGGCTAAGTGACCAATGTGAGGCAAGGGCTTTCCTGCTACCACTAGGGCTGATTTTTATCCCCTAAGGAATAAATGTAGGTGAGATATTTCCCAGATGAAGATTTAAGAGATACTAATATGATTAACCGGATCTTAGATTGAGAAGTGGTAGGGGCAGGTGAAGAGAAATTAACATTCATTGATGGTCTATTAAGAGCCAAGTTAATTTTCTTAAAAAGCAAAATGAAGATTGCACAGAAATATAATCAAGGATCCTCTTTGGCATCCAGCTGCCAGAATGGCTGAAGACCCAAAACTCAGCACTGGGAGAGGAACATTACTTAGGAAAATCTAAGGGTAAGACTAGGCAAATTTGCATATTACACTAAAGACAATTCTTGAGGCCAATAGTTCTCTTAAGTGAACTGAGTAAGCGTGGCACAGAGTTCTGAATCTTTACTGATCTCTACTCTTTGGCATATTATTCTCCTAGCACTTATCACCCTGTGCGCCAGAGAGTAACATGGAAGCATGACACCTCCCAGTAAAATCTGTCATAATCATGATATGGCTATAACATTAGGGTCAACCAAAAAAGGAGACTTTACACATATTTTTAAACTTGAAAGGTCTCTAAGTTCCAGTAATGGTTAGATGCCTTTGCCAGAATATGTACTTCTAAAAATAAAAACAGAAACATAGCTGATGCCTTAGTCATATGAAATAATCTGGGGTTTTGCCATCATGCCCTTACTTGGGAGCTAAGAGATAGGACAGCAGTTTGGGTGTGACTGCCTTAAAATTACATCATTTAGTCAAGTAAGACTCTTTGAACTGGGCTTAAGATAAATATATATGTTGTGCATTTCAGGCCATAAAGGTTTTGCTGACATGAGGAGTGAGTAAAAGTTAAGTGCCATTCTGCAGCTAGAATGTAAACATGGTCCAAGGCAATGAACATCAGCCTTTAAATCCTGGTCTGCACCTCCCCTGGCTCATATGCTCTTGTCCTCAGCATGAGATGCTTGTGGTGGCTCCAAAGCCCTTGAGCTACCTGTAGTAAGCCTGTTTCCACAGACGATGAGGTAGATGGGTTTTGTGGCTATTGGATCATTAGCTAAAGAGAGTTGGGACTGGAGAACATGGAGAGGCAGCCTGGTGTGAAAGGATGAAAACAGGCTGTAGAATCAGACAGAGCTGGGACTGAATCCTGCCTGGTTCTGCTATTACCTAGCTGTGTAACCTCCCACCAAGTATGCAGAGCATGCTAAGTCACAATTTCCTCCACTGTACACTAGGGATACTCTCTCTCAACTTGCAGACTTAGTGGGAGATTAGAGATACTGTTTGTGAAGTACCTGGCACTCAATCTGGCACATAGGAACTAATGGCAGTTGCTATTGTATGTGACAAGTATATAAGCTTCATCCTACTGTTGTGTTAAATGCTCTACCAGGAATGAAATGACACAAAGGACATTTGCCCCTTTCAAACTGGGAAGGCTGGTAAGTTGGTATTTTGGTCTTCTATAATAGAGTCTTGCCTGCATAGCAAAGCTGCCAAGTATGACTATAATTGTTAGAAATGATCAGACTTTTATTTAGATATTAAGTTGGAAACCATCATTCTCAGCAAACTAACACAGGAACAGAAAACCAAACACTGCATGTTCTCACTCATAAGAGGGAGCTGAACAACGAGAGCACATGGACACAGGGAGGGGAACATCATACACTGGGGCCTGTTGGAGGGTGAGGGGCTAGGGAAGGGAGAGTATTAGGAAAAATACCTAATGTAGATGATGGGTTGATGGGTGCAGCAAACCACCATGGCATGTGTATACCTATGTAACAAACCTGCATGTTCTGCACATGCACCCCAGAACTTAAAAGTATGATTGAAAAAAAAAAAAAGAAAAGAAATCCAACAGAACTATTACTAACCAGAAAAGTCTCTTCCTTACTGAATTAGAAGAATAAAGACATCATTGAAAAGCTTGGAGCCTAAGTGAGGATATCCTTAGTGGGAATGCTACCCCCTGTGGGAGTGCTACAACGCCAAGGCAGCCACTGGGGGCCACTGTGGTCACCCTTCAATACAGCTTGCAATATCTACATCCAGCAGTTAAAAGAGACAGAGAAACCAAAATGCTAATACACTTTGAAGTCAGAGTAAGTTTACCAAAGATGATGGACTTGGTATTAAATTTTTTTAAAAAAAGAAAGAAAATAATTCAATTTGGGTTCCTCCTGTGGAAAAGCACATAAGAAAAAGGGAAAGAACCAGAAAATGGAAAGCAAAATGATGAAAGTTGGACAGTCTGTACTGAGGCCCTATTATTGGAGTGGTGGCATCCTGGCCTGAAGAGGGATAAGCTAGTGTGTAGTTTGCTAAGTTTTTCTAAATAGGTATAGGGTTGGTATAAGGAAGATGCTGACCAATTGTTGCAAGTCTTCCAATAATAAAACCAGGGGGAAACAACTTCAACTAGAACAAGGTGATGGAGGCTGAAAAAGAACTTCTGAATTTCAGAGGATTGCAGGCTACATCAGGATGCTAGGGGAGGCAGTGGGCTCTCTGCCCAGAGTTTAGGTGCATGCATGTTTGAAGCATGGGGTTATGAATATGTTAACAGGGTTATGAATATGTTAACATGTTTATGAATATATTAGCTGAATCATGTCTAAATAATTTAAGTTCTCTTACTCCTTACTGCTCAGAATCTGTCAAGGGCCAGTAACACCAAGTCATTCAAAGTCTGCTAGAAATGGAGAAGTTCAGGTCCCACCATCAGACCTACTGCATCGGAATCCTATTGAGATGGCATCTTAAATTTTTTTTTTTATTTTTAAATTTTTGCAAGTACTTAGTAGGTGTATATATTTTTGGGTTACATCAGATATTTTGATACGGGCATGTAATGCATAATAATCACACCAGGGTGAATGAGGTATCTCCATCACCTCAAGCATTTATTCTTTGTGTTACCATCATTCTACTCTTTATCTCCATGAGTTCAATTGTTTTTATTTTTAGATCCCTCAAATAAGAGAGAACATGAAAAGTTTGTCTTTCTGTGCCTGGCTTATTTAATATAATGACCTCCAGTTCTATGTTGTTGCAAATGACAGGATCTCATTCTTTTTATGGCTGAATAGTGCTCCTTTTTTTTTTTTTTTTTGAGATGGAGTCTCGCTCTGTCGCCCAGGCTGGAGTGCAGTGGCGCGATCTCGGCTCACTGCAAGCTCTGCCTCCTGGGTTCACGCCATTCTCCTGCCTCAGCCTCCTGAGTAGCTGGGACTACATGCGCCCACCACCACGCCTGGCTAATTTTTTGTATTTTTAGTAGAGACGGGGTTTCACCATGTTAGCCAGGATGGTCTCGATCTCCTGACCTCGTGATCCACCCACCTCGGCCTCCCAAAGTGCTGGGATTACAGGCGTGAGCCACTGTGCCTGGCCTAGTGCTCCATTCTTTATATATACCACATTTTCTTTATCCATTCATCTGTTGATGGACACTTAGGTTGCTTCCAAATGTTAGCAATTGTGAACAGTGCTAAAAAAACATGGGAGTGCAGATATCTCTTCGATATACTGATTTCCTTTCCTTTTGAGTATATACCCTGGAATGGAATTGCAGGATCATATTTTTAGCTCAATTTTTAGTTTTTAGGAACCTCCAAACTGTTCTCTATAGTAGCTGTACCAATTTATGTTCCCACCAACAATGAACAAAAGTTCTCTTTTATTTATTTTATTTTTTTAGAGATAGGGTCTTGCTCTCTCACCTAGACTGGAGTGCAGTGGCATGAGCATCCGCCACCTCCTGGCACAAGTGATCCTCCCAGCTCAGCTTCCTGAGTAGATGGGACTACAGACATATGCCACCATGCCCAACTAATTTTTAATTTTTTTTTTTTAATAGAAACTAGGTCTCCTCTGTTATCTAGACTGGTCTTGAACTCCTGAGCTTAAGCAATCCTCCTGCTTCGGCCTCCCAAAGTGCCAGGATTATAGGCATGGCCATGCTGGTCAGGGTTCCCTTTTTGGAGACGTCATCTTGATATGTTGCACAGGCTGGAGGGCAGTCGCTATTCACAGGCCGGATCACAGCACACTGCACCCTCGAACTCCTGGCCTCAAGTGATCCTCCCACCTCAGCATTCCCAGTAGCTGAGACTATAGGCACGTGCCTCCAACATCAGACTCCAGAATCTTCATTTTTAACAAGATCTTCAGGTGAATTGTATCTTTTCCTCCTATAGAGGACTCTGCTACCCGCAATAAAAAGCGTATTTAAAATTCTTAAAAATAATCACGAAACTCTTTTTTCATAGTGTAGTTGACAGAGAGAAAGCTGTCTGGTGATCACATTTTCTTCCTCACTTTTTCAAATGTCATTTGTTAATTGCCCTATTGAACATTTCCAAAGATATTCATTGAAAGTTGTTTTTATAAACATCAGAAAATTAAGTTTATAAAGTTCTTATGGAGGCAAATAAACTGATGTTCAAAACTGGCCTCCTTTTTCAGCTAATTCATGCATAAATATTATGACAAGTACAAAATCAGTTACGATGGGTGCAATAAAATAACAAGATTTGAAATCCTACTGCTGATTCAAGTGTGGCCTCAGTAGACTAATCAGTGAAAGAGAAGCCAAGGACTAGATTCAGGTCTGGACTCTCGTTGCCAGCTAGCTGGAAGCGTCACTCACCCTTCCTGGGCCTTGGCTTCCTCATCTGCAAATAAAGAACAGCTAGGTTGACTTCTAGGGCTTTTACATCTTTAATATTCTACGATCCTATGAGCTACAGTACTCTCAACAGAAGCATGGGAAATCAAATTTTCCTTCATTAATTGCATTTAACCATCTAATTATCTGTATGACTCATCAATGAAAGGGCAAGCTGCTGGAAACCAAGGTGTCCAAATACCAAACAGATGAATGGAAACACTTCCATTGGGAGCAGGAGGGTATGGGCATTAGAGCCCAGAAGGATGAGCAGCTCATGTATTCCCTGTAAACAGCTGGCAGCTCAGCCCAGCTGCTCACAGATCAGACTAGCGTAGGTTGCTCACCCACGTGCAATTATGTGTGAAGTACGGCATATCTAAAAATAGCCTAAGCTCAGCCACAGAGATTAATACTGTCAATGGCTTTCAACTCACTGTCAGGATGACAAGGAGAGTAACCATAGCAACAGAAAAATCAACATGTAAAAAACCTCTTCTAAAGCTGACAGGAAAAGTTTAGGTTTAATAAAACATATTTTCAATTCCTGTCTCTAAACCTTTGAATTCAAATAATTCCATCACTTGGAGGTAATAAAATTAGAATTTTGGTAGTTTTGGCAACACAAATGGCCTTCTAGTTTTGGGTTCCAAAACTGTGAGGAAATACTGTTAACCTGTCAATTTTATTATCTCTATAATTAAAGGGCCATTTGACCAAATGTCATTAAATAATTTTTAACTGAAAGGATTTTCTCTACATTTGTTCTGCTATCAGTTATAAAAACAGCCTTAAATAGTACTTGACATTTTAAGATACTTATTGCATGTGTGACAAAAACATAGGGCGATATAGTAATAGCAAAGATAGAGAAGCAACCTAAGTGTCCGGCATTGGATGGATGACTGGATAAAGAAAATGTGCTACATATATAAAATGGAATACTATTCAGCCATAAAAAGAATGAAATCATGTCTTCTGCAGCAACATGGATGGAACTGGAGGCCATTATGCTAAGTGAAACCACTCAGAAATAGTCAAATTCTGCATGTTCTCACTTACAAGTGGGAGCTAAATAATGTGTATATATGGACATAGAGCATGGAATAATAGACACTGGAGACTCAGAAAGGTGGGAGGGTGGTGAGGGATGAGAAATCACTTAATGGGTACAATGTACACTATTTGGGTGATGGTTCCACTAAAAGCCCAGACTTCACCACTGTGCAGTATATCCATGTATCAAAAGCGCATTTGTACCCCTTACATTTACACCAAAAAAAAAAAAAAAAAAGAAAAGAAAACATAAGGTGTGATGGAGTTCTCTCGATATGAATGGAACTTTGCGAAAATAATTAACATTAGGAAAGGATCTGGAGAAGTAACTCCTAGAGTAAGTTTCTGAGACAGCTCTCACAGCCACCTCAGTAGCCTGTACCCCAGTGCATAATGGAGGCTCAGTGGCCCTCATGTCACTAAGTGCCCCAGAGGCATCATTAAGTTCTGACATAGCTATTCTTGCTCAAGGAGCTCACACACCTCATCTTAGAACTAGCACATCCCAAATTCCAGCATCGTTTTGCATCATTTGATAGAGGAATATTCAGTTGGGTACTGGGAAATGTGGTACTAGTCCAGCTTTTCAACTAACCAGTTGTAGACTCTGGACAAGTTATTACTCAGCTCTACGGCCATGGGCTGGAAGAGTCTCTCAGATTCTTCCCTGAGAAGAGACAGTTAAAGAGTTAAAAGGAAAGATGAGATGACTTGTGTTTAATACCCACTTTGGGCCATTCCTGATACTAGGGTTTAAAAATATTTTTTGGCAAGGAACTGGCAAGATAGATGGAAATGTCAAGTACATATGTGTCGACATATGAGGACACATTCATAAGCAGGCTGAGTTAAGGGACAGGGCCTGGGTTCAACCCTAGATCTGTTTGATGCCTCATGAGGTTGTCTGTTTCTCAGACACCACTTCACCACCCTTACAACTGGCTCTGCCTGCTACGTATACAGGTTGACCCCCCAGTGCTAGTTACATGCACTGAAGCCATCCACAGATTTTCAGGGCATGTCTTCTATTTTCTAAGCATAGAAGATTAGGTCCCTTGGAAAGTCCCTCTATAACCTTCCTTTTACCTAGGCAACCACTGTTAACAGTATTTTCAGGCCAAATATATACCATTTTGCCATCTGTTTTTATCACCTAATAATCTATCACTAATATCTACTTATATTAACATTTTAATCTTTATAAAGATTGAATTATATTATACTATATTATATTCAATCCCTTACTAATGAACACCTTAGTCCTTCCAATTTTGTTCTCCTTTAATAATGAGAAAGAGAAACACATCTATGGAAAAAATAAGGGTATTAAAATAATTTCTTAAGAAGCCATAATATGTTAAAAAACAAATCAAGAGCATCAAGTCAACTTAATCTTCGTGTTTTCCTTGAATCTTTGCTTAGAATCAAAGTTGCCTACAATCTAGGAGCATCTTTTAATTAACCATTGTTGTATTGTGCATTTGAAGTGAAATGCATCTGTGGGCCGTGGAGCCAGGAATTCTTGGTAGCATCCCTTAATCCCACTTTAAAAACGCAGTCATGCTATTTATATGAGGGAAAAAAAAGTCAACAGCTATGTGAACGAGTTCTGGCTGAAAGTGAAACGTACACACAAAAACAAATCTAGTTTTGTGGTTAGCTGAAAATTCACAGCTGGTATAGGCTTTTCTTTCCATTTTAATTAAAGTGTTTCCCCCTCCCATGCAATGAGAAAATGCTCTTTCAGTGCTGATTGAAAGACCAAAGTCAGAGCAAAAGCTGTTTGAAAATTCCGAGGCTTAAGTAAAGCTGCTTTAAAAGTTGCTGTGTGTACCAAACAACTTGGGAATTTCCTAGCAGGATTCTGTGGAGTTCCAGTAAATCTTTCTCCCCATCACTTCTTTGCTCTCTTACTTTGGTGAAAACTAAAGTCAAGTAATGCAAAGGTCATCCAAGTAGCCAGAAAAGCAAAAACTATACATTCATTTTAAAATTAAAATTATATTTAAACAAGTAACCATAATTAGTCATATACAACTATATAAGCTATCTGTTTATTAGTTCTTTTTGGTGTATTTTAAAGTGCAATGATATTAGATAATATAAGATTCATGTAAAATTAGGTCTGTAACTTATTACCCCCATTTTTCTAAGAGAAAGAGAATGAGTTGTGTTTTTTTTTAAATTATTATTTTCTTCTTTTCTCTTTCCTCCCTTTGCCTTGTTCTCCATTTCCTACCTAGCTCTTTAAACGCAATCTTTACCTGCCCTTTACCAGACACTCCCTACAGGGCAAGCTTACCTAACTATGTGCTTGCTTAGAAGCTCCAGGACTGGAAATCTCTCCCACCCAGAGATTTCTCTGAGACAACAGTCACTTTGCAACCTCCAGTATGCCTGAGATGAAACTCTCCCCCCAACTGGAGAGTATCTCAGACAACAGTCACTTTACAACCTAGCTCTGCCTGTGCTGGCGCCAGCTTAACCACCTGGAAGATAAGGCAATGAAGCCACGGACACAGACCTTTAACTGCTCGTTCCTTCCCTGTTTGCTGTTCATGCCAAGTCCCCCTTTAAAAGCCTTTGTTTTCTGTCCCCAAAGTGAGGTGGTATCTTTAAGGGCAGAAGTCTGTACTTCTTCCCCTAAGCTAAGCTATGGAATAAAAAGTCTCCTTATACCAGCCAGAACTCACTCTTGTTAATTGGACTCTGCAAGTGGTAAGCGACCGAACTGGCGACTTGGTTATAGGTCTATATGAATTTTTAAAAATGATCATCAAGCAGCTTATTAAGAGAGTCTGTAAGAGGTGGATCAAATGTGACAGGGGTAATGTTTCTTGCTGTGATGAGAGATACTACCCTATCAATCATCTACCAGGGTTTCTCCTGCTGTTTTTCCCTCTTGAGCCCTTTCCCTGCAGGAGTGGTTGAGATGGTAGGAATATGGCTGAGGGTAGAACAGGACCCAGCCAGCTGCTAATAAGACACTGTCAGGCAGCCAGCCACTTAGATCAGCATCTCTCCAAATCTTTTAAGAGAACATTTATTATTTTACTGAGGCCAGTACGGTTTAGGCTATATCCAAATGACAGCCGTTGTTACTTGTAATGGCTTAGAGCTTGCTGGGGTTTGAAGGCAGAGAGTTTACCTCCAACGAAGGCCCCAGATGCCTTGGTGGATTCTCTTTGGTTTCTCCTCACAGGTGGGATGCATCCTGATTTCTTATAATACCTGGTATTGCCATTTCTCAACACTACAGAGCAGCACATTGGCCATTTCCATGAGTACATGTCTTAATTTCCTAATTTATTCATAAGTTACCAATCTTAGACACTGGACAGTGAAGAAACAAAGGCTGTCCATAAATGGGCTAAAAAATGGTAAAATGGTGCATGACAAAAGCTTTTGTAAGCAGCATGGAGTTACTGAAGTGATTCATACATGAGTCAGCATAAAGTATCTCTAATGTGAGATATAGCACCTTTACAAATGCAGAGCAGTGCCTGAAGACTTTCCAATGTGACATGCATGACCCACATGCAAAATGAACTTCAAACTGGGACATTTCTTAGAATATAAGCACAGTCAGAAGTAAGAAAAGGTCATGCATTTCAGGCAGGTGGTTAAAAAACACATTTTTATAAAAAAACAAAGAATTGTCAAAATAATAATCACATTAGTGATTACTGACAGGTTGGCACAGCAATATAGCTGATTATTTGATCTTGAAAACTCAATATTTCATTTTGGTCTGAGGTAAGTAGACATTTACAAAGGGCAATATACTAGGAGTTGAGATTTGTAGTCAGATTGCTTTTAAAGAATTTTTTATTTTATTATTTTTGTTTAGAGAAAGAGTCTCACTCTGTCACCCAGGCTGGAATATAGTGGCACAATCACAACTTGCTGCAACCTCAAACCCCTGGGTTTAAGCAATATTTCCATCTCAGCCTCTTGGGCAGCTGGGACTACAGGCACGTGCCACCATGCCCAGCTAATTAAAAAAAAAAAAATTTGTTGTTTTGTGTTGGTAGAGACAGGGTCTCAGTATGTTGCTCAGGCTGGTCTCAAATTCCTGGCCTCAAATCTTCCCACCTTGGCTTTCCACAGTGCTGGGATTACAGCTGTGAGCCACGGCATCCAGCTTATAATCGGATTGCTTGATTTTGAATTTCCACTCGATTTACTAATGATATAATCTTGGGGCATTTTCTTAATCCCTCTATGCCTTGGTTTCTTCATCTATATAATGTAGAGAGTGAGAGTAAGAGTACTTCTATTATATAGCTGTTGTAAGGATTAAATAAGGTAATTCATGTAAACAGCTTAGCACAAGGCCTAGAACAAAGTATTGCTAGTGGCTATTATTGTGATGAGTCTCATCGTTCCCAGGGCCAAAGTAATTCACTTACCAAGATGAGTGTCCATCACCTTTGCACAGTATTTGCACATGGCATCCAGGTCATTCAACTGCCCTTGAAGGAAGGAAATTTGGGCTTCTAATTCTTCTTCCTAAAATAAAGGGATAAACATATGGAAATTTTTTAGAGATTGTCAAATAAAATCTCCAAAGTTTTCTAAATGATCTAGACTAGTTTAAAGAAGCATGATACCTTTTTAAACCTAGACAAATCTAAATAGCAAACAAAAACAAAATCACAACTGCCACCACCAACAAAATAAAAAAAGGGTAAAATGGAAAATTTTAAACGTCTGGATTTTTCTAATTGAATTCTAGCTTTAGGCCATGTGTAAAGTTACAGTTAGATTGCATATACAATCTTGCATTGCAAATATTTGCATATACAACCTTGTATTTAAAAAGTGCACAATATATCTTCAACATTGAGCAACACAAATTAAGAGGGCAATCTGGATTTCAGTGAACTACACTTCCTAAGCAGCTGGTACAAAAACATTGCGTTTTTTTCACACATTTGAGAAACCAAAGATTTCCCTTTTTATAAGACAAATCTCTAAGCCTGGAACCTAGACTTTGTAAAAATAAAAAAAAAATAAAAAAAAAGACATAGCTCATCATTTTCTAGACAATGATAATCTCTTAAAATGTGAGATTTCCTAAAGCGCTTGGAAAAGTTTTGCCTCAGCAGCCCATAAATTGTTGCTCCTCTCTCTTGATATGACACTAAAATACTTCATTTATTTGTTTGTTTCTAGGAAAAAGTACTCTGGGTTGAATAATTATCTAAGTTAAATTATCTAAAAACAATCGAACTGTAACAAAAGGATGAAGCCTTTTTTTCTTTTCTTTTTTTTTTTTAAGGAAAAGATAATATAAGCAAAAAGTTTCCCAAGGAAATTTGGAAGATTATCGGAGTTTTTTTTTTTTTTAAGAGAAAAAGAATAATCCTCATCATTTAGCATACTCTAAACAAAGCTAGCTAGGATACCAAGAAAGGATACTGCCAGGGCTGGAATAGGCTAGAAAACTGATTTTCCAGTCTTAGATCTACTTGTCCTTTTGCATAAGAATCCTCTGTATCACTAAAAAAGAAGGAAAAAAAAACCTACTAAGGTATCCTTTCTCTTTGAGAATGAGTATAATTTGACTTGTGCATGGAAATTAATAGTTGAAAAGGTTACTTGTAGATGTATCCCATTTTAACAATATGTACATGCAGCACTGCAAATTATTGTTTTTAACTGCTGCCTGAAGAACTAGCCCGTAGGAATAGGCATTGAAACACTGGACACAGAAAACAGAAGTAGTGCTGGGTGCAGTGGCTCATGCCTGTAATCCCAGCACTTTGAGAGGCAGAGGCAGGCAGATCACTTGAGGTCAGGAGTTCGAGACCAGCCTTGTCAACATGGTGAAACCCCATCTCTACTAAAAATGCAACAAATTAGCTGGGAGTGGTGGTGAGTGCCTGTAATCCTAGCTACTCAGGAGGCTGAGGCAGGAGAATTGCTTGAATCCGGGAGGTGAAGGTTGAAGTGAGCCGAGATCATGCCACTGCACTCCAGCCTGGGCGACAGAGCAAAACTCTATCTCCAAAAAAAAAAAAAAAAAAAAAAAAAAAAAAAAAATTAAAAAAAGAAAAGAAAAGAAAATAGACATAATAGTAGCAGCTCTAAAAACAAATTACTGTGAAATGTCGACTGTAGGATTTACAAGCACTAACCATGTTCTTTACATATCCTGCAAGTGTAGCAGCCTCTCCTCCAATACTCAAATAAGAACAAATACTACAAGAAGCTTAGCCAAAGGATAATTAGAAGTAATTTTGGAGAGGTGGGGTTGTCTTCCTAACTCTGCAGCTGAGCATTAAGGTAGACAAGGATGGGGCATTTCAGGGCTTTTTTTCTACTCTTTTTCTCACTTGTTTCTGAACAGGCTTGAATTTCCCTCGTTATCACAGGAAACTGTAGGAATTAGAGAAAGAAGGCTACATCTGCTGCTTAATAATGATTGAGGTTAGTCTCCAAAGATGGCCACCATCAATTTCTTCCCTCCCTGACTCTGCATGTTGCTTCATTCATTACGAGGTAGTATGTATTCCCCCTGTCCTTGAATCTGGACTGGCCTATGACTTGCATTGATCCAGAGCATTTAGCCGAAATCAAACTTCTAATTTTGAGCTAGTTTAAGGGGACTGCCAGCTTCTGCTTTCATTAGAAGCTAGCTACCATGCTGTAAAGAAGTTTAGGCTACAATATTGAAAGAAAGGAGAGAACACATAGAGAAAAAGAGGGCACATGAGAAGCTCAAAAGTTCTAGACACGTGAATAAAGTTTTTCTGGACTTTTCAGCCCAAGCCAGCTGAAGCCAGCCCAGTAAGTGACCCAGTCAATACCATGTGGAGCAGAAGAAGAGCCTGAGCCCTGCCCAAATTCCTGATCCACAGATCTATGATGGGAGTACTAGATTTTGGAGTAGTTTGTTATGCAGCAATAGACAACAGAAATAGTGGCAGAATGAAAACAACACTAACTTAGCATATGGCATGAGGAAACATAAGTTCTATTCCTGGTCCTGCCTGGTCCTCCCCAATGAGCGGAGTCTAGAACTGTACCGAAGCCAGAGTTTGATAGTCTTGTAAAAAGAGAGGGCCAACCTATGGCCTGTGTTTCGCCTTACAAGTGGCTACCAACTGGGGTGCTGACAGCCCAGAGTGGACCAAGGGCACAAGGAATGCAGTGCTTCTTGGCTTAAAAACTTCTCCTCTATTTACTCCATGCATTAGTTTAAATTGGATTAGCCACCACTTATTTTAAAATACAAAAGCCGTTGGGAGCTTTGATACTCAGCAGTCATTCCTACCTGAATGGATTCATTTTCTTTTGCAAAGGAACTCAAACTGGGTAGGAAGAACTTAGAAGACACGCTTTAGAGGATATAGGCACAGCCTGTTGGCAGTGAGGTGTTGAACAGCTGGTGGAAAGTATGAGCTTAAAGAGGGCCTCTTTCTCAAAACATTTTATTCCTCTAGCAGGAACATTACTGTAATAAAGACTGCGATGAGACTGGGGCCCTCTAACTTGTATAGTTAATGGGGAAGTCCTAAGAGTGTAGCAGTCCAGGGCACTTGCTGGGAAAATATGCAGGGATATAAAAACACAAATTTCCAAGTTTTCAATTTTTGCTTAGGGCTCTGGTGGCAGCCACTGAAGTGCATCTTGAATACCTAAAACCCAAGTAGATCTTGATACAAACAGAATCTGTTTGTCTCAATATAAACACATGGAAAAAGGCAACTTTGAATCAGATAAACCTTCTTTTTCAAAGGGATGGTTATACAAAAGCCAAATATGTGAGATAAAAGAGGACTACTCTGGCTGAAGCAGGCTGAGGTACCAAGAACCTCGTCCATAGTCTGAAATCCAGTGTATTATCCTTCTAGAGTTTGCTTAATCTTAAAACATTTCTAAACCCTTCAACTATCACTCAGACTTTATAAATAGAAATGGAATCACTTGGAGGCAAAAGGGTGGCTTGTCATTTATTCTTCACTATATTATATAATTACACATAAAAGAAAGAGCCAAGAATCAAGCTTCCAAAACTGTGGGAACTGACTTTACATTTTTATCTTTTCTCATCCTCCACACTCCTCCCAACTAACAATGCTTTAGACATTGATAGCTTTAGTTATTTGTTTTCATTAAACTGGTCCTCTGTAATAAAAATGCTTGGCTAATTGCCTTGAGGTTTTATGAAACCAACCAGCTAGTGTTAATTGTTATGTGTAACTAAGACACTGAAGATAAATGTTCATTATATTTACTTTTATGTGTATGTCCTGCCTTCCATTATAGGAGGGCATAGGGTGGGGAACAAAGGAATGCTGAAATAGACACAGCTGGGTTCACATCCTATTTTTCTCAGTTATTAGCTGTATAATCTTGGACAAGTTCCTTAATTCCTTGGTCTACTCAACCCCACCTGGCAGGATCGGGGGAGAACAAAATGAGAACATATGGAGAACACAGCATCTGGCACAGAGCAGACACTCAATAAAGGTAATTATTCTTTCTTTAAAAAAATTTTTTTATAATCAAGTTAAGACAGTGAAATGGATTTAAATACAAAGTTTTATGATTCACTGTTGGAAAACATTAGTTTCTGGCTTTAAAACCTTTATGTAGCTTAGCCCAGAAAGATTAATTAAAGCTTAAGAGCCCATCACCGTCTTAAGCATGGGATAGCAAACTAATGTACAAGGCAAGAAATTGATAGAGGAGGATAAAGTTGGGCCACCTGTAGACTACAATGTGCAACATCACCAATTGTAATTGGTGCCCTATAGCAAAGGACCAGAAGATGAGGGCCACTCTATAAGAAGAGAAAAATAACTAGCATCAAATCCCTTCATATTGATTGTAATACGCCAGACACTGAGCTTTGCTGTATTAACATGTTTACTCTTCACACAAACTTCTGAGGTATATTCTCTCATTATCTCCGACATAAAATATGGCCTACTCCTCTGTAAGCCACAGTCTCTGGAAGTGTATGCTAAGGTTTAGATAGCTCTTTGAGAACCCAAGTCACTTGGCCTGCTACTCTCATTTCTTCCCTGTGTACACATCCCTTCCTATGCTCCATTACCATGGTCCTTCCCATGAATAATCCCATATTTCAGTTTCCTTTACCTGAGATTCACCAGCTGTAATGCTGAGCCCTAATGCCAAATTGCTTATTAAATTGTTTTCCTTCAAAAACATTCAGATATGATTGGCTGTATTGTTTTGTTGTTTGTTGAATGATTTTCTTTTTGACTAAATAATCTGAAGAAATTGTTTTTTGAATTTGCTTTTTAATAAGTGGTGTTTCTATCATTCTGCCCCAAATAGTTGATGCATCATTAGACTTCTATTGAAATGTTAGGTATCTCAGCTGTTTAAATTTAATATGTCAATTTTATTAATTAATTCAATGTAGTCCTGCTATTTCTTTGTTAAAAAGAGGATAAACTTTCATAGTTTATTATTCATTCATATATTAATTTTTTCAAAAGTGATGTTTGTTTGCATTGTGTTAGGCCTTGTGAGAAATACAATAATGACTAAAACATGGCCACTGAAAAAGTTTAGAGGATGGTCAAACCTGTACAGAAAGCCAAGAGAGGTACAAGATAAGTTCTGTAGAAGAGACGTGAGAGAGGACTCCTTACAATTCTGGAAAGGGAAGATGATTTCAATTTGTGTATGTGGAAAGGAAAGGAGGTTTTCTAGTGTTTTTGAGGGGTCCTGAAGAAGGAGAGTCTTGGCTTAGACAAAATAATAAGGAAAGATGTTTTAGGAGGCAGGAAAGTATGGCACCTAGGCAACCAGGCAGTCACTGAGCTGAGCCAGAACATGGGGATAGTACGAGCTGAGGTTCAGCAGAAAGGCTTCCCTTCCTCTTCTGTTCATCCCTGTTGCATTTTCACTTCACATAATTATGTTTTCGGGGTTGGGGTTTGACATGCAGACTACTGTGGCCACTGCCCCCAACACACACCATGCTGACAGATTATTATACAGGCTGCAGTGGTGTTTCTGTCCATGGACTAATTCAAACTCCAGGGGAATAGTGAGGCAGGAATGGCACTGAGGTGGAGTTCTGCTTAGCTTCTAAGTGGGTGTCCTCAGATCACAAGAGAAGCAGACAAGGGAACCAACACTAACTGTAGGCAGCAGGAACAGGCTAAATATAGCAACCAGAAGACAGGAAAGACGCCCAGTCTTTCTTGAGCAGATGGGTGAACAAGAAGTGGGAAGTAAAGGAAACGGAAAGTCTCAAGGAGAAAAAGTGGAAAGGCCACGGATGTTCGGAGGAAGCTGTGGTGTACACAAGGGCAAAACACATACACGGTGTGAATGAAATCCAAGTCAGAAGCATATGGTATCAGCAGAGGAAGATACCACCAGAAAAAATAGAAGAAGAGCACAAAGAAGACTTTTTAAGAGTATTAAAATAAGTGGTATGAGGTGTGAAGCTGTGCAGCCATACTGGTGAACAAGCTGGAATATAAATCACAAGCCTTAAAATCAGTATATACTAGGCTTGACACTTACCTTCTCTGTGATTCTGACCAGATAGCAAAGTTCTTTGAGCCTCAGTTTCCTGTTTACAAAATGGTGATAATAATAGTTTCTACCTCATGTGCTTGTTGGAGGACTGGATTTGAATTACATTAGGTTTTCCAGATTAAATACTTTGCACAGTGCTTAGGACATGGTAAACACTCAATAAATGTGAATTTTATTGTCTCTGAATTTTAATACAATCCTAGAAAGTTATTTCAAAGGATTATGAATGCATGCAAGAATAACTCCCAGGATATTCATCACACATTCAATGGCAACATGCACACATATGGGCATAGGCACCTCACAGAAATCCTAAATGTCTAATGATGGGTGATTTGGGTAACTTGTGGAACATTTATAAACAGTATGCTATGCAAACCTTATTTTTTATTTATTTTTTTTGAGACAGAGTCTCGCTCTGTTGCCCAGGCTGGAGTGCAGTGGTGTGATCTTGGCTCACTGCAACCTCTGCCTCCCACGTTCAGGCGATTCTCCTGCCTCAGCCTCCCAAGTAGCTGGGATTACAGGCACCTGCTACCACACCCGGCTTTTTTTTTTTAAATATATTTTTAGTAGAGATGGGGTTTCACTATGTTGGTCAGGCTGGTCACAAACTCCTGCCCTCAAGTGATCCGCCTGCTTCAGCCTCTCAAAGTGCTGGGATTATAGGCATGAGTCATCGCACCCAACTTATGCAACCTTTAAAATGTATTTATAGGAGAACATTTAAGAACGACATATCACATACTAATTGGGAAAACAGGTTACAAAGTAGTAGGTAAACAATGATTCTGATTTCAAAAAATATATATATATGCATAGAAAAAAATAATGGATAGTCCCCAAATAGTTTATATTGGTTTCTTTCAAATGGTGGAATTATGGGTGATTTTTTCTCTCCTTTTTGCTAATTTTCGGTGGATTTTCTACAATGAAATTGGATCATATTTTTGTAATAAGAAAATCAAATAATGCAAATAACATAATAGAGAAGAAAAAAGTGAAAGGTGATTGCCAAGGAGAAAAAAGACATAACTGATTCCAAATCAAACTCCAAGTAATATTCTATACTCTAAACAAATCTGTATTCTAAACGACACTAAATAGAGAAACTTCTATGAAATAAATTGTAAAAAAAAAAAAAGGTAAATAATTAGCATATTTTGTCCCATGTGCAAACCTGGAGTAGTATAGCATTCTTATGGTAAAGGGCTTCCTTCTATATGATTAAAATGAGAACGTTAGTGGATGCTGCTCTTTATGGGTTGCCTAGAAATAACGTGATTCTTAAAGATATTTTAAAAATAAAGATGCTTACAAAATCCCCCAGTAAATAGCAGTTCCCATTTTTGGACAGGATGTAAACAAACAAGTTAAATGTAAATGGAAATGGCCTTTAGAAATTTTGAACTGAAATTCAAAGCTCAAGATGTCACATTTATGCTATCCAATTATATCATTTCAGAACTGGAAATGTCTTTAGAGATCATTTATTTCAACCCCTTCTTGTTTACAAATAAAGCAGCTTTTGTATGGCCAGGTAGCTGGGCAAGTAGCAGAAATCCCACTGGTAGGCTTCCTTGTTTTTCAGCCACTGAAGCACTGCGGTGTCCCACCGCTGACGTCCTCACTACCAGGGAACACTGGATTTGTCCCGACAGGATGGGTTTTCATAACAATCACTGAGCCCTTTTCCTTCTACCCCACATCCTCCTGTACTAGCAGTGCTCCTTCCTGACTATTGAAGGCTACAGCAAAGTCACTAAAACCTAAACTCCACAGGATTTTGTATCACTTTTCACTCCTTTAGTTTCCCCCAGAAACTTGGATAAAACCTCTACATTAAACAATACTGACTCCTTATAATTTATAAAGTTAAAAATTGCCTGTGATAAAATTGGGGTGGCCCGGTGAGGCATGAGTCAGGCTTTCTCCAGCCCAGAGCTCCTCGCTGATTGTGCTGCTTCAGCTGGCTCTAATAGATAGTGATCATTCAAACCCCTTCTCTTCAGGAGCCCAACAGGGGCTGCAGGGCAAGACCACAAGGTCAAGTATAGGGAGAAACCTTTATTTTTCCCTGCAAAAATTTTCTCTACCAAATTGCTACTTGACTTATAGCATATCCCTAGAATTGACAAATTACATATCAACTTCACATTCTCTTCATTGGTTTACATGCGAAGAGTTTCAAATCTCTTTTTGAAGTCAGGTGTTGGCAGGTTAAAATAATTAATTCAGATCACATGCTTGCCGTGGGTGCGACATATGGGGTATGGATTACAAATATTTTAAAAATAGTGCATGTAAGGTTCACAAAATTAAGGGAAAGAAATTTCCCTTTATATTCAGCTGTTGCTTATAAGTTTTATTGAGGGACTAAAAAAGATCTTCATTTCTTACCCCTTTTTATTCTTCGGGTCTACCTGATAAGGCAGAAATTCTTCATTGCCCAGTTATGACTAATAACTTCTTTTGTAGATAGCGCTAACCACAGACTCTATTTCCCTCAGTTTTCTAATTTGTAAAATAGGAAGCAATTCTAGCAGTGACCTTATAGCGTTGCTTGAGGATTAAAATAGCTAATACATGTAAAATGCTTAGAACAGAGGACACACTTACAGAAGGTGTTCTATAACTATTAGCACTTAGCCACCATTTACAAGGAGAACATGCTCACACTAGGATATATTTGAAGCTTGCTTTATATGTAGAAAATCTCATTCCTTATTTGGTATTCAATTAATGTTATTAATATCAATTTTTTCGATCTTTAATATGAATAAAAATCAGCTGGGGATCTTGTTAAAATGCAGAGTCTGATTTAGTAGGTCTGGGTTGGGGCCTAAGATTCTGCATTTCTAACAATCTCCCAGGGGATGGGATGCAGCTGGTCCATGGACCACAATTTGGATGGCAAGGATTTAAATAACTCATCTCACGCTAACCTTCTATTAATATTTACTTCTGAATATCTCTTCCCGTCATTCTAGGAAGGCTGTGAAGTACTTTACTATCTATCTGATCTAAGGCAATTTTAACAGATGGCTGCATGGTTAGAAGCGTATTTGGTGACAGTCCGAAAGACCTCTTCTCAACATGGAGTAGGATGCAGCGGGGAGAGAAGCAGGGTGACAAGCTTCCAGGAGAGCCTTCCAATCTCCCTGAGTTAGTTTTGTACTGAGTAGCTCTATTATTCTATTTAGAGCTAATTCTTAGACCATTAGATATCAGTTTATTCTATTGTAAACACAAACATTTATACAATTTCTCATTAAAAACAAGTGAAATATGAATTAATTTTATTGGATTATGCATGCTCTCTTCTGTAACTTTTGACAAAGGCTGTGTATTAAGTATCAGAGAATAAAAGATGCTTTTCAAACATAAAATGCAATGAAAAGGAAATGGCAAAAATACTTCCATAATTCATGGTATTTAAATTCATCCCTGATTTTCAGAAGATATCTTTCTGAATATATGATTTCTGAAAAAATCATAAGTAATATTTATTAAGAACTTTTAGCCTTTAGAAACATGCTTTTATACCTACTGCCATTTTAACATTGTGAGCCATTTTAATCTAATTTTGCTTTCCTAGAAGTTGCCTACAAAAAATAATAAAGTAAACAGAAAAGACAAGAACGGTGCCAGAAAACAGGATCATGTGCTACAAATATCTAAAGTAAAGTAAATAAGCTTACAATCTGGAATAAATATACTGGAAATTGAAATAAAACCTTTAATTAGGACCAACTTCACATAGGTGTAACCAGAGGAAGAATAAAACCTCACTTGCAGAGTTACAAACCTCATTATTTGCAAAAGTCCTATAACTGCAGTTTAAAATAATTATATGCATATGGTATGTCTTCTTAGCCCTGTAAAAATTCAAAAGGTATAAAAGGTGTCTCCTAGAAGTGCTTATGTATGGGAGTCTAATTAAATGGCATTTGTGGAGAAATGCTCCCATCTTTTGGGCTTTTATGCTGTCATTTCTGTGTTGTGTTTTTATAATTAGGCAACCTGACCAATCATTTGGAAACCCATGTAGTTCTCTCCTCCACCAGGACAATAAACACAGATGTTACTCTACTTAACAAGGGTTTTCCCCCTCCCCACTTACACGTGATAAGACCAACTGATGAAACCAGCCAGCCAGCACCAGGGCCTCCAGCTGAGTTTCTCATAGCAATGCTGGCTGGGCAAAACCATCTGCGTGCTCTCCCTTGCTGTTCCTGGCACCAAGGGTAGGCATCTGCACAATGGCTGGCCCAGATAGAAGGGCCTGAGCCAAGACTGTTTTTCTTATGACAAAGCTAATTGATCCGTGTGAAGATGAAATGTACACACTTGCACAACTTATTCTCTGGGCTAACTGACCTCTATAATGTCCCAATAGAGACAGACAAAAAACCGTACCCTGCAGCAAATCCAAGCTGAGGATCAAGTACAGTTTAAGAACTACTTTAAGTAACAACTGGTAAAAGCAAGTAAGTTTTGGAACAGCCTTGATATTTCTTTCTTTTTTTTTTTTTTTTAACATAAACATTACCACTTCTGAGACTTCTGGAAAGAAAAAAAGGTGAGAAGGAAATAATTCTCTAAATTGCCTGGTTTATTCATATGCCTATCATACTTTTGTTAGTTCATCCCTTAAGTTATACCCCATCTCTCACTAAATACCAACAATTCCTATTAGCTTTTTAAATAAGTGGTTGGTAAATGCTGCTGAGAAATGAAGCAACTTTTCAGGCTCTAGAGGACGCCAGAGCAAAGCCTAAGACATCTCAATACTTGCACAACACACAAAACCCTCAACAGCATTCATTTATTCCTAAACGTTTACTGAGTGCCAGACACAATATCTGGCACAGAAGATACAGTGACAAGCGCCTGCAAGAGCCTTATAAGTAAACACAAGTAGTTCTCTGACATTCAAAACGGGAAACATTTGCAGATTACGTAGGACACCCTCCATCTCAAGATGCTGCTGCTTTAGGTTTGGGGAGGGGCTCTGAAATCTGCAGCTTAACTAGGGCCCCAGCTACTTATTACAAGTGCTGAAAGCTCCTAGCAGAGAAGGCTCCATGGGACACAAGGTGCTTGGGCTGAGACTGGAAGGGACTCTATTTTGTGGCTACATCAATCACTCTGGTCAGAAGAGACAGTGAAGGGAAACAACACAGAAGTATGAGAAAGCATGCTTGGTTTAAGGGAAGTGAAACAGCTATGCATTCCTGAGGGGCTGGGGAGGAGTAAGAGGGAGGACTAATGATAAGGCTGAACAGGGTGAGACTGTAAAGGGCCCTACAGGGCATACCTTAAAATTGAGGGATTTATCCTAGGGAGAAGGGCTCCTGCAGAATTCTGATGAGGAGTCAAAGCATATGAGTCAGACATACACGATGCACACGTTGGTGTCGTGAAATACTTTGGGTATATGTTGACCATTAATAAAATGGATTAACTCTAAAATTTCTAATTAACATGGGTTTGTTACTTGAGAACAAGAAAATTATGTAGAGTGTAACCTTTCTATATTCTCATTCCTCCAACTCGCCAAATCCAGAAGCTGCATGTCATGAACTGTATAGAGTCAGTTCCGTTATAATGCTTGTTTTGAAAATGTGAACTTGTTTCAATGAGATCAATGTATTAGGGAATAATTGAGCATAACCCGAAGTTCACATTTGCTTACACACAACATCATCCTCAAGAAATAATGGGTGAATGCAGAAAACTCCACATAGATGAACGCAGCTACACGTAGGAATGCAGGAATACACAAAATGCCTACATGCATGCAACACAGATATCTGCCAGCTACCTCCATTCCGTGTGTGTTATGGGCTACTTCCATAACCAAATCCATCAGATTCCATCCAGATAACTCTCCTCCACCACTTCACAGTGACTCACAAGCTGCAACCCTTCCAATGTCCACTTCCGCAACTGAGCTTCAGGTATTTTTCAAGGTAAAGTATCATATTTATTGCACTATTTATTTCTTAATCACTTAACGTGTAAAACCACTCTACCACTTTTATTAGGTTCCTACTTTGTTTCATGTGGCACTGATGACCTTTTTTTTTAGTGTTGTACCTCGATCCAATTTTCCCCACAAGCCCTGGGGTTTTTATCTTATTATTTTTATTACTATTTTAGAGACAAAGTCTCGCTGTTACCCAGGCTGGAGTACAGTGGTGTGATCATGGCTCATCGCAGCCCTGAACTCCTAGGTTTAAGCGATCTTTTCACCTCAACCTCCCAAATAGCTAGAATTACAGGTGTGTGCCACCAAGCCCAGCTAATTTTTTTTGGTAGAAATGGGGTCTTGCTATGTTGTCCCAGCTGGTCTTGAACTCCTGGCCTCAAGCAATCCTCCCACCTCAGCCTCTCAAAGCACTGGGATTACAGGCATGAGTTACTGTGCCTAGACTCCCTGTGGTTTTTAATGCATGTCTTTGCATAGCATAGTGATTTTGGGGAACATTTGTCACCTCAGAACTGACAATTCCGCTGGATGGGGTGCAGTAGCTCATGACTGTAATTCCAGCATTTTGGGTGGTTGAGGCAGGCAGGTCACTTGAGCTCAGGAGTTCAAGACCAGCCTGGGCAACATGGTGAAACCCCATGTCTACAAAAAATACAAAAATTAGCTGGACATGGTGGCTCGCGCCTGTAGTCCCAGCTACTTGGGAGGCAGAAGGGGTTGGATTGCTTGAGCCCAGGAGGTGGAGGTTGCAGGGAGCCGAGATTGTGCCACTGCACTCCAGCCTGGGTGACAGCATGAGTCCCTGTCTCAAGAAAAAAAGAACAGTTCTGAAGACGACTGTTCAATGAAGATAAATACATTCATGAAAATCAAATTTATATTTTTTTCCAGAAAGGTAATTGCAGAAAAGTTTTAGTCTAGACATCATGGTATCACTCAGTGTTTATGAAACAGAAGTGTTACCTGTACTATTGTTCTTTATAGGGGCTAGGGCTGGTGTTCCCTGTGTCTCCTTCCCAAGAGGGCCCTGCAGCCATGAGCCCCCTCCAACCCAATCTACAGTTGTGGGCAGTGGCTGGGCCTGATGGATTTAAGGGTAATCTAGGAATTTTGGCCAATAAGACATAAAGGAAGTCTTGGTGAGTAGCTGTTGAAAACGCCTTTAAGATAGGGTTGCCATATTTAGAAATAAAAACATAGAACATAGGATTAAATTTGAATTTCATATAAACATCAAATAAAGTTTTTAGTATAAATATGTCCCATGTAATATAAGATACTTATACTAAAAAATTTACTCATTATTTATCTGAAATTCAAATGTAACTGGGCATTTTGTGTTTTATCTGGCAAACCTACCTTTAAAAAATGCCCTAGAAGACATGGTCATTCTCCTCTCGATGTTGGTGAATGGATATGGTGTCTAGAACTATTACAACTGTCTTGCTTTCAACCTGGGGAAGAGTTCGTTCTGGGAAGGGCAGGGCAGGTCAGGGCAGAGAGATGGCAAGAAACTGCATCCTTGAAGACACAGGTGAGCTTCTAAATTAGTGGTTCTAAACCTTGACTACATATTTGAATACTCCAGAAAGTTTTTAATAATTACCAATGCCCATGCTCCACTGGAAAGATTCTGACTCAGTTCTTCTGTGACCAGTATTGATTAAAACATTCTCCCAGGCCATTCTAACGTATGGTCGGGAATGGGAAGTCCTTGGAACTTGAGCTAAATAACTTTCCTTGTTACCGGAATCAGTGTGAATTGCATTTTCCGCTACATGTAGCTGAAAGCATACTAAATAAAGACAGTCTCTAGAGTGAAACGCAAGGTTCCGCATTTAAACGTTTTATAGTTAGTCCATCTTGGAAATTTAAATCACAATTTCTGGCAAAAAAATTAGGACTGCTCATTTATTTGAGAAAAAGCTCATGTCTCAGCCCAACCTTCAAATCTAAATCCGAAATCAAGGGTGTCAAAAAAGAAGTCTGGTCATAACAGAGGACTGAGGATGTATGACTGATTATAGACATTAAGAAAACAATCAATACCTCATTTATCCTGTGCAATAAACAGATATTCATGTTTTCATCACTGTCCAGCTAAAATGATATTATAGTTTGACAGTTGTCTAGAGATGAATTTAAGATTTCCATAAATGTTACCATCATCACATATTGGTATCATGCTGATTTCATTCTTATTTTCAAAAACATTATTCTTGATATTTTATGGAATATTTTCACATCATGATACATGAATAACAGTTGCATGTAGAGTGTACAAATATGCTTCAAACCCAAATGGTTGCTTAGAATCCAACTGAGAACATCCCAAAGTTAAGCAATTTGGCAGCACTTCTCACTGTTTTAAGTTGATTGGGACATTGTATTGAGGCCTCCTTCAAATTTTGGACCATGTGGTAGTATATATATGTACTGAAGGGACCTATGGAAGGACTCAGGTAAAATGTTGCAAACTGTCCCACCTTTGGGATAGCCACCAGGAATAAAAAGGTGATGATGATCAAGAGGCCAGAGCGATTACCTGGAGGTAATCCTTGATGTTGATCTGAAAGGCCCTTTTTGTAGCACGGACAAGGTATGGTTGAATTTGGTTTATTTAATGAGATCAGGCCATCTTTCAGAGTTCCTCACAGAGGCAAAAATAAGAAAGATATCAAATGTTAAAGCAGAACAGTAAGAACATTAAAGGTGAGAAAAGTAGAGAAATGTGACCATGAAAGCCAGAAGTCTGAGTCTAGTCTTGGGTCTATGAACAACTGATGAGCTAGAGAGGGGAAAGGAGGGAGCTTCCCTTTTCACAATTGTTTTTCAAGTAGAAATAATTTTCTTATTCTTTTCTCTCTTTTCAAATATAGCCTATAACTTTTTAGGATTTAACATAAGGCCAATTTGTTCTTGGCTTATTATAAACACTATATTTTGCTGTTAAAGTTCCTGTCTACTGACCAAAGTAACTTTGGAAAGCAACATATTGACTGGAAATGATAAGGCCATAGATAGAACTGTACATAAACACTGTACTATAGTTCAGGGGTCCCCAAACCCCGGGCTACAGACCAGTAGTTGTTCGCGGCCTGTTAGGAACCATGCTGCACAGTAGGAGGTGAGCAGCAGGCAAGCAAGCATTACCACCTGAGTCCCACCTCCTGTCAGATCAGCAGCAGCATTAGATTCTCATAGGAGTGTGAAGCCTATTGTGAACTGCACATGCAAGGGATCTAGGTTGTGTGCTCCTTATGAGAATCTAATGTCTGATGATCTGAGGTGGAACAGGGAACCTGTTTGATCCTGAAACCATGCCCCTGCAACCGCATCTGTGGAAAAACTGTTTTCCGTGAAACGGTCCCTGGTGACAAAGAGGTTGGGGACTGCTGCTATAGTTGGTAACAATTCTAAGGGAAATTGTCATCTTAAATAAAAAGGAAGTTTGGAAATTTGATTATATTACCTTCTGGTGATCCATACATTCAATGCTTTTTAAATCCTTTGGCTACACTGTAACATCACGGCTGAATAGGGTTTTAGTTGTTTTTTCAGATGTTTTAAAAAATTTCTCCTGAGCAACAAGCAGTACAAACATTCCATACCAAGGTCAATCTTATTCAAGCCAAGTACAATAGTTTAGTCAAATGCAACTTAAAGTCAATCTGATAAATTTGTAATGATAAACATGTGTATTAAGAGGATTAATAATTAGGCATGAATGGGGAACTCTGTGTAAATGACTTGGTGTGCTTGGTATTAATATTCTTATGGTCAAAAGAATTATTTGTTTTTTTCTCTTCTTATTAGTTCTTCATGTTACTGCTAACATGTTTTCCTGGTAAAATCCAAATTTTTTTTTATCATCACTGCCACAAATTAGAAAGGTCCTGATTTTTTCCAACAGTTGCAGTTCCCTCTTCATTAACTTAGGGCCTTCAAGAACTTAAAGCATGCCTTTAATTTAATTTACTCCCCAACTTCACCCTCTTTCAGTGCAGAATTTGGAGAGTGAAAAAAAACACGGCCCCTTCTCTAGGCAAATATGAACCCCAGACCAGGGTGTGCTGCTTAGTGAACACAGCGTGAGCTCGGTTTTAAGACCCTGGGTTGTCTCTTTCTCCCATGCTTCAGGCATGAGATTCCGGGTGCTTACTGCCAGCAATACTTCCAGGTGTATTAATTTCTGACACATGGACAACTTGGGGCAGAAAGCTGGGAGGGTAAATAGCAGAGATCAGGAAAAGAGAGGAAGCTTGGGTAAAGGTGCCTGATATGGTTTGGATTTGTGTCCCTGCCCAAATCTCATTTGGATTTTCATCCCTGCCCAAATCTCATCTTGAACTGTAATCCCCAGTGTTACAGCAGAGGCAGGATGGGAGGTGATTGGATCATTTGGATTACAGGGGTGGATTTCGCCCTTGCTGTTATTGTGATGGGTTCTCATGAAATTTGGTTTTTAAAAGTGTGTAGCACCTCCCCCTCACTTCCTCCTTCTCTGGCTGTGTAAGATGTGAATCCTTCCTCTTCACCTTCTGCCATGATTGAAGTTTCCTGAGGCCTCCCCAGCCACGCTTCCTGTACAGCATCTGGAACTTTGAGCCAATTAAATCTTTTCTTTATACTTTACCCAGTCTCAGGTAGTTATTTATAGTAATATGAGAATGGACTAATACAGAAAATTGGTACTAGGAGTGTGGCAGCATTGCTACAAAGATACTTGAAAATGTAGAAGTGACTTTGGAACTTGGTAACAGGCAGAGGTTGGAACAGTTTGGAGAGCTCAGAAGAAGACAGGAAGATGAGGGAAAGTTTGGAACTTCCTGGAAACTTGTTAAACTGTTGTGACCAAAATGCTGATAGTGATATAGGCAATGAAGTCCAGGCTGAGATAGTCTCAGATAAAGATGAGAAACTTATTGGGAATTAGAGTAAAGGTCACTTTTGTTATGCATTAGTAAAGAGACTGGTGGCATTGTGCCCCTGCTCTAGGGATCTGTGAAACTTTGAAATTGAGAATGACAATTTAGGGTATCTGGTGGAAGAAATTTCTAAGAAGCAAAGTGTTCAAATGCAGCCTGGCTGCTTCTAACAGCATATGGTCATAGGCATGAGCAAAGAGATGATCTGAAACTGGAACTTATACAACAGGGAAGCAGAGCATAAAAGTTTGGAAAATTTGCAGCCTGTCCCTGTGGTAGAAAAGAAAAATCCATGTTCCTGGGAGGGATTCAAGCTGGCTGCAGAAATTTGCAAAGTAAAGAGGGGTGAATGTTAATAGCCGAGACAATGTGAAAAATGTCTCAAAGGCATCTCAGAGACCTTTGTGGCAGCTGCTTCCATCACAGGCCTAGAGGCCTAGGAGGGAAGAATGGTTTTGTGGGCTGGGCCCAGGGCCCTGCTACCCTGCACAAACCTGGGACACTGCTCCTTGTATCCCAGTTGCTTCTGTTCCATCCATGGCTAAAAGGGCCTAAGATATCGCAGGCTGTTGCTCCAGAGGGTGCAACCCATAAACCTTGGCAGCTTTCACATAGTGTTAAGCCTGTGGGTGTTGAGAGGACAAGAGTTGAGGCTTGGGAACCTCCACCTAGATTTCAGAGGATGTATGGAAACTGCTGGATGGTGGAAGTTGGCTATAGGGCTGAGCCCTCATGGAGAACCTCTACTAGGGCAGTGCAGAGGGGAAATGTGGGATTGGAGCCTCCACACAGAGTCTCCGCTGGGGCACTGCCTAGTGGAGTTGTGACAAGAGGGCCACTGTCCTCCAGACCCCAGAATGGTAGATCTATTGACAGCTTGTACTGTGTGCCTGGAAATGCCACAGTCACTAAATGCCAGCTTGTGAAAGCAGCTGAGGGGGCTGTACCCTGCAGAGCCCCAAGCAGGGAGATCCCCAAGGCCTTGGAAGCCCACCCCTTGCATGAGTGTTGTCTGGATGTCAGACATGGAGTCAAAGGAGATCATTTTGGAGCTTTAAGATTTAATGACTGCCCTGCTGGGTTTCAGACTTACATGGGGCCTGTAGCCCCTTTGTTTTGGCTGATTTCTCCCTTTCAGAATGGGCATATTTACCCAGTGTCAGTACCCCACTGTATCTTGGAAGTAACTAGTTTTTAATTTTACAGGCTCATAGGTGGAAGGGACTTGCCTTGTTTCAGATGAGACTCTGGACTGTGGACTTTCGAGTTAATGATGAAATGAGTTAAGACAGGACTGTTGAGAAGGGAGGATTATCTTTTGCAATATGAGAAGGACATGAGATTTGGGAGGAGCCAGGTACAGGATAATATGGTTTGGATTTCTGTCTCCACCCAAATCTCATCTTGAATTGTAATCCTCTGAGTTGGAGGAGGGCCTGGTGGGAGGTGACTGGATCATGAGGTGGATTTCCCCCTTGCTATTCTCGTTATAGTGAGTTCTCACAAGATTTGGTTGTTTAAAAGTGTGTACCACCTCCCCCTTCAATCTCTCTTTCTCCTTCTCCAGCCTCTTCTTTGCCTTCCGCCAAGATTGTAAATTTCCTGAGGCCTCCCCAGCCATGCTTCCTGTACAGCCTGAAGAACTGTGAGTCAATTAAGCCTCTTTTCTTTATAAATTACCCAGTCTCAGGTAGTTCCTGATAGCAATAAGAGAATGGACTAATACAGTGCCCTAGCCTTCAACTGACTGTCTGGGTATAGAAGCTCTAGCTATGAGGAACAACCAAAAGGGAGTTCCTTAGCCCTAAGTTTTCAGGGGCAAAGTGAAGGCCACCTGCCTGATACAGATCCCCCCTTTATCAACAGGCCTAGAATTTCTATGACAGAACTAAAGCCATTCTTTCTGCAATGAAAGCCCAGTGGATTAAAAATATAACTTCCTGGAAAAGTTTACACAGGTGTTCAAAGGATAAATGATGAGATGCCAGGGACAAGAGGTTTAAGAGCAGGGAGACACTGTGTAGGAGAGGGTGGTGATGCCACTGAGGGGGAAAGAAGAGGACAACCATGCAGACTCCGCAATCTGGTCTCTGGCCTTGGCTGACCTCCAATTGCCCAGACAAGTCAAAGCCCTCTTTTCCTTCCCTGTCATGCACATCTGCACTTTAGGGTACAAATAACTGTCCCCAAGGCAATGTGGCACTGAAAGAATATACAAATGTCAAGTTTCAAGAAAGGTCACTAGAAAGAAGCAAACGCTATCAATGACACATTTAATTTAGCATGATTCAAACCCACAAAATATTTCTGGCCTGGGATTGTAAATATTTCTAATTGCTTTACTTGAGCTTTCCCCAAACCATTGTCTATGCCTCCCGGGCAGTATTCAGCATGGGTACAATCTGGCATCTTTGCATTTTATATAGAGGATGAAGATAAAGATAAGTGATGGAGGAAGAAGACCCAGCATGAGGTGAATGAGTGTTTCACTCAACCCAAAGGGCACTGTTCTGCAAAGGACATTGCAGCACTCTATTTCCTGTGATTCTGCTTTCACAGCCTTCTCAGATTTTTTTTTTAATTTAAAATAAATGTATTGCACCATAAGGATTTTAAAAAGTTGGTTGTAAAACCTGTTTACAAAAGCTAAATTAAAATGTCATGCTAAAACTGTTGAAAATAGAGGGCTTTTAATGATGCTCCCTTTGATGTTCACATTTCTTTGCAATAGAGTTACATGATTTGGGTGATGCAAAAAGATGGAGAAAGAAGGAAAGAACTCTCTCACAAAGATATATAGTCTACTCTTCCTGACCTTGAGTACGTTTACTGGCAGACAGATTGTAAACAAGGTTTACAAAACATCGAATGACTAAATGTATGTTTCAAATATCCAGGTTAATTTGGCCTTAGATTAAAATTACTATCATGAGACTTAAACTGCTGATGTTTAAATTCATTTTATATCTATTCATTTCAATAAACTATACTAAATGGGAATATATTTTAAATGAGACTGTATTTTATTCCAGTTATCATTAACACTACTGATTAAACAAGAAGAGATTACATATATGTATTTTTCACTTGAAAATCCTATAATTAGATGAACTCTAGATTCCAGTTTTCAATTCCATCCCTAAGCTCATAAAGAAATCCACTGAAGTCAATGCTTTCCACATAACATGTTTTCCTAGGAAGTATACATCACTGACTGAAAAGAAAATCAGATAACTAGGAAAATTCTAGTCTTCTGGGAAGGCTGCTCTGCTCAATTTCTCCCTTTCAACCACCAATTTAACTCCAGTTGCCTGAAAATCTACCAGTAAAATATGACTGATGACAGCAGAACTGGCTCTTTTCAAATGCAAATCCTTCAGGAAAGGATTAAATAAACCATTTTGGCAATTAATACTTCAAGCGTAATTTACCTATCAAATTGTTGGCTGCCTCATCACATCCCCCCAACTACTGGTCCTCTGTCATGAGCCTCTCGTGACCCTTCTCCTTACCAGAGATTGGTAAGGAGTGGGCATGGAATTTAATTCTGGTCAGTGATATGGGAAGGAAAGCCTGCTGGGGAATTCCCAAGTAGACTTCTCTAGAAGGGCTGTGCATGCACGTGTGTGTGATATAATTGGCTGTGTCAGCCCGCTTGAGAGAACACGATGAGAGCAAGTTGAAGATAAAGCTACCACACTAAGGATGGCAGAGTGGAAAGATGGTGATGCTACTCAACAGCTGAATAATCCAACCGTAGACCTATTTCAGGACTCTTGTTATGTGAAATAATAAACAACAAATTTCCTCATTTGATATAATACTTTCTCTTATTTTTACCCAAAGCAACTTGATACAATTCTAACTACTTTAGATGTGTCAGGGGATGTGAGGGAGAAGAGAACTCCTATAGAAGGTATTGTTGACTACCTGCTCAATATCCGCCACTACTACCTGTCCTAGGAAGCTATTTTCCTAAGGGAAAATAACGTTTGTATTTAATGGGAGAAGAAATACATCAGTGGTTCAGATCTATCTCTCACCAACACAGCCCATGGTGGTCTGTCATCTAACACCATTTTTTTACTGTCTTTACTGTTCATATGGCATTTAATCATATTATGCATCTCATGTGGATGAGATATTTTAATTTAGTTTAATTACTTAACTTTTCCCCCTTCCAATTTCACTCTAAGCATCTTCATTAGGATTGCTCTCTTATATTTCTTAAACAGATATAATGTCTTAAATTATAATTTCTAGATCATGGCCTGAAATAGGTTAGGCAATTCTCCAGTTTTCTAGAAGTAAGAGTCTGCTTTCAAATTCGTTTTCATTTATCTGACACTTTTTGGTATTTTGTCACGATAAAGAATAGATGAATATTACAAAAACAAATTATATTTGTATGACCATAGTATACGTTCAAACTACCAAAGGGCAATGACGAATGCACACAGGGGTCACAGGGGTCATAAAGACACAGGATGGTCACCCCCCTGTAGTGCTGTGAGCCTTCAGGTAAGGGAGTATCTCATTATGCATCCTGTTTTATGCAGAGACTTTCAGCTCAGACCTTTTTTGATTTCCTGTGGTTTAGAGAGGATTCTGAACCATGGATACTTTCAGATCTTTGAAGGTTGGTATGTATTATAATTATTACAAATCATACCAAAATATCACGCAGTTTATCAGGAAATTTACAAAAATACTTCTAGTTGGCTGGTGTGCTTAAATATTATAACTTATTCACATAGACAAGTCAGTTTTTGAGTTTTTCTTTTTATTTGTTTATTGAGGCAGGGGCTTGGCTCTGCTGCCCAAGCTGGAGGTCAGTGGCACAATCACAGCTCACTGTAGACTTGAACTCCTGGGCTCAAGTGATCCTCATACCTCAGCCTCCCAAGTAGCTGGGACTACAGGTGCATGCCACTATGCCCAGCTAATTTTTTTGTTAAATTTTTTGTAGACATGGAGTCTCACTATGTTGCCTAGGCTGAGAATTTTTCTTATACTCTATTTTTTGTATACTTTAACCTTAGCAAAGATATTCTTAGAAAATGATTTGGCAACAATCATAGAACATGACTAACAGTGCTAAAAAAAGTAAAAATTTATTTAACAGAAGAATGGCCACCTAAAAATAGACTTCTAGAAAGCTAAGTATTGGAAGTCATTTATATTATCATGTAAAATAAAGCATAAAATTAAAAGTATCAAAATGTTTTACTTTCTCTTCAAGACAAACCAATACCAATCCTCAAAATAATAGTACTAACAATAATGAAGTGAGGTCAATTTTAAAACTTTCTACTAGTTTTCACATTTCAGTAAAGAAGTATAATGATGTCTTTTATAAAAATCTGGCACAAGGCTTAATTGTTACCTCTTTAAAGACTAAGCTGAATCTTGCCCTCTTTCATTATATGGCCAAATCATGGGCATTAACAGGAATAAATGTGATACTTCCTTTTTATCTAAAGAAGATAGGCTGTGGATTATAGAAAGGGTATGTGTGATACATAAAAAGGCAATATTAAGAGAAAACAAGTTCTACAACACACTATATGATGCTTGTCCAGGATATGTCATACCTATATAGATTTTGACAATAATTTCTCAAAACCGTTACAAGCAGATTTTACTGTACTTAGACTGATAGCTACTACTATATTATTTTAGGTTTTATGTCTCTTTCTACCACTATTTTGGCAATTAACATAAACAGTTTCTTGACCCTGAACCACTTTAAAAGATAAACTGAGTCTTCAAATCTGAAAGGTATCATCATATAGTTTAAGGGACAAGAGACCCAAACGAAGAGATGTCTTTGCTTTCATTTCTGGCCACTGGTTTGTGTAAGAAATTTAACTGAAAAGCTATCTTGAACTTTTTTGAGGATATGGAATATCGCTGTATCACATCACACTGGCCTGGAAACGAAAGCAAATTGGATCCATGTATGGTAGGTACCCAGTCATAGGTTCTGGTGTCCTGGGACCACTCTAGTGGCAGCAGGCGGCTCCCATGGGAGAATGAGTCCCGGCTATGGGCCTAAGCATTTTCCAACTGTGCACTGTTGGAAGCTTAGAAGCTTAGATCAGCAAAAGCTGATTTCTCACTCATACTTCATGTCTATCATGAGTTAGCAGGGAGGTTCTGTTCATGGTGTCACAGGAAAAGAGAGCTGTGGATGGTCTTGCATTGACAATACATATATATCACTTTCAGTCACAACACAGTAGAGAGAACTAGTCATATGATTCTGACAGATCATAGGGACAAGGAGGCGCAATCCGATTAAGTGCCCAGAATGGGCGAGAACTGGCAAAGTGTACTGACTTAACACACTATTTAATAAAATAATAAGATAAAACTATTACTTGGAAAACCATGAGCTTATTTATCTTAAAAATTTCTGCCTACTTCCTTCCCCAAAGTTAGCAAATATACTAAATTTTGAATGATTACTTGCATTCTGTCTCTTGGTTCACAGCAGGTCTATGTAGAGAGTTAGACTTACTTTATTTCTATTTTTACTCAACTTCTCAGTTTTAAGTTAAAGTACCATCATAAAGAAAAGTAATTAATTGGTGTTGGAGACTAATCCATATGCCACCAAAATATGATAGAATGCAAATGAAACCTGTCTCCATATGCCTTTCTCATTTGTTATTCTCTTACTCTGGTTCTTCATAGACACGTTCTTTGTACAGGCAGATCATCTCCTCTTCTAATTTATTATGCCAATACATTCTACTTTGCTGTAATTTTTAGTTGTTATTTTTAATCTAAGTTATATATGTAACACTTACATAAGTGTTAATAGAGTGAAATGGTCAATACAATGAAATGGTGCTTTATACAACTGTTCCTGTTATGAAGAACAGTTCCCACAACCCGACCCTCCACTTCTTTCTCCCCAGAAACAACCATTTTAAATTCTTTTACCCATTTTGTTTTTTCACCTCTATATCATCTATGTATCTATGTATCTATCTAGTCTATCTAAGACAAGCTCTTGCTCTGCATCCCATGCTGGAGTGCAGTGGCACAGTCACTGCTCACGCAGACTTGATCTCCCAGACTCAGGTGATCCTTTTACCTCAGTCTCCCAAGTGGCTGGGACTACAGTTGCATGCCACCATACCTGGCTAATTAAAAACAAATTTTTTTTGTAAAGACAGGTCTCACTATGTTGCTCAGGCTGGTCTCGAACTCCTGGACTCAAGCAATGCTCCCAACTCAGCCTCCCTAAGTGTTGGGATTACAGGCGTGAGCCACCACAGCTGGCCTTTCTCTCTAACTTATCTAGCCACTTCTTGATTTCTCTCGAGAGTATTATCCCCTGATTTCCCACTATGGAAGACAACCTGCTCCCTCTGCTCTTCATGCAAGCACATAGTTCCCACGCTCCATCTTCTCAACAGGTATAGTGTGATTCTGATTAGATTCATATTCAACAGGCTTACATTATAATGTCTATGTAAATTCTAATCCCAGCTCAGTTATAAGGTTTATCATAACCTTTCTTTCTTTTCCTACACATACTTTGTTTTCCTTTGGTGTTACCAATTGTCCTTTTTTGGGGTTAGTTTAGCTTTTACAAAGTTATCACCCAAACTCATGCCTAGTTGTATAAATCTCTTAATTTGTTAAAATATAGTAGTCATTCTTTCAATTTTATCTTTTTGAATAAATCTTTCTGGAACCTTCCAACTTGCTCCAATCTGGGCTTGCTACTACTTTCTGGGTCTGCTATTTAGCAGTGCTATAGTCTTCGGATCTACAAACATTATCATTCTGGGGATCTTTTTGTTTTGCTTTGGATCCTCTATTTTCTAGTTCTCAGGCTCCTCCTCCTTAGTTTATGTCCTCATTTTTGTACAGCATATCCTCCAGTGGATTCCCAGGGTACATGAGAATCATTTTTTTGAATCTTTAATGTCTAAACATGGCTTTATTTTATGCTCAAAATTAACTACTAGTTTAGACAGATGTTGAATCTAGGTTAGAAGTAATTTTTTTTCAGAACTTTTTTTTTTTTTTTGAGACGGATTCTTGCTCTGTCGCCCAGGCCTGAGTGCAGTGGCGCGATCTCGGCTCAATGCAACCTCCACCTCCTGGGTTCAAGTGATTCTCCTGCCTCAGCCTCCCGTATAGCTGGGACTACAGGCACCCGCCACCATGCCTGGCTAATTTCTGTATTTTTAGTAGCGATGGGGTTTCACCATGTTGGTCAGGCTGGTCTCGAACTCCTGACCTCAGGTGATCCACCTGCCTCAGCCTCCCAAAGTGCTGGAATTACAGGCATGAGTCACCACGCCCAGCCATTTCTCAGAACTTTCAAAGTATCGCTCCATTGTCTTGCTTTTGGTGTTGCTACTGAGAAGTCTGTAGCTATTTTAATTCCTCATTCGTTGTTAGAATCCTTCTTTTCCAACTCTACAAGTCAGTAAAATTCTTTTGTTTGCAGATTTCTGAACTTTTTCAGTAATACATCTGAGTGTAGGTTTGTTTTTTCTTGTGTGGGTCAGTCTATGGACTTTTTCCTACCTTAAAACTCAGTTATTTTATTAATGGAAAAATTTCTCGAATTGTATTTTTCATATTTGCTTTCTTTTATTTTCTCTGTTCACTCTGAAACTCCTATTTTAAAAAATTTCTGGGCCAGTTCTCTAATTTTCTTATGTTTTTTCTCTCTTCTATTTATTTGTTTTATATTCTATTTTCAGGGGAGATTTCCTCCACTTTCTCTTCCAACTCTTCCACTGAGTTTTACATTTTAGAAAAATGTATACATTCGAAAAGGTATCACATTAGAAAAAATATAACATTTAGAGAACAAAAAAATCTATTAAAATATGATTTTTGTTTTCTTGTTCTGCATAGCCTGTTTCCTTCCCAGTTGCTTTTTTCTGTTTTTGTCTTTCATTATCAAATCCTCTCTTCAAGTGTCTGGTGATCTTTGGCTGTCTTGTTCATATAAAATAGTATGAACTAAAAAGCTAAGAGGAAGTTCTGTGTTTGGATGGAGCTCATTAATGGTGGGATCCACTAAGAAGTAACTGGCTGTTTCCTTGGAGCACTCCTAGGGTGAGTATATTTATAGCTGTGTATACGTGTCTTTTGCCTAGAGAAAACCCTTCCAAATCTCCTGCCTGAAGGGCTATACATACTGGTGCTCTGGAAAGCAAGTGGCGGAGGCCTGGGGTCTCAAATCTAGCATTTAAGTATATTCATTACCCCTTTTCCAGTAGGGTGGTTCACATTGGAATGTGCCTGATCTCTCAGACCACAGACATTTTGTACGCTTTTCAGAGAATTAAATTTTCAGTCTTTTGCTGACATAGGGAAGGGAATCTAATTCCTCTTTCAGAAGCTTCTGACCAGTTGTCATGTCTTCAGTTCTACCTTCATCTTCACTTGCAGCTCCTGAGCTTCTGGAGAATTTTACAATGTAAGTCAAGCTGCTTCTTTGTTTTTTGCCTACCACTGACTTAAGGTTCAGCTTTCTTAGGCTGCTTAGTTGTCACTTGTCATCTGTTTTCCAAGTAACAATATTTTTATTGCTACTGTTTTTTCTTGTTTTCTTATTCTTTGAGGGTTTATCTAACTGCCCTTGTTGTCCTTGCAGTGGAATTTTAGGAGGGAACAGAGCTAAATGCTTGCACTAAAGGTGCCAGGTTTAAACTAAAGTTCCTCTCTGCTCTTTTATATACTACAGAATCACAGTTCCTACATGTTGAAGGGATCCCTAAGAGGGCAGGTAGTAAACTCTTCAGAGAGCAAAAATGTTTAATTTGCAGATAAGGTGGTTAAAACGCCAGAAGCTGAGTGTCTTGCCCCAAGACATACAAAGTCACACAGATAGAGAACATGATATTCTATGTACCTTAAATAATTATCTCTCAAAGGTTAATAGTTTGTTTGTTTTTCTAATTTAGGATAATTTCAGCTATAGCTAGATCCTTTTCTGTATTACCTTGGCATCCTCTTCCACTGGGCAGATGAGATCTTATTAAGATATTAGGTGTTAAACTACAGTCATGTGCCACATAATGATGTTTTGATCAATGACAGACCACATACATGATGGTGGTCCCATAAGACTATAATGGAGCTAAAAAATTCTATTGGCTAGTGACATCATAGCTGTCATAATGTCATAGTGCAATGGATTAAGTGTTTGCGGTAATGCCAGCCTACTGTGCGGCCAGTCATATGTAAGTATGGCACATACAATTATGTACAGTGAATAATAATAATCGACTGTGTTACTGGTTTATGTATTTACTACATTATACTTTTTATCATTATTTTATAATGTACTTCTAGTTATATATATATATAAAAAAAGAGTTAACTTTAAAACAATGTCAGGCAGGTCCTTCAGGAAGTATTCCAGAAGAAGGCATTGTTACCACAGGAGTGATAGCTCTATGAGTGTCACTGCCCCCAAAGACCCTCCAGGGGGACAAAACGTGGAGGTGGAAACAATGATACTGATGATCCTGACCCTGGTTAGGCCTAGCCTAATGTGCGTGTCCGTTTTTAACAAAAAAGCTTAAAAAGTAAAATAAAAAAATTTAAAAATAGAAAAAAGCTATAGAATAAAGATAATAAAAAGCATTTTTGTACATCTATCAAATGCGTTTGTTTTGAGCTAAGTGTTATTACAAAAGAATCAAAAATTAAAAAAATAAAAGTTTATAAAGTAAAAGTTATAATAAGGTAAGATTAATTTATTTTGAAGAAAGAACTATTGTTTAAATAAATTTAGTGTAGCCTAAGTGTACAGTGTTTATAAAGTCTACAGTAGTGCACAATAATCCTAGACCTTCACATTCACTCACTGCTCACTCACTCACTCGCCCAGAGCCACTTCCAGGCTCCATTCATAAGTGCCCTAGACAGGTGTACCATTTTTTTTCCTGTATACCTTACCTTATATTTTTCTGTACCTTTTATATGTTTAGATACAAAAATACTTAACATTGTGTTATAATTGCCTGCAGTATTCAGTACAGCACCATGCTATACAGGTTTGTAGCCTAGGAGTAACAGACTATACCATACAGCTTAGATGTGTAGTAGGCGGTACCATGTAGTTTGTATAAGTACACTCTATGATGTTTGCACTATGATGAAATTGCGTAACAACACATTCCTCTGAATGTATCATTGTTGTTAAGCTATGCATGGCTGTTATAAAATGTGGTTAAACGTGAAGTTGGCTTATAATAATTTCAGACACAACCAAGTTTTTAAAGCAGTGGATATGCCTTAGCTATATCCTTTTGAGAAATGTATATAAAGAATTTTACAGGCTGGAGGCAGTGGCTCATGTCTGTAATCCCAGCATTTTGGAAGGCCAAGGCGGGCAGATCACTTGAGCCCAAGAGTTCCAGAGCAGCCTGGCCAATATGGCAAAACCCCATCTCTAATAAAAATTCACAAATTAGCCAGGCATGGTGGCACACACCTGTAATCCCAGCTTCTCAGGAGGCTGAGGCATGAGAATCGCTTAAACCCAGGAGGTGGAGGCTGCAGTGAGCCAAGATTAAGACTCTGTCTCAAAAAAAAAAAAAAAAAAAAAAAAAAGAATTTTACAGCGTATCAAAATAGAATTTAAATGTAGTTTGTATAGCTTTTTAAATGGTAAATCAATTATTTTTAATTTTCAAGAAATATTTAAAATGGAAAAAACACCTTGGTTTGTTTCAAGTTCCATCATTTATCTGTTAAATTTTATAAGAAAACACAGGCTTTGACAAAAAGGCATTTGTAGAGAAAAAAAGGACTGGGATTTGGGAAAGATTCAACTTATTTTAAAATGATGCTACTTTTTTTTTTTTCCAGTGTAATATAGGCTACAGCCTTAAAATATTACTAAAGTAAAATAATAAAATACTTTTGATAAAATAATTCCTTTTAGTCCATAAAAGTTTTAAGAGCTTTATAAAACTGGGCACTAACAGAGCTTTCATAAATGCAGCACTCTAGAGAAGAAAATGAAGAACGAAGAGAAAACTGTCCTTAAATACTTACAGATTCTTTTCTGCCCATAGTTTTGCTGTGTGAGCGAGAACGTGAGATGTTGCTAAAAAAGGAATCTTTTTTAGTAGCAGATGAAGGTGGAGAGCCAGTGAATTCTCTTCCTCCAGGCAAACTCTCAACGCTTGGAGATGAACTGATGTTTTTAGAACTTAGCCCTGTAAGAAAAATTAAGTAGCAATAATGAAACACCAGACTCTTTCACTAAGCTATTCGATCTACTGTTTTTAATAAATGATGATCAATTATGATGCCACTAGGTTGATACTATCAACATAATGACACTATGGAGTATTAAAATGCATGCATTTTTATGTATCAGAATAGCCACTGGTTTTCAAAAAAACAGTGAAGGTATCTACCACTATAGTTTTCTATGTTTTTTATACTATGATTATCCAAGCATTGCACACATATAAAAAGAACTAAAAAAAAAAAAAAATCAAAGTTTCAGTAAACAATGGTTAAATGACTGGGTGTTTCTTCACTAATGGAATAATCCCTTAATTACAGAAACCAGAATCTATTATACTGCACTTTACATTAGCAAGATTAAAAAATCCAAATCTTTGGCCAAAGTTTTTCAAAAAAGCATCTCTCCTCTTCCCTCTGGTAAGGGAAAGTGTCACTGAAAATTCAGGAACATTAACATTTTAGCAAAAACCTGAAGAAGGTGAAGTACCCGCTTTGCAGCAAATATGCAAGAACAGCAAGTGCTAAGGCCCTAATGCAGGATCTTCGGTGTTCAAGGAGATCACAAAGTGACCGGTATGGTTAGAGCTAAGAGCAAGGAGGAGAAGGGTGAGAGATGAGGTTTGAGAGCAAGCAGGGGGATCAGAACAGGTAGGGATTTGTAGATGATTTTGATTAGTTTTACTCTGAGAAGGGAAGCTATGGGATGTCACTAGAGGGTTTGAGGAGAGGAGTGACATGATTTGACTTACATTTTAAAAGGATTGCTCTGGCTGTTGTATTGAGAACAGAATCAGAGATGGTCAAGTGGGGGTGAGTCAGGGGGAACAAAGGCAAAAGCAGAGGAACCAATTTTTGCTAACGCAAAAATGTAAGTACTCAGAATGATCATGACTTGGTGGTGAGAGGTGGTCACATTTTGGACAAAACTGACTGGATTTACGGATGAACCCATTATGAGTATGAGAGAAAGAGAAGAGTCAAGCTCAACTTCCAATTTTTGGCCTAAGCAAGAAGAATGATGGAGCGGCTATTTACTGAGGTGGGGAAGAGTGAAGGGAAGCAGGTTTTAGGAATAAATCAGCAGTTTAGTTTTAGACCTGCTGAGTCTATGGTGCCTAGTCAGATATCCAAATAGAGATGCCACATAAGCAGTGGGAAATGAGTCTGGATTTTAGGGGAGAGATGTGAGCTAGAGATATACATTTGGAAGTCAGTACCATAGAGACTGTATTTAAACATGAGGTTATCAATGGAGAAGGGATAGAGAGAAAAAGGATTTAGGACCACAGATTGGCCCCTTGGAAACGTTACAATTTAAAAGTCAGAGATATCACAAGAAAGCAGCAAAGCTGACTGAGAAGCAGCAGCCAGAAGTAGGAAGAAAATCAAGTAGATAATAAGAGATACTTTATAGACTAACATTCTCCAATCTTGGGTCAAAGTTGTTACAATATAGTTAGAATAGTAATTATCTACTCCCAGTACCTGGGAGTCCCTGATTGTCCCTGATCTCAAGACAATTTTATTACACTGACGCTTCCTCTGCATTAAATATCAGGGATTCAGATTAAGTTTCTGTCCTCCCAGAGTGCAGAACCTAGGGGTAAGGAGGTAAATGATAAACCAAGAATGCTAACCAGAATGTTATATTTCTTAGGAGAGAGCTATTACCTCTCCCTTGGATAGAAGGAGAGAGTCAAGCCACATTTCAGAAGAAGTGTGGCAGATTTGGAGGGCTGATACATCCCTCTTTAAGGAAATATTTGTGACTTCAAGGAAGATGGTTAGCTGATAGCCTTTAGCTATTAGATTGTTCAGGATCTGCCTCAGGTTTTGAACTAACATCATGCTCTTCTCAGGGTGGTTCCCAGCTCGTGATTGGGAATAAATGGTCTACCCATTTCCAGTCAATACAGGACTCCTTTAATAGGAAATCTTGCCTGCAGAGTTCCCCTTTGAACTGGCAGAGACTTGTTAGATCTGTATCATGGTCTGCCCCCATCCCTCTGCCCAACTCTGATTCCTCCTCTTTTCCTTTCACCTGTGTTATTCCCCCAATAAACTTTCTGTACTTCTATCAGGGTCTGCTTCCTGAAGAATCCAACCTGTAATGCATGATATTGGAGCTGAGCCTTGAAGGACCCCTGAGGTTAGGAAAGAGTAGAGAACAGGCCCCAAGGCCTAGAAGTATCCTATGCTTATAAGGGCCTAGACTATGAAAATTCCACCTAGGCCTTTATTTCTTCCCTTCTCTCCCTCCATGTTTCCCACCCACCACCAGGACTCTAGGCCTTAACTTCCCAGGGATACTTTTTCACGGTAATAATCTCAATAACACGGGGTCCTAGAATATTAGAACCGAAAAAGATCTCAGGAACCACCTATTATTTTCTTTTTTTAAAATTACCCCACTTATATGTGAATACACTTTCATTATAAACAGATTAACTGTGAAAACAACACTTTGAGATATAATTCATGTCATAACTTTCACCTTTTAAAAGAATATAATTCAGTGTTTTTTACAGTACACTTACAGAGATGCATGACCATCAAAACTATCTATTTTAGAACAACTTAATCACTGAGAAAAGAAAACTCATGGCCATTAGCAGTTATTTCCAGTATACCCCCTCTTCCCATAGTCCCTGCAATCACAATCTACTTCTGGCTCTATGAATTTGCCTTTTCTAGACATGTCATGTAGATGGAGTGATACTATATGTGGTCTTCTGTGACTGGCTTCTTTCTCTTGGGACAGTGCTTAAAAGTTCATCTATGTTATAGCATGTATTAGCACTTCATTCCTTTTAGTTGCCAAATAATATTCCATTGTATGGGTACCACATTTAGTTTATATACTCATCAGCTGATGAACATTTAGCTTATACACATTTTTGGCTATTATGAATAATGCTGCTATGAACATTCCTGTTTAAGTTTTTATGTGGACATATTGTTTCCCTTTGTCTCACGTAGATATCTAGAAGTGGAACTGGTGGGTCAATATGGCAACTCTGCATTTAACATTTCGAGAAACTGCCAGTTTTCAAAAGTGACTACACCATTTTACATTTCCATCAGTATTGTATAACGGTTCCAATTTCTCCACATGCTTGTCAACACTTACTATGAGCTATCTTTTTATTTCAGCCATCCTAGTGGGTGTGAGATGGTATTTCATTGTGATTTTGATTTGCAATTTTCCAATGGCTCATGATGCTTAGCATCTTTTCAGGTGCTTATTAGACACTCATCTTCTTCAGAGAAATGTTTATTCAAATCTTTTGCCCATTTAAAAAGTTGGGGTATTTTCCTTTTTGAGTTGTAAGTGCTCTTCATATGTTCTGGGTGCAAGTTCCTTATCAAACATGACTTGCAAAAAATTCTTCTGTTCTGTGTATATCTTTTCACTTTCTTAATGGTGTCCTTGGAAGCCCAAAACTGCTTAATTGGATGAAGTCTCATCTACCTATTTTTTCTTTTGTTGCTTGTGCTCATAGTGTCATATCTAAGAAACTACTGCCTAACCTGAGGTCATGAAGATTTACTCAAGTTTTCTTCTAAGGGTGTTATAACTCCTGCATTTAATTCTATGACTTATTTTGAGTTAATTTTTGTATACAGCGTGAAGAAGTAGCTCAAGTTCATTCTTTTGCATGTGGATATCTAGTTTTCCCAGAACTATTTGTAAAAAAGACTACTCTTTCCACATAAATAATCTTGGCACCCGTGCTGAATATCAACTTACCATACTCTCAACTCTATTCCATTTATATATGATGATCTTTATGTCAGTATCACATTGTTTTGATTAAAATAACTATATAACAAGTTTTGAAATCAAGACATGTGAGTTCTCCAGCTTTGTTCTCTTTCAAGATTGTTTTGGCTACTAGGGGTGCTTTGCATTTCCATATGAATTTTAGGATCACTTTGCCATTTTCTCCAAAAAAGACATCTGGGATTTAGATAGGGATTACAGTGAATATGTAGATCAATTTGGTAGTACTGCCATATTAACAATACAAGATTTATGAAAAATAAATTTATATTATCTTTTATATTTGCCTACACAGCTACCTTTATCAGAACTCTTTTTCTTTGTGTGGATTTGAACTGATGTCTAGTGTCCTTTCATTTCAGCCTGAAGGACTTTCTTTATTATGTCTTATAGGGAAGGTTTACTAGTATTGAATACTCTCAGTTTCTATTTATCTGTAATTGTCTGAATTTCTCTTTCCTTTTTGAAGGATAGTTTTATTGGATATATAATAGAATTCTAGACCGACTGGCTTTTCATCACTTTGAATATGTCATCCTACTGCCTTCTTAACTCTCTGGTTTTTGATGAGAAGTCAGCTGTCAATCTTACTGAGGAACTCTTGTATATCATGAGCTGTTCTTCTATTGCTGCTTTCAATACTCTCTTTGTTGTCAGCTTTTGACAGTCTGACTATGATATATCTAGGTGTAGATCTGAGTTTATCCTGCTTGGAGTTAATTGGACTTCTTTGAGGTATGTACTAATGCTTTTCATAAAAATTGTGAAATATTTCAGCCAGCATTTCTTCAACTATTCCATCTGCCCCTCTCTTTTCCTTCTCTCCTTCTGAGGCTCTCACTATCTGTATGTTATTATGCTTCATGGTGTTCTGCAGGTCCTTGAGGCTCTTTTTGTTTTTTTTTTTTATTCTTTGTCTTTCTGTTGCTCTAACTGGATAATTTCAGTTGACATATATTCCAAGTTCTGATTCTTTGGCAGCTCAAATCTGCTGTTGAGCCCCTGTAATAACTTTTAAAATTTCAGTTGCTGTATTTTTCAACTTCAGAATATCTATTTAATTCTCTTTTTATAAAGCCCCTATTTTTTTTACTGATCTTCTCTATTTGATGAGACACTATTCTCTTTCATTCCTTTAGTTCTTTAGACAGGGTTTCTTGCAGTTCTTTGACATATTTACAGTAGCTGACTTAAAGTCTTTATCCAGTAAGTTTAATGTCCAGGCTTCCTCTGACACAGTCTGTATTGCCTGCTTTTTCCCCTTTGTGTGGGCCATACTTTCCTGTGGTTTTTTTTTTTTCCTCATACCTTATACTTTTATTGAAAACTGGACATTTTAATAATATGTGGCAATTCTGGGAATCAGATCCTATTCCACCATCTGAACTTGTTTTTCCTGTTATTTGTTGCTGTTTTAGTAACTTTATTAAATTAATGTCAAATGGTGACAATTCACTGGGCATAGAAGTTTTAGGGTACTCCAGATACATTGTGCATCCTCCTGTGGTTGTAAGGTTACTTACTAGTTTTCAAAGCTACTGTAGAGCTCGAAAGAGGGTGACAGGAATAGGGTAAGCTAATATGCCATAAAACTCGCTCTTCTTACTAAGATTCAGCCAGTTTTCCTTGATGTCATCCTTTGGTTAACTTCCAGAGTTCTGAAAAAGTTTATTTTGATCATTTTTTGTCACTGTTCTTATGACTTTATGGAGGAACAGATTTTCAGGGGCCCCTGCCATGCTACTCCAAAAGTGCTTCTCTCTGCTGACTTGCTTTCTGAACCTACCTTGATCTTGGAAATTTGTCTATGTCATATGTCCTCTTTTTAAGAGCTGTGAGGAAAAAATTTCTGTTAACACTCTTGAGTAGTCATTTAGGTTTCTTCTAATGTTTAGCTGTTCCAAACAAAAACATCAATTAACATTTTAGAAAGGTACACCTTTAGGCACAAACAGTTGGCTATTTCTCTACAAGGTAGAATTATATAAGTGGAACTGCTATGTATAACTATATGCACATTTTAAATTTAGATAAATAATTCCAAATTGCCTTAAGATTTTAACAATTTATAAATCTGTTGCAATTTCTGAAGGCCTACCATCTTTGTGGAGACTGGATATGACATGATATTTTATATATGTGAACGTGTATGTGGTTAATCAGATAGAGGAGGACTTCACTATGTTAGCTTAAAGTTTCCTGATAACTAGAGAGGCTGAGTATCTTTTAACATATTTTTACAGCCCGCTTTAAGGTCCTTTGTGAACTCTCTGCTCATTTTACTTTCCAAAACTGATTCAGGAAAGTTTTTTCTAAATTCTGGAAATTAATCCTTTCTGTGTATGTCTACTTTTTCTTTTATGTCTTTTATTTTTAGGGTCCTGCTTAGGAAGCATTTCTTACCCTAAGATAATATAGTGGAATATAATTTAGGTATTATAAATCTAGGTTTTTCATTTGTTCTTTTCATAAATTTCTCCTTTTTTCCATGAATTTTTCCTTTCATGAATTTTCTCCTTGCTCCTTGGAACTCCTTAAGCCAGTGGCTTTTATTGCCTTGGAGGTGGTGGAAAATGGTAGCTAAACCAAAAGGATGGCTTAGTTTTGAATTTCAAATTACTTTTAAAAGGCCATAGAACAAAAGACAAATCAAGAAGCCATGGCATTTTGATTCACAAGGCTTTTTGACAAAATGAAAAAAATTCCATCTTTTTAAAAGCTTATATAACTGAATTTATTCATCTCTTCAAAGTTTGGATTATTGACTTATACCCCTCCAGTGTTAGTGATTTTTTAAAGGAATTGCTGTAATGACTTTTGGGATTTTCTTTTGTTGTTGTTGTTCCCTTATTAAGGATTTCTACTTCTTCTTGGGTCAATTTTCTTCTTCTTGGGATAATTCATATCTTCCTTTAAAAAACCATACGGGAGGCAGAATAATGCCTAAGCCTTTAATTCCCAGAGTCTATGAATTTGTTACCTTACATAGCAGAAGAGACTTTGCAGGTGTGATAAGGTTAAGGATGTTGAGATGGAGAGAGTATCTTGGGTTATCATGGTTGGCCAACCTAATCCTGTGAGTTCTTTTTTTTTTAATTTTATTATTATTATATTTTAAGTTTTAGGGTACATGTGCACAACGTGCAGGTTTGTTACATATGTATACATGTGCCATGTTGGTGTGCTGCACCCATTAACTCGTCATTTAGCATTAGATATATCTCCTAATGCTATCCCTCCCCTCTCCCACGACCCCACAACAGTCCCCAGTGTGTGATGTTCCCCTTCCTGTGAGTTCTTAAAGTAGAAGAGGAAGGCAGAAGAATGAGCTAGAGAGAACGAACTCAAGAAGAAAGAGGAGAGAGTTCAAACATGAGAAGGGCTTGACCTGGTGTTGCTGGCCTTAAGGATGGAGAAATGGGGCCATAAACCAAGGAAGATGTCATCTTCCAGAAGCTGGGAATGGGCCTCAGTTAACAGACAGTAGGGGAATGAGGACCTTGGTCCTATAGGTAAAAGGAACTGAATTCTGCCAACATAGCAAATAAACAAGGAAACAGATTCTTCCTCAGAGCCTCCTGAAACCTTGACTTTAGCCTAGAGAAACCTGTGTCAGACTTTTGACCTAGAGAAATGTTAAATAAATTTGTATTGTTTACATCACTAAGTTTGTGATAATTTTTAAGTCAGCAAGAGAAAACTTCTCTACATTTTCAACTTATAAAGTTGTATACAGTAGTCTCTTACAGCAACTTATCCTTCTTCTGTATCTTCAGTTCTTTCATAATTCTTATTTTGAATGTGTTAGTATTTTTCTCTCATTTATTCTTGATCGGACTTACTGAATGTTGGATTACTTCACTGTTTTTAAAGAACTACCTTTTGGTTTCACTCATGTAATCTGTTTTATTATGTGCTGTTCATCTTTTCTTTTATCTTTATTCATACCTTTACTTACTTTAGTTGTATTCTGATGTTCACTTTCTATCTTCCTGAGTTGTATGTTTAGATATTTTACAGTCTTTCTTGTTTTCTAATAATTTCTTTTCTTCTGAGTGGCCTTTTATCTCTGTCTTTCAGGGTTTTGGTAATTGGCACTATCATTATCATGAACTTCTACACTGGTAATTTTTAAACATTTCCTTATTAGTTCAACAGTTCTTTAGAAGAATGATTTTACCTTTACAAGTGATGGGATATGTGTGTGTATAAAATAAATAAGTATTTGGGAGCGGGGAGGGTAGCAGGTCTGTTGATAGACCTAAATTCTTACATGTCCCCAAATGTCCATTTTTTTTCTTCCCATTTGAATGTTAGCTTGGCTGAGAATAAGATACTAGTTCAAAACAACTTTTCCTCAGAACTTTGAAAACAAACTTAAATGTCTTCCGGCCTTCGGTTTTACCAATGAGAAATCTGATGTCTATCTGATGATTATCTTATAAACAAACTTTCTGTTTGTTCTCTCTGGAAGTTTCCTTGAAGTTTTGTAAATCTTTTATGGGGTTCCTAGGGTGTGTCATTTTTACTTTCATCCTGCTTATGGGATTTTTTTTTTTCTATCTCTAGGCCAGTATCTTTCTTCAGCTCTGGGAAATTCTCTTTATTACTCCTGTGATATTATACTCTACTTATGATCTCTAGACTCTCAACATTTGACATTACAGTTCAATTTCAGAGTTAATCTAAAATTTCAGGTAGAAGCATTAAATTTTTTTATACTCCTAGAAAAAGTTAGCATTTTGGGGACCATTATAACTTTTTTTCATTTTCTTCCAAAATGAAAAAAACCATCGTAAGCAGTTATAGCTATTAAATCTTACAACATTTAGTTGTCTTGAATATTTTCTGAAGGGGGGAAGGCATTATATATCAAATCTAATTATATGAAATTTGCCTGTAAAATTCTATCAAAATCTGTTGAAAAGTTTTTCCATTCAAAAGAAATTACAATATAATAAAACAAAAATCTTCAGAAGCTTTCCAGGTTTGTATAAATCAATTGCTTTCATGTTGAAATTATATTAAGACCCAAAAATCTTTTCTTTGATTCTAGATTTTATATATATCGTAGCTGGGTACTATTAATTTTTGTTTCCAACCATCTCTACATACATATTTCCCTAGTTTGCCTATTCCCCCCGCAAAAAAGTCAGAAAATTAGAATACACTTCAGCAATGTGATATTTGCAAAATGCTTGTCCATGTATATATCTGGACCTTTACATATATTATTTCATTTAATCCTAATGACATTGTGAGATGGTTATGTATGAGAAAATGGAGGCTTGGATGCTTTAATTCACTTGCTCAAGAACACAGTTATAAATACCACTAGAAGCATCGTAAGTTAAACCCAGATTTGTCCAAACTTAAAAGACTACGCTGGCGGGGTGCGGTGGCTCACACCTGTAATCCCAACACTTTGGGAGGCCAAGGCTGGTGGATCACCTGAGGTCAGAAGTTCATGACCAGCTTGGCTGACATGGCGAAACCCCATCTCTACAAAAAATATATAAATTAGCTGGGCATGGTGGTGCGTGCCTGTAGTCCCAGCTACTCGAGCAGAGTCAGGAGAATCACTTGAACCCTGTAGTCCCAGCTACTTGGGAAGAAGCAGGAGAACCCTGGAGGCAGAGGTTGCAGTGAGCTGAGATCGCACCACTGCCTTCCAGCCTGGGTAACAACAGAGCAAGACTCTGTCTCAAAAAAACAAAACAAAACAAAACAAAACAAAACAAACAAACAAAGAAAAAAAGACTATGCCAATATATATAATTAAATTTAAATTTCTGAATCCTGCAGAATGACTCCAAGGAATTATTATTTCAAAATGACAAAAAAAGTTTTGGAAATAGGCCTTTCTATCCAATTTTTAGGATACATATATTTTGTGAATGGCTTTTCCTAGGAACAGAAAATATCTGATGGTCAGGCTTCTTGTATTCAATTACTAGTGTTCCTGCTTATATTACAATGGACAAATTTCACTAAGGGCAGGAAGTGTGGTCATTACCAGTTTCACCTGCTGGGAAAAAAGCTAGCACAGTGCCTGCACATTGTGGAGCTACCATAAATGTTTGCTGATGTTCAATCTGGAATATCTGAAAATAATTATAAACACCAATGCTGATCAACAGAAATATAATGTGAGCCACACATGCAATTTCTAATATTTTAGTATTCACACTTAAAAAGTAAAGAAAGATAAAATTAATTTTAATAATCTATTATCAGCCTGACATGAAGACAAAATAAAAAATTATTGACAAATTTTACATTCATTTTTTCATACTAAGTCTTCAAAATGCAGTGCATATTTTTTACTCACAGCATACATTTCAAGAGCTCAGTGGCTACATGTGGCTAGGGGATACCATGTTAGACAGCAAGGGTATAAACTAACGAACAGTCAAATTTTTCATACATGAAGGTTATTATATTTTGTGACTATTGTAACAAAATAGGGTAATGATATGTCTGGGAGAAATCTTTAGAATACCTGCTTTAATAAGTTAGCTTATCAATTCTTTACTGTATGAGAATAATTAAACATCCAGAAAGAATTTGAAAGCATTTGTTCCCTTGAGGGGCAACAACACCCAGAGGTTTCTTTTGCAGCTATTACCCTGCTTAGTAAACTTCCTTTTTCAGTGGTAATACTAAGATCAGCTCTTATCAAAACTTATCTGTGAACTATGAAATTTCAAATTGGTGGTAGTATTAATAAGGAACCTGGCCCACATCTCACATTAAAAACATATGTTTCTCCTCAATTATAAAAATTAGCTTACTAACATATTTTTGTGCCCTCTGGGAACACAAACATTCAGACCCTTAAGAAAATGGAGTCACTAGAACATGTTCCCAAAGGGATGATGGAGAGCACAGTCTACCGTCCATGTTCCACACCTGGATATTTAACCAACAGATCAAAAATACAAAAATATACATATAAAATAACAGGCCGGACGCGGTGGCTCACGCCTGTAATCCCAGCACTTTGGGAGGCCGAGGCAGGCAGATCACTTGAGGTCAGGAGTTAGAGACCAGCCTGGCCAACATGGTGAAACCCCGTCTCTATTAAAAATACAAAAATTAGCTGGGCATGGTGGCGCATGCCTGTAATCCCAGCTATTCAGGAGGCTGAGGCACGAGAATCACTTGAACCTGGGAGGTGGAGGTTGCAGTGAGCTGGGAGTGCATCACTGCACTCCAGTCTGGGCGATAAGAGTGAGACTCGGTCTCAAAAAAAAAAAAAAAAACAAAAAACAAACACCAACCAAACAGTACAACACAAATAGTACAAATAAAAATACAGTATAACAGGCTGGGTGCAGTGTCTCCCACCTGTAATTTCAGCACTCTGGGAGGCCGAGACTGGAGGATTGCCTGAGCCCAGGAGTTTGAGACCAACCTGGGCAACATAGTGAGAACCAAACTGTGAGACAGAGTAGTGGTGCGTGCCTGTAGTCCACTCATTTCTACAATAAAAATGAAAAAGTAGCCAGGTGTGATGGCACACACCTGTGGTCCCACCTACTCAGGAAGCTGAAGAGGGACAATTACTTGAGCCCAGGAGGTAGAGGCTGCAGTGTGCCATGATTGCACCACTGTACTCCAGTCTGGGCAACAGAGTGGGACCCTGTCTCAACAACAACAACAACAAACCCAGTATAACATAGCATTTACATCGTATTTGGTATTATAGGTAATCTAGAGATGAAGTATAGAGGAAAATGTGCATAGGTTATATGAAAACCCTATACCATTTTATATAAGAGACTTGAGCATATGTGGATTTTGGTATCCGCAGGGGTCCTGGAACCAATCCCCCACAGATACTGAGGGACAACTGTATTTCCTCTGGAGATACATAGGAAAAGCCCAGGTACCTGGAGTAGTCTTGTCTCAAGACAAAAGGATGCACTCTCAGACTTCTCTGCCTTTTTCGTATCTGGTATGCACAGAATCTGATCACATTTGTATAGCACACTGGGGTAAATGGATGTGGGCTCATCCAGGCTTCCCCTGGACAGCTCCTGAGCTGAGGGGTCAGTATTCTCAGCAAGCTTGTAACCCATAAGCTACATACTGGTTCCAAAGTTCTCTACATACCTTTTTTTTTTTTTTTTGACAGAGAGGAACAGCATGAAACATTTTTGTTGCACGAAAATTTAAAGCCTATTCTTAGGGGCACATTCTAAAATACGCTGCTGTAGGGCCCTGCCCAATTCCCTCTTCAGGTCCAAGGCACTTATTTCCCCCAGCTGCTGGAAATGCTGGCTGTTGATGGCTCCCCTGAGTTCTTCTCTGGAAACTGCCCGCAACTGAAGAGAGCTTCCTTGCCCAAGGTCATGCCCCTTACCTGGGAATTAACTCCAATCCAGTGACTGGTTTGAGTTGACAAGTAAAAGCTGGCCCCCTTGCCTCAAGGTGGACAACTCTAGAGGACTACCCCAGCCCCAGAGGGTTCCAGCAGCAACTGCAAAGCGGTCGGTTTAGCTCTCTCCCTGCCAGTGTTGCTTCTTTCACTCCCCAGGTACTGATCTCAAGGATGCTGCCCAATAAATGTCTTAACCATGAATCTGTCTCACAGTTTGGTCTTCAGAATTTCTGACCCATGACATTTATTTAAAATTATTTTAGATTGTAAGACATTCTTAAATACATTAAATATAGGCTCATTCTTAAGCCATCTAGGGTGTACATGTATTAATGCATGTATGTAGTCTTTCATTCGTGACCAAACATCAGGGAATGAGCCCTATGCAGAGTGATCTTTTGAAATGCCTAAAGAAATTTCTGTTTAGCACTGGGGAGGGAAGTATGAACATAACAGAAGCTCTTAAGAAACTCCCAAAATAGCCATACAGGGAATACAGACTTGTATACACACTAACCTACAACCCTAGGTAGCAAAAGCGAACACTGAAGTACAAACAACAGCACTTTGTGTGCGCAAAAGGGGGAGTGTCCAATCTTGTCTCAGACAATTAAGAGTGTGAGCTAGATCTTAAAACTCAAGAGGAAATGGTCGTGGTGGGTCAGGGAGGGTCCTCTCTAGTGGAGAACACAGTATTTTCAAAGGCATTGTACTAGGAACATCTAGCTTAATCAGGGCCTGATTAAAACCTTTGGTGCTCCCTGCCATCAATATGTAATTGAAAATGATATCAATATCAAAGTAAAAGGAAAGATTAAGTTCAACAGAGTGCTTTCTAAAAAATTTGATGATTATTTCAATGTTTTTTTGGGGGAGGATCAATTATCAAATTTTTTCTAAAGTTGAAGGTGCCCCATTATACACCATGGAATTCTATACAACCATACAAAAGAACATCATGTTCTTTGTAGGAACATAGATGGAGCTGGGGGCCATTATCTTTAGCAAACTAACACAGGAACAGAAAACTAAATACCACATGTTCTCACTTATAAGTGAGAGCTAATGATGAGAACACGTGGACACAAAGAGGAGAACAACAGACACTGGGGCTTACTTGAATGTGGAGGGTGGGAGGAGGGAGAGAATAAAAAAAAACTATTAGGTACTAGGCTTAGTACCTGGGTGATGAAATAATCTGTTTAGCAAACCCCCATGCCACACGTTTACCTATATAACAAGCCTGCACATGTACCACTGAACCTAAAATAAAAGTTTTTTTTTTTTTTTTTAAGAAAAAAACTAAGTTGCTGGTACCCTAAACATGAGCTTAGTTTCCCTCTTGATCATCCAGTCTTGGGGAGTGGAGGATAGTGGGAAGATGAGGCCAGATCAAGGGTCTGACAGATCAAGAAGAGCTCCTTATTCTCATGTTAAGGGGTCTGGCCTTTATTTCATTGGTGGTTGATGGCAGTTACTACAGATTTTAGGCCAGAAAATTGAGTGAGGATTATAAGGGCTTGGTTGAGTGGACCATCTGTTGCGTTGGTCCAGGCAAGAGATTATGGCCTTCAACTGAGGCTGTGGTGGTAGATTTGAGAGATGTTTACAGGGTAGAATTCCCCAAGCCACTATCTGGTGGGTCAGACACAGCTAGGATTGAGTCTGAACTGGGTTGATACCTAGTTGTACGGCCTTGAACAAGTCACTGACCCTCCACTGGCCATAGTTCTCATCTACAAGTGGCTGTGTGTCCTAAATGATAATGTAAAGGGTTTAGTGTGGTGTCTAGCATATGCTCTCCGTAGACATAAACCATGTCTAGTGGAAGGCATAGAGATGGCTCCCAAATCTAGAGCACATAGTTTAAAATGCAGTACTCTGGATTGTGGATTCACAGGTTCTCTCTTGATAGGATCATTGAAACCCCTCCTGGTAGGACACTGGCTGCACTTCTCAATGATTTCCCACAGACTTCAACTAACTGGCACTAAGTATAGAACCATCATATATGCATCACATAAGACTGCCTGGCAGAGCAACTGAAATCCAGGCCATGGTCTGCTTATTAAGTCATGTGCCCTGGTGTGAGCTACATCTGCAGAGAAGTTATCTTTTTTTTTTTTTTTGTAAGTTGCACAAAGTTACTGTTCGGATGAGACACAGCTGTGTCTAGCTATCTTATGTCCTTCCTTCATTCTCTTTCCCTCTCTGAAACACTCAATAAAAGTACTGTGCCCTGTGTGCTCTATGTCATTGGAGGCAACTTGTCAAGAGCCTAAAATGACTGAATGAGCTTCATAGGCATCAGTGGAGATTCCTGACTGCAAAATGGCTGAGAGAGAAGGAAAGAGGAAGGAAAAATGCTTATTAAGCTCCTACCATGTCCCATGAATAATATTTTCATGGATTTTCTATTACCAAATTCGATAGGAAATAAGAAAAGGGGGTGGGCATTTTACTAAATAGACAGGCAGAACCCCAGTACACCTGAGGTCATCTGAGGAAGGTGGACACTGGACACCCAAAGGCAAAATGTTCAGGAGGTCTACGGGGGGACTTGCTGGGAACGTATAACCTAGATAAGCAGAAAGGGAAAAACCTGGGAACCCCTGTTCTGTGGCCACAGAAAGGGGATAACCTTGACTTTATATAGTGACCAAGACAATGAGGCATCTGGTCCCTATATAGTAACAGTTTGTTTCCTGCAGACTTGAGTGACAGATAGCAAAAAGGCTAATGTCTACTAATGAAAGACATGCATCTTGCTGTCACAAGAGTGAACAGACACAGGTTGTACTTGAAGCCCCTGGAATAGACATTCTCTAGCTTGACCACAAAAGTCAAACGCTGTTGGATTGGGTACCTGCATGCAAACATGTGTCTTTAGAATATCAGAAATAATAATTAAGAAAAGATAGATGTGTGGAATGAGCTCCTTCATTATTTGATTCTGAGATTCAGAGAGGTATTTGAGGAAAGCACATAATGGTGCTATCATCACCACTACCTGAGCAGGTAGCACCCTAGAGCCCTCACTATGCAACAGGTGCTGTGATGATGTCCAGCAACAACCCTTGAAGTAGCTGCTCTTATTCTCTCTTTACAAATAAGAGGTTAAGTAACTTCCCCAGGTCATCCAGCAAGGCAGTGATGGAGCCTGAATTCAAACCCAGGCTTGACTCCAGAGCCCGTGCTAGACAAAACTGTACCACCCTCCCCATCTCATAAGGGTTGTGCCAAGTGGGCTGATGTAAATGTGACCTAAAATTAGATTAAAGCAAAATGGAATGAGGCCTTTTGAACGTAAAGGGCAAATTCTGATCTTGTTTTCAGTCCAAAAACAACTCATTTATTCAATGTCTTTTGGAATAGATGTTCCACAAAAATGCATTTTCTAGCTAACTGATGTTTCCCAAAATTCATTTTACATATATTTCTCTGCCTTAAAATGATTATACTGAACATAATGGAACTACTTGTTGTGCTTCAGGTCTATCACATCTCAACAATAACCAGAGCAGCCAATCAATATAGTGCCATCTATGAGGACCATTTTTTGTTTTTTTTGGTATCTTCCCTCACTCTTGTGAGTGGAAGCTGTCTCTTTTTCTTGTCATTATTCTGTCCTACTCTGGTTGACTTGACATCCCTCTCCTTGTTCTACCAACTTGTTGCTTTTCATTTACACTGGGACATTTTTGTCAGTGCTTTCTTCTTGATGGTCCAGAGAGAAAGTCACCTCCAAACAAATGAGCTCTTACCACATTAATGTGACTCCCACATTATGCCTCAATTTAATATATATTTTTTTCTCCTGGAAGAAATCATAAGAAACTTAACAATGGTTACCCTTGGGGAAATGGGCTGGCAGAAAGGTGGGAGGAGAAAATGGAGATTCTCCCCTACTCCCATTTTTCATGTAGTACCTTTAATTAATTGGAATCATCTAATGTCACATATTTTAGTTTTACCTTAAGAATATCAACAGTGGTTACCTGGACAGGAAGTTTTTTTTTAACCTTTTTATATTTAAAATAATCTGATGTTATAGATATCTGTGCGTATGTATATGCATATTTACATCCATAACACAAATGTATATATACAAGTATAAATTTTAAAGATGCCTATGGAAATTATTTTAAAAAATCTAAAATTCTTTCCTAATGGTCCATTTTATGTTAATACCTAAATCTAGTCATCTCTCAGTATCCATGGGAGATTGGTTTCAGGACCGCTGTGGATACCAAAATCCAAGGATGCTATAGTCTCTTATATAAAATGGTAGTACTATTTTTAAATAACCTACGCATATCCTCCTTTATACTTTAAGTCATCTCTGAATTATTTATAATACCTAATACAATGTAAATGCTACGTAAATGGTGGTTATACCATATTGTCTAGGGAGTTATAAGAAAAATGTCTGTACATGTTCAGTAGAGACTCATTTTTTTTCTGAATATTTTTGACCTGTAGTTGGCTGAATCCAGAGATGTGAAACCCATGGATACAGGGGGCTGACTGTACTTCTGTTGTTACAAATTCCAGATTCTCTTTAAAAATAACATATGTCTTGTGTGTGTACCTGTGTTTAAAGCTTTTTGATTTGTGAATAAATTCATAAATATCTCTTGACAAAGGTTTCCGGGGGTAAGTATGCAATTTCTAAAACTAATTTTGAAGAACCTCACTGAGTTAAGTCTTTGATAAACAAAGTCTGCTGTGGCTTTTTTTTGGTGTGTGATTGCAACCTACACTGCAAGATATAAAATGAAATTTTTGAATAATTCTCTAAAAATTACTTATTGATCTAAATTATGGAATCTCACCTTATATTCAGGTTTTTTCTTAAAAATAAAAGCCCATATAACTGCTGTGTTAAAAGTCAAAGATACAGACATAAAATTTCATTAAAAAAAGACTATCTATAATCAAGGAATCATCAAAAGTATTGATACTTACTTTATTTCTTGAAATTTACTTCATTGCTTTGAAAAAAGACACTTGGGAAAATCTAAGTAGTTTAATTCCTTGACACTGATTATATTAAGCATAGATAGAATTTTTTTTTCTGCTACCACTATTTTGGTTTACTTCTACTTCCCCTTGCTTCTTGGTACTCTTCAGGGAATATGTTGAGGAAGACAAAAAGTGACTTCCCCAAATCAGGTAGGTGTACTCTCATTGTCTATCATTGTCAAAATCATCACCACAGACTAAAAGCTGTTTATTTGTGATTCACATCTATTAAAGTAGCTGGAACTTTCCTTATCAGACTGATACAATCTCTGCTAGGGTATGGGAGGCAGAGGTGATTCTGAATAGGGTATCTAGTAAAAGAGCTGGTTCCCGACTATGTAGGCTTAACTGGGTCACCTAAAGCAAAGGTAATGCCCAACCAACCAGGTAAAGCTGTAAGGAAAGCCAAGGGACCAGTGAAAACAGAGCTTGACACAGCAGCAGGCACTCAATAAATACTTGTTGAATAAACAAATGAGATAATTCTACTTATATAACACGAGGTATTTGAACAAAACAATATAACCTCCCTCTTTGAAGTTCTAGTTAAACAGTTACGTTACTCCTGTGGCTCTGGTTTGTAGGAAAAAAACTGGATTTATTAATAGCATAGAAGCAGAAGTCAGAATAAGCAAGCCAACTCTTAGCTTTTCTTTCCATAGGTATAAATTGGGCTCCATATCCTATGTCTTGCAGAGAAGCCAAAGATCTACTCTGTAGCAATTAATGTTGGGACAACAACACACATGTTAAAAAGTTGTCTGTGGGGCTCAGAATTTAATTTTAGAAAACAAATTTAAGTCTTGTAAATTCTCTCCATATCAGATGATCACATTAACATTCATCTCAGTGCAAAGCTAAAGAGAAATCATGTAGACATTATCTGCCTTTCCTCTTGTCCATGCTATTATACCCTTCTATTATGTAGATCATTTAACAGACAGCAAGAGTGAACAGCTCTTCATGGAATCCCTGAGCTAGAAAAGCCCTTGAAGTTCATCTGGTTCAATTACCAGAATACCTCCAGAAACTATACCTGTGAGACACAGAACTATATATAGAAGTGAAAGCTTACTCCTCTATTGCCACAATGTGGTGGGTTTTTGTTTTTTAAGTTAACCCAATACATCAATCTCTTAATCACAACCCATTCTTTTCTGTTCCACCCCCCCTAAAAAAATGGATAATATGAGGACATATCATTATTAAAACAGTATTTTAATACTACTAGCATCACTATATTATGTGGTATTTTAAATTAAGAAAAACATGGTATGGATTTTAATTAATACTGCTATCATTTTAGTCTGAATTTGAATAGAAGATTCTTAAAGTTACTCTAGGCTTCCATTTAACACAGAAATCCTCTCTATCGCATATTTCATCTAAAAGACTGCATAATAAAAGATTAATGCAGCCACTTTAAGTATTTATATGTTTTAAAATTGCATAGGAGGTAGATGATCACTTTTTGTATTTATTTAAAAACTATATTTTCTATATTTTGAACAAATGGATATGATATTTAAACATTCTTTTTTTAAAACCATTGCCAGTTACCATAAATGAAGATTTGCTACACTGTACTTTAATTGTGTTAACATAATGCGTAATTCAAAGGCAATACTTAAAAACATTTCAAAATCAGGTTGTAATTATTTCAGGCAAAATGTAAGTATTTCTGGCTAATCGTAGCACATAAGATGTCTATTTTCAGAACTAATTGGTCAAATACTGTCACAGAGCACCAGTGTAACAAAAAGAACACCTCAGTGTGAGCTGGCACACAAAGTATACTATGTTATAATAACCACAAAATACAGGGTGAATCATATTTTGCAAAGAGGCTTGTGCACACCTAATAGAAAACCCACATCACAGCCATATTCGGCATCACCAAGGTATGACATGAGAGGGGACTTTTGTTCTTAACAATAGTGCCACTCAGTGGCTGAACAATGGTAGTGAATTGAAAACAGTATGAATGGAGGGTGGGCAAAAAGAAAAATGGAGTTTTGGAGTAGGCAATGATAATACTGTAGGCAAAGAAAAAGAAACACTATGTTGTTATGGTAACTGTACCTTGGAGGTCAGTTAGAGTCTGGACAGGAACAGAAACCTGAGCATCGCTTCCTGTAACTACATCGCCTGGATTTCATAAGAAAAAATAATTAGATTTCATAAAAAGGAAATAATCAACTTCACTTTTCTTTTATACTGAATGTTCTAATACTTTAATCAAATTACTAAAAATATAGTACAAAAGAAAATAATGCACAAGCTTAGAAAAATATAAAATATTTTCAAAGAAAATAATCTTTAAGAGCATGTTTTCTAGAAATGTTTTGTGTTTGTTTTTCTTAAAGAAAACACAAACAAGTTTCAACTAGAGTATAGGAAACTTCAGCAATCAAAAGATTTTGCTGAGCATATTTCATGATGCTACAAATATTAGTGTGATTTTATATTTTCCCTTTCATCCAAAAGTAAGTTATATGTCATTTATTTAAAAATAGGCATTCTTTTGAAATTGATTTCCTCCTATATCAGACAAAATTTATTTTTAACTAACTTGAAACCAACTTCTTCAGTGATAAGATAAAGTCCTCAATAAGTTCTAATTTCACATTAAGTAATGAAAAGATTTAAGTTACCACATGTACTTATAAATGTCAACATGTAAAAATAAACCTGTGAACTGCATACCCTTCACTTGATATACTTATTGTAGGCAAGATTTCATTTACAAATTGGACTTATAGTAAGTGCTTAAAATAATGACATGTTCAAATTAAAAAAGCAATTTAAAATATAGACAAAGGAAACAGGAAAAAAAAAAAACCAAGTGCATTTTAAGAACATAAGAAAGGAAAAGGAGCATAACAGGAAATCTCATGAAGAACCTGAGGTGCACTAACATTTGGAAGGAAGACTTTTTGGTTCTTTGATTTCCTTCCTGGATGACAAAGTTCAACACTAAGCACAGTCACTGTCAACAGAATCATTCTCTGGATATATCACCATCTGAAGGCCTATGCTATTTTCAGACTAACAGGCTAAAGAAAAAAGCATTTTAAAAAAGCATCATATTTTCTATGCATGATCATTTATGATTAATTGACTTGTTTCCCCTTGAGCTTTTATATAATATATACAGTAGTAAAAAAAATCAACTTTTGAGTTAAATGACATATCCTCAGTGTTCTGACCACTATGACTTACAGCATGGCCAGCTAATCCGGAAACTGTTAAGTTGTAATTATACCATCATCATCAATTAACAGTACACACATTTAGTCTCCTATAATTGAAATAAAATCTATAAATAGGAACATACCACAAACAAGTGATAAACAGCTTTTAGTGGAAATGGGCCCCAGATTTTCATAGTATATGTACTCTAAATTCACTGATAATGGCGTGCCTACTTTCTGTATCTTTGAAGGAGATTTTCAATTCTGTGCCTGCTACCTGTTTTACTCTGCTGCTTCTAGATCACTTATTAATGTATAGAGACTGACAACTCATTTTAACATTAAATATCACCAAAACAATTACAGGGAACATCTGGGCTGCTCCTTCACTATCCTACCCCAACACAAAGACAAACTACAGAATGTACTTCAAGCAACACATGTGAGTTTGGATTACAAACACAACTGTCCCCCTATCTAAGCATACAAGCACAAGTAATTGAAAGTTAACTGATTATGAAAACCATAAACAGTTTCATCTTTATAAACAACCATTTTTCAACATAACTTTCAAATTTTCCAGCAGAGTACACTAAAAAGACTATTACATTATCTTTCCTCAAAGGCACTAAGTAGATGACTCTGTTCTGAGAGAGAAATCACTTCACAACACAAGCCTCCTGACAGGCTGAATATTGTGTTCACTGATCTATGGGACCAGGTGATATGCTTGCAGCTTTCAGTGTGACAGCACAGCAGGATACATGTGGGAAATACCAGCATAAAGAACCAATGTTGGAGAAGTATTTTTCACTGTAGAGTTAATACATATTCTACCAAAACAACCATAGATTTTTAGAGGTGGGAGACTCTCCAGGGATTAGCCCAAATCTCTTATTTCAGGGTGAGGAAAGAAGAGGGTCAGAGAGCTTCAGGGTGTTGCTTAGGGCTCATCAATGGATGAATAGAGAAGAGCAGCAAACTACACTATCTTCTATCGTCTACTTCCACAAACCGTTCTCTTTGCCTTTTGTTTTATCCATACCTTTGTGAGGGAAGGAGCATTAGCAGGAACATTTATCATTAATCTGAAGGTAAACAAATTTTTGTTTTTTTTTTTTGGTAGATTGACATGAGAAGAACAAAACACAAGTACAAATATAGAAGGGTTGCCAAACAAGGCTACTTCCTTTCAGCACAGGGATCAGTTAAAATGCCCTAGTGATAATCATGTTCCAAATACTTTGCTTAAGTGCTCTGTTGTCTCCTTATAACTGGGGACTTGGTTTTCATCAATTGTTCCATCTCCATGCACTTCCTTTCTCACTTACTGTGATATTAATACTTGACATTTCCTTGGAGACAAAACTTTATATTTCTAGTCATTTGGCTTAGTTCCTCAGAAAATTTAAGCTACAACATTAAGAGATTCTCTGACTCATTTGCCTGCCATCAGTTAGAATTACAACTGACTACAGCTTGTTATCAAAGCAATATTGAAATCGTATTTGTTTAGAACAATAAAACAGTACAATTAAGAAATATGTAAAATAACATTCATTTCCATTCTGGAAATGGGTATATCTCCTGGCATTAAAATACATTTACAATATGCTAATGCTTTGGTCTCTTTTTTTAAAAAAATGTGTGACAGCTCTACGTTAAAAAGAAAATAATGTAATTTTCAACGAGATTTTTTTTTTTTTTTGAGATGGAGTCTGGCTCTGTTGCCAGGCTGGAGTGCAGTGGCACGATCTTGGCTCACTGCAACCTCCGCCTCCTAGGTTCAAATGATTCTCCTGCCTCAGTCTCCTGAGTAGCTGGGACTACCGGCATGCACCACCATGCCCAGCTAATTTTTGTATTTTTAGTAGACACGGGGTTTCACCATGTTGGCCAGGATGGTCTCCATCTCTTGACCTCGTGATCTACCTCGGCCTCCCAAAGTGCTGGGATTACATGCGTGAACCACCATGCCCGATATATTCTTATGCATGGTAATTTGAATATTCTCACAAAAATTTAAATATGAATTATATAAAATCTAGTATTTTACATAGGCAAATAAAAATTAAATAGAAGAATAACATGATGTAACCAATAGAGGAATACAGACACGCATGGGTGTGTGCATGTGTGTGTACACACACTCATTGAATAATACTCAACATTTGTATCATTGGGAAAGAAAGTCCATTTAACTTAAGTTTACCGATTTAAATGGCACTATGTAAAATCAGAAACTAATTTTGAATGTAATTTCCTTAAACAGAGTATATGGAACATACTTTTAAAATCTTCTTACTGACAATATTACTCATGTTACTGTCAACACTAATTATTGAAAACTGATATAACAGAGGGATCCCTTTAAGACATGAATGACACTTGGGTCAGGATGTTTGCTCTGACACTAAGTGGCCCCAAACTGCTTGTGAGGTCTTAGGATTGCTTTTTAAGTATTTTTTGCCATCAAGATACAACTTCTTGCTTCTAGAGTACAGTTAGCAGAGTCCTAGTACTAAAAATAAATGTAGCTGTTTCCAATTTCTTTTGAAAAGGGGGACCTAATACATTATGACTCTTCAAAAATAGGTGAAAAATAAAAATGCAAAGGTTCAGAGTAAGAACCTGAAGTGCTCTCTTATGAATACAAAACATGAGGGAGGTGAAGCTCTGGAAAGGCCCTAACACAGAAATTAGCTTACCTGAGTCCCAGTAGAAAATGTGCTACCAACAGCAGTGCCCTCACTTACCCATTGAGAGATATGGATTGGATGATCTCCCAGGTTTCCTCTGCTGTAACATTCTGTGGTTCTAACTTTTATTTTATGGACTCATACACTTACTTTGGCTGCTTTTAGTTTCTCCCTCCCCACTGCTTAAGATTCTAGTTTGTATTCCTTAGAAGTGAAGCAGCTGGGTGAGAGACTGCAAGCCTAGTGGCCCACTTTCTCAAAACAACTGTAATGCACCAACGAATGCTGTGACTAGTGAAGCCCATGGTACCGGAACTTCTCATTTTGGATTCCTTTCTAGTGAGAAGCATTACTATACAAAGTTAGCAGAGAACACAGTCAACTGATCTCAATTTCTGTGTTGTGTTAATTCATGCCATCATACTGTATGGGCATCTACAGGACAAAGTTGCAAGTATACTAGGATATAAATGTTAAAAAAAAAATTACCTCATAAAATATTCTTAAGACCAACACGGTATCTAGTATTCCAACTTTATATAACATATTTAAAAAGTAAGTTTTGCATTAATTTCTATTCTAGGAGATTGGTTCCTCACAGGCAGGTGAAGAAATCCCAGGCTACACCATGAATGTTTTCTTTAGATTTACTAGTATTTTTTCCTACCTTTGTTCAATTGCACAGGCATGCTTTCTGATTTCATCAGCCTCTGCTGCTGCTGTTGCTGTTGCAAGTGATGGCTTGGGGCCTCTGCTGAGGTCCTGGTAGGAATTACAACAGAGGAGGAGCTACTGCTGTTGCCTCCAGGTACAGGGCCACCTGCACTGCCTGGAGCCATTGCTGGGGAAATCAACTTTCTTCCAAAATTAATCAGGCTATTAGAGACCTTATTTATATTCAGGGGAGCACCTTTGGCATTGGTCCTGTTAAAAAAAGAAATGGAGAAGCATTATTTACATTAGAGGATGATTCTATTTCACATAATTAATTGGTATAAAAGCACACCTTGTCTGCTTTGAAAAAGGTCATTTACTAGACCAGCTATATAAAGTGAGAAGTGAAAAATTTAAAGTTACTACAGAATAAATAATGAGTTTCTTAAAAACATAGCTTATGGAAAACAGTCTTATTTACATTTCATTCATTCATTCAACAAATAGAGCTAACCCTGCTGGGTTATGAGGACATAACTGCCCCAAAATAGACACAGTTCCCTTCCTGGAACTTCTAGTCTAGTAGAGAAGAAGTATATTAATCAAATAATCACATAAATAAATATATGCTTAAAACCTGCGACTGGACTATGAAGGACAGGCTAGGCAAGTCATGGGGTCCTCACAGAAGGGGGCATCTATGAAATGAAGCTAAGAATAGATTTCTTACCAGCCCTGGCACATGGGTACTAGGTCAAATTTAATATGATTTTGAAAATATATATGTCTGACAGTCATGAAGTAAATTCCTAAAAGTTATGTCCTTATTCTCTACCCCAGTGCTCCATATCCTCCTTCTCCACTTCCCTGGTTTATTTTTCTCGATAGCACTTTTCATCATCTGACATACTATATATTTCATTTATTTATTTGGTTATCATTTGTTCACTTCTTCCAATCCCCATTCAAATACAAGTTTCATGAGGGCAAGGATTTTTGTCTCTTTTGTTAACTACTATATTGCCATTGTCTGGTACATCATAGGTACTTTATTAATAATATTTGTTAAATGGTAGCAGCATCTACCCATAGTCCGTCTTTTCACCTGCCACAATGGAAGACCAGCCTCTCCATTTGTGCTTTGAATCCCATTTCCTCTGACTTTCAGAGGTTGTTATTCCTGCATCCTCCTCTCCTGCATCATCATTTTCTCCTTCTTTACTGTATCATTTCCATTAGCATACAACCATGGTGAGTATATGTATATGTACACTAAATTCTCTACTGAACTCTTGTTCCTTTCAAGTTACCATCCCATTTCTTCCTCTACTTATAACATGTTTTTTCAAGGTATATTAAGGTGCCACTTCTGCTTCCTCAGTCTTTGGTCCACCAAGCTCCAGCTGTGGCCTATTTGCCATTGCCCTAAAGCTATTCCTCAAGGTCACCAATGACTTCACATTGCAGTTCCAAAGGTCTATTCTTATTTGACTCTACCTCTCAGCAGCTATCAACTCTCTTAACCACTACTTTCTCTCTCATATTTTGTCTCTTGGCCAGCACCTGTATTATAACTGTGCCTGGCAAATAGAGGGCACCAAGTTAACATTTGTTAGATGAACAATTCCCAAATGACTCAGAATCTTGCAGTATCTCAGGGCTATTATCTTGAAGACCAGTTATGATTACAGATTATTTTAGTTGTAAAGGGGAGTCCAGCTCCATGACAATATTGAAGTTTGTGTTTTTATTGCCCAAATCATTAATAGAAATGAAATAGCTCACATTTTGCTTTTTTCATAAAAATGGAAAATTGAAAATCAACTTTAAGAGATCTACTTATTTGATTTTAATTAACTTGATTTTTACTATAATTTCCTTCTCTCAGATCTAGCTGTCAGCACTTAAATGGTAATTCTACCTTTTATATGACAGCTATATCCTTTCATTACTACATGTTGCTGTAAAACAGAACAGATCCATAGTTCTATAATAAAAAGGAAAGAACACTAGACTTCTACCTTCCATAAAGTTTTCTCTAATGCTACTAGCTAATGTTATGGGCTAGGTATTAGAGACTTACATTGCTTTGGAGGTAGGACAAATCAAATTTAAAATATGAAATTCAGCTTTATAAAAGAAAGATCGATTCATTATAACTCAATGAAGTGTGAAAAAAATTTCAAATGGTTCCTTTGGCATCAAGTTTCATCTTTAAAGAACTGAGCTATGTAAATGTCCTTCCAAAAATTATTAAAAATAACGTTTCCTACTGGAGATAAGGATATAAAGTGATTATGCACCACTTACTTTCATTTTTTAGGTGCTTCCTAGTGAAGTAGAGCATTCTTAATTTACATTTACTATAGGCTGGCAACAGAGAAGGCACTCAATATATGTTTATTGAGAAAAAAGAATGAATGAAATGAAAAAACTCATAAATTCTGGATTAACTAGGCATTCACCTCTGGCATTATATTCCACTCAGCAGCCTGCATACATTCCCATTTCCTGTGAGTGATAGTATAAAGAAAAGCTATCATGGACTGAAGTTCTGTTGCATTTTAGTTTTGCTTGTTTGCAAGTCAGGATTCATAATTCCCAGATATGAAGAAGTTATAATGTTGTTACCCTTTTTTATACAAAAAAAGTACTAGTCAAATTCCCACATTGCCGGTTGTAAAATTTATATGTTGATAAAAGTACTAAGAAACTGCTAGAGCATTATCAAGAGAATACGGTTAATGCATCTTCATTACTACTAATAACCATGAAAAACATATAGATCAAGTTTATGCAGAGCAATTTTTCATCTGAATAGCTCTTAAAAGGGGATGAGCACTGTTTTCCTTTGTTGAACATTTTTTTGTGTGTTTTTAACCATGTTCTCCCTCATCTGGTACCCACAGTTTCTAGAAGAATTTTTTTTTCAAAACAACAATTGAAGGTGATTATGTGTCTTCCGGATATAAGCAATTGTAAGCCATACAGAGAAAGCAATCTGTCCAGAGCTTGTCTGTTTTTCTAGGCATAACAGTTTTTATACCAAAGTTATCTAATTTAGAACTGAAATATGAGCAGCAGAATTCTTCCTGTGAAATATTAAACAACTTCCAACAATTATTAATGGCTGTGATGTGTATGATTAAGTCATGCGTGCTAAATTAATGAAAATTAAAGTAGTTGTCAGAGAGCTGATGGACAGCAGGGATTAGACTGGATTAAAGATGGAGTGCAATGTGTTAACAGTGTTGAAATAAACAGCAAGAGGAATTTGGAGTTAACAAGACATTGAATATCAAATCTAATGAGTAACCAATTTTGTGTTAATTGAAGTCTTTCATTACTATTGTCTATCTACTGTTACTAAAAATAGTACTGTTTAGGAGAGATCATTTTAAAATTCTGCCAGGAACTTAACTTTTGGCACAACCTCATTTAACAAGTTAAGTCAGTACCAAGAGGTGAACTTTCTGAAGATCCAAGAATATCCTCAAAATACCTGTACCAGAACCCAATTCTGACCTGAATTCACTGTTGAGCTTATGTTCAGTTTCTTAACACTGGATTCTCTTCTAGTGAGAAGCATTACTATACAAAGTTAGCAGAGAACACAGTCAACTGATCTCAATTTCTGTGTTGTGTTAATTCATGCCATCATACTGCATGGGCATCTACAGGACAAAGTTGCAAGTATACTAGGATATAAATGTTTAAAAAAAACCCAAAAAAACCCCAAATTATCTCATAAAATGTTCTTAAGACCAACACAGTATCTGATATTCCAACCTTAAAAGAATCAAATATAACATATTTAAAAAGTAAGTTTTGCATTAATTTCTATTCTGGGAGGTTGGTTCCTCACAGACAGGTGAAGAAATTCCAGGCTACGCTGTGAATGAAAATAGGTGATTTTAGCTATCTCTTCCTAGATTTTTATTGCCCACTTGATGTCTTGCAGCCTGGCTTTCTGACCCGCACTCTACTGAAAGAGCTTCTAGGGCCTCCAATGCCTTCGTAGTTTCCAGTCATGGCCTGTTCTTATTACATTTCTATAAACTTTCTGAAGCTTTTAAAAAACCATTATCACATTATCACCTCTATAAAAATTCTCCACAACCTTTTCTCTCCTGGATCTAAATATTTACAAAATTCTAGTTTATCTCCTTTCTTCCTCTATGTTTATTTTTTAGATTTGATATTAAATATGTAATATTTATTTCACTTTTTCTGCAATAAAATCTTGTTAGATGCTTAGCTATACTTTTGTCAAAGAATCACTTCAATTCATTTCAAATTATTTTTCTCTATATTCTAATTTATATATATTTTTGTTATTTCTTTTCCTTGTGTTTTCCAAGGTTGAATACTTCCGTTCATTCATTCACTTATTCATCCTTTATTCTCCCTCTTTTCCGATAAAAGCATTTAAAGCTACACATATGCTTGGTTTTAACAATAGCATGAAAGTTTTCTCTCATTTTCTAAATAGCCTTGTTGGCTCATTTGTTATTTAGGTACAATTAAAAATTTCAGATGGCTGGGTTTGTTTGAGTTTAAATATATTACTTATTTAGATTTATTGAATAAAACAGAAATATTGGAGGAATGGAAGTGGGAAAATGTTCTGATTTTTCAAAACGACTATGGAAAGCACAATTTAGAAAATAAACCGATATATATATATAAATATTTTTACTAATTACTTTGAAATGAATATCTTTTATTACAAGTAGACAGTATGGTTCACTAAAAAGTCATTCCAAGGCAACTTTACTTCTCATCTGATAGTGTGAAAGGTCTGTTAGATTTTGTTAATGTATGTCAGTACCTGTGGAAATAATAATGGAAATAATGCGTGTTCAGATATAGTGGAACAACTGTACCCCAAGCATACTGTTCAATATTCTAGCACCCACCAAGTGTTACTGGTGATTATATGTGTCTCAGACTTGGGTCACAGACTTGTTACCAATCCATCTTTTAGGACGGTCATAATCTTCTGTTAATGAGTTGTGTAACCATGAGAGAGTTATTTATCCTGTCTGGACCCAAGTTTCCTTATCCTAAAATAAGGGAGCTGAATTTTATGATATTTTAGGTACTTTTTAGATTGAAAATTATACTATTTTGTGACCTGAAGAATGAAAATATGTGCTTATTGAATTTCGATCAAAGGCTAAAGAGATACCCAATATATCAAATAGAAGAATCAAATTTTTTAATGTTTTCAACATAAAGTAAATGACAAATGTTTGAGGTGACAGATACGCTAATTATTCTGATTTGATCATTGCATATTGTATACATGTATGATATAGCACACTCTACCTCCAAAATGTGTACAATTATTGTGTACAAATTAAAAACAGTAGTAAGAGCAAAAATGAAAAAAAGACTAAAAAATTTGCAATTTAAAATAATCTCAACAGGCTAGCATGAAAGATTAAACAAAATTTAACAAAGATAAATAAAAGCTCATGTAACTATTTTAAAACTTTTTATAATTGCACATTACATACAGAACAAGAAGGCATGGATAACATGAGTTTAAATTAAAAAAAAAATTCAGAACTCCCAAACATTAATGTTTTGATTGGGTTTGGTTTGGCTGACAAGACTAATATGAGCTCACAGTGATGACACTGAAGAAAATTATGATTCTTGGACTGCATTAATACTAGATGAGTCCTCACACTGCAGAAGATGCTGTATAACTTTGGCAATCAGCTTTGGTAATGCATTAATTTCTGAAAGATTTGAGTTGTGTTTATAAATGGAGTGGAATGGTAGAGAAGCTGAAAACTATGCTGGAAGAGGAATGACTGCAAAACCCGAGGAGTAAGTCCTACATACAATATAGTGAGGGATGCCATGAAGGAAAGCAGCCCTTTTTTGGTGTGGCTTAGAAATGAGATGAGTTACAAAAGTTAAAAAAGTGAGTTACAAAAGCTATGACATAGGAAATCTTATCTAGTGATAAAACAGGCTTCATTTACAAAAGTAAGGGCTCCAATCCTGGAACTGTACAAGTAGAGATTGAAAAATAATCTTTAGATACACAGCCTAGTTCTAGTCCTGGCATGCCTGAGAGACAGTATTAAATGAAAGCCCCTTTCCAACTCTAAGAGTTTATGATCTGCAGTGCCAAATGGCATCTATCGTCACATTTATCACATCACTCAGACAAAAGGACCAAATAAGAGGCTTGTATACTAGTATAGGACCTTGAGAAATGCCAGTCAAACCCCATCTCCAAATGAAGGTGCCTATTTTCCCTGTGTCCTTAGTTTCACCTTCAGTTTCCATTCCATTCCTTCTGCCCTTCCTTCCTCCTATCTTCCTTCCAAAATCTTTCTTTTCTATTCTTTTCCCTTCTCTTTCTTTCATAGTCTCATTTTCTTTCTATCATTTTCTCAAATTGTTCTATCTATACTTTTTACTACCATAAAAACATTTAATGCAGTGGGATACTTGGAAAAAATAAATTGATGCCACTAAACATATATCTATGTATCTCTGGTTTGGAGACAGAAACAATATTCTCTTTGCACCCCTGTATACTCCTAACTCTGTCATTATTGATCTGCTGAGTGGATTATGGTTTATATTTATTTCTTCCATGCTTATAGATATCAATCTATTTGGAAACTTAAAACATTCATCAGAGTTGCAACATAATACTTTCAAGATGATTCTAACATCTAAGGTAATAATCAGGATATACTTCTATTTAAAAATTCTGTAAGTTAGAGGCCAGGTGTGGTGGCTCAGTCCTGTAATCCCAGTACTTTGGAAGGCCGAGGAAGGACAACTGTTTAAGCCCAGGAGTTCAAGACCAGCCTGGGCGATATAGTGAGACCCTGTCTCTACAAAAAAAAAAAAAAAAAAAAAAAAGCCAGCCATGGTGGTGTGCACCTGTAGTCCCAGCTACTTGAGGGGCTAAGGTGGGAGAACTGCTTGAGCCTGGGAGGTCGAGGCTGCAGTGAGCTGTGATCACACCAGTGCGTTCCTGTCTAGGCAACAGAGCAAGACCTGATCTCAAAAAATCTGTAAGCTAAAGGTTTTGAATTCTGTAAAAGGAATGTTTCTAAAGTTCTTAATTCTGTAACTTTGAAGTTCAGTGTTTCAAATTTACTTCAATGAAAGACTTCTATATCTAATTTTAATTTGCTTGCCATACTGTAAGGTTTGTTATTTTAGGAAGTGAACTCACTGCTCATCTCAAGGAACTCTAGATTCTTAAAGATCTTTATTAAAACTAAATGATGAAGGTTAGCTTGTTAGTACTTACTCCTTTAGAGTTGAATTTCAAGGGAAACATGTTTCCTTTCAGCTATAAAGATTAATTCTTTTATGTGCAGCAGGCAAACTTTCGTCTATATGATGAGCAGCAAAAGGAGTAGTGTTTGTTAGGAATAAAAAGGTTGGCACTGGTGACAAGAGTAGACGTAAGCTAGACTATGGGGCTTACGTAATTGGGGCAACATACAGTTTATAATGTTGATTAAACTAACATAACAAATAATAACCTATTATGTATTAATCATGATGCATCAAATCATTAAACTTCTCAAGATATACATATAGGAAAAGAAACTGAGATTTCTATTTTGAGAGTGGTAGTTTTGAACTATTTGAATTATTATTTGAATTATTTATTTGAACTATTTGAATTATTATTTGAATTATTTTCTCACCTGTATCTGAGGGATATGAAATCATTCCCATAAATAACCATGGTTCACACGAGCAGCATCTCTAGAGCATTAGGGATTTTCTGGCCTAGACTAACACATGAGAAAGGGAAGAGAGTATAATCCTGAAATGTTCACACTTTGGGAAGTTTTTGCCCTCTTCACCTCTCTTTTCCCACTTTGAGAATCACTATATGTCTTCATAATTGAAAAAAAATACAGCTGCAGTAAACATATACTAAGAATTAACTGTTATGGTTTGAAGGTAGGGGTACAGAAGCCAATAAAATATAAAGATATTTGAGTCTGCAAAATGAAACAGTCACATTTTAAAATGCAGGCATAGAAAGGAACAGATTATATGTAGAAAAACAAAGGAATATATTTTTTCTTAATTAAAAAAACTATAAAACACTGCTGAGAAGTTAAAGATGACCTAACTAAAGGATGAGATAGCCCATGTTCATGGATTAGATAATTCAATAATGTTGAAGTTATCAGTTCTTTCTAAATTGATATACATATTAAATGTAACTCCAATCAAAATCCCAACAATTTTTATAGAAATTGGAAAGTTGATTGTAAAATTTATATGAAAATGCAAAGGAACTAGAATAGTGAAAGTAATAAAAAAGAACAAAGTTGGAGGACTCAGCCTACTTAAAATCAAGACTTGCTATAAAGTTATATGATTAAGCCACTGTGTTACCAGAGAAAAAACAGAGTGTGGAAATGGATCACACATATATGGCCAGTTGATTTTCAACCAATGATCCAATTTAATTCAGTAGAGAAAGAAAAGACTTTTTAACAAATATTGCTACACAGCTGGGTATCTATCTTGAAAAAGATGAACCTCAACCTTTACCTCATTTTACACACAAAAATTACTTTGAGGTGGATCATAAATTTAAATACAAATGGTAGAACCACACAACTTTTAGATGAAAACAAGAGACTATCTTTGACTGTACAGTAAAGGGTTAACTCAGCATACCTGTGCTGCCCAAAGCCTGTACCTTTCAAAGGACTGGCCCTTGACTGATTCCTGGGAGATAACCTATAAGCCTTTGGAATATCCTGCCTGATAAAAGCGTCTTTATATATCTGGGCCTTGGGTCACACCAAATTGTTTACACTAACAATGGGATGTATGGTAAACACCTGTTTTTTTTCACCTGGGTCCTGGGTCACACTGTATCAGTCTGACCTCTCTGGGCAGGAATTGGAGACTGGGTAGGTAAGGTTAGTCACATGGGCATTCCATGCCTACATGACTGACTCCCAGTAAAAAATCCTGGGGGACACCAAGGCTTAGGTGAGCAGCTCTACTTGGCAACACTTTGCATGTGTTGTCATTTATCTTGCTGGGAGAATTAAGCACTCCACTGGGAGAGAACAACTGAAAGTTTGTACAGGCATACCTCAGAGTTATTATTATGAGTTCTGTTCTAGACCACTGTAATAAAGCAAGTATCACAATAGTGAATTACACAATTTTTTTGGTTTCCCAGTAAATATAAAAGTTCTGTTTACATTATACTGCAGTCTATTCAGTGTGCAATAACACTATGTCTAAAAAAAGGAAAAATACTAATTAAAAAAATACTTTATTGCCAAAAGATGCTAATGATCATCTGAGCCTTTAGTGAGTCTTAAGCTTTTTGCTGATGGAGGGTCTTGTCTCAATGTTGATGGCTTGTGACTAATCAGGGTGGTAGTTCCTGAATGTTGGGGTGGTTGTGGCAATTTCTTAAAATAAGACAACAATGAAGTTGGCCACACTGATTGACTCTTCTTTTAAAGAAAGGTTTCTCAATAGCACATGATGCTATTTGATAGCATTTTACCCACAGCAGAACTTCTTTAAAATTGGAGTCAATCCCTTCAAACCCTACTGCTGGTTTATCAACCAAGCTTATGTAATATTTTAAATGCTTTGCTGTCATTTCAATAATGTTCATAGCATATTTACCAGGAGTAGATTCCATCTTAAGAAACCACTTTACCCATCCGTAGGAACTCTCTTCTTCTATTACAGTTTTATCATGAGACTGCAGCAATTTGGCCACAATTTTAGGCTCCACTTATAATTCTAGTTCTCTTGCTATTTTCACCCCATGTGGTTACTTCCTCCACTAATTTTTTTTTTTTTTTTTCTTCTAAACAGAGTCTCGCTCTGTCACCCAGGCTGGAGTGTGGTGGTGCAATCTCTGCTCACTGCAACCTCTGCCTCCCGGGTTCAAGCGATTCTCCTGCCTCAGCCTTGCGAGCAACTGGGACTAAAGGCACCCGCCACCACACCCAGCTAATTTTTGTATTTTTGGTAGAGACAGGGTTTCACCATGTTGGCCAGGCTGGTCTCGAACTCCTGACCTCAGGTGATCTGCTCGCCTTGGCCTCCCAAAGTGCTGGCATTACAGGCGTGAGCCACTGCGCCCGGCCTGATGTCTTGAATCCCTCTGAGTCATTGATGAGTGTTGAAATCAACTTCTTCTAAAATCAACTTCTTTCAAACTCTTGTTAATGTTGATATTTTGACATCCTCCCATGAATCATGAATGTTCTTAATGGCATCCAGAATGGTAAATCCTTTCCAGATGGTTTTCAATTTACCTTGTCCAGAACCATCAGAGGAATCACTATCTATGGCAGCTATAGCCTTATGAAATGTATTTCTTAAATAATAAGGCCTGTGAGTCAAAATTCCTTCTTGACCTATGAGCTGCAGAACAGATATTGTATTAGCAGGCATGGAAACAACATTAATCTCCTTGATTAATGCTTGGGTGCAAGCTCTTGGGTGACCAGGTGCATTGTTAGTCAGAAGTAGTATTTTGAAAGGAATATTTTTTTTCTGAACAGTAGGTCTCAACAGTGACACAGAGAGACAGGCTGCCCTTTGAAATTTTGATGCCAGGCACTGATCCTCCTCTCTGGCTACGGAAGTCCTTTGCAGCATCTTCCAGTAGAAGCCTGTTTCATCTATACCGAAAATCTGTTGTTCAGTGTAGCGAGCCCCCTTTATCAATTATCATAGATACATCTTCTGGATAACTCGCTGCAGCTTCTATATCAGTACTTGCTGCTTCACCTTGCACTTTAATGTTACAGAGACAACTTCTTCCCTTAAATCTCCTTAATCAATCTCCACTAGCTTCCAACTTTTCTTCTGCAGCTTCCTCACCCCTCTCTGCCTTTACAGAATTGAAGAGTTAGGGCCTTGCTTCTAGATTAGGTTTTGGCATAAGGGAATGTTGTGACTGGTCTGATTGTCTACCCAGACCACTCAAACTTTCTCCATATCAGCAATAAGGCTGTTTATTTTCTTATCATTCATGTGTCCACTGGAGTAGCACTTTTAATTTCCTTCAAAAACTTTTCCTTTGCTTTCATGATTTGGTTGTTTGCTGCGAGAGATCTAGCTTGCGACCCATTTCAGCTTCTGACGTGCCTTCCTAACTAAGCTTCAACATTTCCAGTTTTTGATATAAAGTGAGAGATGTGTAACTCTTCCTTTCACTTGAACACTTAGAAGCTATTATAGGGTTATTAATTGGCCTATCATATGGTTTGAATATGTTTTCCCTCCAAATCTCATGTTGAAATGTGGTCTCCAGTGTTGATGGTGGGGCCTAGTGAGAGGTGTCTGGATCATGGGGGTGTACCCCTCATGAATGGCTTGGTGCCATCCCCTTGGTGATAAGTGAGCTCTTGCTCTGAGTTCACACGAGTAAAACTCCCTGAGCCCTCCCTAGAAGTCCAGCAGATGGTGGCACCAGGCTTGTACAGCCTGAAGAACTGTGAGCCAATTAAACATCTTTTCTTTATAAATTACCCAGCCTCAGGTATTTCTTTATAGCAACACAAAAATGGCCTAATACAGCCTAATTTCAATATTACCAAGTCTCAAGGAATAGGGAGGCCCAAGGAAAGGGAGAAAGATGAGGAAAGAACCAGTTGGTGGAGCAGTCAGAACACACACAGTATTTATTGATTAAATTTGCTGTCTTATATGGGTGCAGTTCATGGTGCCCCAAAACGATAACAAGATTAACATCAAAGCTCACTAATTACAGATCATCTTAACAGGTATAATACTGAATACATATGAAATAGTGCTAGAATTACCAAAATATGACAGAGACAAAGTGAGCACATGCTATTGAAAAAACAGTGCTGATGGACTTGCTCAGTGCAGGGTTGCTACAAACCTTCAATATGTAAAAAATGCAATAAAATGAGGTGTGCTTGTAATAATACACAGTTACCCAGTGCTTGTAATAATCCCCAGTTAGAATTGCCCTTGACTCCTATTTTTCTCTTACATTACACATTGAGTCCATCAGCAAATGCTAGTCAAAATATATACTCAAACAAATCACTTTTCTCTCTCTGCACTGCCAATACCATGTTACCATATCATTGCTAATCTTGCTGCTCATCTCCTAACTAGTCTCTGTTTCCTCTCCTCCTTATAGACTATTTTCCACACAGCACCCAGATTAATTTAAGTCAGATCATATCATTCCACCATTCAGAGCCCTTTGGTGAATTCCCAAAAATCTTAGGATAAAACCCTAAGCATTTTCAATGGCCTGTAAGGCAAGCCCTACATGATCTAGCCTCCTACTATCTCTCCAACCTCATTTACTACCAATGTCATTTGCTACCACCCTTGCGTGTTGTTCACTGGGCTCCAGCCATACCGGCCTGCTTACTATTTCTCAAGCGCAGAATCATTTTTCCACTTCAGAAGCTTTGTACTTGCATTTTCCTATAACGGGAAATGTTCTTCCCCAAGAATCCACGTGGCACCCTCACTATTCAGTCTGTTCAAATAGCATCTTTTCAGAGACACTCACTTTGACTACTCTATTTAAAATAATGAACTCCTTTAACTCTGTCTCTTTGCTTTGTTATTGGTTTTGTGTTTCTTATAGAAATTCTCACTTCCTGATGTTATTTTTAGCTTTAAAAATTATTGTGGTATATTTTGATTGTTTCTTGCATTAAAATATAAACTCAATGTTTGTCTTGTTGGCACTAAATGCAAGAATTGCAAACAGCACAAATAAACATTTACAAAGCAATTCAAATCCACAACTAGTAAAAGAAATGAAAATTGAAGCAACAAAAAGTTTCAGCTTTCTTATTAGCACCTTTCCTATTAGCAAATTAATAATTAATGAGCAAGCACTGGTAAAAGTGCCTGTATTTCCTTAGTCACCAATGAGGGAGTACGAATGGAAACAAGCTTGATAATCTTACCAAAGAGTTCTTCCACTTCTATATGGAGCCCTGATAACCCATATTATTCCCTGGCGATTTGTTCATCATGGTCCACTCTTTTATCTGTGGTAAAAAAAAAACCACTGTAGCTGTGGAACCTTTGATAAAGTTCCTGTTAAGCTACTTAAGGCCTAGGATGCTTTCACCAGGCTTGGCTCTTTAGCCATAATTGGCCTTGCTACTATTTCCTTGGCTGTTTGGAGGCTATTAAAGAGTTGGTGCATTGGGGCTGTCATGCAAGAGGGGAAGTAATGATGATCCAGAGGGAATATATATACTCACGGGAACCCCCCCCCCCCCAGTAGAAGCGATTAGAAGTGGAGGTTAGACAAGAGACAGGCACACATATGGAAAGCAGGCGGCTAATACCTGCTACATCTATGGCAATGGGCTTTTATTTGTGTTGCATATCCAAATAAGGAAAGAGGATGCAAAGATGACATGTGATTTCATGGATAAGAATATCTCTAAAAATCAAGAAGCCTGATTTCTCTTCTCTGCTTCACCATGGATTGCTATAATTAAGTCTTTAAAAGCAACTGCCTAGGTATTTTAGTGATAGATTTTCCATTACGTGTATGGATAATATTCACTTTGCTCTGATTTAACTTACTTGCACATTTCTTTTTAAAAATGGGAATTGACATTTTCCTACTCATTCAGAAAGCTTGGAATGACAATTTAACACTAAAATCTTATTCCAATTTTGTCCTTAAATAACCAGAAATTGCTGCTATTAAAAAAGTACATTTAAATTGTGACCAGTCTTCAGAAAGATCCATCTAACTTATTTAAGAATCTGTGACTACTGAAATGCTCAATTGAATAGTCACAGAACAGAACTTCATATTTTTTAAAGTCTGCAATCTCCTACACTAAGAGTAGAATCTCATATTTTCTTTATTCCAGAACATTCATGGATTTTCTGTTTTGAAAATGACACAATTTTTCAAAATGTAAAATTCTTTCTCCTGTGAAGAGGTGATAAAATAAATGGTAGCTGAGCTGTCAGTACTGCCTCAAGAGTATGTCACTTTATCTAGTGACGGCTTTTTACAGACTCCACAGCTATAGGTCTTTTAACTTGCTTAAGCAATTTTACACAACCAAAATCAGGTATTTCATTTGATAAAATTGAAATTTAACAGAGATGGAAGAAACCAAGATTAGTTCTTTGATCTCTCACTCCAGCAGATCAGAAATAACATTCTCTGTGCTAACTATCCCAGTTTTCCTCTGCCCCGACAGAGCCTAAATAACTTCACTGATATTGATGATGAAAGATTCCAGAATTTTAATTCTGGCATGTAGGTCCTCTGTAGAAGGCTGCTAGTCAGGACCCCTGCCTGACATATAAGAGGAAGCCAGGATCTAGGAAAAGAAGATTCTTACTAGGAGGGTTTCCTGGGCATTTAAGATGTATCCACATTCCTCAGCAGGATTCTATGTGTCTGTGGAGTAATGGTAACTATTCTTACCCCAAGAAAGCCTAGCGGCCAATAATTCCCCATCTCTACCAGGGATCAGGATCTGCCTCAGCTTAGGAGTGCTCCTCTCAAGGGCTGGCCTAAGCAGAATGTCCTGGAAAAGTGCAGTTTTCCCAGGGTACACAAAGATTCTTCCAATGACTATAATCTTATACTAGAATCTGAGCTCTGTGAGAACAGGCACCACATCTATCTTTTTCACTGATGTTCTCTCAATACCTGGCACAGAGAAGAAATTAAAGCATTTGTGAAATGAATGAATACTTGTTCACTTCAATTGTGGAGTAACCCATATGCCTAAGAGTGGTATCTCACATAAACCTAAACATCCTTGATATCAGGGTGTGGGTCTTAGAATCATCATATTCCCAGGGCCTAGCACAGCGTCTGGCACTGTGTATAGTATTCAATAAATATTTAGTTTAACGATTGAATAAATACATACTGTTTTGAAACCTAAAAAGCATTATAAGATTCTCCTGAACAACTTCCATTTTATATGGTAAGATTTTTTAAATGCTTAATTCTATTTACTTCTATAATGACTGTATTTTTTTCAGATGTTTTATTGCTAAATTACATTAAAGAAATAATATGCTAATAATGTTCTCCAAGCCATGAAGCCAAGGAGTCCATGGTTATCAGTATTAGTAATTTGTTGATCAGAATTTCAAAGGACACTGATGGCTATAGAAATACAACTTTATGATTTTTTGTGTTCAAATAACTAAGCATTTGTGGTACAACTAAAGTGCTCTTTCTGAAGAGAGTTGTTAATTCTTAACCAATTTAGGTAAAACAGTAACATTGTCTCCTATCTAGTCCAGAGCAAATACATCTTTTTCTTTTTATAAAACAAAACTTAGGTATAATTTATATATAATATACAGATCTTAAATGTTCAATCTGATGAGTTTTGACACTTGTGTACACCTGTATAACCACCATCCCAAATAATATACCTAGAATGAACATTTCTATTACTCCCAAATTCGCTCATGTCTCTTTAGAGTCAATTCCAAACCCTTATCCTGAGGTAGCTACTTTCTGATTTCTATCACCACATGCTAGCTGCCCGTTCTCGAGCTTCATATACATGGAACAATACAACATGCTCTCTTCTCTGACTAGCGTTTTTTGTTCAGCATAATGTTTATGAGATGCATGTATGTTATTGCATATATCAGTATGCTTAACCCTTGAACAACACAGGTTTGAACTACACGGGTGCACTTACGTGCGGATTTTTTTCAACCAAATGCAGAGAGAGGAATGTGAAATTCATGTATATAGAAGGCTGACTTTTCATATATGCAGGTTCCTATATGAGAGAGCCGACTATGGGACTTAAGTACACGTGGATTTGGCTATATGCAGGTGGTCCTGGAACCAATTCCCCCAGGAACAACTCTAGTTCATTCCTTTATAGCTGAGTAGTATTCCATTATTTGAATGTACCACAAATTGTTTACCTGGTCTCTTGTTGATGGAGATTGGGTTATTTCCAGATTTGGGGTATTATGAATAAGGCTGCTGTGAATATTCTGTTTCAATGTTGTTTGTTGTGGCTTTTGGATATGTGTTTTTATTTCCCTCGGATAAACACTTAGAAATTAAACTGCTATATTACAGGATATATGTTTAACTTCATAAGAAATTACCAAACTATTTTACAAAGTAGTTATACCTTTTCTGCTCACATCAGGAATACATGAGGGTTCTAATTGCTCCACATCCTTGCCAACATTTGCTACTGTCAATTTTTTATTTTATTTTATCCATTATAGTTGGTATGAAATGTTATCTCATTGTGGTTTAATTTGCATTTTCCTGATGACTAATGTTGAACATCTTTTCATAGCACATTGATGATTTTTATATCTTCTTTTGTGAAGAGGCTGTTGAGTATTTTGCCTATGTTATATTTTTCCTGACATACAAAAATTCTTTATATATTCGGGATATATGTATTAAAAATATTACTCCCAAGTATGTGACTTGCCTGTTCTTTTTCTTAATGGCATATTCTGATGAACAAAAAAACCTTTAATTTTAAGTTCATTTTATCTATCTTTTCTAGTGCTTTTTGTTTCCCGTATAAGAAATCTTTGCCTACCCTTTGTCTTTACCGTGGCGGGGGTGGGGGGGGGGTCCCAAGACTACCAATTAGGTTTGATGATATACTAGAAGAAAAAGCTGTTACACTCATTCCAGATTAAGGCCAAGAAAGGAAAAAGGTTGGAGTCAAAGAGAAACAAAGTTTGGTATCTATTGTGAGAAACATTGTGGGCATAACAGGCATGTGAGTGTGGGAGTAGAATCAACAGTTCTGTTTGAAAAATACTAAATTTAAGCTACATGTGGGACATCCAAGAGAAAATATTAGTAAGTAGCAAGGGATGGGTAAAACTGAAGACATAAATTAAGGACCCATCTGTAGGCCATGAACTGAGTTGAAATCCTCAAAGGAATGAGTATAGAGAAGAAAAGAAGTGTGGGGTTGGGGCTGTTCCAATATTTGGAGTAAGAAGAGGATTTAGCAGACCATGGCAAGAGACAGAATGGCCACTTAGGATCTTGTGTTTCTTTTTTTGAGATGAAGTCTCTCTCTGTCGCCCAGGCTGGAATGCAGTGGCACGATCTCGGCTCACTGCAACCTCCACCTCCTGGGTTCCAGCGTTTCTACTGCCTCAGCCTCCCGAGTAGCTGGGACTACAGGCTAGTGCCACCACTCCCGTCTAATTTTTTGTATTTTTAATAGAGACAGGGTTTCACCACGTTGGCCAGGATGGTCTCGATCTCCTGACTTCGTGATCTGCCCTCCTGGGCCTCCCAAAGTGCTGGGATTACAGGTGTGAGCCACCGCACCCGGCCAGATCCTGTGTTTCTTACTGAACTGCCTAAATTCTTCATACATTAATGATATTATATTTTGCCAGTTACATCCACTACAAATATTTTCCTAATTTTTGGTTTGTCTTTTGATTCAGTTTATTTTTTACATATCTACTTTAAAATATGTGTTGTATAGTAAAATCCATTAGTTGTTCCTTTGTGATTTTCTCCATTAAAGGTTAAAACATCTTCACACTATTATTATTTGTCAATTAAAAATTTTAAAATAAGATTTAGGCCGGGCGCAGTGGCTCACGCCTGCAATCCCAGCACTTCGGGAGGCTGAGGTGGGCAGATCACGAGGTCAGGAGATTGAGACCATCTTGGCTAACACGGTGAAACCCCGTCTACTAAAAATACAAAAAATTAGCCAGGCGTGGCAGCGTGCGCCTGTAGTCCCAGCTACTTGGGAGGCTGAGGCAGGAGAATGGCGGGAACCCGGGAGGCGGAGCTTGCAGTAAGCCGAGATTGCGCCACTGCACTCCAGCCTGGGCGACAAAGCGAGACTCGGTCTCAAAAAATAAAAACAACAAAAAAAATTTGAAATAAGATTAAAAAGTCTTCAAGTAACTATTGGTCAGATTATTGGTCAGATAGGCACTTGCATTTTTATTTTTATGTTTGCTTGTTTCAGTGCACTTTGGAATTTACTTTTGTGTGTGGTTGATACTTTTTCAAAGATTTGCCAATTTTCCCAGCACCGTCTATTAACTATTTCCTTGCTTACTGAGTTGTGACGTCTTCTGCTTCAATTACTACATTTTATTTAGTTGAATTTCAATGTTAAGCTTTGCAATTGCAAAAGACGACAAAAAGTGTTCCTTCCAATCTTCAAGATACTTTGCACAAGAATCTCAATGTGTTTATATATATATAATATATATATAAACTCATTGTGTTATATATATAATATATATATAAACTCATTGTGTTATATATATATAAACTCAATGTGTTATATATATATAACAAAACCAACATTTTGTGGAAGAAAAATGCAGGGAGAGAAGGCTAAAGAGAAGAAAATCATGAAGGGGAGAAAATAATGGGTACAATACATTTCCTGTGGTGGAGAAAAAGGTGTTGAAAATATTTCAAAAAATTCATATAACAAATATGTGTTGAGTGCCTTCCCTATACCAGTCATCATTGTCCTAGGTGCCATGAAGTGGTGAATAAGACAAAAGCCTGCCCTCAGGGGCTTAGATTTTAGTGGAGACGTTGGGGAGACAGATTATAAATACACAAATGAATTATATAACTTCAGTTCATGATGATGGGATAGAGTGAATAGGGGAGGTGAAGACAGGCAGGAGGTTAAGAGTGGCCTCTCTGAGATGACATTTAGGCTGAGCTTTAAATCATGAAGAGGCATGGGAAGATGGGGGTGGCAGAAGTGCTCTAGCAGGAGGGAGGAGTTAGGTGCACAGGCCCTAAGCAAGGGCAAATAACAGAGAAGGCTGATGTGGCTGTAGCATGAGAATGAAGAGAAGGAGAGAGTGGAAGGAGATAAGGTCAAAGAGATAGGAAAGGGCTTCAGGAAGAAGACTGGATAGCCAGTGGCAATAGGAAGCCTTTGGAGATGTTTACATGGAGGTATGATATAACCTGTTATAAATTGACATTTAGTTGGCTGTTGTGTAAAAAATAATCTTGTGGGGGTTGGGAGGGAGGGGAAGACAAAGGATTCCAGCTAAAAAGGTCTTGTATAAAGAAAAAGACTAACATACTTTGTTCTTTTAAACATAACAAAACTAAATATCTGACATAATGGGAAGAAATATAAGTGACTAGGGTGTAAGACTACTGAAGGCAGGGATTTTGGTCTGGGTTTTTACTGGGCATCTCCTGTGTTTAAAATAATCAATCTGGCAGTCATTAAAACTCTGTTGAATGATCAAGTGACTATAGCAAATAAATTTTTATTTGTGTAACAAGACTCAGATGAAATGAACAAACAGAAAAGAGCTTCAGATAAGTCTCATGAGCTACAGAACTGGTCTCATAATTGCATGGTACATCAATATATGGAGCAAACAGATTTCAATCAGAGATGGGGAGTTTTATAACAACATTACACTAAGACAAGGTTCAAATTTCAAGTTTAAATTTAGCCATTTTGTTGTAAACTTCTTCTCATCCCTTAGACTATGAGTTCCTATGCAGCAGGAATTATAACTTATTTTTAACTCTCCAGTAACAGCAGAACACATTGTGTATATGTATTCCATAAATGTATATTTAGGCTCTTGGAATTCTACTGAAGAAAAGCTAACACATAGGCAAAATGCTTGAGGAAGAAAATTCGGACAACTTGGCAGCATTTATCATTACTAACATTTTAGTCTTCCAGAGTAAACTTTGAAATTACATTCTAATTTGAAATGATTCTGGTTTGACAAGTTAACTCTTGAGACATCTCAATATGATATTATGAAAGAACAAAACCATTCATCAACCCTTTCTGCCAATGTTAACTTCTTTAAAAAGTAGGATTTTAATGTTTTTTATTCCTACAGTGACCCTTAAAATTTCTATGTATGCAATCACAAATGTACACACAAGATGCATTTATAAGCTTATTGTGTAGTTCTAAAGACAGTTGGGAAACACATTTTTAATTTTGTTACTGAAATAATTTAAAAATATATTATAAAACTGTCTCTTTTCAATCAACAGCAAAAATCTAGAAAGAGATTATACAAGTAGGCACAATTTATGCAAGTTTATTCATGTTAGAAAAATGAAGTTGCCTAACTTCAAATTGTAACAAGTACTCTTATATTTATTTTTCGTCTTACCATTGACATCAATATATAGCATTTTTTATGCCTTTAAAATAACTTGGGTAATTTATTTAACAAAGATTCCTTATGTACATATGCTAAAATCTGGAAAATTGTTTTCAGCAATATGTAAAATTTCCTGATGATCTCTGAGACTACCTTTGTGATTTATAACTATCATCAGAAAAAGGGGACTTACCGGCTTTTATTCATGAGGTCTGCTCCTCGTGCTTTGTAATAATCTAAATTTGGATGGAATTGATAAGTCACTGGTCTTGGATTTCTCTAAAAAAAAATACATTTTTAAAAAGCTAGTTAAATGATTTAATCCATTAACATATAAGAGGACAGCAATGATCATTTTAATATCCCTTCAGAAAAGAATATGTATAATATAAAGTTTAATAATTAGTGTGATTGGGTTTTGCTTTTATTAAATTATTCCTTACTTCTGATTAAACACAAAAATTATTTATTTTTTCCTCTCTCATAGTTAATATTTATTCATCATTAGATTTCTGATGACTTCAAAATAAAATTTTCAAATATAACTTTCCTAAAATATGATGAATAAAATTATAATAACATCTAAAAACTATATGAGATGTAACACAACCACAAACTATGCCAAGGGATGGAGAGACATAAGGTGTCAAGGTAACTGCATTTCGGGGGAAGAGAAAGTCATTAGTTTTTTATGACCAGAATGCTAAATGTGTCCACTAGATGGCACACTGAGACTTTCTTGTTCCAAAATGAGTTATTTTCAGAATTCAGCAATTCTTTTAAAGTTAGCAATTTCTATGTCATCTATCCTTATTTATGAGTTTAATAAATGGTCAAAATATGCCAGGTAGTAGAAATATTACCAGGATAACCATTACTATACAAAAGCAAATTGACCAATGCACATTTTCACAAAAGTAGCAAAAACACTGCCCTTTCTAGAATGCAACATTATTTATAAACATTGCAGAAATGTCCTTGAATCATTAGGTCCACGGTGTCTGTTTATATGTGTTGCTATTATTTAAACATATCTATTATTTAAATGTTCAAATCCCTCACAGGCGAGTAAAAATTAAACAAATATACTTCTGCTTTACAAAAACCAATCATGTTTACAGCATAATTTAAATGAATACCATAATCTCTAAAATGTTAAATTACATATATTTACCATAAAAAGTTTTTAAAACCTTATAAATAAATGTGTTCTAATGTTTACCTGGGCAGATAATTCAAGTTAATAATTAGGTTTTTGAACCAAGGCATGCACTTCCTTTGAGATACATATCTGGACACGGAAAAGCTGCATATTATCTTAATAGAAAATTACCAATATGCGCAGAAATCAATCCTTGGAGACATAATTCCAAGGCACTGATACACTTGCATGCAGGCACGGGGGGGGTTGCGGGGGGATATAATTGCTAAGGTTAAACAGTTTGAAATTCATCAAGCGAACAAGCCGCATTTAATGGCCATGATGGACCTTTTCTTTTTCTGCTGAAAGGAGAATATTTATACAGCTCAACCCTTTCATATCTCTTCCAAGCCAGCCCTAATCATCTGACAAAAATGACAATCCCTTGATTTAGCTCCAGCTACTACTCCACTGGTTTGGTATTCAACACAGTTCTACAATAATCAAATCTGAATTGCCTTGATGAAGATAACTGATGCTTCCATGACGACCATACTATTAAGTCTAACAGTGCAACTTTTCTCTCTCTAGGAATTACATAGGTTTTCTCATGGTAGCTGATGACAACCTGGACCCAAGTATAATGGGAAAATAAAATAGAGGTTAAGGCCACTGGCAGATTGACAGTGCATTCATGATGTATTTTAAAAATTAACTTTCGCAGGACTATCGCTCATGACTAATTTTGCCCTTTATTCTCAGTACCTGGAAATACATTTTGTTTCTGCTAATAAAAAAAGACCCCTTTTCTCTGACTTCCAACAAACTACTAAAGGATTATGTTACTTTTTGCCATAAAATAATGAAAGAAGGGATCACATGGAGCAATTACTTGAAACATCTTTATAAAGAAATGACAAGCAATTCAAGACACAGAGTGCTGATCTATCTAAGCACTTAAAGCCATTATTAGGAATAATGATCTAACTTGAACATATAAATGAGGCTCAAGTATTGCTTTCACTGAGGCCTATTTAAATTCCTAAGAGACTTACTGGTATCAAAGGGAGAGGTAGTTTAAAGTACCACTGTACTGGAAACAAAAAAAAGAATCAAAAGATGATGTTGAAAAACAGCATTTGAAATGTGAAGAAAATAAAATCAGAGGTTATGGTTGAAAGTTATTCTTTTCTGTTGGGAAGACAGTGATGTTTCTAAAACATAAATATACAGACATATAGATGGATCTAGACCAGCACTGTCCAACAGTGGGTCACAAATATAAATTTCACCTATAATTTAAAATTTTCTAGTAGCCACATTTAAAAAAGAAAATAAAAAGGAAACAAGTGAAACTAAATGTGATATTTTATTTAATTCAGTATATCTAAAATATTATGATTTTAACATGTAATCAACATATACAGTTATTAATGAGATACTTCACATTGTTCCTTTTGTACAAAGTCTTTGAAATCCAGTGTGTATTTTATACTTATGGCACATCTCAATTTGGACTAGCCACACTTCAAGTGCTAAACAGCCACATGTGGCAAGTGGCTACTGTACTGGACAGCATAAAATGAAACATCTGAAACACCCGTACACCACTACATGGCTATAAAAATCAACATCTAGACATGAACAATAAAAAGGATACCAATATTTTTATACATTAAGATTCAGTAAGTACAGTTCTTCCAATTTACCTATAATTCTTCTCTTTCAATTAAGTTAATTTTATCTCTATTAAATAAGGTTTTAAAAAGTTAAGGAATTTTGGAATACCATCTCACACAAACAACAACCAAAACAAAACCAAATTGAAACTAGGTAACAGGTTCAAATCATTGTTAAAAATACATATATAAATGTACACATAAAGGTCAATGGATAGATAACTGGGACGTACCAAAATGATATCAATGGTTTTCCTAGGGGGACAAGATTAAATGAGCGGAATTCTCACTTTATGCAATCGAAATATTTTAGAAGAGATACTTGCTCCTTTTTTGGGGGGTGGGGTGGGGTGGGGGGGGAGACAGGGTCTCATTCTGTCGCCCAGGCTGGAGTGTAGTACTGCTATCTTGGCTCATTGAACCCTTGACATCCCAGGCTCAAGTGATCCTCCCACCTCTGCCTCATTGCAGCCTTGACATCCCAGGCTCAAGTGATCCTCCCACCTCAGCCTCCTGGTAGTTGGGACTACACGCATGCACCAACATGCCTAGATAATTCTTTTATTGTTTTGTACAGATGGGGTTTTGCCATGCTGCCCAGGCTGGTCTTGAACTCCTGGAATCAAGTGAACCACCCACCTCAGCCTTCCAAAGTGCTGTTATTACATGTGTGAGACACCACGCTTGGCTAATATTTGCTTTTCTTAAAGGAGTTTTTTTTTTTTTTTCAAATAAAACTTTATAAAAATATAATGATTTCTAACCTTTAAAGTTCTGGAATCTCCTCTAAAATATAAGAGCTACTAGAATTCTATATATGTAAAACTCTATATGTAAGAAAAATCAGACCCCATGAAAACTGTGATTTCTCATTGGGCAGAACATGTTATGTCAACACTTTAACATTATGTCTTCATCTGTATTGGAACAATTGGCAATTACAGTCATGTGTTGCTTAATGATGGGGATACGTCCTGAGAAATGTGTCATTAGGTGATTTCATCATTGTGTGAGCATCACAGAATATATTTTACAAAAATCTAGATGGTATAGCTTATTACACACCTAGGTTATATGATACAGCTCATTGACCCCAGGCTACAAACCTGTACAGCATGTTACTGTATTGAATACAGTAGACAGGTACAACACAGTGGTATTTGTGTACTTAAACATATTAAAACAGAAAAGGTACAGTAAAAACATGGTATTATAATCTTATGGGACCACTATCATATGTGTGGTCTGTTGTTGACCCAAATGTCATTATGCAGTACATGACTGTATTTTAAACTCATTTTGACACAGTCGGGACTTCAACTATCATGAGCATTTCCAAAACAATGTTTTTTTTTTTTTTTTTTTTTGAGACAGGGTCTTGCTCTGTCGCCCAGGTTGGAGTGCAGTGGCGCGATCTCGGCTCACTGCAAGCTCCACCTCCCAGGTTCACGCCACTCTCCTGCCTCAGCCTCCCGAGTAGCTGGGACTACAAGCGCCCGCCACTACGCCCAGCTAATTTTTTGTATTTTTAGTAGAGATGAGGTTTCACCATGATAGCCAGGATGGTCTCAATCTCCTGACCTCATGATCCACCCATCTCGGCCTCCCAAAGTGCTGGGATTACAGGCGTGAGCCACCACACCCGGCCGACAATGTATTTTTTTTTTAAATGCGTTTGTTTTGGTGAATTTTCCTTTCGAAGAAAGATAGCAAAATGGTAATCATATCTTAACTGATATTAGTCTGTGTGCAGAGGAATACCAATTATGTTCCATGTCCTGGGAAGTTTATATAACTATACATAAAGATGTAGGCTGGGTGCAGTGGTTCATGCCTGTAATCCCAGAACTTTGGGAGGCTGAGGTAGGAGGATCGCTTGAGGCCAGGAGTTTGAGACCAGACTGGGCAAAATAGCAAGACCACAGTCTCAACAAAAAATAAAAAAAATTAGCTGGGCATGGTGGTACATGCTGCTGAGGCAGGAGGATCACTTGAATGCAGTTTGAGGCTGCAGTGAACTATGATCATGCCACTGCATTCCAATCTCGGTGACTGCGAGATCCTATCTCTTAAAAGGTAAGACAGCCGAGTATGGTGGCACATGCCTGTAGTCCCAGCTACTTGGGAGGCTGAGGCTGAGGTAGAACAGCTTGAGTCTGGGAGGAGGAAGTTGCAGTGAGCTAAGATTGTGTCACTGCACTCCAACCTGGGTGACAGAATGAGACCCTGTCTCCAAAAAAAAAAAAAAAAAAAAGAGAAAGAAAAAAAAGAAATGAAGAAAGAAAAAAGAAAAGTACAGAAATCACAAATTCAAATTCAGTTCATCCTGAGTTTACCATGCCTTTCCTAGGCCAACCAGGATGGGCCTGAAATAAGTCTTTCACAAGATTTCAGTTCATTAACTGCCCAAGTATCACTCAACTCTTTTCTGTTAATGTTGTTGAAACTCTATTTACAGCTTTTTCTTCAGCATTTTATTTTATAGCAATATAAGAAGAATGCTGAACATCAAACCCATGGCAGGGACAGGCTGAATTTTGGGCAGGTATCTTAAAGTCTTGTGGACAAAGTGACTTACAGAAGCAGAACTGACAGTGGTAGATGCAAGTTTTCTAGAAGAAACAATATGCAAATAACAAATCAAAACTAAATAAAGCCCATGCTACGCTTCTGACTTTGCAAAATGCTTCTGTTAATTTAGCATCATCACAAAATCGACTTACAATAATGCTTAAATAACAGCAATCAAAATAGATAAAAACTGAAATCGATCTAAGTTATAGTTAACTCTGTCCACTTCTGAGGTATATATTATATGAGAGTAGACTGCTCTTTAATGTAATTTTAGGTAAAACAAACATTCTGTCCAAGAATGAGTTTGACTTTGGATGGTGAACAACTCCCCTTGGCCATACTCTGCACTCTGTAATGGAAGTCTGTAGATCAGCTGACCTACCTCCTCTCTGCCACTCTTACCCCTATGGCAACATTTCAATATTTTAAGTCCAAACTCATTTTGTTATGATAGTATAAAAATATTTAAATGCTAATTCACACTAAGCCTAACTAAATACTAGATGCTACAAGAAGTACACATAACTATAAGGTGGTACATATTTTCCTTCTACTGAGTCTAGAGAAATCAAACTCATCCAACAAAGGTAATTACAAACAGTACTTTCTGGACTGATCCCCTAACTCCTGTTCTTTACTCCAAGGTGGTATCTCCATTTGAATCATCAAATAGAGATTACAGAAGGAGAAGTCTCATCTTGCTTTGAACAGCAGAGTATATTTCAAAGGACTGGCTATTTATAAATATTGGCAGAACTGAAAAGAGCAAAAGAATATCAATTCCAGAGATGCCTGTTCTAATTTATTAAAGTACCAGCAGGAGTTAATGTAGAGGTGAAGTTATACGTTGAAAACAAAAGCACTAGGGTAAATATATTGGCACTCATGTGCTCTAGCATCAGGCGCAGGGTGCCTGATAGGTGAGGCAAGGGATCAGGAGTCAGTGAGGGTCGTACTCAGATTCCTGCTCCATCCATTACTAGTGGAGCAACTGTAATGAGTTAGTTACATTCTAAGCTCTAGTTCACTCAACTGCAAAACTGCAGTAAGGATTAATTGACACAATGAGAACTAAGTTCCCAGCACAATACCAGGCACTTGATAAGAACTCAATGAAATGGAAGCTATGGTTACGTTTTGATACCACTGAGCACTGACAGACATGAATCAGAGGGCAGGTCTGACAGTTTGACGACCTAAAATTCATGATAACAAATAGGTGGAAAAAGTGATGTTTCATACTTCAAATAGTTATACATGAATTTAGGATAGATTTTGACAGGCATTATATTTTTTAAAGCAAAAACACATAGAAAAAATATGAATGCTGGATCTCATGTGAGGAGAGAGGCTGTCTTATTTCTCAGAATAGGAGCACATAGGTTTATTAATATGAAAAAGGTGTAAAATCATACTATTAATGCAGCATTTGTTTGCTAGCATATGAGAATATAATAATCAAAGTGATTTCCTGCAGTATGTCCAAATTATCATTTTTATAAAACTATAAAACTATAAAAATGATAGTCACAATTTTTACATTAAACTGACAAATTCTATAGCACTTGTTTAACAGGAAAAAATATTTACAGTATAATGTATGTTTGGCATGAAGAATAGAAAATATTTGACAAATGAAGAATTACTTAGCTTTCTTTCCCCTAATATCTTGCTACCAACCCTTAATTTTTATAGCATGCTAGATTACAAAAGGGGAAAAATAAAGCTCTGAAGGAGAAACAGCACTGTAAAAATATGTCGAACGTTCCTCTTTGATGAAAAATGAGACCCTTATTTTAGTGAATATGTTATTGCCTCAATGCTGGGGGGAAAGCAACCGTCATTAGAAAAATGAATTGCTCAGCTGTTTATAAGCAAAAAGCTCTGGGGGAATTTCTCAGGACCCCAAAGGCAAAGCATTACAGGGTTATGCAAACATATGTTGCAGGTGTTTTAGGGGAGACAGGTGGGCAAACCTCAGCCATGGAAGAAGAGTTAGTTTAATACGCTGTAACTGAAATGAGATAACCTAAATACATCCAAGTGCAGAGATGCCATGGCACGCGTGAACTAGAGCTGCAGAGCAAAAACTCTCCCTAAAATAATTATCTCGTTAGTGCCAAGCAAACAGAATTTTTCTCTTCTTATAGTTTTATAGAAAACAAACACTGCCAATTGCTTTTTTTTTTTTTAACTGAAGGTATTTTAAACCTGGAACAAAGAACAGCCTGAAATAGTGGTAATTATCTAAAAAAGATAAGGATTAAGTATTGTTGCCTTTATTTAAACAAATATTCCTAAGGAGACAGTTTGTTGTAATGTTCCCTCTCTGGTTCACTAGGCAACATTAGATTTATCATAATTCTCCTAAAGCCTAAGATATTTCTATATTAAAATGCTAATTTTGTCTTTTCTTTTGCCTGTAATTAAAGCTGGAAAAATTTGTGGTCTGATATTCACTGATTGCTAGAGGGTTCACAAAGGTCTCACCATTTCTGTCTCTTATTGCCACTTACTGCCCTTTTCATTAAATACAGATACAGTAACACAAGGAATCAAAAAGGCAGACGTTATAATCCCACATGCTCTCAAAATTATTCCCTTTAAAATACATATGCACACTGTATCAATAAGGGATATTGCCTGAATATTATCTAAATATTATCAAACCTAGACTTTGTATCTTATTTCTTATTCTTCATTTATCCAAGAGTTGATTTTCTTCTTATATTACTTGTGACTAAGGACAATATTCATTTTACTATACATATTTATGCATAATAGTATATTGAGCTGTACCTTCCTGATCTAAATCACTTTTCTTTAACAGCCTTACCATGAGTTAATTTCATATACTTAGTATAAAATAAATTCACAAAACCTCAGATTTGGAAAATAAAACCTAGTTTTTGTTTTAAATAATACACAAAATTCAAAATGTGTGAATACAATGCATCCATCAAATTAATACAGATTTTCATTAAAAAAGAATATAAATATTTGTAACTTGGTTGTGACTAAAATATTATTTCAGCATCAGGATCAAAATGACTTCTGGTTTATTTACTAATAATTCCTATGTATTTTGATGGGAAAACATATATTGTGAAAACTAGGTATTAAGAATCTTAGGGCAATTGATAGAAAAATCTAGGTAATTCTCATTTATGCATCTATAGAGTAAACCAAAAAAAGAAAATTTAGAAGAGAAAAAGTTTAAAAAAAAAGGAAGCAAAAACACCGTTAATTGGGTAAAGACACAGACAAAACCTCTGAAGCCATGCCAGCCTCATTTTACATACTGAATAAACCCAATTCCCTAAAGTGACATCCCCATCTATACCCTGGCAAGCCGAGATCTCAGATGGCAGAGAAGCATTTTAAACCACCTGTGCGTTATGCTCGACTTTAGCTTCACACAATAAATAGACACCAGAAGAGAAATAAATTTTTTTCTTTTACTAATGTATTTACATTTTTGAATTTAGCGTGCAGAAAGATGCCAGAGTAACATACCCCCTACCCTCAGTTTGTTATTTATATATATGGAAAGTAGGAGTTTAGGTCTACAAATTTTCTTTGTTGCTAATACTGGGCCTCAAAATATGTCTTTTAGATAACTGGTTGGCTCTTTTCAGTAGTACTGAACTCTTCACCTTTTTCCTTCTTCAATGTCAGTAATGGTGGGGGTGGGAGAGATTTACTTCAACGCTTTAAGAAATATGGAAATCCATTTGTCTGTTCCTAAGAGCGGTTCCCAATCTTTGTTAAAGAAAAAAAGGAAAAAAGTGATCTCAAAAAAATATTCCTAAAGATTCCAATTTGGGAAACAGAGGTAAAGTCTGATATAAAAGTTATCATTGCAAATTTTTATTTTTAGAAATGTTAGAACAGTTTAATCAAGTAACCATCGAAATAGAGGCAATTTAAAAATACTGTTAGAATTTTTGAACCCCCAAGAATAAGTCCTTGGACTGAGAACTCTGATTTGGAAAATTTTTCTCCCATCTTCTTTTTCCTGTCTTCTTCTCTTTCAACACCTGCTTTTGGAATTGCCAAGGCAACAAAAACCAAGGTCCTGCACATGAAGCCTGGTAGAAGGAAGCTTTGCACAGCCACACTTTTAATGCAACTGGGGCAGTAATTTCAATGAAAAAACATCTTGGAATTAAAAATTCATTTATTGTAAAAACCCATTCTTACCAAGGTCATTTGCTTCCACTGTATTTTTTGTGAATCTTATTAGTAAAAAGTGAAATATGAACTTTGAAATTTCTAAGTGAAGGAAGAAATCACGATGCAAACACAAATAACACCTAGATTTGAGTTGTATTTTCCTGAGTGAGCCTGTTATCTATATAGGGGAAAGTATGTCAAGTTAGACCACAGAGAAGACCATGGAGAAGAGTCCATGTAGATGGACTTTTGCCTTTGGATTATCTTATTCTAGACTCCATGTGTCATTTTAAAAAAGAACACTAATCTTAGATGTGAATTTCTCTAAATAGCAGATAGTGTTGTAAAATATTTTTAATCAATAATCTTTGATACAGCTCTGCCTTAAAACCAACTACTTTAATAATAATGATTGGAAAACCAATTACATGCTGCTTACATAATATCTATGCTATGTGTTCTTAATATTTTTTATGCCACAGAATCCTCTGCTTTCTGGTAAAGATTTTGGTCTCCTTTCTAGAATAATGTTTTAAAAAATGCATAAAATAAAGTATATCGGGTAATAAAGAAAATAAAAAAATAGTAACAGAATACTGAACAAAGTTGTAATATACTCACATGTGCTTTTATATTAATAATTATATGACAAGATATAGTGGCTGGTATGATCATTAGTATAATTTTAAAGTAGTAATGAATGTAAATAGTATTTCAAGATATCTTCATGAACTGTAATCGGATAGGAAAACTCTGTGAGTGTTATTAGTGACAATGTTTCAGATACTGCTAATAATATTGTAGTTTGTTGCCTATACCCATATTTGAAGAAAATATAAATTTCAGTAAGGGCTTAATGAAAATAAAGATGTAAATTTTTCCCATCCAACTTCCCAGACCCCTTAAATTCCATCAAGAGACCATTCGGGGGCTTGATGCCTTTTTCCAGAAAACTGAAAGGTGATTTTGGCTAACAGCTTTCCTCTTGGGAAGGTTTAGTCTTATGGATACTACTATACTAGTTTCTTAACTCTTTTACTACTGAATGAATATGTTCGGGGTAGTAGTCAAAACATAAAACAAGTGGTTTAGTATAGGCAGCTACCATCAGGACCTATAGGGATCCAGGAAGAAATGCCTGGAAAGCCCCTGCCATGCCAGGATTTAACCCCTCTGATACTGAATTTCTTTAGCTACTTACACATAAGTACTTCAACATTTTAGTAACTGTTATAAGCTGCAACACCAGATGAATGGCAGCCAGCCCTGGATAGGAGTAACATTTAGGATTGGGGCATATTTAGATGCACAAGTTTTGGCCCAGATAACATCCAGTACCTCACCTGAATAAGAAGTCTAGGAGGGGTCAGTGGGGAGAATGAAGGGAGAATGCTCACGAACAGTGAAGTAAGTTGTCTACTTCTGAAGAGCCTACTCTTTCTGTGCTAACTCCTCTGAGAGGGTTTCTGTTGCTGTGGGACTGCCGATAGCAGAGAGATTTGTAGTGGTCTGTTCCCTAAGTAGAGCTGTCCACAGATTACTTGATTGTTTTAAGAGGTAGCTGAACTTTCTTAGTCTGCAGCCAGAAATTGACTATTTCTTCTTTAACTTCAATTTTTATTTTAGATTCATGGGGTACATGTACAGGTTTGTTTCAAGGGTATATTGCATGATACAAAGGTTTGGGCTTCTATTAATCCCATTACCCAGATGGTGAACACAGTACCCAATAGGAAGTTTTATGGGTCTTGTCTCCCTCCCTCCCTCCCTCCCTCCTTCTGGAGTCTCTAGTGTCTCCTGTTTCTGGGTTTAGGTCAGTTGAACCCAAGATATAGCTCCCATTTGTAAGTGAGAACATGTGATAATTTGGTTTTGTTTCTGTGTTAAGTCACTTAGGACTATGGCCTCCAGCTACATCTATGTTGCTGTAAAGGACACAGTTTCATTCCTTTTTATGGCTGTGTAGTGTTCCATGGTGTATATGTACCACATTTTCTTTATCCAATCCACCACTGATGGGCTCCTAGGTTTATTCCATGTATTTGCTGTTGTGAATAGGGCTGCAATTAACATAAGCATGTATGTATCTTTTACTTAGAATGATATATTTTCCTTTGGGCATATACCCAGTAATGCGATTGCTGGGTTGAATGGTAGTTCTATTTTTAGTTCTTTGAGAAATGTCCAAACTGCTTTCCATAGCGGCTGAACTAATTTACATTCCCATCAACAATGTGTAAGAGTTCCCTTTTCTCCGCAGTCTCACCAACATCTGTTATTTTTCAACTTTTTAATAATAGTCATCCTGACTGGTGTGAGATGGTATCTCACTACAGATTTGATTTGCATCTCTGATGATCAGTGATGTTGAGCATTTTTTCATATGCTTGTTGGACACTTGTATGTTTTCTTTTGAGAACTGTCTGTTCATGTCCTCTGTCTACTTTTTAATGGATTTTTTTCCCTTGATTTGTTTAAGTTCCTTATACATTTTGGATATCAAATCTCTCTGCTATCAGTCCCGCAGCAATGGAAACCCTCTCACAGGAGTTAGCACAGAAAGATTGAGCTCTTCAGAAGTAGACAAGAAGTAGACTTACAGTGAAGTAAGTAGAAGGCTCATTTACTTCACTGTAAGTGAGCATTCTCCCATTATGCAAAGTTTGCAAATATTTTCTCCCATTCTGTAGGTTGTCTACTCTGTTGATAGTTTCTTTTGCTGTGCAGAGCCCTTTAGTTTAATGAGTTCTCACTTGTCAGTTTTTGTTACAGTTGCTTTTGAGGACTTAGCCATAAATTATCTGCCAAGGCTGATGTCCAGAAGAGGATTTCCCAGTTTTTTTCCCTAGGATTTTTATAGGCTGAGGTCTCACTTTTAAGGCTCTGATTTATCTTGAGGTAATTGTTGTATATGGTGAAGGTAGGAGTCCAGTTTCATTCTTCTGCATATAGTTAGCCAGTTTTCCCAGCACCACTTATTGAATAGAGAGTCTTTTCCCCATTGCTTATTTTTGTCAGCTTTGTCAAGTATCAGTTGGCTGCAGGTGTGTTGTCTTATTTCTGAGTTCTCTATTCTGTTCCATTGGCTTATGTGTTTGTTTTTGTAGCAGTACCATGCTGTTATGCTTACTGTGGCCTTGTAGTATAGTTTGAAGTCAGGTAATGTGACATCTCCAGCTTTGTCCCTTTTGCTTAGGATTGCTTTGGCTATTCAGGCTCTTTTTCAGTTTCATATTAATTTTAGAATAGTTTTTTCTAACTCTGAAAAATGGAATTGGGAATTTGATAGAAATAGCAGTTTTGAATCTGTAGATTGCTTTGGGCAGTAGGACATTTTAATGGTATTAATTCTTCCAATCCATAGCCTGGAATGTTTTTCCATTTGTTTTTGTCACCTATGATTTCTTTCGGCAGTGTTTTGCAGTTCTCCTTGTAGAGACCTTTCATGTCCTTGGGAAGATGTACTCCTAGATACTTTTCTGTGGCAATGGTGAAGGAGATTACATTCTTGATTTCGTTCTCAGCTTACATTGGTGTACAGATATACTACTGATTTTTCTACATTGATTTTGTATCCTGAAACTTTACTGAAGTTGTTTATCAGGTCTAGGAGACTTTTGGTGGAGTCTTTAAGGGTTTTCTAGGTATAGCATCATATTGCCAGAGAAGAGAGATACTCTGACTACCTTTTTTCCTACTTGGAAGCCATTTATTCCATTCTCTTGCCTGACTGCTTTGGCTAGGACTTCCAGTACTATGTTGAATAGGAGTGGCAAGAGTGGGCAACCTTATCTTCTTCCAGTTCTTAAGGGGAATGCTTCTAGCTTTTGCCTGTTCAGTATGATGTTGGCTGTGGGTTTGTCATAGATGACTCATTATTTTGAGGTATGTTCCTTCAATGCCTAGTTTCTCGAGGGTTTTTTATCATGAAAGGATATTGGATTTTACCAAAAGATTTTTCTGCATTTATTGAGATGATCATATGGTTTTGTTTTTAATTCAGTTTATGTGGTTACTATACAAGACGACCATCTGCAACCCAGTCATTAGACTTTCCAAGGCCAATGTGAAAGGAAAAATCTTAAAGGCAGCTAGAGAAAAGGGAAATATCACCTACACAGGGAACCTCATCAGAAGAAGTCACAATGGAACAGTAATCTGAAGGATGAATAGGCATTTACAACATTTGTGTTGTTGGGAGAGAGTTATGGAAAGGAGAGGTGCAGCTTAGTGAAGAAAGAATGAACTTATTGCTGTTGCGATTCTTAGAGATCTCATCAGCTGTTACACTGTGACTTATTTTTCTAGACTGTACTACTTAATGATTATTGATATCTAGAATCTTCAAACTTTATGTGTTATACAAGTATATAAAAAGCAATAGACAATTTTTTTAAAAATCAACAAATGATACACTGTACTATTAAATTATTTAGGAGTTGTTCTATATAACTGGAAACTTAGACAAGGTTTAAGAAAGAATTAGCTCATTTATGAGGCATCAATTAAGCAGAAAATTTAATGAAATAAACCACAGCTTAAATATGCCACAAATGAAGTCAAGCCCATGTAGTCTTCTTCCTCTTATGGAAGAAACATATAACATCAGTTATTATTTACTGGTACCAAGTAGGTGCCAGACCACATTAGTTCTTTTACAAATATTATCTCAGTCTTAAATTTTTCACAAAAAAACTCATTACCATTTTATAGGTAAAGAAAGAGGTTCGGAATAATTAGTAGTTTGGCCAAAGTTATATGAGATGGTAAGGGAACAGCCAGGAACTGAACCCAGTTCTATCTTCAAACTTCTTCTGGCTAAACATACCATAAGGGTTCATGAAAATATGAAGAACATTGTTAATTCTCAGTTTTCCTTTGGGAATAAATAATACAAGTTCCAAGTATATGGCATTGATAATACTTCGTAATTTTCCACATCTCCCAAAATTAAGAATGAAAAACTGAACATATTACTTTAACAAATAACTGATTGGGAAATGCTAAAGTATATGTGTTTGAAAATAGTCATTCCTTTGTAATCAACAGCACTATGTTGCTCATTTATTTTCATCCCAACAGTCCTCACTATTTTCACTTCTCCCTTCCTTTTTCTCAACCCTCTACAATCTTATTGCTTGACTTTTATTTTTTTATGTCACTGTTTCATTCTGAAAGAGCACTTTAATTTCCCCTTCAATGCGTACCCTAAATATGTAAACAACTTTCAACAGGCTCATTTATTTTAAATCTCAGTTGATTTCTCTGTAACATTTGCCACTCATCATTTTCCATGTTGCTAGAATTATCTACCCTCAGGCAATTATAATTCTGTCTTCTTACAGTTTTCCCACATTCTGAATCTTCTCCATACACTCCTTCTTCTTGACCCTACCATCTCTTTGATACCATTTCCTATGATTCCCTTCCTAGCTCACATCTCATTTCCCCAAAATATCATTCCTGGACCACTTACATTCTCTCAACTACCATTAATACTTATACTCGAAGACTCCTAAGTCTGTAATTCTGGTCCAGATCCCTTCTTAGAGCTCTAGGCATACATTCCCAATTACCCTCTGGATATTTCTACCTGGATATCCCATAACCTCCTCAGAATTGACTCATTATCCAACCTTATTCTTACACGCAGCCACCCTCTGCAAATTTGCTAATCTGCTTGGGAGGCCAAGATGAGTGGATCACCTGAGGTCAGGTGTTCGAGACCAGCCTGGCCAACATGGCGAAACCCTGTCTCTACTAAAAACACAAAAATTAGCCAGGTGTAATGGCAGGCGCCTGTAATCCCAGCTACTTGGGAGGCTGAGGCAGGAGCATCGCTTGAACCCGGGAGGTGGAGGTTGCAGTGAGCTGAGATCGCGCCACTGCACTCTAGCCTGGATGACAAGAGCAAAACTCTGTATCTCAAAAAAAAAAAAAAAAAAATTGCTAATCTGCATATTTTCCCAGTAACTCAATCAATAGTTGAAGACTTGGGAAATGCAACAAATTGTTCATGGCTTACAGCTAATTACCCACCAAGCCTTGTTGATACTCTTTCTTAAAAGTTCCTTGAAGTTATCTACTGTTTTCTGTTTTCAAGAAGCTCAAAGTTTAACTGTATTTAATTAAAAAAAAAAAAAAAAGAAGGAAGAAAGGAAACAAAAAGGCAAAGAAGGAAACAGAATGCTCATATTACCTTTATTCCACTGTTTGTTTTCCCACATCAAAAGGAATAGTTGGTAAAAAATAATACGAACTTTAATTTAAAAAACATATACATAGGTAAAAACACATTAAATCCTCTGATGAAATCCTTTAGGGCATCAACTGTGTTACCTCTAAGATACTGAAATCTCTCCTCCTTGTTTAATCAGAGGTCAATTCCTTTTGAATGAATATGTCCTAAATATATGCTGAAATTTTTTAGTTTTTGTTCATTGCTATTCCAAATACTGTTTCCTATGTGGTTGGTTAGTCTCTGGAACTCAAATACAAGAAAGTTCAAATAAGAGAGCTCAAATAAGATGTTATTAATTAAGCAAATTAAGTAGATGATCTCAAACTAATAGCTGACATTCTCATCAGTGGATTATCTTGTAAGTGGAATACATAATAGAAATGTTCAATTAGAACCTTTATGAGAAAATCTGGCTGGATTTCTCCAGATAATGGCTGGAAAGATGAGGGTTTACCTCTTTCTTGGGTTTACGAAAATCACTGCAACTATTCCTGTCACTTTTCTGCCTTCTACAAATTTTCCCACCTGGTGCTGTTCCTCAAAGGCAGCTCAAACCATGCAGGCACCATACAATACCCACTTTAAGTAGAATAAATCTGAAATACTCTCTATTTTTATTGCTGTTGTTGTAGAAAAAAAGAGACAATTGATGAATAAGGCACTTATATTGCAATAAGAACCTCAAGAAAAGTCCAGAAAGAATCAAGTCACTAAACAACTCCAACTTTTAACAGGATGATGGACAGACTTTGGGCTGACGATTTAGTGAAACAGAGCTTTCAGCTTTATCAATTCATATATCTTCAACACATTTTCAGTAAACACTACTGAAGATAAACTTGAAGGGGCTGTCAAAAAAGTGAAAAATAATAGTGTGCAGAGAAAACCTGAAAACTGAACTCTTAATTTACTGAAGCAACCATGGAGTAAAAAGATGTTAAAGTGTCAGTATCCCTAACAAGGTGAGTGAGGGGAGGAAACAATTATTTCCAATTTGCCTCTTCAGAAACCAATTTTAATAACAATGAGAAGTAAATCTGAGGTGCACCTAAGAATTGTGAATCAGTCAAATTCCAAAATTAACACTATTTGCCTCTGAGAAAAGGTATACAAAGCCTTCCTCAAAAATCTGGGTGGGCTGGGTATGGTGGTTTATGCCTGTAATCTCAACACTTTGGGAGGCTGAGGCAGAAAGATCTCTTGAGGTCAGTTTGAGACCTGCCTAAGAAACAAAGCAAGAAACCGTCTCTACGAAAGAGTGAAAAAAAATTAGCCAGGTGTAGTGGTGCACACCTGTAGTCCCAGCTACTCGGGAGGTTATGGGGAGGACCACTTGAGCCCAGGAATTCAAGGTTGCCCTGAACTATGATTGTGCCACTGCTCTCCAGCATGGGCCACAGAGTAAGACTCTGTCTCTTTAAACAAACCAACCAACCAACCAACCCCCCGTAACTAGGTGGTTTCCAGGTTAGCAAGACTTGATTATATCCCTTGTATGATTAATATATATCTAACAAAAGAAGATGTCATATCCCTTATATGTTTAATATATATCTAATGAAATAAGATGTCAATCAAAAGGGGTCTGCCAAGGAGGCAGAGAAGAGTCAAAGAGGCACATATGGGCAAAGCCAGTGGGAAAGACGGCCTGAGTTAGTAGGTAATGGACTGTGTAATTTCCAGGACCCCAGTAAGACTACCCTTACTGTGAAGTAGGTATCTTAAGAGTCTCAGAGTCCGGTTTCACTAAACATGCCTTCCCATCTGCTTCTACCTGATACCAGGTACTCCATGGAGATCTATGATTCTGATTGGGTTTTCCACATAGGTGTATAGTATGTTGGTATATGGAGTTAAGTAAGTTGTTTTTTTTCCTCATTGTAAGTGATCTGATAATGATGTGGCCTCCCATGTCTGTGTCTTAGTCTGTTTGGATGTTATAACAAAATACCATAAACTAAGTGGCTTATAAACAGAACAAATTTATTTCTCACAATTCCAGGATAAAGGTGGCAGCAGAGCTGGTGTCTGGTAAGGGCTCATTCCTCGGTTCATAGATAGTGCCTTCTCACTGTTTCCTTACGTGGTGGAAGGGGTGAGCTAGCTTTGTGGGGTTTCTTTTACAAAGGTACTAATCCCAACTATGAGGGGAGAGCCCTCACGACCTAATCACTTCACAAAGGCCCCACCTCCTAGTATCATCATCTTGGGTGGTTAAGATTTCAACATCTGAATTTTGGGAAACACAAACACCTAGACCCTAACAGCCTGCCACCAAAAGTGAATGGGATCAACATGGGGGCATGAGGATGGATGTCAGTCTTGTAGCTGCTCTAGGCCCCACTGCAGACTGAGAAAGAGACAAGAGACATGCCGGCTTTACATATCAGCCTTGCAAGCTCAGTTTGGATCTGTGTCAGAGAGATGACTTGGCTTTTCTGACAGCACTAGCAAAATCAGATTTCTCAGGATGTAAGATTGAGGGTCACAAGCTTCCCACAGTAACTTTTAGTTTTTCCCTTAGAGAGAGCCATCTCAATGAGCCCAGGAGGTAAAAGAACCAGAACATTTCCATTTTGGAGACAGAGACTGGCTGCTCACCAAATGTGCTTCTTCTTCTTTCTGTGCACATGGCTCTACTATGTTTTCTAAAGGCTCGCGTGATTAGGTGGAGCCACGGGACTGAGTTCTAGCCAATGGTATGTGAATGAAAGTGATACATGCCACCTGCATCCCTGATCATAAAACCTCCCATGCATGAATTGCCATGCTAATTTTTCATCCTGCTGGCAATGTCAATGTACAGGGCAACAATGGAAGGTAAAAGCTGAAGTTAACAGAGCTGGCAGAAGCCTGAAGAACTGTGTGAGCCTGAGACACCCCAGTCTGAATTACAATGGATTATTGCTCATGTGAAAACTAAACACCTACTGCCTTCAGCCACGGAAACACTGGGTTTCATTTGTTATAGCAGTTGGTCAACCTCACTAATATCCTATTAACAATTAAAGGAAACGATCATTATAGTAGACATACATATTTTATTCTCAAGAAGAAAAGTTGCTCAAGGTGAGAATATGTGAGTCTCAGATATTCATATTCTCAAAAGAAAATATGAAATTCTTCATATTTTCTCTCATGCTCTTTTCTTCTCACCTCCCCTCCAGTTCACACTATCACTCTAATCCTTTGAACTGGCTCTTTTGACAGGTTTCCTCTCATTTTCTATTTTATTACTTTTTTCTTACTGTCTTTCACATGGGTGGCACATAGTTCAAGAAAAAAGTCAAAGGTCAACTTCATTATAGAATAGTAATTATTATTATTATTGTTTCCCCCATCAATCTCGTTGGGCTTTACTCTTTGGAAACCCGTAGGCAAGACTTGGCAAACTAATTAACAGTATATCAATTTTCAAACTCGGTATTCCAACCATGAATGAGTGAGAAGTCAGAAGTAAACACTATTGTTGGAAGGGTAATCGAGCTGAAATGCATTATTGTGTGTTCCTTACAGAAGACCAAAGAGCTCCTGTTAACTTTCTTGTTAATAGGAATGTGGTCGTTCAGAACTGGGAAGAAATAGTGTGTGGGAGTAATAAGAACATTTTGCATTAGGAATCTGCAAGAAAGGCAAGGGCAAGAAGAAGGAAGAAGACAGATAGCTCCAAAGTGGGAACAGGAGCCAGGGGGCTAGGTCTTGGCTCTGCCACTGAATTCTGGATGACTCTGGGTATCTCACTGCACCCTCATCAGGCCTCAGGAGGAAATGAGAGTATTATCAAACGATCTCTAGAGTTTTAACCAGCTGTAATGAAATTACAAAATACAGAATAGTCCTATAACTGAATGTTTAAAATGACTTATTTTTAAACATCAGAACCATCTAGAAAAAGTGTACAATGAGCCCATGTTACCAGAACACAGTTTGACAACTAGGATGTGATAGGTATATTTCTCAGTGAAACTCAAGACCTTAGGAAATATAAAAAGCATCAAGTTTACCAGAGGAATGTGGGAGAACTCTGTCATCATAAGGATAAATTTAGACCCTGTGTCTTCTCAACTTGCCCCTGCTAACGGGTGTGTCTGTGGGACTACAGAACTATGTGTGTGCTGGGAGCCAGCCTCAAGATTCTCATCCTAGCTGAGCATCAGAATCACCCATGTCAGTTTTCAGTGGCCAGTGGTATACAGCAGGGGTCCTTCAACCTCTTTGATTATTCCTTTGCTCTAAAAAATTGAGGGGACTGGCACCTCGATATGTGTATATTTATTTATTTACAAATCATATGCATCCACTACTTGTACTAACCTATTTTGTATATTAGAAAATATATGCACAACAGAGTATTTAAATGAGATAGAAATGAATTAAGCTATATTTAATTTTCATAATAGTTTATTTACAGTGGTATTTTTTAAACAGTAGTGATATGATTCAATATGCTTCTGTACTTTTTGAAAACCTCTGTTACATGCTTTGTGAAGGTGAGTTTTTGAGACTGATACTCTGGAAAAAGCTACCTCATAAAGAGACATAGATCTGAATGAAAAAAAGAGATTGTTGGCTGCCCTTGGTAAAGTATGGTATTCATTTTGTAACCCACCAATTATGCCAAGGTTTTTGTTAAAATCTGGCTAATAAAATTTCTATATTCCTTAATGTTAATTAGCTCTTCTAAAAATCTAAGTGAAAGGTGTTGTGTTTCTGTGTTTAAAACAATTTCTAACTTGACTTATCTCTTAATCTGGAAGATTATTAACCATGTGAGAAATTATGATTCTGTAACTTTTAGGTGTTCTTTGAGAATTTTTAATAAGTGACACACTTAAATTATCTTTGTTAAGAACATCACAAATAGATAAAACATTTCCAAATTATCCACATCATGAATTTCTTTGAAAAAGCTCTTACTTTCATTATTAAAATGTTACCATTACCTTGAAGAGATAAATTGCTTATGTTTTCAAAATATTTTGCATGATACCATAGTACTGACAGCTATTTGTCACCACCACAAAGGTAAGCAAACTTGAAGCACACATTTTTTTACAAAAGAAATTATATTTGGCAATTCTTTTAAGTTCGTTAGCTGGAGATATCTAGTGAATCCACAATAGTTGTTCATGGGTCCTGACATCTCTCAGGTATTGTAAATATGCCCATCATTTAAGATAATGCAACCCACTTAACTGGGGACATGGCGACACCAACAAGACACAGGCATAAAATCAAATGGAGAAGTAAGGGGGCACTTTCAATCCCTTTGTATGCTGCAGTCCCCTTTCCCTTAAGAGACCTCAGAGGTGATCGCTCATGACTGGCTGACAAACATGGCATGTGAAGGAACCACTGTTTCTGTACACTAAATAGTAAAACTTAGTAAGCTTTACTCCTTTTGGAAAAAATGAATATAAACAGAAGTTTCATTATTTTCTTCTTGCACCCCTTTGGATTATCTTTGTATAGTCACTGTGCATGTACATACTCCACTTACTGGTTTAGAGTCTAGGCTTCTGGTTTTTTTAGGTGTTTGGCTTTCAATCTGTGTAGTAACTTTGTTCTCAGTCTAGTATCTGTTTCTTCAAGTGTTGTCCATGGCCACCAGTTTTGGAATAGAACAAATACAGAGTTCTGGGTCCTATCACAGATCTATTTACATTAGAATATCTGGGAATCTGTATTTTTAACAAGCTTCCTAAGGTGCTTCTTTTGCACACCACGGTTTAAGATCCAATGCATTACACTGAAAGCTTTTGAACAGATTATGTGTCCCTATTTCATTACATCACCAGCACCCAGGAGAATGGAGGCAATAAACACTTGGTAACTGAACTGCAATGAACATCGACTTCTCCTCCGGAAGAGAAATTTGAGGGCTTAGTTGGAGGTAATTAGTCACTATTCATCCCATCCATTCACTCATTATTGCAGGTACCCTGGAAATATCAGGGAATCAAACAGACAAAAAACATTGTCTTCACGGAGTTGATATAATGTCACGGAAAGACAGACAATAGAAAATAATATAACAAATCAGTAAACTACCTACTATAGAGATGGGGGCAGGGAGGTCTGCAGGGTGATTAGGGTAAACTTCACTGAGAAGCCTGGATCTGAAGACTTAAAGGAGGATGAGCAATCAGCCAAGTGGATATTCCTTTTGATAGGGACTGGAGGCTGGGAAATTCTGGACAGAAGAGGGCAGGTCCCTGGTGAGGGACCCACCCTTGAGCCTGGAGCTGTGGCCCAAACATCCCTGTTTTCCCGCTGGAAAGTTGCCTTTTCCAAAACCACCCACGGCCTGCCCCACTCCTCATCCCATGCCAATAAAAAACCCTATACCCATAAAAACCCCAGGTTCTGCCAGCAGAGAGGGGAGAGGAAGAGAAGAGGAGAAGCAGCTAGACATTGGAGACTATGGTTTGACGTCAAAGAGAAGCAGCTTGACTTCAGAGGGATGGTTTGATGGTGTCGCTTTGGAAAGCCGGACTCCAGGGGAAGATCATCTTCCTGCTCCATCCCCTTCTCAGCTCCCCTTCCCACTGAGAGCCACTTTCATCAGCAATAAAATCTTCTGCATTCATCACCTTTCAATTCAGCCGTGCGACCTGATTTTTCCAGATGCCAAAAAAGAGCTTGGACACCAAGCGTGTGGATGCAAAAGGCTGTCACACTGACCCTCCACTGAGCTATTAACACTTAAGCTGTCCACAGTCTGCAAAGCTAAAAGAGCATTGACTGTAACACTCCTTCTGGGGCTTCAGGGTGGGGGAGTGGGGGTACTCCCTGCTAGATGCTGCAGTGGGGCCCGCATGGAGTTTTGCTCCTTCAGGTGCCCAAAAGCACTCACCCCGGCTCCTGCAAGTGCTCCCTCCCGCAAGGGGTTGAGTGCAACAGGTTCAAGTGAGTGGAGTTTGCCTCTGCCGGTGCCAAAGCAGCCAGCTAGCTCCAGAGAGGGCACACCAGTTCCCACCCGTGAAGGGGTCAGGGAAAATTTCCTGCTTCATTCTCACTTGCCACAAATCCCATTCATACATCTTTACGTGTTTCAACCAAGACTTCTGAAAGATGGTTCCACGATGCTACTGATACATAGTAGGAGCTTAGTATATTTTGGCTAAATGAATAAAAATAGTATTTTAGAGAAAGACACAGTGTAGGGGAATCAAACTACAAAGTTCCTCTTTAAAACCAGAAAAAAACAACTAAGTAAATAAAGATCTTTTCCAAATCATATTAAGACACTTGGAAAAATGTGTAACTATCAGCATATGAGGACCATACTCATGTATCAAATGTCAGAGAAAAACCTCCTTCATAGTGCCACACTGGCCTCTGTCTGGAGGAGCTTGGAGGCTCACCCACGCGTACGAAGTGGTCACTCCAGGTTCGTGTGAATGGTCCAGTCACTACTGAGGTATAGAGAAAATCTTGCAGTATGATAAACTAACTTACATTTCCCAATATGGTAATCATATGTGTGCTTGAACTGGATGAAATATACTTTAAAATTCTCCATGATAAAATGTTTTGCTTTTTTGGAGAGAGGGGACAGATAAAATGTCAAAGCATATATTTAAATAAAGTAGCTGATTATTATAGTTATACAGTTTACTACTTGAATATATTGGCATTTCTTCCTATAAAATCAATATACTTAACATTTTAAATTAGCAATAATATATTTACTGAGTTAATATACTTAAGAGGCAAATAAAATATTTATGTGGCCATAACCACTATATTAAAAAAAGTGATGGTTTTTTTGTTCTGTCAGTTTTAAGTTTATAATCTTTTTTTCATAACTTATGATTTGTAATCTTCAATTTCGTTAAATCATAACTTTAAGATGACACAGAAATACTAAGAAGTCCCTTTCTGAACAAACTATTTCATATATAATAAGAAAAATAAGTGATTAGCTAGGTAGTCACAGCACTTAAAGCTGGAAATGACTGTTAGAGATTATAGGCTAATTAAGGCCTTATCAGCCACACATCACCCTTTAAAAAACAATTAATGAACCTGAATTTAAGGCAGCAAAAGGTTGAATGATTTCCCTGGGGGTAAAATAGCAAGTCGGCGGTAAAGGAGGGCAGCCACTTGATTCCTTGACCTCAGGGATATAACACATTCATTTCGCTGTAATGCATTTTAATACTTTTCCATTTGGGGCTTCATAGACTTTCTGAACACACATGCATAGGACTGATAGCTTTAAAGTGTTAAGTAGTCTATTTAAAATAAATATCTCTCCCCAATAACCTAGATTTTCCTTACTTGTAAGACATCAAATAAAATGGAGGAGATTGGTTTGTAGATTATTCTTTGCTTACTGGGAAAAGTTTGCTTAATGAGAACAAGTTAACCCATGGATTTTAGTCTCCTCTTTAGGTATTTAAGGAAAAATAAATCACAATTCTAATGAGTTAAGTTGTGTCTCACTAAAGGAACCTTGTCTTCTAAAACATGCCGAGCAATCATTTCCACAAAGTTTCATTGCTCTCTCAAGCTGCCCCAAATAAAAATCACTAAACATCTCCAAACTGACTTTAAAGATCTAAATAGACATGCTTATTTTCAGCAAATATTGTTGCCATGAACAACTATTACACACAATAAAGCTAAATAAAGATCACTGGATGAGATCCTTTTCACACTGACTTTTCACTAACAAAGAAAATATTTATGTTGAATAATAACATGAAACATTATATAAATTAATGCCAAATAAAAATTTATTAGAGACTCCTTACACATTTCATGGACTTCTAATAATTAGCGTTTGCAAATGTACAAGGTATTAAGGGCGATATAGTCATTCTTTGGGTCTCTGAGGCGGTCACTGAGTGACTCTGGATAAAGAACGGCCAGGCCCTGCCTGGTTGCTTACTTCAGAAACTTCTAGGAATTCTACTTCCTCTGTTTTCTCAAGCTGGGATAATATCTCCCTGCAAATTCTTCAAAGCCCAGTTGGAATGTTTCTTTCCTCTAAGAAACTTTCTGACCATTTAAGTCTGAATTGATTATTCTTTCTGCAGTGGTGTCTGTTGAACCAAACTGAATCTTGCTAAAATAGACCCCAAAGGGTCCATTGAGATTATGTGGTCCAGTTTCCTCATTCTACAGTTCAAGAAATGAAGTGACTTGTCCAATAAACGCAGCAGGGTGAACTTCTCTCATAGAGCAGACACTGGGTTAGTGCTGTTGGAGATCTAGTACCTGATGCAGTGAAGCTCTCAGTTTGGTAGATGAGAAAACTGAATGGTCTGGTTCCCTTGGGTTCAACTACACAGAGGAGCATGTTGACATAAATGAAAGCAAAACTGACTGAGACTGGTGGTATACAGAAGGCAGCTAAGATTATTTCTTAAAAGATCAAAGTAAAAGAATTCAGAGTCGTGGCCACAGTATTCTTAAACAATAACTTATTGGCCTGACCATGTGACGGCCAAGAGGTGTGAGTGAGTGTGCTTACCAAGGGAGAAATTCATTTAAGACTACTTGGAACTTCCGGCTAAGAGCAAAAGTAGTTTATAATAAGAAAATGTCTTAATCATTGCCAAGAATCACCGAGAATCCCGTAATCTTTCTGAAATTTCAAACTGTGATCTTAAAAATGAGTTTACTTTTTATCCATCAGGTAAGACTGCATAGGAAGAACAAACTAATAGCAAGCCCTCCCTAGCTCATCAACCACTCTCAGGCACGTTCCCCTGGTCCTGGCTCCAATGATACTGGTCTTTCAATTTCACCAATAGCCTAAGCTCTTTTCTGCTTTCGAGCTTTTGCATTTGCTATTCCCCTTCCTGGAGGTTCTCGTCTCTATTCTTTGCCTGGCTGGTTCCTTTTCCTCCATTAGCTGCCACCTGAAATGGCACCTCCTCAGAAGGGCTTTTTGACCAACCTACCTAAATTAGGTCTTCTCTCAGCCCAGATTCTACCCTCACTCATTATTTTACACACACACACACACACACACACACACACACACGTATTTTTAATTTAGACAGAGTCTTGGTCTGTCACCCAGGCTGGAGTGCAGTGGTGCAATCTTGGCTCACTGCAACCTCCACCTTCCAAGTTCAAGCGATTCTCATGCCTCAGCCTCCCAAGTAGCTGAGATTACAGGCCCCTGCCACCATGTCTGGCTAATTTTTGTATTTTTAATAGAGATGGGGTTTTGCCACGTTGGCCAGGCTTGTCTCGAACTCCTGACTTCGAGTGATCCGCCTGCCTCTGCCTTCCAAAATGCTGGATTACAGGCGTGAGCCACCACGCCTGGCCATATTATTACCCTATTTGCGCCCTTTATAACACATCATAATCTGTATTTTCTTGCTTAATTGTTTATTATGGTAAGAGCCATATGTATTTTTTTTATATACCATTATATCACCATGATTTAACCAGTACCTGGTGCACAGAAGATACACAATAAGGACTGGTTAAATTAATGAATTCAAAATACTATAAAACTAACTCAAAATTATTTAAGGCCCCTAGGAAAACCTTAAAGTATTTTGAGAAACACATGATTCTTATTATGAAATGTCTGAAACCAATAAATAATAAATTTCAAATACTGGTTTAATAAAGATTTTCATATTATTCCTTACAAATCTTTGTTTTAGAGCCAGCATTTACTCAGAAGTAAAACTTAACTTTTTAGAAAATGCTAATCTATGTCAAAAAGTCTTTATTTCTGATTGGATGTGAAAATACACCTAATTAGTCACTAAATACCTAAATATCAACTATAATAAACATCCAATTGGTTGTGATCTAGTGATAGAAAAGAAAAAGGAAATATTAGTCACACAGCTCAGAAACAAAGAAAAAACAGCTTTTGTTATGTCACAAACAGAATAAACACAAAAAAATAATTTGAAGAATGGCAGTTTTCTAAGAAATGCCCAGTTTTGGGAGTAAAAAAAAAAAAAGATGAAAATAGGAGTAATGGAAACAATCTTGCTGTAACATAACATCATCACAAAAAATTGGATTAGTAACATACTAGAAAATCTGAATAGACCGTCTGCTGGAAGCATTATGAAAAGTAAATAAATGGATATAGTGCATCATCCTCAAAGAGTCACTATACGTGGATTTTAGATTCTTTTTTTTTTTTTTTTTTTTTTTTTTTTTTGAGACGGAGTCTCGCTCTGTCGCCCAGGCTGGAGTGCAGTGGCGCGATCTCGGCTCACTGCAAGCTCCGCCTCCCGGGTTCACGGCATTCTCCTGCCTCAGCCTCCCGAGTAGCTGGGACTACAGGCGCCCGCTACCACGCCCGGCTAATTTTTTGTATTTTTAGTAGAGACGGGGTTTCACCGTGTTAGCCAGGATGGTCTCGATCTCCTGACCTCGTGATCCGCCCGCCTCGGCCTCCCAAAGTGCTGGGATTACAGGCGTGAGCCACCGCGCCCGGCCGGATTTTAGATTCTTTATTGCTCAGAAAGAAAAAGATTACAATGGCATTAAGGAAAGGAACATTTTCTAAAATTGTCACCTGACTGGCAGCAGGCTTAGATCCATCCACTACTTTTCAAGTTTGATGTGACATTTTACCAAAGTTATTTATTTGATATTGACAAAAATGTTGTATGTATAGTGAGATTTCTTGGAATTAAATGAGTAAAAATTAAAGTACCTATATACAATTTGAAATTTGAAATTCAGACTTTTTGTAATTTAAAAAGACAAAATTTAATATAACCTCAAGCAAGAACCAAATCAGAACTGGCCAAGCATTGTACATTGTACATTATATTTTTATAGTGTGTTTCTGTGTACAAGAATGACTATGAAATTAAATTCTTATTTCTAGAAATTTTCTTCCATAAACAATAACAGTCAATGCTAAAAGGACTGCTTGCCAAGTTACTAGAAATATTTTTTCCCAAATATTCTAGTCTTCAAAACAAATGGTAGCCGTCAAATTCTTACTGCATAATCTAAAATGGTAATACATGTACTGTATTTCATTTATAATAAGTCTTTATGATAAGGTTAACACTTCAACACACAACACAAATAAGAGAACACCAAAAAATGAAAATTACTTTGCTTATGTTTCTGTATTAGAATTTTATTTGCTAAAGGGTAAAAACAGATTTGCAAAATTCACCGTTAACTTAAAACAATAGTTTTAAACCTTTTTTCCTAGCCCTTACTGCCTTCAGGAAGGAAAGAACATCTGGTTATTTAAGGAACACAATATGCTCACATTTTCTATGACTTTTGTTTCTAATTGGGTTTTAACATTTTTTTTGAATGTGAGCAACTAGCTAGAACAATGTTTTTTAATCACTTCATATTTTTCAGATTGTCCTCCTTCTATCCCTCTAACTTCATCTCATGGATTGTTTTTGGAAATCTGCTTAGTAGTTCTAATATGATAAAGACAAGAAAATGAAAATTAGGGCTGTGGTCTGAAGAGCTAAGTACAGAAGTTGTATTTACCATGTGCAGACTATAGGATGCTAAAAACAGATATTTGATATCCAGTCTTCATAAGGCATACATTTTCAAAAATTTCAACTAGTTCCTGGGCCACTTACATATATGGCAGTTTCATTTATTACAGATGAAGAATTTCTATGAGAAATATGTAAGTAGAGGTCCACTATTTTTAAAACTAATAAAGCCACAGCTCCTGCATGGAAAGGTGGTCTGAGGATGGGGGTTCAATTGCTGGTCTGCCACTAAAAAGCTCTGTGACCTTGAATAAGTCTCTAAGCTTTATCTTTGTTCTCACTTTTTCATCTATGAAAGGAGAAGCTGGATAAGACTGTCTAGGTTCTTTGCAGTTCTAAAACTCTGACAGCCTAAGGGAAGTAAATTAACTAGATTCTTTGCTATGTCTTCTGTATTCCATAATATATGACAGTAGTAACAGGATTTTAAATAATTCTGATATATAGCAAATTAAGGAACTAGATGCTCTTTAAGTTCAAGTTGTATAATTAATTAACTATCTTGATAAAAATGGCAGCTGAAAAATAAACCACTGGCTGTGGCTTTTGTGGAATGTGAACATGGGTTCCAGAAATATTCTCGATTAGTGATGTTCAACTAGATTAGAGTCAGTGTGGTGAACTGGAATGAGGCATGGCACTTGAATCAGAAATCAATTCTATCATTATTTCCTTTATACCAAGATATGCAGGACACAAAGCTGAGTGCTAAAAAATGAGCAGGATCCAGTCCTAAGGCGTAATAACTTACAAAACACACATGCATATATACAAGGTGCCGTGGGAACTCAAAGGAGGACATGTCCTATCTGAACCTGAAAATTGTTTCATGGGGAATGCAGAACAGACGCCAGGAATCCGAGGAGGGAATGAATAGATAGAACAGTCATGATGCCACTCTAGCTAGCTTGGGAGCTTATAAGCTTTTTGACCTTGGGAAAGCCACATAAACTTAACCTCCTCCCTACTGAAAAAAGTGAGGAAAGATAACCTGCTCTGCCTACCTCATAGGGTTGTTGATTAATGTCAGAGTGCTTGGAAAACTATGAAGGAGTATGATCCTATTATTATAGTTTTTAGGCCTACTTTTTTCTATCTATTCAAATAAGAAATCTTTCCACAGTAAAGGCTATCTCTGATATAAAATAATTAGAACCTTGTGTCTCAAGCTATACTTGCAGAATGTATTCTCCACTGAGCAATTTAGGGATGATGGTAGGATAAAGCGCTTTTCTGAAGGTTTACAATGAACCTACTAAGGCTCAGAGCTCCTTGTTTGATTTTATTGAACCTGTTAGCAGCATTCAACACTACTATCATATGAAACTAGGAAATGGGAAAGAATGCTTTCATGTCTCAAATCTCATCTTTCTACTAGTTAATTTCATTGAGAATTGTATGTTTATATACTTACTCTGATCTATGTGATTCAGGAATGATTACAGTATTTTTAGTGTTTCACTGTTGCTATTAATAGAAAACATTTAAAGCACTATGATGTCTGAATTTTTAGAGGCTATAGGCAGGTGTACTAGTACCATCTTTCCCTCTTTTTTTCCCCCTTAGCATAAATAGCCTCTTTTATGACTTTATAATTGACATTAACAACACTGAAAACCCCGTCCACTTGTGGATTTCTATAGAATAGATAAACTTGCTGTTTTTCTCACTTTACTTTTGCAGCACTGGGTTGGACCTCGTTAGTTCATTGTAATGGTGGCAGAAAGCAGATGAATCCTAAGTAGACAGGGATGGGTCCCTGATGAAACCTGACCTTCCAGCCAAAGACAGTTTAAAGCCTAGCTACAAGTCCCGGGGTAAATCCATGGACTGGTTTGAAAACCCGTCTTCCTGTTTGCCATGCTTTTCTGATTGATCCCCACCCTTCACCTATTTTACATACACCTAACCTTTCCTAATTGGTTTTTTACACTGTTGTGCCCACCTCTAAGTGGTGCCTTTGTTTTAGCCATTTTTTGCATACTCACAAACCAGTCAGCACACACTCCCCATTCTGAGCCCATAAAAGCTCCGGACCTAGCCACATGGAGAGAAACCACCCAACTTCGGGTAGAGGACCACCCTTGCATCCCCTCTCCAGTGAGAGCTATTTCATCACTCAATAAGATATTTCTCCACCCTCCTCACCCTTCAATTGTCAGCATGATCTTGTTCTTGGATGCAGGACCAGAAGTAGGGATCCACTGAACATGGGTACACCAAAGGCTGTAACAACTGTGGTCCTCTACCCTCCGCTGGCAGAGGGTTGCGACCCCTTGTGATGGGAAGCAGCAGCAAGGCCGAACCAGCCCCGGAGCCATGAGCCAGAGTGAGGCAAGGGACTGACAGAGCTGTTAACACGCTGCAGTCCACTGGGTTGCGGACAACAGGACTAAATGAGCTCATCAGCATGCTGTAACATCCCCTCTGGGGCTTCGGGGTTGTGGGCACCCCTGCCTGGGCACCACTGTGTTCCCCTTATCTGGATGCCAGAGTCTACCATGGGAGTGGCTTGCAACACACCTGGTCCAGCTGCAAGCCCCGCATGGAGTCTGCGTCTGTGCTGGCACTCAGAACAGCTGGCCAGACCCTGCACTCGCTTGCCCATGCACCCCCTCCCATTGGCAGCTGAGCACACAGTCACAGCAGCCACAGGATCCGGGCTGGTGTGCAAACCAGGCATGGTATGGCGGGCCGAGTGGATGTAGTGCCTCCTGCGGCAGGCCCAGGGCTGAGTGAGGCCCTGGGTGGGAATGTTGCCTTCTGTGGAGGTCCCCAGCTGGCAGAGTGACTGAGAGAGATCCTGCGTCAATTCAAAGTCAGTTCTTGACCATCCTGGCCAACATAGTGAAACCCCATATCTACTAAAAATACAAAAATTAGCCGGGTGTGATGGTGGACACCTGTAGTCCCAGCTACTCAGGAGGGTGAGGCAGGAGAATCGCTTGAACCTGGGAGGCGGAGGTTGCAGTGAGCCGAGACCACACCTCTGCACTCCAGCCTGGTGACAGTGCGAGACTCCATCTCAAAAAAAAAAAAAAAGTCAGTTCTTCAAAGACAAAGGATGTTCTGCTTACACAGGTCATCAGAGACAATTTAATTCAACCTCCAAATATTACAAAAGAGAAGCCCAAGGCTCAGCAAGCATGATTTTTCCAAAATAATGAAGATGTTGGTGGCAGAGCCAAGGTTTGACCCAAGGTCCCAATTCCTAACTCAGGTTCCTTACGGAACACTACACTGCCACAGGCCCATATTAACACACGTGTCAAGTGACTTTAGTTACTACTTAAAATCTGTAAAATGATGTTAATGAGTCAGCCACATATACACTTAACTATATCTACCATTTTGCAGGGTTAGCCATCTGAAAGCCCCTTTTCAAAGGCTACACAGCTTTCTTTACTTTTCCTATAGATATCATCATTCCATGAACTTATTCTACTGAGCCTTTTAAATATGACTCCCTCATCATGCCCAATTTATTATGTCCCAGGAATATCAGTTTAAGGTCATTGTACTGATCATGTTTTTACTTGGTAAGACTCTGAATGTGAAGGTGGGGAATTCCCTTTTTTGGATACACTATTATTTTTTTCTCTTAAACCTTAAAGAATCTATATTTTAATGCTTATAGAATTTGCTTCATTATATGTACACGACTTTATTGAGATAAAAAGTACTCCATTAAAATCATACTAACATGAAAGGGCATTTAGGTTCCACTAATAAACACTGATGAACTTAGAATAAAGAATTCTGAAGCTGGATGAGTGAGTGATTCACAGAAACATCAACCATATTTAGCTAGGGAAAAATTACCAAGATCGATAGGTTTTGATAACATATTCATTTCTTTCTTCAATTAAAACAAATCATGCAAGTAGAAATTTCAAATTGCTATTTTAGCAATGTTTTTCACTCTGTATGATTCTAAAAATTCCTAATGCTAAGCTGATAGAATTTGCCCTAAGTCTGTAGATCAAAACTCATACCTCATTGACCAGTAACCTCATTCGTTAGTCTTATTTGACAGATATTTTGTCATCTTGTGGGGTTTTTTTGGGGGTGTAGGGAGTATATAGTCATACAACTTACAAATACATATGTACATAAAATATAAATATGGAACTTTCAATTTTCATAGTCATATTCATAAGCCTTACCAGAAAAAAGTATGCTTCCTTATACATCGGAGAAATAATGGATTATATTTCTGATGCTTAATGAAACTGCTTTGTGTAAGAGAAATGATATGAAAGTTCATAAATTTACAGAACAGATATAGGCATAAGGAAGTGAATTCTTTTAAATCAATCAAAGAATAAAGGATATACTAAAAGGTTGAAGTCAACAACCAAGGAAAGGACAGAAATCCTTTAGAATCTAAATTTACATTAAACTTGGAGGCCCAAGTTGATCAGACAGAGCTTTGGCAATGGAACCCACAGACAGACTGACTGACTCAGAGACAGTTCGACAACTGCCAACATGACTGTTGGGAGGGTTGCCAAAGAGCCAAAGGCTGGGATTACCATCCAATGCCTGGCATTCTGATATTCGTGTTTGAAGCTTTCTCTCTCATACTTCTTCCAATATTTTTGTTTGGCTCAAAAGTAGCAAGGATTCACAGATTTTTTTAGATCATTAAATGTTCTTATTTTCAAGAAATATAACATTAGTTGTAAAAGAGCACACTTTTTCTCTGAAGTGTAAAGAAAATTTTGGTGAATTGCTTTACGCTCAAATAGAGAAATCAGTGTTAAAGTCTGTTTAAATCTTTATTTTATTAGATTACTCTTAACCGCCCAAATAAGAAATATTAATACATATCATAATATGAAATAATTTAGTGTTTCATTGTATCCAGTCTTATAGAACTGGTCCTTTGTATAAAGCTACTTTCTTGATCTTCATATGGCCCCCAAGGTTCTACTTGGATAAATCAACCCCTGTGTGGGGTACCAATGACAATACAGTTTGGCTGTAAGGAGAGGTAGTTCCTCAACTATTTCCTTGACTTGTGAGGAAGGGAAAAGCATAGAATAACCTTCTGTGGGAAAAGAGACATGTGTTCCAGTTTCTCATGGCAAGGTCTACCTAATTTGCCTGTTGAGTTGCTGGCCAATGAGGTATATGGGTTTTGGCCTACAACTTTAGGCAAATGCTACCATTAGGCAATTCATCTACCATTAGGCAAATTCCACATTTGGAATTCTTAGACTCTACACAGAGAAGCCTATTTTTCACCCAACTTAAAATTATGCATACCCTACTGGGGAAGCTTACCTTTGGATCTCTAAGGAACAGAGCCTTAAGAATCAGTGAGTGTACATCCCCGATGAATGGGTAATGCATCAGAAGGCCGAGACAGGTCTGGTAGTTACTAGAGATCACTAAATAAGAAGAAAAAATAATTCAGATGCAATACTATTTAAGATATTCTGCATTGCTGAGAATATAAAATCTAACAACTTAAGAGTCAATGAAAGCAAACCAATAACTCAACTGATTTGATAAAAGGGAGTAGGAAGAAGGGATCTTTACCAAATTGCCTTTGAAGGAACACATTGTATTGTTAACTGCTATCTAATGTATTAGCACTTAACCTCAGGGGGTGCTGGAAAGAAGAACTTCACATACAGATATTTGTACATCTGCAACATAAATTCTCAGAACCGTGCATATTTATTGCCATTTATATGGCTATGTTTAAATGTCTCCTGTTTTTCTACTTAGAAATTAGTAATAAAAGCCATATGAATGGAAAAGAACCAGTTTAAGATTTTCATGAAATAATATTTACCTTATTATGCATTACAACTTGTTACATTTTCTTTTGTATAGGTAAACATTACGTAACTCAAAATTTAAAAAAGTAGAATTTCTTCTAATTATTTGTTTTTCTAAAGGTAACAAGAGATTTAGGGAGAGAATACCTAAGCAGCATTTCTTGGAGGAAAAGTGTCATAATTGTCATAGGTTAAGTCTAAATGTGTTCTGTAGCCTGTCATTTAATTTTTTTTTTCAAATCAACCTAATTATGGGTGTAATTATTAAACACATCTTTTCAGGCAGGTCTATGTAGACTACTTTACTTCTTGACAATCTTATCTGCCACTGCTGTCAGAGTCAGGCCCATTAACAATGCTTGCTTTATGAACCACACTGACTGCCTCCACAGCACTGACTGTGAAGAAACTTTACAGTTTTAACTTCTGTGGTTGCAAGTGAAGTTTTTTCACTAATCAGTTACTTGAAAAATGTTCCATAAGAAAACAACTGTGATTCAATAGAAACAACACAAATCAAAAACCAAACATTTATAATTAGAAATATCTTTGATTTTTAGATTATTTTTTCTTCTGCTGTTGGAATACCATTTCTTGCTATAACTTCCTACTTCTCCCCCTCCTATAAGCACTATGGGGAAAGGAGACAGGACTGGGCAAAATGAATAATTATAATCTATGTAAGGAATCACTTTATCATCTTCATTTTCATTGCTGCTATGACAGCTTGTAATTTCATACATCTGCTTTCATTTGTAAAGCACTCACTTATCCTACCCTTTCTGTGTCTGTTCAGACTCTCATTTGTTCATGTTTTCATATTTACCTTCAGTTACCTGCTGTCCTTTTTTTCTCCAGAAATTCAAAAAGCTAAGATACTGAGAACAGTATAATGGTTTTATGTACAGATTTCTTTGAGATCTAGCAAGTAATTAAGACTTAATCAATTCACCTTATAACTCAAAAAGTAATTATCTATTAGTAATTGACCAAGAAAGAATTCTTATATATTTTGTAAAGAGGCAGGAAAATTTTGTGGAAAAGTTTTGATCTCATGACTCACAGATGTAGGTTTGAATCCTGGGGCTTTATTTGAACCTTTCATCAAGTTGCCTAAAGATTAAATGATATAATCTATGAGACTGATTAATAGCAGCTGTTTAAAACCAGTTCAGGTAACCTCTGTGAGCTTAAGTTTAGTCACTGGGAAAACAACTTTTTGATTGAAAAAATTTATTTGACTGCTTTATTCAATCCAATAATTATTCAGAGTACCTCATTCATGACAGGCCCTATGCTAGGGGAGCACGTAGAGATAAACAAAACTGAGTCCTTACTCTGGAGAAAATTACAGCCCAGAAGGGCAGATGTGTAATATCAAGCAGCTATTACTACTAATATAACTAAGATAACAGTGAATTATTAAAGCTTTCTGTAGCCAGGCCACATGCTAAGAACTTTACCTACATTATCTCAATTAATTTCTATGACATTCTTATAAAGGTACAATTATTATCTTTGTTTTACAGATGCAATAATTGATACTTGGAGAAGTTAAGTCACTTGTACAAGTTACCAGTGATTCCCTAGAGGGGCAAGATTGGAAACCCAAAAGTCTAGCTGCAGAGTCTGTACTCTATTACAAGACATTTGTTTTGAAAGGCCATTGTTTTGAAAATCAAGAGACATAATGGATGCATATTGTAAAGTATTACTACTACTCTAGTGAAGCAGTTTTAAGTATACTAGAAGATCAGCATAAACCAATCTCCAGAAAAGCTTGATTGATTGACTAATCATTTATTTATTTATTTATTTATTTATTTACTATGTGTTTTCAGAGACAGGGTCTTGCTCTGTCACCCAGGCTAGAGTGCAGTGGCATGATCACAGCTCACTGCAGTCTGAAACTCCTGGGCTCATGCAATCCTCCTGCCCCAGCCTCTGGAGTAGCTATTACGGACTAGAGAAGCATACTGCCATGCCTGGCTAATTTTTAAGTTTTTTGAAGAGACAAGCTCTTGCTATGTTGCCAGGCTGGTCTTGAACTCCTGTAGAACAGACTGATTTAGATATAAACATATAGATAGATAGAGACCAGAACAATAATCCTGTTTTCATAACTTGTTAAAACTATTGAAGCTATCAGAAGCTATAAAATATATAAGGGAAGCCAAATAATGTATTAATATTCTACTTGCAAAACAAATGAGGAAGCTAACATTCTTTCATCTTTCTATCCATCCATCCAGTCACTGCATGCAATGAGCATTTCCTGAGCATCTACTAAATGCCAGATATCCAGAGACTATGCTAGGCACCTGCACTAGGAATATAACAGCAAATAAGTTCACTGCTTTCAGATAATGGTATCTCTAATTTGCTAATGAAAATCCACACTTTTAGAAATACCCTTAATTTGCAATTAGATATGCTAAGTATTAAATCTCCTTTTGAATAACTACAGCCAGTTTAAAGTAGGTAGAAAAGAATTACACAAGCTGATTTAAAAACAAACTAGTAAGGATCTGACACAATAAGAATTTAGTTTTGAACTTCACAGTAAACTTTTTTTGAACATGAAAAACTAATCTGTAATAGTGTTCTTTTCCCAATATTTATTCTATCAAAGCAGGGCAGAGACATGAAGTAAGAAGTGAAAGATTAAGAAAAATTATTGAGTTTTGTTATCTACCTACATGTAAAATGAAGTATGTTTATGCTTTAAAAACAAAATAGTGAAGGCACATTCTAAAGAGTTGATTTAGGGAAGGTAAAAGCAAAGGTAAGTAGTACCTAAGAAAAGATAATGGATTTGGAATGAGAACTAGATTAGATCACTGGCCTAGTCACTTATAATATGGTGAATTTAGGCAAGCTGCCCAACTTCACTGAAACTTTATTCCTCCCATTTATAAAATAGAGACAATCCTGCTTACTCTATCTACAGGGTTTCTGTAAGAGTGGGCCAGCTGCTATATGGTACATTTCCCCATCTTGCTCAATTCATCCTTGATGAATAGCATTACCTCCATATGAGGCAGAGCTGACTTCTCTGTCTGAACCTTTATGTGCCCCACAACTATTCTGGAGTGGTCTGAAGAGATGGTTTACTTTCTCCAGCAGGTACAAACAAACCAAAAGTGAAATCAGTAATGATATGCAGAAAAAGTAACTGTTTTGAGAAAGTTTAAAGCAATGTGGATCAATAACTTACACATAATTCAAAACTAACCACACTTACAATTGTAATGTTTGTAAATACATGCAATACTTTTTCAAATTATTTAAGTTCATATTGAGATATACTTTCTTTCTCAGCATAATAAAACAGAATGAAAACTACCACAAAACACGAAACTCTATACAGACTTTCTTTAATTTCTTGCCCGACTCCCCAAAAATATCACTTATCAAGTACCTATAATATGCCTGAAAACTAGTCATACATTTTATAAAGGTCTCATGAGTCCTCCTAATTCCCCCTAAGGAAAGCATTATCATTGACTCTCTATTATAGCTGAGATAGTGCAGAGTAGGTAACAGCACAGCCAAGGCCACAGAGATCCTGAAGGGCAAAGACAGGGCTGAACCTGGGTCTGTGTAGACTGAAAGCCTCACACACCACTGTGTCTTATACTTTCCTACATTCTTAGCAAGTTCATGACAGGGGTATCGGTACAAACTGAAAAAAGTCCTCAGTGTCAAAGGCCAAGAATAGCAAATATTTAGAAATAGGCATAAATTCTTGTTTCTAAAAAGCTATAAAAAGGCATATAAAAACAAATAATCATGGATTAAGTATAAAATAAAATGAGCTAACAAAAAAGAAAACCTTCTTTCTTTTAAAAAAGGAAAAAGTTTTTCTCATAGTTAATTGTACTTGACTGAAAACAAAGCCAATGTGCAATGAAAGTGCCTTGCCAGACACCTGGCATAGAGAAAACATTCAATAAATGTAATGCTCTCTGAAAAAAATATTTGTTGAGAGCCTACTACATGCAGGAAAAAACACATAATTACTGCCTGCAGCATCTTCACCTTTATTTAAAGGCCCTTACTATTTTGACTTTCCTAAGTACAAATGGCAAGAAACAAAATGTGATTGCCAATGGACCAGAAAACAAGTGGTCAGTGGGAGGCTGGGGTACAAAACATAAATAGAAACAACAAAATTTTACTCTCTTCAGTTTTGGAGAAAGCCAAAAATAAAACACAGTCATATCCCCCACAAAAAGTGGTTTAAGTCTAGTGTTTAAAACCCTTGTAAGATTTTGTCTTTCTGGGTTTTCTTCCTCAGTTGGCTTTGTGACAACTGCCTCTTTGAGCACCATTCAATCACTACAACAACCATCCTTGAAACCTAAGACCAACACATACTCTTATGTAAACACTTGGATACTCTTTGGTAAGTCCTTATTATTCTAGCAGATTTTGTGCAGAATAATATAAGACTTTTAATTTCACTTTTAGGAAAGAGGACAATCTCAAATTCAGAGTAGTTCACTGTTTGGGCTTGGAAAAAGATTTAAACAATTGTTACTTTTCCCACTTAATACACTTTAAACAGAATCTCATTTAATAAGAGATCAAGCAATAACATAAGAGATCTTTACTCAGTAATTTCTATGTTTAAATAAATAGTGCTGCCAACTGGAAGGCAGTAAGTAAGCAAGTATAAAAGTGCAGAATTGCCAGTGGCTAGTGTGTGAGCAGAGAAAGATCACTGTATCAGAAAAGTCAGAATGACGGCATGTTAGCTCCAGGAATGCCGTTTGTACTATGAACTTTGAAGGATATCAATTAAGTGCACAGGCTTCTGTTTTCTCCACCTTCTCTAACTCCTTATCGACTGAGGAAATCAAATGAGATGATATAGCGTAAAAACAATTTTCTTGGCTAGGCGTGGTGGCTCACGCCTGTAATCCCAGAACTTTGGAAGGCCAAGGTGGGCGGATCATGAGGTCAGGAGATTGAGACCATCCTGGCTAACACGGTAAAATCCTGTCTCTACTAAAAATACAAAAAAAGAGCTGGGCATGGTGGTGGGCGCCTGTAATCCCAGCTACTCGGGAGGCTGACGCAGGAGAATCACTTGGACCCGGGAAGTGGAGGTTGCAGTGAGCCCAGATCACACCACCGCACTCCAGCCTGGGTGACAGAGCGAGACTCCTAAAAAAAAAAAAAAAAATTTCTTTTTTGGAGACACATCTCATTCTTGTCAACCCAGGCTATAGTCCAGTAGCATGATCACAACTCAATGAAGCCTTGACCTCCTGGGCTTAAGTGATCCTCCCACCTCAGCCTTCCTAGTGGCTGGGACTATAGGCGTGTGCCATCATGCCTGGCTAATTCTTTTTTTTTTTTTTTTAATTGAGACGGGGGTCCCACTACGTTGCCCAGGCTGGTCTTGAACTCCTGGGCTCCAGTGATCCTGCTGCCTTGGCCTCCCAAAGTGCTGGGATTACAGGCATGATGAGCCACTACACCTCGCCAAAACAAAGTCTTTTAATGCAAACTGTGAACACTATTGTAGTAATTAAAGGTAAGTACTCAGAATCAAAGCCCAAGTTCTACCTCCGCATCTGTAAAATGTCATGGAAATGAAGCCTGAAAAAATTGGTGGGGATTAAGATTTAGAAAATAATCAGTAAGCCTGATTCATACATTTGACTCTCTTAATTTTAAATTGAAATGAAGGAAAACCATAGGTTGGGAATTAGTTATATCTGAAAATAGACATACATACACTTTATTTCATTGTGTTTTGTGATTTTTAGTGCCTTAATCAGAAATATACATTGTCAGTAAAAATGGCTGAAGTACACAAGGTATTTAAGAAGTGCTGACAATATCTTTTTTTTGTGTTGGACTGTATTCATTCATTTAATATTTATACTAAACACCTGTTTTATTTAAAATGCTGAGTTAAGTTCTAAAGACATGAAAAGAATTTTTAAAATCTCAACTTTCTCTCACATTCCAGTGGAAGAGAAACATAAAATTAACTGCAACCTAGGGTAGGGCTGATAATAATGATACATACTAAGGGCTGTGATAATTGCTAAAATGGAAGACTTTAGGGTCAGTGAGGTGTCGGCCAACAATATGTGGAAGCAAACAAAGGCAGACACTGAGTGGCTCCTATGGCAGGGGTGATAAGGAGAAATGGGATGTATGGAAGGAGAAAGTGGGTGGAGGTCTTACTTGTATATGAGGGAGTCACCAAGATGTCCTTCAGTAGGTGAATTAATAAACAATCTGTATTGTATCTAGAAAATGGAATATTAGTCAGCATTAAAAATAAATGTGCCATCAAGCCATGAAAAGACTCAAGAGGAAACTTAACTGCATATTGCTAAGGAAAAAAAGCCAATCTGAAAAGGATACAGACTTCATTCATCTGACTATATGACATTGTGACAGTAAAAAGATCAGTAGTTTCCAGGAATTAGAGGGAGACAGGGGATGAATAGGCAGAACACAGAGGATTTTTAGGATGTGTTCTGAGACCCCCAGTGGATACCTGAAACCTCAAATAGTATTCAGCCCTATACGTACTATGCTTTTTTCTATACATACATACCTATGATAAAAGTTTAATTTATAAGTTAGGCAATTTATAAATTATGGTAAAAGATTAGCAACAATACCTAATAATAAAATAGAACAATCATAAAAATATGCCAGCATCGCTACTCTTGAGCTTTAGGGCTTTAAGTAAAACAAGGGTTACTTGAACACAAGCACTGTGATACCAACAACAGTTGCTTTGATAATCAAGATTGCTATTAAGTGGCTAAATGGGCAGGCAGCTTATGTGGTGTGGATATGCTGGACAAGGGAAGATTCATGTCCAGGGCAGAACAGAGTGGGGTGGCTACAGATTTCATCATGCTACTCAGAATGGGATACAATTTAAAACTTAGGAGGTTTTTTTATTTTTGGAATTTTCCATTTAATATTTTTGAATCTTGGTTGGTATCAGATAACTGAAATTGTGGAAACTTAAACTGCAGATAAGGAGGGACTGCTGTATGTATGATACTATAATGATGGATACATGTCATTATACATTGGTCCAAACACACAAGAGTGAACCCTAATGTAAAACTATGAACTTTGGGCAATAATGCTGTATCAATGCAGGTTTATCAAGTGTAAAAAATGTGTCATTCTGGCCGGGTGCGGTGGCTCACGCCTGTAATCCCAGCACTTTGAGAGGGCGAGATGGGCGGATCACAAGGTCAGGAGATGGAGACCATCCTGGCTAACATGGTGAAACCCCGTCTCTACTAAAAATACAAAAAAATTAGCTGGATGTGGTGGCGGGCGCCTGTAGTCCCAGCTATTCAGGAGGCTGAGGCAGGAGAATGGCGTGAACCCGGGAGGCGGAGCTTGCAGTGAGCCGAGATTGTGCCACTGCACTCCAGCCTGGACGACAGAGCGAGACTCCGTCTCAAAAAAAAAAAAAAAAAAAAAAAAAAAGTATCATTCTGATGTGGGATGGTGATAGTGGGGGAGAATATGGGTATCTGGGGGAGTGGGTATATGCAAACTGTATTTTCCACTTAGTTTTGTGCTGAACCTAGAACCTTTCTTAAAATCCAATTCAATAATTCAATTTTTTTAAAAAAGGAAACATTAAAAAAGAAACCCAAAATAACAGACAATGTGCTACTATGGTATATCAGCCTTTGTTAGTGAAACATGAGGAGACTGTTAAACTAAGATATAAAGTAGTATAAACGGTGTTTGTAACAGGGTACATTAATATAAATATCTGATATAATCATAAAAACAACTGACACCATTTTATGTCTCAGAAGGAAGAGACCTAGTAGTCAGGAAGTGCTTAAACATTCCTTCAAAAATAAGACTATCAATTTGTGCTTTGATAAAACTTTGTGACATTACCATATTTAAAATTTGTAATCACTGTTAAGCAATGCTTTTCCAGAAAAGACAAATAAATACAATTTGTAGTTGAAATAAATGCATTTTGACATCAATATGACATTGAACATGCTGTTAACTAGAAAATAGAGAAATAGAAATTCTGGGTTAGGACAGAGGGAAATACTGGCAGACAGACAGTGGCTGAAGAATAAGTAGAGATCTAAAATGAAATCAAAAGGAGTAATATTTGAAATCACAAAGAGGCCACAACTGCCATGCCATGCCAGGCCAGGAAAGGCTAAAGAAATCCCTATCAAAAACAGAGGAAAATTATAGTAGAGTATTGTAACATGCTTACGCTGGCTGAAAAAACAAGGCAGGAAGTGGGTAGAAGTGCCAAGAAGGAAACTTTTCCATTTATGGTGTTCAAAGAGAAAGTACATTTAAAAAGGCAATAAATATTTGAGAAATACTTTCTTTTTAAGAAAATCTAGGCCCGGCGTGGTGGCTCATGCCTGTAATCCCAGCACTTCGGGAGGCTGAGGTGGGCAGATGACCTGAGGTCAGGAGTTCGAGACAAGCCTAGCCAACATGGTGAAACCCCGTCTCTACTAAACATACAAAAATTAGCTGGGCGTGGTGGCATGCTCCTGTAATCCAGCTACTTGGGAGGCTGAGGCAGGAGAATCACTTGAACCCGGGAGGTGGAATTGCAGTGAGCCAGATGGCACCACTGCACTCAGTCTGTGTAACAAGAGTAAAACTCCGTCTCAGAAAAAAAAAAAAAAAGGAAAATCTATAAATAAATTTATAGTGTTTTAGCTATTAATGCAATTTACAAGACAAATAAAAGGTATGTTATGTTTAAAATAGAGACAATTTTTTATAGTGTTTTAGCTATTAATGCAATTTACAAGACAAATAAAAGGTATGTTATGTTTAAAATAGAGACCATGTTTTTTGATACTAGTCAAAAACAAAATAAAATGAACAAAAAATAGATGTGAAAATTTCAGCTAGTTTTAAAAGTAGGCCATGCTTTCTTTGAAGAAGCTATGCTGAAAGTATATTTTCAAAGAATCATTATTTATTTGTGTTGTTCTAAGAATGAGACTAGCACTTGTCTTCTTAGTAATCACAGCACACAAATCCACCCCTCCAAGGTCTCTATGGTACGTTCTGGCCTGGCATTACCCCAAGTACTATATTAACTGAGCACATGAAGAGCTTCAGATGCTTTTAGAGATATGAAAGAATTGTAATGTGGTTCTGGTACCAAGGAAGCTCACAATCTAGTTGAGGAGATAGGACCAACACCCACAATAACTACGGAAAAATGTAAAATAGAGTATGACTAATGTAGCACTTAGTTAGTGGTATTGATGATGATCTTATAGGATTGCAAAGTGTGAAATCAATGAGAGCTAGAATAATAGGAAAAGATTTGGGAAAAAGGCTACCTTGCCCTAGGCCTGAAAATAGGAGTAAGATTTAGGTAGGTGGAGCCAGGGGAAGCAAGGAATCACAAGAGTGACTTACAATATGAAATAAGTCAGTTAAAAAATAGTGTGGTGGGGGTATCACCATTCATAAACTATTACAGGAGTAATGGTTTACGATTACTCTCACATTATTTCTTTATTGCTCAATGTTTCTTTCTGTATATAATTTTAATCCATATAATTCAGCAAAGTAACAAACACTGGGTGGCTTAAAATAACAGAAATTTACTGTTTCACAATTCTGAAAGCTAGAAGTCCAAAATCAAAGTTTTGGTAGGACCATGTTCCCTCTGAAACTTGTAGGGGAGAATCCTCCTTGCCTCTCCTGCTTCTGGTGTTAGCAGCATGTTTCTTCTGAAGAGGAAAAATTTGTTTCCTATTTCTCTCCTAGCTTCTGGTAATGGCTGAAAATCCTTGTCATTCCTTGCCTTGTAGATAATATCACTCCAACCTCTGCTTCTGGCTGTCTTCACACGGCTTTCTTCTCCCTGTATATACCTTCACATTGTCTTCCCTCTGTGCATGTCTCTTGCCAAATTTCCTTCTTCTTATGAGGACACCAGTCATATTGGATTAGTATGACCTCATCTTAACTAATTACATTTGCAACAATCTATTCCCAAATTAGGTCACGTTCTCAGGTACTAGAAGTTAGGACTTCAATATATCTTTTGTTGAGGGGGGGGATACAATTCAGCCCATAATGGGCCTTATTATCTGTACCTACAAAATCAGAATTTTGGACTAGATGCAGTGAATCTTATCTATTTTTGGGGGATGTGTTCCTTTGAGAAACTGATGAAAACTATAGACATTTGACCCAGAGAAAGGCATACCTACACAATATTTTGCACACTATCAGGATGATCATAGACCCTTTGATCCCCATCCACTGAATCCCTAGAAGACATGCACCCCAAGGAAGGCATGTCATCACGGAAGGAAGGCTCTTTTAGTTTCCCTCAGATGAAACATCCTCTGAGCATCCTACAAAAGTAGCTCCAAAAGAACATATGTAATGCTCAGAGCCTGGTACAGTGGTGTTCACTTAAGATTTATTGAATGAATGAGATTTAAACTACTAAGTGTAACTGAACATCCCCACTTTGGAAGCCCTAGCAAGACATTATGAGTCAGAATCCACTGGCATGAAATAAAAACTTGACACCAGTGATTTATTTGGAAAGCTGGGGCTGGCAAATTGCCCACCTTCCTCTCAGTTCTTGACCATGGCCAAAAATATAAGCTCATCTAATTAGTCCTGACCTCCCATGCAACTCTGTCCAATCTGGTTCTCTATCCCTTTTCTTTCTGCTGCTCCCCTCTATCTCAATCCTTTTCTCTAGGGAACAATGTCTTTCCCTCTAAGCCTCACCCTCTCAGAGTCACTGCTGCCTCTGCAACCTCCAGATGTGAGGTGGAGGACCACCTTGCTCTTTGATTCTTCCAAACTATTGCTTCCTATCATTTCATAAAACTTCTTCCTTTGAAGTTAATGCCATGCCTCTATGCATCAATCATGTCCCTGCATCACTATCATCTATGTACCATATACTGGTAAACACTGGTTGAATGGTTGACTCTGAATAATTGACTGGTTCAATAAAAGCTGTTTTCTTGGTCACTCTTTTTCATTTATTTGAGGCTATGGTGCCAGGCTCATTACATTTCCTTCTACGCCTTTTCCTATTAGGATCCTTGGTGAAGTGTCCATGGAGAACTAAAGTAAAACCCCAGTTTCCTCACAATCCCTTGGTCTTCAAGAGACTTAAATTCCCCTTCACGTACTCCAACCATACCAAGCAGATCTAGAACTGCTTTATGTCGGACCACAACTTTGTATGCATTTAGCTTTCTCATGCTCTACCTCACCCAATTCTTTGATATATTCAATTTTCCCTAATCTTTTCCTGGCTGTGCTTCCCTCTTTATACATCTTAAACCACTATTTTAAAAAACACTCAACACCCTCTACCCTCCTATCTCCCTTTAGTCCTGCCTAATTCATTTGGAAGCCTGGATCACAATCTACCTCTTTTTTTTTTTTTTTTTTTTTTTTTTTTGAGGCCAGGTACCACTTCCCAGTGTTTGTCTCTGTAGGATCTTCAACAGCTACACATGGTTTTTTCTTGGCTCTTAATTAGCTATCTTTATCACATCTCCAAGTCATTTCCCACAAACCACTAACCCTACTCTGCCTCACTCACAGTGGATAACCTTGTTTCCTCCTTTATCAGATATGGAATTCCTCCATTCTCTGTCTTCTCCACTTATGAACTGGATTACTTGTGAAAGCAGCCTAGTGCTTTCTTCCTGCATCAGCACCAGCTTTTCATTCCTGTTCCACAGCCAGTCTTCCACAGGACTCCAGACCCAGTTCTTTTCTATTGCCTCTGGGCCCTTATTTCCTCAATCATTTTACTCAAAAAATATTTTTCTGGAGGTTTACTATGCCCTGGGCCCAATTCTAGATGCTGGTATATGGGAGGGAAACCAAGACAGACAAAATCCTGTCTCTCACTGGGGAACAGGGATTAGGGGTGGGGTGTGAAGAACAGACAATAAACAAGTGAAAGCTTCAAAACAAAGAAGATATTTTCTCTTTTCATAGATCTTTTTTTTGTTTAGACAGGGTCTTGCTCTGTCACCCACACTCTGGAGTGCAGAGGCGCAATCACGGCTCACTGCAGCCTTGACCTCCTGGACTAAAATGATTCTCCCACCTCAGCCTCGTGAGTAGCTAGGACTACAGGCACAAGCCACTATACCCGGCCAAATTTTATTTTTTGTAGAGATGGGGTTTCACCACGTGTCTCAGACTGGTCTCAAACTCCTAGGCTCAAGCAATTCTCCTGCCTTGCCTTCCCAAAATGCTGGGATTACAGTTTCGAGCCACCATGCTTGGCTTTTTCATAGATCTAATTCATGGAACAGGGTGGGGAAAACTAGTGCTGATTCTTGAAGTAGGAACTCAGACTGGTTTGAGAAGTAAACCTCTCTATCAGTTCTGCCCTGCCTCCAATGTCTAACGACAGCCATCCAATCTTCCTTGCCCCTGCACTGTCCTCTAGCTACATCGTTCTTCTTCCTTAACTCAAAGATCACTCTATATCTGCTATCTCCATATTCTTTGTTTTTATTTAGTTATCTTTTCAGTTGAAAAAGTAATGCATATATTAAAAACAAACAAACAAAGAAAACCAACAACAAAAAGCTGAAGAAAAGACTACTGTACTTCTTAACTGTCTATTCACTCTTCAACCCACCATAATCCAGCTTCTGCTCAACCAGTCCATTGAATCCACCCTGGCAAAGGTATCCAATGACTGTCCCTCCACAGTTCCCAAAGTGAGTGGACTTTTCTCGCCTTGTGTTACTATTCCTGGGCACTCTTGACCTTCTTTTCTCTGCTTGGCTCAGACAGTTCTCTGGGGTTACAACACAAACTAAGCTCTTCCTTGGCTTCTTCTCCTCTGGTGCCTCTGAAATGCTTATGTTAAACCCAGTTTCACCTTTGCCCATGTTCTCTTTCCATATGTACCCACCTTAGGTAATAGGACCATATAATTTTTATGATCCTAATGTGATGTCTTCAAGAGTGAAAAAGGACAAATAATTACTATTCTGGGATAGCAGGTGTAAACCAAGACTATCCCAAACAAACTTTGATATATAGTCACCCTATTCTTTGCAGGTGGCATCTGTGGTGATGGTTTTAACAAACACCTGTCAATCATTTGCAAAATTAAATCTGTAGCCTTGACACTGACATTTAACTTTATTTTTCAAATCTTTAGGTTACAATTTCTTATAAATATCTCAAAACTCAGCAAAGTCAAGCCCAGTTAATTATTAACATTCCTAAAACTTCTTAATCCTTGTATTTTCTATCAAGTTATAAATATTTCCCAGTCACTCATACCTCCAAGCTGGAGATTCTTCTAGATTTCCCATTCTCCCTCTCCTATCATATTTAATCACTAAATCTTGCTACCTTTACCTCTGAATAGTTCTCTGATCCACTGTTTTTCTCCTGAACTACCATCACAACTGTTAACTGATGTCCTTGCTCTTCTCTCCTTCGATTTCATCTTCCCCATTGCTGCTAAAGTGATCTACAAGTGATCACATTTCTGCTTTGGACATTTCAATAGCTCCCTATCACTTACCATAGGAAGACTGTCATCATGACCCTCCTGTTTCTTTCTTTAGTCTCATAACCTGCGGCTAGTCTCTCTCCCTTTGTACTCTAATAATACCAAACAGCTTATAGAAACACATTAATATATACATCCCTAATAAGCTGCTTTTCACTTCCAGGCCTTTGTTCATGCTGTTCCTTCTGTCTTGTATGCAGATCCTCTTATTTGGCTTGCCAACACCTGCACAATTTTCTCTATTGACTCACAGCAGCCCAGAGGGGAGCTAGGTGCCTCTCCTTAAGTTTCCACACTACCTGTCCACATCCCAACTATAGTACCAAATATGTTCATTTGAAATCATTTATGTCAGTCTTCCCTACTAGTTGGTAAACTTCTTGAGGACAGGAGCAGTGATCTGTAAATACCTGACAAATATTCATTCTATTTTTAGGAGATCTCATCCACTGTTACAGACTTAAATAACAAAATTAAAATAAGTTGGGTTAAATATTGAAATAAATAAATCACTTCATTACTTCTGTATTTTTCTACATTTTATAAAGTCATCAGTGAAAAGATGAAAAATGTGTAAGGACTTCAGGTGCCAAAAAATTTGCCATGTTTTATAAAATGATAAAAGTAGGTCTTAGAATAGGAGACAGGATGATTAAATTAAAAATATATAGTGGTAATGTGCCAAAGTCAAAAAAGAGCAAATTGTAAACTGTTTACAATTACAGAAAATCATAATACTTTTCAGCAGTTGTTTGATTTGGAAAATTTTGCATAAATATTATCCAAAGCATTCTTTTTTCTAGAAGAGGTTTCTCATTCCTTTTATTATTATTTATATTAAAAAATACAACTTAGAGGTTAGTATTGAATATCATAAAATCCAGTATCCATCAAATCTACTCAAATATCTTTCTCTACTTTCCTGATGTTTCCTCTTACGACTTCCATGTTCTTAAATGATTAGATCTGGCTCAGAAGGAAGAAACTTTCACTTTGAGAAAACCTAAACTATTTGACCTTCGAGGCACAGAACAAAATCTACATTTTTTGGATAAAATGTGGTGCTCCTGTCACTTATTTAAGTAATTTTGGGAAATTAAAAAAGTATAATCTAAAATTTTAAAGAAAATTAGTGTTACTAGAGGCATAACAAGAGCATCTGGCACAACTGGTATTCAATGAACAAATAAAGAGAACAACATAACAATTTAACAGTCGCAATTATAAATGATTCTAAAAAGTGTATGTTCTTCTGACAAAGTCTTACTTTATGTTAGCTACCTATTTCCTAATTCAATCACATAATTTTGTGCACTTTTTCCTAATTATATTTTGGCTAACAAGTTCTATTGTGTGAACTTTTGATTACTTCTCTGAGACAGAAAACAATTTTGAAGTATTTTGAAATTTAAAATACACACCGATATTTTCTTCAAGCTAAGAACTATCAGACTATTCGAAAGGGCTAGACACTGGCTTTCCGGTTATTACAGACACCATAACATACATCTGAGGAGATGGGAACACGTCTACCATTCAGCACTGTACTGAGAAATGTATTTTTCTAAAATATAACTGGAAGAAAGTTAAAATACCTTTAAATGTATTTGTTTTTTTAATTAGCAAGGTGTTGATATTATAAAAATAATTCCAATCTCCTGATAAACATCCTTGAATATTCCCTACCTGTCAGAAGGTGGAGCTCTAAACATATCTCAAATACTTGCTTTTATATATGCATTTCACAACTGTGTGTAATGAGGAGATTAAAGCAGGAGTAAAGTCTTTAGAAAAATGGTTCTGAAGAATATTCTAATTCTCTCAGGATAAAATGACTCACATCTCCCAATGTGTACACAGTTAACCAACAAAAGGGATGTTTAGTATATTCCTTTGAAATTTCAGTATATTACCCTACTACAAAAATTGAGGTACATGCAAATCAAATAATAAAACACAAAGTCTATTTAAAAGGCAAAACATTTTTGAAAATCAGGAGTACCTAGTCAAATGTAGGAAAGGTCATTAATACTTACAAGCATCTCGGATGTAAAGTAACATGGCTACGAAGATATAATCTACTAAACCCAGGCTGAGGCCGTCTGCAAACAAGGCATCCCAGACCACCAGAAGGTCCTGCAGGGGGAACTCTCGTCCAAATAGCAGCCGCACCCACCTTCTGGAAAGAAACAAAACAAAAATTCAGAAGACAGTACTTTTGAGAATAAAGAGTGATCATTTTCTCAAGTAACTGTGAAAAACTATTAACTGAACACAGTGAGCAAATATTATATATCAAAAATATAATATAGTAAAATCTATATTTTAAGCTTTCAAATGAATTTTATAATTGTATAACTAGGCCATCATCATTAAATACTATTATATACACACGTATTATACATATATATGAAAAAAGTCAAAATCTTTCATATTTAATAGAAATCACAAATTCCCAAAAGGTGAAGAAAAAATGAATGTTTAGTAGTCTGGTAGTTGCTTCCATAGGTAAGGTTGTAAGTTAAAAATAAAATTTTCCAAAATTTCATGATCTCTACTGATTTTCTGTTGTTGTTAATTGCCCTTCTGCAAATATTTGTATGACAAATCCAATAGAAACTTAGAAAACTGCGTTCTCACATCTCACTTCTATTTAAAATAATTCATTTTAAAATTAAGTGTGGGAAAAAGCCAGTAGATAACCATTTTTTTGGTCAAGCATAGACAGTTATTTTAAATGAAGGATATAGTCATACTTATTTTTTTTAGCTTTGCAACAGATATACCTGATCAGTAAGGCTACCTTTCGAGGAGTGTTTTTCAAACTTACTTCTATTATCTAGAAAATGAGTATCTATGCCACAGAGTAAACATAAGCAGCTAATGTGAATACTAAGCAACATCTATATATAATTGTACATAATAGTGACACTTTAGACTTTCAATAAATGTTAAACTATTTATATCTAATTCTTATAAGAAAAAAATTTGGTTTGATGTTTTTATTCATTTACCTCTAATTTTACATGACATGGCTACAATTTCCTTACATAAGTCTTTTTCTAAGGACTTCAGCTAGAATTCTATGTGATTCTAGCAAATAGCAAAGAATTAAAAATTCCAAATTTTTAGCACCATCAAATAGTATAGAATAACCTTTAAAAATTAGTTAAGAGATGTTAATTTTATGTAAATTTGAAACCAAATATAACCATTTGTGGGGTTAAAGCAAGGCAAAAAAAATTCAAATATTTTCCTTAGAGAGCAATATATTTAAGGAGAAATCAAAGATGTGACAAAATACTGTATACTCACAAATATGTATCATAGTTTATTAGGAACCATGTGATTAAACACAAGTTTTTTTATTCACATTCTCATATTAATCAATAGAATAATTAGATTATATTTTCAACTACATCAATTACTCAATTTTTCAGTATAAAAAATTTAAATGCCGAAGTATTGTTTATCTTCTTAAAAATGTTACAGCATCTTTTATAATTTTCCACTTTAAAATATTTAAAATGTTTTAAATGTTCAATTTTTAAAAATGTTACAATGTCTTTTATAATTTTTATCTTTTATAATTTTCAATTTTTACTCCACTACTATTAATAAAATGAGGGGTGATTAACACAATTTTTTTTTGTCTAATATGGCTGTGTTTACATGGCTTAGGAAAAAAAATACTTCTCCACACATTTCTAATTCTTTCAAATTACAAATGCTAATATTTACTATTCCAAGAAGTACAAAAACATCTCTAAATTAAATAGGCTGCTATTCTTAATTACAAAGAATTAACTGATCTTGCAAAGAGTACCAGGGGAACCAGAGATGGGCACAGCAAAAAAGTACATGAACTAAACCATTTTGGGCCCTTGTTCAAAGGATTTTTAACCGATACAAATGTTTGCACTCTTAAACGATGAAAACATGTAGAATGTGGTTACAGTTATTCGGCTGACACAACTTTCCTCCATCAATGAGGAAAGTAGATGAAGGTTAATACACAACTACAGTTAGGAATACAATCTTCCCCCTCTTTCCTTACAGCTCAAATCCTTGCCATTTTCTTATCAGCAATCACATCTTAGATTTCATCACAGATAGTGCTTTAAGCACAACAACAAAAAAACCAAAGTAGCCCATTTCCTAGAAATAATTTCTATACCCATTATTTCTACAACAAACTGCCCAGTTATTCCTCAAACTTCTCTTGCACCCTTCTTGACTCTGAAGATACACATATGCAGCAATCTTCACTGCAGCAGTCAGGAAGGTTAACTGCAAACATCTAGTAATCTACACTGAATAAAATACATCTTTATTTTCTGTGTCAAATTGTTCACATATTTAATATCTCCAAAACTACACACAATGCATGTCTTTAGCACTTTTTAATGTATTATCTACAATGTGCTGCTTTATAAATCTTTCATATTGCTTCACTCTTTAAGTACCTTGCCAAGTACACTGCTATATAATTCCAGGGCAAGGACCAAATCCTGTGTGTGTGAGTGCATGTAAAAGACAGAAACAGAGAGAGAGAGAGAGATCCAGAAAGTTCTTTGTAAAGACCTCTATACACTTTGCTAAGTGCTTTATGTATTTACAGAACTCTTGTTAACCCCACTGTAAAGCCACCTTTACTGAGAAGCAATGGGATAGCTAATTTGGAAGTACAGGCATTGATCTTGTTAGTGGTGGCACAAAAATAATCCAGGAGGTAGAAAAAAATACCAAAACCACATAAGAAAAAAATTTATCATTAGATGCCTAGCATGTTTCTTTTATATAAAGACTGTTAATAAGTTGTACATGAGAGGATATTAAAGTAAAATGCCGTCTCTTCTATTTTATATATAATTATAAGAAAATCCAGGCCAAATTCTCAAAATATTTAAGAAGAAGCATATAACTAATGGAATGCTTTGGGACCAACGATGACCTTATCAATAACTTAATCATTTTATCCCAATTGGATTTAGTTCTTATATATATTCACAACACACAAATTTCCTGTGCTATTTTGGGCTTTCTTCATTGAGCTTAAAAGCCAAGGAAAAAGCTCTTTACAGAATGAGTTAGTAATAGAAATTATTTCAGTAAGCTTTTATATTCTTGGAAAGAAAAACTTACCCTAAGAAATGAGGTCTTGTAAAGAAGTCACTCCTACAATTAACATGCTTTTATTGCAGTTAAAAATATTTAGTGAGAGTTTAAGTTACACTTAAGGGTAGCATTAAACCTTTTCCCCTTAAAGATAACTTCAGTTTAATTGCTTTATACTATCAATCTTGCTTTATGTATGTTACACCTGCAGACTGCCATGCTCATAACCACATATATTTTATCACTTGTGATAATATAATAATTCATATTTTACCATATCTACTTAGTAATTAAGATCTGCAGAAACAGAAAAGAGTATCTGAGGTACTAAATTTAATAATAAACACCCAAAGACAGGACAAGTCTCTATGTTTGCATTTATACCACTATTCTCGATTTTAAATTTCTGTGTAATTAAGCTGCTATTCCCAGGGGAACAGTAACTACTGTTGGTGTTATTGCTTGGTGACTGACCCACGGAAACACCAAGAGAAATTCATTTTTGCCAATGAGTTTATGAAAAGGACCAATTTGACTGAGCTTTAAATAAACATAGCCTTAATCCAACTTGGCTGTAGTGGGTTATATACAGAGAAACAAAATTAAATCCTAGGTCTTCATTTCCGTATTCTTTTCCATTAATGGCTCTTTAGTGAGATATGGGCATAGTAACCTTACAAGAACAAGTAACGTAGAAACGTTACATTCAATTTAACACACATTATAAGGGCATCTTGAGTAACCTGTGATCACGAAATGATACCACTAGGTGAGCATGCTTACACAAAAAAGCAATGTTAGATTTTTGCTCAATGATATCAATTTTGTGTTTTGCTTTCTGTTCACTTGTATTTTTAAAAGCTAACAATTTTTAAATAATCTATGCCTGTTATGGGATAAACACAGAATCCAAGTTGTGTATTAGTATTCAAGAAAAAGCAAGGTAAAAATGTTTATCTCTGTGCTTGGGTACTTCTTTGACTGATTTTAGGCTCTTATATTGGGTTTCTTTGTATTCAGTTCTTTTGAAATTAATACACCCTGAGTTTTCCTTTATATCAACTCTGTGTAGACAGTCTTAAAATTGCAAGTAAACACTGAATTCATTATACTTAGGGTCACAAGCCATTCTCATATTTAATTTGAACTTCTTTAGAAAACAGTCACAAAAAATGGGAGGCCAAAATAAATAATTTTATTCCAGTTTTACACTTACTAGTCTTCTAAGGGCTCTGCAGAATACATTACTGAAGGATGCTTACCTGTTTGGTAAATTTTTTATCTAATCAACTATTTCAATTAGGTCTTTAAAAACTATTTGGTATCTGAATGCCTTGAAGATATATTTGAATCCTTTAAGCCATCAAACTCTTTTTCAAAAAGAGAAAAAACAGAAACTTTGAATTACTGTGTCTAAAGAATTCCAATTTGCTTTCTAAGTGTTCTTTGTAATCCATGGATTGAACCCAGCTTGAATTTGCCTTTTTGGGAACACATGTTAACCTAATTTAACCCCCAAAGGATATGTACATGAACTGTTAAAAGTCTATTTTTGACTTTGGGAAAATTCTCTCTTCCTTTCAGAGGGCAGTACACAGCCCTTTATTAAGGAAGGTTTCTTATTCCAAAAATAAGTTCCTAATAATTACCACCCATTCCTACTGTAATTTATTCTCCTTGGCAAGTGTTTGAAGCTGTTTTGTCAGAACAACTGTAACATGCCTTTGCAAAAATAGTCTGAATGGAAAGTAGATCCTTGTATATCTATGTTTTTCCAGGGATTTAAGATGATCATGAACATGTTGGGTACAGAAGATGACCATAATATGACATGCTTTTGATGCTTGAACATTTTCTCTCTCCTTCTCTCTCTCATACACACATACCTCTTTCAGATGTATGCCTGCTATTTGGCTTACAAGTATGGTACTTCAAGGACTGAGTAACTTTAGCATATATAATTTACCAGGAAATTCCAATAAAGCTAATGCATGATGGTAATAGTCTAATACAGCTATAGTTGTATGAACACGATGCACTCTCTGTGAGAATCCTCTTGTCCATTCCAACTAGGGAGCAGTTGGAATCTTAGCCCTGACAGGAGGGGACTATGGGGATGAAAGCTGCTGAGAAGTAACCTCTCTACCCTATCACTTACTTGGGTTCCATCAAAAGTAAGCTACTGGGTATCTCCTTGAGAAAATTACTTAGAAGCCACTGCTGTGTATGAATTAAATATACAAAGAGTTAACGTGCAGTTGTTGGACACGTTGGGAAAACGAATTTTAGGCTCCATGAAAACTGTTTTTTATTCATACCAGAGACAGTTTTTACTTCTAGAAAGTCTGTAAATAGGCTTTGCTCTACCATTTTACCTTCAGGAAAGGAAATTATGATCAAATAAATTTTCTAAAATTGCATATAGAGATTTGCTAAAAATAATTACTCCTATCCTCCGTAATCTGAAACTCATTTAAAAAAATAAAACATGTCTGACTTTATTTTTTGAAACCATCATAGACATTTCAAATACCAATGGGATCTTAACTACAGTGAATAGCACTTTTCGACTTCCTCTGCATAAATCTCCTAATACATTTATACACACTGTTGGAAGAACTGACATGAGGTGTAACACTAAGCTGAGAAATATCAGGATCTATTCAGGGATGAAAGTAAGACCACAGTCATTATGCTTCCATAAGCAGTCAATCTCACCAACAACAATTACGTTGGAAATAGAATTCCTGTTATTCAAAGGGACATGGCCAAAATCCACAGATGGGTACCTATTAAGAGAGTCAGAAAAATTCCATTCCTAAACAGCAGCAGGGTATCTTATTGCCTTTGACCTCTTATCTCTAACCCACAGCTTTAAGTACCCTCCGGGGTTATCACTGGCCCTCTCTTCTTTCTCTTCTTTCCTGTTCCAGAAAGTGCCCTGACCCTGTCTTGCAGCTCAGGGTTTAGGACACTGCTTTGCCCAGGCCTGATATTTGAAGGTTTCACACCTATTAGTGTTACTGCTCCCACTTACATTTTCCAGAGAAACGCACTGATAAACAAATCTCAGCTAAATAGTTAAGTTACGGATGTTGTTTTGGTTTCTCTCTCTTCTCCAGCAGGATCCTAGGGGTTATTTGGTATGAGGCATAGAGTAGGGGGTTAAAAATGTTTATTTAATTAATATCAATCTTTTTCCTCAAGTTAGCTCTTCTTGACCACAGATGATCTTGATCTTGGGCCTACAGGCTGGACCTTTCACAGGATGCCTAGCTGCTTATCAGTCTTCTCCCTGGGCTTCCCCTATCTCTCTGTGGAGATCCCTGAACATACATTCTAAGCAGTAAGTGATCAGATTTATGCAGGAATTTATAAAAGCCTCCTAACCTCTCAGGAACCTTCCCCTTTCATTTCCTGAACTCTAGTTCCCTGCATGCCCATACCTCCAATGTTCCTCAGCTTGAGTGTATGGTCTCCTAGGACCCTGCTATTCAAAGTGTAATCCTAGGACCAGTACCACCACCTGGCAGCTTGTTAGATATGCATCTTTCAGCCCCCCAGTATAGTGCTCCTGGGTCAGAGCTTCACTTCAACAAAACCTCCAGGTGATCTGCATGTACAAGTTTGAGAGGCACTGGACAAGGTGACAGATTCCTGTTTCCTGTCGATATTTTGGCTTCAGGCTGTCAGAGCTCCTAAAATCTACCATGCATTCATGTAAAATGTTACTCCATGAGGAGAGAAAAAGCAAAAGTTATTGGATGGCTCTTCTAATTACAGTAGTGGCCTGAAACTTTTGCATGCAGCAGAGGTATCTGGAGGGATGGTAAAAACACAGATTGCTAGAACCCATCCCCAAAGTTTTCTGATACAGAAGATTTAATGAGAGCCTGATCATTTTTTAAGGTGGGGTCAATACAGGCATCTGCCACTGTGCCCAGAGATAATGTGTATTTTGAACTAGTTCCCAGGAGATACTGATGCTGCTCGTGTGGGAACCAAACTATAAGACCCATACATAGGAAGTTCTGGTTTCTCTCCGCATCTTCTCAGCCTACTCTTGAGTGTGTATCTTCAAACTGGCTCACTCTACATGTCTAACCATTCAGCCAATGGCCATCAGGCACACATTTAATGACTGGGACACAAAGTATCCATAGCCAAATTTCTCTTAGAATTCTATCTGTATTAATTTATATATATTTTATTTTCAAGGAAAACACTATTATAAAAACATGACCCAATAAAAAGTAGGGATACAAATGTGAGGGTGACAGAAGTGAGATAATACCAAAACTGCCAGGCCCAAAAGGGCATTTGCCCACTCCCCATGTAGAAGCCCCATGATACTGGGAGCGCAGCTGAATGGTCATCTATTTTGTGTTCCTCTATTCTGTGTTACCAGTGAACCATTCTACGTCTAAGGTTTAACACTATCAACTATGTGGGTCTAAATATCCCTAAAATAAAACATGCATTTAAAATGCTATTCCTGGAGAAATAAAGGGCTAAACTCCAAGAAACATTTCTCCAGTGATATTACTATCAGCTCTGTGATGTAGTGGTGGAAGAGAGATTTCAGGTTAAGGGAGTTCACCTGGAAACTCTCAAATCTCAATGCAAAGTGGAAATAAATGAAGACCCCCCAAATGAGAATAAGCAAAGGTTATTCATTCAGAGTTTGTAATAGCAAGAGAGTTCAGCTACCATTACCTGTGTTTGGAAGATAATCCAAAGTAGCCAGGGGAAAGATAAAGCTTTACGGTGTGGGGGACGGGCGGGGGGAGGCTTCAGGTATGCCCCACTGAAGGCTGTAGGCATGGCAGAGGGCTAACTAGACGTGGGGTACCATATATGATTGATTTGGGGAACATATTTGGCTTTCTCTAGGTTGGTCCTGTGGTGGAAGCAGAAAGTAGGGCAAAAATAGGGAAGTTAGCAGCGACTGACCAAGGCCTAACTGTTCTGGACTGATTTTGCTGGAAAGGTTGTAGTTTGGCTTCTGGGGCATCTTATCTGGGTCAGAGTTCTGTTGTCACATATAGTGTTGCCATTGCCCATTTGCATGTTCAGTCTTTCAACATACACCCTTGGCTTCTCAGCCTATGCCTGTCCCCAGCTTGGAATGAACTATAGTTAGAGAAATTTACAAAATTACTTTCCCTGATCGTTCTGAAGTCCACATGGAGACAAGTTTGTGAGGCAGTGGCCATGGGAGTTTTGTTTCTCACTTTCAAACATTTCATGAGAAGTATAAAACAGTGAAACTGAGATTCCATTCATCAGTAGAGAGAAGTTGCAGACCCCTTTGAGAATGTAATCAAGCGTATGAGCCCTCTCTTCTGAAAAATACACACACCCATCCCCATATCATATCTACTCAAGTGAAAGCCATTTTAGGAGTTAGGCTAATTCAGGGACCTTAGGTTAAGAACTGCTCTATATTTATGTTTATGTTATTGCGGATGCTTGTATTATCATGGAAAGTTATATTCTACTAAAAGGAATTCGCAGCTTCCTTGTGCCCATTTCAAAGTATCGTTCTTGCATTTTAAAAGAACAGCATATTTCCCTTCTTGAAGGCTCACTGTGTTAAGGCACTGCTAGTGAGGAGCTATTCTGTGTGGCTCAGCTGGTCAAACAGTCTGTAAATCGGCACTATCTTGGGAAAATGTCCATGACTTGGCAATACTCATCTTCACTGACCTGAGGGTGGAAAGGTTGAGGTTGGGGGAGATGAACTTTCTTCACTGACTTCTTTTCCTGGCTCATGCCAGCCCTGATTTGATCATAAGACTGGTATGAAAAACTGAGAATCTTCATTTAACAAGTATTTCCTAAACTTCAACAGTGTGGCAGGTACTGTGCTAGGCCATAGACTGAATGCCATGCTGACAACTCTTAATCATTAATGGAAAAAATTACTCAAAATAAAATTTTAACTCAATAATAATCCCATCAATCTGGTTTACCACAGTTACTCTGCATTTTTCTGTGCCCCCTCCACGCTAAATCCCCCAAGCAACTAGGATGTACTCAGGGGATGCAAACTAATGGCAACATTAGCAACATATAATTAGAATAGCAACATATAATTAGAAAGGCAAAAACAATTTAAAACATTACTAAATACATTTCAAAGCCAAGTATTAACGGTTTTTGGATTATCCACCATCTGGGATTATGTATGTCTCAGTTACTATCCATTAACACAGATAATCAAGAGCTGAATGTATCTGCATGGGGCCCAGGTAACTCACAAGAAGGCAGGGAGAGACAGGGAGGGAAACAGGAAACTATGAAGGAGCCATGAAGGGAAAGGGCAGTCAACTCCACCACATTCATTACTTTGAGAATATGGGTTTGGTTGGAAATCTAGAAGTCCAGCTCAAAATGACATAAATTACCTTTTCTACTAGTGAAAGCTAAATGGAAACAAAAGAGTTAAGGAGGGGATTGGCTCCTCCATTTTATCCCTGTCTGACAGCTAAATTTAATGCCCATACAACTTTACAATCAATTATATCTATGTGTATATAATATTTTTTTAAGGACAAATATATAATAACCAAGGAAAATGTATTTTTTAATGCACAGAAGATCACAACTCAATGTTTTAAAATAATCACACGCAATTTCTGATAATGGCAAATACCATGCATTTATATCAATTTTTTGATTTTTAAAAGTACTACCACATTTGGACTGTAAACTAGTTCAACCATTGTGGAAGTCGGTGTGGCGATTCCTCAGGGATCTAGAACTAGAAATTCCATTTGACCCAGCCATCCCATTACTGGGTATATACCCAAAGGATTATAAATCATGCTGCTATAAAGACACATGCACACGTATGTTTATTGCGGCACTATTCACAATAGCAAAGACTTGGAACCAACCCAAATGTCCAACAATGATAGACTGGATTAAGAAAATGTGGCACACATACACCATGGAATACTATGCAGCCATAAAAAATGATGAGTTCATGTCCTTCGTAGGGACAGGGATGAAACTGGAAATCATCATTCTCAGTAAACTATCGCAAGGACAAAAAACCAAACACCCCATATTCTCACTCATAGATGGGAACTGAACAATGAGAACACATGTACACAGGAAGGGGAACATCACACTCTGGGGACTGTTGTGGGGTGGGGGGAGGGGGGAGGGATAGCTTTAGGAGATATACCTAATACTAAATGACGAGTTAATGGGTGCAGCACACCAACATGGCACATGTATACATATGTAACAAACCTGCACATTGTGCACATGTACCCTAAAACTTAAAGTATAATAACAATAAAATTTAAAAAAAAAGTACTACCACATTTGATCTTGAAACAAGCCTGAACTCTTTAAAAGCAAATGGTCTGTGGAATACATGCATTAGAACCACTTGGGGGAAAAATTCTTGCATGTTTCAGAGATACAAAGGTGATTTCTTTGCTCAGCCCCCAGTCTGTAATCATTGACCCAAAGAAGCTGGGCAGGAACAGGCATTTTACTGATATATCAACAAAGGAACATGGCGCAACCTGAGGTCACATTTCATCCAAAGACAGATTATACAATATTATAACAACTAGCCCAGTGTTTTTTCTATTCTTTTATATTTTCTCTAATTTCCAAAGGATAGTTAATTCAGTTATGTATTTTTAAAATCGCCTCTCCACATTAACATGGAGAATCACAGGATTCGGAATGCATAGTATCTACTATTGCTATGTCATCTGTGTGGTAGCTGGGTTTTTCTGGGTAGAAGAAATGGTGCTTTCTGAAAGACTTATTTTGATGAATCGCAATCTGCTAGTTCATGAGTACCCCAGTTAAAATACAATGGTAATTACAGCTATAGGACCCTACAAGATTTACAGGGCTTCTTTTCAGGGAAACTCATTAAGGAAACTATAAAGAACTAAGAACTTACAAAGAAAAATTAATTGCCACTTTTGGTCAGCCAATTTTAGAAAGACTTATGAGGTCTAGAATTGTATTTCGGGCTAATGGAGAGAACAGAAACTCAGTGAAGTTTAGTTGACTGAGGGCATCATGGTTTATAATATGTTCATAAATTAATCTGCTCGTAAACCAACTCAAATATGAAGCAGCAGAACCATCACATAAAACACTTTAAATTTATTTTTGTCAACATACTCATTTCCTTTCCACATCAGCTACCAGTTACTGTGGCTGAGTTCTAGTGCTGAGATGCTCCAAATCCGTGATCTCTTCTGAAGCACTGCTCTCTGACCATAGCCTCGTATCTCACTATCTTTCTCACTTTCTTAATTCTTTTACTGTCTGTGAATTAAAATGGAAACTATGTGGAGTTATTGTTTTGCTAATTTATAGGTTTTTTTTTTTTTTTTGCAAATGGCGAAAAAGAACTTAAAAGTTTAACAAGACGTACAATAAGAAGCAATTTTCCTTCCCAACCCAAATCCCTTCCCCAACAGCAAACCTACCTTCCCAAGGGTAGCCAATGTTCTTATACAACATACAGACATTTTTATGCAGGTATTTACCTGGTAAAAGCATAAACAGCTGGGAGGCAGAGGCGGGCGGATCACAAGGTCAGGAGATCAAGACCATCCTGGCTAACATGGTGAAACCCCGTCTCTACTAAAAATACAAAAAATTAGCCGGGTGGGGTGGCGGGCACCTGTAGCTCCAGCTACTCAGGAGGCTGAGGCAGGAGAATGGTGTGAACCCGGGAGGCGGAGCTTGCAGTGGGCCAAGATTGCACCACTGCACTCCAGCCTGGGCGACACAGCGAGACTCTGTCTCAAAAGAAAAAGAAGAAAAAAAGCATAAACAGGAGCACATATTTTTAAATTTAACAATGATTGCTAAAATGAAGATCGTTCCAAATAAACATATATACAAATAAATAACTTGCTCTTTATTATGGTTGTGTAGTATTCCATAAGTGGATGTATAGTAACTTAAATAGTCCTTTTATTTTGGGGACATTTAGGTTCCTTTGTTATTATATGTGATGCTGCATTGATTATCTTTGTACAGGTCTTTGTTCGTGTAAATATATCTTGGAAGCAAATTGCTTACTTCATGTTACCTCAGCACTTTAGTTTAATTTAGGATCTTTGATTACAAAGAATGGCACTGAGTTATTTCACACACAAAAAGGGGAATTTGGGAAAACTGTAAAGCAGTGGTTTTCAAAGTGTGGTCTCTAAACCAGCAGCATCAGCATCACATGAAAATTTGTTCAAACTGCAAATTCTTGAACCCCACTCACTCATACCTACTAAATCAGAAGCTCTAGGCAAAGTTCAGCAATCTGTATTTTAAAAAGCCCTTTGGGTGATTCTGATGCAAGCTCAAGTTTGAGAACCACTACTTTAAGAGTGTATAAGAGGATATAGTGTTGGGATGCTGCCAAGAACCAAGGAAGTTTTAGTGATTCCTAACTTTTCTCTCTTTGGCTACAGGGAGGACTCCTTTCCCAGAAAGAAATTTTATTGTAATGTCATATTTACCAAAACTTTTCTTCATAGTTTATGGGCTTGTGAACTCCCCACCTAATAACATAACACTCATCATTTTATTCCAGTTTTATTTATATTATTGATTCATCTGGTATTCATTTTGGTGCAAAACAGAGATATACATTCATGATTTACCAAAAAGCTAGTTAGTTCTCAAAACTGTATTACTGAATAATCCATTGTTCCCCTAATGAATTGAAATTCTATCTTTACCATAGTATTACATTTCTATATGTATTGAGGGTCTGTTTCAGAATCTCTATTTTCTTTTACCTGTGAATCTGTCTAATTATGCAACAAATCCAAACTGTTATTATGATGGTATCTTTATAATACATTTACCAGTGGGTTCATTCCAGAACATAAATTAATCTGCTCACAAACCAACTAAGATAGGAAGCACTCCTGGCTATACTTAAATGTATATGTTTGAAAAATTATTTTTGAAATTTATTTTAATTTATGCTTTCATAGTTTTCTATAATTTATTTTTAGAGACAAGGTCTCACTCTGTTGTCCAGGCTGGAGTGCAGTGGCCCAATCATAGCTCACTACAGCCTTGAACTCCTAGGCTCAAGCAATCCTCTGGCCTCAGGCTCCTGAGTAGCTGGGAGTACAGGCATGTGTCACCATGCTCAGTTACTTTAAAAAAACATTTTTTGTAGAGACACTATGTTGCCCAGGTTGGTCTCAAACTCCTGGCCTCAAGCCTCCCAAAGTGCTGAGATTACAGGTGTATGCCACTAGGCTCAGTCCTGTGTATTATTTTAAACTATGTAAATGAACTACGTAAAATTTTTACTATTTATTTTCTCCAAAAGGAAACACTTATCAATGCATTTTTTCTGTCATTTATGTTTTGCTATTAAAGCACAACTGCTTTTAGTTTTAACTGCTTCCTTTATTTATTTTGCTGTTATTTTTATTACTTGAGATGAATATTTAATTCACACATTTTTATTTCTTTTTGTTTAGTAGCTTAAGAGTATAAAGCTGAGAATTTCTAAGAGCACTGTTTTAGTCAAAACCAATAGGTTCTAATCAATATACTTTACCGTTATTTTCTAGGAATTTTGTAATTTCAGTTTTGATTTCCTTTTAGTACAAGAGTAAAGAGAGTTTTATGATTTTCTGTGCTAGTTCTTTCTTGAGGGTTGTTTTCTACTTTTGTGATTAATTTCAAGTTTTGTAAAAAATGTGAACTATACTATTTCTACTGTGTTAAAATTTACTGAATATTTTTGTATAGCTACTTTAAACATTCTATGGATACAGTAATTTCACTCTGTTTACAGTACAGAGAGTTGGATATATACCAATTATATCTAACTGATTAAAGGTGAATAACTAGTTTCTCTGTACTCTTACTTTACAGTGAGTCTGCCTGATTTACCATGAATTACGAGAGGTACAAGTAGCTTACTACTATTGCATTCCTATGTATTTCTCCTTATATTTCTCATAGCTGTTATGTTATACAAATTCTGCTGTGATTTGGGGGAGGGGGAGGTACAATGATTAAAGAAAGATCTTCATTGTGAATTGTAAACTTCTTAACTATGAATTGTTCTAATTTATCTCATTCAATGTGATTTGCTTTAAAATTCACTTTGTCTGATATGAACATCATTACACATACCTTCATTTCTGTTTGCTTTTCCTGCTATGCCTCTGCAAATTGTTTTGTTTTCAATGTTTCTGTTTCTGTTTCCTTTGCATTAGGAGTGATTTTCTTGTAATAGAATAGGGTTGACTTTATTTTATTTTTAAAAATAGACCTGACTTCCCCTTCAGACCATGATGGAATAACTGGGTATATCTCTACTGCTCTCATACGATAAACAGCTACAAAACTGGACAAAATAAAGATAAGCAGCGCAGCACTGTGATTTCTGACATAAGGGGGAAAAACCCCAGATGAATCCTGTGATCACTGGCTTTTTACCTGGATGTGCTTTTGAAACCACAGAGCAGGAAGGAGAAACCCAAAGCAGAATGCATTGCTCTTACTAAGTTTAAAAGACGCAGACTCAAGGCCGAGGAAAGTGTGCACGACATTGTTACCTTTAAAGGAGGAAGCTATGCAGAGAATAATCTCCAGAAATCTGCACAAGGGGTGTCCTTAAGTGTTTGCTAAATAGTAAGTTGTGCATATGAAGGGTAAACTTCTAGAAGGCCAAGCAAAGAAGAAATAACAGAAAACGAACTACTACACAGCAGTGGAAAAAATCTTCAAGGTTTTATAATGTTGGGAAATATTCATGTTCTGAACAGTCAAACTGAAGAGAGGTTAGTATACCCATGAAAAATTCAGTAGAAACCCGACAGGTGCCATCGTGCCTTAGCAGCAGGGTTAAATTGGCCCTTGGGTAGAACATACATTAGAACTGCACTTTTAAAAAGTTTAAAAACAAGTATCAAAAATATCAAATAAAAAATCTCAAAGTAGTTTAACAGTCTGCCAAAAGTAAACTCAACATTTCTTTAAAGAAAGACTACAGATTCAGAGAAGTTGAATCATATAACATTCAAAATTTACAGCACTGAATTTTAAAAATCACAAATTATGTGAAGAAACGGGAAAAACAGACCAACCCACAACTGAAAAGGAAGGAAATAACGCCAGTTTATCACAAACTCTTTTTGAAGATATGAGATGCAGACTCATATCGTGAGGCCAGCATTACTGGCATTCCAAAACCTCACAAAGACACTATGAGAAAACTGTAGACACATATTCACCATGAATATAAGCACAAATATTCTTCACAAAATATTAGCGAATAAATTCAAACCATATATAATAGGCATAGAGACTGGAAAGGAAGAAATAAAACTGTAAGTGCAGATGACATAATTGTCTACAAAATCCCAAACAACTGTACAAAAACAAAACACTATTTAAACTAGTGAGTGAGTTTAGAAAAGATACAGGATGTAAGGTCATTATATACTAGAAACAAATAACTAGAAATTGAAAAGAAAAGTAACAGCATCTTTATAATAAACCCCATAAAATATTTAGGGATGAATATAAAAAATAAATGTAATAGCTGTGTGCTGAAAACTATAAAAAAAAAGATAATCACAAAGCCCTAAATAGAAAGTTACACCATGTTTATTGACTAGAATAATCAATATTGTTAAGATTTCTATTTTCCTAAAACTGATTTTATAGATTCAATGCAATCTTAATTAAAATCCCTTGATTTCTGGAAAAATGAACAGGCTGACCCTAAAATGTGAATTGAAGAGCAAAGGACTAAAAATACTCGAAACAATTTTAAAAAGAAAAACAAAGTTGGAGGACTCATATTATGTGATATACAGAATTACTATAAAAGTCTTTACTTTAATTCAAGACAACATAGTATTGGTATTATAAAAGATGCCTAGATTGACAGAACAAAGTTTGGAGGTAGACAAACATTTATGGTCAATTGATTCTTGCTAAACATGTCAAGGAAATTCAATGGCAAATGGATGGTCTTTTTCACAAATGATGTTGGAATAACTGCACATCCACTACAAAACAATGAACCTCGTACTTATATTTTACATGACATACAAAAATTAACTCAAAATGGATAACAGGCCTAAGGGCAACGATTGTACAACGCCTTGAAAATAGGTAGAAGAAAATCTTGTGACACTGATAGGTAAAGATTTCTTAGGACATAGAAAACTCTAATAATAAAAACTAATAAATTGAATTTTATTAAAAATTAAAAACTTATCTTTGAAAGGTACCATTAAGAAAATGAAAATAGGCCCGGTGTGGTGGCTCACACCTGTATCCTAGCACTTTGGGAGGCCGCGGCAGGCGGATCACTTGAGGTCAGGAGTTCAAAACCAGCCTGGCCAACATGGTGAAGCCTTGTGTCTACTAAAAATACAAAAAAATTAGCCGGGTGTAGTGGTGGGCATCTGTAATCCCAGCTACTGGGGAGGCTTAGGCAGAAGAATTGCTTGAACCCAGGAGGCAGAGGTTGCAGTAAGCCTAGATTGCACCACTGCACTCTATCCTCGACAACAGAGTGAGACTCTGTCTCAAAAAAAAATGAAAATGAAAATACAAGCAACACATTAGGAGAAAATATTTACAAAATACATACATGCAAAAAGACATTTCTTGAATATACAAAGATCTCTAATAACTTGATCATAATAATGCCCCCATTTTAAAAAATGGACAAGATATAAGAACAGACACCTCATCAAAGAAGTGGTATGAAAAGCAAATAAACATACAAAAAGATGTTCAATGTGATTATCAGGAAAATGCAAAAAACGGCAATGAGATATTACTGCAGATCCATTAGAATGGCTTTTTAAGAAATGACAAAACCAAATCCTAGTGGTGACCAAGGATACAAAGTAATTGAAACTCTCATAAATTGCTGATGGTAATACAAAATAGCATAGCCATTTTGGAGAGCAGTTTGAAAATAATTTTGCTGTTTCTTATAAAGTTGAACATATATTTTATCAAACAACCCAGTGATCTGTCTCCTTGCTATTTATCCAAGACAAATATGTTTACACAAACACCTGCATATGTAGATTTGTAATGGTTTTATTCATAATTGCTCAAAACTGAAAAAACCCACAGGTCCTCCAACTGGTAAAAGAATAAACAAATTGTGGTATATCCAGAAACTGGAATAGTACTCAGTTAAAAAAAAAAAAAAAAGAAATGAACTATTGATAGAGGCAATAATATGGATGAATCTTTTTTTTTTTTTTTTTGAGACGAAGTCTTGCCCTGTCGCCCAGGCTGGAGTGCAATGGTGTGATCTTGGCTCATTGCAACCTTCACCTCCTGGGTTGAAGCGATTCACCTGCCTCAGCCTGCCGAGTAGCTGGGATTTACAGGCATGCGCCTCCATGCCCAGCTAAGTTTTGTATTTTTAGTAGAGACAGGGTTTCACCATGTTGGCCAGGCTGGTCTTGAACTCCCAACCTTATGATCCACCTGCCTTGGCCTCCCAAAGTGCTGGGATTACAGGCATGAGCCACCGCGCCTGGCCCAATATGGATGAATCTTAAATGTATTATGCTAAGTGGAATAAACAGGAATTAAAAGGCTACATACATTTATATGATATTCTGGAAATGGTAAAACTATACAAGAGGCTGAACAGATCAATGATTACCAGGGATTGAGGGAATGACTACAAAGGAGCATAATAAAAATTCTGAAGTGCAGGAACAGCTTTTACGTATTGACTATAGACACGTACAAATGTATGTGTCTGCCAAACTATATTTCGATAAGCTTGACTTAAAAAAAATGACCTATACAGGAAAATTAAGTGACAAAACCTTGAATGCTAAGTAATCACAAACAAAAATGGTAAATAGAGAATTTTTCGAAAAACCTATATTAATATAGTATTAAAGTCAAGTGAGAGGAAAAAATGGTGAAGTAGATAAATTCTCTATGACTGTACTCATCTCATAGAGCACTAAGAACGTAGTATGTAAGGAAGAAAAGAATATTAAATATCTAATAGAAATATAAACAGGCACCCTCACACACAAAAATACTGTATAGAATCCAGCATAAAATTTGTTCTCATATTCAAAATACAGATAAAGAGAGAACCTGAAATAACTAATCAAAGAGAGCAAAACTGTGTTCCATCCAGAATAGGAACATTGAAGAGGGAAGAAACAGTAAACTTCCTGCCAATTTGGTGGTACTTCCATTCTGGTCTTCTTCAATGTACATGCTATTAGTTACTATTCACAGTCCTCAGATGGCTGTTCCATTCATTCTGATAAGCTTTTTAGTTGCATTTAGTCAGATGAAAAGAGTAAAATGTGCTTGCTCCATCTTACTTGGAACCAGAACCTCTGTACTTGAATATTTTTTATTATTTTATTTATTTATTTTGAGACCAGGTCTCACTCTGTTGCCCAGGCTGGAGTATAGCTGTACAATCATGGCTTACTGCAGCCTCAACCTTTCAAGATGAAGCAATTCTCCTGCCTTAGCCTCCTGAGTAGCTGAGACCACAGGTATTCACCACGCCCTGCTAATTTTAAAATTTATTTTTTGTAGAGATGGAGTCTCACTATTTTGCCCAGGTTGGGCTTGAACTCCTGGGCTCAAGTAACCCAACCACCTTGGCCTCCTAAAGTCCTGAGATTGCTGGCATGAGCCAGGGCAGCCAGCCTATACTTAGATATTAAAGAGTCATCTGAAACTGAAAATGTCCAACGCCAAACTCTTGCTCCTCTCACTATCTTTCTTAACTTAGGAGACAGCAATCAACCCTCTAGTTGCTCAGGAGCCAAAAACCTTGGAGTCTTCATTGATTTCCCTTTCTCTCATACCCTACGTTTAATTCATCAGCAAATCCTTTTGTACCTTCAAAATACATTCAGAATCTAACCACCTTTCACCAACTATACTGATACCATCCTGATCTTTCATCTTGATACCAACATTATTAACACCATTATCTTTCACCTTGATTAACCAATCATTCATTTAAATTTAAAAATTTACCTTTTATTTAACTGAATAAATTTGATGGCCTAATACCACTACTGTTATATTATGGCAGTAACAAAAACAGACAAAAATCTCTGTCCTCATGAAGTTTATTTGCTAGTGGAAATTTACTTCTAGTGAAAAAAAAGATTGTTATTTAGCCTCTTAACTAATTTCCTTTCTGCTCTTGTCTTCCTATAGTCCATTCTAGTCACTGATTCCAGAGAGATCGTTTCAAAAGATAAGTCAGGCGACATCATGTCTGTCCTCAAAGTTCTCTAATGGCTTATCATCTCAGAATAAAAATCTATGTCCTTAAAATGGCTTTCAAGATCTTACTCAACCTAGTTGTACCCTTTGACCTCATTTCCTACAGTCCTGCTCACTTTGCTTCAGCCTCGCTGGTTTGAGCATGTCAGTCATAGTTCTACTTCAGGACCTTTGTACTTGCAATGCCATCTGCTTGGAGGTTTTCTCCCCACAAAAATACATGGCTTGCTCCCATAGCTATTTCAGGTCTTTACTCAAATGTTACCAGCTCAGTGAGGCCTTCTCTGACCTCCATATTAAAAACTGTACTCCTTAGATCCCTTCCCTATTTATTTTTTTCCATGGTACTTATTACCGCCTAACATTACCTATATTTCATGTTCTCGTATTTACTATGTCCCCCACTATAACAGCAAGTTCGATAGGGCATGAATTTTTCTGTGTGTTGCTGTATGTGGTTTTTTTTCCCCATTACTGTAAAATCAGTGCCTAGAACAGTACCTGGTATACAATGGATGTTCAATATATATGTGTTGAATAATTGTTCTTAGCTTTCTTTATAAAATCTAGTAGAAATTATGATATGCTAGAGTTGGATGTGACTTTAAAAACCCTCTATTTCTTGCCAGGCATGGTGGCTAACACCTGTAATTCCAGCACTTTTGAGAGGCCAAGATGGGGGGATAGCTTAAGGCCCAGAGTTTGAGACCAGCCTGGATAACACAGTGAGACACTGTATCTACAAAAATTTTAAAAATTAGCCAGGTGTGGTGGTACACACCTATAGTCCCAGCTACTTGGGAGGCTGAAGTGGGAGGATCGCTTGAGCATGGGAGGTTGAGGCCACAGTGAGCCATGAACAGGCCACTGCACTCCAGCCTGAGTGACAGAGGAGACCCTGTCTCTTTATTTAAAAAAAAAAAAAAGTCCTTTAAAACTGTCTTTGTCAGCACACACTACAGATTTCTGGGTGAGATGAGATAGCTGTTTTTACAACCATCACCAAGAATTCCTCTCCATCCATTTCCATGATCATTGGTCAGTGTGTTGTGCTGTCTTCCTACTGACCTAACCTGCCATAGATTGTCCACCTTGAATCATCTAGCAGGCCACTGACAAATGGGCAAATGAGGAAAAGTGATTTGTCCGGTCATCACTGAGACAGTGGCAGAACTGGGACTCACTTCTAATCACCTAACTTACAATACAGTATTCCTCCTTCCTTATGTCACGATGCCACTCAAAAATTTGCAGTGCTGAGTTGCTAGCTTCTATTATTTTTAATGAAGTGGGTTATTTCCTTTGACATGAGATGAAGTCTTCAGAAATAGTGGAGACCTAGAAAGAAAGTTATACTCACAAAGCTTCCTCAACTCAAAAACCCAAAATACTACATATAATCCATAAAATTCCTTATGAATTGTGAAATTCTTTATGGATTTTGGATTTATGAATTCTTCATGGATAATGGATCCATCAATGTGGATCCACAAATACTAGAATTATATCTATCGGTCATTTGGTACAAATGCTTTGGCATAAATTGTTTATAACATTATTAAGCTAAGGGATGAGGAAATAGTTTTAAAAAGGAAATGTTTGGTGGGTAACACTGAGGAAAGAGGAAAAAAGGAGTTGGAGGAAGGTGCTACAGAGATACTTCCTGACTCTACAAGTTTGCCTCATACTGGAATGGAGAAACATTTCTGCAAGCACCACCTCATGTCACTGAAAGGCATCTCTCCTGTAGAGCCACAGGATGGCACAGACTTCTGATGCTAGAATGAAAGTTTATTAATTATGGGAGACAACTCACTTAGGTCCTTTGTAATATCCGTGGTGATAACTTGATTACTTCAGAATTATTGTTCTAAGTCTTCATTATGTCATCCACCAACATGAATGGGTTTATATAACAAACATGTTTACATAGTATGACTGTGAGTATAAATAAAAGGTGATATTCAGCTCTGATGTTCAGGTACAAATAAATAAGCTATGTATGTATATGTTTTACCTTAAGGTGCCAAGTGACCTACAACTGATAATTTTTAAAAAGGCAATTCTCAGTCACCTTAATTTTATGGGAACTTGGTGGTTTTATTTTTCATCAGTAACTATTGGTGGAAACACAAAAAAATAAAATAATACCCTTGATTTTATGGAGGATAAAAAATAAAAATTATAACAACTTTCAAAACATCAGAAAAGTGATTGTAAACTCAATTTTGCAAAGTGAGTTACGAAGTATATTTAGACTTATTAACATAAAAAGAGATAGTTAAAGTAACTGAAGTGGCTCCAGAAAGCAGGTCTCTTGACCCTAGTCCAATGCTTTTCCCACATTAACTCCCTCCTGAACATTTCCTTGGTCTCACAGTCCCCAGCTCCTTGGTTTTACTTCCTAAAGATGCCATCTAAGATCTAACAATAACCATTTCAAAGATAAGAACTAGTACTTTGGATTCTATCACCCCTCATCCTCCTACCTTGCCAATATCCAATCTTTGATAAAACATAGCATTAATTTCTCTATTCTTCATCATGGGCTACAACTAAAAAGCATTTTAGGAGAAACTTAAGAATATTAGCAGGCTATTTCCACTACATATTGCTGCTCCTCAAACTCCATAAGACTCTTCATTTACAGACAACAACCCAGCAGCACTGGGAACAGAGATATGAACAAAACATGGCAGCCCTCACAGTTCTCAGCCACCTCCCTTGCAGTTGCCCCATCACATTTTATTACAAGCTCTAGTTCCTCAATCTCCTCAACTTCCTCCCCATCTACCAGGCCCTTCCTCCTGTCTCCATTTTCTTCCCTGACCAGTTAAAAGTCTATAGTCTATTACTTGAAACACTCAATTCCCTTTCCCTACAATCCAGCTGTTAACATCTATGAGGCGAAACTCCAAACCTGCAGGAGGCTAACTGTCCTTGGCACCCACATGAAGTTAACTCAGGTGCTCAGGGTAATCTCTCAAATATGAGTGCTCCTAGTATAAACTCTGCTAGTTCTCAATCTCAGTGGTTGCCCTCAATCATCTCTCTCAAAGCATTCTCTCTAGCTATCCTTAGCTCACTCTGCTTCTTTAGTGCCTATTTCAATTTTTCTCTGATAGCCTCAAACCTCCCAACCTGCCATTTCCCACCATCATTCTCAACACGTGGCCACGGTTCTTACTCAGCAGTCTTCAGACAGAACTCTCCCATTTTCCAATCATCTCACCTAGAAAATTACCAGCACCCAAGCCCATCTTTTCCACCTTCTGTCTTGAAAGTTGGAGATGAGTTCCCCTTGCTTAACCATTTATCTGCTAAATCTCCTCTTCAAATTAGATATATTCCCTGTGATTTTCAGACTAATATGTGTAGCTGCCTGGACACTGGACTTCATAACCTGGATGCCCTACAAGCAGTTGACACTCAAAATATCCAATGGTGAAATCATTTTATCCTCCAAATCTGCTCCTCTTGTACTTACAGCTGACAAAGCAAAAATCTGAATCTACTGCTCAACTCCTCTGTCTCCTCAGTCTCAACTGATGTCCTTGTCCCCATCCAATAATTGTCAGTCCATGGTTTTAAGCTTTCTGATCCCTCCTTTTCCTCCCCATTCTCATTCTAGTCCAGGTCCCTGTCATTTGGCCTATTTGACTGCATTGCCCTTCTGTCTCTAGTCTGGCCTCTCTTCAGTCTCCTCTTCATACTACACCCTTAATGTGTCCCTGCAATTAGAATGTGATCCTGGGACAACCTTGTTTACAACCCTTTAGTGACTTGCTACAGCCCTGAGGACAGAGTTTAAACTCTTAACCGAGATGGTAAGGCTCTTCCTGGCTTTACCTGCATCTCCTTACCAACTTTCCAACTCCCAACTCCAGCCCCTCTAATCACTGTTTAGGTCGAAGTGTCAACTCGTTCTTAATCTCCATTTTCTCTCCAATAATCAAGTCTTTAATCTTTTGCACTCCTTACATTCAATAACATTTGTCTTGGTTGATAATACACAATATATGACAACTCTCTTCTTCCCTGGTCCCTGTGATAATGTACATTTGTCCAGGTCTTCTTCTACCTATGTTCTTCCTCTTAATAGAAATACACTATACAATGACGTATTACTAAATACCCAATGACTGTTTGCATGAGATAACTTTTAAAAAGAAAAATACAATGTGTTCATTCCCAAATGTTTATTAAGAATGTATCTATGCCAGGTGCTGTTCAGGGTGCTGGGGACACAGCAATGAACAAAATAAAGTCTCTGCCTTCCTGGAGCTTATATTGTAGTGGAGGAGCCAGAATGTTAATAAAGAAGTACTTAATAAATCATAAATGCTATTAAGAAAAATAAAATAGGTAAGGGGATAGTGAATCATAAACAAAGTGAGGGAACAAGCCATGGGAACATCTTGGCATGGGTGGATAGAGATGTTAAAGAAGGAGACAGCATGTACAAAGGCTCCATGGCAGGAACAGCTTGACGTGTTTGAGGAACATCAAAGACCAGTGTGACTAGGCACGGGTTTGGAAAATGAGGTTGGAGAGGTGGCCAGGGCCCATGTAGGGCCTTATAGGCCATAGCAAAGAAGGATTTTTGGATACTGTTACAAGTGCTATGGGATGCTCTTGGAGGGTTTGAGCAAGAAACTGTTATAATTCTATTTCTATTTTAAATGGGCCAATTTTGCTGCTGTGTGGAGAACAGACTGTAAGGAGACTAGGATGAAAACAGGAAGACCAGTCGGGGGCATCTGTAATAGTTCCGATAAGAGATAGGCCTACAGAAGAGTGAAGTGGCCTGGTGGAACTGGTAACAAGTGGGGGTATTCTGGATATATTTTGAAGATACGGCCAATGTGATTTGTTAATTTACAGGAGATGAAAGGGAAATAAAGGAATCCAGATGATTCCTAAGTTTCAGGTGGGCAAGTAAGTGGATGCTGGTGTCATTTTATTTACAGATGGGAGAAGACGGGAAACAGCAGTTTTTAGGAGAAAATCAATAATGCAGTTTTGGCCATTTTAAGTCAGCACAATCTTGCGGATCTGCAAGTCATAATTAGGCAGTTGGATATGTGACTTTAGATCTCAGAGAAGCACAGGTAGAGATATACCTTTGAGACTCATGGACTTGGAGATTATACTAAAAAGCCACAGGCCTATGTAAGATCACTTAGGGAAACAGAGAAAAGAAAAGGTCTGAGAACTGAGTCCTGGGACATGCCAACATTTAGGAGCCAGGAAGAGAAAAATGAATTAATAAAGGAGATTGAGAAGAAACAGCCAGTGGAAGTAGGGGGAAAATTAGAAGGGGGGTAATTCAGGAAATGAAGTAGAAAGAATATATCACAAAAGAGGAAGAAATCAATGGTTTCAAAGATAAAAGGCTGAGTAATGAAATAAAAATTGATAACTGCATATAGTAACATGGAATGAATGTGGTTAGGTGGAGTGGGGCAAGGTGCTGGGGGATGACAGGCCGAGAGTGGTGGATTTAAGAGAGAGTGGAAGTTGAAGAATTGGAAATTTTGCTGTCCCTCTACTCTTCTTGTAGAGAGTTTTGCTCTAAAGGGTGGTAAGAAATGGAAAATAGCTGGAGGGGGATGTGTGGTCAAGTTGGGGTGTTTTAACATGTGTTTCTTATTCCTTCAGATGAGATAAATCATAGCATGTTCATATGCTACAAATAATACAGTACAGGGGTGGGTGGTGTCACATAGTGCTGGAGCTGCTGCGTAAGGGTATCGAAGTCAATGGCCAAGTCAATGGTATCGAAGAGGGAAGAAGTCCAGCAATGTATTTCATATATCCAGTTAAAAAAACTTTAGGGTTCAAAACAAAGCAAAACCAATTACCACTAATCTTGTAAACAATTTAAACACTGAAAAAGTTAGCAGAGTGAATAAAGTTTTTATACATATACAGAAAAAAACTTGCTCATTTCTCAAAAGGCCTTTCCCTTGAACCTCTGCAGAAACAGCTGATTCCTCAGCAGCATCATGAGAACAAACCAGTTAATGATGGTTAATAAAACTATAAGATTAGTGGCTCAGCTGTAATACAGTGTTGATGCATCCAATTCCCCAAAATAACCAATAAATTAAATGTTTAATACAATTAAAAATACAATAGAGATGAGAAAATTATGTAATAAGAAACGGATATAACTGCAGGAACAAATTCTTTTGAGTAGGAAATAGCAAGATCCAATGCTTAAGCAGAGGGATAAGGGTCAGTCTTGGAAGGGAGCAGAGAGATGCAGGAAGCTGTAAGGTCTGCTTGTGGGAATACTGAGGAAGTTCTATTCTCAGTGAAACAAGCAGCAAGGGCATAGCATGATGGAAGGGGACCAAGTGAGGAAGGGCATTGTTTGGAGAGAAGTGTTAGATGTTTAAGAAGTCAGGAAATATAGTAGGGTTGCTAGACAGTGCTAAGGTCCATTAGAAGCTAGAGAAAGTGAGTTCAGTAAGCATGGTTATATTTTTCTCCTGTTACTTTTGGCTGTTCACTTACAAGCATGAGTAGGGTTTGGGTTTTTCTAAGCAAGTAACAGGGAGAATGGGCAAGGGTTTTGAGGGGATAAATTCAAAGGAGTAATTAAAATGATAAAGCATGGAACAAGTTGGGGAAATGAGGACATTAGTGGAGTAAATGATAATGAAAAAGCAGTGGGGTAAATGAATTGGAAGTCAAGCAGGGGTTGGAGATAAGACTGAAAGGATTAAGGTGACAAGTCAGAGAGTAGCATGCTTAAAATGAAGGCTCTTGAGGTGGTGTGGTCGCTGGAAATATGACCGTGAGAGTGAGTAGCTTGAGGTAAGGATGTCAAGGAATAACTGCAGAGTAGAGACAGATACTACCTGTTTCATAAAGAATACTGACTTTATGAGCCACCTGAAGGATAGAGGAATCTTTTCTACCTATCATCTAAATCATCTTTAGAAATTCAAATTGATGTTAATTATCAGACTATGTATATACAGACTCTGCTGATTCCTAAGGTAACTACATTAAATGAACATACTTGCTGTGGATATTTTATGTAAGACATTTTCTTTTACACTTATAAATTCTGGGAGTTAATTATTATGTCCCCATTTTATAGACGAAGCAGTTGCAGTGCAAAGATGGCTAAGTAACTTGACCAACATTACAGAGCTATGAAAATGGTGGGGTCAGGATTAAAACCTAGGTAGGACTACCTGACCAGAAAACTGAAGACTTTTTCTGCTTCTTAATGATGCCTTCAAAGAAAGCCTAACTCTTCTTAAATATAATCTCATTGTTAAGGGCAAATACACCTTTCTCATTCTAAGGATTGTGGGATCTAGTCTTTCACTTCAAGACCTAGTTAAATCTAAATATTAAAATACTGGTAAGTCAACTTTAGATATAATTTCTGGATAAGCCGTTTTCATATTTCCACAGAATTGTATCAAAAGGATTCAGCAAGGTAATTGCAGTTGAGAACTTTTTAATTCTTTCCAAAGTAATCTGACTTTCTGACTCTGCATATTAAACATTATACTCAATTTTGGGGGGAAAATCTACAGATAAGGCACAGATAAGCCAATCAGCTTAGAAATAATACTAAAATCTGTATAAAATAAATTGTCCATGTACCCTTTTAATCAAAATAAGATGACAGAGATTTAAATTTGGCCTAAGCCTTAAAATCTGGTTATATTATACCCAAAGGTAAGAAAAGCAATTACTTCTTATAAGAGCTTCTTGAAAATGGCAAATATTAATTTGATTATTTTAATGGATTGGTATTACTAAACATATCTTAACAAGTTATGGTCTTATCTGACCCTAACTAACAGGGGAAGTCTTAAGATGGAGCACTTGGTAAGTTTTTCTCTGTCAAAAAATAAAAGGTAAGAATCAAGTGGCTGTTACTTTGGAGTACAGATAATTATTATTAACAGGATACATAAATGTGCAGATCACAATATGTATATTTTATAGGTGACACCTTTGCATTGCTACTTCCATAATGCTGGGAGCTTTTGCCCTAAATCATCTCCTATCTTTCTAGATCTTTCTGGTGGTCAAAGCAGCAGTGCAATCAGTGACTCCACACCATAAGGAGAAAGACCCATCTCTGACTCCACTCAGCAGAACCACAACATCCAGACTAAAAAACATTTAAAAAATTTCCTTGGTGATAATTGCTTTACTTTTTATCCACAAAAAGTATCATTAATACCGACTTGTACACTTAATCTGCTTTAAAGATTGTAGAACACAAACTAAATAGGCATGGTTCCTCCCTTCTAAAGTTAAGAATCGAAACAATGATCTACGTTTTAAGGAGTCTATATAGAATCCAACTTGAATTTTACAGAATATCAAATTACTCAGGGGGGGTTTCAGCTATTATGCTTGAGAATTCAAGTGATGAATTCCCTTAAAGTTGAGGTGTCATCTAGACAGAAGAGACAAAGTATATATTCATAATTACTGGAGGTCTTATGTTGGCACAGTGAGCTGCTATGAGTTTTATAGTGCCCAAATAAGTATTGCAACAAAATAAAGCTCATGCTGGCTTCTTTCCTTGTTTTCTATGACTTTCTTCCTATGCTGCTGACCACTATTAGATCACTTTCATTCTCACTGAATTTCAATGCATATAGCCACCATTTCTCAGGGTTTACAATGTATAAGGAATGGGGCTAACAGTGTACGTCTAGTGACATATTTAATCCCCTAGTATATTATTATTAAAACAATAACATTAAAATTTTATTAATTTTAGATTTGAGAAAACTGTGGGCCAGAGAAGCCAAAGATAGCTAGTAAGATATGGAAAAGAGGATGCAAGCCTACAGCATGTGAGCTAAACACTATGCCATATACCTTGTAATATTTTAGACTAGCAAAAAATATGGCCTAGAAAACAAAGGGAAGAATGTAGAAACTGGAAAGCTGCATGTTTCTCCATTTATGAAAACAATTACTCCATGTTATTTAACTGGGATTGCATTTGGCTGCAAATAAGAAAACAACTAAACGGTATCTTACATATAAAGTTTATTTTGTTTCCTGTAATCAAGCAGAAGTCTGAAGTATGTGACTGCTGGCTTTTGGTTCTGCAGCTAAAATAGGTCACGGCTGAGGTCTCTGCAACTCTCTTTGGCATTCATTCAAAGTTGTAAAATGGCTGCTACATCTCCAGCCATCATAAGAAAGAAAGAGAAAATGATAAAGAGGAAAGGGTGGCACCCACGTCAAGAAAGTAAATGTTTGACATAAATCCCCAGCAACCTGGAATTAAATATAATTGGCCCTAATTGTGTCACAGTGTAATCCTGAAGCTAAATGTAGCATCACTGAAAAAAAAAAAGATAAAAATCCAAAACAAAAACACAACCCAAAAAACTCCAAATCTATTTTAGTAAAGAAGAAAGCGTCGATGATATTAGGTGAATAAATAGTACTGTCTTCCACATTTGACTTCACAAGAAAGAAATTTGGTATGTTTGAGTTTCATGACAAATGATGTGCAATGCATCATATAAAAACAACTTTGCACAAGAGAAGATATAGTTAATCATTTTAATTTTAAAGTATAGAGAGGGTGATTGCCTACTAAGAATCCATTCTGGCTTTATTATTCCTTCCTAAACTAACTACATGTAGTTAATCTATGTATATGTCCCCAGCATTATTCGAAAAAAGTCAATGGCATTCTGCTCTGGAGGTCAGTGGTTCTCAAACATAGCTTGCACCAAAATTATCTGAGAGGTTTTTTTTTTTTTTTTTTTTTTAAGATAACTGGGCCCTACCCACAGAGTTTCTGATTTAGTGAGTCTGGGGTGGTGCCTGATAATTTATATTTCTAATGAGCTCCCAAGGGATTCTAAAATTGCTGGTCCAGGGACCACATCTTAAGAATTACTGCTCTAAAGGTAGACACCAATTAGTTTAAGGCAAACAGTAGAAACTATCTAGGTCTGGGGTAGGCACGTGATGTCATTTGGCCCAATTGGACTAAAAGAAACTCTGTTACGTTGTACTTGGTGAACGGTTTTATTCTGTCTCACCAGTTTGGCTAGAACAAGAAAGCCTATAGCTCCAAAATCATTGTCAATCACTTTGTGATTACAAGAGAGTATGTCTTAAGAAACTGATGATGAAGTTAACACAGCGGAAATATGGCGAAAATCTTGGATCCTTAATTGAGCCTCTTGTGTCACAGTACCTCCAGACTTCAGCTAGTTTGAGGCAAGATATTCTGAAGCTTGTAATCAAAAGCATCCTAATTAAGACAAAAGATAAACCTGAAGTTTAAATAAAGAACACAATTTTATTTTCTTTAAAGCAGAACATGAATAAATAACATCTCTATATAATCCAAAGCTCATGTGAGTTATTGGTTTAAAATATTCCTCTACGCCATATTTTTACAATAACTGTTAACGAGTACCAAAATGGATAGTTTGATTTTTTCCCACTGTCTGGCCTCTACCTAATGAATAGTAAAAAGAAAGTGGAGAAAGTAGAAAGCCTAAATCATTTTATCCTGAGTGAATAAATAATTATCAATTAATTAAGCTGACTAAATGAAATAATTGAATTTTCTTGCTTTCTTATTGCCAATTTTGAATTTTCCCAATATAATCTCTACTCTCTGCCTCTCACTGCTATCCACAGAGAGGCCAAAGAAGAGAGGAAACAAAGAAGACTCAATTAAATAAAACAAACTGAATAACACGGTGATTTTAAATTTTGCAGAGTTCAGGGGTCACTGAAGCAATAATTTGTTGTTTAGGGAATCCTAAAGTTTTAATAAAATAGTATTTGTAATTAGTTATTTTTATTCTGAGAATTTTGGGGATGCTTTTTAACTGAAGATGCCAATGAATTTAAAACTTTAGAACCATGTAAGATGACCCGTCTTTAGTTAAGGAATGCAATAGGACAGAAAAGCGCAGAGAAAACAAGAATTGAGATGGCATGGAATTCAAAACTATGACTACTTATATACTGAAAAATAATTATAGAAGCTGTTTAACAACGGACACCTCCAGCAGCTACTTCCCTTCATCTGTTTGCCTGAGTACTCCGTACCTCCAAGGTGCTGGCTATCATCAATCTTCTCTTTCCTCACTGGCCACCTCCTCACAAAACAAAGCAGCCCAAGAAACCCTCTTCATTAGAACACTGTGCCAAGCACAAATAAATTCTCATTTCACTACTAAGGTGAAAGAATAGATATGGAGATGAGTATATTTTATCATTAGCAACACGAAAATAAGTTTCAACTGTGATATTAAAGTGGTAATATTTACTTCATTCATAATTGAAAGACATGTTCAAAATAATTCATTTTGGGAACACTAGTATGTAGTACCAGCCTGAAACAAATTATGCACATACTTACGTCTTGTAATTTATTTAATTGCTTTCTAATTCCTCATTTTCTTAACTAAATTAGCTAAAAGGGGAAGTATATGACCAAAAAATGAATGTCCATCATCTAAATTAGTATACAATGAATTCATCTTTCAAACTATAAGATCCAAGATGGGCAGATTTCTATCCCTGCCTTAAAGGAATACTGCCTATTTAAACAGATTCACAGAGGGTTTGATGGTCTCATTTAGATATTCCTGCTTCTACAGAAGTTAGCACAAAATACACTGGTGGCAAGCAGTTAATTCATTAATCAGCCAAATTATTTTTGAAGAAAAGATAGCATTAAACAACACAGTACTGAAAGTGCAATTGTGGTTGTCTGAGGTCCCTGTCTGCAAAACGTGTGGTAAAGACAAGCAATGCCTATGCTGTTTCTAATTATTCCAATTATCATGGCACACTATGAAAACTTGATTAATAACACTGAAGATATTGTTGTGGCAATTAGCCATATGGTTGTGGGACTTTATTCTGTCACGATTTAGCCATTAGCATCTACTTATGTTTGTCAGAACAGTGCATCCGTGACAAGTTGAAGTTCCGCTCACCTTGCCAAGTCCCCTGTGAGCAACACTAGAGAACTGTTTATTCCTAGGAGCCTTTTGCCTGAGTAAATTTTTCACGTGGCATCCGGTCTGACTGGGGACAAATGTCAAATAACTTATCTGATGACCCATCAAGCTAATCTTTCTCTGAAAAACCACTCAGTGACATGTGTGTTTAAACAAACTAACTGAAGAAATTTTACTTGACCAGTAATAGCTGGTTATCTATATTTCCCCACATATTCCCATGGTCAGTAATTAAGAGAAACTAATTTTCGTATACTGATATATAGAAATCTATAAATACAGCATTAGAAAGGATATATGTGTACATATGTACACACACATGCCATATAGCAAAAAATTTACTGCCTACAGTATTTTTGCATGACATTTGCAGTGAATTTACTCAGGAAAGTTGAGAAGATAATCCTTTTAATTATTAGTGAGGAGTTCATTTTAAGGAAAAAGAGAAGTAAAGACATTGGTCAGTTTCTAAAATTAATGCTAGGGCAAACACATACCTTGCAGTAGAAGATTAAAAAGCTCAATTAAGAAAAACAAAGTTTACATTTTGAAATGGAATTAATGTTAATGTGAGAAATATAGCAGTATATGTTTGCTTAATTAATTAGCTAATTAATTAATTTTTATAAGATAAAGCTTTGATATAGTTGCTAGCAGTAGGCAAATTTGCCAGTTTTTCTTAGAAGCTAGAAGAATGGTAAACAGTTCCCACTGTGTTTACAAACCCTTAAGGCAGCTCAGAGCTCCCCAGATGGAAGTGACGGGTACTGGGGGGTAAAGTAACACAAGAGGGAGATAGCAAGAGTTCTGTGTTTCCATTTCATGTTTGGGTCCCCTCTATACTGGGAATGGGTCACAACATGAAGGGATAAGCAGTTACCCAGGTCTTGCCTGCAAATGTTCAGTTTGAGAAGTTCACAAGGAGAGACAATAAAAAAGTGGTCTATGTTCCTGAGGTATAACCACATTGGGCCAGTGGGGTCGGCCTTCAGACAATCAGGAGTTTGAAATCCCCAATGAAGTAGGCTCACATATAATTCCAGCTACTACCACAGGCAGGGAGGTGGCAACAGCAGTGCTGGGGTGCAGCCATGGCTGAGGGGCTGGGCACATACAGGGCCTCTGAGTGAGATGTAAGATTTCACTGGCCTCTGTACTATATCAATACCTGATTTAGAGTAGCCTTATGAAGGAAGTACATGTCTGACAAATAGAAAATATAGCCATGGGTTGTCACTGTAACTTAACAAAAGTATTTATTGTTTCATGTTAGGAAACTGACTTACAAGTGTTGTCCCTTGGAGTTTCCAAATTCTTCCAAGGGCAGCTGAAAGAGCAGAGGGATTATTAAGAGGGACATGTCACCATAATGAAGTCTAGAGTCAATGATGGGGTGGGGAGGACTAGCTTCCTTGCAGGGATCTAAAGAATTTTATCTATTCACATACATTTATAAAATAAGTACAGCTGTGTGTATAGTAGCGGTATCTAGAAATCTTCTATCAGTAACCCATGTCTCTGGTACTTTCTTAGTCACCACTGGGTCATCTCACTGTAGATAAACTTCTGAACAACAGGCACTGGCTTCTGCAACTTACAACGTTCTGAAAATGTCACATTAATATTTACAGAAGTCCCTCAATTTTGCATAATGACTCTACTGTGATAATTTTATTTTTAGAAAAATATGCAAGTAAATATTTTCTGCATATTATAAAACTATATTTTCCTATAAAACAATCTGTCTTGCTATACTAAATAACAATGGCTAATACTTATTTGAGTGATTACTATGTTGAGCACTTTACATGTAGCTCTTTATTAAATTCTGAATTCTTTTTTTTTTGAGATGGAGTCTCGCTCTGTCGCCCAGGCTGGAGTGCAGTGGCATGATCTCCGCTCACTGCAAGCTCTGCCTCCTGGGTTCACGCCATTCTCCGGCCTCAGCCTCCCGAGTAGCTGGGACTACAGGCGGCCGCCACCACGCCCGGCTAATTTTTTGTATTTTTAGTAGAGACGGGGTTTCACTGTGTTAGCCAGGATGGTCTCGATCTCCTGACCTCATGATCCACCCACCTCGGCCTCCCAAAGTCCTGGGATTACAGGCGTGAGGTACCGCGCCTGGCCTAAAATCTGAATTCTTAAAAGGTATTTCCCTCATCTTGTAGATGAGAAACTGCAGCCTGGAGATGCCAGTTACTTTTATCAGGTCACACAGAGTAAGGAGTAGAGTTGGGATTCAATTCTTGGGAGGCTGACTCATATTCTTAATCACCGTTCTATATTACCTTCTAATAAATGACATTTAAATATAGTAACACTTTTAGACTACTACATTTAAATGATGAGAAGTAGCTGGGAATACATTAATAGAACATTAAAAATAACTGCAAAACAAATATTCAAGCTAAAAATTGCAGTATGAATTAACAATACACTCAAACTTAATTCTTCTGACACAGAACTCATCATTTTACCTCTCTCCCACCCCAACTTTTATCTTCTTCCATAGTAGTAATTACTCCTAGTCCTTAAGGCCTCCCTCTTCCCATCCCCAATACAGCATTCGCTGCCTACTTGTAGTTATCTTCCCCACTCCAACTCCACTGCTATTGACCTTATCATTTCTTAATAGATGCTCCATCAGCTTTCTAACTAGTCTCCCTGCTGCCATCTTATTTAGGGCCATTCTGCTGCCACAGATATCTTTCTAAGATATAAATATGACCAATTCTGTCCCACACTGCTCACCTAATGAATGCCTTTGTGTGGCATCTAAAATCCTGACTATCTGCTGAGACTTATCTTTGTCACTTCCTCATATGCAGGTCACATTTTAGTCTATCCTAATTGTAGACTACAGAGTCATTTAATACTTGTCAGGAATGCTCTGCCTTCTTACATACATTTGGAGAACTTTTTCAAAACCTTGCTCAATAATCTCTTCTTGCTTGAACCACTTCCTGATTATCAAGAAGCACAGATGACCATTCTTATTCTGACATATGTCCACTCCATTGCTACACATGCCTCTTATTTCAGAATCACATGCCTCTTATTTACAGGGCTAATTTCTTCTACACACCAAGATGAACTCCTTGAGCTGTATTTCTAGTTAGTACAGTATGTAATAGGTACCAAATTAAAGGAAAATATTTAATCTACAACTTAAATTGGTTACACATACTCTTTTACATATTAGCTAATGTCAAGGCTGACTATTAAAATAAATTTTTCCTTATTCCAAAAGCAATCTGTATATGTCTCAGGAAAGCTAGCAAACAAAAGCATAAGCAAAAGGAAGAAAAAAAGATACCCCTAATCTCATTGCCCAGAAATTATTTTGGATTATGCTTTTCCAATTTTATTTTTATGCACATATAATATATAAACAAATTTACTTTATAATAAAAATATGACCATAACACGCATATTATAATCTTTTTTCTATGTCAACAAATATTAACCACTGAAGAGTCATTTAAAGTGAATGTATACTTTTCCCTTATATGTATATACTATTACCTATTAAATTATTCCTCTATTTTTAGGCATTTAAATTTATAGAATTTTTCAGTGTATCCTCTATTTCCTTCTCCTGCCTAATTGCCCTGGCCAGAACTTCCAACACTATGTTGAATAGGAGTGGTGAGAGAGGGCATCCCTGTCTTGTGCCAGTTTTCAAAGGGAATGCTTCCAGTTTTTGCCCATTCAGTATGATATTGGCTGTGGGTTTGTCATAGATAGCTCTTATTATTTGGAGATACGTCCCATCAATACCTAATTTATTGAGAGTTTTTAGCATGAAGCGTTGTTGAATTTTGTCAAAGGCCTTTTCTGCATCTATTGAGATAATCATGTGGTTTTTGTCTTTGGTTCTGTTTATATGCTGTATTACATTTATTGATTTGCGTATATTGAACCAGCCTTGCATCCCAGGGATGAAGCCCACTTGATCATGGTGGATAAGCTTTTTGATGTGCTGCTGGATTCGGTTTGCCAGTATTTTATTGAGGATTTTCGCATCAATGTTCATCAAAGATATTGGTCTAAAATTCTCTTTTTTGGTTGTGTCTCTGCCCGGCTTTGGTATCAGGATGATGCTGGCCTCATAAAATAAGTTAGGGAGGATTCCCTCATTTTCTATTGATTGGAATAGTTTCAGAAGGAATGGTACCAGTTCCTCCTTGTACCTCTGGTAGAATTCGGCTGTGAATCCATCTGGTCCTGGACTCTTTTTGGTTGGTAAGCTATTGATTATTGCCACAATTTCAGATCCTGTTACTGGTCTATTCAGAGATTCAACTTCTTCCTGGTTTAGTCTTGGGAGAGTGTATGTGTTGAGGAATTTATCCATTTCTTCTAGATTTTCTAGTTTATTTGCGTAGAGGTGTTGGTAGTATTCTCTGATGGTAGGTTGTATTTCTGTGGGATCGGTGGTGATATCCCCTTTATCATTTTTTATTGTGTCTATTTGATTCTTCTCTCTTTTCTTCTTTATTAGTCTTGCTAGCGGTCTATCAATTTTGTTGATCCTTTCAAAAAACCAGCTCCTGGATTCATTAATTTTTTGAAGGGTTTTTTTTGTCTCTATTTCCTTCAGTTCTGCTCTGATTTTAGTTATTTCTTGCCTTCTGCTAGCTTTTGAATGTTTGCTCTTGCTTTTCTAGTTCTTTTAATTGTGATGTTAGGGTGTCAATTTTGGATCTTTCCTGCTTTCTCTTGTGGGCATTTAGTGCTATAAATTTCCCAAATTGTCCCTGTTTGCAGACGACATGATTGTATTATCTAGAAAACCCGATTGTCTCAGCCCAAAATCTCCTTAAGCTGATAAGCAACTTCAGCAAAGTCTCAGGATACAAAATCAATGTACAAAAATCACAAGCATTCTTATACACCAACAACAGACAAACAGAGAGCCAAATCATGAGTGAACTCCCATTCACAATTGCTTCAAAGAGAATAAAATACTGAGGAATCCCACTTACAAGGGATGTGAAGGATCTCTTCAAGGAGAACTACAAACCACTGCTCAATGAAATAAAAGAGGATACAAACAAATGGAAGAACATTCCATGCTCATGGGTAGGAAGAATCAATATTGTGAAAATGGCCATACTGCCCAAGGTAATTTATAGATTCAATGCCATCCCCATCAAGCTACCAATGACTTTCTTCACAGAATTGGAAAAAACTACTTTAAAGTTCATATGGTACCAAAAAAGAGCCCGCATCGCCAAGTCAATCCTAAGCCAAAAGAACGAAGCTGGAGGCATCATGCTACCTGACTTCAAACTATACTACAAGGCTACAGTAACCAAAGCAGCATGGTACTGGTACCAAAACAGAGATATAGATCAATGGAACAGAACAGAGCCCTCAGAAATAACGCCACATATCTACAACTATCTGATCTTTGACAAACCTGAGAAAAACAAGCAATGGAGAAAGGATTCTCTATTTAATAAATGGTGCTGGGAAAACTGGCTAGCCATATGTAGAAAGCTGAAACTGGATCCCTTCCTTACACCTTATACAAAAATTAATTCAAGATGGATTAAAGACTTAAACGTTAGACCTAAAACCATAAAAACCCTAGAAGAAAACCTAGGCATTACCATTCACAGGACATAGGCATGGGCAAGGACTTCATGTCTAAAACACCAAAAGCAATGGCAACAAAAGCCAAAATTGACAAATGGGATCTATTTAAACTAAAGAGCTTCTGCACAGCAAAAGAAACTACCATCAGAGTGAACAGGCAACCTACAAAATGGGAGAAAATTTTTGCAACCTACTCATCTGACAAAGGGCTAATATCCAGAATCTACAATGAACTCAAACAAATTTACAAGAAAAAAACAAACAACCCCATCAATAAGTGGGCAAAGGATATGAACAGACACTTTCCAAAAGAAGACATTTATGCAGCCAAAAGACACATGAAAAAATGCTCATCATCACTGGCCATCAGAGAAATGCAAATTAAAACCACAATGAGATACCATCTCACACCAGTTAGAATGGCAATCATTAAAAAGTCAGGAAACAACAGGTGCTGGAGAGTATGTGGAGAAATAGGAACACTTTTACACTGTTGGTGGGACGGTAAACTAGTTCAACCATTGTGGAAGTCAGTGTGGCGATTCCTCAGGGATCTAGAACTAGAAATACTATTTGACCCAGCCATCCCATTACTGAGTATATACCCAAAGGACTATAAATCATGCTGCTATAAAGACACATGCACACGTATGTTTATTGCGGCACTATTCACAATAGCAAAGACTTGGAACCAACCCAAATGTCCAACAATGATAGACTGGATTAAGAAAATGTGGCACATATACACCATGGAATACTATGCAGCCATAAAAAATGATGAGTTCATGTCCTTCGTAGGGACGGGGATGAAATTGGAAATCATCATTCTCAGCAAACTATCGCAAGGACAAAATACCAAACACCCCATATTCTCACTCATAGATGGAATTGAACAATGAGAACACATGGACACAGGAAGGGGAACATCACACTCTGGGGACTGTTGTGGGGTGGGGAGAGGGGGGAGGGATAGCATTAGGAGATATACCTAATGCTAAATGACGAGTTAATGGGTGCAGCACACCAGCATGGCACATGTATACATATGTAACTAACCTGCACATTGTGCACATGTACCCTAAAACTTAAAGTATAATAATAATAATAAAAGAATTTTTCAGTATAATACTATTGCCAAAAAATCTTTAAAGCAAAAACTCTGTAGATCATTAATTATATGGTTTTAATAAATCCCAATAATACAATTGGATGGTAAAGTTTATACATAGCTTTATGAATTTTGAAACAAACTGTGAAATTGATCCTTTCCATGAAACCTTCCAAATATGGGGTACACTGAATTATTTTGGCTTCACCTTTGCTAACCTAATAAGCAAATATGACATACCCTTGCTTTAATTAGCATGGTTTTGATTACAAAGTTAATTTTTTTTCAAATGCTTATGGGCATATACATACACATACATCTAAAACTGTCTGTACCACCTGCCCATTTTTCTATTCAGTTACTAATCCTTTTCCTATTTATTTGTAAGAAATTTTAATATATTAAGGATATTAATGCTTTGCCATATACTTGTAAACATTTTTCCTAATGTACTGTCCTTCAATTGATAATGGTTTCCCATGATATATTGAACATTTTTATTCAGTAAAACCCATCAACATCTCCTTAATGGGTTTCTTGCATTGAAATCATACATAGAAAGGTCCAGCCATACCCAAGAATACATTAATATATAGCTACATTTTTCCTAGCTTTTTAAAGCAGTTTCCTTTCACGTTTAATTCTTACATTATATGGAATTAATTTCAGCATATGGAGTGGGGTATGCATAACAGATTTATTATCCATTGTCCCAAATAGATAATAAATTATGTCAACACTATTTACTGAATATTCTATCCTTCTATACAAATTTGAAGTCACCTTTATAATATTAACACACATAAGCATGGAGACCAGATTCAATAGGTGTTCACTATTAGTATAAGCTAATTTGTATAATATACTTGAATATATGGACTTTCTATTGTGTTCTACAGAATGGCTTGCCAATTACTGTGTTAGCTGACATTGTATGTAATTCAACACCAATTAAAATTTACCTTTATTTAAATTATATACTTTTACATGTATGTTTTACAACCTAAAGTTTTGTTTCTTTGGTTTACACAGATTGCTTTTCAAGAGGGTGGTACTTGGCCCAGGAGTCAGAGATAAGGTTTTGGATGTAGATCCTTCAAGTACCAACTATGTGAATTGGATATGTTACTCAGCTTCTTGATGTCTCAGGGAACAGTATTCGTTTTTGTCTAACTCATAGTGATGCTATGAGGGCATCTGATATCAAGCACCTGAAACCACTTGTTTAATGACTATATATATTTAAGTAAATTTGGTTTAGTCTGTCTTAATTCAAAATAATCTAGTCTTTTGAAATGCTCCTCATGACACAGTCACTTATTTCAGTAGTCACCTTTAAAACTGTTCTTGTTTCCTCTCAATATAGATAATTGAGAACTAACTATAGCAATTTTTCTCAGGTACAAATTAAATTAAAAAAAATTATTGACAAGTTACCTAAAATCATAAGCCTAAATTTTTTTTCTGACATAGCAGGAGGGAAGAGTAATAATAAACATGCCTCACTTTCTTAATTTCCTGAGATGAAGCAACTGAGTTGTAAAAATATAAAAATCCCTACACTTTCTATCACTTAAAAAAAAAAATCAAAGAAAGTCTGAGCTCGGAATTTTTTGAGTTTAGATTTAAATCTAAATTATCCCTTGGGACAAGAGTAGAGGCTCATGTCTGTAATCCTAACACTTAGGTGGGAGAATCACTTGAGCCCAAGGGCTTGAGATCAGCCTGGGCAACACAGCAAGACCTCATCTCTAAAAAACAACAACAAAAAAATTAGTCAGGTGTGGAGACACATCCCTGTAATTCTTGCTACTTGGGAAGCTGACGTGGGAGGATCCCTTGAGTCCAGGAGCTGGAGGCTGCAGTGAGCTACGATCACATCACTGCACTCCAGCCTGGGTGACAGAGCGAGACCCTGTCTCTACAACATAAAAAGTCGTCCATTAGATGGAGCCCCCCCACCTCATACTTACAATATCATCTTGGACTTTAAATTCTTGGGAAGAGACAAGTAAAATTTAAAGATCATTCATCACATTTAATAGTTCCATAATTAATTTATTCCAAAATAAGTTAAATTGGACAAATAATTTCTCCTATAATTGCAATAGCATTGTGTATTTGCTGAAAATCACCTTGGAACTATCACAGCCCCATGGAATTCTTCATGTAAAAGTACAACATTGCTTTAATAAATGCCTTCACTATCAATCTTTGACCAAATCCACTGCCTGCTAATATATTAAGCAAGCGATTCTCCATTTTTAGTGTATATGCAAATCTCCTGGGCATCTTGGTAAAATGCGAATTGTCAGTGGGCTACCCTGATATGGGACCTGGGGTTCTGCATTTCCACCAAGTTTGCAGGTGACGCAGTGTTGCTGGTCCTCGCACTACACTCTGAGTAGTAAGGGATGAAGAAATGCCTTTTAAACAAAACTGGCTATAATTATCACTGGCTTTAATTTACCTCTCATACAATTCTTCTTGGCTGTCTTTTTTTCTGATTTCTCTTGCCACTTTCCACTTTAGACTCAATTTCATTCATGGGGTCAATCTACTGGCCACAGTAGTTAATCATAAAGGCTGCAGGCAAAACGCACTAAATTCTAATAATCCTTTATTAGCCGTTGTGGAGTATATGACCCATTCCTACCAGAGATACCTGCCTACTTCATCAAAGATTCACCTGGATGGCACCAGAAGAAACCTGTTCTCTTCATTCTAAGTGTATTTTTTATGAATAGCTTTGAAATAAATTTGAAATTGAAACTGAAACAAAATACCACCAAACACTAGAATCTCTAAATTCTAGACTGAGATATTTGGTTATTAGGAATAGACAATCACAGGCTGAGTAACATGGAATTTAACTACAAATTCTATCATTACCTTGCAAAACGGGTAGAGAAAAAGGTGTATTAAAACTGAGAAAAAGAAATGGGGAAAAGTAGCAGAAACTCAAATAGGTGGAGTTGAAAATGAGATTAATGGCATCTGATGGAAATTATCCAAAACTGAAAGAAATCCACTTGCTTTCTTTGGGATTCTATACATACATGAGGAATTAATAAATGTCCCACAATGTTTTATTTTTGCTTCAATTAGTCTATCAGTATATATCAGTGGTTCACAAACTTTACTGTACATCAGAATCACTTTCAGGGCATGTTAAAACATAGATTCTTAGTCGCCTCTAACACTTTCTGGTTAAGTAGGTGGGTGGGACTGAAGAGTCTGAATTTCTGACAAGCTCTCAGGTGATGGCTGGTGCTGCTGGTTCTGGGATGACACTTGAGAATCACTGGTATACATTATTCTGAAAACCAGTTGTGTGTATGATTTTTCTGTTTAAAATAACTAATTACTACTTTTTAAATATCTGGGCTTTCATTTGAGTGATACTTCTCATTTCCCATGCATTTTAAATCAGTATGGTGATTGTAACTTTCTACCTAGTACGAAATACAAGTACAAGAAGCTTACAACATTGTTCTGTTTGACTGATGTATAGCAATGCTTAAAAACTTTTTAGAGGTTGGGGTTCCTAAAAATAAATAAGGGCAGGAAGATAATCAGCAGAGAGCTGAGAGGTTCCCAAATGAAAATTATTGTTTTGTCCTTTCCATTAAATTCTTAATGTCTTCAGCTGCAGAAGAGCTCATTTCTGAGGTTCTTCTTAGCCTTATGAGTTAATCGCACCAAGAGAAGTCACTTTAACTCACATGCCTTTAGGAGTAATGATACATTTAAACGATTAAACAATTAGGAAAAAAATGCATATCTCCCTAATGAAAGCAGTTAACACACAGATCCATGGTTTATATGAGTATCACAAGTCATTTGTAAATAACATGTTCATTTTAGATATGTAAAGAGTTCTGTCATGCCCTATGAAATAAATTATATTTTATTGTTGCCCGGGTGTTTCATAACTTTTATTTATTTACTGCAAGAGTGGAGAATTAAGATAGAGTAGTTTATTTCACCAAAAGACTGACAAATGGCTCATTAGACACTTATGGAGCTGAAGCTAATCGTACAACTTTTGTTGTTGTTGTATTAATTGTCATTGCTTGCTTAGCATGCTCACACTGGTGGTCATCAGCACCCATTTTTTACCACTATCCCACAAACTACTCCCCAAAAGAAAGAAATAATGAAAAGAAAAAAATAGATAAGAAAAAAAAGGAAAACAGAACTTAAAATATGATGTGGGTTAGAGAAACGCATGGGAGGAATGACAAAGAATAAAAGTGATAGCCTTTCCCCACTGGGCCACCAATAAACATCAATCCCAAACAGCAGTCACCTCACCTAACAGCTTGAGCCAGAGTCAAAGAGCTGCTTTTTTGTTATTCAGATTAAATATCATTTACATTATATACTTTTTTATTTCACCAGAGACATAAGCTCAGAATTGATTGAATGTGTACTACCTGCATGTAATGATTTCTCCTTTTTTACAATCATGTGCTAACGTTGCTCAGTAATGGCCTATGGATGAAGAGACAGATGTACTACCAGTCATTCGCGACACATTTGCATTAACAAATCATCATTTAATTAAAGCCCATCCAACAAGTTTATGCTACTTAAATAAAGTTCCTTTCAATAAAAGATGCCACAGTGGCACACAGTTAACTATGAGGAAATTTTTTTAACTATATTTATTTTTGTGTCAAAGGCTTAGGTGTGCATTAGACAACCATTTATTAATTTTAATTTTGCTTGGAATAAACACCCTGACAAACAGCATTTCAATTCAGGCTGCTATACAACAGAATCATTTACTTTCAGATACAATCATGCAGTAACACCACAAGCTCCTGCTTCACAAATTGCTCAATCCCCAATCCCCAAATACTATAGAAGATGGCTTATATATAAGTTATACAAGACATGCATTCTAATATTCAAGCCAAAGCTCTAATATTCACATAAACCTAAAATCCTGCTATAATTAGGAAGGAATATTATTTTAAAATATCACACTAAGTTTCATGGGTAAATATTTATTCAATAGAGTCAAAATTTCTATGCTTCTTTAAATAAAAGTAGGGAGACTTGTAGTACAAATACTGATTTCAACCTTGGTTTCACAAACTGGTTGCTGTTCATGCATTTGACTCAGCAATCCCATTACTGGGTATATACCCAAAGGATTATAAATCATTCTACTATAAAGACACATGCACATGTGTGTTTACTGCAGCACTGTTCACAATAGCAAAGACTTGGAACCAACCCAAATGCCCTTCAATGTTAGACTGGATAAGGAAATGTGGCACATATACACCACGGAATACTATGCAGCCATAAAAAAGAATGAGTTCATGTCCTTTTCAGCGACATGGATGAGGCTGGAAACCATCATTCTCAGCAAACTAACACAGGAACAGAAAACCAAACACCGCATGTTCTCACTCATAAGTGGGAGTTGAACAATGAGAATATATGGGCACAGGGAGGGGAACATCATACACCAAGGCCTTTCAGCGGGTGGGGAGCAAGGGGAGGGATAGCATTAGGAGAAATACCTAATATAGATGATGGTTGATGGGTGCAGCAAACCACCATGGCACATGTATACCTATGTAACAAACCTGCACGTTCTGCACATTTATCCCACAACTTAAAGTATAATTTAAAAAAAAGAATATTCTGATTACATTTTATTACATTACCTACTTCTTTTCTTTAGTAGGGAGAAAAAACAAGAGAAAAGAAAGGAAAAAAAAAAAAGAGATTCCCTAGCACTACCTCCTACCTACAAAATTTCTCATCATCTTAAAACAAAGTTGGCTAAATATGGTAAGGGCATTTTCTCCTACCCTTTTCTGAATCCGTTTTTTTTTCCCCCCAAAAAAACCCTCAAACAACGTTTCATCTAACGTTTCATCTAACCTAAAGAGAAACATGTCAAAAAAAAAAACCACACACACACAAAAAACCCTAAGACATACAGAGAAGCAGCCACCCCATGAACCCAGATAATCTAAAAGAAAAAATTCTTTCTTGATGCTAAATGTAAGGACACACATTTAAAGCCAATTCCTACTGATTAATGCAGAGCATTATGCACTTTGTATAAATATGTATACATACATCTATTTCACGTAGGTCTATGTATTACAATAAAAGATGTTATCGGGGCATTATTCTGACAGTTTCTAAGCTGAGAGAAACTTAGTCTTTAAATGCATTTTTTATTTTCTGCAAATAAAAAATACCTTTTATTTTTCCTAGGTTGCATACATTAATGATATGTCAAATGTTTTACTTTAAAAGGCAACAGAAATCTCTAAGTGTTAAAATAAACCTTCTAATTGCCTTCTACATTATTTTTTAAAATAAAAGAAGAGAAATAAATTTTTTAAAAATGTTCTTTACTCTATCCCACACTAGATTTGTTTTGGGTTCCTTTTATAGAGTTGACTGTAGAGACTGGTGAAATTTTACCTTGGTACAGGATTCAAACTAAATAATGGGATGCAGAAATGTGTCATAAATCAACTTCAAATATTGAACAGAAGACAAATAACAGAAGATTTATATTCTGACATAAAGAACCATCTCTAACTACAATACAAAGCAAAAGGCAAAAAAAAAAAAAAAACAAAAAAACCTACTGTGCACTCCAACAGGTTCTCCTTGCCCTTTTATATGCTAACTCAGAATAGTAATTATGGATCTTGCAAGTTGACTCCTGTTTTCCAGAAATATGAGTTGTACGTAAAACATGCCTTTTCATCGAAACAATTACCATTAATCAAAACACTGAGAGCTAATACCACTCAAGTCCAACCTACCGCTGTGCCCAGCAATATATCAAACTGTCTGTTGTCAAACACACTAAACAAACTTAAACACACTGTTTTCACTACAAACAGTAAAAGAAAAAAAAGAAATGCTTGCTAAGTAATTTTTGAATTGAAATTGCTATCTCAGTAATCCATTCTGTCACTGTGTTTTAATTTTGAGTATTCAATCACAGTCCAACACAGACATATCATTATTTGGCTCTGGGAAAAGAAAATCCATGGCACTGATAAATGAAGTTACCTGCAAGAGACTTGGTATTACAATGAATTTGGTTAACTTGAGATAATTTGATTTAGAAGTACACTTAAACAATAACACATTTTACTCTTTTAGGGGTTTGTAATGCTTCATTTCCCAGCGAAAACTATTAACATAAGAAAGGTTATGATTGCTCTACAAGAGTCAGAAATAGTAAACCTATTTCTACAGCAAGAGTATAAGGTCCATAAGTCCATTGGTTTACTTTTTAGTAATTTACTGCTTTATAATACACTTTTTATATTTAATTTTGAAATCTGTATTAGGGAAAATGACACAAGAAATTATCTACTGAAATTGTAAATTACCTAACTTCAGTTTGCATAAATATCAGACAATTACATCACTATTATATTTCAATGCATAACTATGTGAATGCGAAGCCATCATCTATAAATATAGACTAAGTAACTATCTTGAAAAACCTTGCTTTTCTTATTATCTTTTCCTTCTTTACTCTAATTTTTGTTTTTCTTATTAAGCCAAAAGGTTAAGATTCTCATCCAAAGAGAAAAAACATTTTACAAATCAGAAAGTCAGCTCTGCTTAATAATTTCTAATCAGTGGAGATGTCAGAGTACTTCATATAAGAAGATGAGAAGAGGAATGGAAACAGTGGAGTTTAACAAACAGATCAGGCATTTATTAGCAGCAAGCTCCATTATGGATTTCTGAGCTTTGTAAGCCAAGCTCCCCCAAGAGTAATTAAATTTTTATTTATAATGGGTTTGTGACTGTTAACTTCATGTTGCCTATGCTTGTTTCCCTCACATATGCTCATATACACCAATGCAAAATAGCATTCCACGTTTTCTATCAGACAGTACATACTGATGATTTTTCATCTAAAATAACAAAATTGAACATTAACAAAATATGTACATAAAAAAAGACACGGTATGTAGTGGTTAAGACAGACTACATACACATGGGCACATTACTCTTTCACAGACTCAAATATTTTTCACAGCCTTATGTAGTAAAGGATACTACAAATCTAATACAAAAGGATATAAGAAAGCTACACAGCCAACTACATGTTTACTGCTAGGGATATCAAAGATTAGTGTAAATGTAACTGGAAAAAAGGTCTGATGTTCACCCAAGGCCAATGCATTCTTACCCATTTGAGGAGTTTCTTCATTTACAAACCTCTCCTTCTGATAGACTTTATCACTTTTGTCTTATCATTAATCCCTTTCCTCTTCTCATCTAGGTATAAACCCCTGTATACTTTACACCTTCTTTTAAATGCTTAATATAAGTAACCACAGGAGAATCTCTTCTCCCCTTGAAAAACTGCAAATAAAGATGTCAGCTATTGAGTATATTTGTGGCGTCTCCAGCAGCTGCTGTTAAATACCAGCTGGTCTAGCTGTTTAAAATTACCTCCGAGTTGGTATTATAAAGATGCCTGGGCAGTGTTGCTGTATTAATGGATTATTGAGTGAGCGATGAAAACCTTGGCCAGCTGATGTGTTTTATTACAGATAGGCTTTATGATGTGCAATCACTGTAATTTTTACAACTAGAGGAAATATGAAAAAAGGAGTAAAAAAAAAAACCCCAGAGAAACTGATTTAACTAGATTATTCCTATCATTTTGTTTCCTAGAAGAAGTCAAAGTGCATAATTACCGTGTATAAATATACAGGTATGAACTTATACACACAATTTATCCATCCATATGGATGTGTTTTCATCAATATAGGCAAGCAGAGAATGCACACGGACAAATTCAGTATGCATACAATTTGTGAGAATAGAAATTTGTTGTTGTCTGCCAAACCACCCAATTGGCTACAATGGGATCACATGACCTAAAATAGTTTTGAACTATTCACCAGCTGGGCAATAGCTGAAAATCCAAATCTGGCCAACTGGACTGTAGTTTGCAATCCAAAGGATGGGATCATTTCACTCCCTTTATCATTTCCCTTTCGTTGTTTTCTTATAATAAGCCAAGGTTTTTATAGAACTCTAGCAAATTGTCTCCCAGATCCTCTAACTTCCAACTTATGTTCAAAAAAAGGTATGGCAGTTTATTGGCTTAGCTATTTTTATGCCTGCTATAGTAGCCCAGGGTGCTACCCTATCAGTTTCCAAGGTCCTTCAAATGTATTGTTCTATTTATGGCACTCTCAAGACTCCTGTATGTTCCCAATTGTTTTTAAGAATGAACACCAACTCTCAGGAGGCTGTGGCCAATTAAAATAGTTCCAAGTAGAAAACAAAACTCAGAAAATTCATTCAAGTATGTCACTGGGTGAATTAGTATCTTGTAGGAAAGGACAGCCATCTCAGCCTGGATTTCCTCTTTAGGTAATCTACAAGTTTTACTCTAAAGTAATATTGAAGAACACAATCATCATCATCAAGAAATATCAAGTATATTGTTTTGGTTTTGCTGTATGACATTTAACATCAATTTTCATCACAGCCATTTTCATAAAATATATAGAATGTGTGACAAGAAAGTAATAAATTTTTTTAAATATACCAAAATTTATACATGAAATGAATCATTCACATCCCATGGTAGCGTTTTTTTTTGGTTTTTATTTCCCATAGAGGCTGAGTACTGTGTTTTGAGGGTTTTACTCATGCAAGTAACTAACAATTCTAATTAGAGCCAAATGTGGTGAATGAACAATGTGAGAAATAAGGTTATGCAATACTTTCTGAGGTCAAAATGTTCTTTGTTTGATTTTATAGCTATAAAACAGGTTTCTAATGTGGCTCCTATTCTAGTAATGAAGCCAATTCCAGAGAGAAAATTCCAGAAGTATTTTGAGGAATAATGGTAAATTAAAATAAATGTGTAACTTGTTACAATGACCATGCTTTAGAAAAACCATAATCATTTTTAATATTAAAAGCACCAATATGCTGGTTTTAAAAAAAGTGATCATTGTTGGTTAAAATTTTTGGTTTGGTTTTTTAATGGGAATAAAGCTAGTCATTGTGTTATTTTCAAAGGTGTGTAACTTTAAAATTGCAAGGGACTTTTAAGTGCCATCTAATCCAATCTCCCATTCATAATAAAAACACCCATTCATAAAATTTCTGATGGCTGGGGACTATTGAGCTTTTGCTGAAATAGCAGGGTGAAAGCATGCTCACCTAATCCTAAACCATCTATTTTGCAAACTCCTTTCGATAGAGAATCTTTCAGGCTTGCTGCTTCAAAACATGCCCCCCAAGTTCTTTCTACTGGGTCTTATCTGGCCTTCTAAGAAGAATGTTCCCTGCTCTAATTTATACTTTCTAAATACCCAAGTGATACTAAAACAAAGCATAATGCTTGATATTAGTAGCTGCTTACTAAATATCTGCTTACTCAATAATGACCTGAACAGTTCTATTTTTAAAGAACCATTAAACTGGAAAAAATTATAATAAAATTAATGAATTCGGATAAAAAGCATAAACTGAAGAAATTTTTAAAAGATACAGCAGCTTAAATTTCTATTATTGTGAAAACTTAGAAATCTAAGAACATCTAGGTGAAGAGCCAAACTTCTGACCAACTAGAACAGAGTGAGCAGCAATCAGAGGCAAAGAGGCCAATCATATGTGGGTCAGAAAATGGCTGGGATCAGTCAGGTAGCTATGGAAACACACCCTGGGGTTCTGAAATGCAGATCCTGGGTGTGGTGAGCTAGTCTCCCATTCTCTTGGGACTTTCTTCTAGAAGGCAGACCTTGGGAGGCAAAATGACCTATGACTATAGATTTGGTACAGGAGAATCAGTCAAACCTTCTTTCTTCAGAGATCTTTAAATAGTTTTTAAAAGTGGGGGTTGTGGGGAGATAATCACTGTTTTGTGATAAAAAAAAAAAATAGTGACACTATATACATTCCTAATAAATGATTTAAATGCATGGCTACCAAACTTAAAAAAACTCTTCCCATGTTTTATTTTGCCTGCCTTCCTGCATTATGTCTTACCACCAGCAGAAAGCACTGGTCAGAGGTGCGGATGCAGTAAGGGCCAAGTGAAGAGAAGGATACAAGAAGGAAGGGTGAAAAAGAATAAAAGACTGCACAGGCAGAAAGCCAAGGTGGTGGAGGGGAGTCAGGACAAAGCCTGTCTGACCAATCTGGGCAGCAATGCAAAGAAAGGAGGTGCTTCCTTTCTGCCATCAGCAATACAATCCACTGAAAAGGATAATTAGATAACTAATCACCTTCACTACTGTTTTAAAACTGCATTTTCCACAAAAGAGTGGGAGTGAAAAGTCAAAAGAGTGGGAGTGAAAAGTCAAAAATGAAAAAAATAATGATAGGATTTGGCACTGTTGTCATAAATACCAACCGGCAGAGGCCTTCCTGCCTAGAGGTGATCGACGTAGAGAAAAGGGAGTTACTTATAGATGGCTGAAGCCAGAGCAAGAGGCATTTGTTATATGGGGACTGACATCACTACAAAAAAAAATCTCTTCTCAATTTTCAGTTTGAGAAAGTGACATTATTTATCATATTATTACTTAGACGTACTTAATAAATATGTAAGAAATATTTCCTATGCAACAGGCACTGTTTTAAGTGCTTTGCAAATAAGAACTCCACATGGAAACCCTATAAACTCAGTACTCTTGATCTGACTTTAGCTTTTCTGTTGCGTTCCATTGAATAGGAGACAAGATCAGATTTTGGTTGCAATGAATGAAGAGTTCAGCAACTGAAAGAACAGGTATAGAAAAGATACTTTATAAATATTACATTTCTCTGCATATTTCTTGTTTTACAGAAAATAAAATCCTATTAATTATAAACTGGTAGTTCAAATAAACTAAACTTGTAATATATACCAAGCAACAACAGGATAAAATTCTATCCATTAAAATATATATGTAGTTCTGTACCTCCCCCCACAACTCACTCCAGTTGGGGAAATTTATCATCTTCATGCTTGGAAACTGGTGAGCTAGAGAAACTAGATCTCTGGTTCTCTCCAGTGTCACTGCCTTGGCTAAATTCTGATACTGTCCACAATGTTCACTTTTTTTTTGTTTGTTTGTTTTTGTTTTTGTTTTTGAGAAGGAGTTTCACCTGTTGCCCAGGTTGGAGTGCAATGGCATGATCTCGGCTCACCACAACCTCTGCCTCCTGGGTTCAAGTGATTCTCCTGCCTCAGCCTCCTGAGTAGCTGGTATTACAGGCATGTGCCACCAGGCCTGGGTAATTTTTTGTATTTTTAGTGGAGACAGGGTTCCTCCACGTTGGTCAGGCTGGTCTTGAACTCCCGACCTCAGGTGATCCTCCCACCTCGGCCTCCCAAAGTGCTGGGATTACAGGCGTGAGCCATTGTGCCTGGCCCACTGTCCTTAATAGCACTATTTTTAATTGTTTAGGTCCCTCCCATTGACATAATTAGGTCAGAGGTTCTCTTTAATAAAACCTGAATCTACTGAGCATAGGTGCAATCTCTCAGCTTACAACTCATTCTTTTTTATCTCAGTCCCACTCATTTTGTTATTGTTTCTGATGCCTCTTAGAGCTTAGATCTATTAAAATGATTACAAATTCTAAATTAAAATGTTTTAAAAGGTATATTTTCTCTAACAAATTCCATGTAGTACAATCTTTAATTTTAATTAAAAAATTCGAGTATTTTTAAACTTGAGATATTTTAAACCCTACATACCATTTACAATTTAAGGCATAATAAGAACCTTTGGAGATGGTACACTGGTATAAAAAATCTATAAAAAATCATTGAAAAATATCTAACAATAATTCGTGTAAAATGACAATAAAAGCATTAGAGAAAGCAAATTTTAATAAAAGAAATTTTTAGAAATAAAATACATATACATGCCTAACTTACTATATTATTATAACAAATAATATTTCTTTTTCTGCATTTAAATTCTGTTACAAATCTATTTAAAACTATAAAAATAAGAAATTTGAGGGGATAAAGAAACACATAAAGAACCAAAAGTAGTCAAAAGCAAAAATAAGAAGCAAAAAGCAACACGTTCCACCAGCATTTCATCTGTATCTCCAATTAGTGTAGAAAGCTTTTCTTAGGGTTTGTTGGTTGAAGAATTTTTATCTTTTATCCTTTATAATAGAGTGTAATAAATGACAATTTTTCTTAATTGATTCAGCAGCCTTTGTCAAAGCATCTTATGACATTATGAAAGGTTCTCTTCACTAAGCAAGCTCCATCATTTTTCTTATATTTAGGTCAGAAAAGAAGTAATAGTGAGAAGACAGGATTCCATCTTGGTATTATGGGTCAGATAAAATTATACCGGTAAAACTCTGTCCTTAAAGTAACTTTACAAAAGCCAGAAAAATATCTTAGAATTGTCATACAAGATGCATACTGGTGATCTCAAATATCTTAAAAGCTAGTCAGGAGACACTTATCTAGAAAACTTGCTTTTACAGGCACATTTGAAGCCCTCTTTGTTCCCATAAAAGGTTTTACACATATTAAGCAGTCTCTCAAGGTCAAAAAATAAGGGTAGAAACTTAAGTCTGGTCACAACCTATCAAAGACACACAATGTAATCACTAGTATAAGTGATACAGGTTAGCTTAATTACCAAGTATACTTAATAATGGAATATGATACCATACATAAATTACCATATGGCAATAGAAAAGAGCTTATTAGAGCAATTAGCTCTAGATATTCAATTTGCCTCTAGGTTACTTGGTTATTCAAAGAGTTGGAGAATGGAAAAACGGAGACCCATGAAATAAAAAATCCAAGGATAAGAAAGGAAGGAGAGAAATCTGAATATTAAAGATTAACTTAATTCTAGGATGTTTTACCCACATTTAACTATTATTTCTTAGTAAGTCCTGAAAAATTCTCCTTCAAGCTTTAGAACCTATAGTTTTGATTGGAGGGTAGAAATTACTTTCCTTCCAATCTAAATGTATTCTGCCAACAGACTGGAAGGCAATGTCAGTTTTAAAGTATTATCACTGTTACTAAACCACATAGTTTAAAGAAGGCATTCCTTTGTTTTACTGTGATTTAAAAACAACTCTGACTAAATATATTTCTGGGAAAGTTTTATTTTTCCTGACCCTTGTTAGATGGTATTTTGTAATTATAAAGTTTTGGGGTAATATTAAATATTCGTTTTTCCTGTATACTTATGTTCAAAGAACCACAACCACTGTAAAGTCACAGTTTTATCAGGCTTTCCTTAGAGAATGTTCATATAACCTGAAGTTGATCAAGTCTGGTTAGTGACTTTAAGACCGGGATTGGCAAAGGGTTGTGTTGTTTAAGATATACAACCAAAAGAAAGGATATTTACTACCTTTTTATATATATATACCTAGAATGGCAAATATAGCTGAGGTGAAGGTATGTTCTATCATGAACTATTTTGGCCTATCAGTTTTCAGCGCATCAGTATTTCTCAGGTATCTAGCATATTTTGTTTCAATCGCCTCAATTCTTATTTAGAAATATACATTTTTAAAACTATGAATTTAGTGACATATTTACAAAAATTTAGAAATATGCATAGCAATCTTTAATAAACTGTTCTAATAAATACAAATTTAAAAATAAAGTCTTAGTTGCAGAGTTAAAATTATGATTAAAATTTCTTCTATGTTATATATTTTGGAAGTATTTAAAAACTCATTGTAAATACTTCTCATTAGAAGGTAAATACTTTGGAAGTATTAAAACTACTCAAATATGTTGAATAAATATGACATCATTTGTTTTTTGGTTGTTTTCATTAGTCCCATATATTTACTAGGTTCCAAAACACCAGTGAAAGAAGCCATCTAATTGAAAGAAATTTCAAACTGTGGCCAGGATTTTTGGAAGGAACAAAAAGAGACATCCTGGTCTATGTTTAAAATTACATTTCCAAATATATATGTAATAGTCCTTTAGCTACAGTATATCAAGACCATATTGGAAATCATTGGTTTCTCAAACCTCATATGTCCATTATATTTAAAAGTTTCACAATCAAGTCTCTATGTAACTATTTACGTGACTGGAACGCTATTTCCTGTGTGTGAAAAGTACCAGTAAACAAAAACACGAAAGCAAAAGCTGAGTTGCCTAATTTTTTTTTTCAACTGTGCCATTTGCATTGGGTAAGAATACTGGATGTTTCATTATTAATCCCACATGTCTGGTCATTTTAAAGTAGATTTAGATTCAGAAATTTAAAAATTTATAATTATAGCTGGAGACAGAACAAGCAGACAGAAAAACAGCAAAAATATGGAAGACCTAACCGACATAATCAACCAATTTGACCTGACATTTATAGAACATTCCATTCAACAATAGTAGAATAAACAATCATTTCACGTGCACAAGAAATATTCACCAAGCTCTACTATATTTAGGGCTAAAAACAGGCTTAAAAATCATACAAAATCATGTTTTTAGATCATAATGGAATTTAATAAATTTTTAAAAGATATCAGAATAATTCCCCAATATTTGGAAATTAAGCAATACAAATAACCCATGGTACAAAAAGGAAGCCTTAAAGAAAAATTTAAAATATCTTGAGCTGAAGAAAAATAAAAATATAGCAACCCAAATTTTAGGAATACAACTAAACCAGTGCTTAGGAAGTAACTTATAGCAATAAAAACATACTTAAAAAGAAGAAAGGTCTGAAGTCAATAATCTGACCTCCTACCTTCAACAACTTGAAAGAGAAGAGGAAAATAAACCCAACGTAAGTAAAAGGATAAGAGCTGCAACTAATGACACTAAAAACAGAAAGAAAGAAAAAGAGAAAGGGAGATAAAATTAATCAAACCTAAAACTGGTTCTTTGAAAAGATCAATTTTATTGATAAACTTGTAGCCAGACAAAACTAACTGATCTTCAACAAAAGTGTAAAGGCAATTCAATGGAGAAAGGGTAGTCTTTCCACAAATGGTTCTGAAATAATTGGATATTCATATTTAAAAAAGAAAAAAAGTTGACCAATACCTTTTACCTTACATAAAAATTAAGCCAAAATAAATCATAGACCTAAATATAATATATAAAGCTATGAAACACAAAACATAATGTGTATGACTTGGATTGGGCAGAGTTCTTATATGTGACACAAAAAACAATCTCCATAAAAGAAAAAGTTGATAAATTAGGTTTCAACAAAATTAAGTGTTTGCTCTATGAAAGACATGAGAAATGAAATGACAAGTTTCAGATTGGGGGACAATTTGCAAATGCAAATCTCAAATGTGACAATGGACTTGTATCCAGAATAAAGAACTGTCAAAACTTAATACTAAGAACATAACCCCAATTTATTCAAAAAGGGCAAAAGATGTAAGACACGTAGACTGACTTTTTTTTTTTTGAGTCTCACTCTGTCGTCCAGGCTGGAGTACAGTGGCACCATCTTGGCACACTTCAACCTCCACCTCCTGGGTTTAAGAGGTTCTCGTGCCTCAGCCTCCCAAGTAGTTGAGATTACAGGCATGTGCCACCTCACATGACTAAGTTTTGTATGTTTAGTAGAGATGGGGTTTCAGCATGTTGGCCAGACTTGTCTTGAACTCTTGGCCTCAAGTGATCTGCCCGCCTCGGCCTGCCAAAGTGCTGGAATTACAGGCATGAGCCACTGCGCAAGGCTCTGACATTATTTTAATTAAACTATTTATTTTGAGATAATTGTACCTTCACATACAGTTGTAAGAAATAATACAAAGAGCTCCTCAGTACCCAGCAGTTTTCCCCAATGGTAACATCCTGCAAAACTACAGTCCAATGTCACTACCATGATATGTTCCATTACCATAAAGATCCTTTCCATGCCCTTTTATAGCCATATTCATTTCCTTTCTCCCTTTTCTTGTTAGTCTTGCTAGTGTCTGTCAATTTAATTGACCTTTTCAAAGAAACAACTCATTTCATTTATTTTCTGTTATTGTTTTCAATTATATTAGTTTTAACTCATATTTATTATTTCCTGCCTTCTACTTTTATTTTACTTTTCTTTTTCCATGTTCTTGGCATAACATTTCCCCTATTTTTATTTACCTTATTATTGGAAATGTATTATTTCTCATTTCATGTCATAAAAAACACTGTGATAAACATATCTATACATGGACTTTTATTCTACTGATGCACTTAGTATGTTTATATGCTTAAAAGTAAAATTATGAGTCAAATAATCCAATTGGTCAGATTTCTGACTTACCCTCCCTATTGCCTCCTAAATGATTATATCAACATTGAGCAAAATTTTCTCTAATCTTTATCAATCTAAATGAAAATTATATTATGCTACTTAATTTGTATATTTCTTTCCTTTTTTTTTATTTTTTTATTTTTTAGAGACAGGGTCTACTCCCAGGTCTCTGGGACTACAGGTGTGCACCACCATACCTGGCTAATTTTTTCTTTTTTTTCTTTCCTTTTTCTTTCTTTTTTTATTTTTATTTTTTGGGTAGAGACAAGGGTCTCACTACCTTGCCCCCAGCCTGATCTCAAACTCCTGGCCTCAAGATATCTTCCCGCCACGACCTCTCAAAGCGCTGCGATTATAAGCATGAGCCACCTAATTTCTGTTTCTTTAAATGTTTGAATAGCTGAAAGTTTTCACTATATGTACTGGCCATTGTTAATTTTTCCTTATGATTTGTTGTTTCATTTTACTGTTCTACTTAATGGATTAGTGATTTCTTACCAAATTTAGGACTCTATATATAAAAAATAAAAATTAGTATTTTATTCTTCATATTATTTCTTTATGTATGTTAAATTTTTTAAACCAATTTAAAAATCATAAGGAAAAATTTACATTGAATTTTATTGGACTAATTTTTTTTTTTAATTTAACAGAGTTTAATCGAGCAAAGAACAACACAAGAATCAGGCAGCACCACCACCCCCTCCCCGGACTGAAATTTTGAAGTAGTCAAATTTCCAGCTTACCATCTAGAATGTCTTCACTGATATTCTTACAAAATCTATCGTCATTGGAAGATAGGCTATTCATGTATGTTTTCTACTAATTATTTAGAGTTGTAATTGTTTCATTCTTATTACTTGATGTTCCTTAAAATAGCAACAAAATTTTCACCATATCATATTTTGAATAATCAGATCCTTGTATTACTGGTTTGTGATCTTTCCTTCTTTTGTTTTTCTTTCCTTCCCATTCATCCATCTTCTCATGTACTCAAAAATTATTTGCTGAGTGTTTACCACATGCCAGGTTCAGTTTAGGGAGGCATTTGAGATATATTAATGAATAAGACAGACAAACTCCTTGCTGTCACAGATTTTACATGCCAAAATTCAAGGCTATTGTATGTCTATGAAAAACTGAATGTTTTATGACTATACAAGGCTATTCTCTGTTTCTTTCAATGCTTTTCTTTGAAGTATATTATCTTGATATTACAGTTGCTGTCCCTGTAATCCTTTTACCAAGCTACATCATTTATTTTAGCTGCCTCTTCTAAGAAGCATATAGTTGGATATTGTCTATAAAGCCAGTCAATAATTTTTGCCTTTTACTAGGTAAGTTTAAAGCATTTATGTATAGTACCATAACTAACGTTTGATAGCTTTGTCATCATCTATTATGCTTCCTTTGTAAATAATCTTGTTACTTTCTTTTGTTATTCTTCTCATTGCTGCTTCTTATTATGAGTCTTATTAATAGCCAGGAATTTTGCACTGAGCACATAAAAATTAGTAACAATGAACACTGATTGAGTGCTTACAACGTGCCAGGTATTGTACTCTATATGATTTTTTTCATTTAATCGTCACAATGCTATTGCATAAACATCTTTTATGAGCATTTTTTAAAACATTTACTTAGTGATTAGAAACATCAATAATATATTTATTTCATGTGTACTGATGAATTATGTAAACTTCCATACTTCCTTCCCTCTTTAAATTATTCACTAGAATTAAGTAGACTTAAGATACAAATAATGATTTAAATTATTTTCACTGCTATTGGCATGATTATTTTTGACAATTGCTTTCAGTTATTTAGACTTAATCATATCTTACTGGTTACATTGCTTTCCAGTAGTCCTCTTACACTTGTTTTCCTCTTGCTTGAATTATTGATTTTTGTTCGCCTCTCAGTGGGAAAAGCATATTTTTATCTAGAAAGGCATGTGGATGGTACCCTTCCTAAGCTAGTGCATGCGTAACTCAGCACTTTTCCTTCTTGGCCTTTGACTATGCTAAAATACATGGTCACTTTGTCAGTAAAGGTTGTTTCTCCCACTTCATCAATTAACCCTTTGTAGGTCAAGTTTAAGATTAAAGTAGCAGATCCCCATCCCCAAGCTTCCTTAATTTTTTATCCAGTAGTCTGACTTAAATAAGGCCAGAATTGGACTCCGACAAGGAAATTTAAGCCTTCAGGCTATGGCTTATTGTTTTAGCTATACATTTGCTGGGGGCACATCCTGTGTGAAAGATCTGGAGCTCATTTATTCCTGATTTGGGGCATGGCTGTGGACCTTAGGCTCTCCAGGGGCCTTGATTTTCTATTCCTTCCTTTTAAGGCTGGTTTCTAATCAGTACTAACAAGACTCCTGATTCTGGGCCTTGTACCTAGCCTGGGTCTTTGATATCTGGTGAAACTGAATTTGGCTCATGGTCCAATGTGACACATAAAACCTTCAGATGCCTCAGCTTTCTACCACACTTATAGTCCTAGTCAAATTAAACTGTGAATATTAGCTCAAGAGTTCAAAGCCTGGCTCAGCTTCTTGGTAACTATTTAATCTAAATAAGGCTTTATAATCCTTCATTTCCTCATCAACAAAATGGGGATAATAACAGTACCTATTTCTATGTGTTATTAGGTTAAATAAGATAAAGCCTTTTGGCCAGGTGTGCTGGCTCACACCTGTAATCTCAGCACTTTGGGAGGCCAAGGCAGGCAGATCACCTGAGCTTATGAGTTTGAGATCAACCTGGGCAACATAGTGAAACCTTGTCTTTACCAAAAATACAAAAAATTAGCTGGGCATGGTGACAGGTGCCTGTGGTCCCAGCTACTTGGAAGGCTAAGGTGGGAGGATCCCTTGAGCCTGGGAGGTTGGAGGCTGCAGTGAGCTGAGATCACACCGCTGCGCTCCAGCCTGAGTGACAGAGCGAGACCCCCTCTCAAACAAACAAACAAAAAAAAACAAAAAAACAAAAAACAAACAAAAAAAAGGATAAAGCCTTTAGCACAATGCCTAGCCCTCAGGAAATAATAAATATAATAAATTATGAGTCATTATTTCAAATATTTAATTATTCTTCCCCATAATTCTTAATCAGTGATCATTCTTCATGTATAAGGGGAAAAACTCCTACTTTCTGAAAAATAATAATTCTGGGAAAACATTCAGTAGTGTATGAAAGCAAGCTATCATTGGATCGTCACTTTCTAATCCTTCATATTTCATGTATTATGTTTAATGTATAATATAAAGCTCATTGAAAAGAAAGGAATATCTCAATTGTTAACTGTGTTTAGGAAGTTCTTAAACTGTTGAGAGATATAATCTTTTAGGTGGATAATTACACTGACTTCTGATGACTGAGAGTTACTTTTTTACCAATATGTTTATACTTCAAATATAGGTTAAAAAAAAACTTGGCATTCAACATAATTATACTATGATATGTTAGAAACAATATACTATGACATATTTTAAAATTATATCAATAATTTGGCAGATTAGTAATCAATAACCAAGAATCTCCCCAATTAAATTACAATAAACTGCACGGTAAAACAACTGCTAATCCAGATAATAGAAAACAGACATGGAAGATATATAATAAGCATTTGGGGGATATGGAATTTATCCCATGAGTGTTGTAAAGAGCTCATAATTTAACAGTGACGAAGCCCAAGCGTGTTATGAGGGTCTTTCCTCAAAAGTGACATTAATTGCATATCCCACAGATGCCTATTATGTACTCTATTGATATCAAAGTATAAAATACAGTAAAAAGTTTACAGATTCAATACATTTAAAAGTGATAATAAAACAGTTATTCTGGCCTACTAAAACTGTTAAACTTCAAATTTTAGTCTCTTTATAATAAAAGAATGCTGTAGTAGCATTGAATCTCTATATAAATCTGCTCTAAGTTAGAGTTTTTTGAACTCACAACATGATGTGTGATCAGTGATAGAATTGTAACGCAAATATTTTAGATGCTTTTGCACAAAAATAATCCCCAAGTGATGAAATCTCAGGACATTCTTATGCTTATACTAAAAAATACCACAAAAATGACTCTTAAAAAATTACCTTGGAAAGCTGGAAATGATGCAGTCAATATTTTACTTTGCAAATTGGTCAGTATGTATTGACAGGTTTATAGAACCTAATTTTTTTAAGTGCAATACCAATCAATAATTGGCAAACAAAAGACAACTCAATATGTTAATTAGGCTGGGCGCAGTGGCTCACACGTGTAACCCCAGCACTTTGGGAAGCCCGGGCGGGCAGATCACTCAAGGTCAGGAGTTTGAGACCTGCCTATCCAATGTGGTGAAACCCCATCTCTACTGAAAATACAAAAATTAGCCAGGTGTGGTGGTGGGCGTCTATAATCCTAGCTACTCAGGAGGCTGAGGCAGGATAATTGCTTGAACCCGGGAGGCAGAAGCTGCAGTGAGCCAAGATTGCACCACTGCACACCAGCCTAGGCAACAGAGCAAGACACCCTCTCAAAAAAAAAAGAAAAAAGATGTTAATTATTTATTCGAATTATAGTAAGAGAAACTTCATTCTATGTGCAACAGAAGGAACTTTCATAAAATTAATGAAAAACATAATATAAATTACCTTTAGGATATATTATTTTATAAAATCACTTATGTTGAACATTTAATTGCGGATTTAATTTTATTTAACCTAAAATACAGGTAGTAAATTGATTTAAAACTTGCTAACAAAAAATTTTTAATCATCCAGAAGATAATACAGTTAAATATATAAGTAACAGCATTAAATAAGCAAACTGTTATATAATATTCAAGATTTCATGTGGACTTATTCACATGTCAAGATAAATGTCATCAATTTATATAAAACTAGGATCATGTAATTTAGAATGAGATTATCAAATTTTAGTGCAAGTAATAGTTTTGTACTATTTGTTAATTCTAATTTTGTTAAGTACATCTATTAGCAAAATGCAGCAAGTGTACATACTTAGGGCACATCTCCCACCTCAGGAGATATTAACATATATTCTCTTGGAAAAACTGGTTTTAAAAATAATTGCAAAATTTAGTGACAAATATAACCATAATACAGACTAGATTTAAGTAATTTGATGTTCCATGCAACTGTTAAAAATTTTGACTAAAAGTAGAAATTGGACTCTACATGGGGCTTAATTTAATCTTGCTAACACTTTTCCCCCATGTAAATATATATTTATGATTTACTCCTCTTTCCATACAAGCTGTTGGTAATGATAACATTTTGCCATTGGCTCATTCATTATTGACATTTTTATTATAATTTCTAATATTTTACTTTTATTTTTTATTTTCTTTTTAAATTTTTCATTTTTACTATAATTTATAATTTTCTTGAAACATTTTACTTTACAAAAAAATTTGTTTTGTTTGAAAATTAAAATTCTATAAAATATCTGGCATGCAAAAGCACACTTTAGATGACACCATTATGAATTATTATGTAATCTGAGAAAGCAGTTTCATTAACTAAAAAGAGATTATTTTACATCTGCCCCTTGGTGATATTTACTCAAACCACTGTCTATATTTTCAAGTATTAATTCTGAATGTAAAACTAAATTAACAACTTTCTTCTAAAAGGAATAAACAGTAGCACAGCAATTACTTAGATTAAGATATTTGTGTGATACAGAATAAGATATTTTAATTCATTTCCATGAGATACAAAACTATAATATTAAATTCTAGAACATAAAATTATTCTGCCAAACTATATGATCATTTCTAAAAGTTTACTCCCAACTTCTATAGCATCACTTTAGAAAGCAGTGGTCTAAAACACGGCTATTATAAGTTTGCAGGTAAGAGAAGCACATAGGCTCTAGTGAAAAGAAAAAAAAAGTCAAAGACAGAGTTGGAAGGGCTAACTAATGATTCACACAGGACATCATATTCACATAGCCATGACATTCTAATTAAGTAATGGTAATGACAAATAATGATAATAAAGGCATGTCAAAACATACATTAAATGTATACTACATACTGAGTACTACTTTTTTTTGTATATTATGATTTAATTCTCACAGGCACCCTATGAAGTAGGTACCATTATTTTTAATTTCCATTTCACAGATGAAAAAACAAAGGCTGTTTCATTTCAGAGCCTATGCTTCTATCTACCGTTATTATTAGAGATGGGGGTCTTGCTATGTTGCCCAGGATGGACTCGAACTCCTGGGTCAAGCGATCCTCCTGCCTCAGACTCCCGAGCAGGGTGGGATTACAGGCATGTGCCACCATGCCTGGCTTACACTGTTTTTTGACCCAAAGTTTCTAATAGTCATTAATAGAAAATACATAGATGGGTAGTACAGATGGTAGTACAGCTTAGGGATATAAGAAAATTCAAGCACTCTGGCCTTTCATGTGCTCCATAAATAGTAATAACAAAACCAAATTAATATGTGAAATAGGTAAATAAAATCCTTGCATTATAAAATGTAATAGAGGCCAGTTGAGATGAGTAATCTATTCTTCAAAGATTAAAAAATACATATTTTAAAAAATAATACAGATGAGATTCTATTAAAATATAATGAGCTAAATGAGGTAGCTATGATTATTGCAAGACCTGGTATTTTCAGTATTGCTGATAATGTTGGAGAGATTAAGAATAATTATGTCATGGATCATGGAATTTTAATGGGAAGGTACTGGTCAAAATGCCAAAGAAATTCTATAAATTATTCTGATAAAGATGAAACTAACCCCTGAAACTAACTGAAGGAAACTAACATCTGAAAAGGAAACAGAAACACTCTGGTTATAAATTATTGCACCCAAGCCCACGCCATCACCACTGCAACATCAAGCACCGGTTTGGGCAAGAAGGCAAAAAATTATAAAGCATTTCAAAGAAATGATAAACATGTTCAACATCAACTTCTTTCCCCAATATTTAAAACCAATTTCTGGATCTTAGCAAGCAATTTTTGAGGGTGTAAAATGTGCTTTTGTATTTGGATATACCAATTATTTGCACAGTGGAGAGGAATATAAAAATTTAACTCCTGACCTTGTTACTAGCTCTTTCAAATAAATTTTTATGTCTATAATCATAAATGTATTAGTTAGACTTTCAAATGTACATAGCAATTCATTAATAACCTGCATTGCTGCCCAATACCACATGTCACACACAATTTTCTCATTTCCAGTGGAAATAATGAAGCTGCTCTCAATGATGAGGTTAAGCTAAAGTAAGAAAAAGGAAAACATGCAGCGTTAAAACAGAAAAGCAGACTTCTTCAGTCACAGTTCAGGGCTTCCAGAGAAGAAAAACAGCTGAGAGTTATTATTCATGGAAGACTCTGTATAAAATGAGAATATAAACAAAACACTATTCTCTTTTCTGGGTTAAATAAACAGACCCTGCTCTGGGTGACTTGTTTGAGATTCTCTGCAATTGAAATAATGAATTCACATTTATTGAGCATCTACTAAGTACACCTCAATAAAAAAATTGCCTCAATTTTGCATGTTCTACCTAATGGAGAGTCAAGCTTTACATAAAGTATCTACCAAGAAACTGCCTAGCACTACATATAAATGTTCTACTATTTCAATATAGAGAACCCTTTTGTCTGTAGCAGTGCATAGATAATTCACATTTACTAAAATCACTATTTTTTAATTTGCATACACACCTTATAAGCCACTGAAAAAATACACACACACACACACACACACACACATGCACACCCACCCCTAAGGAGTGAGCATCTCCCTGTTCTGCTATGACATGTTACAGAAGTTATGTGGCTGAAGAAAATTAATACATTATGGTCATTATGGTCTCTGAGAGGCATCTATCTTACTTACAGGAATCTACGTCTGAGGGTAGAACAAAAGATGATCATATGATATAATGGAAAGAACATGAATATTTTATTGTATTGTTAGGATTTGGGGCTGGCTCCATGCATGTACGACTCATACAACTTCTTGGAATGCTTGGTTCAATGATCTGCTGTTACCAGCTTGAAATTCTTACTAATTTTTTCAAAGGGGCCTTGCATCTTTCTTTTGCACTGAGCTCTGCAAATTATGTAGCCAATCCTAAATAATTATGGCTCTGAGTTATGATTTCACTGTGAAATATGTGTAAACTAAACCTGAGCCTTAACTTCTTCATCTCTAATAAAGGAATAATACCCAATTTACAGGGTTGGTATTACAAAGAGTATTAGATGAGATACCATACACAGGTGAAAGTGATAAGCACTGAGCATGCACATAGACACACAAAAGAGATGTGAAATAAAATGGAGAAGGAACAGTTGTTATTTTTAAGGATCCGAGCACATAGAAATTTACATATCATTAGAAACTACTATATAATTAGATGTAGTTGAAATTGAAACTTTAGGCTGGGTGCAATGGCTCATATCTGTAATCCCAGCACTTTGGGAAGCAGAGGCAAGCTCAGGAATTCAAGGGGAGCCTGGCCAACATGGTGAAACCCTGTCTACCAAAACTACAAAAACTTAGCTGGGCTTGGTGGCACGCGTCTGTGGTACCAGCTACTTGGGAAGCTGAGATGGGAGGATCGCTTGAGCCCAGGGGGCAGAGTTTGCAGTAAGCCAAGATCATGCCACTGCACTCTAGCATGGGTGAAAGATGGAGACTCTGTCTCAAAAAACAAACAAACAAACAAAGAACTTTAATACTTACAACCCATATATCTGTGGTGCAATTTCTAGTCTGTTCAAGTGCATGTAAAGCTCAATATCATGCTTCTTCAGTAGATGATCCTGGATCTGGTTGACTTTAGTAACAATAGCAATTGTTGGCCCTAAATCTTGTGGTCTAGCAAAGGGAATGGGAGTCATCAGTGTTTCTTTCCCCTAAAAACAGAAAAATTGAACATGTATTATTTAAATATGAAATTAATAAATATATGGATGTCATTCTTTATCAATGACAGTTTAAACAAGAAGTCTTATTATCTGCCTACTACTCATTCTTAAAAAAAGGTGAGAGCACCATGAAATAATTAAAATAGGAAGATGAAAAAGGGATTCACTAGAAATACTTTTTAGGAATATATTATTCATTCATATATAAGGGTAATTAAGACGAATGTTCAAAAGTCACATCTATTATGTTCCTTGATAAAAATGAATGTCTTTCTTTGTGTTGTCTAAGCCACTTTTATAAAGCTGACTCAGTAATATCAATACAATTAGGTAAAATCAAGAACTGATAACCCTCACAGTTTAGTCACTGAGTTTCTCACCTAGCGTGACTCAGTTATAAAATACAAAATGACCACTATTAAGAAATGATCAGTGTTTAAATGTGTTCAAATACTCTGCTCAAAATGTTGATGTTCATATAAGTCTATGACTTCATCACATAACTTGCCAAGAACAAAAGGTTATTATTCCAAAAATATAAAGTAGTTTGCCAAATACGCTTACAGTAGCTTTTACCTTCTACAACCCTTTTAGAATATAACATATTGGTATATGAAGAAATACTTTATCACCTAGTGTAGGGGTCAGCAAACCTTCCCTGTAAACAGCCAGAGAGTAAATATTTTAGGCTTTACGAGTCATACAGTCTGTGCTGCAACTCTGCCACTGTAATGATCATGCAGCCACAGACAATAAGTAAACAAATAGGAATGACTGTGTTCCAAAACATTTTATTTAAGGGCATGGAAACTTAAATTTCATATTCTTTTCACATGTTACAAAATACTATTCTTCTTTTGACAGTTTTCTAACCATTTAAAAATGTTAAAAACCACTCTTAACTCATAAGATGTATAAAAACAGATGGTAGGCCAAATTTGACCTACAGGCAGTAGGATGCCAACCTCTGAGCTGGCCAAAGGCATGAAAAACATCGATTAACTATTTCATTTTTTAAGAGATGGAATGAAGTGACTGAGTAATAATGGTTTCTAACCAGAAAGCAATTAATTATACCAATATAAAGGAAATAAGCCATACTGGAAACAATATACCAAATTCTTTAACAGTATCCATTGCCAGAAGAATTTGTGATTTTTCCAATATTGTGTAATATAATGAGACAACCATAATGATCACTAAGATAGCATGAAGGTTAGTTTGAAAATATAGTTAACTCAGCAATTCCACTTCTAGGTATATAACAAGAGAAATGAACACATGTTCATACAAAGCTTGTATATAAATGCTCAAAGTTATTCACAATAGCCAAAAGTGAAAATAACCCAAATGTCCATCGACTGATGTATGGATAAACAAAATGTGGTATATCTATATAATGCAATATTTTTCAGGCATAAAAAGAAATACTGGTACATGCCACAATATGAACACTGAAAACACTATGCTAAGTGAAAGGAGTCAGTCACAAATGGCAGTGTATTATATGATTCCACTTATATGAAATATCCAGAATCAGCAAGTCCATAGAGACAGAAAGTATATTAGTGATGCCAGGGCCTGTAGGAACAGGGAAATGGAGAGTGACTGTTAATGGACATGCAGTTTTCTTTTTGGGTGATTAAAAAAATGTTTTGGAATTAGATAGCAGGGATGTTTGCCTGCTAACCCTATAAATATACTAAAAACCATTAAAAGTTTAATAGGTACAAGTTATGCTATGTGAATTATATAAAAATTTAAAATATAGTTAAAAATATGAATAAGAGGAAGAGTAAGAGTAAGGGATATTGATGCTAAATGTATGAATTCAATAGCAACGCACTGGTAAAAGCAAAACAACCTATTTGACACAGATTCTACCTATGCACTTCAGTAATAATGTGTATACCAACTAACTAGGGTAGCAAGAGAAATATAATAATTTTGTAACGAAGCACTTATGCTGCTTGATTAATATACACACATATAAAATGTATTTATATGAAATTTTTACAATTGCCTTTGTGTATCTGCCAATATGATTAGAAATATACTTAGATCCCCAGGCTCAATCTTATTCCATAGGTAATTTCATTTTGGTTACAGCAATAATAAAGGCTATATACTATTCTTTGGTTACATGTTGTTATTTATTGAAAGCATTTGCTCCATAGCATATACTGAAAAGATCTGTACTATAAGATTTACCTTCTGACCATCATGCTCAAAAGTTGAAAACCAAGGTTCAGCAGTTTCCATAAGTTGTGAGAACACTGCACTAAAAATAAAATAACACAATGCTATGTAACTTTCATTAAAATAATGATGGTATAAAAAAATAAAACAAAGAAAGTTTTTGTACTTACTAGGCATCATGTTCCAGATACTCAGGGTTCAAGACAGTTTTCATTTCCTCACTTAAAAAAGCAATACAAGCAATCAAAATGTGTAATTTTTGAATAATTAAAGAGGCAGAGTTTGCCTTATTCTATATAAGACAACTTTCATATAATATGCAAACGAAAAAAATTAGTCTTTTTTAATGAAAAGAGCAATGCCATTAACAAATGATATGCTTTCTTTCTATAAAGATCAAAAACAAATTAGCTGCCTTGTCTATGCCTCTATGCGACATGAACTATCTAATTATTCCAAATAAATACAGAATTTGACAATATATTCCTTGACTATGATTCATCTAGAATAATCAATTAATCCACAATCTATCACTTGTTGTCCAAAAGAACAAAAAGGTAGTTACTGGTCAAATATGCAATATCAAAACATTGATTTATTTTCTTTAACTGGATTTATTTTCATTTTATCAGTCAACTTATCAGTGACAACACCTCTTAAGCATTTATTTTACTTTTTAACAGATTGAATCAGCTGAAGAAGCAGGTCCAACACATTTAAAAGCTATTTTCAATCACCTATATTTTTTTGTAAATTATATTCTACATGCACATTTTTTAAAGAGCTGCTGTCTGAAGAATACACTCACATGTTAAAAAAAAAATGGCAGGCCGAGCATGGTGGCTCACACCTGTAATCCCAACACTTTGGGAGGCTGAGGTGGGTAGATCACGAGGTCAAGAGATCAAGACCATCCTGGCCAACATGGTGAAACCCCATCTCTACTAAAAATACAAAAATTAGCTGGGCGAGGTGGTGCCCGCCTGTAGTCTCAGCTACTCGGGAGTCTGAGGCAGGAGAATCACTTGAACCCGTAAGGCAGAGGTTGCAGTGAGCCGAGATAGCACTGCTGCATAGAGCAAGACTCTGTCTCAAAACATAAAATTTAAAAAAAAAAAAGGCATTACAACAGGATCCTAATACTAACTTCATGTTTAAATTTTAGAATAACTGAAGTGAAAGCAAGTTATATATGGTTATACTATTGTCAAGATTAAAAAAAAAACTCAGTAAAATTAGCAAAGCTTCAAGGAAACTTGAAAATACTAATCTATAAACTAATAGACAAAAGTTAATTTAACAAAGGCCTGAATATATGCTCAGCAAAGTGGATGGCTATATTTGATTAATAAAGATCTTATAATCAGATATGTGAAATGTTATCTGCAAGTTTTCTGTTTACTGCATATAGATGCGCTGGCCTGATGAATACTCCTGGACACAACCTGACAGTCCCAGAGCCCTCCATTTCCAAAATGATTTTCTGAAGGCCCCAAAGTTAGGGTATCTTAAGTTAGAAAAATGAATTCTAACAATTAGCCTAAGTTGAATCCAATTACAAAAGTTATTTGCAGGAAAGAATAAATGAATATATCTAAAAAATTTGAGAAGCAATTTTGTTTATTTACAGACTGAGGTTCTTTGTGGCTCCTTATGAATTAAGCTGAGTCAAACCTGATGAGGAGAGATAATCTCATATATAAAGTCTTATTCAACTTGGAGTAAAAAATGGATCATTGAGCATGATATATATGGATAATATCAATCATTAGCACTTTTGTGATTACAACAAAAATTTTCCATTCTTGATCCATTACTTACATGTCTTCCTTTGATACAGAATCAAGAATTCCAAAGACATTTATGATTCTAAATTTGCCCCATAGCTAAACTGGCCTAACAACAATTAAGTAGAATTAACAATTAACCACATGAAACACAATCAAATGTTTACAACTTGTACAGCTTGTAAGTACCTTCCATTTAGAAGATTTTGAGGTTTCAAAAACAAAGGTTACCGTGGGGGCTAAAAAACAAATGGAGCTCATATTAAAAAAAAAACTTGCCTGGGCTGTGCAGACTCACTGGCATGTAGAAAAGCTTGGTGGTCACAGTGAAGGACAAAGACTATAGGTGCTAACAGTTCGTGCATGCCCTGAAATAAAAGAGCCAGAAAAATGAAAGAGATGGATACTCAGAGTCCATTAGTGGACAGTATAAACTCAGTTAAATACTTCTTCAAACCAATTCCCACTAGCAAAATTTCCACATTACATAGAAACACATAAAAACGGAAAGCTACAAGATGAGATTTTTATCTACGTTCAGAATTTGATTCTAATTCAACCACAGCAGGTATTCTTCTTTAAAATATGGAGAGCAGTTCTCTTTTAAATGACATGACAAACAATAAATTGGCATGGTAGATAACCTTGCACCTGTCAGTTGCTTCAAGATCTGTACTCATAAATATGAATTTCATTTATGCAAATTATAATCATGAGCTACAGTGTTAAGATCTGCAGTAAGAAGGGCAACTAAGAACTGTAGACCTAAGGAAATTACATCCAATGTTTTCATTATATAATGGCTCAAAATTAGGATGTCTGTAGATTTAGGAAGTGCTGAAGTCAGCTAGCTAAAATGTTGGATAATAAAAGAAACAACCTTAAGAAGGTATGACAGAAAATAAACTTGTTAAAATAGGATTTAACATGTTTAATCAGAAAACTACCGTAATTTTTTCCTGTCTACTTAAATTCTAGGATTAATTTCAATTTATTTAATGATTTCACCAATACGATTTTCCTCTTTATATTGGTTTTCACCAAAAACAGGAATAGAAACAAAAAGGTATAATATTAGTTACTAAGCTGTCCTTAAAAGGGTACTAAAAAAAATCCATTACTGATCCATTATTGTGGTGACATACAGTATTCCACATTATGGCTACCTTTGCTAATTGAGATTTCTTTCCCCCTTAAGCATCGAAAAACATTTCAGCAAGTTAAAACAGATTATAATCTTTCCTGTCTCTTAAAGTGAGCAAATTACTACTTTCCTTTTGCTTAGTAACTAGGGATGCTCTTTTATAAAAAGACAAGACAAAACACCACTTTTAGAGGAAATAAAAATAAAATACGAAAGCAGAGAGGAGATAAATATTTTGCTGGTAGAATTAGAGAAGACTTCCTATAATGGATGAACAGAGTCACATAGTCCTCTGCACAGTCTAGTAGTACTGTACTATTCTTAGAAAGCCAATTGTTATCATAAAGATAATATGCAAGTTAACTTTTTCAGACTTCATGTATAAGTTATCACTAGCTTTGAATTAAAAAGATTTAGTTATATTTTTACAAAACAATTTATGATTCATTGACAATTTACTTGTGATTTAGGACAAATGACCACATATCATTTCAATCTTTATAGGTAACCATCTCCTTATTAAACAAACCTTGAAAAAAATCTTTCAGATAACATGTTAGACACCTAGAAAAATGACATTAAGCATTACTAACTCTGCTTTAAAAATCATGAAGGGTTTACTCTCTTGGAATAGTCTCAAGTTACTCCAAAAAGAAAGTGCCATAATTTTAATCATTAAAATAATAAATAAGTATTGTATTAATAGAAAAGTATGGAAAAGCAAAAACCAAAATAAGAAAATGATAAAGGGGGAGAAGGAGGCCAGACAAAAACCAAAAGTTAAGAAATAAATTTAAAACTCCAATAGATATCCTTGTGATCTTTTTTTGCCTATTTCTGAGGATTTCTCCAGTATTGAAGTCCTTGGAAGTAGAATTTCAGGGTAAAGGGGTAAAAATATGTGTTAAAGTCTGGTAGGATGTATACCATTAAGCTGTCTCCAGAAAGAATTCCCTCAGTGAAGAATATAAAAATCACTCTCTCACACATCCTCACCTATATTCAGAGTGTTTTAAAAAAATTTTGTCAAGTTTCACAGTTAAATTGTTATAGTTTATTTAAATGCTAGCAAGATTGAACCCCAAAATTTTATTGACCGTTTTTACTTAATAAATTGCCCTTTTTCTCCTCATGAAATGTTTCGTTTCCTTGGTGATGTCTAATAGTTCTATACCAATGAAAGGTATTAACCCTTTGTAATTTTTGTTACAAACATTTTACCATGCTTATCATTAGTCTTACTTTTGATTTCTATGATATATCATACTGACATTATACACTTTAGTCAATACAATAAATCATTCTTCATGGTTTCTATTTTGCTTTCATGCCTATAAAGACCTTCCTTATATTGAGATTAGGAAAGAATACAGTTTCCTTTTTTTTTTTTCAGTTAATTCTTCACTTAACTGATATAAGTTTAATTTTTGCCATGAAAATAAGTATGTTTTTCTCCAAAAGAATTACACCAATTTACTGATTAATCATTCCATCTTCAATAAATTCAATCTATTCAATAAGCTGAATAACCCATCTTCTCCCCAGAGTTCTGAAATGCCATCTTTAGTAAAAAATAAATATTTAGCTTACATTTTTTCCAGGCTTTCACTGTGAAATACATTGGTTTGTATACTATTAACAATAACTGTACCATTATAAAGATTCGACCTTTAAAATATTCTAATATTTCCTATTTTCTGCTCCTTTTTTTTTTCAAATTTATCTTGATGATTCTATTTTTTTATTCCAGGCTATGTCATTATCATGTAGGTTACATAAAATGGTAAACAAAACATTACAATTGTTATTGGCATTGCATTTAAATTAACTTGAGGAGAGTATTTTTAAGAACATCAGATTTTCCAATCCAAAAATTTGCAGAACTGCATAGTTCTTACTAGGTTTATCATGAAGTTTTCTTTCTTTGCTGTCAGTGGGATGCCCTTTTGAAAGAAATAGTGCTTTTTCCCCAAAATATATTTTATAACAAGTTATGGCTAGTTTAATAAGAGTTCTTGTCTAAATGGATCTTTCCAACTTTAAATGTTCTCTTCCTTCTAGTTTCTGTTACACCACTCTGTCTAGATTCTCCATTAATCATTCACGTATTGCAAAAACTATTAAATGCCTATATTTGCTGTGGACACAAAAGTGAATGAAGTGGGCAAGTTCCTAACTTCGATGGAGCTTGTGGTCTAGAAAGAAAGGAACAAAATAATAAAATGAGCACAGAAATGACTATACAATAGTCCCTCATTATGTGCAGGAGATATATTCTAAGACCTCCCAGTAGATGCCTAAAACTGTAAATAGTACTGAAAACTACACATACCATGCTGTTTTTATACATACACCTGTATGACAAAGGTATTAAAATTATGATTTAAATTAAAGATTATAAATTAGGCACACTAAGATTAACAACAATTAATAAGAATAGAACAATTATAACAATATAGTGTAACAATATTATGTGATTGTGGTTTCTCTCTCTCTCTCTCTCAAAATATCTTATTGTACCATACTCAACTGTTTTTGAATGATGGTTGACTGCAGGTAACTGAAACCACAGAAAGTGAAACTGCAGGTAAGGGCGAACTACTGTACTGTACTGTACTGCAGGTAAGAATGGACACTGTACAGCTGTGACTGTGTATGTGTGTGTGTGTGTGTGTGTGTGTGTGTGTGTGTGTGTGTGTGTATACACATCCAGATCCTACCACAGGCCCAGCACAAATAAGGTACTCACTACATATTGACTGAATGAATGCAATATCTACCACTTAGTATATCCACATAGTGAAAAAAGCTAAGCTACAATATGAAAAAAGAATAGCATTAAATCATATTTCAAATTAATAAATAAAGGTGTTCTTGGCAGAATGGAAATTAAGTCTTTTGAATACCATTAAAACTATTTTACAAGCTCAGTTTTGACTTTCATCTAAACTAGGGATTTTTTTTCAAATACCTAAAATTTTGAGATTTTTGGTTTTGCTATCAATTCTAGACTAGTAAAACCTGTTTAATAATTACAAATGGCAATTACATAGACGTCTTTAAAAGAAAAGAGAAATACCAGAAATAATAATCATGAATTCAATATGCTACAAATTTGACAAAACGTAATAGAAAATAATGTATTGATAGTACGCTTCTGGTTCCCAAAATGTATATTTTGCTTCCACCTATATTGTCAGCATTTCTGCCTGCTTAAAAGCCTTTATCCCTGCTAGATTGTTAGTAGTCACTGCACTCCAAACTCATGCCAGTTGAAAATAAAGGTAACAAAAGTTTTCTTCAACAGCCTGTAGGTTCACAAAATTGAACCTGTTCTTTTATCTGCCTGTGTTCATTTAGCCCACCAAGCAGTCTTTATTAAAGCTAAGGCATCAGGCAGTCAAAGTTCATTAATACCATTTATATAATCTCTGCAATTTCAATTAACTCAGCAAGACATTCTACTACATGATAACAGTCTCATTAATTCAATAAAATCCCATAACTATTAACAATATGGTCGATGTTTAACAGGGTGTCACCTAGTACAAAATAATAGCTTTAACAGCTTGTGATGAAACTTAAGGTTTTTTCTTAAATTTGATCTGGCTAAATATTCAGTCCTTCTACAGCAAGGTATTATTTTTCTGTAAAAAATCTATAGGATTTTAAACATGTACAGGGAGTAATTAAATATTTTAAAATGACACCCAGGAGTAAGTTAATAATAGTTTCTAATTTAGTAATTGATAGATTTTTGTCTAAATGGATCAAGAACCTGATCTTCCATATTCCTGAGTAGTCTTCTATACAAATGCAGTGGGCCACATACATCACAAATGGTAGATGGAGTGCACAGTTATTATGTTTTTGTTCCTTGTCCATAGAACTTGTTTCCATTATTATAAGACTTCCTTAATCTATTTTTTCTTTCTCTAAAAAAAATTGGAAAACAGATGTGTAATTTGGGATAACTTTATCCTGATTTGATTCACTATCATCAAGTCTTTTACTACGGGGTATTTTCAAGTAGTTAAAGGAAAAGAGGAAATAACAAAGAGATAAGGTTCACAATGAAAGCCAACATAATGAAAAGAAAGCAGAAAAACAAAATCCTGGAATCTGTGATAAAGATTTTAAGCTAATGAACTAATGCAGCAGAACTATTTACTCCCAGACTTCATGTGAAGTGTGTTAACAATCTCTTTACAGTTTAAGCCATTTTAAACGGGGTCTTCTGCTATTTGCTCCCAAAAGAATTCTACACTAATAGATTTTTTCCCCCAGTCTCCTTTTTGGTTTGTTTTTAGTCTTTCGACTTTTTATCCGACTTGTAGATGAGTCTACCTTGCTTGCGAGGGCCTTTCCTAGTCTGAGATTACAAAAAAATTTCTCCTAAATCTTCTAGTATTTTTATATACTTTAAGTTTTTATATTTATATTTTTACACCATCTGGAATTTATTCTCCAATAAATGTGTAATTTAATGGTTTTTCCAGACGGAAATCCACATATAGCACGTCAATATCCTTTTCTTTATTTTACCATATTCAGATCCCATATATAACTGAACCTGTTTCTAGACTGTTTCACTGAACAATGGTCAATTCACATAATACTGTCACATTAGTTTGATCACAGAACCTTTATAGAAGTTTTAATATCTATATTTCCCATTATCCCTTTCCCACAAATTCTATGGTAATTCCAACACATTTAATAATTATTATAATGATGATGATAATAAAAACAACCACAACTACCAACATGAACCTTTGCTTGGCACCAAATGTTAACTCTAGAAAGTAATTACTATTATTACCCTCATCTTACAGATGCAAAACTAAAGATTAAAAAGGTTAAGTAAATTGTCTAAGATTGTGAAGTTAGTAAATGACAGAGGTGAGATTCGAACAAAGGAATTTGTGTCTACACTCAGTGCTTTTAATCCCTAAATTATATTATCTCCGTTAAAATAAGTGTAACATTTTTAGGCACTAAATTTAAAATAACTGTATCCAGTTTTTTAAAAAAAACACGTATCTTACTCAGGTTATCACTGGAATGATAATTCATTTAAACATAAAGAAGTAATATTTTTACTTAAAGTCTTCTCATCCAAAAACATGCTATTTTTCTATTTATTCGATTCTTGCTTTATATCCTTGAATAACTTTTTTTTTTTTTTTGAGACAGGATCTCACTCTTTCGCTCAGGCTAGAGTGCAGTGAATCAATCACAGCTCACTGCAGCCTCAAACTCCTGGTCTCAAGAGATCCTCCCACTTCAGTCTCCCAAGTAGCTGAGACTATACGTGTGCACCACCATGCCCAGCTAATTTTGTGGTACTTTTGTAGAGATGGGGTTTCACCATGTTGCCCAGCCTGGTCTCAAACTCCTGGGCTCAGCCAATCACCCTGCCTCAGCCTTACAAAGTGCTGGGATTATAGGTGTAAGCCACTGCACCTGGCCTATAGTTTCCTTCATATAGCTTTTGTATCTTTATTGTTAATTTTTTTCTAGACATGTTATAGCTTTTGGTTGCCCTTATAAATGCAATATATTTTTCATTTCCAATTCTAATAAGCTATTGTCAGCAGTTAATTAATACAGAAAAATATTACTATTAAAAATAAGATAAAATTAGTTCCCTTGGGTATTCTATGTATATACAATAATTAAAAATGTACGATTTGGTATATTTGTAGTCTGAAATGTTTTACTATCCTTAAATCTAGTTTATTTCAAATTAAATACACTGCTTTTACCATTAAGTGTTTTCTATTATATTAAATTTAAGTTCAGTGGTCCTGAATTAGGTATACATTATAACTTTTGATTATTAGAGAATTTAAGAATTTAGCTTGAATTCTCACTTAATTTGCATTTGGAGAAATACATAAAAATACCCAAGTGTGTGTATTTTTATTAGAACACCATAAACTTAAATAAAAAATGTAAATATATCTGTATATATTAAATAATTTACATTTCAATAAAATAAAACAACCCAATAATCTTCTTTGCTTTAGTAATGAGACGAGTCAAATAACAGGATCACAAAGGAACTAAATACACATTTCAAAAAATTTAAAGAAACTTTCTGAAGTTCTATTACTGATAAGTTTTAAAAGGTAATAGGATACTTGATTATTTTTTACATGACATGTCATATATTTATAAATGCTATACTTAAAAATAATATTTGTACATACAACTCTGAAATTTTATTACTAGATTGCCTTCAAAGATGCTGTTTATAAACAAACTCCCAGAAGTTGAAAGAAAAGATTGAACACCTTCTAGAAGACAATTTGGTGGAATGTCTTATAATGAGGAAGAAGCATATGTGCTTCAATGAGCTTACCTTTCTCACCATGCAGCTGACAAGCAACTCTCTGATTGCTTTAGCATTATGATACAACTTTGGATACAATAAAGGCTACATTATTGCTCTATCATTTGTCAAGCTGTATAGAAAATTTTGAGTCAATGGATGCCACCTGTAAGATATTTTCATTACCTGTTTATAAAGCAACTGCTCGTTTTCTCTGGCATAACAGAAAAGAACATCTGTAAGAATTTTTCTCACATTTTCTTGCTGGAAAAACTGCATTTCAGGAAACCTGGAAAAAGAAAATACAAGATTGAAACTGACTAACACAGTTTCAAGAATCACTCTCAAATTCTCATCTCGAAGACGTGCCAAGGGCTGCTTCAGGTTTTAGAACAAGCCTGTGTTTGCCATGTAACTTATGCCTTTAGTGGGGACTGAAAAAGGAGTGAGGCAAGGGGAAATAATTACATCCCAGAGGTAAATTACATCCTTCAACATATTCACATTTCAAATTTTTTCACATGCTTCATATACTTCACACATATGTGAATATGATAGCTTTTGAATCATATTCTACGTGTCTGCAGATGGGGAGTTGCTTTGTTTTAGCCCACTGGTTTTTAGGATAAGAATGTGATTTTGTAAAAGTACTAATTTTTTTCAAAAAAAGATTGTCATTCTTTTTCCTTGATGTAAAATAGCGACACTTCAGTTATTACATATAACCACCTTATCAGCCTTTCATCTGATTACAATATAGACTTCTAAATATTTATTTATAATGCAGTAAAACACCACAACTGCAAGAACCCAAAGAGAAAACCCACAGCAACACAATACACAATGAATGTATAAGGGCCGAGGGAATGTCATCTAGTAGTAGTAGTCAACTGGGTTTAATCACAGAGAGTTTGAACAATAATTTTTAGGAGAGGAGGAACATGGAACATCAGTGGAAAAGGTAATCAAAACAGAAAGAAAGATATGAAGGCACAGAAGGCAATGGGTATTTCAAGAATGCAGCATAACATGGTAATTATTAATCAGAAGGAAAAGACAATTCCATGAAATACTGCCTGCTGGGAGCAGGACAGTGGGATAGAAGAAAAGGTGGAGTAAGGCTGGAAAGAACTTTGAATGCTGAATTTCCAACTATGGAAACACAGCATAGTAAATGTATATTTTTGAATAAGGAAGTGATAAAGAAAACAGTATTTTAATTTAACTCTATGGAGGAATAAACCTGAAAGAGTAGCATAGGAAGGACTTAAGAGTGCATTATAATAAAGTGAAATTTAAAAGTCCCAAACCCAAGTAGAAAAGCCTGTGTTCAAATTCATGTTGCATAATTTCTAGTTATGCAACCCTGAGTGAATGATTGCTTAACTGCCTCATCTATTAAGCAGGGATAACAATACTGATCTTGTGATCAAGATAAAATCATGTAAGAGCACCAAGAACGGTGCCTAACAAGTAGCAGATATTCAGGAATAAGACGCCATTATTATAATAGTATTTGAGTAATGATACTTTAGGTAATGAGATTGCAAATCAGGTGGCTTTGGAACTAAAAAATGGGAGAAAATGTGAGAGAGTAGAGAGGAAGATGACCTAGAGCATGAAGGCATAGAGCATTATTGAAACAGAGAAACATTCCTTAATGAGTCTTTTAAGAGCAGTAGTGGCTGTTTTATGTTTTACATCATATTATAATGGTTTACTGCCTCCCATTTCTGAAGACCTCAGCTATTTTATGCTTCACTCTGCTACTTTGTTGGTGCCTTGGACAGTTATAACTTTCTAGTCCAAGCTAGGTTTTTGGTGAATTGTGCTAGAGATCTGTGAAGCATCTTTTTTTCTGGTCCTAATTTTTTAAATAAATTAAGGTCCATTTTACATTCATCTGTTCATTTGACTTTTGCTTACAACTCTCTTTTGCAACTGCCCAGACAGGTTTGGTTTTTTGTTTTTTTTTTCCTACCTTTTCTGTGGCAGCAAGGAAGCCTCTTTTTGGGGGGCCAGTAAACAAACTAAGGATCTGAGCAAGGTCGCTTCACATATTTGCATAAAGCTTAATGTGATGATCTCCCAGGCAGTCCCTATCCAGGAATCAGAGTTCAAATAGGGGTGGCACAATTAACTTCTAAAGAAGAGAAAAAGTAACCTGAAGAGTAAGCATATGTCAGAGAAGCCAAAGAAACTGCAGAATGATGTCAAATGCACTGAAGTAGGCAAGAAACACAAAAACTTTTAAAATGTCATTTTGAAACAAAAGAAAGTTGCTAAAGCCCTTAAAAATCAAATATCCCAAATTAATCAGGATAAAAGATAGGTAAGTAGTTAATAAAATAACTTGGTATAGAGAAATATCTTGGGAAACTTAGCCATTAAGCTACGAATAGAATAATACTTTTGAGAGGTGAAATTTTCTCTCCTTCTCATTATATAACATAAATTTAACTCTGTCTTCAAGTAGGCTTCATTCCCAAAAATCTGGATCACCTGACTTAATAATTTTGCACGTCCCCTTCCTCATCTATTCTTTGGAAATTTTCTACACACATTGGCACAACCAAATTCTGTGTAGCTGTTATAATCTAAAATTGATTATGAAAGAAAGTACTAAAAACTACTACATTAACTTTGCAAAGAGTATCCATAAACTATAAATAATTTAATACCTAAAAACTAAAAATGTAAAGTATACCTGTTAAGTCAACTTTAGGCTGAAGCTGCCTCCTTACATATTTTAAGTTCAGCCTAAAGGTTTCTTTGCACATCGTGAACTATAACAAGTGGAGGTGTAAACAGACCACAGCTTACACGTCTGCCAATCATTGAGTTTTGGCCAATCAAATGTAGCCAACTGTTCAACCCATGTTCAAATAAGGCAAACACCAACCTGTAACCAATCCAGCTGTTTCTGTACCTCACTTCTGTTATCTGTATGTCACTTTCCTTCTTCTGTCTATAAATCTTCCACTACGTGGCTGTGCTGGCGTCTCTGAGCCTACTCTGACTCGGAAGGCTGCCCAATTCACGAATCGTTCATTGCTCAATTAAACTCCATTAAATTTAATTCGGCTGAAGTTTTTCTTTTAACACACTGTATATCAATTCCTGGTTTCATTTAAATGCATACCAACCACTTTCAAGATTAAAAACTACAGATCTAAAAGAATTCAATTGCAAGTAGTAATTTAAATTGTCTACTTTTAGCAAATACCAAATCAACTGAAAATATGTATTATGCAGACATAGCATATCTATGAAACAGCACACCAACTATGATTCTGCTCTACAATGCTGAAGTGCTAATTTGTGAAGTTTCATGGCACTCTCTTTGTTAGAAAACTATAACTTGTTCTTTAAATGATGAAGAATCCATTGCATCGAATAAGTAAGGTAGAAAGATAGAGAAAAGCTCTGAAAAAGAAGTAAAGTTTTCAAAACTATTTCAAAAGTTGGAAAAAGAACTGAAAATCAGAGTTTTGTGCTGAGTCTTTGGAGATTATCCAGTCCAACTCAGAGATTAACAGGCAAGTAAACAGAAGCACAGAGAAATAATACCTGTGCCAAGGTATCTGGGTAGTTAACAGAACAGCAGCACTTTCCAACTGCTTCCCTAATCAGTTATAAATTAATCTGAGAAATGCATTTAGGTAAAATTCCATTGACTTTAGAGTTACACATAAGAACCTAGCTCTGAAGGTTGATGAATATACCTAGACAATAACATAGTTCCTACAAAAAATACTTGATGGTCACAGTATCAGGATTCAATCCAGAAGATGTTACATTTATAGGTATAAGAAATGTGGGAGAAAAAGTACAGTGAGTAGCATTTCTAGGAATAGTAATAATCTGTTTTTGATGATATGTTGTAAGTTTCAAAATAGCTTCCCTACCACTCATTACACTTCTAGGTTTTATTTACCCCTTGCTAGATGGTGTGGATTCAGGCTAGGTAAAGTAATTTGAACATCAGTCTAACCCAAATATCATTGGAAAGGCAAATCTGTTTTTGAAACATAATTAAAAGCACAGAATACTAACCACACTAGATGCAACAATCATTCAGGTTTTGAAAAATCAACAATGATGTTACAGTTTCATGAAAATAAAGAGAGAAATTTAGAATTAAAACTGTAGAGGTTCATAATTTATTCAAACCAAAATATCTGGTAGGAAAATAAAACAGAAAGGAAAAAAATCACATTAAGTAGGAACTGGAAACAAATTTTATTATTAACAGAAGGTCTTTCTTTCTACATTTGTCCATAAAATAAAAATTGAGATGTAAAATAGGTGAGGGCGAAACTCTAAAAATAGAGATGAACAGCAAAGATTAAGTAGTCCATAATGGAATTTAGACTAAAATAGTCTTAAATCCTTACTTTAGGGTAAAAGTCATATTTCAGTTTAGACTCAACTGATCAGTATTGATAATATAGAAGTTTCTCTCTCAGATGTGTGAAGAAACCATATTTAAACAAATTTTACATAGTACACAATAATAACAAGAGCCATCACAAACATGTGGTGTGTAAGTTTTGTTTTCTATCTTGAAATAAACCAAAATTGGTAGGCAATATAGGTTTAATTATAAATTTTAAAAATCTTTCATTATGGAAAATTCAAACATTTAATAAAGACAAGACAACAGTAAACTGAACCCCAATCTACCCATCAGCTAGCTTCAGCACTAATAATTTCTTGTTTTACATATATTCCTCTCCAATATTGCATTATTTTGAAGCTAATCCCAGACGTCATTATATCTGTAAATACTGCAATGTGTATCTCTAAAAGATAAGCACTCTTTAAAAACATAACCATAGGCCAGGTGAAGAGGCTCACACCTATAATCCCAGCACTTTGAAAGGTCAAGGCAGGAGGATCCCTTGAGCCCAGGGGTTTGAGACCAGCTTGGGCAACATAGCGAGACCCTGCCTTTACAAAAAAAAAAAAAAAAAGTAAAAGTAAATTAGCTGGGTATGATGGCACAAACCTGTAGTCCCAGCTAATTGGGAAGCTGAGGTGGGAGGATCACTTGAGCCTCGGAGGTAGAGGCTGCAGTGGGCTGTGTTTGTGCCGCTGCACTTTGGCCTAGGCAAGAGAGACACACCCTGTCTCGAACAAAACAAACAAACAAAGAAACAAAAAAAATACCATAGTGCCATTGTAACACTACTAATAATAAAAATAATAATCTATTAATCAAATAACCAGTAAATGTTCAAATTTCTGTGACTGTCTAAAAATTCTTAACACTTTGTTCAAGAACCAAGAAATATTTGTCAGTACATTGCAATTTGTTGATATTATCTCTTAAGATTCCTTTAATCTATAGACTTGTCCTTCTTCTCTTTTTTATCTTGTAATGTATTTGTTAAAGAAACCAGATTTTTTATCCTGTAGAAGCTTCCCACATTCAGAATTTTACGTATTGTGCCTCCATTTTCTTATTTAACGATTCTCCTGTCCCCTGTATTTCCTACAAACTGGCAGTTAGATCTAGAGACTTTATCAGATTCAGGTTCAAGTTTTCAACAAGATTCTTCTTGTCTCATCTATAGATGACATAATTTGAGAACATGTTTGCAAATTCTTTGATACTCCTCCCATAGAAAGATGAAAGAGTCTGACTCTCTTCCCTTTGAGTATGTGCTGCCCTTAGTGACCAGTTTCTCAAAAAATAAACGTGTCAAAAGTGGTGGTGGAACACAGCTTCTGTCTGGCTCTCTCTGGACACATTCTCAGAACCAGACCACCATGCTGTAAGGAAGCCAAACAGCCATATGAAAAGGCCATCGCGGGTGTTCTCACCACAGCTCCAGAGGAGGTCTCACCTGAGAGCCAGCTTCAATAACCAGACAGGTGAATGAGCAAACCTTCAGATGATTCCAGACCCTGGACTTCAAGCTACCCCAGCCAACACCATGTGCAACAGAGATGAGCCATCCTACTGAGCCCTGCTCAAGTTGTAGATTCAACAACAAAATAAATTCTGTTGTTTTAAACTTGGGGTGATTTCAATGCAGTGGTAAGTTGGTGTTGTGTACTTCCATCAGGAGGCACCTAACATTAATGTATCCCACTTTCTGTGATGCTACCAACTGTTAATGATCACTGCCTAAATCTATTAACTCATTAGAAGTCATAAAATGGTAAAACTATAATTCTATAATATTTTTTCTTCCTTTATTATCTAAGACATAATGAAAAAAATCCTTCATCAATTTTTAGCTATCCTGAAGTACAATTCATATAATTTTTAAAAATCTTATTGATTTCTATTACATTTGGCTCATGGATACTTACTGCAGACATTTGATTATACAAAGACCTATACATGATAGAATGGCTACTAATTCTGTAACAGAAGTAGTTTATGACAACTAGAGTATCCTATTTGCCATTTGGATATGGTCTCATATGACTGCAGTGTGTGGAAGTGAACTGAAAAGTGAGGGATGGAGAACAACTAAACACCAACTTTGGAGCCCCAATAACCAGGAACCCAGGTGCCTGATAGTTGGAAAGACATTCAACAGGACAATGGTCTGTCATAATACAGACAATAAAGGGAAGCCAGACAAATATCGGGGCTATCTGTAATGCAGGCAACAAAGAGACAAAAAGAATCTTTCCTAAGCAAGAAAAGGGTTAAGAAAAGAGTAAAATGATAAAGGGTTTTGTCACCACATTATAGTACATAATTAGGTAATTAGAAGTATTAAAACAGACAAAGCATTGGGCTCAGATGAAATACTGAAGATGCAAGTATTCAATAAGATGCCCCAGGGGAAAAAGGAAAGCCCTTGGTGAGGGTTTATAATCATGCAATAGGACAAAGAAGCACAGAAGGACTTGAAGGAACAATAACTGTTGTTATGCCCATATTTCAAAAACGGAAAATCAAAACAAGCACTCATCCAAAATTTTTAAATGAGCTGATGAAAACTCCCTAGAATACTATTAACCACCAAAATAACTATAATATCTTACTGTGGTTTATTGTTTTATTAAAGAAAAACTGAACAATCAAGCCAAGACCACAACAAGGAACAATTTGATATGGAATAAAAACAGACATACTGAAAGACACAATTCTTTTTCTTCCTGTGTTCCCTATTTTGGTTGGTAATTTCCATTCTCCCTATTCAACCAAACCTGTTTTCTCTTCTTTGCAGGCACATAGCTGGATTTAATTTCCCAGCTTCCTTTTCAGTTAGCTGTGGTCATGTGACTTGAGTGCTAGCCAATGGAATGAGAGAGGAAATTATGTGGGACCAGGAAATACACTCCCCTAACTTCCCCACCGGCAGGCCTCTGTACACATTTCCCCGTCTAGTAGACGGAATGAAAAAGAACATGGGGAAGACCTTGAAAACTCCACTGGGATTGTGCTGCTCTTAAAACTATATCTGCAAATTTTTTAATTCTCACATTTCCCTTCTGAGGTAATGGCATAAAAACGACATAGCTTCTACATGGCTCTTCTTCTTTCTTGGATCGCTTGATCTGAAGAAAGTATCTTCTGAAGGAGGACCGTAAAGCAGCACATTAGAGAGATCCACATGGAGAGGAACCAAAGTGGATACTCCAGCCATAGTCAAGCCATCAAACGTTTGCAGCTCCAGTAACCACGTGACTGCAATCTCATGAAACACTCCTAAGCCAGAATCTCCCAGCTATACTGCTCCCAAACTCCTGATCCACAGCAACCATGACATAATAATTAATTGTTGTTCTAAGCCACCAATTTTGGTTGATTAATTACGTAGCAAAATATAATAGAGGTTTTGATATCTGAAACTGGGGTGCTGTTTCAAAAAAAAAAAATACCTAAAATATGTGGTAGAAGTGCCTATGGGACTGGATAGAAGACAGAAGGACCTTCAGGAGAGCATCAGTGAGAAATTAAGGCTGTGGGAAAAAGACTATTAGCAAAAGACAATCTGCAAAGAGGCGCCAGTGAGGGCTTAAATGAAAGTGAAGAAAACATTACAGAAAAAAAAATGGAGGAAAGGGGTTCCTTATTACGCAGTGACAGAAAGTCTGGCAATGTGATAGCCTCTAGTTATATGCAACATAGAAAATGAATCTAATAAACTGAGTGATCTAGCTAAGGAGATATCCAGGCAGAGTACTGAAAGTATTGTCTGGTTTATTTATGTTACTTATAGTAGAATGAAAGAAGAGAAAAAACAAAAGGAATAACTGGTAAACATAAAGGTGCTAGAACTTTCTTGGTTTGAAAATAAAGCTTTTTCTCATTCCCAGCTTCTCAAGTCAGCAAATGATACCAACATTAACACACTGCTTCTGGGCAAAGATCAAATCTAGGACAAAGACAGGCAAGAACTAAAGATGAAATCAAAGGTGTGACTGTAAAAGCCTTTGTTAAGATCTCAGAAAGCTCTAAGATGATGCCACAGAGAACCCTTCAGTCAGACAAAAGGCCCTTAGATTTTTTATTTTTTATTATTTATTTTTTTAGTGATGGCATAAAATTGAATTTACTAAGTAATCAATGATAGTTACTGGTTGTAATATTGGTGCAGAAAATAGGGTCCAGTCTTATGCTAACATCTTCTTTCTACATGATCCACTTGCTGTGTCATGTGACCCTTTTTTTAAAAAAAAATTATACTTTTAAGTTCCGGGAAACGTGTAGAATGTGCAGGTTTGTTACATTAGGTATACACATGCCATGGTGGTTTGCTGCACACTTCAACCCATCATCTACATTAGGTTTCTCCTAACGCTATCCTTCCCCTAAACCCCCGACCCCGCAACAGGCCCCAGTGTGTGATGTTCCCCTCCCTGTGTCCATGTGTTCTCATTGTTTAACTCCCACTTACGGGTGAGAACATGCGGTGTTTGGTTTTCTGTTCCTGTGTTAGTCTGCTGAGAATGATGGTTTCCAGCTTCATCCATGTCCCTGCAAAGGACATGAACTCATCCTTTTTTATGGCTGCATAGTATTCCATGGTGTATATGTGCCACATTTTCTTTATCTAGTCTATCTTTGATGGGCATTTGGGTTGGTTCCAAGTCTTTGCTATTGTGAACAGTGCTGCAATAAACATACGTATGCATGTGTCTTTATAGTAGAATGACTTATAATCCTTTGGGTATGTACCCAGTAATGGGATTGCTGTGTCAAATGGTATTTCTGTTTCTAGATCCTTGAGGAATTGCCACACTGTCTTCCACAGTGGTTGAACTAATTTACACTCCCACCAAAAGCATTCCCGTTTCTCCACATCCTCTCCAGCATCTATTGTTTCCTGACTTTTTAATGATCACCATTCTAACTGGTGTGTGATGGTATCTCACTGTGGTTTTGATTTGCATTTCTCTAATGACCAGTGATGATGAGGTTTTTTTTTTTCCATGTTTGTTGGCCGCATAAATGTCTTCCTTTGAGAAATGTCTGTTCATATCCTTCACCCCATTTTTGATGGGGTTGTTTTTTTCTTGTAAATTTGTTTAAGTTCTTTGTAAATACCTGGGAGTACAACTTACAAGGGATGTGAAGGACCTCTTCAAGGAGAACTACAAACCACTGCTCAAGGAAATAAGAGAGGACACAAACAAATGGAAAAACATTCTATACTCATGGATAGAAAGAATCAATATCATGAAAATGGCCATACTGCCCAAAGTAATTTACAGATTCAATGCTATTTCCATCAACCTACCATTGACTGTCTTCAGAGAATTAGAAAAAAATACTTTAAATTTCATATGGAACCAAGAAAGAGCCCATATATTCATGACAATCCTAAGGAAAAAGAACAAAGCTGGAGGCATCATGCTACCTGACTTCAAACTATACTACAAGGCTACAGTAACCAAAACAGCATGGTACTGGTACCAAAACAGATATACAGAACGATGGAACAGAACAGAGGCCTGAGAAATAATACCACACATCTACAACCACCTGATCTTTGACAAACCTGACAAAAGCAAGCAATGGGGAAAGGACTCCCTATTTAGTAAATGGTGTTGGGGAAACTGGCTAGCTATATGCAGAAAACTGAGCCTGGACCCCTTCCTTACACCTTATACAAAAATTAACTCAAAATGGATTAAAGACTTAAACGTAAGACCTAAAACCATAAAAACCCTAGAAGAAAACCTAGGCAATACCATTCAGGACACAGGCATGGACAAAGACTTCATGACTAATACACCAAAAGCAATGGCAACAAAAGCCAAAACTGACAAATGGGATCTAATTAAACTAAAGAGCTTCTGCACAGCAAAAGAAACTATCATCAGAGTGAACAGGCCTCACAGCTCTAGCAAGTAGAGATCAGGGATCTGCTAAACATCCTACAGTGCGCAAAACAACCTCTCAAAACAAAGAATTGGTCCAAAATGTTAATACTCCCAAGGTTGAGAAACACTGCATTACAATATATAAACCCAGAAGGCAGAAACAGTATCTACTTATTTAGTCTCCATCACTTTTTGAATAAGATTTGAGATACTGATTCATTTATGTTTCTGTCCTGTTTTGCTTCACAAAGTGCTTGCACACTGAAGGTATTTAATAAACATTTCTTGAAGAAGCATTGAATCTAGACAAACAAGATTAACATAAATTATAGAGTAATGGAAAAACAGAAGTCCCAGGTACCATTTCCATTTTGGCCTTAACAAGTTATATTTGTTTATTCATGTCATAGTCTTTCTGAGCTTCAACTTTTCACCTTTGCAAAATAAAAGGATTTTACTAGATGACTATTAATGACATAAATGCTTACAATGGGTGCCAAGTACTGGGAAATATGAAGCTACAAAACATATAAACTCAAGAAAATCTAGGAGAATAAAAACAGACATCTTACAGATAATTTTAAAAGAAGATAATTACAATAAAATATGCATTATATATTAAAGAACAGAAGAGGCAGTCTTTTCTTTATTTGAATCTTGAACTTCTAAAACAGTGGCTGACAAGTGATCTCTCAAGTAGTATTTGCTGAATGGACAAATATACCTACAAACCTTACAAACAACCAAACCTTTGAGGAAAATTAAGACGACGCAATCGGGCGCTAGGGATATGAAGGCAAAGCAAAAGCAAAGCCTGAACAAGGTTCTGCTTTCTTTAATTTATGTTTTCAGTGAAGAAAAGAATGACATATAGCTTTCATAGTTCATAAACAGGAGGTGAATACAGAATTTTTTAAAGTGAAAAAAAAAAGGAAGTAGTAATTTATTGTGATGACAATGAGTAGGACTCAGCCCAAGAGGGCAGCAGAAAAATCTCCAAGAGGCTAATAAGGAAGGTGGAGTAAGAAATCACCATACAGTTGAGAAGATTAAGCAAAAACAAAAAGGAGGGGCGGTTTGGGATGACAGGATATAAGGTTGGGAGAAGGCAGGTGTGGCTGCAGTTCAGGAGATGGGATCTGTCACCATCTAAGTAGAGGTCTTCATCTAAGGTTCTTTCTAGTTCTACAATGCCTGAGTCACTTAACAAGCCCTTTACCCCACTCCTCCACGCCTCCAAAAACATCTTTCTGTTCCTACCATAATGGTAAAAAATTAGGAAAAAATATAAACGTAGGTAGATACACTGTATATGTACTTTCAGTGCCAGACGAGACTGTGTCGCAAATGGAAATACAGACTTTATTTTGAAGTTTTTCAATAATTAAGAAAAAAATTAAAAAAATAAATACAAAGCATTACCCCTGAAGTACCAAAGCTGCTTCAATTCTAAATCTGCTGAAATGTTCTAAAAAGACTGTGTTACACTACCAAACAGGCTGTGCCCACTGGGAATATTATTTTACTACTCACCAAACTTTACTTTTTAACCTTCTCATAATCATATAAATCTACAACTATAAATAGTCCTTAAAAATCTGGGCTCATTTAAAACAAAGAAAATCTGAAAAGCAAAAACTCTATTGGTCAGCATTTCAGAGGGTACCCCTATAACTGTGCTGCCGCTATGTACTACTGCTCCTAAATTCCGAAGATTAGGAGCACCAGGGTGCTAATGAAAGCACTGCAACTATATTTTCATTAAAATACTGAAAAAAATTTAAGTTTTTAAAAATCTCACAAATTAGAATAAATGTATGCTAAGAATTTGCATGCTCAAATGAAACAGAAATAGGAAAAATATACTTTAAAACAGTACAGGAGCAGTACAGGAAAGATACTAAATATACATATGCAATAGTAATTATTTTGCTTTTATCTTAAGTGTCAAATGAGGAAGGACTACAGGCCATTTGACAGAAGCATTATTTTTCATATTCCTGAAAATCTGTTTTCCCCCCTCTTTAATATTTAAGAAACACACACAGGTTGCCGACAACTCTTAGAGAGCGGCTTGTGTTGTAGTTTTCACTTTCTCGGCTGTGAACAAGTGCATATGTGAGGGCTGGTCGTGCATGCACAAGCATGTACTTTGCCTGCATTAAATAAAATCACAACACAACACCAAGTACATCCACTCATTCATGTGTGCCTGCAGTCCACCTCGAGGAGACTGAAAATATAAATACAAGCTGCTATTTTGGTGTGATCACAGGAATATGGCAGCTTGTATTTTTTTTTTCTCTTTAACATTTTAACACTGGGCAGATTGTCGGCATTAACACACACCAAAATCAATTCTGCTCTGAAATTGCTTGTAAAATCCTTCTTCCCAGAGGAATTTGTTTTTTATTTCAATAAAAAATGGGCTTGGAGGAAACTGTGTAGGAGATACCGACATTTAGGACATCTTAACTTTGTAAAGTGTGACATCAATGGACCAAATTACTGGGAGTATTTCTTTTTCAAAATAGGAACTGAGAAAGAGGATCTTTAAATTAAAAAAAAAAATCAATAAATTACTCAGTAAAATAACTTTCGAATATGCTTAACATAGAAAAAAATTCAAAACTAATCTAGTTTCCATCCACATACTACAATGTAACATAATAACTACATTTGACCAAAAATTCAGGAAAGATTTACTGTAAAAATTCATGTCATTTTCTAAAGGTGAGAGAAAAGAAATAAAAGTAAATGTTTCACAGAGGCCATATCTAAAAGTTCAACATGAATAAAAAGCAAAATGTAGACATTTACATTACATATTACACAAAAATAAAACAATAATGAATTATCATTCCAATTTTAATATTTGTGCTGCTGGGGCGAGCATAATAATGAATTATCTATACAGCACTGTCCAAAGAACTTTCTGTAAGAATGGAAGTATCCTCTGTAAGAGTTGTCCAGTACAGTATATACAGTAGCCATTATCAGCTATAGCTACTGTGATGACTAAAATTTTTAATTTTATTTAAATTTATATTTAAACAGCCACATATGCCTGGTATCTACCAAACAGTACAGCACATATCTATAATTTTTAAAAAAGAATTTAAAGAATTTTTTTTTACTTCCCTACCTGCTCCTTTTCTCTTGCAAGCAATTATTAATGAATCCAGAAAATATCAAATAAGGTGTGTTTTAATTGAGGAGACAAAGTTTGCTTGCAAAATATCAAATTATAAGACTTAAAAAACTGAGAAGACAAAATTTGCTTAAATAGATTATGTTTGAAGCATGGCATACATATACACTATAAACAAAAGGAAACATTAAGATGAGAAAGTTACTTTTTTTTAAGACAGGATCTCACTCTTTTACCCAGGCTGGAGTGCACTGGCATGACCACAGCTTACTGCAGTCTCAACCTCCTGGGATCAAGAGATCCCCCAACTGCAGCCTGCCAAGTAGATGGGACTACAGGTGTGTGCCACCATGTCTGGCTAATGGCTAATTTCTGTGTTTTCTGTGGAGACGGTTTTGCCATGTTGCCCAGGCTGGTCTCAAATTCCTGGGCTCAAGTGATCCTCCTGCCTTGGCCTCCCAGAGTGCTGGGATTGAAGGCATGAGCCAACACACCTGGCCCAAGAAAGCTGCATCTTTAAAAACTCACCATGGAGATACAAGTAAGAAAAAGAATAATTAAATTATGAATGAGCTACCTAAAATGTTAACTACAATAACTAGAAATACAAAAGATCAAATATTGAAGATGATAACAGCATATCAATAGGCAATCAGATAAACTTTTAAATATGGTCAAAGTTACAATTATAAAAGTCAGTTAAAGAAATTTAATCATTTAATTCAAGAGAGGGAAAACACATTTGAAGAAAAGATGAGACTATTTGGCAATAGCTTATAAATATGTTAATCTGCAAATGATGTTATAGATGCTGCATATATATTTTTAGAATAGACCTTGATAGACCAAATAACATACTTCTTTGGCATCTAATATGGAAATGATATTTTATCGTGAACTCACTATTTCCACCATTTTAAATAATACTGAATTTCTTTTAATGTTACAGCTTTTGAAACATGGCAACATTTGTTCAGAATAGACAATTCAAGTTCTAAATTAGAATGCTGTAAATGGAAATTCCTTGATTTACCTTTTGATTATCAGTTTTTTCAGTAATAAAAATGGGAATAGTAACAACCTCATTAGGTTAAGATAAAGAACAATTAATTGAAATGATTGCAAAACGCTTTGAGGCAAAAAAGGGTGACATAAAGGAATATTAAAATTGGCTGAAGAGGAAGATAATATTTAATACAGTGACGTATCCAGATCAAATAAATTAAATAATGATGGCAGAATCACAGCTCATGAAATCAAATTATCTTGTTTAAACTCATACTAGAAAGTTGATAATATTATTTTTTGAAGTGTGCTTATGTCTGTGAAAATTTAAAGATGTTTGAGATAATTACTAAAATTGAACAACACTGATCATCAGTGATAAGATTCACAATCAATGATCATTTATTAAGCATCAACTTGGTGATAACCAGTGAGACAAAAACAAGACTAGGTCCATGCCTTCAAAGGGTTTACTACTAGGTTTGAAAGGTAAGATCTGGGCTAACACAAGAGCTCTTGTACATACTGCTTCTCTTAATGACACCAATAATCCTGCATTGTAATTTTTTTTTCCTGTTTTCTCTGTAAGCTTCTTAAGGGTCCATATCACATTTATCTTGGCATCTCTAGTGCCTGGTACACTAAGGAGATCAATATAAATGTATTGAATACACTGACAGATGGACCTAAATAAATAAAAGACCAAACAAAATTAAATAATATTAAAAAGTTATTAAGAAAATTCTATAGAACACAGACTAGGCACAAATGATTTCCAATTGCCAAGACTGGAAAATGTTTCATAAACTTGGGTGATGAACTCAGGCCTTGAATGGTTAGCTGTTAGGAATCTAACAGGAAGCAGAGGGAAGCAGCATTCCAGCAGAGGAGAGCATGAAAGATTCCAAAACATTGAAAATGGAAAGCACAAAACCTGTTCATTGAATAATGCCAGAAGCACTTGTCTAAAAGGGAACTGGGTATGTATTAGAGAAACTGAGTAAGTCCATTCTTCTTCAGGGCACAGGGAGTCATAGAAAGTTCTGGATTAGGCAAATAGAGTGATTATAAATCTGCTTTGAGTAGAGTGATTAGGCTGTTAACACATGGAATGGACTGGAAGTGGAAAAACACTAGATCCCAAGAAAACAATTAAACAAGTAAGTGACTGTGGGCAGGAGGTAAAAAGGATCTGAAACAGAGCAGTAAAAACGGAACAGAAACTTATGAATGTGAGAAAACTACACATAATGATCCCCTAATTTGTATTTTGAAACATAAAATACATATCCCCAACCCATCTACCTACTCCTGTCTTTATTACTACATTTTTAGTCTAATAAATCGCTAACATTACCTAACTTGAAATACTCCAATAGACTCCTAGTTGCTTTTCCAGCTTCCATTCTTACATCCACCTTTGCCCCACTGCACAGCAGCCATAATTATCTTTGTAGGTATCATGCCACTGCTCAATGTCCTCCAAAAGCTTCCTATTGCAATCAGAATAAATCTTTACTTTTTACTGTGGTCTACAAGACTGTCCTGGCCTTTGCTCTCCTCTCAGATTTCCTTCTCTAAAGCACTTGCTCTAGCCGAACTGACTTCTTTTTGCTCCTCTAAACACTGAGCTCATTTTCATTGAGAAACTAACCTTGCCCTAGCTACTCCCTCTGTCTACATGTTCTTGCCCTAGTTCTTCAGATGTCTGGCCTTTAAATTTTTTCACATCTCAGCTCAAATGTCATCTTCTCAAAGATGTCTTCTCCAATCACTATTCCTAAAGTAGCCATCCCACTGGCTACTCTCCTTCTAGCTATCTAGTTACTCTGCCTTATTTCTTCAGAAAAATGATCACCCTCTGTAATTATTCTCTTTATCTATACATGCTTACTGTCTCACCACTCTCCCCGACACCACACTAAAATATACAACCTGTGATGGCAGCATCCTATCTGTGTTATTCACCACTCCACTCTGTCCCCCACAGTGCAAAGGGCAATTATGGAACATAGCGATGCTCCATAAATATACATTTTTTCAAAAATTCTTATCACAAAGCTAGAAAACAAGTAACACTTTATAACCTTATCTGGGCTGTACTTCTTTTATATTATTAGGAAATTCCTCATAGACTGAAATGAAAATCATATATTTTAGATCATATAGTACCTTATAAAGATGTAAACTAAATTTATACAAGCTATTCAGCTTTTACAATTAAATAATTTGGTGGACTTAAAATAAGACTAACCGCCTTACCTCACAAGCTAAGTATTTGCCAGAAAATTTATATAGAAATGACAAGGAGACTTAATCTAAATGTGGAGAGAGCCATGGGAGAGTCTTCAAGAGAATAAGATATGGAACCCTCCTGTGATGGTTAATATTGAGTGTCAACTTGATTGGACTGAGGGATGCAAAGTATTGTTCCTGGGTGTGTCTGTGAGGGTGTTGCCAAAGGAGATTAAAATTTGAGTCAGTGGACTCAGAGAGGCAGCCCCATCCTCACTCTGGATGGGCACCATCTAATCAGCTGCCAGTGTGGCTAGAATAAAGCAGGCAGAAGAAGGTGGAAAGAGCAGGCTTGCTGAATCTTCCAGCCTTCATCTTTCTCCCACGGTGGATGCTTCCTGCCCTCGAACATCAGACTCCAAGTTCTTCAGGTTTTGGACTCTTGGACTTACACCAGCAGTTTGCCAGGGGCTCTTGGGGCCTTCAGCCATAGACTGAAGGCTGCACTGTCGGCTTCCCTACTTTTAAGGTGTTGGGACTCGGACTGGCTTCCTTGCTTGTCAGCTTGCAGATGGCCTATTGTGGGACTTCACCATGATCATGTGAGTCAATACTCCTTAATAAACTCCCCTTTATATATACATCTTTCCTAACAGTTCTGTCCCTCTAGAGAACGCTAATACATTTCCCTACTATTCTATCAACTATAGGGCCTCCTAGCTACCTTCTTTGGGTCACTGGTTTGCCATTTTAATTAAAATCAACTAGTAGAGATACATTTTAAGAAAAACACTGTATGTGTGTGTACATACACACACACACATGTATGTGTATAATATACATATATATGTATGTGTATAATACACATATATATGTATGTGTATAATACACATATATATGTATGTGTATAATATACATATATGTATAATATACATATATATGTATGTGTATAATATACATATGTATATGTATATGTATATGTATATATGTATCTGTGTATATATCTTGCATTTTTGTAAGAAAAAAACAGAAAATATAGAAGTTTTCAAGAACTAACACTTTCTTACATAACAAAGCAGAAATGTTCGAACTACGTAACTAAAATGATGAAAAAATTCCCAGTATCACTGCCTGTTTGGTGTGGCTATCAGAGGTTTATTTTCCCCCTTTCTTGTTTGCTATTTCTTTAAGTCAATCTGGCCCCCATGGCCTCTGACTCTGTGACTCGGCACCAGCGCTGTGGCCCCTTCATTTACATTTGATAACTGTAGAGAGATTAATTATAATCCTGCTCATTAGACAGATCAATCTGAAGTTGGCAAGTTTTTAAATATAACTACCTAGCATTTTTAAAAAGGGATGCCTTTACAGTTTAGTTAACAATATATACTGCACATTTTGTTTTTAAAAGGCCTGTTTACTACCACTGATTAACTATATACTTACTGAGGCAACTCCTTCTTTTGTTTTATTCAAATATTTACTGAGTACCAGGACTCCTGTGTGCTAATACAATGGTGCTCTACTTTCTGCACCTATATACTAGGGAGACCAAGCACTATCACCCATACCTCTGAGAGTAGCTTCCCTAACTGGGTTACTCCTGAGTTAACTGGATAACTCAAGCTAACCAAAATCATCCCAAACTTCCCACCCCATACCCTATTACCACTGCCAATTACCTGTGGTTTCATTTACTCTAAACCTGTGATTCCTCTGAATTATTTTCATTTTAAAGAAATTGTATTTGTTAAATATGTACTACAAACTTAGTAGTAGTTCATGTCATCTTATTATTCAGTATTTATAACTTGCAAAGAAATGAATATCAGAGAGCGAGAGGCCTTGACATTATAATAGATTTAGCAGGAATTGAACTAGGAGTGGAGCACACAGGCAAAGCTGCAGAAGTACTTGGAAGAAGCCACCAGAGATACTCACGATTCTGCACATACCTGGCTAATCCCAGATCCTAAGGATTACATTAAGTTTACTAACATTTATATAATGATTTATAGTTTAAAGTATAAACTTATCTAATTTACTATTCTGACAGATATTAATTAATCCTCAAATATCATAAGAGATGATTACTATTATCCCCATTTAACACAAGAGGAAACTGAGAGGGAAAGATGTTGAAGTAATTTTCCCACAATTACAGCATCCGTTAGTTACGACTCTATGATCTTCTGACACAAATTCCATTTACTCCTCACCCTATGACTCAGTCGAATATATCAAAGTTATGGACATTATGCTAAGTAACAAATTACCCTTTTATATAGTAAATACTGAGTAGATTGAGAGAAGAAATTGTTTGCAAACCTGAATAGCTTCAAGAAGAAGAGAAGTGAGGATAAGAATAACAGTTGTCATTTAACAAGTTTTAACAAGTAACTTGGTTAGAAAGGGATTCAAATGCATAAAGCAAGGGATAAATTTTTCTGGCAACAAGACTATACAATATAACCTTAAATATGACTTCAAATAATTGTTGGAACTTGATAAAACTAATTAAATATTATTGAAGATTATCAATATTATAAATGTAATTTACTTTTAAAAAGGGAACATAGAAATGTGTATCATTAGAGTAGAAAACAATCCTTATTATCACAATTTGTCAAAACAAGTTTGTTATTAACACAAGTAGAATACTGCATTCAATTAAGTTGACTGCAGATTTTGTGTTTTGTTAAAATTAGAAAGAGATAACAACAATTTGAATTATTGAAAGTAACATGTAAATAGTTCTACATACGTTCTTTTGACATCTTGTTCAATCATTGATCGAAGTTCTTTATCTTGGAAGAATTTGTTCCAAAGACTCTGAAATAAGGAAAACAATCTATTATATAGTCTCACACCTTTGTTTTACTTTTAGTGATTTCAATTTAATAATGTAAATGGTTAAAATTTATTCTTCTCTGAGATCATTTCACATTGCAGATAGAAAACCTGAGACTGGGGTAATTTTTATTAAAATCTAATTTAATCTCAGAAACACATCTTTATTCTAACATCAATTTTTCCAGTTTGATATTATCATATAAAGTCAGCCTTCCTCATCTGCAGGTTCCACAACAAAAATCCAACCAACTGTGGATCAAAAATATTGGGAAAAAATTAAAAATAGCAATACAACAATAAAAAAATACAAATCAGAAAAACAGCACAGTATAACAACTTTATTTAGCATTTACAATCTATTAGGTATTATAAGTAATCTAGAGATTATTTAAAGTATACAAGAGGATGTACACAGGTTATATGGAAATACTTATGCCATTTTATATAAGAAACTTCATCATCTGCAGATTGTAGTGCCCATGAGGGGCCTGGAACCAATCCCCTGTGAATAATGAGAAACTAGTATATATTCTCAAAATTTTTATTATCTATATAAAGTGAACAATACTTTTCACTGCCATATGCTACTGCTACTACCCCTGTAACAACAGAAAGGTGCTTGGATTACAGCAGGACTCATAGGCCAACTGTCCGCAGCTTGAACCTGACCTGAATTCCCAATGCACTAAGAAAGACGGGTTAAGTTTTTCTACAGAACTTGGTTTTATAATCCAGTAGGTTTTTATGTACATTTTAAAATGTGAATTTAAGGGAAAGTTTTTAAAAATTACTTAATATTTTATGTTCTTATACCGAAGAGTCTATAAATACTTACGTATTGGGAAAGAGGAATGCTAACACTATGGATTAAATGGAAAAAATGTGCTTTTAGGTAAATAGGCAAAAATTAGAGCACTCATACTTTTAAAGTTACATAATATCTTTAAAGTAGTAATCCTTGTCTTCACTGGAATATGAATAGAAGTAGACCTGATTTTTTAAAAACTTCTTCATAGACTCACTACAAAGGGTTACTTCTTTCTTCCTGCGAGTTAGCCCTACTAAGTGAGCCCTTCTTTATTTTCACGACGAAGGGAGGCTTTCCTTAGCTACCCAATTCCCCACTGCAACCCTGATAAAAGTTTTATTCTCATCTTTATGGTCTTATATTTTACCCTTAGTTCTTACAGAATCCCGAGATTTCTTGGTACTGCCATTCCACAGAAATAGATCATAAATTTTCTACAACACAGTATATATATGTAATGTAAAATCATTTCTACCAGGTTTTAGGTGGTACTGTATGTGGAATAAAGAAAACAGTTAGCATGAAATATATTGCTTTCATGGTGACTGGCAACCAGTCATATAAACATATTCTTAGCAGCAAAAGAGGTTAAGACATGAACAAAGACGAACTTTACCCCTTCATCCTGTGAAAGAGGATTATTGATCATCAAATCTTGTTGGCCAACAACCTTCCTCGGGTTGGTAATATGCTAGTAAAGAAAGAGAAAACACACACACAAGGATCAGAGGCTACTGGACTTTAAAGTGTACATAAGAAAACAATTACATTAATTAAATATACTATTTACTTACTATTTCTTTAATGTTGCTATACCATGCTCTTAATTCTTCAATTCTACTTATCCATTGACTTTTGTCTTGAGGAAGAACACAAAGAAATAGCTGTCAAGAAAAACAGAAGAAACTTTTGTAAAAATCTTAAGATATAAAATGTGAAACTATGCCAAACTGAACCACCTGAACATTGAAAGACATAATAGTCATGATATTTCATATTCATATCATCATTTCAATTCCTACCAATTTCTGTTTGGAGATATTTAAGAAATATATAATCAGAAAATTCAAAAAGTGAACAAAGGCCAAAAAGCAAGATAACAAAAGCTATACCACAAAATAGAATCAAGCTCCCCTTCAGATTTACATTAAAAAGGAAGAAAAATTCATTGAGGTTCAAATATAATTCACATTTTACATTCTAGTCTTAATGGGAGTGGTAAGGGGGTTATTAAGGAGCACAAAGTCTGATTAGTAATTGCTACATTTAAGGTTTTGTTTTAAAACAAGCTGGTAAAAGTTAGTGAACAACAGTCTCACTGAGGGCATAGCCTGAAACATGAAAGCATTCCTTTTACAGAAAAAAAATGTAATTTAAAGCTGGCAGTCAGCTTATGAAAATAACAAACAATCTTAAAATGACAAATTTGATTTAATTTAGTTTAATACAATATTAAAATAAATTTGGATTTAGATTTATTTTTAACAAATGAAAGATAGTAAAAGTTAACAGGGAATGGGGGTGGCGCACAAATACTTGTATACAAATACTCTAGCAGCAGGTCTCCTGCCTTTAATGCCTGCATCTAAAAGAAGAAAAGTGTATTTTAATTATTAAATCTAAATTATTGAACCTAAAACTGTCTAATACACTATGTGTTTTTGTCTTTACTTGCACAGACTCAGTATGCTTAATTTATGCAGATAACCCTAAAAACTTATGATAGAATTCATTCTAGAAATGAGTCTAAACCTAAATAAATTCATGTTTAGAAAACAAAAACAAATAATATTTCAAAGCAATTAAAAAGACAACTATAGATTATTATTACTAGTTTTGGTAATCAGTGGTCCTTTTCCTCTAAAGGAGAGTGATCCAATTTCCTTCCACTTCTTGCCACCCCTCACTACTAAAAGAAATGTGAAAAATATTTTCCAGCTGCCATTTATGAAGAAAAAAGGGAAGATAACTAAATGATGGTTTGATATAATAGGAACCTAAAAGTTAACCCCCGACCACTGCCTTTTCTTGCAAATCTTCAAGAATTTCTGCAAGAGCCTCTGGGGAGTGTAAAAGTGTTGCTCTGAATTTGGCACCATCAAAACAGTTGAAAAGATAGTTTTTTTATATGACTCTTTTACCGTTATCACTTACTCAGGACTAAGGTAGTTCAACCTTATTAGTAAATGTCCTATGAAAGATAAACATAGATGGTCAAAATAATGGGAGTGAAGTCTCTTGGAAAATTCAGTGATCCCCTGCATGGCTAATCTTCCAGGGCATCAGGTAATGTGTTGATATATTGCAACCAGAAACTGTAAATAAATATTTTCTTCTTACCTTCCAGCAAATGCTGCGGAACCTGCTGCTTCTCAGCTGCCCATTAATCCCCTTCTGCCTTATTGTTGCCAAGTAATTGTTGTTTACAAATAGTTCTTCCCATTCTTTCCTATATGAAAGAAACCAAAGCATGAGAATCCTTTTGTTAAAATTCCTCTGCTTGGAGAGAAGTTCTACGGGAAATTAATTTTAAGTAAGTCTAAAAAATGCAACTTTTAAAACATATATATTTAGTTGTGTACTGTTTCTGAACGCATGGCTGTCTTTTTGGACACAGTTCTTCCGTAGATTTAATGAATATGTAGATAGCTATAATTACGCCAGCTACTGAAATTCATAATGTCTATGGAGGCTATTCCATTTCCTCTAAAATGCTGATAGTACAGTTCAGTGAGTAAACAAGAAAAAAATGAATAATATATGACTCTTTTAGCCAATGACAAAAACATACCTGCTCCAAAAATATGCAACAAAGAAGTGTAATGTTGATTATATTAGCTTCTCATGTGAAATACCTCTTTAAATGATCCGATTTCTCTTTAATGTCAGGCTGGACAGTAAAGTATAATAAAAGACTACTTTAACTGTTAGTGCTGCTTACTACTGAAATTGCAACTTCTTTCTACATGATCAGTTTTAAAATTTTAACAGGTGTGGGCAAATTTGAAAAAAACATCAAAAAATTAAAAAGCCTCACTGTAAAAACTGTTAAAGGCAAGCTTGAGTACCTTGCAGTACCTATGGCTGAGTAGATAAACAACTGAAATATGCCTCCCAGGCATGCAGACACCAGGGGCCTAACACCTGTGCCTCATTAATATACAAGTAAATCTGCTCTACTGGGAAACAATTGGAAATTAATTGTCCCAAACCATTTACTGAGTTTGAATAAAGCAATTAGACCTATATTCCCTGCATCTTGCACCAAACTAAACATTAAGAATCACTTGAGTAGAGGCTACTGAGATTAGCTTTATGAAATTTCTCCCAAATTCCATCATATCACAATAAAATTTACATATAACTTAACATTTATTATCAAAGCTGAAACCCTGACGGCAATATCTTAAGAGAGATTTCTGAAAAAGAAAGCCACTAAAACCCTCAATCATTCTTCCGTTACACACATGTGCAGTTGTCACTGGCCAGACCCTACTTATTTTGAGAAAGGATAATCTTGCATACTATGCTTAGAGTAATGAACTGTACACAAAAATTTCAAAACTTGATCATGGGACAAAATGCATCTTCTCCAGAAAAGAAGTTCCAGAAGAGTGACCAAAGACAATGACACATTCCGTACTGCCACCAGCAGAACTTCCAGCTTTAACCCAGTAGCGTTGTGATCCTCAAACACAACAAGCCTTCTGCCAATAGTGGTTTCTGGCTAAGATTGCTAAATGAGACACACATTCCAGCCCATGCTGGAAGAAATGCATTTCTATCACCACTCCACAAAAATTTCTTATTCTCATCACTCTATTAGTTTAAAAAATCTGGCTTTACTTTAATTTGTACTATTAGTGAACTAAAAATTGTTCATGCTTTTGGGTCATTTTACTGCTTCCTTTGTAAAACCTGCTTTTTGCCCTTTGCCCGTTTTAAGCAGTACAGGATAGTGGTTAAGAGAATGGACATGAGAGGCACATGCTTGGGATCAGAAAGACAGCTGTGCAGTAAGGAAAGCTACACAGCTCACTAGTTACTTACTAGATGTGCAAGCATGGGCAAATTTCTTAACCTCTCTGTGCCTCAGTTTCCTCATCTGTAAAATGGAGTAATAACAATCTACTTAAAGGAATTATTATGAGAATTTCAAAAATACATGAAAAGCCCTCAGAAGACTATCCAACACACACACACACACACACACACACACACACACACACACACACACACTTTTTAAAAAAGAGACAAGGTCTCACTTGGTCATCAGGATGGAGTACAGTGATGCAACCACAGCTCACTTTAGCCTTGAACTCCTTGGGCTCAATCAATCCTCCCACCTCAGCCTCCACTGTAGCTGAGGCTACTCAGGAGGGACCACAGGCACACACCATCACACCTGGCTACTTTTGTAACTTTTTGTAGAGACTGGGTATTCCTATGTTGCCCAGATTGGTCTACAAAGGGCCTCAGTTGATTCTCCCTCCTCAGCCTCCCAAAGTGCTGGAATTAAAGGTATGAGACAGTGTGCCCAAGTCCTATACTTTTAAAAATTAATATTTTTGTTAATAATACTGCTTTTTAGTGTGCCTTATTGATTAAAGAGAAAAGTTTTTCATACATTAAAGACATCATGCCTTCATCAGCCAATTTTTTAACCCAATTGTCTTAATTTTCAATACATTGAAGCTTTTTAAATTTGTGTATAATTAAGATCTAACATTATTTTCTCTTATTGATCCTTTCATTGTTTTCTCTTGCTTAAGTAATTCTTAGCCACTCCAACATCAAACAAATATTCACTGAAATCTTGTGGGGCTTTTTTCCCCATTTTAATCCATTTTTATTACCTAAAATATTCTAAATATGTCCTATTTCCAAGTAGTTACGCATATATACTGATATCTCATAATGTTCAAATTTATTGTCTAGTTTTTAGCAATATTCAAAGATGAGATTAGCAATCAGTACATTACAGGAGTAGAGGCATACCTCATTTTATGTCACTTCATTTTACTGCACTTCACAGGTACTGCATTTTAATAAACTGAAGGTTTGTGGCAACCTTGCATTGAGCAAGTCTATCAGCATGTGCTCACTTCATGACTCTTGTGACATATTTTGATAATCTTCACAATATTTCCAACTCTTTCATTATATCTGTTATGGGGATATGTGATCAGTGATCTCTGATGTTACTATTGTAACTGTTATGAAGCAAAATGAACCACAACCATATAAGACAGTGAACTTACTGATAAATGTTGTATGTGTTCTGGCCATACCACTAAACAGTCCCTTGTCTCTCTCCCTCTCCTTGGACCTCCCTAATTAATAATGCTACAATGGCCTCGTACTGTTCGAGTGAAAAGAAGAGTCATAGGTCTCTTAATTTAAATCAAAACCTACAAATGATTAAGCTTAGTGAGGAAGGTACATCTAAAGCCAAGTTAGACCAAAAGCTTGGTCTCTTGCGCTAAACAGGTAGCCCAGTGGTGAATGCAGAAAAAAAAAAGTTCTTGAAGGAACTCAAAAGTGCTACTCCAGTGAACTCATGAATGATGAGAAAGCAAAACAGTCTTACCGCTGATACAGAGAAAGTTTGAATGGTCTGGATAGAAAATCAAACCAGCCACAACATTCCCTTAAGCCAAAACCTAATCCAGAGCAAAGCCCTAACTCTCTTCAATTCTGTGAAAGCTGAGAAAGGTGAGGAAGCTGCCAAAGAAAAGTTGGAAGGTAGCAGAGGTTGGTTCACGAAGTTTAAGAAAAGAAGCCATCTCCATAACATAAAATTGCAAAGTGAAGCAGAAAGTGCTGATTGAGAAGCTGCAGTAAGTTACACAGAAGATCAAGCCAAGATAACTGCTGAAGGTAGCTACAATAAACAATAGATATTCAATGTAGACATAACAACCTTCTATTGAAGGAGGATGCCATCTAGGACTTTCATAGCTAGGGACGAGAAGGCAAGGCCTGGTTTCAGAGCTTCAAAGGACAGGCTGTTCTCTTGTTACAGGATAATGCAGCTGGTGACTAAACTGAAGCCAATCTTTAACCATTCTGAAAGTCCTAGAGACCTTAAGAATTATGCCAAATCTACTCTCCTTGTGCCGTATAAATGGAATAACAAAGCCTGGATGATAGCATATCTGTTTGCAACATGGTTTACAGAATATTTTAAGCCCATTTTTGGAAACTATTGCTCAGGAAAAAAGATTCCTTTCAAAATATTATTGTTCACTGACAATACACCTCATCACCCAAGAGCTCTGATGGATATGTACAAAGAGATTAATGTTGTGTCCATGTCTGCTAACACAACATCCATTCTGCGGCCCATGAAGTGGGGAGTCATTTCTAATTTCAAGTTTTATTATTTAAGAAATACATTTCATAGGCTACAGCTGCCATATGATAGTGATTTCTCTGACAGATCTGGGCAAAGTGAATTCAAAATCTTCTGGTAAGGATTCACCATTCTAGATGTCGTTAAGAACATTAGAGATTCGTGGTGGAAAGTCAGAATAGCAACATGAACAAGAGTTTTTAAAAGGTGATTCCAATCCTCATGGATGACTTGGAGGGGTTTCAAGACTTCAGTGGAAGAAGTAACTAGATGGGGAAAAATAACAAGAAAACTAGAAGTAGAAGTGGAACCTGAAGATGTGACTTAACTGCTATAATCTCATATATATAAAACTTAAATTAGAAGTTGCTTCTTATGAATCAACAAAGAAAGTAGTTTCTTGAGATGGAATCTACTGCTGGTGAAGGTGCTGTGAATATTGTTAAAATGATATCAAAGAATTTAGAATATTTAATAAACTAAGTGAGAAAGCAGCTGCAGGGTTTGAGAAGACTGAGTCCAATTTTGAAACAAGTTCTACTCTGGGTAAGATGCTGCCAAACAGAATCTCATGCTACAGAGAAATCTTTATTGAAAAGAAGAGTCAATCTATGTGGCATACTTCACTGTTGTGTTTTTTAAAGGAATTGCCACAGTTACCCCCAACCTTCAGCAACCACCACCCTAACTAGTGGGAAGCCACAACAACAAGGCAAGACCCTCTACCAGCAAAAAGATTAAGAACTGCTGAAGGCTCAGATGATCCTTGGCATTTTTTTTTTTTGCAATAAGGTATTTTTAATTAAGGTTTATATATTTTTTAGATATATGCTATTGCATACTTAATAGATGACAGTATAGTGTAATCATAACTTTTAAATGTACTAGAAAACAAAAAATATCACGTGACTCACTTTATTCCAATAGTTGCTTTACTGCAGTTGTTTGGAACTGAATCCGCAATATCTGTGGGGTATGTATACACATCTCAAAAACCATACATATATTTAAATAGCTTGTAGTCTGTGAACAACAAGCACAGATCTCAAATGTGCAATGTTTTGAACCCAAAAGGAATCACAATTTGTGAGACACCATGCAGTTCTGTGGACTGAAAACACAAAGTATTCCAGATAAGAGAGGGAAGTATGAAGCAATGACTCCTCCAGTCTTTTCCAAAATCAGCTCCTATTCACAAGTACTAAGAAATTGTAAAAGTACAGGCACAGCTGGTGGCTAGATTCATTGCCATCTTGTCAAGTTAAGCAGGCTTTTAAGGTCAAGTTACATACTACTTATGTAATGAAGGATAATTATTTGTTAGCTTAAATAAGACCCTGTACCTTGATTACGGTGTTGGTATAGGGAAAAGAAGACTGAGGCATGTGAATTGGAAACATTATCTCTGAAATTTACAATCATTTAAATTTATTCATGGGTACTTACAGTTCTAATTAAGGCATAACATCTCAAACTGATGAACGGCTCTAACAACAGAGGAGCATAAAGGCCACATAATAATATATTAATTGTCTTTCATTTCTATTGAATAGTGTTTCATCAATAAACTGTAACACAGAGTAAATATAAACATTTATTAAGCGCCTACTATGTGCTTAGCACTCACAGGCATATTTTTTAAAACATACAAAGTTAAAGAGTGGACAGATGGATGTGTAAACCAATAATAAAATGATTACTGCAAAGCACTCTGGTAGTACAGAGGGGAAAGAAATGGTTTGATACTTCAAAATTAAAACTTAGGATATAAAATAACAGTAGCACCATAGCCACTGAAATACTACTGCAAAGAATTGAGTAGAAATGATTACTGCAAAGCCCTCTGGTAGTACAGAGGGGAAAGAAATGGTTTGATACTTCAAAATTAAAACTTAGGATATAAAATAACAGTAGCACCATAGCCACTGAAATACTACTGCAAAGAACTGAGAATCAAACATTAAACAGATTCCAGAGGGTAAACTGCTGAAAGGTTTAGCCCTTCTAGGGGAGAAGGATCAAAATGAAGGTTTTTTTACAATCACAAATATGAATGGTAGGCCTGCTCCTGAAGTTGGAGGAAGACATGATTAACAATAGAAAATATTGAGGTGTCAGTGGTGAAATATTTCAGTTTAATTTAAAAAAAAGTAGTTGCTAAACTTATTCTTACATAAAAAAATATACTTACAATGTGCCTGAAAAGCAAAAATCTGACAATAATGCCATCGAAATGCTTTTAAAAGACCCACTTATGATATAATATTTTAGGTAAATCACTTAGGGTATATATTTTTAACCCCTCTTTATGAATGAGGAAAGTAAGGTTCAGAAAAATTGAATAACTTGTCAAGAGAATAAAGAAATGAGAAATAGGAAAGACATCTTTCTGGAATAACATGGAAGTAACCACTAAAGGGAAACATGATTCTCCAGACACCAAGAGCAAAAATGACCTCTGGCAACAAGGCAATATAGAAATATACCCTTGTTTTCTTCCTCAGATTTTTAGTTTTTGAATATCAAGCCCATGGACATGCAGATAACTTTTTACTAGTTGGACTGAGAAGATAAGTTAACAACAGTCCCTGTGAGTAGTTAAGAACCTGGGTGTTTAGGTGTGCAAAACCTTAAATGGAATGGATTAGCCACCTGGACCTTGAAGATTTCCTTAACAAAGCATTAGTGCCACCTAGTGGCAATTACTCTATCTTGCAGATACTTGGTCCCTGAAAACAATCAGCATCTAAGCAGGGAAAGGTGAAGATGAGTAGGTTTCATTTCTCAGGCCAATGTTAATAGATCAGTACTGGCTGCCTTGGAAGCACCATGCTGAGAAGGACTCTGAGCTTACTGGTGTGCTCCTCAGGAAACAACACTGTAACTTATTAAATATGTAGGCCATGATTGATGCAATTATTTCTCAAAAAATAAAGTCAACTTCTGCAGCAGGAATTGATACCTTCCCTCTAAGACCTATTTGGGTAGTTAAGCTTCCTGCAATGGCTATTTTGACATGGAAAGCAATCAGAATATGTAGTGGATAAATACAGCTGATGATTATAATGAGATTATCTATTTGTAATTATATATTTTAACATATAATTAAATAGTAGTTTCCCAAGATATGCTCATAACATTGGTGTGAAACTAGTACCTTCTAAATTTGTTAATATCTTCTAAATTTAATAGTTGAAATACCTTTATAACCTACATGATGACTAATAAATTACTAAATTATGTGCTAATTTATGACTAGAAGGCTTCTGAATCATTGTCCCAAATGGTGATACACTATGGAAAACACTAATTTTACACTGTATAGGTTTATATGATGGTTTCTATCCCATTTTTAAGCTTAACATGGAAAGGAAACAATGTGTTTGTGGGCTAACTTAAGAAATCCAAATGACTACAATAATAGCAAAGAGTTCAGGGCCTACATACAGTTTAAGACTGAAGATCTCTAATCATTGGTTAAGAGGAGCTACTTAGGCTTCTACTGACAATGAAATTGCTGAGTGGTTAAGAGAAGGGATTCTCACCTTGGGGAAAGCCAAAAGTCACAGACAGTGGAAGAAAAAAGAGATAAGGTAGAAAGTTGCTTTTAGCTCTCTGGGAGGTATAGTGATAGGGAAGTGCAGCAGACAGCTCTCAGAGATGATCATGGAGTTTACAAGGTCAGCCAGTCAACCAGATCATTTCATTGCAATTCTAAGTAGTAAGATAATAGAACAAAGTGGCTACAGCAGGATGAAGCAGGATTTAAGTAGGATTAGATCAGGGTTAGATGGGTAGAATATCTGAAGCTGAGGTAGTAAAAGGTAAGAAAGCTGAACTTGATTCAAAAAGATTTATACAATTTCATAATCCTAAAGTACATGCCAATATTTTTAAAAATTGCCATATTTAGTATGATCCATTTATTTTATCAAAAAGGAGCCAGTAAATTTTTGAATCTGTTTCTAATCTATATCAAAATACATTAGTGAAAGATTTCAATCAATGCCAAGCACTGTACCATAATTCCAGTATTACATTTAAGAGTATATACTTTTAGGCCATTTTAAAGGTATGATTTTGAAAATACTATTCAAATAGAACAAGTAACATCTAACTTAAAATCAATGGAAATATGAAAAGTGTAAATTAGGTATGTCAGCATAAGACTGTAAAGTGTGGCACCAGATATGGGTAAGCTACAACATTAGGACTGCAGGTGCCAAGATCAACCAGATAAACACTGATGTTATCTATAATTACCTCATTTTTAGCTTAAATCACAGGTAATGAGGGAACTCACGAGTCTCTAAAAGGCAATTACAAACTGTACTGGCTTTTTTGCTTCCTGTACCACGAATTTTCTAAAACTTACTTTTATTTAAAGCTTTTTTCTCCTCCATAATGAAACATCAGGGCATATCTCTTATACATAAATATATATAAAAAAACAGAATGCACAATTACACACAAGCTTAAAATGTATTTTTTCATATGTCTAGGTGAAACATGTTATCATATGATAAGGCTCCACTGAAATACAGGTAAAGAATAGTTCATTGCCTAGAGGTTTGTTAAAATTACGGTCATGTTTTGATTCAGGTTTGAACTGAACTTTAAATTGAGAAACCTTGAGCCTTCACCTTAGTTTTCACAGGAACACAAAGAACTGAGTTAAAACAGTTAGTTAGGGACTGTCAAATATAATACTCTCCTTTTTATTATTTATTTATATATTTTTTGAGACAGAGTCTCACTCTATCGCCCTGGCTGGAGTGCAGTGGCGCTATCTCTGCTCACTGCAAGCTCCGCCTCTGGGGTTCAAACCATTCTCCTGCCTCAGCCTCCCCAGGTAGCTGGGACTACAGGCACCCACCACCACGCCCGGCGAAATTTTTTGTACTTTTTTAGTAGAGACGGGGTTTCACTGTGTTAGCCAGGATGGTCTCGATCTCCTGACCTCATGATCTGCCTGCCTCAGCCTCCCAAAGGGCTGGAATACTCTCTTCTTTAAAGGAAAAAACAAAACAAAAACAAACAAACAAAAAAACACAGGCATTATTTTCTTAAAAATACAGTGTGTAAGAGCTTCCAAATCCAGGGTCATATTAAAGTAGGTAAACTCAATAATCATACTTTAAAAAAGGAAACCAAGAAAAGCAGTATCACAAACTTTTTGATTTTATAACAAGCTTTTCACTTTTAATTGTATTAATAATTTAAATATATGATAAACATAATTAGATTAATAATAAAGGACTGGCATTTAGAAATGAAGTGAGAAAAGGATCCTATACCAGCAATCTCTGTGAAGTTGTCTGGAGTAAGTATATTTTATATTCCATGGTTTACTCATGCTTCCTCTATAATTAATAAGGAAAAAATCCTCTCCCTGCAGACCTTTCCTACCTTCTTCCCACCCTCACCTCACCTCATTTACTTTGATATTTGCAATAACTGGCAAGGGCTTGATATCTAACATTCTATAACATGATAAAGAATTTGCCTCACAGTCTGCAAATATAAGCCAATACTGTAAAGGAAAGGCTGGTAGAATAGAGAATAAATTACTTTCCAGTTATTTATAAATAGACATTTATTTAGCGAAACCTGATGTCCTAATTAAAAGTCAATCCTATGACTTAAAGCATGTTTTCCAATAGTGTGTTGACTAACAGGGTATTACCAAACAGAAATACATGTGTGCTTAAATACTTTCTCTAAGAAATATTAAAATCAATTATATTTTAACTGAATCCATCGTTCACTTTACAACCTCTAGATGAGCACTAAGCAAGTAAACTTTCCGAGATGACAGAAATGTTCTACATCTGACTCCCCAATATGGTAAGCACTGACCATACATAGTTACTAAGCAGTTAAAACATGGCTAGTTGCAGCTGAAGAACTACATATTGTATTTTAATTAATTGAAATCCAAATTTAAATAGCTTCATATTGCCAGTAGTTCCCATATTGGACAGGGAAGCTTAAAATGTTAAGGATGGCAACAATTCACTCATAATACACATTCAATTTTTAAAGTAACAACTATAACGTTTCAAGGGCTATAAATATACAAGTGATGCATACTCATATATAACTGGGGAAAGCAAACAAACATTAAAAGTTAAATAATACATGTGGTTAAATAAGTCAACTTAATTCCATAAGAGAGGTAACATGGCATATAATTATTCTAAATAAATGGTGCTACCAATAAGACTATTAGATATGGATATAATCTTTTCTTTTTCTTTCCCGTGTCTATCTCATTGACTCTCCCTGTGGTTTCTGTTTCTATCACTCCCTTCCCCTGCCTCCACCCACATTCCTTTTTTCACACACATACCTGAAAGTTAGAAAGGCAAATCTTTAGTGATGACAGGGTCATTTCTATTGGTTACCCCAAAATGGTCAATGCTGGAAAGAACTAGACCCAAGATTTGGATCACGAACGTAATATAATCATATTCAGTAACAGGCTGGCTAAACAAACCTGGAAGGGACAATTTAAAATGAAGATAAATGGGCCATGGGATAAACTTTTGTTTAAAGTCAATTAAGTATTTTAAGTACTGCTTCCCTGTGGTAAGGTGGGGGGAAGGGTAAGAAGGCAATAGTAGTTATTTTGGAGATTGTAAGTTTATTACTGTGAACTGAACAAAATACATGAGAAGTTTGTGTCTAGATCTACGAAAGTTGAGCTATGCTGTTCAAGAGACCTTTAAGATTTTTTTGACATTTATTTTTTATTATTTTTTAATTATTATTATACTTTAAGTTTTAGGGTTCATGTGCACAATGTGCAGGTTAGTTACATATATATACATGTGCCATGCTGGTGTGCTGCACCCATTAACTCGTCATTTAGCATTAGGTATATCTCCTAATGCTATCCCTCCCCCCTCCCCCTACCCCACAACAGTAACCAGAGTGTGATGTTCCCCTTCCTGTGTCCATGTGTTCTCATTGTTCAATTCCCACCCATGAGTGAGAATATGCGGTGTTTGGCTTTTTGTTCTTGCGAATAGTTTACTGAGAATGATGATTGCCAATTTCATCCATGTCCCTACAAAGGACATGAACTCATCATTTTTATGGCTGCATAGTATTCCATGGTGTATATGTGCCACATTTTCTTAATCCAGTCTATCACTGTTGGACACTTGGGTTGGTTCCAAGTCTTTGCCATTGTGAATAGTGCCGCAATAAACATACGTGTGCATGTGTCTTTATAGCAGCATGATTTATAGTCCCTTGGGTATATACCCAGTAATGGGATGGCTGGGTCAAATGGTATTTCTAGTTCTAGATCCCTGAGGAATCGCCACACTGACTTCCACAATGGTTGAACTAGTTTACAGTCCCACCAACAGTGTAAAAGTGTTCCTATTTCTCCACATCCTCTCCAGCACCTGTTGTTTGAGAACTTTAAGATTTAGAAGTATTTTTTTTTAATTGGAATGAGGTTTAAGATACAGTGTTCAACTACCCTGTTTTGGTTCTAATGGGTTGAGACACTTGGGCACGTCATCTGCATTAGTTTCCTAATCTGAAAAGGTAGCCTGGAAGAGTCTTTGAAACGCCTTGAGATTATGTCAACCAAACTACTTCTATGTCTCTCTCAGAACATAACATCTATAATCATGGAATGAAAATTGTATCCGTATGTTCAGATACAAGGACATCTTTTACATTTCAAATATTCTGTCATTTGCAGGTTATTTTTTATTCCATAGCAGCTTTATTGATTTTCTTCATATTTCTAGGTACATAATACTCATTCTCAATTGTATCATTGTCAACTATTTCATGATTAATTTTGTGTGATTTAAAGATTTTTAACCCTCAGTTAAAATTTTTGATCATCGATTCAAATATATCAAACATCGCTGGGTGCAGTGGCTCATGCCCGTAATCCCAACACTTTGGGAGGCTGAGGTGGGTGGATCACCTGAGGTCAGGAGTTCAAGACCAGCCTGGCCAACATGGTGAAACCCCCACTCTACTAAAAATACAAAAATTAGATGAGCACAGTGGTGCACACCTGTAATCCCAGCTACACAGGAAGATGAGGCATGAGAATCACTTGAACCCAGGAAGTGAAGGTTGCAGTGGGCTGAGATGGCCCTCTAGCCTAAGCAACAGAGTAAGACCCCATCTAATAAAAAAAAAAAAACTATGATATACTGAATTTTTAAACTTTAGTACTATCAAATAGCAAGTACTATAAAATAGCAGTTCATGTAAAGTAACACTGTCACCACAATGAAATAGATACATATGTAAATACTGATGTTGTATGGGTCACATTAGCTGTCTTCATAGGTAAGGGCATAATTTTGTCACTGATGACTAAGTTCAAATGGGAAAGTTGTCAAAATCAAAATGAAGTCACTTGTGTCAAACCCTAACAAAAGTACAGTTGGCCCTCCATACATGAGATTCCGCATTCATGGTTTATACCAACCACGGACTGAGACTACAGTATTCTAAGGATGTCAAACTCATGGATACAGAGGGGCTGATTTTTCCTATCCTTTCCAATTCCCTAGAGCTGACTGCTGGACTTTGGTATCCATGGGGGTCCTGAAATCCATCCCCAAGAATACTGACAGATAACCATAAATAAAGACAGGTTTAGAAAGAAGAGCCCTCATGCACATACGCTGAAGAAATATTACAAAGACTCTCTGAAGGGCTCTTATACACATACGTCTGTAACAAAAACTTTTGCCAATAACTTTCTAAACTGCAGTTTGCTACATAAGTACAAGGATAGCTAGCTGATGTACAAGAACACTTGCCAGACAAACTGTCTCCATTAATGAACTGGTGTTAGCTCCTGCAATAAGCCCCTGTAACCAAAGTTCTCTGTTACAAAATAAATTGTGTGTACTTTCCTCTCTTGTCTTTAAAAGCTTCCCCTTCCCTCAACCTCTTTGGATATGCCTATGGTTCCCAAGGCCTGCATATCCCAGATGTGCAAATCCCCTAATAAACTCAATATCTTTGGAGAATCTCTGTGTTTTTGACAAACTGAAACTTACCCATTCTAATATACTGCAAAAGAAATCTAAAAGAATGCATTGCTGAAGAGTGGAAAATGAAGACCATCTTTGTACATGTTGCTCGCCTCCCTGAAGCTCCTGCCCCAGCTAGAACACCTAGCAAACAGATTTTCCTCCTAACACCCACCATCCCAACCATTTGGTCTTCCCCTCGTTCTGTTTTTTGTTTTGTTTTTATTTTTGTCTTGAGACAGGGTCTTGCTCTGTCACCAAGGCTGGAGTGCAGTGGCATGATCACAGCTCACTGCAGCCTCAACCTCCCAGGCTCAAGTGATTGTCCCACCTGAGCCTCCTGAATAGGTGGGACTAGAGGCATGTGCCACCATGCCTGACTAATTTTTTTAAAAATATTTATTTATTTATTTGTCTGTTTGTAGAGATGAGGTCTTGCTTTTTGCCCAGGCTGGTCTTCAACTCCTTAACTCAAGTGATCCTCCCGCCTCAGCCTGTTGGGATTACTGGTCTAAGTCCCTGCACCTGGCCTTCCCCTAGTTCTTGATAAATGCCTCCATTATAATACCAGTCATCATCTATGTTAGTTGCTTCCATGTTTTTCTCCCTGCTAGATCATGAGTGCCCCAAGGGCAGGGTCTGTGTTTAACTCCTCTTTGGGTCTTGAGGGTTTAGCACACTGGTTTGTCTATAATGGAAGTATAACAAAGATATACATAATGATGGAAGATAAGTTAGCTCCCTTGAACAAAAAAAAAAAATAAAGATATAGACAAACGTTGAAAAAGCACTTGTGAAAAAGCTCTGGATTAAAAATAAAATGGGGAAATATAATTATTAACCACTACAACTTTGTGCCAAAAGACAACACAATCTGATATAAAAAAATAGGCAAATGTTAAATATTGACTCCTACTTAAATATCCTGTAGAAATTTCTCCCTTAAATCATTTGAGTCAAATTGTTTATGAAATAGACAATCAGAAATTAAGTATTATATAGAGCTACTATATAATACTTAATTATTGGGACTATAAAGGAGACCAATGTGTAAATAAATAAGCAAGATATTGGTGAATTTTTTTAAAAAAATTAACTATCCACTTATGAACCTTAATTCTATGCATTATTTTCTCAAATTTTTAAGTCTATTTTTGAACCCTAATTCTATGCATTATTTTCTGATACTTCAGTATTACTGAGCAAATATTTAATTGACTTTGTATATTTCACCACTATATCCTAACTATATATTACAAACAGTGATCCATAGGACTGACAGCAAGGCATTTCAACTGGGAACACCAGCAGGAAACAGAAGTGTGTCCAGGGGAAAGGACTCTCAGTGTTGATTGACTCAGAGTAGCTTATCCTCACATTTCAAATGTATGCCTGTCTTTTCAAAGATAAACATTTACACAGCCTTGGATGATCAGGCTTTCAGCTGACTATGTAAATAAACAAACATGAAAAAAAATTTCCCCTAAAGCCTGGCAACAGATAACTAAAAGGGCTTGAAGGGGTTTCTAAAGGAAAATAACTCAAACTGTAACACGTATGCTCAAGCCAGTGTGGGTTGATAATTAGGGCTGTGAATGCAAACAAATCAGTTGACTTTTCAAAATAGAGGGTAACATTTTTTCAAAGCCTTAAGTAATCAATAAATTAGTTCAGAGAGATTGTATATTATAAAGAAGCACAGATACTATCATAAAAATAATACGTTACTTCGAGAAGATGTATTCATCATTCAAATGTGATTTTTCTTTACTCAAAAGAGCCTCCACTATGGAGATAAGAACAAAAGGTAATATTAAGACTCTGATTTCTAAAAAACAAAAAGGCTATACATTTTGTGCTCTCTGAAGTGATCATTTAACTGTAAAGGTCGTGATGCTTCTTGAACAAATCTAAGAACAAACAAGATGCAAGAAAATTTGATGAGATTAAATATAAGAAGCGATTATATAAAAGTTCCTCTTATATAATCTATAGGTAACCATAGATACATCTGATTCTTTACTCATTTATTGCCACTTTAGAACTAGAAAAAAAAATTAACTTTCCTGAGGCAACGGCCAACTTTGTCAGCTGGCAGAGTTAATTACAACTTAAAAGAAATTTTAGAAAAGAGAGAGGGAAAGAAAAGGTGAAAAAAGTTAACAGTAGTTACCTACTATGTTTTCATGACAAGGGCCAAGTACTTTACACATTTTACAGTTATGCTCTCTACAACTCAATAATACAGATGTTAACATTTCATTTTTATAGATGAGGTAATTAAGAATCAGAGAGGTTAATTACTTTGCCTAAGGTTACAGTGGTAGAGCTAAGATCTAGACTTTAGTTTGTCTTATTTCTGTGCATTTTTTCCAAATTGATTCCCTAAATCATGTATTTATTCTTAAGAACATCTTAACATTATATAGATCCTCAACAACATACAGGCAATATAACAAAATCAGAAAAGCAAGGCTCATGGAATCAGGAAAGGAGCACTAATTCTAGGCCTTCCTCCCTCCTCTTCTACTTATTAAGCTATGAAACCCTGGAAAAATAATTAAAATGGCAAGGCCTTAGAAACTTAAGAGGACTGAGTGGTGAGGAAGAGGGATGGTAGATTCAGGTTGGTCTCTATCATCTTTCATATAACTTCTAGCAAATAAATTGATTGAGCCAATATTCTGTTTTTGTTTTTTGGTTTTTGGGATTTTTTTGTTTTGTTGTTTTGAGACAGTTTTTTTTTATCACCCAGGCAGCAGCACAGTGGTGCGATCTTGGCTCACTGCAACCTCCGCCTCCCAGGTTCAAGTGATTCTTGTGCCTCAGACTTCCGAGTAGCTGGGATTACAGGTGTGTACCACCACACTGGCTAATTTTGTTTTTTGTTTTTTTGTTTTTTTTTTTCAGTAGAGACGGGGTTTTGCCATGTTGGCCAGGCTGGTCTTGAACAACTGACTTCAAGTGATCCACCCACCTCAGCCTCCAAAAGCGCTGAGATTACTGGGGTAAGCCACTGAGCCTGCTCTCGTCCAATGAGCCAATATTCTTAAAAATAACATGATTAACAAAATTATATCACTTTAAGAGTGTGACTAGAACCCAGATTTCTGAATTTTAAATCTTGCTGCCAAAGTAGGCTTTTGCCCTACTATCTCCTTTCTAATATACTAAATCACTGTTTCATTGTTATTTCTATAAGATATATAATTCTCTTACATACAAATGTAAAAGGTACTATACTAAAAATAAATGTAAATGATGAAAAGATATTTCCCGCATCCTCCAAAATTATTGATTATATGCAAATAAGATACATACGAATCTTTGTGCTAAAACTTGAAGGCTAATTTTTCAAATTTATTGATTATTGATTATATGCAACTAAGATACATACAAAATTATTGATTATATGCAAATAAGATACATACAAATCTTTGTGCCAAAGCTTGAAGCCTAATTTTTCAAATTTACTCAATGATTCAAGAAAATTCAAATTAATGTACTTTTTCTTAGGCAGGAAAAGACAACTTTTAGATTTAAAAGGCTATACCAACTTTAATTTTTTAAAAACTTTTTACCAACTTGAACAGCCTTTGACTTGGTGAGCTATATATAGCACATACTATACTGAGAAAGGGAGGCTACTTTGGAAGCTCTGATAAATATCAAGACATTAGAACACCATTGTTTTAAAGACAAGTGCCTTTTTTTGTCTCTCCTTAAAAGGAAAAAAACAAACAACAAAACTACATACATATATAAAGTTCCCTTTATTTCTTCAATAAAAGCTCTTTTCAAATATGAAATACAATATTTTGTTAGAGAAAAAAATAAGCCAAAAGTATGACTGTTTTATTTAAAAAAATACATAAGTTTATAAGTATTCCAGTCTATAAATTTTTTAAGTCTCAAGTCACTCCACTAGCCCAGGTGTAGGATTTATTAACTAAAAACATACACAGAAGTATCTGTGTATCTTTTTAGCATTCAAGTAACTTTTGTTTTTTAATTCAACACCAAAGCTCCTAACTAAATTATTATAATCTTCAGCTTATTGGCTATGACTTCTAACTGAGCATCTTTGGTGTTTATAATTTTGAACTGTGTCTCTGGAAGTCAGCATTGCATTTACAAATGATTATTTTTAAAGTATCTAACTGTCAAGATGAAAAAGAGTGTACATTTTTCTTAAGAGTACAGCTCTGGAAAATATAAATAATGTCATGTGAAATTAAGTTGGAAAAAATACTGAGTAAACTAGATGATTTACTACAGTTTATATAGAATCTCAAAAATTAGGGTTAAATATAATGTACACATTTAATTTAAAATAATCTACAATGATTTATATTCTATCCTCCGCCATTTACACAAAACTAAGATGAGGTACAAAAATTAAGCAATATTTTGAGTTTCCCTGAGAATGCCAAATAACTGGTCTGAGCTTTCTCTAACTAAATTGACTATTAAGCCAAGTTTACCACAAATTTTTGGCTATAGAGACACAAAAAGCTTATGAATAAATGAGCCAACAAATAAGTTATTTTCTATATTGGGAATTATGACATTATACTTTAAAAATCTGAAAAAAAAAGCATTACATTGGCTCAAAAATGATACAGATTTCCTGTCAACTTTTGAGGAAAGTTATAATTTGATCAAAAAGATATTTAGAAACATAGGGTAATAAAACAAAAGTTTTTAAATGTTCGCCTTCAATTTATTTCATAGGTCACTGTTATACCATCTAGTAAGATAATTAAAAACATGCAAGCAGCTGGTACTACAGCTAAACAGATTAATGTAATAGTCTGTAGTCATATGTGCTGGCAAGGGGCTTGCCTCTTTTGGCGAGGAGAAGGTCAGCTGCCCTTGGGAAGAGGAGGAGAGGAGTGGCCTGTGCTACAGTCACTAAGTTAAACATCTTCAGCAAACTGATAATCAGGAAATGACTTTCCTTCTTTCACACCCATTCATGTTCTTCTCTCAGTTTTAATGGTTAAATAAGGAACAGAGAAAGCTCATATAATTTGGCAGACAACATTAACGTTGGTCTTTAAAAAGTACAAGATATATTTCACAAAACCAACAATGTCTTCTCAAGTCTTATAAACTTTCCATTTTAACGCATCATCTGCAAATTAGTTCAGAGATATACAATCAAATTTTAACCAAATTTTCCAAAACAATATCTGGACTATTACTCAAGCATCAAATAATAATTATACTGGTGCCTTAGGAGTTAAATGCAGCTGTACTCTATCTGAATCCATGAAGCAAGATCAAAAGAAGATATAAATCCAAAGTAAACATCCCAGGTTATTAAGAAAAAAAAAAGTCTATGAGTATTAGGCACATAAAGCTATAGTTAGGGTCGATTCACTTTAAATTTTAAAATTTATTTGTCAAAGTTCCAGCCATCATCTCTGAATTTATAGTAAAACATCTTCCTTTCATCTACTAGGTTTTCAAATTTGTTATTCCAAGGTAACCTGAAATATATGTCAGATATTGAGAATGTCAAATCTCAGGTTAAGCTTGTTCTTAAGCACTCTTTCTGCTAACAGACAAAACATTTATTTTCTTGTAAAACATATTTTTTCCTTTTGGTATATTAGATCACTGTAACAATTTCTGCAATACCAAAAGGTTAGTGATGATGACAATGATGATGATGACACTGTCTGGAACAAAAAAGTAACTAATATTTATTCAGCATTTACCATATGTCATTATCTGATTAAACTCCTCATATCAACTGTATTTTATCATCTCCACTTCAAAAGTGAAGAACTGAGGCTAAGACTTGTCAAAAGTATTCAAAGTATTTGGAATCAGGATCTGAACCAGTACACTATGTTTAAACATTGTTTTTAAAAAACAGACCAGGTGAAGTGGCTCACGCCTGTAATCCCAACACTTTGGGAGGCTAAGGCTGGCAGATTTCTTGAGCCCAGGAGTTTGAGACCATCCCGGGCAACATGGTGAAACCCCATCTCTACAAAAAACACAAGAATTACCCAGGTGTGGTGGCATATGCCTGTCGTCCCAGCTACTCAGGAGGCTGAGAGGTGGGAGGATTGCTTGAGGCCAGGTGGTTGAGGCTGCAGTGAGCCGAGATAGTGCCACTGTACGCCAGCCTGGGTGACAGAGTGAGACCCTGTCTCAAAAAACAAACAAACAAAACCCCCAGAGACTATGCCCTCTTGAAACTGACAATCTAATATCATAATAATACAAACAGTGGAAAGAATATACATTTCAGTGTCCAATTCAAGACTGAATTCAAAAGTTAATAAAATCTCAACATATGTTAGAGAAGGGTACATGTGTCTGATGGTGAATACAGAAAACAAAGTTACCCATTTAATGAAGTGATCACAAAAGAATTAATACTATGACTTCCCATTTAGATTTTCAAAGGCCTTTATTTTACATGTTTTAACCTGAGTCTTTAAAACAGTTGTGGGAAGGAAACAAGTTAGGCATTATAATGCCCATTTGATAGATAAGAAACTAAAGTAAATCTTAACCCTAGACACAAGTATATATAAAGTATGAGTATGTTGGTGTAGGTTTCAGGCCTGCGTTGTCGAATTGTGAGAAAAGCTAGGATTTCAGAGGCGGTTTAAATAATACAAAGGTAGAATTGTCATGCAAAAGGACATCTGAGGGTTGCAACATTTACATTTCTCTAATAACCTATGTCTAGTTAGTTTAAAGAGATATAATGGCAACAAAAAATAATTTGCATTTTCAAAAGTAAATTTTACTGAAAATTCGACTGCCATTTTAATGTGATTCTGCAACAATCCCTAGATTTTGTCAGTTAACCTTAATATGAAGCTATACCACAGAGCTGTGCTTCTATGAATTCTACACTTAACCCAAGTGTCAAATCCACAAGTAAGCTCATTATAAGAGCTACTGCCTACTGAGTAGAAAAATATTCATTTCACACCTTAAATACTATAATAGTATTTAACAACAGCACTGGCCTGCCAACTATTAAAAGTACATTTTTACATACTGTATTACTTGAGCTTTTTATCTTCTCTTTTTAATTACAACAATAAATTAATATTCTAACATTACAACATTGATTTTTAATCAATGCCTGCCATTTTTAAACAATGACAGGCATTGATTAAAAATATTTAGTTAACAACGTAAGTATTTATTGTGCAAAGCTACACTAGGAGTTACTTTTCAAAATACAATTATCATTTAATACTAAGATACTTTATTCAAGAACAAAAAAACCCACAAGATAATACTATACCTTCACATGAAAACATTTCTTTTAACTTTATATTATACCCACTATTTACTATAATTAGCTAAAATACAAATGTAATTGTAAAATACAATTCACCAACAAAATTTATACATATAATGGGATTTTCCTTCCTTTGAAATACATTTTTTTGTCTTGTTTATGTTTAATCGTGTTTATACCTAATAAATTACTATCATAGATTTCATATATTACCATATTAAGATTCCTCTGTTACATGTCAACTCCTAATATTTATTTAACTATCTTTCATATTTACTTTTTTGGTTATTGTTACAATCAGCTATGACACACTCGAATAGGGGATTCTACCTATAGTTTAGTATGCCAAATACAAGCTTTATATTATACTTCAGGACTCAGAAAGCATTTGGACAATTCCAATATTTATAAGGTAGGATGGATATAGTGAAAATTTAACAACAACATATGAGCTTTACTGCTGTGATAACACCCTTCTAGAACACCATGGAACATAAGCCTTTTGTAGTATCTGTGACACTTGAACAACTGATTATGTATACAGACCCCAAATGGTATAAAATAAAGATATCAAGTGTTTCAATTACCATCTCATTTCTGAAATTCATAAACAAATTGTAAAAACTGTTTCATTTACTACATTTTTGTCAAGTGCCTCCTGTATAAAAGGCCCAACTCTAGATGTTAAAAGCCCGCCTGAAATCTGAAGAAATAAATGACACAGTTCCAATTAAGAATATATAATATGTATACAAATAAAAATATAAACTAAGCATAAATTCCATATTTATTATAGAAAAGAAGACAGTTTAATATTAAAATTAGTTCTCAAGTACACAGTGGTTCTTGCATATATTTTATAGTGTTGTTACACAAGTATCAGAAGTAATTAACCACAAGGACAATGTTGACCAATTAAATTGTTTCTTCAAGAATCTGCATTGCCATCTATAATGTTAAAATGTATTATTATTGAATTTGCACTTTTTTCCTAAAGAAAATAACCAATTTCTTACACCACTTTGGTTCTGTATACAGATTTTCAAGTATTACTGAAAATACTTTAATCTTTCTTACTCCTGAGTTTCCCAGATACAAGGTACAAATTTCATAAATATTTACTGAAGCAAAATTCAAGTTATGAGGAGAATATTAAGAAAGTACTAGGTAAAATACATATTTTCTTAATTAGTATATCCTTTTAAAAATTACTAATTGAGAAGTAATAGCCCTGTTTGCTGAAGAACTTAAAACAGGATATTAGCAAAGAGCACTTAATTCAACCATGAACTACATTTTAAGCTCTCTTAGGCGCTCATGAGCGGTACTATATTTTAGCAGGAAAATTAAAAGGAAGCTTTAGTACCGTAACAGATATACTGGAAAAACAAAAATAGATTATAATGAAGCTGAATACTACATGTGCATTCATTCCAATTACCCTACTATTGGCTAACAACAGATACTGCAGTAAGTGCATTTACTCAAAAATTTAGAATATTATATTTTTCTGTATCTTATTAATTACAGAAAATAACATAACACAATATTGTTTACATTGGTCACCTTGTTAAAACACAAGTAGTGGTTCCTTACTATTCTAGATCAAAACCCTATATAATTATATATCTTATACATTATCTTATAATATTATATGTGTGTGTGTGTGTGTATATATATATATATATATATATGTATTCATCACCTACCTATAGGAATTAAAAGTCCCTTCAGAGTCTAAAGTAGAACTTGTTCTTCTTCCATTTTTATTTGAATCTCCTGGAGAAAAAAATTACGACACTGAAATAATGGAGATAAACTGAATATTTCAGTTGAAAAACTGTGTGAAAGCTCTACGCAATATATTAGCCAAAAAGCATACATCCTCTCCCCCTTCCCCAAATTATCTTTTGTACTCAAAGCTTTTTAGGTAGAAAACTCATTTTGATACCAAAATATAAACCAATGCCAATCCTAGACTGGACAGTAACAGTACCAAAGTAATTGCTATCAGGAACAAATGAGGCACAGTACAAACATTTTCTTCTTATGAATTACAGACAAAACTAAAATTATAAACCAGTGTTTATAAAGAAAGGAAATTTTCTGTTAATGACTAAGTCACCCATCCTGATCAGTGGCACTGTCAAAAGAGAACAGGCAGAGAGCCGACCTGGATGATTTTCCAGGTCCTAGTTTGATGCTCTCTAGGAATTTAGTAAACAGAGGTAAAATAAAAAGCCAACTTGAGAGGTAGTGATTAATTAATGAGATTTTAATATGCCTTACTTAATATTCTTTACAAAACTTTATCTGTTAACTTTAGGTTTCAACTGTCAAAAGTTCGGCAATTTAAAACATGAAAAAGGAACAACATCAAAAGGTATTTGTCTTCTATAATAATATCAAACATTTAGAAAAAAAATTTTTACTCAAAAATCTATCATATTCATAAAATCACATTTAGAACAAATTATACATATCAATTTAAAGACTACAGAATAAAAGTAAATGTACTAAAGTTGGAAAAAATGCTTACCAATGCCCCGTTGTTATATATTCTTATTGATTGAAATTTCATAGTTCAATTTTTTTAAATATATACTTCAAAGTACAGCTTTTATGAAACCATAGTATACCACTATTAAAAATGTCATTTGTTCTTCAAAACAAATTAAAAGTTTAGAATCTGATTATATTTTATACTCCTAATTTATATAATGTAACTTTCAAACATCAGGTTGTATTTGATTTTTATAATATTTACAGCTTAATATAACAATGATTTAATCCAATTTTATACTTTTAATATACTTTGAACAACCGAAGGTGCAATAGGAAATCATCACAGTGGTCGTGGATAAGTCAAACAGTAATTACAGAGCTTTCACTTTAAAGATGAGATTATTTTTAATTATTGAGTATAGTATCTAAGGTACTATACTTATATAATTATGCTACTCATTAAATGGTGACTGAATGCTGAAATGTAATTTTAATGACAGCTACCTATCTTTCTTTACACATTTTATAGCTGACAGATAGTAAAGAACACTGGTTCTTTTTTGAGAATTTGGTGAGATATGTGCAGCTGTGCCAGTGTTCAGGAGAAGTGGACTGAGCCTGCTTATTAAACTTTCAACTCTACTCTTTTTTCAAAATATTGTTCCAGTTTATTTTGTTTTTTGAAAAAACAAAAAATCCTAAAATGGATTACAACACTTAAAAATGGTGACAATTTATAGAAGAAAATAATCCAAAAACATATAAATGTTTAAAATTAACCTAGCTAGGTATAAGTTGCTAATTCTTTGAAAACATGGGTATGGTATTACTCATACAGCACCCTTCATTTTCTTTTAAAAATTAATAATATTATAATAAACTAAAAAGATGTAAGGAAAATTAGTCTCTGTCTTGCTAAATGAAAATTTCCTACAACACATGTTATTTAACAGCTTGCAGACATTTCCTGTGAAACGTTCCATAATCAGCATAGAATAAGTACTATATTATACATTTAAAATATGAGCTTCTTTCTCGTTAAAACTAAAGATTATGATTAAACATGAAAAATAACACCAATAGAATAGTTCTTCCTTTAAGGTGATATTTATCAGATCAAATATAAAATCCTTCAAATAATTAAGAGAATTTGGCTTTATAAACAACCAGGTTTTATCATATTATAAAGGTTTTATTTAATTTAAAACTGTTTCCAAATGAAACTATCACATTAAATGTAACTTTCAAGGTGCAAAAAAATGGTAATAGGGAAAAAAAAAGCAGTTTTTCTTTCTCAAAAACATAGCAAATAAGGAGTACAATTGTTTCACTAACAATATTAGAGAAAAGATTTCAGAGTTGGCTATATGGGGAAAAGGCAATAAAGTTTTGAAGCGGGAAAAACGCTTTGTTCCCTCAATCCTCTAGTTGAAATTAATTATGGCAAATGTTTATGAAAACATCTGTTCCTTACAGTTATAAACTCTTAATTTTAGTATGGACGATCCCAGACTCTTATTTTGGAAGGAAACTGTCTGACTATGGAAAGGTTTACAAAAGAACAGACAGAATCTGTAATTCTGTAAAATTGTGTATACAATGTGCTACATCCTGTAGAGATTTTCCTTGGTGTGAAACATTTGGAGAGGCTTAATACCAGTAACTAGGAGAAATCAAAGACAAACAGAAAGGCTCATTTTTCATTTAAGCTATAATATGATAAAAAACATATCTGTAACACCAGAAAACAACTTCCGCCAGTTTGGGAAATAAACAAGTGTTACTTTACTACTGAATCTAATTTGGAGGTAAGTATAATAAAATAAGTATTAATTTTATAAGGGATTAAAGTAAATGAAATGACAATACAATCATGGGAACGTATATGTAGTGTTTCCCAAAAATAACAACAGAGGGTGCAAGAGAGTTTACTATGATGTTTTTACTTGCTATTCTGATCCTTGAACTAAGTTGTCAGGTAGCCGTAACTGTAACAAAGATGCATCATACACACACATACAAATACAGTATTAATGTAATCTTACACAAAGACTATTAAATGGTCAAACAGCACAAATATCTAAAATGTGGTTTAAGATAATAGGCTTCCTCTTACCTGAAAATAATTTAACTAATCTGCAATTTTTAGAATACAGTTGTAACTTTAAAGGTATTTCAATATCTAATGTAAAGTAACCAGTAAAAGAATCTAGATGTCTTTATTGAGTATATTTTGAATACATGCATGAATTATATAAAATAAATAACATATGTGTAACTATATATTTATAACATTGTACAACATATATCTATAAGAACAATTCATCAATTACTTGTGACCGTAAGTTTGAAATTTATATAACATTCATTTCTCATTAATTGGTATGCAACTTTCCTAATGGGTTCATAATATTCAATGAAAATAAATTGCTGATTTGCAAAAATATGCTGATAGTTACATTGGCTTAAATTATAAGAAAATGCATAATATTGCTTAATAGTAATTTCTAACATGTGTATCTAACTTACTAAGCCAGAAAGGATAACTGTGACTTAAATTTCAAAACAGAATGAATGGAATTTCAGACTCCCTTTTAGCTTTAACTGAAGTCATGTTTAACAAAGGGCATTTTTGGTTCCATCTGTGCACTGTTGAAATCTTTCTAAAGGGAGGTTTACAATAGATTTCTGTAGTATTTTTTTATACACAAACATCTAGTTCATGAAGAGAGAACCAGAGATTTTTAAACTAGGTTAAGTTAAAAACAGCCAGAATAACACTATAAATAATCACGCCTACTCAAATGTGTCTTCAGTTTACATGTGAAAACATCAAGTTTTAGACTATCACATCACACTAGGTATGAATTCTGAAAAGTATTACATAATAAAGAAAAGGTTTTATCTTTGAATCATTAGAGAACTGTCAACATACACAGTCTGGGTGGGGTATTTAATAGTAAGATGGGGAAAAATGACTTGGTTCAAACTAAGATGAAAACAAAGCTATGAGTTTAGTGTAAAGACCTGAAAGCCTTTGTGTCTTTTAAAGGAATTAGTATATACCAATGAAATGTTTTAGTTAACTTTAAAATCCTTTAAAAAAATGATTTTTAAAAATCTATGAATAAAGTATATTCATGTGTTGACACACAGTGAAGGCAAAGCATAATGACTCAGCATTATCCATAAAGTAGCCACATCATTTGTGAAATCAGGCTAACCATTAGCCACCCCAAGCTAATTACTTATGCTAAAAATCCAGGACCACTCATTAGATCTAAGAGCCAGTGCTGAAGTCAACACAGAAAAAAATGTGTCAATTTTATAATTTTCAATTTTCTTTATTATTGTTAATGTACTTACATTCCAGTGATTTAATAGTCATATTTAGTTCTCTAAATAATGTCTTAAAAAATCTGTATTGTAGATAATGAAAACTCAAACGTAAAATAGAAATTCATAAGAAGTCTTAAATAAAAAACATTTTCAAGTGGACATTTTAATTTGAGAAAAGGATGCTTTGTTATCAAAGGTTCCTATTAAACCTTTCATAGAATTCTTAAAAACAAAAGACAGAAAGCAGCATGACATCAGCAAGATGGCAGAGTTTGAAACTCCAAGTAGTACATGTCCTCCCACAGAAACACTGAAAAACAAAAAGTAACTTTTAGGACTTTGTAAAAGCTGTAATAAACAGTCAAAAATGTTCCAAAGCAAAATGAACACTGAATCAAGAAAAAAGGCAACTTAAAAATTTCGTGGTGTTTACACTTGCCCTTGCCCCACCCACCCCATCCCTGGCACTGTAGCAGTCTGGAAGAGGGTAGCTACTTTCCCAGGGTGGGAGTCTGGTACTTAGTTCTCGAAGGGAAGAGGGTACCATGTTAGCAAATTGTTGTGCATATATGTTCTACCCTGTGTAAGGGCCACCTGAAAGATGACACAAGGTGCCTTTCTCTGTTCCGGCTACTTTAGAAGAAGCAGCGGACATGAATAGAACATACAACAAGCCAAACTAAACACCCGATATACAGTCCATTCTCACGCTGCTATAAAGCACTGCCTGAGACTGGGTAATTTAAAAAGGAAAGAAGTTTAATTGACTCGCAGTTCCACATGCCTGGGAAGGCCTCAGGAAACTTACAATCATAGCAAAAGGGGAAACAAACATGCCCTACCTCATATGATGGCATGAAGGAGAAGTACAGGGCAAAACAGGGAAAAGCCCCTTATAAAACCATCAGATCTCATGAGAACTCACTATCACAAGAGCAGCATGGGGGTAACCGCCCTCATGATTCAATTACCTCCAACTGGGTCTCTCCTGTAACACCTGGGGATTATAAACCTATATTTCAATATGAGATTTGGGTGGGGGCACGGCCCAACCATATCACTGTACCCCCTCCCAAATCTCATGTCTTTATAATTCAAAACACAGTCATGCCTTCCCAACAGTCCTGCAAAGTCTTAACTCATTCCAGCATTAACCCAAAAGTCCAAGTCCAAGGTCTTATCTGAGAAAGGCAAGTCCCTTCCTCTATGAGCCTGCAAAATCAAAAGCAAGTTAGCTACTTCATAGATACAATGGGGGTACAGGCATTGAGCAATACACCCGCTCCAAATGAGAGAAACTGACCAAAACGAATGGGTACAAGCCCCATGCAAGTCCAAAATCCAAGAGGCAGTAATTAAACTGTAAAGTACCAAAATGATCTACTTTGACTCCATGTCTCACATCTATGTCACACTGATACAAGAGGTAGGCTCCCACGGCCTTGGGTAGCTCTGCCCCTGTGGCTTTGCAGGGTACAGCTCCCCTCCCGGCTGCCTTCACAGCTGGCGTTGAGTGTCTGCAGCTTTACCAGGTGCACAATGCAAGCTGTCACTGAATTTACCATTCTAGGGTCTGGAGAACAGTGGCCCTCTTCTCACAGCTCCACTAGGCAATGCCCCAGTGGGGACTTTGTATGGGGACTCCAACCCCACATTTCCCTTCCACACTGCCATAGCAGAGGTTCTCCATGAAGGCCCTGTCCCTACAGCAGACTTCTGCCTGGACATCCAGGTGTTTCCATATATCATCTGAAATCTAGGCAGAGATTCCCAAACATCAATTCTTGTCTTCTGCACACCCACAGGCCCAACACAATGTGAAAGCTGCCAAGGCTTGGGGCTTGCACCTTCTGAAGCAATAGCCCAAGCTGTACACTGGATTCTTTTAGTTACAGCTGGAGCTGAAGCAGCTGGGATCCAGGGCACGGCCCAACCATATCACTGTACCCCCTCCCAAATCTCATGTCTTTATAATACCTGAGGTCTTTATAATTCCTGAGGTCTTTATAATTCCTTTATAATGTCCTGAGGTTGCATAGAACAGGGGGGCCCTGGGCCCAGCCCACAAAACCACTTTTCCCTCCTAGGCCACCCGACCTGTGATGGAAGGGGCTGTGGTGAAGGTCTCTGACATGCCCTGGAGACATTTTCCCCATTGTCTTGGTAATTAACATTCCACTCCCCGTTACTTCTGCAAATTTCTGCAGTGGGCTTGTAATTCTCCCCAGAATTTTTTTCCCCCTACTACATTGTCATCCTGCAAATTTTCCAAACTTTTATACTCTGCTTCCTTTTGAATGCTTTGTTGCTTAGAAATTTCTTCCACCAGATACCCTACATCATCTCTCTCAAGTGCAAAGTTTCACCGATCACTAGGGCAGGGGCAAAATGCCACCAGTCTGTTTGCATAGCAAGAGTTAACTTTATTCCAGTTCCCAAAAAGTTCCTCATTTCCATCTGAGACAACCTCAGCCTGGACTTTATTGTCCATATCACTATCAGCATTTTGGTCAAAGCCATTCAACAAATCTCAAGTTCCAAACTTTCCCACATCTTCCTACCTTCTGAGCCCCCCAAGTCTCTAGGAAATTCCAAACTTTCCCACATTTTCCTGTCTTCTTCTGAGCCCTCAAAACTATTCCAACCTGTGGCTATCAACCAGTTCCAAAGTCTCTTCCACATTTTTGGGTATCCTTATAGCAGCACGCCAATCTCTGTGGTACCAATTTACTGTATTAGTACCTTATCACATTGCTATAAAGGACTACCCAAGACTGGGTAATTTATAAAGGAAAGAGGTTTAATCAACTCACAGTTTCGCATGGCTGGGGAGGCCTCAGGAAACTTACAATCATGATGGAAGGGGAAGCAAATATGTCCTTCTTCATATGGCAGCAGGATGGAGAAATGCCAATTAAAAGGGGGAAAAGCCCCTTAGAAACCATCAGATTTTGTGAGAACTCACATAATATCACAAGAACAGCAGCATGGGGGTAACTGCCCCCATTATTCAATTACCTCCCACCAGGTCCCTCCCATGACACATGGGGATTATGGGAACTACAATTCAAGGTGAGATTTGGGTGGGGCCACAGCAAAATCATATCACTCACAGATGCCTGCGGCAAAAGACTGCAATTGAAACATAAGATAGACCACCTAAGGCCTGGGAGCAAAAGCTGGTGAGGATTTCTTTGGGAAATTAGGACATTCAAAAGCATCCATGTGTATTGGAGAGATGTAGAAGGCCGTGTGTGTGCCTAGAGCAATATGCATGATCAGAAAGTAACTGAGAAGACCCTAAGCTTCCACCAAAAGCTGATCACTATATGAGGACTGCAAGCGTGGCTAAATGTTAAAGAACTACTGTGGCACAGAGCCAGTCTGCAAAGACAGGAAGAGGTTTCGAATTTTTAGGGTGGGGGTCTATATAAATACAAAGTGCTTTTAGCTTTTAAGAGAACAAATACACTGTCCATGATCTCTGTTTGAAGTATTTCCAGGAGTAAGCCTTACTGAATTGGTAAAATTAAACTGACAGATTCAGTTTAATGAAATCAGGAACTAGAGGCATTAAAGTATCATAATTAAAAGCTAAGACTCTACCATTTGTTTGTTATCTCACTTAACCTTTCAATATCTCAGATTCCTCATCTGTAAAATGGAGAAAACAATAGGTTCTACTGCAAAACGTGGTAAGAAAGATTAAATGAGATAAATGTATGTAAAGTGCTTATAGTACAATGTAAGTCCTCAAAAAAAGTTAGCTATCATTTTTATTAACATTTTAATCAATGTATTTATAATACTGGTTCTAGTAGAGGTATAAAAGTAAAAGGCTACTAGTTCTACACAAGGAGAAATACACTTACTCATAACTTAAATAATTGAATATTGTGGCTTTTTTCTTCTTATCAATTAAAGGAGCATTATTTCTGAAAAACTTTATCAAAAACTTTATGAATTATATGAGGATGGTGTATAAGTCTTGTGCAGCCCTTATAATATCCTTCCTGACAACGATCTTATCAAACATAAAATATTTAAAGAGAATGCAGGATATAGTAAATTTAAATAAAATTACAGCCTTGAAATATAAAGCCATATAATTTCATGAACTTAAGATATATAAATGTTTCTTGAAACTGATAAAAGATAAAAAACTAAAACCATGGTCAGTCTATCAATAAACTAAAACTAACATGTATGATAGTACATAGTATTACACATATAGCAATAACAGATAAAACAAGCTATAAGAGGAATTAATTAATGATTCTGCAACTAAATGGGAAACAGGGACTAATTTCAAAGATAATCACAAGTAGAACTACCCAATTTAAGTTAACATGTGCTATGGTTGAATGTGTCCATCAAAAAGCATGTGTTGGAAACTTAATACACAATGCAACAGTGTTGGGAGATGGGGCCTAGTGGGAGGTGTTTAGGTCAGGAGAGCTCTACACTTATGAATTAATTAATGTTGGTTATAAAATAGCTTAATACTGTGAATTCAATCTCTTGCTGTCTCTCACATGTGCTCTCTTGCCCTCTTGCCCTTCTGCTTTCCATCATGGGATAATGCAACAAGAAGGCCCTCACCAGATGCTGGCACCTTGAGATTAGATTTCCCAGGCTCCATAACTGTGAGAAATAAAATTATTTTATTTATGAATTACCCAGTCAGTGATATTCTGCTATGATAACACAAAACAGACTAAGATAACACATAATAACACACAAATCCAAGTATTTCTATTTAGTATGATTGTCATTTTTCCAGGTACTCTATGGATATAAAGCTACCTGATGTCGTAGAAATATAACAGAGTAGGCCAGAATCAATCAAGAAAACAGAATTCTAAGGCAAAATTAATATTTCTGGGTTCTACCACCCACATCTATTACAAGAGGGGGTGGTACCAGATCATATCTGATAATCCAAATCACCTGGGAACAGGTATATAGGTAGTATGCATGTGTGTGTGTGTGTGTGTGTGGTGGGATGGAAAGAGGGGAGAGAGACAGAGACAGAGGTAGAGAGAGAGAGAGAGAGAGAGGAAGGGAGGGAGGGAGAGATTTGGGAGAGAGGGGGCAGAGGAAGGAAGGGGGAAAGAAAGTAGCGGGGGAAGTGAAGGCAGAGAGAGAAAAGAGATTGAGATATTTGTGGGTGAGGCCTAGAACTCCACTTTAAAGGGTTCCCTAGATTATTCTGATGATACACAGGCCTTTCCTATTCTAAAATTATTAGCTTCTACTGTACTAAAAGTGACTATCTTATTATAGAAGGCAATTTAATTTGCCCAAATTGAGGAAATTATTGGGTATCTTATATGCCCTCATTTACTAATGACTAACAATAAAGCACAAACTATGATCTCATTTTCCAGCAATAGTAATAGACTGCATTGAGCTATGCCAACTTCACACATTATCCTAATATGACCAGTACTATGTGCTCTTTATTAGGGGAGGGTGCAGGCTCCAGATGTTAAGCACAATGCTACTAATGGCCTCTGAGGTTCTACCACAGACCACCTGGATCTCAAAAGCACCTTTTCGAGAAAGAGTTGCATTGCTAATGCTGCATTTTAGACAATTACAAAACACATTTCCACTTAGCACATAAACAACAAAGCAGACTTTCAGAAGAGCTTGCTAAGAAGTAAATATGTTGATAAAGAGTATTTGAAAATATTTCTTTAAACTTGGAGAAATAGTATTAAGGCCATAAAAGATTTGATATGGTTTGGCTGTTTCCCTACTCAAGTCTCATCTTGAATTGTAGTTCCCATAATCCCCACATATCAATGGGAAGGACCAGGTGGAGATTACTGAATCATGGGGGTGGTTTTCCCCATCCTCTTCTCATGATAGTGAGTTAGTTCTCACGAGATCTGATGGTTTTATAAGGGGATTCCCCCTTCGCTGGGCACTCACTTTCTCTCCTGCTGCCATGTGAAGAAGGACATGTTTGCTTTGCCTTCCACCATAATTGTAAGTTTCCTGAGGCCTCCCAAGCCATGCAGAACAGAGTCAATTAAACCTCTTTCCTTTACAAATTACCAGTCTTGGGTATTTCTTCATAGCAGTGTGAGCACAGACTAATACATGATTATTATATAATTTGTCCTTCACTCCAATTTTATCTTAACAAAATACAGATAACAATTTAGTTTAACTTTGGCTGAGATTTTTAGCCTTACTACAGTCCAACAAAAGCTTAAATAAAACATACCCTCCTCAAAACAACAAAACAAAAAATCATTGTATTTTCAAAAATAATCTAATTGATATTTAGGGAATTCTAACCCTAACATTAAATTATCTATTAAGTGCCTGAATATATATAACAAAAATAAAATACATATTATTTACTATATAAAATAGAGTATATGTGGCAGTAAGGTCCTATTTCACTGTCTTTCAAATAATACCTATAGAATATTTATATTTATCAAAATTATTCTTTTTCTTCAGTGCAATAAAAAGGAAACATCTTTTTCTAGAGAAAAGAATCCTTGGGGCACTACTCATTTCAACTGGTGATTACAATCAGTGCTAGATCCCTCAAGGTTGAACATCTAGTGGACAAGACTTCATAAAATGTAAAGGCATCTGTTAACCCGAAGTACATAACTTTCAATGTTAATATTAGATATGTCCCATTTTAGAGCCTGAAAAATTCACTGGGACTCTATGCAGGATATAAATTATCATTGTGAACCAGGGTAGCTGATCCTATCTGTGTCTTTTAAATAACAGCTATCTGAACAAGTTCATATAACAAACATCTACTTAAAAAGCATAAATGGCATTTTTACTAAGACATTCCAAAGCCTAAATAAAGAAGTGAAGGCATATATTCTCAAAAATATCTTTAGTCTTATAAAAGATTTACTAACACAAATCACAATAAAACGTTACTGATTAGTATTTAAATATAAAATCTTCAAATATCAATTTTTTTTAATGTTTACCAATTCCTTCAAATAAAAAAATTCCAAAAATATTTTGATTCCTACAAAAATGTCTTATTTTACAAATTTTTGCTATGACATTAAGGAATTACTGTACTGTTCTTTCCTTTTTCAAAGAAAAGAATTCTAAATCCACGAATTGATATGTATCATTTTATGATAATGCATCTTTATTTACTAAAAAGGTGATTTTTAAAATCTGATAACTAGAAATATGTCAATATAATAGCTATTCCTTTAAATATGCTAGGAAATGTACAATATTGTACAAAATCCTTGTAGATTATTAAAAATATCATTCAAAGTAGTTATCACTTATTGAGCATTTTATTCAAATTATTCATTACCTAGACAAACTGTAAATGGGCCCTAATTAATAAATGCATTTTGTAATTCAAACTTTGTCATAAATTTAGATGTAATAGTTCTTCCAGCATTTTTCAGTTCTTTCAGCAGTCACATGTTGAACACTTACAGTATTCAAGTGCTGACGTTATAGCGGTAAGCCAAAGCTCAAAACCCATCCCTGACATACTTCAGTTTGATGAATGTCCAACAGAGCAGAGGGACAGCCAAAGCAATGCACAATGACAACTTTGAAAAATGTTATACAAGATTACTATAATAACATATGAATGAGGGGGTGGATAAGTCACAGACCAAACAGGGCAAAAAGAGCATCCCACTAGAGATCAGCATATGCCAAGATTCTGTGGAGTTCACGTTAAGGATTTTGGTCTTTATCCCCCAAAAAAAAACTCAGTAAAAGAAGGGCTATAGGCCAGGCACAGTGGCTCACACCTGTAATTCTAGCACTTTGGGAGGCAGAGGTGGGCAGATCACTTGAGCTCAGGAGTTTGAGACCAGCCTGGGCTACATGGCAAAACTCATATTTACAAAAAATTAGCCGGGCATGGTGGCGTGCACCTGTGGTCCCAGCTACCTAGGGGACTGGGGCAGGAGGATCACTTGAGCCCATGAGATCTAGGCTGCAGTGAGCTGAGATGGAGCCACTGCACTGCAGCTTGGGTGACAAAGTAAGACTTTGTCTCTTAAAAACATATACATTTTTTGTTTTGTTTTGTTTTGTTTTTTGAGGCAGAGTCTCACTCTGTCACCCAGGCTGGAGTGCAGTGGCATGTTCTCGGCTTACTGCAACCTCTGCCTCCTGGGTTCAAGCAATTCTTCTACCTCAACCTCCCAAGTAGCTGGGATTACAGGTGTGAGCCACCATGCCCAGCAAATTTTTATATTTTTAGCAGAAACAGGATTTCTCCATGTTGGCCAAGCGGGTCTCGGACTCCTAGCCTCAAGTAATCCACCCGCCTTTGCCTCCCAAAGTGCTGGGATTATGGTCATGAGCCACCGTGTCCCACCAAAAAGATTCGTTTTTAAGTGGTCACTTGAAGTTCAGGGTGAAGTGATTTGTGGGTGGGTGTAGGAAAAAGGAGAGTGGATGAAGGGAGACTGGATAAGAAGCTGTGTGGTACCCTAAGGCAAAAATAAATGATAGAATAGTTATCAACATTGATGATACCATTAACAGACCATCTTAAGTGTGGAAATTTACCATTCTGTCAGGACTGTTGCTATTTAAATCTCATTTGAATCATTCATTCATTCAATGAACATCTACTGTCTACTATGTGCCAGACACATAATTCCAGTCCTAGGAACTAGAAGTATTATAGTGAACTATAGTATTACAGAATGAAGTGGAGGAGCAGGCGGAGAAAACACAAGAGAATAAATTTGTAAGTTCGGATAATTATAAGAGCTGTAAATAAAATACAAAACAGAATAATGTGACAGTGACTGTGGGAGGTTGCTCTTTGAAGATGAAGGTAATATCTGATTTTGGATTCTAACGACAAGAAAAAAGTCAGCCATTTGAATATCTATGGCAAAGGGTACAATATGCAAAGCACAAAGGCACTACTACAGAAGCCAGCTTTTAGATAAGAAAATAAGGCCAAGGTGGCTGGAGGACTGGGGGCAGAGTACTATGAGATGAGGATAAGAATACAGGATAAGAAGTGACCATAGAACTTATGGTTTTAATGGGAGGAAGTCTGGATTTTGAAACTACAATGAGAAGCTACTGGAAAGTTATAAAATCACAAAATTAATTCTTTCTAAGATATTCTAAACAGGTATGCTTTGAAATCATTTCAATGGTGGTAAAAGTATTTTATTTCATGCATAGTAAACAATTATTTATTTATTTTACTGAATTGCTTTCTACCTAGATTAGTAATTAACTTGATTTCTCAATAAGACTTAAAACAGATCACAATAAAACAAACCAGAAGAAAAGTACATCATAGGTTACTAGTAGGATTTCCAGTTCCACCCATAATGGAGTACCACTGCAGCATATTTCTCCCACTGACAACAATTTAGTACTCTGGGCAAAATACAAAAAAACAAAAACAAAAACCACTTGAGTGCTCTGAAAAGTAAATAACAGGAGGCATATTGGAGAAGAAAATCAGTGGTGTTGAGTTTTCTGTTCTTTCTTCTCCTTTATTTACCACAACAGGATGAATCTGAGAATTAAACAGCAGGCATCGGGAGCAAAAACCCCAAAAGAATCCCATTTTTCAGAAACTAGAAAAAGGAGGTCCTGTGATCTCGAGAGTGTGGAAAGAAATCTCTTTCTTTTTCCCTTCTTTTTTCATTTCTAACCATGTGACAAGACCAGGTCTAGTTGTAGAACTATGCTGCCACAGTAGGTTGGTGGTAGCTGTGGTGTGGGCACCTAAAACTCTTAATAAGGCTACCCTTTTGATAAGAAAACTGCAGAAAAGGTTCCCTGTTGTGCAGACAGTGAGTGGAGAACCCCAATTATTTTTTTCTTTGCTATTTCTCTCATCACTTTGCCAAAAAAGTGCATCCATTCATGTGGAACTGTGCAATAGCACAGGAGGCAAATGTTATGATAAAACCAGACACAGTGTGTGGGGTAACCCTGTAGAAGAAGGCCTGGACATGGGGATTCTCTAATTCTGTGTATGAAAAGACACAAATCCTGAGCTCACTCCTCACCTGTACATGCTCAAAATATACCCAAAGGAGCACAACAAAAGCTTTGAGAACGGAACCATAATATTAATATCAACTACCACCAAAGTCCCAGACTAACCTCTGAGGGTCACACGCAAGGAGCAGACTAAAAAAGCATGGAAAGGACTTTGAAACTGCTGACACTGGAACCTCCACCCACAGAAAGTGAGTCAGAAACTGTGGTCTGAACTTAACTGGAACAGCAGGAGAGTTGGTAATGGGAAGGAAGGGAGAAGAGAAGGGGAGAGGAGAGGGAGAAGAAGCGAGGGACAAGGGAAGTGGGAGGGGAGGAAGAGGAAGAGGGAAATAGAAGGAAGGGAAGGGGAGGAAAGGGAAGAGAGGAAGGAGAAAAATTCTCCAGAGGATTTAACAGGATCCAGAGTTTCATAACAAATTATTCAAAATGTTCAAGACACAGTCTAAAATTACTTGCTATATCAAGAACCAGAAAAATATGATCAATTATCAAAATGTAATACAATAAACAGATACCAACCCAGAGATGCTCCAGGCATTAGAATCAACAAAGACTTAAAGAAGCTATCATAACTTGAGAAGTTTATTTTATTTTTTATCTGTGGAATATGAGCCTCTTTAAATTATCAGGCCAGAGAGGCACTGAAATGTGACAGCGGTCAGGTCTCACTTGCACTCCGAGCTAAGTAATTATCTCTTGAAGCCATGTACTATGTGGGCTCTAGATTGACACCAAGTAGCCATAAAATTAACCGAACAATACCACGTGCTGGATACCATAACTCATACCCTATAGTTCAACAATGTATAGCCAATCACTAATCAATGTTATTTCTATCAACCAATGAGAATTCCTATCAAACAACTTTATCAGCCCACTTTTGGTTTCCTTTTTCCTTTAAAATCCTGCTTGTAACAAAGGCTGAGTGGAGTACTTCCCAAGGCAACTTGGAAATGTTTCTTAGGCAGCTGTCCTCACTTTGGCTTACGTAAACTCTAAAGTTTTATTTTGTGCCTCAGCTTCTTCAAGTCAACAAACTTTTCTCTATGAGGTAATGGTGTATAATCTTGAACAGAAAAATAGAAGTTCACTGTAAAATAATAGAAACTATTAAAAAGAACCAAATGGAAATCTTAGAACTGTAAAGAACAATACCTGAAATTTTAAAAATTCATAGATGGGCTCTGTAATGAAATGGATAAGACAGCGGAATGGGACAGTGAACTGAAAGATCAACAAAAGTTATATACAATCTGAAGAACAAAGAAAAACAACATTTTAAAAAATGAAATGAACGGAGTGTCAAGGATCCATGGGGACAATACAGCCTCCCAGTAAATCTTCAAAATTCAAAGTATTTTCAAAAACATTATCAAAATCACATAAGTCTTCAATGTAATCTAATTATCTTCTCATGAGCTACATTGAAATACAGTTACAGCTTAAAGAATAAATGTAAAAATTACCTAAATAAAAATGAGATTATAACAGAATGTAAAAACTAATTTAACCCACTCTAATATTAACTTATATTCCATTTCTTGGATATACTTTATTTTTCCAGATGTAAAAGCAATGCAAACTACATTAAAAACTTGTACACTTGAGAGAAATTATTAAAACAAAAACTACCAACAAAAAAGAAAAAAGAAAGAAAAAGAAAAGTAGACAGCAAAACCCACCCATAATGTGATGCAATTACATGAGGATACTTTTCCTTTGACTATTTTCTATAAAATTGAATTTACATACTACATAAACAATTTTATATTATATTATTTCATTGTATTATATGAGCATTTCTCCCATGTTATTTAAAAAACTTTTTACAAAGAAATTTTAACTGGCTACATAATAATCAATGTATGTCCTATAATTTATTTAACCATTCTTCAATTGGCAGATATTTCTTTTATTTAAAAGATTTAGCTGTTCTAAATAACACTATGATAAATACCTTTGTGCACAAATCCTTCCATGGCTGCCTTTAGAGAAATAAATTGGTTGATCAAAAAGTATTAACAAAACCACAAAACAAATAGAAATTGATAAAAATTACAAAACTAATACATAATTATTGTACAAAATTTTCAAATGCAGATCTATATTCAGAAAATATAAAGCCACACATAATTCTTCCATTGTTAGTATTTTAACATTTGCTCAAATTTTTAACAATATGCATTATATATATTCTATAATTTGAATACAATATATAGTTTAATACTATCCTAATATAACTTTCAATGGCTACAAAGGGTGTTACACAATAGCATTACAGAGAAAAAGAATTACCCATCATCAGTAAGTAAATGTATTCCTACAGCTACTAACCATACAGCATACTATACAGAACTGTCCATGTGAGAAATAACTTCATTGAAAGTCAGTTTTTGAAATGTGAGCATCTGCATTTTGTAACCCTTGACTTAGGTATTTCATAATACTGACACTTGCCCTGAATCTGTTTTCCCCTTATCAGTGGACATATGGCAACCCAGCTACAGACCATATTTCACATCTAGTTTATGCCTAGATATAGCCCTGTATGTTCAAGTGCTAAGGGCATATTCTGTTTTAATGATGTCTTATATGAGCTTTCTTTTCCATGGATTAAAACAGTAGTCAATTACAATGGCTAAATCAGGCCAATAATGGCCTCTTTTCATATGACCTGTGGACAAAAAAGGTTTATACATTTTTAAAGGCTTTTTTTCTTAAAGAGGACGGTCTTTAGTGAAGAACCATAAAAAAAAAAGTCCCGTCTGCCATAGACAATACTTTTGTGAAATAATAAAAATATTCGTATAAAAGTGAAATAAAAAGATATATAATATATAAGCCTCAATATTTTATTATTACATTCAAAAGATGGAAAAATTACTCTGTTCTATATATTAACCTTCAGTTTCCATACAGCAGTCTTTTCTTATTTGTGGTCTTGCTTTCCGTAGTTTCAGTTACCTGCAGTGAACCATGGTCCAACAATAGGTGAGAATAGTACAATAAGATATTTTTGAAAGAGACTACATTCACTTAACTTTTATTATGTGATAAAAGGATATTGTTATAACTGTTCTATTTTATTAGTAGCATGGTTGTTAATCTCTTAATATGTCAAATTTATAAATTAAACTTTATCATAGGTATGTACGTATAGCAAAAAACACAGTATATATAGGGTTCAGTACTATCTGTGATTTCAGGGATCCACTTCAAGTCTTGGACCATATTCGCCACAGATAAGAGTGTAATACTATACTTATACAGTTGAGAACTAGTTACGAACAGTTCTCACCCATGGACTAGACTGAGTAGCACAGCTCTAGGAAATGGAAGAAGAACAACAGGGAAGGATCCTGGAGTCAGGGCTGTTAGGTTAAGAGTAATGCACTTCTGCCTTTTTAAAGTCATTGTATTTTGGGTCTTAGTCATTGCTTAAAATAATACAGAGTTCAAAATGAAATGGCTGATGTTCTCCTCTGTGGCATAAAAATATGTACGGCAGAAGGATGACTGCCCATCTCTCTTAGATATCCTTTCTTTAGGTTATTTCTCCCAACCCCATTCCTCCTGAAGAGACATACTTTTTATTTTAAGTAATTTACCCCAAATATAACTCCAAATTTGGTCAAACTCCCTTTAGGTCTCTGAATGTGATAAGAAACAAATCCTATTGATGAGAAGAATTATAGTAGCTTTAAGGTTGCAATGGTTTAGATCAAAAAAAGTAAAACAGATTCTTGAGATATTAAGGTGACAAATCTATTGCATTGGTGGCTAAGAGATGTCAATAATGATTCCTAAATTTCTGGCTTACACAACTACATACATATTGACACCATTCACTGAGATTAAAAAAAAAAATAGGAGAGGAGTTTGGAAGAAAATATCACAAATTCAATTTTGGACAAGCTGAGTCAGAACTTTTAAAATCTAAGAGGAAATGTAATCTGGAATGTCAGATATATGAATCTGGAGCTACCTGAACTAGAAACACTTGAAAGTATTAAGGTATCGATAACTAAAGCTTAGGATAAAAACAGAGACAAGTAAAAGCCCAAATTTTAAAGACCACATTGGGCCGGGCGCGGTGGCTCGCGCCTGTAATCCCAGCACTTTGGGAGGCCGAGGCGGGTGGATCACGACGTCAGGAGATTGAGACCATCCTGGCGAACACGGTGAAACCCCGTCTCTAGTGAAAATACAAAAAAATTAGCCAGGTTGGTGGCAGGCGCCTGTAGTCCCACCTACTTGGGAGGTTGAGGCAGGAGAATGGCGTGAACCTGGGAGGCGGAGCTTGCAGTGAGCCGAGATCACACCACTGCACTCCAGCCTGGGCGACAGAGCAAGACTCCAACTCAAAAAAAAAAAAGACCACATTGAAAAGCATAAGAAACAAGGAATACCAAGAGAAAATTGTATCACTGAAGCTAAAAGAGGATTTTGAGAAGGAGGAAGTCAAGAATTTAGGATGTTACTGTCAAGGCCAGATAAAATCTTAAAATAGATTTAATTACAGAAAGACCATTAGGATCTCAAAAGATATTCATTCAAGTAGAATGAGTGACAGTCACCAGAGTAAAATGTAAAATAATAAAAAATGAAGATAACCATTTATGGAGTATTGCTCAGAAAACGAGAATAAAGCTACTGCTGTAGCTGAAAGAAGTGGTGGGATCAGCACGGGACTTTTCATCCTAGCTTAAGTTACTAAGATAAGAAGGACTATCAACAAAACAAGAAAGATCCAGTAGAAACACAGGGGTTGAATATATAAGAGTTGAGAGATAACTGATAGAATACAAGATTCCTGAGAAGATACAAGAGGATGGGATCTAGGCCACAGGTAGAAGAACTGATCTGAAACGGAAGAGACATCACTAGGGAAAAAAACAGAAAGATACAGATGTAGTTGCAGGTAACTCTGTTACAGAAAGCTAAAGCTCCCACCTAATAATTTCTATTTTCTTTATGGAATGAGCAGAGTCAATCTTCAGGAAATCATAAGTTTAAATTACAAAGGTTTTGAAATACCTGAGAAGAGAGGGAAAGTACAACTTAATTCTTATGGTGATCATGAACTTAGGCTGAAAAGATAAATCATACAGTAGAATAAACATGTCAGTCATTGATATATACATCCTAAACTGGCTGGCATTAAGCTTTTACCAATTAATCATCAAAGTAGATAATAACGTTTCAAAACTATTTTTCCCATCTAACAGGATCTTGTGTACATTTGTATTTCTTGGAATATCAGGAAAACTAAACTTCTAAAATATGTTTATTGGAAATTTGCATCTCGCCATTTTTAAATAGCTGGTTAAACTTGTTTTCACTGCTAAATTATCATTTTCTTATTGATTTGTAAAAGCTCTTTAATTTTTAGGGTAATTAACTTTGTAGCCAGGAGTGTTAGTGTGCACCTGTAGTCTCAGTAGCACTTAGGAGGCTCAGACAGGCAGATCACCGGAGCCCTCGGGTTCAAGGCTGATTCCATCTCAAGAAACTACTTTCTCTGCTTATCCAAAAGAAGCAACTCCTCATTCATTACAGTTTTATCATGAGATTGCAGGAATATATTAACATCTTCAGTGCCCGCTTCTAATTCCAGTTCTCTTGCTATTTCCTGTCCATCGGCAGTTACTTCCTCCACTGAGGAGGTCTTGAACTTAAAACTTGAACATCTCCAAGTCAGCGATGAGGGCTGGAATCAACTCCTTTAAAACCCCTGTTCAGGCTGATATTTTGACCTCCTCCCATGAATCATGAATATTCTTAATAGATCTATTATGATGACTCCTTTCCAGAAGGTTCCAATGTATTTTGCTCTGACACATCAGAGGAATCACTATCTATGGCAGCTATGAATTATGAAATGTATTTCTTAAATAATAAGATGTGAAAGTAGAAATGACTACTTGATCCAGGGGCTGCAGAATGGATGCCGTGTTGGCAGGCATGAAAACAACATTAATCTTGTACATCTCTACCAGAGCTTTTGTGTGACCAGGTGCCTTATCAAAGAGAAGTCATTTTTGAAAGGCATCTTCTTTTTCTGATCAGTAGGTCACAAGAATAGGCTTAAAATATTCAGTCAACCATGCTATAAGCAAATGTACTAACATCCAGCCTTTACTGTTCTATTTACAGAGCACAGTGAGAGGAGATTTAATTAACTCTTAAGGGCCCTAGGATCCTCAAAATTGTTAATGAACATCAGCTTTAACTAAATATCACCAACTACATTAGCCTCTAACAAGAGAGTCAGCCTGTCCTTTGAAGCTCTCAAGCCAGGTACTGACTTCTCCTCTTTAGCTATAAAAGTCCTTATTCATGGGATCTGGCAAGATGGCCAAAAAGGAACAGCTCCCAGAGAGACCAATGCAGAAGGCAGGTGATTTCTGCATTTTCAACTGCGGTACCCTTCTCATCTCATTGGGACTGGTTAGAAAGTGGGTGCAGCCCACCGAGGGTGAGCAGAAGCAGCATGGGGCACCACCTCACCTGGGAAGCCCAAGGAGTTGGGGAACTCCCTCCCCTAGCTAAGGGAAGCCATGAGGGACTGTGCCATGAGAGACGGTGTTATCCAGCCCAGATACTATGCTTTTCTCACGGTTTTTGCAACCTGCAGACCAGAAGATTCCTGCAGGTGTCTACACCACCAGGGCCCCGGGTTTCAAGCACAAAACTGGGCAGCCATTTGGGGCAGACACCAAGCTAGTAGGAGTTTTTTTCATACCCTAGTGGCACCTGGAATGCCAGAGAGAGAGAATTGTTCACTCCCGTGGAATGGGTGCTGAAGCCAGGGAGCCAACTGGTTTTGCTCAGTGGATCCCACCCCCACAAAGCCCAGCAACCTAAGATCCACTGGCTTGAAATTCTCGCTGCCAGCACAGCAATCTGAAGTCGACCTGGGATACTCAAGCTTGGTAGGGGAAGGGGCGTCCACCATTACTGAGGCTTGAGTAGGCAGTTTTCCCCTCAGAGTATAAAGAAAGCCATCAGTAAGTTCGAACTGGGAACCCACTGCAGTGCAGCAAAGCTGCTGTAGCCAGGCTGCTTCTCTAGATTCCTCCTCTCTGGGCAGGACATCTCTGAAAGAAAGGCAGGAGCCCCAGTTAGGGGCTTATAGATAAAACTCCCATCTCCCCAGGACGGAGCACCTGGGGGAAGGGGCGGCTGTGGGAGCAGCTTCAGCAGACTTAAACATTCCTGCCTGCAGAATCTGAAGAGAGCAGCAAATCTCCCAGCGAATGCTCAAGCTCTGCTAAGGGACAGACTGCCTCCTCAAGTGGGTCCCTGATCCCCGTGCCTCCTGACTGGGAGACATCTCCCAGCAGGGATCGGCAGACACCTCATATAGGAGAGCTCCGGCTGGCATCTGGCAGATGCCCCTCTGGGATGAAGTTTCCAGAGGAAGGGGCAGGCCGCAATCTTTGCTGTTCTGGAGCCTCCGCTGGTGATACCAAGGCAAACAGGGTCTGGAGAGGACCCCCAGCAAACTCCAGCAGAATTGCAGAAGAGGGGCCTGACTGTTAGAAAGTAAACTAACAAACAGAAAGCTATAACATCAACATCAACAAAAAGGACACCCACGCAAAAACCCCATCCAAAAGTCATCAACATCAAAGATAAAAGGTAGATAAATCCACGAAGATAAGGAAAAAACAGCGCAAAAATGCTGAAAATTCCAAAGACCAGAATACCTCTTCTCCTCCAAAGGATCACAACTCCTTACCAGCAAGGGAACAAAACTGGACAGAGAATGAGTTTGATGAATTACAGAAGTAGGCTTCAGAAGGTGGGTAACAACAAACTCCTCCGAGTTAAAGGAGCATGTTCTAACTCAATGCAAAGAAGCTAAGAACCTTGATAAAAGGTCACAGGAACTGCTAACTAGAATAACCAGTGTAGAGAAGAACATAAATGACCCGATAGAGCTAAAAAACACAGCACAAGAACTTCGTGAAGCATACACAAGTATCAACAGCAGAATCGATCAAGTGGAAGAAAGGATATCAGAGATTGAAGATCAACTTAATGAAATAAAGCATGAAGACAAGATTAGAGAAAAAAGAATGAAAAGGAATGAACAAAGCCTCCAAGAAATATGCGCCTATGTGAAAAGACCAAACCTACGTTTGATTGGTATACCTGAAAGTGATGGAGAGAATGGAACCAAGTTGGAAAATACACTTCAGGATATTATCCAAAAGAACTTCCCCAACCTAGCAAGACAGGCCAACATTCAAATTCAGGAAATACAGAATATACCACTAAGATACTCTACCAGAAGAACAACCCCAAGACACATAATCGTCAGATTCACCAAGGTTGAAATGAAGGAAAAAATGTTAAGGCCAGCCAGAGAGAAAGGTCAGATTGCTCACAAAGCCCATCAGACTAACAGCGGATCTCTCAGCAGAAGCCCTACAAGCCAGAATAGAGTGGGGTCCAATATTCAACATCCTTAAAGAAAAGAATTTTCAACCCAAAATTTCATCTCAAGCCAAACTAAGCTTTGTAAGTGGAGGAGAAATAAAATCCCTTACAAACAAGCAAATGCTGAGAGATTTTGTCACCACCAGGCCTGCCTTACAAGAGTTCTGAAGGAAGAACTAAATATGGAAAGGAAAAAGCAGTACCACCCACTGCAAAAACATACCAAAATGTAAAGACCATCAACACTATGAAGAAACTGCATCAACTAATGGGCAAAATAACCAGGATATGAACAGACACTTCACAAAAGAAAACATTTATGTGGCCAACAAACATGAAGAAAAGCTCATCATCACTGGTCATTAGAAAAATGCAAATCAAAACCACAACGAGATACCATCTCATGTCAGTTAGAATGGTGATCATCAAAAAAAAGTCAGGAAACAACAGATGCTGGAGAGGATGTGGAGAAATAGGAACATTTTTACACTGCTGGTGGGAGTATAAATTAGTTCAACTATTGTGGAAGACAGTGTGGCAATTCCTCAAGGATCTAGAACTAGAAATAACACTGGAGGGGAAGGGGAGGGATAGCATTAGGAGAAATACCTAATGTGGATGACGGGTTAATGGGTGCAGCAAACCACCATGGCACGTGTATACCTATGTAACAAACCTGCATATTCTGCACATGTATACCAGAACTTAAAGTAAAATATTAGCCGGGCGTGGTGGTGGGCGCCTGTAATCCCTGCTCGGAGGGCTGAGGCAGGAGAATCGCTGGAATCTGGGAGGTGGAGGTTGCAGTGAGCTCAGAGAGGACCACCATCGCACTCCAGCCTGGGCAACAAAGCGAGACTCCGTCAAAAAAGAAAAAAAATTACAAGAAGGTTATAGAACACCAAGCAGATTTAACCCAAAGGTGATTACCTCAAGGCATTTAACAATCAAACTCCAAAGGGTCAGAAATAAAGAGTTTTTATTGCTTTTTTTTAATTGCGTGTTTGTTTACACAATCAGTGTTAAGTTGCTATCAGTTTAAAGTAATGAGTTATAAGATAGTATTTATAAGCCCCATGGTAAGCTCAAATTGAAAAACATACAATGGATACACAAAAAAATAAAAAGCAAGAACTGAAATCATACCACCAGAGAAAATCAACTTCGCTAGAAGGAAGACAGGAAGGAAGGAAGGGAAGATTACAAAACAACCAGAAAACAACAAAATGGCAGGGGTAAGTCCCTACTTATCAATAATAACATTAAATGTACATAGACTAAACTGTCAAATTAAAGGGCATAAAGACAGAAGGTCTGAATGGATGAAAAACCAAGACATGATGAAAACCCAAGACACAGTGATCTATTGCCTACAAGAAACACACTTTACCTATAAGGATACATAGAGACTGAAAATAAATGGATGGAAAAAGATATTCCATGCCAGTGGATACCAAAAAAGAAGAAAAGTAGTTATACTTACATCAGACAAAATAGATATCCAGACAAAGAATGTCATTATATAATGAAAAAAGGGTCAATTCACAGGAAGAGGATAAAACAATTATAAATATATATGCATCCAGTACTGAGCATCCAACATATAAAGCAAATATTATTAAAGCTAAAGAGACACATAGACACTAACACAATAATAGCTAGAGAATTCAGCACCCCACTTTCAGCAATGGAAATATCTCCCAGACAAAGAAATCAAAAAAGAAACATCAGATTTAATCAGCAAAATAGAACAAATGGACTCAACAGATATTTACAGAACATTTCATCCAACAGGTTCAGAATACACATTCTTTGCCTCAGCAAATGGATCATTCTCCAGGATAGACCATATGTTAGTTTACAAAACAAGTCTTAAAACATTAAAAAAAAATACTATCAAGCATCTTCTCTAACCACAATGGAATAAAACTACAAATCAATAACAAGAGGAATTTTCAAAACTATGCAAACACATGGAAATTAAACAATATGCTCCAGAAAGACCAGCAGGTCAATGAAGAAATAAAAAAAAAAAAAAAAAGAAAAGTGTCTTGAAACAAATGATAATGGAAACACAACACACCAAAACCTATGGGATACAGCAAAAGCAGTAGTAAGAGGGAAATTTATAGCTGTAAGTGCCTACATCAAAAAAGAAGAAAAATTCCAAATAGTTAACTAATGATGCATTTTACAGAACTAGAAAAGCAAAAGCAAACCAAACCCAAAATTAGGAGAAGAAAAGAAATAATGAAGATCAGATCAGAAATAGATGAATTTGAAATAAACAAAACAATAAAAAAAAAGAAATAAAAAGTTGGTTTTTTGAAACGATAAAATTGACAAACCTTTAGCCATACTAACAAAGAAAAATAATGGAGAAGACTCAAATAAATCATGGATGAAAAAGAAAACACTATAACAGATACCTCAGAAATTGAAAGAATCATTAGTGGCTACTATGAACAACTATAAGACAATAAATTGGACAATCTAGAGGAAATGTTTAAATTCCTAGACACATACAATCTACCAAGATCAAACCATGAAGAAATCCAAAACCTGAACAGACCAATAATGAGTAACAAGATCAAAGCCATAATGGCTTTACTGCTGAATTCTACCAAACATTTAAAGAAGAACTAACACCAATCCTACTAAACTCAAACTGTTCCAAAAACTAGAGGCCAAGGGGATACTTCCAAACTAATTCTACAATGCCAATATACCAAAACCTAGACAAAGACACATCAAACAAGAAAACTACAGGTCAATATTTCTGATGAATAATGATGCAAAAAGTCCTCAACAAAATACTAGCAAATCAAAATAAACAATACATTAAAAAGGTCATTCATCATGACCAAGTGGGATTTATCTCAGAGATGCAAGTATAAATCAACATATGCGAATCAATCAATGTGATACATCCTACCAATGGAATGAAGGATAAAAACCACATGATCATTTAAATTCATGCTGAAAAAGCATCTGATAAAGTTCAGCATTCCTTTTATCCTCCAGGATAAACGCCTTTAAAAAACTGGAGACAGAAGAACATATCTCAACATAATAAAAGCCATATATGACAGACCCACAGCCAGTATCATACTGAATGAAGAAAAATTGAAAGCCTTTTCTTTAAGATCTAGAAGACAACAAGAATGCCTGCTTTCACAACTGATATTCAACAGAGTACTGGATGTCCAAGCTTGGACAATCAGATGAGATAACGGTATAAATGGTATCCGAATTGGAAAATAAAACAGCAAATTATCCTTGTTTGCAAATGATATGATCTTATATTTGGAAAAACGTAAAGACTCTACAAAAAAAAACTAGTAGAACTGATAAATTCATTTAAGTTGCAGGATACAAAATCAACATATAAAAATCAATAGCATCTTTTTTCTTTTTTTTCTGAGATGGAGTCTCGCTCTGTCACCCAGGCTAGAGTGCAGTGGTACGATCTCGGCTCACTGCAAGCTCCGCCTCCCGGGTTCACGCCATTCTCCTGCCTCAGCCTCCTGAGTAGCTGGGACTACAGGTGCCCGCCACCATGCCTGGTTAATTTTTTTGTATTTTTAGTAGAGATGGGGTTTCACCATGTTAGCCAGGATGGTCTTGATCTCCTGACCTCGTGATCCGCCTGCCTCGGCATCCCAAAGTATTGGGATTACAGGCATGAGCCACCGTGGCCCAGTCAAAAATCAGTAGCATTTCTATATGCCAACAGTGAGGAATCTCAAATAGAATAAAAAAAGTAATCCCATTTACAATAGCCACAAATAAAATTAAATACTTATGAATTAACTTAAAGAAGTAAAAGATGTCTACAATTAAAACTATCAAAGATTGATGAAACAAACTGAAGAGGACAACAACAACAACAACAAAAAAAGGAAAGATATTCCATGTTCATGGATTGGAAACCTCAACATTGCTAAAATGTCCATACTACCCAAAGCAGTCTGCAGATTCAATGCATTCGCTATCAAAATACCAAATGACATTCCTCACACAAGTAGAAAAAACTGTCCTAAAATGTATATGGAACCACAGAAGACTCAAAATAACCAAAGCTATCCTAAGCCAAAAAAAAAAAAGTATACACACACACACACACACGTGTGTGTGTATATATATGTATATATGTATACATATATATTATATATTGTATACATATATTATTGTATATATGTATACATATATACATATATGTGTGTATATATGTATATATGTATGTATATATGTAAATATGTGTATATGTGTATATATGTATATGTATATATGTATATGTATATGTGTGTATATATATGTATAAGCCAAAAAAAGTATATACACACACGTGTGTGTATATATGTATATATGTGTGTATGTGTGTGTATATATATATGTGTGTGTATATATATGTGTATATATATGTATATATATGTGTATATATATATGTGTGTGTGTATATATATATATATATATGTGTGTGTGTGTGTATATATATATAGGTCTGGTGCAGTGGCTCATGCCTGTAATCCCAACACTTTGGGAGGCCAATGCAGTGGATTGCTTGAGCTCAGGAGTTCGAAACCAACCTGGGCAACATGAAGAAACCCCATGTCTATAAAAATTACAAAAAAATTAACCAGGTGTCATGGTGCACACTTGTAGTCCAGTTACTTGGGAGGCTGAGGTGGGAGAATTCCTTGAGGCTGGGAGGCAGAGTTGCAGGCAGCTGAGACTGCACTACTGCATTCCAGCCTGGGTGAAAGAATGAGACCCTGTCTCAAAAACAAAATAAAACAAAAAAGAACACAATAGGAGGAATCATATTATCTGATTTCAAATTATACTGCAGATCTATAGTAACCAAAACAGGATGGCACTAGCACAGAAACAAACACAGACAAATAGAACAGAATAGAGAACCCAGAAACAAACCCACCCTCCTACATGGAACTCATTTTTGACAAAGGTGCCACTAACATACATCAGGGAAAAGACAGTCTCTTCAATAAATGGTAGTGTGAAAACTGAATATCTATATGCAGAAGAATGAAACTAGAGCCCTATCTCCTGACATATGGAAAAATCAAATAAAAACATGATTAAAGACTTAAATCTAAGACCTCAAACTATTAAACTACCACAAAAAAAAATCTGGGAAACTCTCCAGGACATTGGTCTGGGCAAAGATTTCTTGAGTAATACCCCACAAGCACAGGCAATCAAACCAAAAATTGACAAATGGGATCACATCAAGTTAAAAATATTCTGTGTAGTAATAGAAAAAATGAACAAAGTGAAGACATAAGCCACATAATAGGAGAAAATATCTGCAAACTACCCATGTAACAAGGGATTAATCACAAGACTATATAAGGAGCTCACAAAACTCTATAAGAAAAAATTTAACAATCTGATTACAATATGGGTGAAAGATTTGAATAGACATTTCTCAAAAGAAGACACAGAAATGGCAAACAGGCATATGAAAAGGTGTTCAACATACCGATCATCAGAGAAATGCAAATCAAAACTACAATGAGATAGCATCTCACTCCAGTTAAAATGGCTTTTATCCAAAAGACAGCCAATAACAAATGCTGGTGAGGATGTAGAACTCTTATACACTGCTGGTGGCAATGTAAGTTAGTACAACCACTACAAAGAACAGTTTGGAGGTTCCTCAAAAATCTAAAATACAAAATGAGTGAGTAAAAAAATGTGGTATAACAATAAAATGGAATGCTATTCAGCAATAAAAAGGAACAAAGTACGGATACATGCTATAAAATGGTTGAACCACAAAAACATTTTGTTAAACAAAAGACAGGCACAGTCATAAATGCCATGTAGTTACATTTATATGATATGTCTGAAAAAGCAAATTTACAGTTATAAGACAAAAAGTTGAATAGTGGTTTTATGGGACTAACAGTGAGAATGTAGAGTGACTTTCAATAGCAAAAAAAAATATTTTGGGGGGTAGAATCTTTTGCATTTGTTTTCTATTTTTTGCTAGAACAATATATAGTATTTTTTTCTAATTGTCTTTAAGACATTCTTTGTCTTTTGTTTTTATTAGTGTGAATGATATACAATGTTGTTGGTTTTTAAATTTTTATTTTCTATATTCTGCTTTAAGTTCTCTGAATTTCTTGAATCTCTAGTTTGATGTCTGTCATTAATTTTGAAAAATTATTAGCCATTATTTCTTCAAATAATTCTTCTACTCTTTTCTCTTTTTTTCCAAGACTCCAATTACATGTACCATTTGATATTTCTCATGGTTCTTGGGTGTTCTGTTCTGAATGGTTCATTATTATTTCTCTTTGTGTTTCAGTCTGGGTGATTTCTATTGACCTATCTTTCAGCTCACTGCCTGCCAGTTCTACTGATGACCCTGACATAGCCATTCTCCATTTCTGTTACTATGTTTTACATTTCTAGGACTTCCTTTTAATTCAAATAAAATTTTTGTATCTCTGCTGAAATTAACCATCTGATGTTGAATGTTGCCCAGCTTTTCCACTAAAGCCTTCAACATATTCATCATAGTTATTTAAGAATACTTATGGGACAGTTCCACCATATATGTCATATCTGCATTTGTGTTTTGGTTCTAATTGCTTTATCTATTTTGAGTGTTTTTTTTTTCTTGCGCGTTCATATGCTTTTAACTTTTTGTTTAAATTCTCATGTATTATTGTCATCAGATGTATGACAGTAAAGACTAAAACAGTTTTCATTGCTTGGATATGGCCACATGTTTCCTTCTGCTAAAACTTTAGCACAGGGGTTTGCATCAACATAATTAGAAAGTGAGCTAGGTTTGAAGTTTGTTACTTCTACGCTACACTCAGTGCTCTACAGGCTACCATTCCTAAATGATACCTTATATTGGGGTGTGGGATTTAGTTTGTAAAAATATTTCTTTCTTCATTTTCAGAACCACTACCTACATACTAAGTCACGTCTTTCCTTTGTACTCAAAAAAGTTATTTACCAAGGTACTTATGATCCTAACAGCAGAGTAAGAAACGGAGGAAGGTCTTCTTTGGTCTTCTGACTCAGCCTCAGTCTTAGGTGAACACTGTGACCCTAAGTCTGAGGTGTACAGCCTTCTCCATGATCCTTCTCCTCCCCTAGTATAGTTTTTATCACTGTAGATATTCCTACCCCTTCCTCAGGGGCTGAGGGTTTTTTCCCTGTTTCCATACCCCAACTGCAAAAAGATTTCATCAGTACTTAAGGGGAATGGTAATTGTTGCAGCGCTTCTGACAAAATATAGCTTTGTTCCAGAGTCCACGTGGAGATTATTCCCCCTCAGGCTATGGCTGCTGTAATATTCCCCCTGTTCCTCACCACGGAGGGCATTTTCTTTTACTGATGGGTTCATAAACAAGCCTGCAAGAGGGTGTGGGTTCCCTCTGTATTTGTGGCTCCCAGGATATTCATCCTTTCTCATCAGTATACACTTGGCTTCTATCAATGTAACGATCATCTTAGTTGATCTCTTTCTAGAGGTGTACAGCTGTGTCTTATCCAGGTAAGTCAGTACTTGTAGGATGCCTCTCCCTGCAGGTATTTGTCTCTAGATTCTGGGTCTGTCCATGGGTCTGAAATTTCAGCACTCAGAGAAGTGGTCAAGGCAAGCTGTGAACTTGATTTTCAGCTTTTCATTGTTTTACATTTGGGAGTGATGTCTTTCCAGCTCACTACATCTCTGATCAGAAACCGTAAGTCATCCCAACTACTTATATTTAACTCTATGTATTGTGGTTTTCAAAGCTTACTAACTTTCCACTTAGGCTCACTCATTCAACAATTGTACAGCTAAAGTTACCACTTTGCATGCATTGGTACCTTCATTCTGCCAAAGTTAAGCAGTTAACTAACGCGTAGCCATACAAAACCCCCGACAAAGACAAGCTGACCAAATTTCTAACCATAAGAATGAGTACATGTGGATCAGAGAAAAATATTTCATGATTACATTTATTTTCCATTAAGTTTAAAGAAATATTTTAGTTTAACAACTTAAGTGTAAAAAGCACCTTGTGTGTGGACACCATAGAGGATATAAATATAAGTAAGATAAAGACTTTATACCTTATTTCAGTAATAGTTTCTTATAGAGCAGCGGTCCTCAATCTTTTTGGCCCCAAAAACTGGTTTCATGGAATACAATTTTTCCACAGGTAGGGGCACAGGGATGGCTTCAGGATGAAACTGTTCCACCTCAGATCATCAGGCATTAGATTCTCATAAGGAGTGTGCAACCCACATCCCTCGCATGCACAGGGTTCATGGTCCTATGACAATCTAAAGTCGCTACTGATCTGACAGGAGGCAGAGCTCTGGTAGTGATGCTCACTTGTCTGTCGCTCACCTCTGGCTGTGACCGGTTCCTAACAGGCCACAGCCTGGGGGTTGAGGACCTCTGTTATAGAGAATACTTCAAACATTCAAAAATGATACTGTAGAGCATACTTAATAAATATTGCACCATTACATATTTTTATGGAGAGTTTTAAGGCATAGGTTAATGGCTGGGTGAGGGGCTGGATGCAGCAGCGCTCACTTCCAGTCCCAGCTACTCAGGAGGCTGAAATGGGAGGACTGCCTGAGCCCAGGAGTTCAGGGCCAGCCTGGGCAACATTAGTGTAACCGATCTCTTAAAGGAAAAAAAAAAAAAAGATTTACAGCCTGAGTTAATGATTATTCACTGTTAACAGATAACTGAATTGCTCGTAACACATAGATGAATTGAAGGCACATGTCTTAGAAAAACATAGGGTTTTCCTTGCAAATTTGATCCTATGCTTTACAGCAAATAGCAGATAAGGACAGGATGAAAATAAAAATTCAGCAGGATATATCTGGTTACATTTAATGACAGGAGTATACTTACACAAAAATAGCCTTCATGGAACATGGTCTATCTAATATTTATACCTCTAGCACTCTGATGTTAAGTAGTTAGTCTTTGTATTCTAAAAGGTAAACTTTTCAGTACGCACTGTTTCACTGGAGTCAGGTACTTCAAGCCAATTCTGTTCATATAAAAATTAAAGTATATATGCCAATTAATGACATGTTATGGGAAGCCAGAAAATGTGGAGAATTAGATATTCATAAGAACCTAACCGATATGATCTTTACATGTAACAAAAACTACCTGGGAATTCACAGCTTCAGAAGAGAAATTGATAAGGAAAATGCCAAATTAGAGAGGGTCAGAAAAATCTCACTTTAATGGCTTCAAATTCCTCTAGCTTGATGCATTCATCCTTCCACATCTTTGGGGATGAATGATGAGAACGTTATGGCTTTCTAAAACAATTCCTATTTCTGTAGCTAATGCTCAAATGGTTATTACGAATATTTACTCTTTCCCAATTCTAGACACTCCTCCTTCACACAGGTTCAGTTTTCCTCTAAGTATGTTAGTACAATTGATTACACTATAGTGAAGTTCTTAATCTGGCCTCTCAGCCATTTTTCCCCTTTAACATGATCATTTCTATTATGTTATCTATTTTACACACATTTTATAATTTGACTCTTGAGAGTCAAATTTGACTATTTTCAAATATATTTTTCAAATTTTTCAGCTCTTAGCGCATAGGCCCACTCTTGCATATATACATATATGCCAAAAAAGGATGCAACACTTCAATGCCAAGCTCACAGGGTTATGACGGTTAAAAAAAAAAAGATACTACATAGAAATGTTGGAAATTATACAATAAAAAAAATTAACTTCAATATACTAGTGGGTCAGAAAGATTATTATACTAACACATGTAAGATTCAATCTTTTGATTAAAAAAGTACTATATTTGGAGTTATAAAAAGCTCAGAGAACTGGAAACAGAAATGCAGTCTACGATAGATTATTCAGACTAATATAGAAGTCTTGGCACGAATAATAAGATAACTGTGGTTGATCCACAGAACAGTTGGATTATGCACCACAATATGCAAATCAGGTAACTATTTATGATAATTATTAAAATGTTAACTTGCAAATAAAGCACAGAAAATAACATCCTACTGTAAGTTGATTCCAGCACAGTATATGACAAGTCAGTATAATTAGGTAGTTTATGGTACGTATTACTCTCAGGTATGTTAATATGAATGCAATAATGCAAGCACAGTTTAACATTTTCAGTTAATTGTTCATGTTTTCTTTACACACACATATATGAACGTGCAAACACACCTCTGGTTGGAAGTCTCCTTTCTGTACACTTCCAACAAGTTTTGTTAATGTGTTCTTATGTACATACTGTGGGCTTCTCTCAAATCCAAGACTGAGAAGATTTCCATCATTCACTAACTTCAGTATCTGATAGTTACTGAATGTTCTGCAATGCTTTAAGCTACTTATATTACTTTTCATTTGCAAAGCCATCACTCCATTCACTGGCTTCATAACCTAACCTACAGACTTTTACTTCTTAGAATTTAAAAAATAACCATCAGAATAATCTTCATATAAATAATCCTGTTTGCCAAGGAGGCAGAGATCAAGGGCTTGGAGTACTGTGTATAAATCTGTCTCTTTTTCTGTGTGTGTATGTGTGTGTGCATGTGTGAGTGTGTATGTGTGTTGTTTTACCTGATTACTAATTCAAATCTAAACTCCCTACCAAAGAATCAAATGTCCTTGTGAACTGGTCTCCCATCTTCTCTAACCCACTTCCTATAAGCTCAATATTCTAGAAGGGATGTTGGCTCTCACTGCACCCACCACCTTATTTTATATCATCCCTTTAATTTCTCCTCCCTATCTATGCTTTAAATTTCTGCTTTATTGATTCTGTCTTTTACTGCTTCTAAGAGACATTTCATTTCTGCTATCACATTTTAATGTCTTATCATTTTCTCTCTCCAATTCCCTCTGAATCTTTTCCAATATCTCAGGCAAATTTCAACCCAGTCTTTTTAACATCATTCCTACTTTGTTTCAAAAAAAATATGTTTTCTTATGGAAAATAAAAATTATATTTTAAAAAATTTACTTATTTTTCCTAGATTTAAATCTTTTCAAAAAATATGTCTTTCTTCTTTCCCCTCAGAAAAATGTTACACTTATTTTATACTCTGAGTCTTTTGGTTTTTGTTTGACTGTTTATTCATTGTTAAGGTCTGCTCTGTTCTTTCCTAATAAATCAGTGGAGAAGAGGACGTAGTGCCACATTAATTTCCTGGTTTCCTTCATTACCCACGTGCTATATTTAAATGTTTCGGACCTTAATTTTTTTTTTTTTTTTTTTGAGCCAGGGTCTCACTGTCACCAAGGCTGGAGTGCAATGGTGTGATCATAGCTCACCGCAGCCTCAAACTCCCAGGCTCAAGAGATCCTCTCCTATCTCAGCCTCCTGAATAGCTAGGACAGGTGCAGGTCACCACACTCAGCTAATTTTTATTTTTTTGTAGAGATGGAGGTCTCACTATGTTGCCCAGGCTGGTCTTGAACTCCTGGGCTCAAACAATCCTCCCGCCTCAGCCTCCCAAAATGCTGGGATTACAGGCATGAGCCACTGGGCCCAGCCCTCAAATTTCTAATATTAGTTGTAATTTACTTACTATGGCTCTAAAGGTAAAAGGAAAGTTCACCTGGGTTCCTTCTACTGCTTGCCTATCTATACAGAATAATAATAAAGACTGTATGAACTGAAGCAGATCTTCTCTTTTAAACTGTATCAATAAAAATGCAATGCCAGACAGCATAGATCCATCCTATGGATCTTCCTGGCATTGTTTCTTATTTCTGAATGAAATGTGCCATGACCTATCTTCTTTTACCTTGGTCATATTACATTATCAGGAACCTTACTTCTAAATAAAGCAAAGCACTAATGGGTGAATAGTTGGGGTAAGGGGTCTGTGTGGTCATGAAATAGTCCACTATGTCAGAAAGCAACTCCCTCAGAGCAGAAAACAGCTTTCTTTCCTGAAAGGTTTGGAATTTCAAAGGTACAGACATGCACTGGAATTAAAAGCAAAAACAAAAAATAATGTTAAAAAACCTCCTTCCATCATTATATCCTGCTGTACTACTATTCTGCTTCTAAGTTCCATTTGCATTTTAGTTTGTAGAGATTCTTCCTGGTGTCTGGCATATTACTGATAAATATTCTGGGTTATATCACTTCTTAATATCACATCTCTGTTTCTACAAGCATTCTGACAGTAGGATAGGAAAGCATGGACTAGGTGTCAAAAGCCAGCTCACTCTTTAACTTGCTGATATTTATTTGCCTACTTCTGGGTTCCATTGGATTGGATACTACAGTCGATCATCTCAAGCTCCAATTATCTAAGACCCTATGTTTCTGGCTTCTCTGGTCATTAGTTACAGTTTGCAAGTCAGTAGTCAACCTGGGGAGAACTCACTGTTCATTCAACAAATTAGGACTAGATTAGGGTGAAGTGAGTTAAGAAAATCTGGTGCTTAACCTTGGGCATACCATTTAAGGGGGTGCTCAAAACTAAGTAATTAACATAAAAATACTTAAATATAATATTTTAAAAAACTGAATGATTCCAAAAGATTCATGATTAACAAAATATCAAAATTTTAAATGAAGACAAAATTTAATATTGCCATATCAGGCCACATTGGAGCCCAAGGCTAAAGAAAAGTCAGTAATAATGATCCTGTCATTTGCCTCATCCCAGTTTCGGCCCTGAAACAAATATATAAACAACTGTACTTCCCAGCCACTGATCTCTGCCCTCTTCATTGCAGAAAGCAGAATGTGGCCTGCTAATTTCATGCAATCGTATCTCTTCTCACAGCTGTTGATTTGAGTATTAATTTTATTCACATAATATTTCTCACGTTCCCAATCAATACTAGCATTCCTTATTCCTTTTTTTTTTTTTTTTTTTTTTTTTGAGACGGTGTTTTGCTCTTCTTGCCCAGGCTGGAGTGCCACGGCGCGATCTTGGCTCTACACAACCTCCACCTCCCAGGTTCAAGTGATTCTCCTGCCTCAGCCTTCCAAGTAGCTGGGATTACAGGCATGCGCCAACACACCCCGTTAATTTTGTAGTTTTAGTAGAGACGGGGTTTCTCCATATTGGTCAGGCTGGTCTCGAACTCCAGGTCAGGAAGATCTCAGGTGATCTTCCCGTCTCGGCCTCCCAAAGTGCTGGGATTACAGGCATGAGCCACTGCGCCTGTCCATTCCTTATTCTTAATCAGATAAGAGTTGCTGGTTTTCACAACTAATTACTCCACCTCAAACCAAGATGCCACCACACGCTTAAAGCTCAAAATTTCTCTAAATATGCATCCATTTTATTGTGTTTTTCTACTATCTCAAAGGAAGAGAGATCTGATTTCCTATTTTATTCTCTCCTTTCTCCTTTATTGGGAGAAATACTATAACTATTTCTTTCATGTAAACTTCAAATCTTTCCCGGTTTCCTTCAAATCTTTCCTCATTGATTCCTTCGTGTTTCAACAGAAACTGGGTCATAGAGCCCTAGAAATTCTTCCTAAAACTAGAGCAGTCTCTAACCTTATTTAACTTACTTTACTACTGCTACCACCATGATATACTGAACATTGTTTCCATTTTCTCATTTGACACTTACGGTTTTCACCCCTACCATGTGATTAAAACCATACATGAATCATCTCTTTTTTTCATCTATATCCTTCTTCCATTAGCAATATTATGTGATTCTTTCTGAAGAAGTCCTGGTGAAGTATCTGAAAACTACAACTATTTTTGTGTGGCCCATGAGCTAAGAATAGTTTCTATATTTCAAAAAGTTTTTTTCAAGATAAAAAAAAACAGTATTCTGTGACACATGAAAATTATATAAAATTCATATTTGAGTGATCATAAAGTTCACCAGCAGAAGGTGATGTTGCCGCACTAGATAAAGAAAAGCCTCTGGTGGCCACAGCAATGACCACTTCTTCTCTACTGTCCAACAGGTAGCTTGCTCTGCAGAGAAAAGGCGTGAAAAAAATTATTCTACCAGTTGACAGAAAAAAACCAGCTGAGAAATAAAACCTGATTGTTCACTTTTAAAAATCACACCCCCAACGTGGGCCCACTAGAATGGCTCCCACAAAGAAGAAGGGTCATTCTCCCATCAATGAGGTGGTGACCTGAGCATACAATCAACATTCACAAGTGCATCCATGGAGTGGGCTTCAAGAAGCATGCCCATCAGGCACTCAAAGAGATCTGGAAATCTGTCATGAGGGAGAGGGGAACTCCAGAACTGTGCACTGATAGCAGGCTCAACAAAGCTGTCTGGGCCAAAGGAATAAGGAATGTGCCATACCATATCCATGTGTGGCTGTCGAGAAAACATAATAAGGATGAAGATCTACCAAATGAGTTCTACACTTTGGTTACCTATGCACCTGTTACCACTTTCAAAAATCTACAGACAGTCATTGTGGATGAGAACTAACTGCTGATCATCAAATACATCAAATAAAGTTATAAAATCACCAAAAATAAACATAAAAAAATAAGAAATCACACCTCATCCTCAGAAAGAAAACTGACTCCTTCAACTTCCACAAACACATACACACTTCTTTTCAACTTATTTATACACTTTATAAATGTGAATAAAGTGATACTTCCTGCTGTTGCAAACAGGGTATATGTGCTGTTCTCCAAATAGTTCAAATGGTTTTATTATCACAACCTGAGAAATATTTCAAGAAGCAATGGATCCTGTTGTCTAACTAGTAAGAGAAGGAAAAGCTCATCATCAAATATATCCAAATTCAAAATTTTTTGGCAGCTATTTTCTAGTTTACACAAGGTAAATACCAAACAAAGTCAGTTCAGCAGGGCAATTCCTGGAGGAACATATTTTTACCCAATTCCTTCTGCTAGGCCCAATAGGACATGATATTATTTCAACTCAACTATTGTGAAGAATTCAGTCACCTTAGAATTGATATGGACAACTGGTGGCACTTTCCACATTTTCCTGTTACAGGGATCCCTGCCATCTTGCGTGGCATGAAATTCTAGGGTATCAACAGAGTACTTACTCAGGAACGTAGACTGTTTCTTGAAAAATATTTTGCCTCTGCCTAGAGATACCGCTATAGTCACACCCATGGAAGAACACATCCCAGTAAGAATATAAGTCAGTATTTTGGTATGTCATGATGAAATGCTACTGCCTTGACATAACCGTTTTACTAGCTAAAATATGAATCAGCTCTATTAGTAAAAATTTAGTGAGCTTCTGCTATGTGCCTAGATGAAATGCACAGCCTCTGCTTTCAAAGAAAAAAATATTTAGATAGGAAAATAGATGAGTAACATAAAGGGTATCTATACAACAAGTTCCTCAACTGAGAGCTGTATAGCTTGTCTCAGGCAGTTAAGACAGCCAATGTGTAAGAAGACACATCTAAAGCAATGTTTAGGCACACTTACAATTATTTCATGTCTATTTCTCTTTTCTACTTACTTATTTCCTCTTTTCCCTCACTCCATGAAACTGATGGACTTTAGGCAATATATTAGTTCCCAGTATAATTTGGGTTGGGAGATACTTATCCAATAGATAGGCTGGCTGTAATTTCCTTTAAGGATTCTTTTTTTTTCTCTTCATGTCAAGTTAGACCACTAGACAAGACATTCCTATAAATATAAAGAGTCCTTGATTTTACTGGCTTAACACCTTATATGCAAAATTACTTTTTTTTTTAGTAATTATGTCTTTAGATTGTTTTATTTTTATCAAACGTGACTCAAGTAGTCCATCTTCAACAGGAATATTAAGTTACTAAAAAAATCAGGATTGGAAACTTTATCACAATTAAATTTAAAAGTTTATAATAAAAACAGGATGAAAATAATTTGGGAAGTGAAATTTGAAAGCCCCAATAAATATTTAGTATTTTCTAAAATAAAGGAATAATACTAAAAATGAAAACATACAAAGTATTCACCTTTAATTATTAATAGTGGGTATGACAACTGATTTCTACGTCTACTCTTATTTTTTCAGAAACCCGTCAAGAGTTCTCCTCCCCAATATTTTTCATAATTATAAATGTTTTGTTTTACTATAGATAAAATGTACACTAAACATGTTCTGTTGCTACCATTCTAGGTCTGATCCTTCATCCCATTTTTCAGTGCCTTTCTGATTTTATCAAGCAGAATGCTAACTATTAAGTCCACCTAATTAGGGCCCAGCTTCTGCCAGACCTTCTTTTTTTTTTTTTTTTTTGATCTTTTTTTTATTATTTTTACTATTATACTTTAAGTTTTAGGGTACATGTGCACAACGTGCAGGTTTGTTACATATGTTTCTTACCCATTTGCAACACCTAGGAAGCAGTTCCAAGGTCCAGGTTCAATCTAGACCTTAAAATACCCTGTATGCCTCCTGTTCTTCTTCCTCTTTTTGGCTACAAGTGTCCAAAGACACAGACAAAAAAAGTTACATTTACTCAAAACTACATAATATAGACACAAAAAAGTTACATTTACTCAACACTACAGAATGATGAATAATTAGACAATATTTTGGCCAGGCTCAGTGGCTCACGCATGTAAGGAGGCTAAGGCGGGCAGATCACATGAGGCCAGGAGTTTCAGACCAGCCTGGCCAACATGGCAAAACCCCATCTCTACTAAAAATACAAAAATAATAATAATAATAATAATAAAATAACCAGGCATGGTGGCATACATTTGTAATCCTAGCTACTCAAGAGACTGAGACATGAGAATTGCTCAAACCCGGGAGGCAGAGATTGCAATGAGCCGAGATCATGACACTGTACTGCAGTCTAGGAAACGGGAGTTCCCTAGTTACCATGACAACTCCCCTTCCCCCAAATATCTTCATGTGTTTCCAAATGCTTTTGGGGTCAAAAAAGATTCTAGTAGAATCTGACTCCAAGTGAAGTAAAGAGACTAAAGAAAGAATAACGTTAAAAGAAAGTATACATTTTGAATAAGCAGCATAAAATAATGAAGTGTCAAAATGTAAAAGGTTTAAAGGGAAGAATGACCAAAGGTCAGAGGAATCCAGTAGCAGGACCACTGCAGATGGCAATTCAGCCAACCAGGATCTAGTGTACAGACATTTAGGAACACTAAAAAGACTCTAACATCAATTGAAGATTAGAAAGGATAAAATGATTACATTAACTTACATCCCTCTTTATGCCTGCTTGACCTGCAGAACATGTTTGGCAGCTCTTACCCTAGGACCTTTACACTTGCTATTTCCTCAGTTTGGAATGTCCTTGCCCCAAAACTTACATGGTTCACTCCTTTATCTCCCTTAAATATTAGCTCAATTTTTTTTCAATAATAACTGCTCTGATATTTAATTCTGCAACTTATAATAACTTATAATACACTATCAATCCCCTTAAATTGCAATATTGCAATATTCGTTTCTTTTTTCCAAAGAAATTACTGCTTTCAAAGACTCTGTTTATTTTTGTTATTTATTATATTTATTATTTACTATTTCCCTCTGTTAGAATGCAAGCTCCATGAAGGCAGGGATCTTTGTTATGTTCAATGATATGTCCCAAGCACCTAGAACACAGCTGTAGAACTTAGAAGGCCTAATCCTCAATAATCAACAACCATGATCTGCAGAATGATGAATATAGGCTGTAGAGAATCCAGCCCTGTCTCACCAAATCAAAAACATGATTCCTTTGAAACTGCAGGCTGTTTCATAATATTAAACTAATGATGTTCCTTTGTATTTACTATTATCAATGGGAGACAGAAAAATATTTCCTACATAGAAGTGGGCACTAACTAATCCCATAATGCCTTCAGTTAGCAAATCTCTAGACCCTCCACAGAAATCAAGCTTCAGACTCTGCACCAGGATATCAAAAACCACATTTCTTCTTTCATTTACCTGAAGTGACTTTGAACCTGGAGAAGGGAATTAATATTTCCCGAAGTCATTTGATGGCTGAGAGGCATGAACACAGAACTGGAGTCTCCCTGGATATGTGATTAGCATTTGAACATGCACTTTCTAATACACTCCCACAATAGTTCCTGAATACTGATTTAGAAGGACTAGAATTAAGTACCAAGAACTGAAAAAAAAATTATTAAAAAGATACATGTTAATTATAGACTATCAAATCAATAGTAAGAAATCAGCAAATAAATAGAAACTGCATTGTTAGGAGCTAAAATGTAGAAAAAGATGGTATGAAGTATTACTGAGGGAGCCAGAATAATCTATCGAGTCACATCTTTATTTCCAAAAGAAATTTCTTATGACCATACATCATTTTACAATGTAAAAACAGAGATTTCCCAAAGATTCTTACTCTGTTTCTAGCAACGAATGTATAGCCACTCATTCACATGTTCCACCATTTACTTTATGAGGGCCGTCCAGCCTGTAGACAATTCAATTAATCTTACAAGTGACATGCACAAGAAAAAAAAAAAAACAGATGTGGCATTAAGATTTACAAAGTTATTGAAACTTTTTAACAAGTAAAACGCATCTTTACTTAGCTACACCAGAATGAGGAATAAAGGGGTTTACATATGTTCCAATTCTAAACCTATCAATCAAACCCATGTTATTCCTTTGGGAGCTTATTTACATGCATATTTATCAGCCTCACATGCTAATTCCCTGCTGTTTTATGCCTGCAAGGCATGTTTATGAGTCATAATTGTTGATCTCATTTGATGTATTTTGCTGAAGGAAGACATTATTCAGTTATGTGGCCTAATGTCAATGAATTACGATGACCCGATCTTCCAAACACAATTTGCTCTTTAATTTTTATTAGGATATATAACTTACTGTACAGGAAAAGCAGTACACACTAAAATAAAAGAATAAATGTTTTACATAAAGAATTTAGTTAATCATCTCATTTTGATCCACCTTACTCCTTCACATTTCTTCTAAGATGTGGCTATAAAATAAGCTGTGTCACTCAGTCACTTATTTCCCTACACTCCTACACTGCGCCCTTAGCTTCATAATCTGTCACCATAGTCTAACTTTGCAGACCTGCTTCCAAGTTCAAGAAAAAACATGTGTTCATTTTTGCTACTTGCATATTCCTTTACTAGTTTTTCCCCTTAGTCAAGACCAGTGACTATTTTTAGGCTGTCCTACAAAATCTGGCTAACAAAGCTATTTTCTTCAACTCACTTAAAACATTATTTCAGGCAGGAAATCTTCCTAAAATAGGTACATTGGGTAATGGTAACTATTTCTGCATTCACCCAATCCCTTAGAAAACATAAAGCACCATTGCTTATATCAAAGCATTACCAATTTTTTAAAAAATAAAAACACTATATGCAAAGTATAACAATACAATTAGTGGTGGTATCAGGAGAGAACACCCTAAGAATTTGTGTTATTGAGAAACAGAAATGGAAAATGATGCAGTATATCTATATTTCTATAAATCAATCTATATTGGTGTTATAAAGAGCTTTAGAATAATGGAGTGACTTAAATGATTGTAAAATGTATGTATTAATGGCACAAGGGTCTTCTGCACTACTGTGAGAAATCTGAATTAAAAATAAGTGATTTTTGGATGGGCACGGTGGCTCACACCTGTAATCCCAGCACTTTGGGAGGCCGGGGTGGGTGAATCATGAGGTCAAGACATCGAGACCATCCTGGCCAACGTGATGAAACCCTGTATCTATTAAAAATACAAAAAAATCAGCCAGGTGTGGTGGCGGGCACCTGTAGTCCCAGCTACTCGGGAGGCTGAGGCAGGAGAATCATTTGAACCTGGAGGCAGAAGTTGCAGTGAGCCAAGATCGCACCACTGTACTCCAGCCCGGACGACAGAGTGATAATCCATCTCAAAAAAAAAGTGATTTTTGTGACATGAACTTCTGCAAGGAAAACGGCTTATGATTTTCCCTCCCCAGCACATTTGGGATGTGAATGACGATACCATATCACTAAAAAATAGATGTCATTGCAAGGGGTTACCACACTGAGTTCAATAAGCACTATCACTCCAGTGAGAACATTAGAACATGAAGCCTAAAACCACTTTTCTGCTAGGTGATCACACCACCTAAGTGATAGCTAGATGGAATTGCAGCCCAGAAATTTAAGTATCAGGAGACAGGAAAACTGGGCATACAGATGAACAGATCACAGTAGTCATTCTCTCTTCTTTTGACCTATACGTAAAGAATTAAAACTACAAGGAGTCATTCTTAAAATGCATTTGAAAGTGTTTTTGTAGCAGGATTAAAATCTAAGAAGGTAATGAAATGGTATTAGTATTAATATTCTATTCTTATTATGCTTAAATAATTTTTAAAATGTTTGGATGAGCAATAAACTAAAAAACAGATTTTAGAAAACAATCATAAGTATAATTTTAAAAACCTGTGAAAGAAACCACTTTGCCTTCCTCTTGCCTGGTATTTGTAAAAGATGTAGGAAAAGGAAAAGGTAACAAATAATAATACTACATAAACAGCATTTTAAAAAATCAAAATAGGCAGGAGAATGGCGTGAACCCGGGAGGCGGAGCTTGCAGTGAGCCGAGATTGCGCCACTGCACTCCAGCCTGGGCGACAGAGCGAGACTCCGTCTCAAAAAAAAAAAAAAAAAAAAAAAAAATCAAAATAAGCAAGTTGATATCCAGTACATGTACACACAATACCATGTAATTTAAAATGTATTTTATTGCATTAGAAACTACATGTGTTTTTCAACCTGAGGAAAATGATTTCCAAAAATTAAAAACAAGAAAGAAACTACACGTATTAATAGAATTTAATTGATTTCCTTTCTACGACAGAGATAAAATGCACTGAATTACACATTTGCTGTGGGAGGCGGTCAGAACATGAGCAGAGTTACCACATGACGAAATCTACCCTTTAACATACTAAAATAGCAAACTATACTAACAGGACACACTAAGTAAACTATAACAGTTTCAGGAGATTATAAGTTTTTCAATGTTCATCTCATTGTTAAGTAATTTAGAAGAATAGTAAAATTCAACACTAATCTAGTATATTATTTGAAAACATTAAGGTTTTATGAAAGGAGTTTTTTTTTTCTTTTTTTTTTTTGAGATGGAGTCTCACTCTGTTGCCAGGCTGGAGTGCAGTGATGTGATCTCAGCTCACTACAACCTCCACCTCCTGAGTTCAAGTGATTCTCCTGCCTCAGCCTCCCGAGTAGCTGGGACTACAGGCACGCGCCACCACACCCAGCTAATTTTTGTATTTTTTGTAGAGATGGGGTTTCAACCTTGTTGGCCAGGATGGTCTCGATCTCTTGACCTCATGATCCGCCCACCTCAGCCTCCCAAAGTGCGCGAGTCACTGCGCCCAGCCCAAAGGGAGATTTTTTACTACACAAATGAGGGCTTTTCTACTTCATATCTTCTCAATGAGGCCTTTCTTTCTGTCCTAACTAAAATGGTAACACCCTCCTTAATTCATTTCCTACCCTTCTCCCAGGCTTTATATTTCTCCATAGCACTTATCCCTATAGAACCAGATATATTTTACATATTAATCTTGCTTACTGTCAGTCTTTCACTAGAATTGTAACCTTCAAAGCAAAGGCTATAGTTTTGTTTATACCCGTAATTCTCAGCATCTATAATATATCTTGGCAGAGAGTAGGCACTCAATAAACAGCTACTGAAAGAAGAAATCAATGAATATTAAATATTACAATAAACATCTGGGAGCACATAAGTTTAAAAACATATATTTCTACATTAACAACGAAACCAGGATACTTAAGACAGCTAGTACTGAATATCTGATAGACCTATTACATTCTAAATATTAACATTAATGCCATCAGAATATCTGTGGCTGAGTAATCACAGTACCATAATTCACACACTCAGTCATCTTAGTTGAACCATGCAATCCTTGAAATACAATGAAGAGAAAATATATCACAAAGTACTGATCTCCTCTATCATGAGCTACAAATTTTATCCAAAAAAATTATTTCAACTAAAATGTACAGAATATAAATCAACTAACACATTGGTTTTCATGAAGTGTAAATATCTCGGTCAAGTGCAGTGGCTAATACCTGTAATCTCAGCATTTTAGGAGGCCGAGACAGAAGGATCACAGGACTTGAGCCCAGGAGTTTGAGACCAGCCTGGGCAACATAGCGAGACTCTGTGTCTATTATAAGTTTTTTAAGTGTCGATACCTTGAAAGCATATCCGAATAATCACAGATTTAATAAAAGAATAATTATCTTGAGCAATTTCATGTCCCTAACATACCATTTTAAAATATGTGACTTTGATAGGAGATTAAAATAACTTAGCACATTAATGTAAACATGAATTCATATACAATGAACTTGCAATACTAAAGATTCCCCAAATGTTGCAACATTCATCCTTTATGTATTTTAACTGTATTTCTAAAACTTAAACCTAAATATAAACACGTAAAGTATAAAACACTAAGCTCTGAGAGAAAGAGGTTTTTCAACTTGTACTTCTACAAAGAATAAAATTTGAAGGTGGCTCTGTGGATCAACCTACTTAATAATCTTCTCTCTTCCAAAAAGCTAACCGCAGGTTCTGGCCACAAGTCAGTAAATCAAATTTGATGAGGATTTAACTAAGTATAAGGTGAAAATGTCTATGAATAAACAGATCATGTGGCTTTTTAATTTACTGAAGTGTTTTTTAAAAGTAAACAAAATAAAATTTTAGTAATAACATGAAATGAATGTGCTTAGCTGAATTTCTACTTATAATTACATTTACTTCATTCTTTTTACCTGTTCTGCTTTCCTCATTAGTTTTTACTTTACTTTTTTTTTTTGCTTTACTTGTTTAGTTTTGCTTTTTACCTGTTTATGATCCATAATGTTGGAAAAAACAGTACAGTAATATCCCACAAGGGGGAGGATGAGGACTTTTTAATCCTCACTTTTACAATGTAAGTAACTTTCACATAGGAAGTTTTCCTCTAAAATAATTTACTTAACAAGGAGTAAACTGACATAAAATTAAGAGAGATGCAGACAAAACTTTGAAACAGAAACTACCTTTTAATCTACAAAGTGTGCACTCATCCAAAGTCAGTTAATCACCTTGTAAAAACTGATACTTTTATATAATTTACAAAATTAGAAACACAAAATAGACAGTTACACTGGCAAATATTTTTCTAGAATATAAACTACTTACTCATCAAAACAGATTTCTGAGTTATAAACTTAACTGAGATAAACGAGCTTCATCATAAGCTGAGTTTATGTTTGTCCTAAAATGTCCATCATATCTTTGTTTTCCTTTGGGCAAAATGGGAAAATCATACCCTGTTTTCTATTTAATTCATTAAAAATTGAACATTATGTGATTTATTATAAGTTTTCTGTACTAGGTATGAACATTAGCAATATTTGAAAGAAGGAATCAATTCTCTATCCAAAAGGAAAAAAATAAAGCTGATATTCAAAAGTAAAAGAAATGAACAGCAACATAGAGAAAACATGAAAATAATAAAGAACGACTCCAATCTTCAGAAGATATATTTAGACAGTTTCACATAAATAAAAACTTTATGTTCAACCAACCAACAATTCACACTTAAATCTATTTTAATGCATCATTGACATCGAAAGTAAAAAACAGGCAAGGACAGGAGAAGCACAGGCTTTCAGAAAGAGAAAAATTAAACTGAATGTCAATGGGCAAGGACACGTTAAGACTTATGATATACATTGCCAAATGGAATGCCGGAAGGATAATACCAATCTATATTGCCACAAAACCTATGTGAAAATCTCCAATTCCCTAGACCTCAAGCAAAGCCCAGTTGCATTACTTTTTTTAACGTAACAATGTGGAAGAAAAAAAAGAAAAACAAGAAACAAACTTGCTTTAATGTCATTCCTTATATGGCAAATGAGGTCACTCTGCATTTAATTATTAAGCATCCAAAATATTGCCTAAGAATTGCTAGTTTATGTCCTTTGGTCATTTTTCAATTGTGTTCATATTCCTAACTTGTCTGAATTTTTGGATATTAAAGATATCAAACTCTCATTTACTAATCTCTACATGTTAAGAGTATCCGGTGGTTCTACCTTGCCCCGCCCCACCCGTTTATATATTCCCAAATCTAACACCATCTGCATGGTAACTTCTCCCCAACCTATATCTTAAGACTTTACATCTTCCCAGAATCTCAGACTCATATATCCATCTCCACAAGACAAAAAGTCTAACAGACATCTCAGACGTCACCATACAAGGCAAACAAAACTCTTTATTTCTCCTCCCCACTCACCCCCTCCAAATTTAATTTTCTATCAACTACCAACACTTTAGTAAATGATATCATCTAATTTTCCATCAATTTCCAACACTTTAGTAAATGTTATCACCTCTCTAGTCAGTTGCCCAATGCCAAAAATCTAGGAATCTTTCTAGATAAATCTTTTACCTCACTGCCCTGCAATCATCAACAAGTAGTTTTCTCTACCCTAAATCAAAAATATATCCGGTATCTGTTTAATTATCTTCATTTCCACTACTCCTCTTCCCAGTCTAACCCCACTATCAACTCTCTCCTGAGGATGGCATTCCCAGTCAGAAGCTGAAGAAATTATTTGCACTGCTGATACACATTTGGACTGTTTCCAGTTTTGTTATCATAAACAATGTTCTTACACACAATTCTTGATGCAGATATGCAATAGTTTCCCTGTGTTCCTAGGGTATGGTCATATTCAATTTTCTTGTAATGCCAAGTTATTTCCAAAATGTTTGAACCAACTTTAACTCCTATCAGCAACGTAACAGAGCTCACGTTTCTTCACACGGTGGCAAACTCACATTAATTGATTTTTGCCAATCTAGAGGTTATCATATGTTATCTGACAGGGATTTTATTTAAATTCTTCATACATATATGGCTATTGCATGGTTCCTTTACTACAAAATATAGGCCTTTTTCATGCCATTTTCATATTGATTCATAAGAATTCTTCATACCTCTTGGATGCTAAACTTTTTTTAGTTTTGTATATTATCATCTTTTCTTAGACTGTGGTTTGTATTTTCACTCTGTTTACAGTATCTTCTCATAATAGTTTTTGATTTTGCAATAATTTAATTCTATATATATATTTTTTCCTTTTTGATATTTGAAATTATATTTTCTTCTAAAAGTTTTATAGTTTTGCTTTACACATTTAAGTTTTTAATTTAGGAGAATTTGGTATTGTTAGTAAGATGTGAGAAAATAATTCATTTTTGTTTTCCACCCAAATGAAAAATCAGTTGTCCTCTGCACCACTTAATGAAGATGCCATTCTTTCACCACTGATCTATAATTTCAGCTCTGTCATGTATTTGGTTTTCATGTAAGTTTGAGTCTATCTGTCTATCTGTTCTTCCCACTAGTCTATTTATCAAGTCATGAGCCATTATCATATTACCTAGTTATATAAAATGTGCATGTTTTTTTTCAGAAATGTCTTGACTATTGTACCTTTTTTCTATTAAATACTTGAATGACCTGCCAAGTTACTAAAAATAACAAATCAATGTAAAAATTTTGACTGAAAAATACACTGAATCTATAGATCAATTTGGGGAAAACCTAATAACTCTGTGACAATAAGTCTTCTCATCCATGATCATGGTGTGTCCTCTATATTTATTCAGGTCTTCTTAAATGTCTTCCAATGAAGTTTCATAACGTTCTCCACAAAAACTACCACATAGTTTACTGATTTATTGAAGGTTTACTCATATTTTTGTACTGTTATAAATGCTGTATCTTTATTGCTGGTATATTTGTAAGTGCGACTGATTTTGCACACGTTATATAACAAGGAATATAGGTAAACTAAATTATTAAATTCTAATAATTTATGTGTAGATTTTTATTTCTAATTTTAAAGAGAAAACTTTTAACATTTTACATTGAGAAGGATTTTAGTGTAATTCTTTTATAAATGTCCTTCTTCATATTAAAGAAGGTCTCCTCAATCCACAGTTTGTTAACAGTTATTTTATCACAAACTTATGTGAATTTTTTTAATGTTTCCCCTACAACTACTGAAATGACTTTTCCACTTTGCTAATAAGCTAAATTACAAAAATAGATTTTCCCTAAGTACTAACCTTGCATTCCCAGGATAAACAAAATTTGGTAAAATATGTTTATCTTTTTACCCATGCTGGATTCTGTTTACTAATATTTTATTTTTATCCATATTCATGAGCAAGAATGGACTGTACTTTTTCATAATGCTCTTGACTGATATTGTTACAAAGGTTATACCAGTCACGTAATATAAATTTGAAAACATTCCCTATTTTTCAATTCTCTGAAAGAATTTTCTCTTTATGTTTTCTAGAAATCATCTGTCCCCAAATTGGGATTGGTGTTTTCTGTCTGGGATTATAATTATTTATTCCATTACATCAATGGTTATAGTATCACGCAGAAACTTATCTCTTCTTTTATATTTTAAAACTTGTGATACAACTGTATAAGTCATTGTATGTCCGTTATAAAAATCACTTAATCAAATAACCAACTTTTCTCATTTTTAAAATTTTCATACATACTTAATGGCTACATATCCATTTATGTAACCATAGTTTTTGATGTGTAAAATATAACCTAGAAAGCAATGTGTATACACATTACCCATAATAAATGTTTACTATATTGTTTAACAAGTTTAGAAGTATGTATACACATTGCTTTCTAGGTTATATTTTACTGAACTGAACTCTATTTCAATAATTCTTGTCTTTATAGAAATGTATCCACTACACCTTAGTTTTCCAATTCATAGTCATAAAAATGTTCACATAAGAGAATACTTGTATTGTCTTTTTAACCAGTTCATAATTCTGAATGGATTTTAGAAAGATATTTTAGAGGTTAAAAGACTCTCTCTAGAAATGTGATTGAAATTAAACTTGATTAAAGAATTTATTTTAAAGACCTCACTATACCTTTTCATATGCAATACATTTTTAATCTGGAAAATCCAGAAATTTAGGAAAACGTTTGTTTTTTTGCTTGTTTCCCATTAGCTGCTTTACTGTTGAGCTCTCATTGCTTCCATTATTTTTCAGTCAATTGTCTTAGGTTTTCAGTTAATTATTTTGTGTCTTTCGGTAATGCCATCTTTTTTTGGCTGATTAACATAAAATATTTACATATCATAAATGTTCATTTATTTTTGAATTAGTATCTGTGAAAAATTGATGGTATTAATGGCCCAATTACTCCCTTCCTAAACATATGACATTCAGGGTGTGACTTTCCAGCTTCTTCCATCAAAAGGTAGTGGCAACATAGTAATACTGAGTCTTCTAATCCATGAACATGAAATGTCTACTTATTTATAACTTTCCTTAATTTCTTCCAGTATTGTTTTATAGTTGTCAGTGTACTTCCTCTACTTTTGGTGTTAAATGTATTCCTAAATATTTAGTTCTTTTAATGCTATCATGAATAGAATTTTTGCTTAAAATTATTATAGGATTGTTCACTGCTAGTATACAAAAATACAATTTTTGCTACCTCTAACAATTTTGCTACCTCTAGCTGGCTTTGTTACTTGTCTTGGCCAAGAAAATGTGGCAGATCTGACAAGGTCACAGTACCAAGTCTAGATCTCATGAAATCCTGAAACCTGGCAGTTTGTTTACTTGGAAAGCTGACATCACCATGTAAACAAGTGATGGCTACCCTGCTGGAGGATGAGACATGTAGCTTACTGAATCTCCAGACACAAGTGACACAATCTTAGATCATCCATTGCTTAGACACGTAAGCAAGCTCAGCTCAGAGTAAGAGAATTACTCAACTTGCTCACTTTACCATTACCCATAATAAATGCTTACTATATTGTGTAACAAGTTTAGAAACAGTACGTCATACAAACCAAGTTAACTGATACACTATCTATGAATAACATGAAATATTAATGCTTGGTAAATAAATGGCTACACAGCTCATTTTAATCACTGAGCTAGATATATGTCATCTGAAAACATGCAAAGGCTGGACGTGGCGGCTCACATCCATAATCCTAGCTTTTGGGGTGGCAGAGGCAAGAGGATTGTTGAGCCCAGGAATTCAAGACCAGACTGGGCAAAGTACTGAGACCCTGTCTCTACAAAAATAAATTTAAAAATTAGCCAGGCATGGTAGCACATACCTGAAGTCCCAGCTACTCCAGAGACTGAGAAAAGAAGATCACTTGAGCCCAGAAGGTTGAGACTGCAGTGAACTGTGATCGCACCACTGTGCACAAGCCTGGGTGAGAGACACCCCATCTCAGAAAAAATAAAGAAAGGAAACACTTTCAAACAATATATCAAGGTGTAGTTCAAGAAATGATTCAAAACATAATATTAAAGTTGCAAAACTCTGTGATACATTTTTACTGAAAACTATCTGATAAATGGAATAAACATGTTTGAACTTTAAAAATCAGAAAAGAGGTCAGTCATGGTAGTTAACACCAGTAATCCCAGCACTTTAGTAGTCCGACATGGATGGAGCCCAGGAATTTGAGACCAGCCTGGGCAACAGAGTGAGACCCCATCTCTACAAAAAAATTAAAAAATTAGCCAGGTATGCTGTTATGTACCTGTAGTCCTAGCTACTCAGGAGACGGAGGCAGGAAGATCACACTGATTTCAGCAGTGGCCTGTTTGGTGGGGCCACTGTGAAGATGCTGGGTGCAGTGGGGGAGGCGCTAGCTGGGGCTGCATGCTCTATGAACCTGCGGGAGCGAGGGACAGGCAGGGAGCCCCTCTTCCTATCAAGTAGGCAGGGCTGGAGCCCCACGCTCTGGGGCACAGCTATAGCCACACAGCTCCAGACCAAGGAATCCCTGTGCTCTTGGGGTCCCAGGAAGCCCCTTGTCCCTGCAGCTTTGAAAGTGCCTGATCCTGTGGCCTGGCCTCTCCCTGCTCCTGGTGTCCGCTCTCTGGAGTGAAGCAAAGCTGTGGCTGAGTCCGGGCACTATTACGACCCAGCTGGGTGTGCACACACATAGGGCGGCACTGTCATGCCGGCCCCCTGCCACCTCAGTCCCTTCAGGACTTCGGGCACCAGCGAGCGCAGGAGAGAGGGTGATGAGCAGCTAAGGGTGGCTCAGCATGTGCCTGCAAGCACCCCTCAGCTCAAAAACCTGGGCGCCATGGATGACATGCTGATGGTGGCAGAAAGCAGACAGGCTCTCGGGCAGAAACAGGCAGCTCCCCAGTGAAGCCCCGCCTTAAAGCCAGGTATGGCCTGAAGCATGGGGGCCAGGCTGTCACTTCCAGGTGAAGCCCCTGCCAGGAGTGACAACTTATGGTGCTTTTTCCAGCCTGCCCTTGGACGAACCAGCATGTACTTCCTCCCTTCTGAGCCCATAAAAACCCTGGACCCAGCCAGGACTACCAGCTACGGGAAGGAGTTACCCACCTTGGGTCTCCTCAATTCATGGTGACAAACTGCCTGTGGAAAGGAGCTACCCACTCCAGGTCTCACCTCTGCTAAGCGCTGGACATTCATTAGGACAACCTGCTTGCAGAAAGGAGCTACCCACTGCAGCTCTCCTCTCCACTGAGAGCTGGAGACTCATTGGGACTACCTGCCTTCAGAAAGGAGCTACCCAGTGAGGGTCTCCTCTCTGCTGAGAGCTGGACACTAATCAGGATGACCTGCCTACGGAAAGGAGCTACCCACTCAGGTCTCCCGAGAGCTGCCGTTACTCACTGAAGCTCCTCTCTGCCTTGCTCACCATCCAGTTGTCCGTGTACCTCATTCTTCCTGGATGCAGGACAAGAACTTGGGACCTGCCAAATGGCAAGACTAAAAGAGCTATAACACAAATGGCTTGAAACATGCTCCCCCACTGCTCACCACATTGTGGGCAATCAAAAGGAGAGAAGAGCTAGGGCCCTTCAGGGACCCTAGAGTCAGGGGCTCCCTGAACCAGGGTTGTGACAACCTCTTTGGGGTTCTGTGGTTCCTGCTTTCTCCAAGCTTCCGGGTGCCATCATGTTCCCCTCGTCCAGATGTGGGTGCCCACAATGGAAGTCACGTGCAGTACATCTGATCAAGCCGCAGCTTTGCACAGAGCCAGCATCTGTACCGGCACCTAGGGCTGCCCGCCCCACCGAAGCAGCTGACGTGCCTGGCTGCGTGCAGTGGCCAGAACCCATACTTGCTCCACTCTGTGCCTGGCTCACCCTTGGAAGGCATGGGATTTGGGTGAGTAGCACGAGCCAAGCACAGCCTGCCAAGCCAAGTGGATGGAACAAGTCCAGCAGGCACAAGCAGTACTCAGGTAAAAGGCACCGCCTGCCACAGAGGTTTCCAGCTGGCAAAGCAACACCCCAAGTAGCCCATGACAACTTAAGCCTGTGAAGTAGAGGTTGCAGTGAGCCATGATCTGCCACTGCACTCCAGCCTGGGCCACAGAGCGAGACCTGTATAGCTTATCTTCACAGAGTATGTCCCAAATTATGCCTCTCACCTTTTTAAAACAAGATAGGAAACACTTATTTCAGAAAAATTAACAATGCCACTCTTCGTAAGAATAACTATGTAGAATAAATATGCTATAAGCCTTAAAAATGTATTGTATTAAAATACTTCAATGTTGCGTTTCTGGCAAATGACTTTATTTTTTTTTGAGACGGAGTCTCGCTCTTGTCGCCCAGGATGGAGTGGAGTGGAATGGCACGATCTTGGCTCACTGCAACCTCCACCTCCCAGGTTCAAGCGATTCTCCTGCCTCAGCCTCCCAAGTAGCTGGGATTACAGGCATGTGCCACCACGCCTGGCTAATTTTTATATTTTTAGTAGAGACGGGGTTTTACTATGTTCGCCAGGGTGGTCTCGAACTCCTGACCTCAGATGATCCACCAGCCTTGGCTTCCCAAAGTGCTGGGATTACAGGCATGGGCCACCGCGCCTGGCCGACTCATTTATTTAAATAAATTAAGATACAAAGAAAATGATCCTTAAATAAACGCCTTCAGAACACAATTGTCTGAGCATTGAAAGGTGTTTACTATGGAAAACAATGATCCAAAACTTAAACAAGAGTCATGTATTTTGATATCTGATAACATATACCAAAAGCTCTGTTCAAATGTTCCCTATAACGTGTACCTTAAGGCATAGTTTAAAAGACAAAAAACTTCTTAAAGTCATTTAAAAATAAATAATATTAAGTGATTAATAATAAGGTACTGGATATAGAAAGGTAAACACAGAGACACTTATTAGCAAAGAAATAGGGAGAAATTAAAATAACCCTGCAATACTTTTGTGTATGCAATTTATCAAGAAATGTTGAAAGAGAACAAAACAAATGTTGGCTCATTCTGGAGCTTCTTTGTCATCATTAATGTATTCAGGTTTTCACAGCTGAACTGCTATACTTTGAAAAGATTTTCATGAAAGGAAATTCATATTCAATGTTTAAACAAAGCTGTCAGGTTACCAAGATTAAAATTCGTTTGAGTGTCCAGAAAATATTTTCTTAAAAAATAAAAATAAAAACTAAGTTGGTCTTTATTTGCAAACAAAATAAAAGAAGGCTTTGTTTACCAGTGTGTATTTATTTTTGGAGCAAATATAGAGAAAGAATAATTTTAAAGCAAAAGACGAACTATTTTATATGGCTATTTTTTCATTACTAGTTCTGTTTCTCAAATTGATACAAATGATCTCCTTCTGTTTCTGTCTGTCTGCTTGCCTTGTCAGTACAACTAATTGTCAGGATTGGGGAGATCTCCTATATCTAAACAGAAGACGTGCAGTTTGTAACCTGCTTAATTCGCCTTATGTCCTACATGCCCTCAGTATGGTGTTCATTAAAGTCTCAGATGTTTTGTTTGTATCAGTGGCAGCCTAAGCACAGGCTTATTTTTCTTTGTTAAAAGGCCAGATTGTGCATAAATATACACCTAATCTATGTGAATGTGTGTATATGTGTGTTTAAATGGCAAAAAATTACCATGCATGTAAATACTTCTTAGTGTTTCCATCGCTTGCTCTCACACCCGAACTTCGACTATTGCCTAGATGTAAGAACAGCACCCCTCAGGCTTTACAGAGAACTTTAATATAACAGCCATCTCTAAAATTAGATAAACCATATAAGAACTGCAAGTTGTTATAAATGAATTCTATGGAATGCCATTAAAAACCATTCTTAAACCACCCCCCACCCCACCCCATACTTCCTCCCCTAAAAAAGTTCCTAGTAGACTAAATTTCTATTCCTAATTGCTTCCATAAATTTCTACAGAAGGTCTAAATGAAACCTATTTATATTTGCCTTGGCAATAGCAAATGGCTCAAATCAATTACTTTTTAGGGGTGGGCTTGAGAAGAAAACTCAAAACTTTGCATTTAAGTGGTCAATCCATAACCAAAATTTCTACTCAGCTTTGGTCCATGTTTAAGTAGACTATACTATTACACTAAGTTTTTTAATGTACCACATAAATAAATCTTATTGATATGTATGCAATAATTACAAAACTCACAATTGAACTGTATATTATTAAAAGTGTTCACATTTATCAAATTAATCAGAATCAAATCATTAAAAGAAGAAGGTATAGAAATGTGTTAGATATTTACTGCATTTTTGGGTGAAATTTAACAAGACAAAAGATTTGTTAATAAGTTACTTGTGATGTTAATTTTAACACACAATTAATTAAATGTACATAAAGGACTATTAAAGTAGTATGCCTGACAGCTGTAAAAAATAATTTAACCTTTGAAAGAGTAAAAAATAAATACTGTCTATTGAACAGTTTGGCCCATACCTTATTTAGTTCTTAAAATTGGCTATTAAATACAGCAGCCTGGACATGATAACTTTAGGAAAACAATCAAAATTTTATCTTCAAAGAATTCTCTCAAAACCATTAGACAACTGGAGAAAGTGGCCTCATTAGGTAAAGATACTACCTATACCACCACTCACTGGATATTAAGTATCAAAAGAACCAGACCCAAGGATCTCCTTTTCACTCCTAATGTTAATTTGTGAATCATTCAGTTTATCCTTAAAGACAGGAACAGAAACTGAAGTTCAATACTATTTCAACATAAAATGATGTGCAATAGAGTACTATTTTCGATATGAAACCTGTCACACTCCTGATGTCATAATTAAAACAAACTTAATCAAAAGGCCTATTAAGAGATAACAAAACAGTTTACTATGGTGTGCATAGAACTAAAACTTCAGAAACAAATTAATCAGAAACTCAAAAATTGATAAAAGGTCTCCCGCCCCAGGTTTGGGTAACAATCATAATTACTCAAAGCATCCTGAGGTGACTTTTAAAGATAATAAGGTAACACCAGGGTGTGTGTGTGTGTGTGTGTGTGTGTGTGTGTGTTTGGGTAACAATCATAATTACTCAAAGCATCCTGAGGTGACTTTTAAAGATAATAAGGTAACACCAGGGTGTGTGTGTGTGTGTGTATTCCTCCCACTCAGGCTCAAGTGAGCCTCCCAAGTAGGTGAGACCAAAGGTGTATGCCATTATGCTTGGCTAATTTTTTAAATTTTTCATAGAGATAGGGTCTTCCCTGTATTGCCCAGGGTGGTCTTCCACTCTGGGCTCAAGTGATCCTCCTGCCTCAGCTTCCCAAAATAGTAGGATTACAGGCATGAGCCACTAGGCCCGACCTTAAAACCAAGTATATATGCTACCATAGACTTCCTTTCCTTAAGATGAATTTACAGGGTACATGACAGAATCTCTGTACTTAACTGATGAGAGGCGAGAGTGGAAAATGAGGAACCCACATTCACTCTACTTGAACTGTCTTAATAAAATTAAAGAGAATAATATATTCAATGACTTACTTTTGCAAGGTAACACTGGACAACACTATTATTTAACAGAGATATGATAAACATAAGATGAAAATTATATTAGAGAATATAAAATCAGCACTGAGCAATTTTGAACTATGATACTATTATGCATACAACTGTCTAATAATGAAAAAAGAGAAAAATGACTATTTAGGATTTACCTAAATGTTTCTGGTACCGAAATAAGGAATGGGTTTATTTTTTTAAAGTAATTGTGAAGTTTGTGATTCCTCTGTTTATATGCCTGAAAACATTATTACTTTCTATGCTCTCTATATTCAATTACTTTTAAAGATAGAATTTTTTTAGTAAAATTTTATTTTATTTTATTTTTTTTACATTTACAAGCCAATATTCTTTATTATTATTATTATTATACTTTAAGTTTTAGGGTACATGTGCACAATGTGCAGGTTAGTTACATATGTATACATGTGCCATGCTGTTGTGCTGCACCCATTAACTCGTCATTTAGCATTAGGTGTATCTCCTAATGCTATCCCTCCCCCATCCCCCCTCCCCCCACCCCACAACAGTCCCCAGAGTGTGATGTTCCCCTTCCTGTGTCCATGTGTTCTCATTGTTCAATTCCCATCTATGAGTGAGAACATGCGGTGTTTGGTTTTTTGTCCTTGCAATAGTTTGCTGAGAATGATTATTTCCAATTTCATCCCTGTCCCTACAAAGGATATGAACTCATCATTTTTTATGGCTGCATAGTATTCCATGATGTATATGTGCCACATTTTCTTAATCCAGTCTATCATTGTTGGACATTTGGGTTGGTTCCAAGTCTTTGCTATTGTGAATAGTGCCGCAATAAACATACGTGTGCATGTGTCTTTATAGCAGCATGATTTATAGTCCTTTGGGTATATACCCAGTAATGGGATGGTTGGGTCAAATGGTATTTCTAGTTCTAGATCCCTGAGGAATCGCCACACTGACTTCCACAAGGGTTGAACTAGTTTACCGTCCCACCAACAGTGTAAAAGTGTTCCTATTTCTCCACATCCTCTCCAGCACCTGTTGTTTCCTGACTTTTTAATGGTCGCCATTCTAACTGGTGTGAGATGGTATCTCATTGTGGTTTTGATTTGCATTTCTCTGATGGCCAGTGATGATGAGCATTTTTTCATGTGTCTTTTGGCTGCATAAATGTCTTCTTTTGAGAAGTGTCGGTTCATATCCTTTGCCCACTTTTTGATGGGGTTGTTTTTTTCTTGTAAATTTGTTTGAGTTCATTGTAGATTCTGGATATTAGCCCTTTGTCAGATGAGTAGGTTGCGAAAATTTTCTCCCATTTTGTAGGTTGCCTGTTCACTCTGATGGTAGTTTCATTTGCTGTGCAGAAGCTCTTTAGTTTAATTAGATCCCATTTGTCAATTTTGGCTTTTGTTGCCATTGCTTTTGGTGTTTTAGACTTGAAGTCCTTGCCCATGCCTATGTCCTGAATGGTAATGCCTAGGTTTTCTTCTAGGGTTTTGATGGTTTTAGGTCTAACGTTTCAGTCTTTAATCCATCTTTTAAAAGTCTCTTCACAGTACATGAGTAGTAGTGACACCAATAATGTCAGAGCAGGGAACTCCCAGGTTCTGCCCATCCACAAAAACAACAAATAAGCTGGCAAAAACTTTAAGAATCAACTTTTGCAGATCTCTGAAATCTAGTCAAAACTTAAACAGAGGAAAGATTAATAAAGACGGGCTGCACTGAGATAACACTAACAGCACACTGTGGCATTTTAAGTAGCCCACCTAGCATCTTCACCCTCTAGATCTACTGCAGCAGTAAAGTGGCAGCTTATATTCCTAGTGCCAGAGGGAGCTATGCAAACTTTATAATGAAAGAACTGTGGGTTGAATGTTTCAATCTTTCTGGCAGCTCCCTAAAGGATGAGAGCAAGTGCTTGCCTTTGTTTTGCCCAACTCATGGGTGGCTTCTCTAGTGGTGGTTTTTTAGGATAGTCTATTTAAAGAAAATATTAGAAAACGGCATATCCTAGTACTCTGTCACATTCCCACTACAGATATTATTTCAGTAACATAGTGATAGTTAATTCTACAACGGTGGTCAACAAACTAAAGCCAATTGGACAAACTGGCTATAGCCTCTTGTTTAAGTAAATAATGTTTTCTTGGAACACATCTACACCAATCTGTTTATTTATTGTCTCAGGTTCCTTTCATGCTAAAGTGGTATGAACTAAAATTTTACTATTTGGCCATATAAGAAAAAGTTTGTTGACCGCTATTCTAGAGAATAATCTACTATAAAAACTGACCTCAGATTGACATTTGACAGGTATACTAAGATTTCTCTATCCTGTCCATTGTAAGTAACCAAGCTATCAAAATACAGAAAAATAACACTAACAGTTTATGTAAAAATATGAGTTAACATAAACAATATTTCCAATCCAAAATTAAGGATTGGTCATTTTTTGAAAAGCACTTTGCTCACTAATTAACAAGAGAATTCTTACAAGAACTGTTAAATGAAAAATTAGATGTTAGAAGGTCATGGGTTACAAAGACCACTTATGCAAAAGATTAAATCATAGAAGGATTTGGCCAATTCTAGGAGTGAGACTGAGAACTATAAACCAAAAAGGTTTGAGCTACATTAATTAAGAGATGTAAGCAGAGAACCTAACACATCTATTTCTAATAATTTGTAATTTCAAGAATCACTAGTTTTGAGTATTCAACATATTTCAAATAAACTAAGCATGTGTTTGTATTAAACTAGCATGAGGAATAAAGGGAAAAGTTATGGTACCATCTGAAAAAGTAAAAGTCAATGGAAGAAGAATCCTGGGATCTTGGATTCTTTTTAATTAATAGATTTTATTATTTTTAAAAGCAATTTTGAGCTTACAGAAAAACTGAACAAAAGTACAGTAAAGAGAGTTCATACCTACTCTACCACACAAACACAGTTTCCACTATTAACATCTTCCATTAGTATAGTGCATCTGTTACATGAATGTGCCAATGGTAACAAATTATTATTAAACTCCATAGTTTTACATTAAGCTTCACTCTTTGTGCTATACATTTTATATGCTTTGACAACTTATAATGACATGTGCCCACATTACAGTACCATACAGAATAGTTTCACTGCCCTAAAGATCTTCTGTGCTCCACCTATTCATTCTTTCCTGTTTCCTGGGCCCCTTGGCAACCATCGATGTTTTTACCGTCTCCTTAGTTTTTCCTTTTCCACAATGTCATATAGTTGGAATAATGTATGTAGTCTTTTCAGATTAGTGTCTTTTACTTAGCAGTATGTGCTTTTAAGGTTCCTCCATGTCTTTTTGTGCTTTGATAACTTATTCTTTTTATCACTGAATAATTCCATTGCATACATGTACCAGAGTTTGTTAATCCATTATCTGTTGAAGGATATCTTGGCTGCTTCCAAGTTTTGGCAATTATAAATAAAGCTGTTATAAACATTTGTGTGCAGAACTCTGTATAGACGTAAGTTTTCAACACACTTGGGTAAATACCAAGGAGCAAAACTGCTGGGTCATATGGTAAGAGTATGTACAATTTTGTAAGAAACTGTTAAAAGGTCTTCCAAAGTGGCTGTAATATTTTGCATTCCCACCAGCAATAAATAAGAGTTTCTGTTGCTCCACATTCTTATCTGCATTTTATGTTGTCATTGTTTAGGATCTTAATCCTGCAAATATGTATATAGTGGTATCTTGGTGTTATTTTAATTTGCAATTCCCTGATAACATATGATGTTGAGTATTTTTACCTATGCTTATCCTGCCATATGTATATCTGGTCTGTGGCCTGTTAGGAACCAGGCCACACAATAGGAAGTGAGTGGTGGGCGAGCATGCATTACCACCTGAGCTCTGCCTTCCGTCAGATCTGATGTGGCATTAGATTCTCATAGAAGCACAAACTCTATCGTGAACTGCACATATGAGGGATCTAGGATGCATGCTCTGTATGAAAATCTAATGCCTGATGATCTGATGTGGAACAGTTTCATTCCCAAACCATCCCCCACCGGACTCCGGTCCATGGAAAAATTGTCTTCCATAAAGCCAGTCCCTGGTGCCAAAAACGCTGGGGACTACTGGGTTAAGCAATCAACAAATGAATCATTTTAAAATTAACCATAAAATTTAGAGACTGAGTGCAATGAGTATCAAATAAGGGTCAAACAAGAATGTTTGCTGTAGTATATGTAGCAACTAAGCAAGTAGTAGTTTGCCTATGTAAAAGTCACAATGCTATTTTTAAAATACCTAATTTTCTACTACTGCTAAGTAGATTGTTCCTCAGTAAATCACTCTATCCTTGACTCATCTCATCTATGAATAATCTGGTAGCCTGACCTCAGAATTTAAAATAAACAATGCAATGCAGTGAGGGATTGTTCCATAAACACTTAGAAGGGTTGAAAAACTAAATACACTCCTATGAACCTCTTTCCTTGAAATCTGTATATTCTTCAATTTTCTTGTATTTTTGTTTTGCTGTCACTACCCCCAAGCCTCCACAAGTGTTTGTCATTCCCCTCCCTGTGTCCATGTGTTCTCATTGTTCAACTCCCACTGATAAGAACATCTACTGTTTGGTTTTCTGTTCCTGCATTAATTTGCTGAGGATAATGGCTCACCACAACCGCCATGTCCAGGGTTCAAGTATGTTCCATCTATGATACTGCAAAGGACATGATGGTGTTCCCTTTTTATGGCTACACAGTATTCCATGGTGAATATGTACCACATTTTCTTTATCAAGTCTATCACTAATGGGCATCTGGGTAGATTCCACTTCTTTGCTATTGTGAATAGTGCTGCAATGAACATATGTGTGCATGTATCGTTGTAATAGATTGATTTATATTCCTTCAGGTACATATACAGTAACGGGATAGCTGAATCAAATGGTATTTCTGCCTTTAGGTCTTTGAGGACACTGTCTTCCACAATGGTGGAATTTACATTCCCACCAACAGTGGAAAACCATTCCTACTTCTCCACAGCCTCATCAGCATCTGTTGTTTCTTGGCTTCTTAATAATCACCATTCTTACTGGCATGAGATGGTATCTCACTGTGGTTTTGATCTGCATTTCTCTAATGATCAATGATGTTGAGTTTTTTTAGTATATCTTTTTGGCCACATGTATGTCTTCTATTGAGAAGGGTCTGTTCATGTCCTTTCCCCACTGTTTAGTGGGGTTGTTTTTTTCTTGTAAATTTGTATAAGTTCCTTATAGACTCTAGATTTTAGACCTTTGTCAGATGGAGATATTGCAAAAATTTTCTCCCATACTGTAGGCTGCGCTGATGATAGTTTCTTCTGCTGTGCAGAAGCTCTTTATTTTAATTAGATCCCATTTGTCAATTTTTGCTTTTGTTGCAATTGCTTTTGGGGATTTCATCATAAAATCTTTGCCCATGCCTATGTTCTGAATGCTATTAGCTAGATTTTCTTCCAGAGTTTTCACAGTTTCATAGTTTAAGTCTTTAATCCATCTTGAGTTAATTTTTGTATAAGGTGTAAGGAAGGGGTCTAGTTTCAATTTTCTGCAAATGCCTAGCCAGTTCTCCCAGCACCATTTATTAAATAGGGAATCCTTTCCCCTTGTTTTTTTCAACAATAATGTTTGTAGTTGTGCAGTCTTATATCTGAGTTCTCTATTCTGTTCCATTGGTCTATGTATCTGGTTTTGTACCAGTACCATGCTGTGTTGGTTACTGTAGCTTTGTAGTATAGTTTGAAGTCGGGTAGCATGATGCCTCTAGCATTGTTCTTTTTGCTTAGGATTGTCTTGGATATTTGGGCTTTTTGGTTCCAAATGAATTTTAAAAGTTTTTTCTAATATTGTGAAGAATGTCAATGGTAATTTAATGGTAATAACATTAGATCTATAAATTACTTTCAGCAGTATGGCCATTTTCACAATATTGTTTCTTCCTATCCATGAGCATAAAATGTTTTTCCATTTATTTGTGTCCTCTCTGATTTCCTTGAGCAGTGGCTTGTAGTTCTCCTTGAAGAGGTCCTTCACTTCCCTTGTTAGCTTTATTCCTAGATATTTTATTATCTTGTTAGCAATTGTGAATGGGAGTTCATTCATGATTTGGCTCTCTGCTTGTCAGCTATTAGTATATAAAAATGCTTGTAATTTTTGCACACTGGTTTTGTATCCCGAGACTTTGCTGAAGTCAGTTATCAGCTTAAAAAGCTTTTGGGCTGAGATGATGGGGTTTTCTAGATATAGGATCATGTATATCTGCATACAAAGATAGTCTGACTTCCTCTCTTCTTATTTGAATACCCATTATTTCTTTCTGTTGCCTGAGTGCTCTGGCCAGAACTTTCAATACTATGTTAAATAGGAGTGGTGAGAGAGGGTGTTCTTATCTTGTGCCGGTTTTCAAAGGGAATGTTTCCAGCTTTTGCCCATTCAGTATGATATTGGCAGTGGGTGTGTCATAAATGGCTCTTATTATTTTGAAGTATGTTCCTTCAATGTCTAGTTGAGAGTTTTTAACATGAAGGGATGTTCAATTTTATTGAAGGCCTTTTCTGCCTCTATTGAGATAATCATGTGGTTTTGTCTTTAGTTCTGTTTATGTGATGGATTACATTTATTGACTTGCATATGCTGAACCAGCCTTGCATCCCGGGGATGAGGTCGACTTGATAATGGTGGATAAACTTTTTGAAGTGCCGGTGGTTTGCCAGTATTTTACTGAAGATTTCTGCATTGATGTTCATCAGGGATGTTGCCTTAAGTTTTCTGTTTTTGTTGTATCTCTGCCAGGTTTCGGTATCAGGATGATGTAAGCTTCATAAAATGAGTTAGGGAGGAGTCCCTCCTTTTCAACTGGAATAGTTTCAGAAGAAATGGTACCAGCTTCTTTCTGCACCTCTGATAGAATTTGGCTGGAAATCCACCTGGTCCTGGGCTTTTTTTGATTGGCAGACTGTTTACTACTGCCTCATTTTCTGAACTTATTATGGGTTTATTAAGGGATTCCACTTCTTTCTGGTTCAGTCATGGGAGGGTGTATGTGTACAGGAATTTATCCATTTCTTCTAAATTTTCTGGTTTATTTGCATAGAGTTGTTCACAGTATTCTCTGATGGTTGTCTGTATTTCTGTGGGGTCAGTGGTCATATCCCCTTTATCATTTTTTATTGTCTCTGTTTTCTTCTCTATTAGTCTAGCTAGCAGTCTATCTATTTTATTAATTTTTTCAAAAAACCAGCTCCTGGATTCACTGATTTTTTTTGAAGGGTTTTCTGTGTCTCTATCTCCTTCAGTCCCACTCTGATCTTGGTTATTTCTTGCATTCATTCTGGTAGCTTTGGGGTTTGTCTGCTATTGGTTCTCTAGTTCTTTTAGGTGTGATGTTAGGATGTTGACTTAAGATCTTCCTAGCTTTTTGTTAAGGGTATTAGTGCTATACATTTGCAACTTTTTTTTTTTTGAGACAGAGTCTCCTCTGTCACCCAGGCTGGAGTGGAGTGGCACAACCTTGGCTCACCACAACCTCCATGTCCGGGATTCAAGTGAATCTCCTGCCTCAGCCTAGCGAGTAGCTGGGACTACAGGAATGTGCCACCAGGTCTGGTTAATTTTTGTCTTTTTTAGTAGAGACAGGGTTTTACCATTTTGGCCAGGCTGGTCTTGATCTCCTGACCTCAAGTGATCTGTCAACTTTGGCCTCCCAAAGTACTGGGATTACAGGCGTGAGCCACCATACTCGGACATAAATTTCCATCTTAACACTGCTTCAGCTGCGTCCCAGAGATTCTGGTACATTGTCTCTTTTCTCATTAGTTTCAAAGAACTTCTTGATTTCTGAATTGCATTATTTACTCAAGAATCATTCAGAAGCACTGATGGGTCTTGACTCTTTATTCAGCTTGCCATTTTCTGTCTTTTAATTGGGCATTTAGCCCATTTACATTTAAGATTAATATTGTTATGTGTGGATTTGATCCTGTCATCATGATGCTTGCTGGTTATTTTGCAGACTTGATGTAGTTGTTTCATAGTGTCATTGGTCTGTGTGCTTCAGTGTGTTTTTGTAGTGGCTGGTAATGGTTTTTCCTTTCCATATTTAGTGCTTCCTTCAGGAGATCTTGCAAGGCAAGCCTAATGGTGATGAATTCCCTCAGTATTTGCTTGTCTGAAAAGGATTTAATTTCTCCTTTGCTTATGAAGCTCAGTTTGGCCAGATGTGAAATTGTGGGTTGGAAATTATTTTTTTTTTTTTTAAGAATGTTGAATATTGGCCTCCAATCTCTTCCGGCTTGTAGGATTTCCACTGAGAAATCCTCTCTTAGTCTGATGGGTTTCCCTTTGTAGGTGACCTGGCCTTTCTCTCTGGCTGCCCTTAACACTTTTTCCTTCATTTTGACCTTGGAGAATCTGATGATTATGTCTTGGGGTTGATCTTCTCAGGAAATATCTTCTATTTCCTGAATTTGAATGTTGGCATGTCTTGCTAGGTTGGGGAAGTTCTCCTGGATGATATCCTGAAGTATGTTTTCCAACTAGGTACCATTCTCTCCATCTCTTTCAGGTACCCCAGTCAGTTGTAGATTTGGTCTTTTTACATAACCCCATAGTTCTCAGAGGTTTTGTTCGTTCCTTACCATTCTCTTTTCTCTAATCTTGTCTGCATGCCTTCTTTCAGCAAGATAGTCTTCAAAGTCTGATATCCTTTCTTCCACTTGGTGGATATGGCTACTGATATTTGTGTATGCTTCCCAAAGTTCTCGCCCTGCATTTTTCAGCTCCATCAGATCATTTATGTCCCTCTCTAAACTGGCTATTTTGGTTAACAACTCCTGTAATATTTTATCATAGTTCTTAGCTTCTTTGCATTGGGTTAGAACATACTCCTTTGGCTCAGCGAAGTTCACTGTTACCCATCTTCTGAAGCCTATTTCTGTCAGTTCATCCATCTCAGCCTCAGCCCAGTTCTGTGTCCTTGCTGCAGAGGTGCTACAATCACTTGGAAAAGAGGCACTCTGACTAGTTTTCAGCGTTTTTGCGCTTATTTTTTCTCATCTTTGTGGGTTTATCTACCTTCAATCTTTGAGGCTGTTGATCTTTGGATGAGGTTTTTTGTTGATGTTGTCGTTGATGCTATTTGTTTTTCTTTTAACAGTCAGGCCCTTCTTCCATAGTGGCTGCTGTGGTTTGCTTGGGGTCCACCTGAGACCCTATTCGCCTGGGTCACCCCCCAACCCGGCACCTGTAGGCATCACCACTGGAGACTGCAGAACAGCAAAGATGGGCTGCTCCTTCCTCTGGGAGCTCCGTCCCAGAGGCACACTGACCTGATGCCAGCTGAAACATTTCTGTATACAGTGTCTGGTGACTCCTGTTGGAAGGTGTCACCCAGTCAGGAGGCACGGAATCAGGAACCTGCTTAAAGCAACAGTCTGGCTGCCCCTTGGTGGAGTGGGTGCACTGTGCTGGGGGGAATCCTCCTCGTCTGGACTGCCCAGACTCCTCAGAGCCAGCAGGCAGGAAATACTAAGTCTGCTGATGGGCAGAGACCACAGCTGCCCCTCCCACCAGGGGCTCCCCAGGGAGATCAGAGTTCTGTCTGTAAGCCCCTGGCTGGAGTTGCTGAAATTCCCACAGGGTAGCTCCGCAGGGAAAGCAGTCTGGCCATGATCTACTACAGCCGCTGTGCTGTGCTGTGCTGGGCTGTGAGGAATTCCTCCTAGCCCGAACCCAGTCTCCCTGGCACCATCGGGGAAAACCGCTGACTGGAGCTGCAGTGATGGCAAGCTGCCCCTCCCTCGGGAACTCAATCATCTTAGGCAGTCTCCAGCCTGCTGCTAGCTGGCTGCAACCCAAGCAGCCACCAAGAGTCTGCACAGCTCCGTGCTTGGGACCCAAGACTCTGGTGGCATGGGCTCATGAGGGGATACCCTGATCCCTGGGTTGCACAGATCCATGAAAAATACACGATTTCCCAGGCAGGGTAGTACAATTACTCACTGCCTCCCCTGGCTGGGGATGGGAGCTCCCCTTGCCCCGTGCGGCTCCCGGGTGGCCCCTTGCTCCACTATGCTTTTCCTCACTCTCCGTGGGTCATGCCAACTGCCTAGTCAGTTCCAATGAGAGAACCTGGATACCTCTGTTGAAGATTCAGGATTTAGCCGCCACTTTTGTTTTCCTCCACAGGAGCCACAGATGGAAGCTGCTTCTAAGCAGCCATCTTGGCCCCACTCTGCAGCTTCCTGCATTTTATACTTAAATATTTATTGCCTAATTAAACTTCCTCCTGCTTCCTTTTTTATTTGTATTTTATGAACCTTTGTCATTAACCAAAAGACTAAAAAGGAAAAAAGATGAAAGTAACAGAAACTTAAATCAATCAAATTAGGTAAACAGATTATCAAGCTAATTTTTTAAATTAGAGTACTGAATTCTCTGGATTGCTTTTATCTCCTTTTCACATTAAGTTGCCACTTGATAACATGATAGTAAATCTTGCTTTTCTGTTTACAGAGAACAGCAGATCTTATTAATTATGACTTGGTTGACAGCACATCACCTTCTGCTTACTCTACATATAAAGAAATAGAAATATAACAACTTATTCTTCCTTGGGTCTTCTGACCTCAACAGAGTAGGCCAGATAGAAGAAGTAACCACAGGAGTGGAAAAGCTTGCTCACCATCTCCTTCTGCAGAGCTTTTTCATAGGCTATTAGTAAATTCTTAGGTCAGAAATACCTACATTAGAAAATAAAACAAAAGCCCATTTGAGAATTATAACTTTTTGTTTCCCACCTTTTAAAATTCTGCACCATTACATTCCTCTCCATAAGGGTGATAAGTTAGGAATGACCTACTTTATGATGTTCAGAAATTGAATTATTATTGCAGTATTACAACTAAACTCTATTAAAAATTTCCAGGATGTATGTTCCCCTTCTTAACTATCATTAAAAGTTCTCAATACTATTCAGGCAATAGTGTTTACCTTTCCATGTACTGGTAAGTACCAAGAATGTTTTAGTTACATTCTTGCAAACTTTGCTTTCTGACTTTCTACTTTCTCCTCCATCACTTTACAGCTAACAGCTCTACCACAAAATCACTCAGTCCGTTAAGTTTCCTTCTTTCTTTTTTAAGGAGCCAAGAATGCATTATTACATTTTTCTATGTGAAGTATGCTATTAAATAATAGCTTGTACACTAATTAAAGCAAATGTAATTGTGAGAACACATTGACATTGTTAAAGTAAATTACTCAATTTGTTAATAGTTTCATTCCAAGTGACCCTAATTGTATTAATTGTGATACCAGCAAATTAAATTGAAGAGCATTAAACACATTGTTCTAATATGTCCTAGAGGAACGAATTCTACATTACATCAGCAAGGGAAAATAATGATTACATGCTCTCCACACAAATAAAGCTCGTACATGTACATATATACATACATGCACACACACACACGCACACACACACACACAAATGGGTCAACAGAAAAGGTTTCAATAGGCTATATAAACTATTAGTATATACTGGTAGCATGGCATAAAATGGACCATATAGAAAGAACTGAGCTTTAGAGAAATAGAAAAATTTAGGGCATCCTGTTATCTCAGATTAAGCTGGAATTACTTCACCATTAAATTGTTAAAATGTTGAGAATGGGGAAACAAACCAACTGGTGTGGACTGCAACGTGAAAAAAATGTTAAAAATACAACAACTCTCAGTAAATCAGGCATTACTTGTTAAATGCCTACCACCAAGTCAAAAGGAAATATATTTTAAAATAGCTATCATTCCTATCCTTGAGAAGAAACTTGGGAGTTCAACAGAGATAACAACACAGGCTATTACATAATTCTGAGTCTTTAGATATAATCTGCACTCTTCAGCCTGATTTACAAAAACCTTCTACCTGGCCTCGGCCTACTAGTCCCATCCTGTGTCATTCCCCTGTCACCCATGGTAGCCCAGCCACAGTGATCTTCTTCAGTTCCCTATGTATGACAAGCCTATTCATATAGTACTGCTTTTATGAGCTCTGTTTAGACAGATGCCTCTCTCTCTCTTTCTTTCTCTCTCTCTCTGACACACACACACACACACACACACACACACACACACACACACACACACACCATCCTTGTATATCTGCATATCTGGCTCCTTCTTGTTTGTTATTAACATTTAGCCGAAATACCACCTTCTCAGAGAGATCTTCTCTGACAATCTAAAGTACTCACCTTGTCACTCACTATAATATCACCCTATTTTAATTCTTTGCATGGTATTTTTTCTCTGATTTTCTTATTTCTGTACTTACTTCTCAATGTTTGTCCATCTCATGCTGAAATATGAATTCCATAAGAGAAAGCAAGTGGTCTACTTTTTCAATATTCTATTCCCAGATACTGGATGATCAACAAATATGTTTGTATAAATGAATGAACATCAGGTCTTTGGGCGGCAGCCCTCACTCTGTATGATAAAATATATGTGCCCCTAAGATTCAGTTATTATTACTGAATTTTCATAATCATCATGTCAACATTTCTGATTAAAAATCTATCCCTTCAATAAAACAAATCTATTCACAAGTCTAATTAAGGATAAAAATTGATGTAGTGTTCTATGCTTGGCTAAAATCAGTCCTATTCCATTCAAATTTTCACTAAACACCAGTGGTAAGAACTCAATGGCTATTAAAGTTTTTCTACATTTGGAAGAAGAAAGAATAGGAGAAGGAAAGTAGGAGAATTATTTAAGTACACATGATGCCATGATATAAAAGATTATTTGGCTCACACATTGACTCATCTCTGACTTGAGTGAGTAAAGCTAAATTCTCATTATTTATCTGTAGATAAATCAAAGCTAGTTGAGCTTTTTTTTCCCGGACTAAAATTAAAGATATTTGTTAAGTTCAGGAAAAACAAAATAGTCACTGTAATTTATAGGAATACAAAAATTATCAAGTGGTAGAATATCAGATCTTTTCCAAGGAAGCAAGTAAATTATATTCTAAATACTGGAGATGTAAAAGAAAATGTCCACTTAAAATAAATAACTTTCATAATATTAATTTTTATGATTTATGATTTTCTTAATTTCTTCCATTTAAAACACTCAAACTTTCCTAAAATGTAAAACCAGCTTGAAGCTAGCATAATATTCCTGCCCTTGTGCTTTCCTATATACTTCATATGAGATTCCTTCTTAGGAAATTCAAGGAGCTACCCAAACTCCAGAATAAAATACTAGTATTGTATGAAAAAAAAATGATTGCAAGTTTCAAAACAACTATTTGATTAACAAGGAAGCCCTCATTCCAGCCAAAGTATACAGTAATGGTGAACTAATTTATTTTCAATTCTCATAGAATGCAAAGTTAAGAACAAAAAATATTTGAGCTTAGATTAATGACATATTGATAGGGCAAAGTGTATTATCAAAGCTTTCGGTGAGACGTCTTTTAAGAACAGAACAATGTCAAAGAATCATTGTGGAAACATTTACTTGGAAACACTAAAAACTCAAAGACAATTACTGAAGTAATAAAAATACCACAATAACACATCTCCTTTTACCAAAAATGAGACATACAATTTATAATCTGCTACAATGCACTAAAGTAGATGTGAACATCTACAAATGTAATGTAGACTCGGCACATTAAACTGACTACTGTGCTTGCTATTCAAAAAGACTGTAGTAACACATAATAATTTTTTAAACCTCCTAAAGACAAACACACACAATGGGCCTAACTTAGATCTACAAGAAAAGTTATAAATATCTACATGTAGTGTTAGTAAAATATTTTTTAAAAAAACTCAAGTACATGTAAGGAGAATTTTACCAAAATATATCAGCTATATTAAAAAAAATGCTCCTGGCTGTTTTATTATATTGATGACTGTTATATAGCAAAGTAAGGGGATAATTTTAAGACATGAACTTGAGATAAATAGGTCTTTGGGGACCTCTACTTTGGTTGGGGGGTGGCAGGGGAGGGCACTGATATAAAAGAGTGATTAAGGAAGTCCTTGAGTGATTTCCCAGAGTAAAGTTTAATTTTTTTCTTGCATTCCTCTTATCCTCCCTTGGATATTCAAGTCTTCCCTCTAATTGAGTGATATCAAAGAAAGCAAGCTTGTAATCTTAAAGACCAGTAGTTGCAGTATATAGTTTTTTTAAATGGCTAATGCTATGAAAGGAGTTAACAGAAGCGTTGGGGAGGTGGAGGATTATACTTGTAAGGGCCTAGTTATTCATTTCACTACCAAGCCATGAAGGAGAAATCTGTTTTAATGCATAAATCAATAAAATGGAGCTTTAACATGTGAGAAGCCAAGTGATAACTCTGATATACTTTCCTAAGCTATGCGGGCTGAAAGCTGGGTTATTTCATTATTTAAAAATTCTAGGTAGGGGACTGTGGCTCACACCTGTAATCTCAGCACTTTGGGAGGCCCATGTGGGCGGATCACTTGAGACCAGCCTGGGCAACATGGAAAGACCCTGTCTCTACTAAAAAATACAAAAATTTGCCGGGTGTGGTGACGCATTCCTATCGTCCCAGCTACTTGAAAGGCTGGGGTGGGAGGATCATCTGAACCCTGCCAGGTCAAGGCTGCAGTGAGCCATGATTGTACCACTGCCTGTGTGAAAAAGTGAAACACTGTCTCCAAAAAAAAAAAAAAATCTAAACCCTTACTCTACTGTAGTTTTTGGCCCCATTAATGAATCAACAAAAAGCAACCAACATAATTTTTTGATAAAAGCTCCATTATAGGCCATTTTACTTCAATGTTTGTTTCATATTTTAGGTTTTAAGATAATACTCTAAATCACCAGTGTCTCCTCTAGTTGTGCCAAGACCAATCAACCAAAACTACCACCACACAACCTCCCATGTCTGGGGGGTCCAGGAATACTAGAAAGGATGGTGGAGAATATATCTTAAGACATGGATATCCTTTTGCAGACCTAATTGCCTAAAGGGGTAGTGGATAAGGGCTATTGCAAGGCTACTGTTTCTCTGTCTGCTCAGCAGTGAGGTTTCATTGCTCCTAGGACACTGGTAAATGAATAATATCAAGGTATTTGCAACATGGTTCAATGACTGTTCACATAAATCCAACTCTAAAGTAACTGTAAAGTAGCCTATCTCCCTTCAAGCAAATAAAGAGAATTGCTACATCAATGGAAGATTTTGAATAAAACTGAAAAGCAGATCTAATTAATAAGATATGGACAACTCAATGAAAAAAACATCAGAAGTAAGACCAGAGGACTTTTTTTTTCAAATTTTAAGGATCTAGATTTTACCAGCAGTGAGGTTCTCAACACAATGTAAGAACATAAATACAAAAAACAATCACCTAAATCTAACATTAAAGCGTAAGAATATTCTTCGCCATCTAAATGTTCATCATTGATATTTAATCACTATCTTTTTAATGTGAATTTGGAATCAGATTTTTAGTTCACTTCCTGTGCCTCCATCCACTCAAATGAGTTAGTGGTTTCTTGAAAATGACTTAACCCCTAATAGATAATCAATAGTCTTCCAATCACCAAATCATGTATTTCCTCCTTTTATACTCTTTAACCTACACAATGCTTGAAAAACTGCTCGCTTTGAACCTTCTGGAAGCTCTCATATCTGTGGCTTCTATAATTTTGGTACTGTGACTTTCCCCTACTTTGATTATTCCTCCAGTAAGTACTATTAAAATACTTCCTCTATCCAAGTTCTAATCATGGGGACTTTCTACAAATCAATCCTTAGCTCTCTCCTTCCTCTTTCCTTTGATTTCTTATTTGTCTCATACCTTGAATTGGCATTTCTAGAGGATGACTCACAGATTTCTAACTCATGGTCTTTCAAACTGAAGTCTCTCATATCCAACTTTTTTTTGAACAGCTTAATTTAGAGGAACTAGGCTTGGCATGTTCTTTGCTCTCGGATGTCACTTTGTCCTACTGTCATACCAGTTGAAAAATCTGTTTTTAAAGAGATATTTTTAAAATCCACGTATTTTTTATCCTTGTTACTGCATTCAGAAACTTCCAGGTCACTCTCCTATTTATTTAACAATCTGTCTTGAATAAAGCCACCATTTTCCTTGACAACCTTACAGTCTAACTTACAGTTTTTTATCTATCTAAACTGCCATTTTCCTTGATATCTAGGGTGAATTTTTTATTAGTTACTTCAAACCAAGCCCTATCCAAATCATTATAGATCCAAATTATTACACAGAAATAATGGAGCATTGAGCTGCTTTATTGGCTAACACCACACAATGTTTCACCAAATTAATGCACTTATCAAACACATAAGAATTATTAAGAGATGTGATAAAAGACCATGTTACTATTTTCTTTGGAATTTAGAATATATATTAGATAGGTACATTTAATATAAAACACATAACATTTTAGATTATTAGGAATCACTGTGAAAAGTTTGCCGCCACCCTCACCATCCCTGTTACTCTTAGACATCAAGCAAAATTTTGGCCCTACTGCTCCCACATTCCCTTCAGGACTCCCATCACCACACTACTCTTCCTTCTCCCTTGACTCCATCCCTTCTAAAATTGTCTACCCTGCCCTCTGCAAACCACCTTCCATGATAGCAAATATCCTTATATTCTCAATCCATCAATGAATTCTTCAACCATCAACTTCCTTGCCTACTGTTTACCTGTTATACAGCCCTGACAAAAACCCTGGCTGTTCTTCTTTGTGGCTCAATCCTAGCTGCTGAATTCTGCTGGACATAATCACATACATTTACAAGCTGGAATCACCCATAAATATGATGTCCCATTTCAACTTGTCTCCAAGGTTATGTATGTCTTATCAACCCACTTTAACCTTTTTTACTCCCCACAGATCTTCACATGCTTCGCCTTGTTATTCACTGTCAGCAAATAATGTCACACTAACTTATCAAACAAGAGATTAAAACATCAGTGATATCTCATTCAACTCTGCCATCAAACCCATGAACTTGTTGCATCTAAACACCTCCTTTTCTTTTTCCCTTCTATGATTACAACAGACAATAAGGTCCCTCTTCCTGTCTTTGCTCTACACTGCCTCTCCTCTATACTTCCAAGACCGCAGAACTCTTCTTCCACTGATTTTTACTTTTCCTAATACTGTTGTGCCTTTTCTCTTCTATTCCTCATGTCAGTTTAGTATAGAATACATAATTCACTTATATGAAATATACAGAGTGCTGGCGTATGGATTCTTCAGATTACAAAAAGCACTGTGCTTATCACAACAATGACTTTGTCCACTGGACACTTCTATTTTCTTAACTTCAGTAATCTCTGGCAGTTTTGCTCATTCTCCTCTTGACATCTTAGCTTCTTTGGTATCACACCATCCTGGTTTTCCTTCTACTTCTCCAGCCTCTTTTTTTAAGTCTCCTCTGCGGGATCCTCTTCTGTTGCAAGGCCTTTAAATGACTTTCCTTAGATATTGGTCCTAAGTCCTCTTCTTGGCCTACATGCTATTATGAGGTAATCACAATCATTGCCATTGTTTTTGCTACCATACTTAAGCTGACAAATCTTTATCTTCCAGCCCAATTCTAAGTTTCAGACCCATACATCAAAATCATTAGGGTGTCTCATTTGAATGCCCTAAGGTACTTCTAACTCACATCTGAAACTGAACATCCAATGTCATGTCCTCTGCAGCCCTCTATCCCGTCTGTACCATACAAAATTCTTTCTCTAGATTTCCCTGTCTCAATACTGGCATTATCACAGACCTAACTAGTCAACTCAGAAAACTGTATGTCACTGCAAACTTCTCTCTCCTACCATTTCCCCATATCCAGTCAAGTAGTAGATCAAGTACTATCAATTCTACCTCCTAAATAACTCTCAAATGTTTCCACTTCTATTTCCATTGATACTTTCCAGTACAGGCCACTATCATCTCACCTAGAATATTTCGATGGCTTCCGAAATGATTGTTCAGCTTCTAGTTTTTCCCCCAACACTGTAGTTTATTCACCCTACTACAGCCAGAATAATCTTTGTAAAATGCAAATCTGACCACAAGATCCTTTCACTGAAATACCCACCGTTCTTCATATAAGGGAGCTTCATCCTAGTCTTCAGTCTTATTTGTAGTCATTCTACTTTTGAACTCTAATCTTAAATCACACTGAAATTCTTTATGTTTAGCAGAGGGCAAGCTCATAGCATAAACTCTTTACAATCATCTGGCTAACAGCTACTCATCCTTCAGGTTGTGGCTTAGATAGACATCACACCTTCCTTGATCCACCATTACCACAGTTGGATTCTCTACCAATATACTCACTGTGCAACTGTTAATTCCTCTAGGAAAGCACTTACTATTCTGTGTTTATTGATCATTTACTTCTCTCTGCTGAGCACCCCCAAATCTGGCTACTAGTCATAAACACCATGGTATCTTTTTCAATGTTTTATTTCCAGCACTTAGAACAATGCCTAGTACACGCAAGGCACTCAAATATTTACTGAATGACAAAAAATGAACTTTAAAAGCTTAAGAAAAGCTGCTACTCCGATAGTTACTGGTTCTATCATATTTCATACAAAAAACAAACAATATTTGCTATATACCACGTTAGTAAGTTTAAGAAACCAGGTATCAAGAATACTATCTACACAAAATGTTCACTAAGAATTATGTGCATTAAACATGTGTATTAAATGTAAGCATATTACATATAGTCTATGCTCCCAAATTATGGCCACAAATTTCTTAGAAAAGTAATAATTTATTTCCTTAGCTTTCCCTTTGCCAAGTGATTACTGCTGTGCATTAACTCAATAATTCTTAATCATCATAACTTGACATTTATTTGCCAGAAAACTCTCTGCCCATTTGGTTTTATGCAAATTCTGAGATGGGTCATATTTAAAAGAAAACATGGAATAAGTGAATTTTAGGAGAAACTTCAAAGGAAGAGAGGTCAAAGAGAACAGAGGATAAAACAGGAGAGTATATTAACTTTTGAAACCCTAAAAGGAGAAAAATTCAAGTGCTAGAATTATCAGGGACAATAAAACAGAGTTCATACATTACAACTTAAGATAGGAAAGAGAAAGACAGATGGAGGAAAGAGGCATTAAGCAATTATTAATTAACATAAGTGGAGGTACTCAAACTGTGTTGTTTTATCAGTTTGAGTACCTCCACTTATGAGAACACATGGACACAGGAAGGGGAACATCACACTCTGGGGACTGTTGTGGGGTGGGGGGAGGGGGGAGGGGGGAGAGATAGCATTGGGAGATATACCTAATGCTAGATGACGAGTTAGTGGGTGCAGCGCACCAGCATAGCACATGTATACATATGTAACTAACCTGCACATTGTGCACATGTACCCTAAAACTTAAAGTATAATAATAATAAATTAAAAACAAAATAAAAATTAAAAAAAAGGATTATATATTGTTGAATGCTCTGAATGAATCAAAAATAATGTCAGAAAAATGGCATGTGTGAAGGCCCAGAGTTTAGAACTGGCTTAGCATATCTGAGCAAGACCAGACAGACAAGAAGACAGCCATGCACATCACAGTCAACAATCTGGATTTTATTGTTAATATAATGGGAAGTCACTAAAGAGTTGTAAGCCAGGGAAGAAAGTAAAAAGACTTTTTCATCTCTAAGATGACTCCAGCTAGTTAGCCCAGAGTAGGGTTTATAGTACTTCAGACACCATTTTTATACTTTAGCCAGATATCTAGATATCTTCAGCAGAAGAAACCCATCTTTTAATCAAATTTAAATCCACCTCTACTATATGGAAAACAACACTAAAGATCATGATAGGACAGCATCATCTTATTATATCGACATCAGTCAACTATTTTAAATTACCAATTTCTTCATTAATAAAGCCAGGACATACCTTCCTAATTCTAAAACATGTCATTGTAATGGAAAGAAAGGAATACTTGGGAAAAAAACAAAATTATAGGAAGCAAAACGGAGTTGGCAGGATTCTGAACATCTTGGATTTTTTTTAAGTTGCCAAATATTTTATGAATGACAATAGAAAGCAAGCTTTGAAACAGATAGTATATTAAAAGGCAAAGAAAGGTTAGGCAATTATTTAAATATATAAAAGCTATTAAGTAAGAAGGTGAATACTGTGACATACAAAATTTAAGGAGGTGAATTGATCAGGGGCTGATCCTTCATGAATGGTTTTGCACCATCCCCTTGGTGACAAGTGAGTTCTCAGTTCACTTGAGATCTAGTTGCTTAAGAGTCTGGGGCATCCCACCATCTCTCTTACTCCTGAGATATACCTCCTCCCCCTTTGCCTTTTGCCATGATTGGAAGCTTCCTAAGGCCCTCACCAGGAGCAGATACCTGTGTCATGCTTCCTGTACAGCCTGCAGAAGCATAAGCCAATTAAAGCAATTTTCTTTATAAATTGCCAGCCTCAGGTATTTCTTCACAGTGATGTAAAAACAGACTAACAAAGGATCCCCTACAGAAAAATTTCTCTCATCACTGATGACATTCCAATCTCTTATAAGCTTGTGAAAACGAGTGATTCCAACAATATTATTTAATTAATAGGTTTGCTATACCTGAATTTTGATATTGTTATCTTAAATTTAAAATAAAGTGATTACTTCTTCATTTTATTGGTCATTAAAGGTTAAGAGCAAATAATCATAAATAGTCTAACAAATATTTTTGCTTTTTTGTTTTTAACTAAATTACTAGTAACTTGTCAGTTATTAAACTTTGATCATAGATCTTGGAATTTTATGTGGTAATTAATGTAAACTAAACTGAACAGGGCACACAGAAAATGTCATATTTTCTATGCTGTTCTCTATTTGAAAAAACAATTAAAGCAGTTAAAAGTTTAATTCACATGGAAAATATCTCCTAAGACTTTGCATATATATCTGTATATATTTTTACTAATAGAACCTATGACAAGAAATGTTTTTAAAAATTACACATAACTTCTACACAGGCAAAGCACTAAAGTGCAGTGTTTAAATACTTAGAAAATGAGTCATCCAGTAGTAACAAATTCCCTAAAGATTATGGCAGAAATGTGTAAAAAGCTTCAAAATACTTGAAGAAAGCCCAGGTAAGACATATATTAAAATAAGCAAACATAATAGAAAGGTGATGATTTTCTTCAAATAATATGACAACCTCATTAAAATGCAACACATTTTCCTGTAAAAAGAAAATCAAAGAAGATGAAATAGATGCTTTATATAAAATATTTACCTATACAATGCACAAAGCCCACTATGGTTAGTAACCTTTATGGCTTTGAAGAACAAGATATTTACATATCTTTCTTTCTGCATGTGCATGTGCGTATGTGTGTTTTGTATATATTTTTAACAGTTGACAGCTGTTTTAGAGCATACAGAGATGCCAAGCTGAATGAGGGTCTTGATTACTTCAAGATTAGCTATCGAAAGTTTCTATTCATTTTAAGTGTTGTTAGTTGGAAGAGTCATTAGTCACTTCCTTGTCTCATAGAACATCAGCATACATTTACATTGTTAATGAACATTTGGGGTAAATGAATTAATGGCACTTTTAAACATCAATTCAGTCCTAATAACTTAGTATGTCATAGAAATGTTAGGCTAGGATATAAACGAAAAGCCTTTTTAGTAAAGGTAACTACTCATTCCTGTAAACAATAAAGGATAAAATTAATTTAAAATGTTATTTTAACCAGGTTAAAAAAAAAAACCTCAGTATTTAATGAAATAGACCATATAAAAATACGTGCTTAAAAAACAAACAGCAACCCCGTCTCTACTAAAAACACAAAAAAATTAGCCAGGCGAAGTGGCAGCCGCCTGTAGTCCCAGCTACTTGGGAGGCTGAGGCAGGAGAATGGCGTGAACCCGGGAGGCACAGCTTGCAGTGAGCCGAGATTGCGCCATTGCACTCCAGCCTGGGCTATGGAACAAGACTCCGTCTCAAAAAACAAACAAACAAACAACAACAACAAAAACTATGTCCTCAAATAACCATAGTAATCAGAAATAGTATGAAATATTTTGGTGAAACTATTTTATACACTTGTAACACAAAGACATTCACTTTTAAAACATCCACTTACAGAAGTACTTGCAAAATAATTTGATTTATTTAACTACGAATGCTTCTTATGAGTATTACATTTAAGAGAAAATATCACTAGAAAAGGTGTCATGCCTAGCACTGAGATATTAAAATAACTGAAATTGAAATGAACACTATTTTCATATTATCAAAATATTAAACATAAGTCTTGAGTTCTTATTTAACAAAAAATATAAAAATTTAAAAATTAAATCACAAAAATAAGCTGGACAAATTCTCTCCCATTTTTATTAAAAATAACAATGGCATTTGTATGTAGGAGGTATTAAAGATGCACAAAAAGCATAAAAATTCTGCATAAAATTTGTGTTCTAAAGAAATAGCCACTTTAGGTGGGGGTCAATTCTTTTTTTAAATTCTCAAAACATGAGTTAAAAGCAGACTTTGGCATCAGTATAAACAGAAAAAATCATTTTGTTTGAAGAAAATAACACACATGATTTACTATGACTAATTTTCCTTTTTATAACAGTTTGTCTGTATACTTTGACTAATTTATGTTTTAAAATAGATGTCACAATCTTGATACCTGCATTCCACAAGTGAAAAATTACAAGCAGCCACTGAGTCAATTAACTTTATCAAATATTTAGTGAACTGCTTAAAAACTAAGGATAAGGCTTCAAAAATTCTCACAAACTCAATTGCTTCTGTCTAAGAAACTATGTTATTACTATCATTAAGTAAATACTGAGAAAATAGTAGAGTTCTGATACATAAACATTTGATACATTTTTATAGGGTAGAACCTGAATACGGTCTACATTTTAACTGTCTACCACTTAATAATTTCAGTGTATAGATCTTTTAAAATATAACACAAATTTCAATTACTTTAAAAAAAAAAAGAGGATGAACAAATTTCAATTACTTTAAAAAAAAAAGAGGATGAATCAAGTCTTTTATCCTGGAATAATCTCAATCTGCTGAAAGGGGAAAAAAATCCCTGCAAAATCAACACCAAAAATTTAAGAATCTTTAAAAGATGTTCGACCAAGGCCCTTTCGCATTTCAACATTCTTATGCTGAAGTCATTGTTCAGTTTATTATTTTATTTTAAAGAACGACAGTGCGTTAAACATTTGGCTAATGCTTCCATGAATAACTGTGGCTTGTTGAAGTATTCATTAGTGTCAAGAGTGCTCTGTACATATCCAGAATAACATACTTAACACTGGCCTGCTCACTTCATCAAAATGTGTTCACACACATAAGGTGGACACAGCTAACTGAGGGCCCTCTGCTAGGTTTCCCAGTACACTACCTACAAATAGTATTGGCATACAAAACTCACCTCCAGACTTGTTAGAGTAACTGGACAAGGGGTCAATGCCTACTTCTTGTTCTTCTGGCTGCAGAGGATGTCTAGTTTCAGATAAGGAATGATACATTGTGGGAACTGGACAGCGTCACCAAAAGTAACTACCTGGGAGGTGAAAAAATACAGAGAAAAATAATAAATTCTTTTTCTGCTATGACTGGGAATAAATATAAGACTGAAATGATTACATGAGCATTACAGACATTAACAAGTTTTTCCCAGGCTCCAGGGACTGTTATCTCACATTGGTAGGCTTATGCAAAGAAGGGAAAAAGGTAACAAAATTTCCATTTCAAAAATTTCTCAAAAATCTGAGCATCATTTATAATCTTTATCTTAATTTTGAATCATATTTATTTTCAATAAATAAGCTAAATTCTAAATTAAAGACAATATTCTCACATTTATAGCATCCTTTTGTTTTACAGCCAAAATAATAAACATTCACAATAGAACTTTCAAAATACAGAAAATATAGCAAATTAAAATTATTCATGATAGTATTAGCTAGAAATATTAGTGTTAACATTTCAGTGTATTACACATGTACTTCCTGTCTTTATTCTGGGCATTTAAAATACATATGGTTTTAATGTGACCCATAACATGGTAAACATACTGATTATGTAATCTATGAATACTTTAAATTCAGTATTTTCCTCCCCAGTTTAAAGAAAAAAACAATTGTGTGTCTATAATTTCTAATTATTCCTAGCATTCTATTATATAGTCAGCACAATTTATGTAACCAATTCCTTATTTAGTAAACAACATGTTTTCAGTTGTTCAATACTACAAACAGTCTCAAAAATAAATTATCTTTTAGCAGTATGTCTGTATGATATCCATGATTATTTCCTTAGGATAAATTCTTAAAGTACAATAGCTGGATTAAAATATATATTAAAAAAATAAGATTTTAGCAAACTGTACTCTATAAAGGTTTGTACCTAATAGAACAATTCATTTCTCCTTGATTCTCATTAACAATGGATGTTTCCTCTTTGATTTTCTGAACCAACCTGATAGTCAAATTTTGTATTGTATTTGCTTGGTAACTACTGAGATACTGTTTCTCTGACATTTGTTTATTGTCTTTTGTTAATAGAGTTAATTGTTATGACTGTCTTCATGATATCTAAACATGCTTTAAGTATTAAGAGTATTAAACCTTGTTTATATGATACACATATTTTTCTCAAAGTGTATCTGTCTTTCAGTTGTATGACATTTTTGTGACATAGGTAACTTTTTACATGCTCAAATGTATCTGTATCTCCAGTATAATATCCACCTCTGGTGTTATACTTACAAGTTTTTATAAATAACTACCTACATTTCCTTTGGTCGTTTTGAAAGTTTTCCCTCTCAATTCTCACTTATATAAATTATTCCATATTGAATAAATTTTGTTTTAAATTATTTTCAACTTCCAACCTACACTATTTGTAAATTTTATATGTCCCTAAGATGCAAATTATCTTCTCAAATCATAACTCT